>NC_000003.12:183705574-184955574 GCF_000001405.40 Homo sapiens
TTTTGTTTGCATGTGTCTGTGTATAATAACTTTGTACATTCTTTTAAACATTTAGCTAAAGAGCCTTTAAAGATGTAGCAATATCAACAAATAGATTAATGATGAAAACTAATGTAAGGTAGTAGTTATGTTCCCTGTGGTCATTTATATTTTGGCAGATATTTTAGTTAATCCTTCATTTATGGCTGGGCGCAGTGGCTCACGCCTCTAATCCCAGCACTTTGGGAGGCCGGGGCAGGCAGATCACGAGTTGAGGAGATCGAGACCATCCTGGCTAACATGGTGGAACTCCATCTTTAGTAAAAATGCAAAAAAATTAGCCAGGCATGGTGGCGGGCGCCTGTAGTCCCAGCTACTCGGGAGGCTGAGGCAGGAGAATGGCCTGACCCGGGAGGCGGAGCTTGTAGTGAGCCAAGATCGCACCACTGCACTCCATCCTGGGTGACAGAGCAAGACTGTTTCAAAAAAAAAAAAAAAATCCTTCATTTATTTTTCCAGATAGTAATATTGAGCACTTCCAGGAACTTTGGAGGGAGAAGGTAGGGAGAGCTGTGTTGGATGGGGCACGGTCAAGGAAGGCCCCTGATAAGGGGGAGATTTCAGCTGGAATCTGATTAAGCTAACCTAAGAAAAGAGCATTCCAGATAGAAGGAGCCATGATTCCAAAAGCTCAAAGGAAAATTGGGAGTATATTTGAGGGATAGAAAACCAACCTGTCTGGATCTTAAAGATTAAGGATGGAGAGGGAGACAGGGCGCAGTTCACATCTCTTAGGTCATGTTAAGGAATGGAAATTTGTTCTAAATGTTATGAAAAGCTATTTGAAGGATTCAAGCAGGGGATGACATGATCAGAAAAATATTCTTATTGTCCTTTTCTAAAGTGAGGTATAGTTTACAGACAGTGAAATACAGATTTTGCGTGTACAGTTGGGTGTTTTTGCAATTGGATATACATACCCATCTAACCTACACTCTTATTAAGATTAGTGGAGCACTGTGGGAGGCCAAGACGGGCAGATCACCTGAGATCGGGAGTTCGAGACCAGCATGACCAACATGGAGAAACCCCGTCTCTACTAAAAATACAAAATTAGCCCGGCGCGGTGGCGCATACTTGTAATCCCAGCTACCCAGGAGGCTGAGGCAGGAGAATCGCTTGAACCCGGGAGGCGGAGGTTGCCGCGAGCTGAGATTGTGCCATTGCACTCCAGCCTGGACAACAAGAGCGAAACTCTGTCTCAAAAAAAAAAAAGTTAGGTGGAGCATTGGTAATCCAAAAATCTGAATCTTAAATGCTCCAAAATCTGAAACTTCTTAAGCACCAACATGATGCCACAGTGGAAAATTTCACACCTGACCTTGTGACTGGTCAGTTAAAACATAGTCAAAACTTTGTGTTATGTTTTGAATTATTTAAAATGTTGTATAAAATTACCTTCAGGCTCTGTGTGTAAGATATTTATGAAGCGTAAATGAATTTCATGTTTAGATTTGGGTTCCTTCCCAAAGATATCTTACTATGTATATGCAAATATTCCAAAATCCAAAACAGTATGAAATCTGAAACAGTTCTGGTCCCAGGCATCTTGGGTAAGGAATACTCAACCTGAATAAAATATTTCTAAGAAAAAAGTCTTCATTCCTCTTCCCAGTCAGTCCCTAACACCAGCACCTCCAACTATGATTCTCATTTCTTTCACTATAGATTAATTTGTCTCTTCTAGAACTTAAGTGGGATAATTTAGCTTGTACTCTTGTGTTTGCCTTCTTTGGCTTGCCATAATGATTTTGAGGTTCATTTCTGTTGTTGCCTGCATCAAGAGTTCATTGAGTATACCACGATTTGTTCGTCCATTCCTCTGGTTTGGACTTTTGAGACATTTTTGAAATGTCATTGGCTAATGGAAAATGGATTGTAGAGTCTTATTCAGATATTTAATAAAGGAACACTGGTTGTCTTGTTTACAAAAGAGAATGTATTTTCTTTTAAGACTGTAGAAAGGACAGGGCCAGGAACTATGAAATCATTATCAGCATCTTAGGAATGCCTGTCTGTATGGAAGCAGATAGAAAATGATTGTACTACTCCCCTTCCCCACCTATTTTTTTTTTTTTTTTTTTTTTTGAGACGAAGTCTCACTCTGTCACCCAGGCTGGAGTGCAGTGGCGCAATCTCGGATCACTGCAACCTCTGCCTCCCGGGTTCAAGCAATTCTCCTGCCCTGAGTAGCTGGGATAACAGTGCATGCCACCATGCCCAGCTAATTTTTTGTATTTTTGGTAGAGACGGGGTTTCACCGTGTTGATGAGGCCGGTCTCGAACTCCTGACCTCGTGATCCACCCGCCTTGGCCTCCCAAAGTGCTGAGATTATAGGCGTGAGCAGCCAGCATGCCCGGCGTCCCCCTCCCCAACTTTAAACCAGATGGGAAGTCTTGAGTGAGAGCCCCAAGTTCAGTGGTTCTGATATTCAAATGATGTGAGGCACATAGAATTATTGAGATGATACCTCATATGATATATGGCAAATCTTTCAAGTGTCTAATTTATCAGATTTTACTCCTTTCTCCTCAAGAATTGGCCACTTTTTTTTTTTTTTTTTTTTGATACGGAGTCTTGCTCTGTCACCAGGCTGGAGTGCAGTGGCACGATCTCGGCTCACTGCAACCTCTGCCTCCTGGGTTCAAGCAGTTCTCCTGACTCAGCCTCCCGAGTAGCTGGGACTACAGGCACTCGCCACCACATCCAGCTAATTTTTGTATTTTTAGTAGAGATGGGGTTTCACCATGTTGTTGGCCACATCTTATATGATGTGTTTGCAAAACACAATGGTAGAGTTCTAGGACTGGCTTCTGGGGTTCTCCATCTTCCCTGACTCGAGAGCTAAGACCTCGAATTTCCAGTGACTGTACATTACATCATCTTTATGGTTTTTATTATACAATTTTCTTTTCAAAATTATTTTTCTCTTGGGTTTTATTTTAAAGTATAAAACATTAAATGTTTTGTTTGGGGCCAGGGGTGGTGGCTTACAAATCTCAGCACTTTGGAAGGCCAAGGCCAGAGGATCTCTTGAGGCCAGGAGTTCAAGACCACTCTGGGCAACATAGTGAGACCCCCGTCTCTTTAAAAAATAAAAAGATTAGCAGGTATGGGCACACACCTGTAGTCCCATCTACTCGGAAGGCTGAGGCAGGAGGATCACTTGAGCCCAGGATTCCAAGGTTGCAGTGAGCTATGCTTGTGCCACTGTACTCCAGTCTGGATGGCAGAGTAAGACTCTGTCTCTAAAAAAATTTTTTTTGGCCAGGCGCGGTGGCTCACACTTGTAATCCCAGCATTTTGGGAGGCCGAGGTGGGCGGATCACAAGGTCAGAGATTCGAGACCAGCCTGGCCAACATAGTGAAATCCCGTCTCTTCTAAAAATAAAAAAATGAGCTGAGAGTGGTGGCACACACCAGTAATCCCAGCTACTCAGACAGTTGAGGCAGGAGAATAGCTTGAACCCAGGAGGCAGAGGTTGCAGTGAGCCAAGATCATGCCATTGCAGTCCAGCCTGGGCGACAAAAGTGAGACTCTGTCTCAAAAAAAAAAAGTTTGGTTTTCTTTTTGGTTTCTAACCTTTGTCAAAAACTCAGACTTGGTTATGTTATTTGAATGGATATGGTATGTTTTAATTGATGGCATTTACTTCTATAAAGCTTTGTTTTCTTGTGTTACTTATGGAAAAAATCATTTATTTTCTATATTTAAATTGAAAGCATTTACTCTTTTTTTGAGATAAAGTTTCTGTCACCCAGGCTGGTGTGCAGTGGCATGATCTCGGCTCACTGCAACCTCTGCCTCCTCACAGGTTCAGGAGATTCTCGTGCCTCAGCCTCCCGAGTAGCTGGGACTATAGGCATGCACTACCATGGCCGGCTAATTTTTGTGTTTTTAGTAGAGATGGGGTTTCACCATGTTGGCCAGGTGGGTTTCAAGCTCCTAACCTCAAGTGATCCACCTGCCTTGGCCTCCCAAAGTGCTGAGATTACAGGCCTGAGCCTCTGCATCTTGCCCACATTTACTTTTTATAATGAGGCTGTTTTAATGAGATAAATTTTTTTTTTTTTTTTTTTTGAGACAGAGTCTTGCTCTGTCACCCAGGCTGGAGTGCAGTGGCGTGATCTCGGCTCACTGCAAGCTCCACCTTCCGGGTTCACGCCATTCTCCTGCCTTAGCCTCCGGAGTAGCTAGGACTACAGGTGCCCGCCACCACGCCCGGCTAATTTTTTGTATTTTTTTTAGTAGAGACGGGGTTTCCCCATGTTAGCCAGGATGGTCTTCATCTCCTGACCTTGTGATCCGCCCACCTCGGCCTCCCAAAGTGCTGGGATTACAGGCGTGAGCCACCATGCCTGACCCGAGATAAAAAGTTTAAATTGGAGAAATGGATGACAGTAGTCTTATTTTAGTCGCAGCGTTACATTTATTTCCGTATTCAGTTTTTGTCTCAGAGTATAGAGAAAATTCTTTCTCACAGTCAAATTGTATATGATAACAGATTTTTTTCCTAGCAGTTCCTAGTACCATCTCAGTATTTTCAATTTCAGCTGATTCAGAAGCTATAGAGGATTAGCTGGACATTTTGTTTCCAAGTTGAATTGACCATATCTAACAACTGCTCATGTTTCCTTTTCATAAAATCTACAAGTCAGACAAGAAGAGTCCAGAAGGTAATGTTATCATTGGTCATTTGTTACACATTCTGTTCACTTATTTATTATATCATCATGAGAGCATGCCTCAGCAGATGTGCCTAGTCTTAGCTAGCTAGCAGTTACTTGCATGTGACATGTGCACATTACACATTATTATTCTTGTGAGACAGAAGCAGACCTGGATTATTTTTAAATGCCCAGTATAGAGCTTAATCCTCTTAAATGTGTTTATAAGAAGCTCAAATATATGCCCACATGCAACAAGAAAAGCTTTATTCTAAAGGCTGCATAAAAAATGAATTATCTTGGCAGCACAAATGAACTCATTGTTGGTTTCTTCCTTTCTGCCCACCCCCTCCCCAAATTCCTCTCTTTTCTCTTCCTAGTCTTCCAGTTTTACACCAAAAGTCAAAGAGAGGGTTTTTTTTTTAAGTCCCTTAAGTGAGGATAAAATAAAAATAACTTTTCTTCAAGGATCCCCAGCCATTTTAGTGGGAGCCACCGTTATTCTTGAGATTACTTGGAAGGTAGGATAAGAATATACAGATTATGAAGTCTGTAGAATGGATAAGTGAGGATGATGCTGGAGGGGGACTCATCTTTGTAGATAATCTCCTATGACTCTTGGCAAACTGTGGAAGACAGGTGCCTGATGAGGAAGTAGTATGGTACAAGGACAAGTTTAGGTATCTGCTGGGCTATATCCACCTCTGATTCTAGGTTCATGTGTAATTAGGTGTTTTTAGATTCCTATCTGCATTAAGGAAGAATAAATTAAGTTTATTTTTTTTTAAAGTTGTCTTTTTTATGTAACAGCCCAAGATTTTCTGAGGCTGTCTAAAATTAATTGCAGACCAAATGGAGAAGGCTGAAGAAACAAGACCTTACTTTTACTTTTTAAAAGCTTTAAACAGCTGGGCGCAGTGGCTCATGCCTGTAATCCCAGCACTTTGGGAGGCCAAGGCGGGCGGATCACGAGGTCAGGAGATTGAGACCATCCTGGCTAACACAGTAAAACCCCGTCTCCACAAAAATACAAAAAAAAAATCAGCCGGGCGTGGTGGAGGGCACCTGTAGTCCCAGCTACTCGGGAGGCTGAGGCAGGAGAATGGCGTGAACCCGGGAGGTGGAGCTTGCAGTGAGCTGAGATCGCGCCACTGCACTCCAGCCTGGGAGACAGCGAGACTCTGTCTCAAAAAAAAAAAAAAAAAAGCTTTAAACATAAAACATAATAGTTGGGTTCTGGGCCTGTCCAAAAATAGTCATTTATATTCTGAATTGTAGCAGGTAACGGATGAATATGAACAAACATTAAATGGCTTGATTCATGATGTTTATAAATTCTGGGGGTTTTAGAATATTTTTAAGATTAGTGATATAACAGCAGATAACAGCTGTAGGAAAAGTGTTCTCTCAGATGTGGGACTTCCATATGTAACATTACATAATGAGCCACTCTCCTAGCTGAGTCAAGTGAGTCTGTTTCTGAGATGAGTGAAAGAACTGGACTAAGAGCTGAGGGACTTTTAAATAGTGTGTTTTTTTTTTTTCTTTGTTTTTTGAGATGGAGTCTTGCTTTGTCACCCAGGCTGGAGTGCAATGGCATGATCTCGGCTCACTGCAGCCTCCATTTCCCGGGTTCAAGCGATTCTCCTGCCTCAGCCTCCTGAGTAGCTGGGATTACAGGCTCACATGACCACGTCTGGCTAATTTTTGTATTTTTAGTAGAGATGGATTTTCACCATGTTGGCTAGGCTGGTCTCGAACTCCTGACCTCATGATCCGCCTACCTTGCCCTCCCAAAGTGCTGGGATTACAGGCATGAGCCACTGCACCCGGCCTAAATTGTTATTTTTGTTTTAACTTTGAGTGAATACAAAATGAGTATTTTTGAGTTAGCATTTTATGTTCTTTTATTTTATTTTATTTTATTTTATTTTATTTTATTTTTTGAGACAGAGTCTCACCCTGTCTCCCAGGCTGGAGTGCAGTGGTACAATCTCGGCTCACTGCAACCTGCCTTCTGGGTTCAAGCGATTCTCATGCCTCAGCGTCCTGAGTAGCTGGGATTACTGGCATGAGCCACCATGCCCAGCTAATTTTTTTGTATTTTTAGTAGAGACGAGGTTTCACCATGTTGGCCAGCCTGGTCTTGAACTCCTGACCTCAGGTGATCCACCTGCCTGAGCCTCCTAGAGTGGTGGGATTACAGGCGTGAGTTACCGCAGCCAGCCTAATTTTATTTTAAAACATGTTGTTACCTCAGTAATTCTGCCTCTGGCTAGGGAATCTTCCTTAGTGGTAGAACAGAGATTTGGAAATCAGAGAGCTATTCTGGTCTCTTTCATAGATTAACACTGTAAGGGATAATCTAACCACCCTGGACCTGTTTCCTTATCTTAATCAATAGATCCAGGCTGCGAAGAAAGGGAGCCACCAGCCACAAGTAGTTATTGAGCCTTAGGATTGTGGCTAATACTAATACAAATTTTTTTTTTTTTTCGAGAGAGTTTTGCTCTTGTTGCCCAGGCCGGAGTGCAGTGGTGTGATCTTGGCTCGCTGCAACCTCTGCCTCCTGGATTCAAGTGATTCTCCTGCCTTAGCCTCACAAGTAGCTGGGATTACAGGAGCCCGCCACCAGGCCCAGCTAATTTTTGTATTTTTAGTGGAGACGGGGTTTCACCATGTTGGCCAGGCTGGTCTGGAACCCCTGACCTCTAATGATCTGCCTGCCTCAGCCTCCTAATGTGCTGGGATTACAGGCGTGAGCCACCTTGCCTGTACATGGCCTGTACAGGCCGCTAATACAAATTAAGATGTCCTGTAAGTGTAAAATACACACCAGATTTTAAAAACTTGGTAAAAATATAACGTAAAATCTAATTGCTGATTTATTTATATCAATTACATTGTTGGGGTGATAATATTTTAGATATATTGGTTAGGTAAAATATATTGTTAAAATTGGTTTCACCCATTTCACTTCCCTTTTTCAAACGTGGCTGTGGCTGGGCACGGTGGCTCACACCTGTAATCCCAGAACTTTGGGAGGCCAAGGCAGGTGGATCATGAGGTCAGGAGTTTGAGACTAGCCTGGCCAACAAGGTGAAACCTTGTCTATACAGAAATTACAGAAATGAGCTGGGTGTGGTGGTGCATGCCTGTAATCTTAGCTACTCAGGAGGCTGAGGCAGGAGAATTGCTTGAACCCGGGAGGCGGAGGCTGCAGTGAGCCGAGATTGCACCACTGCACTCCAGCCTGGGCAATAGAGTGAGACTCCGTCTCAATCAATCAATCAATCAATAAGAAACCTGGCAGCTAGAAAATTTAAATTCTGTACGTGGCTCATGTTATATTTTTATTGGACAGCACTGGTCTGGATGATATTTCTGAAACTGACTCATGAAATATGTATCATTGCTTAATGAAGCACTTTGGAAGAGGAGCACTGTCCAATAAACTCGTGCAGTGATGTGAATGTTTCGTATCTACACTGAACAATGTAGTTGCTACTAGCTACGGTGACTCTCGAGCACTAATTTTTTTGAGACGGAGTATTGCTCTGTCGCCCACACTGGCGTGCAGTGGCACGATCTCGGCTCACTGCAACCGCTGCCTCCCGGGTTCAAGCAATTCTCCTGCCTCAGCTCCTGAGTAGCTGGGACTGCAGGTGCCCACCATTATGCCCAGCTAATTTTTGTAGTTTTAGTAGAGATGGGGTTTCACCATACTGGCCAGGCTGGTCTCGAACTCCTGACCTCGTGATCCATCCACCTTTGCTTCCCAAAGTGCTGGGATTACAGGCATGAGCGACCACACCCGGCCCATAATTTTAAATTTTTTTAAATTTTAATTTAAACAGCCACATAAGGCTAGTGGTTAATGTACTGAGACAGTAAAGGTCTAGAGGATTTATGGGATTTTTTTTTTTTTTTTGAGATGGAGTCTCGCTCTGTCTCCCAGGCTGGAGTGCAGTGGCGCGATCTCAGCTCACTGCAAGCTCTGCCTCCTGGGTTCACGCCATTTTCCTGCCTCAATCTCCCGAGTAGCTGGGACTACAGGTGCCTGCCACCATGCCCGTCTTTTTTTTTTGTATTTTTAGTAGAGACGGGTTTTCACCGTGTTATCCAGGATGGTCTCAATCTCCTGACCTCGTGATCCGCCCACCTCGGCCTCCCAAAGTGCTGGGATTACAGGCGTGAGCCACCGTGCCCGGCCGGGATTTTTTTTTTAATGGGATTGTTTTATTCAAAGACTTGTGTATGTGGGGCTTGTTTACCGTATTGCAGACTTGTTAATTAGTTTAATATAAGTCTATAGATTTGTGTTTATTGTAATAATGATCAGTAATAGTGATACCTGCTAAGTACCAGAGAAAGGATCTGTATAATCAATTATTTATTGAGCCTTTAACTATGTTGCTTATATTTTCTAATATGCTGAATGCTTAGTGAATTCTAAGACACTGTGTGGGCTAACCATGTTTTCATCAAAGTCTGGTTCCTTTCCTTTCCTTATGAGGGCTCTTCCATGAAAGCCAGGCTCCTTTTGAAAAGTCTGAACAATGTGCTACTTTGTTCAAGGATTTTTCTCTTGAAAGGGAAACCCATGCTTGTTAACAGATGATTATGATTTCTTTTTTTTTTTTGGTGGAAACTTTTAAACTTAGGCTTTTGGCCTTAAAAGAAATATGTATATGTGTGTATATACACATACCCACAGACTTGCAAGTACCAGTATTAATGTAATATTTATTTATTTATTTTGTTTGTACACATATATTTGTAAGTACTGGTATGCAGTGTTACTACAACCCAACTATTTAACTGAATAATTAAAAATTATTAATTTATCATTGCTTCACAGTGAAGAACTGAATGTCATCATGTCTGGAATCAAGCGAACCATCAAAGAAACCGACCCTGATTACGAGGATGTATCTGTGGCCCTTCCAAATAAGCGGCATAAAGCAATTGAGAATTCAGGTAGAAATCCTGCCTTAGGAAATTATTTCTTTATTGACATATGCCTCCGCTAGAAAACTTACAGGAACTAGAATGAAATGAATTTCCACTGTTATGTATAATTTGAAGGGGTTCGTGAGAGAGATTAGCTAAGGGATCTGTTTAATAGTAATACACCATGTGTGCTGTAAAAAGTGGAAGAAGATCTGGCAGGAACATGATCAAGCAGACAGTGAAAGCGAGACAAACTGTGAGTTTTAGCGATCACTGTATGTTAGGTGTAATCATAAAGTCTATGATATGTATAAAGGTGTGCTATAATCGTGAGATGGTCATAGATGGTACATGGATTAAGGTTTTTAATTTTAATAGGTAACATTTTAATGTATATAGAAAAAAGAATGATCTCATCAAACTTGTAGTTCCATAGCTACAAGGATAAAGCTAAAATTATTTTTAAATGCTTGTTAATTAAATGTGTCATATGGTTCTCAGATGTGGTAGCTATCTTGAAGGCATATGAATGGTAGAAGATTAGGAAACATCGATCTAGTTCAACCCTTGTACTTAGCTAATAGTAGATAAATTAAGGTTCAGAGACATCAGATTACTTACCTAACATATATAAGTAGTTGAAGAGCAAATCATCAACTGGGTGTCTGTTGTTCCTCAGAATGTCTTAAGCAAGCTTAAAAAAATTGCTAACTTTACTTTTTTATTTATTTATTTATTTTTTGAGACAGAGTCTTGCTCTGTCCCCCAGGCTGGAGTGCAGTGGCGTGATCTCGGCTCACTGCAAGCTCTGCTTCCCCGGTTCGCGCCATTCTCCTGCGTCAGCCTCCCGAGTAGCTGGGACTACAGGCACCCGCCACCACGCCTTGCTAATATTTTGTATTTTTAGTAGAGACGGGGTTTCACCGTGTTAGCCAGGATGGTCTCCATCTCCTGACCTCGTGATCCACCCGCCTCGGCGTCCCAAAGTGCTGGGATTACAGACGTGAGCCACCGCGCCCGGCAACACTAAATTTACATTATTAAAACAAATTATTACTGAACTTCATTAATGTTTATTTAAATAATCTACCTAAGTTAATACTTTTAACAGGGTAAAGAAGGCGTCAGTCATAGCTCAGATGTTGCAGTTCCACATAGGATCCGTAGAGTGGAAATGGTGAAGAAAATTCCTATTTCTGTAAGAGCAGTGAAGTCCTACGTATCCCCAGAAAATCTGTATAGAAGGAAAATTGTTAAATCCAATCCCAAATAGTGAAAACATTTTGCTGCAACTTTCCCTCCTCATTCAGCTGTAATTTTAGAGGAAATACCGTTTCCTTTCAATTACAAGCCAAATAAATGTTAGAGTGTTATGTAACTTAATTCATTACCCAAGAGCTTCACATGGCATAACTTTTTAAAATAAAAACAAGAACAGGGAAAAGTGATTGTTTTAATAACACTGAAACTCAGTTTAAATTGAATGTAAGTTCCAAAATACCCCCTTTCAAGCAGGGGCAGTTTTTTGTTTGTTACTGAGTGACAATCTGCTATTCTTTTTCTTGGTGTCCATGCTCTACCTAATGCTAACCTTTCTCCCCCCACCAGAATTTTTCTCAAAGTAGATTTGGTGGGATGCTTCTCTTTGCATATGTTATTTTGTTTTGTTTGTGTCTTTTTTTTTTTTCGCTCTGTCACCCGGGCTGGAGTGCGGTGGCACGATCTCGGCTCACTGCCACCTCTGCCTCCCAAGTTCAAGCGATTCTCCTGCCTCAGCCTCCCAAGTAGCTGGGATTACAGGTACCCCCCACTACGCCCAGCTAGTTTTTGTATTTTTGGTAGAGACGGGGTTTCACCATGTTGTCCAGGCTGGTCTCAAACTCCTGACCTCAGGTAATCCACCTGTCTGGGCCTCCTAGAGTGCTGGGATTACGGGTGCGAGCCACCATGCCTGGCCCCCAGTGTTGTATTTTATAGCTATTTCCCTCCCCGCAGGATCCAGTCCAGGACATACAGGGCATTTAGCTGTCATATCTCTTTAGTCTCTCTCAGTCTCCTCAACCCTTTCCTTGTCTTTCTTTCTTGTCTTTAATATTTAAATAGAATAGGCCAATAATTTTATAGAATGTCTTTCAGTTTGAGTTTGTCTAATCTTTCCTTGTGAGTAGATTCAGCATTTTTGACAGGAATACCATAGAATGGTGTCTTTTTAGGGCATGATACTAGAAAGTACACGAGATCACTTTACACCAATATTAGTGGTTTCAGTTTTTCATCACTTGGTTAAGGTGATGTCCACTAGGTTTCTCCACTTTAGAGTTACTATTTCTTGGATTTCTTTTGTTGCTTGCTGACTTAAATAAAGACAGTCACTGATTAATTAGGCCTTGGATGTATTTTATGTTCTTTGTACAGCTCGAGATGCTGCTGTGCAGAAGATTGAGACTATTATCAAAGAACAGTTTGCTCTTGAAATGAAGAATAAGGAACATGAAATTGAAGTCATTGACCAGGTATAATGATGATAAATTGAAATAAACACCAAAGCTATTGAAAAAAATGTATACATGATTGAAAAATAATCTATTGAGATGGAGTCACAGTTTGCTTTATCCTCCTCTTTGCTTTTTTTTTTTTTTTTTTAAATAGCTTTCATGTTTTGGGGAGAGAAAATGCTATTTTTTAAATAGTGCAATTGCAGAAAGGATTGAAGAAATATTACCTGGAATTCCATTCAAAAAGATAATCTTCTGATAGCACAGCAGGGTGACTACAGTCAACAATAATTTATTGTACATTTAAAAATAATTAAAAGAGTAAAATTGGATTGTTTGTAACATAGAGAAAGGATAAATGCTTGAGGTAATGAGTATCCCATTTACCCGGATGTGATTATTATGCATTGTATGCCTCTATCAGAATATCTTACGTGTCCCATAAACATGTGCACTGTGTACCCACAACAGTTAAAAAGTGTTTTTAAAAAAGATAATCCCTCTTTGCTCTTGTGTTCAGTGTCTTTGTGGATTTTTCTCAGTGAATATACACATAAATGTACATATTCATTGCAACACTTTTGTCTTTCTCTTAAATCTTTGCGAATCTGATGGGTGGAAAAGGTCACTTTTATTTGTTTTTCTTTTGATTGTTAGAGAAGTTGAGCTTTTTTTTTTCACTCATTCACGTTTCTTATTTTGTGAATTGTTTGTACATCTCTTTTATAATTGCCGTTTTTTAAAGTAATGAGTTAACATTTGTTTTTAGCGACTGATTGAAGCAAGAAGGATGATGGATAAACTGCGTGCCTGCATTGTAGCAAACTACTATGCTTCTGCAGGTCTTCTAAAAGTTTCTGAGGTAAGCATTCCTCATACCCAGTCATTTTCCAGCCACTCATATTTGTTGTCTGAGGGGAAGTTATGTCAATATGGAATCCCTGCATCTGAAACATTTCTTTCTGTTTGTTTTTTGGTTTTTTTTTGAGACGGAGTCTCGCTGTGTCACCCAGGCTGGAGTGCAGTGGCACTTGGCTCACTGCAACCTCTGCCTCCCAAGTTCAGGCGATTCTCCTGCCTCAGCCTCCTGAGTAGCTGGGATTACAGGCGTGTGCCACCATGCCCAGCTCATTTTTGTATTTTTAGTAGAGACGAGGTTTCACCATTTTGACCAGTCTGTTCTTGAACTCCTGACCTCAGGTGATCCACCCACCTTGGCCTCCCCAAGTGCTGGGATTACAAGCATGAGCCACCATGCCTGGCCTAAAATACTTCTTACATTGACCTTCAGAATCCAAGAAGCCTAGCCTACTTCCTGGGAATATACATAGACTATACATAGACTTATCAGTCATTGTGTTCAACCATAGTCCTTCAGTTGTGACTTTCCGCATTGTCAATAATCCTAAGTAATATTTTTTCCTTTTTTTTTTTTTTGTTTGTTTTTTTGAGACAGAGTTTCGCTCTTGTTGCCCAGGCTAGAGTGCAGTGGCCTCCCAGGTTCAAGTGATTCTTCTGCCTCAGCCTCCCAAGTAGCTGGGATTACAGGCATGCGCCACCATGCCTGGCTAATTTTTTTGTACTTTACTAGAGACGGGGTTTCTCCATGTTGGTCAGGCTGGTCTTGAACTCCCAACTTCATGTGATCTGCCTGCCTTGGCCTCCCAAAGTGCTGGGATTACAGGCGTGAGCCACCGGGCCCAGCCTTTCATTTTTACGTAATTCTTTTCCTCCTAATTGTTAGCATTATGCTAGGCTTTGCAGATACAAAGATGATTGAGACCTCATTGAACTGGCCCTAGTGCCTCACTTGATTGTGGCCCACTTTGGAGTAATTTATAAATTGATTGAGTTTTCTTTGACCTTTTAGTCTAGTGAATGGCAATTTTTAGTTTCAGATTTACCCTGTTTAATGAGCCCTGAGTTCTACTTTTTGTTTTCTTTCTTTTTTTTTTAAAAGAGACATGGTATGTGGCCAGGCTGGAATGCAGTGGCTATTCACAAGCACGATCATAGCTTCACTTATAGCCTCCAACTCCACATAGCCTCCACCTTCACATAGCCTCCAACTCCTGGGCTCAAGCAGTCTTCCTGCCTCAGCCTCCTGAGTAGCTAGGACTGCAGCTTTGTTTCTCTAGTTTTTTAAGATTTAAAATGGTCCTCCTACCTTTTTCCCTCCATGATCCTGACTTTTCGGAGAAACCAGGCCATTTATGAATATCTCACATTTTGGATTTATGTTTTCCTTGGATTACTTTTTCATCCTGTTTTCTTGTAAACTGGAAGTTAAGTCTAAAGGCTTGGTTATTATATATATTATATATAGATTTGGGTTAAATATTTCTGGCAAGAATACTTCGTAGTGATGCTGTGTACTTGATATTCTAGCATATCAGCAGGCACCTAGTTCCAGGTTGTCCTGCTGGTGATACTAAGTTTGACCACTTGGTTAATGTGATCACCACTAGATTATTCCAATTATAAAGGAATGTTTTTTCCCAATTTAGTTTTTGACATGTAAATGAAAAATATCTGCTCTTTTATCCTAGTAATCTGTCTAAATTCAGGCATAGGGGTTAGGATTGACCTGAAATAGGAGTATTTCTTCCTATTTGATATTTTGATAATTTCAGCATAACTTTCGTTTTTTTCTCTTTTTACTTTCTTTTTCCTAAGTGTTTTCAGCTGGAATTAGTCTCAGCTGAATCACCTCTGGAGCAGTGCTGGCTCACTGGGAACCAGGGAAGGGCTGGAGGGTAACAGTAAATGGTGCTTGTCATGTTTAGGCCTTCATGTTACCCTTGGTGCTCTAGGGACACCTGGTATTGGTGCTGCTCCTGATGCTGTCTTATAGAAACTAGAGCATTATTTGAGTTGAATTTTAAACGGTAGACAGGTGCTTCTTTTAGTGTGGCACAGTTTCCCAGATGCATGTTAGAATCGTATTCATTTTCCTAGGGCTACCATAACAAATTACCTACCATAAGCTTCGTGATGTAAAAGGACGGGTTTATTATCTCACTATTATGAAGTCTAGAAGTCCAAAATCAAGGTGTCAACAGGGCAGTGCTCCCTCCTAAGGCTCCGGGGAAGAATCTTTCCTTGCCTCTTCCTAGCTTCTTGAGGTTGCTGCCAATCCTTAGTATTTCCCGGCTGTAATTTCTGCCTGTCAATGATGTGGCTGTTTTCCCTCTGTGTGTGTCTTCTCTGTGTGTCTGTGTCCAAGTTTCCCTCTTCTTATAAGCGAGGAGGACTTCATTGACTTCACCTTAACTTGATTACATGAGCAATGATTCTGTCTTTGAATTGTTAGCAGTTCTGATCTGTGCTATTTGATAGTCTGGAAATATGCTGATTTTATCCTCTTATGTTTTGATTAGGATTTATTCAGGGATATTTAGGTATGCTTTTGTCTCGTGATCAACCATTTAATTATTTTTAGTTTTCAGTGGCAAAACATTTATAGCTCTGAAAAACCTTTATTATTGAAATTCAAGAACTTTGTTGCTTTGAAAGACTAGCTTCTACCTCCTTTTTTCTCTCTAGAACCATTAGTTTAATAACACAGTTTTTAAAAGCTAGGCTTCCTAGGAACATAACTACAGTGTTATCACATAATAACAGAATACACTGTATTTTGTATGCAAGTAACTAAGACACAGAAAAATTCCATAGATGTCTATACTGAACTGAAGGCAAACTTAATACAATCAGTATTAGTCATTCAAAAATATTCTCTATTACATTTTACTCTTATGTGGGGACCATTTTATATATACAGCTTTTTATTTGTATTTTTATATTTCTTTCAGGGATATTTTATTTAGAGCAGTTGATATGTTTGTGTAAAGCAATGTGAGACTTTTAAAGTCAGATTTTATTTTCTGTGTTAACATATATTATTTCTCATTTACCTCCGGAAGACCCTACATCTCTAGCTGTTAGTGTTAGAAACTTTACATAATTATTCATCATTCTAGTTTTTGTTTGGTTGGTTCAGGCTGTGCTAAGGGGTTGGGATATCATTTTATGGATGTGGGGAGATTTTGAAAGATTTTAAGCATGATCCTGTAATAGATAAGGTTTTGGAGAGATCAGATTTTTGCCTGCTTTTGATGGATTTGATTAAAAATTTATTTGCTTGCTTTCATTTTTTGTAGGGATCAAAGACATGTGATACAATGGTTTTTAATCATCCTGCTATCAAGAAATTTTTGGAATCACCATCTAGGTCATCATCTCCTGCCAATCAGAGAGCAGAAACACCATCAGCCAATCATTCAGAAAGTGATTCTTTATCTCAGCACAATGACTTCTTATCTGACAAAGATAATAACAGCAATATGGATATAGAGGAAAGACTCTCAAACAACATGGAGCAGAGACCAAGCCGAAATACTGGAAGGGTATATAGATGGGTGGATGTGGGAGGGAGCCACAGGAGAAGGGAACTATATTTACTAAAGTATGCGCTTGTTATCTCACTGAACTGTCACAGGAATCTTAGGAAATAGGTTTGTTTTCCTTTTATAATGGGGAAACCAAATCTTTTTTTTTTTTTTTTTTTTTTTTTTTTGAGACAGAGTTTTGCTCTGTTGCCCAGGCTGGAGTGCAGTGGCAGGATCATGGCTCACTGCAACCTCCGCCTCCCGGGTTCACGCCATTCTCCTGCTTCAGCCTCCTGAGTAGCTGAGACCACAGGTGTGTGCCACCACGCCCGGCTAATTTTTTTATATTTTTAGTAGAGACGGGATTTCACCGTGTTAGCCAGGATGGTCTCGATCTCCTGACCTCGTGATCTTCCCGCCTCGGCCTCCCAAAGTGCTGGGATTATAGGCGTGAGCCACTGCGCCCAGCGGGAAACCAAATCTTGATTTGGTTTTACTTGCCCAAAAGTGTCAGAACTGCGAATTAAACCTAAGTGTTTCTTTTTTTTTTCTGAGACGGAGTCTCGCTTTATCACCCAGGCTGGAGTGCAGTGGCGCAATCTCGGCTCATTGCCACCTCTGTCTCCCAGGTTCAAGCTATTTTCCTGTCTCAGCCTCCCAAGTAGCTGGGATTAGAGGCATGTGCTACCACGCCTGGCTAATTTTTTGTATTTTTAGTAGAGACGAGGTTTCACCCTGTTGGCCAGACTGGTCTCGAACTCCTGACTTCATGATCTGCCTGCCTCGGCCTCTCAAAGTGCTGGGATTACAGGCGTGAGCCACCGCGCCCGACTTAAACCTGAGTGTTTCTAATTTTACAGCCTGGAGATTCTGTGCACAGCACAGCTCCTGGATGCTGTTTACGTAGGTGTGAAAGAAACCTTCTAGCTCGGCAATTCCGTGATCTTGCTCAAGGTCTTTCAACTCTGTCGTGTTTATTCTCTCGAGAGCAGCCGTTCTTCAACGGTTTCCTCTGTGAGACTTTATATTCTAAGATGCTTTAGTACTTTAGTAGATGGAGGAAATTTGACAAATAAACAGAATTGAAAAACATTGCTCTTTGATCATGCCAGTTTGTAATTTGAGCTCCCATCTCAAGCTACTCTGAACTTCTTGAAAAATATTTGGCTATAGAGTCATTATTGGATTAGAGCAGCGATTTTTCTCAGCCAGGTGTTGACTGTGATACAGAAAATTTCCAAGTTACTTTCCACATACTTAGATGTCAAGGGTTTGATTTATTTTTGATAAAAATATGTTTGTATTTATTTTTCAGATTATAAATTCATATGTGTTCATTTTTTGAAAATTGTTAAATACAGAAAAGTAAAAAAGAATAGAAAAGTTCATTCGTGAGGCTGCCACCCCCAAAATCAGAACTCTTCACTGTTTGGATTTACCTTACCTTTCCAGTATTATTCCTGAGCAAATATTACATGTGTTTTTCTTTTTTTTAGTTAAAAAGAATTTAGGAGGCTGGGCGTGGTGGCTCACGCCTGTAATCCCAGCACTTTGGGAGCCCAAGTGGGGGATCACCAGAGGTCAGGAGTTTGAGACCAGCCTGACTAACATGGTGAAACTCCATTTCTACTAAAAATACAAAAATTACCTGGGCTTAGTGGCGGGTACCTGTAATCCCATCTACTCGAGAGGCTGAGGCAGGAGAATCGCTTGAACCCAGGAGGCGGAGATTGCAATGAGCCGAGATCGTGCCATTGCATTCCAGCCTGGTTGACAGAGCGAGATTCTGTCTCAAAAAATAGAATTTAGGGCATAATGGTCATAGAAACTTAACATGTTTTATACAATATGTGATCATTTCTATATGTATTTATATAGCAAACATTTAGCATTTACTATGTACCAGGCACTTATTTCTCATTGAACAGTTTTGAATATTATAAAAGGTTAAAAAGAGGGTAAATTCCATTGACCCCTTTCTCTCTTTCTATTCCTGTTTCCCAGAAGTAACCACTGTAATAGTTTTTTGTGTATCCTTCCAAATCCTATTTGCATATTCAAAGCAGATGTATGTGACTATTAAAAACACACCGGGAGTTACAGTATATAAACTTTGTATAAATTAAGGCAGCATTTATAGTAACTTTTTTAATGCTTTGAGAGGTGCTACAAAGCCAGAAAATTTTGTAATTTTTTAAAAAAACTTAGTTATTCCATTTATACTTTTTACAATTTTGTGGTTTCTGTCCTATTGAAAGTTGTTCAAAATGAGAATGGATGTTGATTATGATTTTTTTCAGGATACTTCTAGAATTACTGGCTCCCATAAAACAGAACAGCGGAATGCTGATCTCACAGATGAGACTTCACGACTTTTTGTAAAGAAAACAATAGTAGTGGGCAATGTGTCCAAGTGAGTATCCAGTTGAATTTATTTTTATTTGTCCATTTGTGTTAATATTTTGGCATTAATACTCTTACAGTGTTACAGTAGGAAGCAGCCTCAGGGATTCTTTTTCCCAAGCCCTTAGTTGTTTAAAAAGTAAACCACAGTCTAGAGACTTTATTAGGGTAATTTTGCTCCTTAGTGAGCAAAGTCAGAATTTGAATCTAGGTCTCCTATTTTTCTTTTCCTTTTTTTGAGACAGAGTTTCGCTCTTGTTGTCCAGACCAGAATGCAATGGCATGATCTTGGTTCACCGCAACCTCCCCCCGCCCGGGTTCAAGCGATTCTCCTGCCTTAGCCTACCGAGTAGCTGGGATTGCAGGCATATGCCACCACGCCTGGCTAATTTTGTATTTTTAGTAGAGACGGGGTTTCTCCATGTTGGTCAGGCTGGTCTTGAACTCCCGACCTCAGGTGATCCATCCACCTTGGCCTCTCAAAGTGCTGGAATTACAGGTGTGAGCCACCGTGCCGGCCTTTTTTTTTTTTTTTTTTTTTTTATCGTTTTATTAGTCTTTTTATACAAATAGCCAGGGGACCTAGGTATCCTATTTTTCATTTGGATATTATTTTCTCTGTACTGCCTCTATACTGTGACATTTTGCCTTGCCTTGCACAGTATCCACAAAGGATAAATAAGGGGAAGATGTTTGTTCCAAAATATTGCTAGAGAAGAGGCAGTATAATAACCCCTACCCTTGCTTGTGCAGTTTGTAGAATATGCTAATTGTTAGGTATTTGAAAGCCAGTAGAGAATGGTAAATCCTCAGATACTGCCCTCAGCTCGAATGTTCAAATCTTCATTTTGTCTCTCCATTTACATTCCTGCATTTGCCATTGTATTAGTCTGTTTTCACACTGCTAATATAGACATACTCGAGACTGGGTAATTTATAAAGGAAAGAGGTTTGATTGACTCACAGTGCCACATGGCTAGGGAGGCCTCACAATCCTGGCGGAAGGCAAGGGAGAAACAAAGCCATGTCTTAAGTGGAGGCAGGCAAGAGAGCTTGTGTAGGAGAACTACCCCTTATAAAACTGTCAGATCTTATGAGACTGATTTATTATCACGAGAACAGCATGGGAAAGACTCACCCCCATGATTCAATTACCTCCCACTGCGTCCCTTCCAGGACGTGTGGGAATTCTGCAAGCTACAATTGAAGATGAGATTTGGGTGGGGACACAGCCAAACCATATCGGCCATTTACTTGTGATTGGCACGTCCAAAGCTGAAACCAGATTCTTCTCCCTGGAAAACCTATTTCCTGTTCTTTTCTTCTGTTTTGAAATGGGAGGATGTAAGTGTGATGGGTTCCTTTGACTTTTTGTTCTTCTTCAAAATCTTACTTCAGGTCTTTTTCTGGGACTCTAAGGCAAACCAGAGAGGTTTGTATCTAACAAGTCATTGGGACATGAGAATAAAGTAGATAAGTCTTTTCGGTCACCCATTTGTGTTAATACTTGGGCGTAATACTCTTATTATCCTGGTGTTACAGTAGGAGGAGGCCTCAGGGAATGTTTTTTCAAGCTCTTTGTTGCTTCAAAAGTGAACCAAGGTCCAGAGATTGGAGTCTCTGCGTTAGTGTGTCTGTCAGTCTTTCCCTGAGAATAAAATAGGGCTTGGTAAAAATTTCTAAGACATGAGCTCTTACACAAATATATTTCACCAATTGTGTCAATGTGTGTAAGTTTGGAAGAACTTTTGACTACTCTGAACCAGTTCTGTCTTTAGGGGCCTTAGCGAATTCCTAAAAATGTTGATTTGGTTGCCCAAACTGAGATGTTTTTAGTTTGTAACAAAAGGTTGCTGAGCAGATCTTAAAGGCAGAATTCCTCCAAGCTCCAGAGCCATGTACTTGAACAGTATGATCTCAGGCTGTCTTGGAGCAGCTTCATCATTTTTGCCAAGTGTCTAGGGGTAGATTAGGACGTTATAAATCCTCTAAAAACATAAAAATGTTAAGTAAATATTTGGCCAAGATGTAAATAGATGGAAGGGATTAAATTAATTTGATGGAGGAAAATTGATTGGCTAGGATTCTAACTGGTAGTGTTTTAAACTAATTTTCTCATGAAGTTTTATTTGCTGATCCCCTCCCTCATTAGGCATATTCCCTCTATGCTATCTCTTTGTGATTTTTATCATATTATGTGGCCATTTTCTATTTTCGTATATTTTTCTCAAATCAGACTGGAATCTCTTGAGGGTAGAAACTATGTCTTGTCTGGTTTTGTTTTGTTTTGTTTTTCCAAGACGGAGTTTTACTCTTGTTGCCCAGGTTGGAGTGCAATGGCGCGATCTCAGCTCACTGTACCCTCCACCTCCAGGGTTCAAGCGATTCTCCTGCGTCAGCCTCACAAGTAGTTGGGATTACAGACATGCACCGCCACACCTGGATAATTTTGTATTCTTAGTAGAGATGGGGTTTCACTGTGTTGATCAGGCTGGTCTTGAACTCATGAATTTGGGTGATCTACCTGCCTTGGCCTCCAAAAGTGCTGAGATTACAGGCATGAGCCACCACGCCTGGCCTTGTCTGGCTTTGTACCCTAACAGTATATATTTAGTAAGTATTTGATTGATGAATACATTGATATACGTATGAAAGGAAAAAATAAACATAACATACACAAACCTGGCGAAATTAATTTTAAAAATTAAAAAAAGAGAAGGCACAAATAATATTAGAAATACAAAAGAAGACGTAACTACAGATGCTGTACTATTAAAGAGATAAGAAACTATTAACTTCTTTATGCCAATACATTGAAAAATTTAGATGAAATGATTGTTTAGCCCCAATTTTCTTGTGGCCTAGTGGGTCTGCCTGAACTTCCAGGCCTGGCTTTTTCTGGGCCGACCTGTCTTGTAAAGTTGTCATCTCTCCCCAAATCAATCTGTAGGTATTCCTGTTAAAATCCCATCAGGGTTCATGACTTTCATGAGCTGGAAGAGTAAAGGGCCAGGATTGGTCAAGAACACTCCTCAAGAGCTAGGCTGGGCAACTTGGCCCCCCCATATCACTAAGGATTAGCACTAGGCATAGATGAGCATATAGAAGGCCTGACTATATTTTCTACATGAATCTAAGAAGGGGGCCTCATACTGAAATAAAGACAGGGCCCATAAAGGGGAGCGCTAAAGATGCTAATTTTACCATGATCAGGGTTTAAGGGAAATGGCACGTTTTGGCTTTCAGAGGGCAGGAAACTAGGTGCAGTCTTCTTGGCAACCATGAGAGTCACCAGAAAGGCGCAAAGCTCTAGCACCCTGAAACCTGAATGAAATCAACCCGAAGGCTAGAGCTTCCCTAACCTAGGAATAAAAATATGCCAGTTTATTTCCACCTTATGTCTTTATCTGGCAGGAAAAACAAGTTTGCCTTTTTTTTTTTAAATAGCACACCGAATAAGGAGAACAACACAAACTTTTAACAGAATGTCCCTTAAACCAAATTCATGTTTTATTTATTTTATTATTTTATTTTAGTTCATTAATTTTATTTTAATTTTTTGAGGTAGGGTCTTGCTTTGTCACCTAGACTGAAGTACAGTGATGTGATTGTAGCTCACTTTAGCTTCGAACTCCTGGGCTCAGGCAGTCCTCCCACCTCATCAGCCTCCCAGCAAGCTGGGACTACAGGTGTGGGCCACCATGTCCAGCTGAGTTTAAAATTTTAGGTGGGATGATTGTAGTTGTAGTTCACTCTTTGAGATTACTGTCTCACTAAGCAGGCATTGTCTTCTTCTATCCAATTGTTACCACACTATATTAGCTGATTTTGCTCCCCTCTGGAAATAGCTAAACATGGTGATGGGGTCTTGCTATGTTGCCCAGGCTGATCTCTAACTCCTGACCTCAAGCAGTCCTCCCGTTTCAGCCTCCTGAAGTGCTGGCATTACAGTGTGAGCCAGCCACTGCATCCAGCCCCAGCTATGTTTTAGAAAGAAAGAAAAACAAAATGATTAACTTGCAAAGACTCATTTTGCTTGTTTAGGTGATGTAGTTGTTAAATATTGCAGGAATTTTAACCTTGTTTTTAAGTTTAAGTAGGACTTAATTATTTAGTTAGGTTTTTGAAGGACGAAAAGAATTCAGGTTTCTTTTTTCTTCTTCTCTAGGTATATACCTCCGGATAAGAGGGAAGAAAATGACCAGTCAACTCATAAGTGGATGGTATATGTCCGAGGGTCCCGTAGAGAACCCAGCATTAATCATTTTGTCAAGAAGGTTTGGTTCTTCCTTCATCCTAGCTATAAACCAAATGACCTTGTGGAAGTTAGGTAAGCACGCTTGAGGTATTTAACCTAAATTGAAATGCAGACTTATTTTTGAAGTGGAAGAAAAGTGATTTAACTTCAAAACATTTCCTGGAAATGCAGTAGTAATTGAGAATTGGCTCTTAGTCAAAATGTAGTTGGAGGCCGGGTGGGGTGGCTCACACCTATAATCCAAGCACTTTGGGAGGCCAAGGCAGGCGGATCATGAGGTCAGGAGATTGAGACCATCCTGGCTAACACGGTGAAACCCGGTCTCCACTAAAGATACAAAAAATTAGCTGGGCGTGGTGGCGGGCGCCTGTAGTCCCAGCCACTAGGGAGGCTGAGGCAGGAGAATGGCGTGAACCAGGGAGGCGGAGCTTGCAGTGAGCTGAGATCGCGCCACTGCACTCCAGCCTGGGCGACAGAGCGAGACTCTGTCTCAAAAAAAAAAAAAAAGGTAGTTGTAGTTCACTCTCTCAGATTACTGTCTCACTGAGCAGGCATTGTCTTCTATCCAATTGTTACCACACTAATTATATTAACTGGTTTTGCTCCCCTCTGGAAACAGCTAAACTTGTTTATATAGATACAGATGCATATGAAAATGTTACTTCTTTTTATGAATATCAGAATGTAACAGAATTAAATATAGTATTCTAACATGGTAGACTATTTAATGTTGAAAGTTTCCCATGATCTCACTCTCTTAGAAGTAACTCCCAATCATATTTCTTCTGTACATATTTGAATATAGTATAGTTGTTTCTTGTGATTATTTCACCAAGATGGAATGATTATATATATTGTTGTGAAATTTGCTTGTACCATTTAGGTGTGTTCTTTACATTTTTTTTTTTTGAGACGGAGTTTCACTCTTGTCACACAGGCTAGAGTGCAGTGGTGTGCTGTTGGCTCACTGCAACCTCTGCTTCAGGTTCAACCTCTGCTTCAGGTTCAAGCGATTCTTCTGCCTCAGCCTCCCAAGTAGCTGGGATTACAGGTGCCCGCCACCACACCCGGCTAATTTTTTTGTATTTTTAGTAGAGACGGGCTTTCACCATGTTGGCCAGGCTGGTCTCGAACTCCTGACCTCAGGTGATCTGCCCGCCTTGGCCACCCAAAGTGCTGGGATTACAGGTGTGAGTCACCATGCCCGGCCTTATTCTTTACATCTTTATATGATGTTACACACATATATATTAATTGTGTGGTTTTTTGTTTGTTTTTTTTTTTTTTTTTTTTTTTTTTTTTTTTTTTGGAGACACATCCTGTCGTCCATGCTGGAGTGCAGTGGCACGATCTTGGCTCACTGCAACCTCCACCCCCCAGGTTCAAGCAGTTCTCATGCTTCAGCCTCCCAAGCAGCTGTGATTACAGGTGCACGCCACCATGCCCAGCTAATTTTTGTATATTTTGTAGAGACGGGGTTTTGCCATGTTGGCCAGGCTGGTCTTGAACTCCTGAGCTCAAGCCCCCTGCCCGCCTTGGCCTCCCAAAGTGCTGAGATTATAGGCATGAGCTACCATGTCCGGCCCATATTGATTGTATAAATGCACTGTGGAAGTGGTTGTTGGTTATTATCAGTGAAATCTCTATTCTCTGCTCTGTTCAGAGCCTTTCTTCACCCCCGACTCTTAAACAAAACATGGCTGCCTCCTGAGAACTCTGCTGCTTCTTTAACCCTTTCAAGCGATGGTGGCTGTTTTTTTTGCTGCCACATACCACTGGGCCTGGGGGTGGGGTGGATGTCTTCCTTGATCACATTTATGGCTTCCAGACCACCTTTCCCTGCCAAGGGTGACTGGGGAAATTAGTAGATAATTGCAACAGAGGACAAGCAGCAGCCTCAAAGGAGTTGAGGCTTTTTGGAAAAGGGGGAAAGGTTTCAGCACCTGGTTTACTGATTTTCTCTCTACCATAACTCTTGCTGTCATTCTTAACATCCATATAGACAGTTCATCCAAAACCCTGGTCTCTTGGTTCTTTGATTTCTTCACTTTGATGCTTAGGTTATTGTAGTGATATATCATAGACTGTAAGCTGAGTAAGGAGAGAATATACGTATATAAGAGCAGTGATGGCTGGTGAAAAGTTTTGTGGGCAAGAAATAGAAGTCTCCGTGAAGTCAAAGAATAGTTGGATTGGGGTGAAACTGGAAAGATAAGGGTTGGTGGTCAGAAAGTGGAATAGGCTGGGCGCGGTGGCTCAGGCCTGTAATTCCAGCACTTTCGGAGGCTGAGGCGGGCGGATCACGAGGTCAGGAGATCGAGACCATCCTGGCCAACATGGTGAAACCCATCTCTACTAAAAATACAAAAATTAGCTGGGTGTGGTGGCTCGTGCCTGTAATCCTAGCTACTCAGGAGGCTGAGGCAGGAGAATGGCTTGAACCAGGGAGTCAAAGGTTGCAGTGAGCCAAGATCGTGCCACTGCACTCCAGCCTGGAGGCAGAGTGAGAGTCTGTCTCAAAAAAAAAAAAAAAAAAAGCGGAATATTTGGAAATAAGATTTTTGTAGGTAGGTACAGTATGTTTTTCTTCTTGTGTATTAATTATATTTTTATTGATGATAGAAATCTCATATACCCAAAAGGATGGGATTAAAAACTAATTACATAAAATACTTAAAAATGCAACACAAGTGCCTGTTTTATTTCTCTGTTCTCATACCATAAATGAGAATTTGTAAAACACATTATTTCTTTTAAATTGCAAAGACTATTCCTGCAGTAATTTATGAGATTTATTTGCTAAGAAGTCTTTACTAATCTGTGGGCAGAGGTGTGGCAAGTCACTTATCAAGATATATTATAACAGTGAGAAAATCCAAAGAAAGGATTGTGCTGCAGCTCCTTATCCAGTTTCTCTTTCATCCTGGACATCTGGAGTGTTTTCTGCTAATAGTAAATGAACTTTGTTTCATTACCTGTATGAGGTTTGACGTCATCGAAATAGCCTGTGTCTTGTTTTCAGCCTGATCTGTGCCACTCTGACAGTGTTGCAAAGATGGTCTGCTGTGCCACGCCTGAGCAGTTAGCTGTTCACAGCCTGGCGGCACACACCTTTACCACATACTTTTCCCATAGCAAACCAAACTTTATTAACAACAATGTTAGGATTTGTAAATAGTATTTTAAAAGAGATTATTGGTTACGTGCTTCTGGTTTTTAAAATTCCTGGAGAAATCATATGCTGTGATCAACCATAGCGCTGTTTTTTTTTTAATAGCAGGAAATGTATATAAGTCTATTACTGCACTTACTCATTTACATGTATGTCTCACCAGATTTAGAACTTCTCGATGTTTAGGACCTTATCTTGTCTTAATATCCCCAGGGTCGGCTGGGCACCGTGGCTCAAGCCTGTAATCCCAGCACTTTGGGAGACTGAGGCAGGTGGATCACGAGATCAGGCGTTTGAGACCAGCCTTGCCAACATGGTGAAACCTTGTCTCTACTAAAAATACAAAAAAAAATTAGCCATGCCCGGTGGCGTGTGCCTGTAGTCCCAGCTACTCGAGAGGCTGAGGCAGGAGAGTTGCTTGAACCCGGGAGGCACAGGTTGCGGTGAGCCAAGATCATGCCACTGCACTCCAGCCTAGGTGACAGAGCAAGACTCTGTCTCAAAATAAATAAATAAAAAATAAATAAATAAATATCCCCAGGGTCTATCATAGTTCCTAGCATGTAGTAAATGCTCATTTTGTGTTTTTTAAAATTTTATTTTTTATTTTTATTTTTATGTTTTTTGAGACAGAGTCTCGCTCTGCTGCCCAGGCTGGAGTGCAGTGGCGCAGTCTTGGCTCACTGCAAGCTCCGCCTCCCGGGTTCACGCCGTTCTCCTGCCTCAGCCTCCTGAGTAACTGGGACTACAGGCGCCCGCCACCACTCCCGGCTAACGTTTTTGTATTTTTAGTAGAGATGGGGTTTCACTTATTAGCCACGATGGTCTCGATCTCCTGACCTCATGATCTGCCCACCTCGGCCTCCCAAAGTGCTGGGATTACAGGCGTGAGCCACTGCACCCGGCCAATTTTGTTTATTTTTTTAGAGATAAGAGTCTTGCTCTGGCACCCAGGTGGGAGAAGAGTGCCATGATTATAGCTCACTGCAGCCTCGAACTCCTGGGCTCGAACTGTCCTCCTACTTTAGCCTCCTGGGTAGCTAGGACTATAGGCGTGTGCCACCTATGTCCAGCTAATTTTTTTATCCAGGCTGGTCTCGAACTCCTGGCCTCAAGCAGTCCTCCCGCCTTGGCTTCCTAAAGTGCTGGGATTACAGGCGTGAGCCTTGTACCCAGCCTCATTTCATGTTTGATACTGAGTGAATTATTGAATTCATGAAATGGGCCATTCCATTTGGAGGTGGCTGGTTTTGTTTGGAAGTTTTTAATTATATTGAGCAGAGATCTAACTTCCTCTAACTTCTAAACAGTAAGCTTTTCATATGCTTTATGTACCACTCAGAATCATCATAATCCCTTTTCTTTGTACAGTTGTTTAGATACTTGAAAGCAGTTATTGGGTCTCATCCATATTTGTTTCAGTTGTCACTTGTGTGACTTTGTTTTATGTTCCTTTGCCATTCAGGTTGTATTCTTTGGTATACTCCAGTTTATCTATATTCCTTTTAAAATAACCTTTTTAGAACTGAACCTAAAACTCCAGGTATGGTGTAACCAATATAAAGTAGGTGAGGACTATTAACGTATGTCCTAGGTTTAATTATAACTCTTAGTTCTTTGCAGGACTCTTAAGATGTTTGTTGTGTTAGGTATCTAAAGTAATTTAACGAATAAGGGAGGATTTTTGCGGCTGCCTTCAAACTTGGGGTTAATCTTATTTCTGGATCAAAGCACAAATGTTTTTCTTACACACCCTGAATCTCTTCATCACAGCACATTACCTGACAAAGAGGTGGGTGGATGCTGCTCTTGTTGAAGCACTTTCTTCCACGTTTGTTCAGTTGTCAGGACGACCCTTAGCCAACTTCCTAAAAGCCGTGATTGTGAACTTTGCTTTTTTTTTTTAGGTACAAGATAGTGGTGACTAGATATGTGCTAGGCTCAGGGCGTGATAAAGGGACTGTGAAGATGAGCACGGGGCCTTGGCTTTGGGAAACCAAAAAGGTCTTCCTGCCCTTGGTGTGTGTGAAACTGGAGCGGGCCAGCTCGCCAGAGGAATCCTAGTGAGCCTCTTCCAAACCTTCGTATCTGTTTTATTTCACTCAAATGTAGAACTCTCTAGAGCAGCATTGTCCAATAGAAATATACTGTGAGCCACATCTGTAATTTGAAATTTTCGAGTAGCCACATTAGAGAAGTAAGTACCCAGAAGAAGTGATTTGACATTCCATGCCCTGCACAGTCGGACAATGCCCAGTCATATTACTGTGCGTACTGGGGAGAGTGGTCTGGGAACTGAGGTCTGTCACCTTGGGGACATGGACTAGCACACAGTGGCTAAAGCATGGCCCTGGAGCCTATTGCTTGAGTTTGAATTCTGGTTCCGTTGCTTATTTGCTGTGTGACCTTGGCAAGTTAGTTGTTCAGCCTCACTGTGTCTCAGAGGGGCTATTTCATAGAGTGGTTGTAAGGATTAGGTAAGTTAATAGTTCTAAAGGGCTTAGAACACTGATTGGGTCATAGCAAACAGTGAAACGTAGGAATGCAGTGTTTGCTGCTACTGCTGTTGTGAGGAACAGAGATGTTCATTCCGAAAAGACTTGAGGGAATGCTTTGGTTCTTTTAAAGGGCTTTCATGTGGAGGAAGAATTTACTCCTTGTGATTCCAAATGGCATATCTAGAATTAACATGCAGGAGGTAGAAGAAGTCATTTTGTAATAGAGCTGTTCAGAAATGTAACACAGGGTCTCATGCAGTGGTGAGTTCAGGGTCACTCAGAGTGATGCTAAAAGAATGATTGGCCATATGAATAAATTAGTCGAGCAGGGAGCTGTACTCCATTCTGTGTTTCTAATAAAGCCATTTTTGTTTAATCCCCATAGTCTTATGGTTTTTCCCTCTTGGTGTCAATGGTTTATTTCACCTTCTATGAGGAATCTAGAAGTATTGAAGTTTGTTCGGGGGAGGCAGTCCTTTATTGTGTGAAGTAACGTCTTTTGAAGTATACCATTTCCATAAATAGTGTTGTTGTAGGTCTTAGATTCTTTTTTTGCTTCTAAAAATATGGTTATGGAGGAATTTCCTGTTAAAAAGCATTGTTCATTTTTCCTGACTTTGTGCTGTTTGTCTGTCTTCTCTGGCAGCAGTCTTTCCTGTCTATTCACTAAAGGTTAGGCCATGTACATAAATTGAGAAACATACCTAATTTATCATAGTCATTGTGAGAGAAGTTCAGCATTCAGTGTGATTGAGGCATATTGCAAATGAATTTAGACTTACCATTTAGCTTTACTGGAATTTAAATGACCAAACTTCACATCAGTAGAATTTCCATTAATTGACTCAAGTCCACCATGCCTCTAGGCTCCACTGTATCTCTGGCTGTGGGTCCCGTTTCAGACTAAGTCTGCCTTCTCCTTTGACCCCAAGTGTGAATCTATACCAACGTCACAGCTGCTTCTCTTAGCTCCTTTGCAGCTGATTTCTTCCATCCAGGGCACTCTAGTTTTCTTTGCTTTCTTTTCTCTTTGGTTTATAAGGTATTTATTAATTTCTCTGCTTTCTAGGCTCCCCTCATATCTCAGGGATTTTTCCTGTCCTGGGCTCCGTTGTTAGCTGCTGGCTCTGTGCTCGTTAATTCACATCTGTTACACTCTTTTCAGGTCGTGTTCTTGAACTCTGCACTCACTCAATTCAGTTTTCCAAAAACACTGTCTGTTGAGTTTCTTTCTCCTTGTCATTTTCTTTTTTTTTTGAGATGGAGTCTTGCTCTGTCTCAGGCTGGAGTGCAGTGGTGTGATCTCAGCTCACTGCTGCCTCCGCCCCCCGGGTTCAAGCGATTGTCGTGGCCTCTCAAAGTGCTGGGATTACAGGCATGAGCCACCGCACCCAGCCTCCTTGTAATTTTGATATCTTCTCTCATTACTAATTCTAAGCCAGTATTCATAACAAATGTTTTCATTTTAAAAGCATTCTCTCTCTTCCCTATGCACTTAAACCATATTGTTTTGAGTACTTAATGATATATCAATTAAATTTCTAAATTTTTTTATTATGGAAAATTTCAGACATATATGGAAGTAAAGAACATAATGAACCCTCATGTGCCCATCACCAGTTATTAACAATTTGCTCTTTTCCATCAATTCCCGCCCCTCCTTTTTTCTTCCTTCACAAATTACATTGTGCTGAGAATTCTCCAATCCAGTTAGCATGCACACACATTCCTTTCTGCCCACTAAAATCAGTCATAGTCACTATTCAGGGAAGGTCATATTGTGAACATATGATCTTTCTTTAAGTCTTCTTAGCAGAGAGTTTCAAATAAATTGTCTCAGTTGAGCATGTTCATGATTCATTTTGTTTCTGCCTCAGTGGAGGAATAAATACAAGGGTTTAGGGTAGGGAGCATACCTCATGGCCTGTATCTGTCAAATGCCAATTAAAGATCCTCGCTCTCTAGTGACATTCATCAGATCAACCTAGTTCCCTCGTCTGTGAAAATGACATTGGATTATATGGTCTAAGTTTACTCTAGCTGTTAGCGTTCAATAATTGAAAGTTTAATAGAGGTTTGAGTTGAGTTTTTTCTTTTAAAATTTATCATTTTAGCAAAATTCGGCATGTTGATTTAGTTTTAAACGAGGAAATCTAAATGATTCTCAGAAGACAGTGAATTTCTGATTTATGCATTATCAGGAAACTTTTCCTGTGTAGGATGAGAGAGTGAACATGGATGAACGTGTTAATATCTGCTTTTCCATAGAGAGCCTCCTTTTCACCTGACCAGAAGAGGCTGGGGTGAGTTTCCCGTCAGAGTTCAAGTTCATTTTAAGGACAGCCAGAACAAGCGGATAGATATCATACATAATCTGAAGGTATTGTAACAAAACATTGCTCCCTAGTTTTGAAGTCTCTTTTTACCAGCTACAATTGATCCTTGAATAGCATGGCGGTTAAGGACCCCCTCGCATTAAAAAATTCACATACAACTTTCGACTCCCCCAAAACTTAACTATTAATAGCCTACTGTTGACTGCAAGCCTTACGAATAATGTAAACAGTCAATTAACACATATTTTGTATCTTATATATATTATGGACTATATTCTTACAATAAAGTAAGCTGGAGAAAAGAACTGTTATTAAGAAAATTATAAGGAATAGAAAATATATTTATTATTCATTAAATGGAAGTGGATCATCCTAAAGATCTTTATCCTCGCCATCTTCACATTGAGTAGGCTGAGGAAGAGGAGGGATTGGTCTTGCTGCCTCAGGTGGCAGAGGTGGAAGAAAATCCGTGTATAAGCAGATCTGTGCAGTTCAAACCCATGTTCAAAGGTCAGCTGTATTCAAAGTGGGAGTGTTAGGTCTTCTGCAAGAAGTGGCTAAGAATAGTGGGGGGAAGAGATACTATTTCTGAGTATGTTTATGCTTACTGCTACAACACTACTTTGTCCTCTGATGCAACCATCAGAGAGAGAGAGAATCACTTTAGAGGACAATGCATATCCTTTAAAAAGATGAACAAAGTGGTCAGATAATCAGAACACATGAATCTTTGATCAGACCTCACCATCAATGTGTTTCTTGGGGCTAAGTTACTGAAATCTTTTTTAAATCTGTTTACTTTTCTATAAAGTGGGGCAAATAATAATGTTTGTCTGTAAAGACAGAAATGAACGTGTTTTGGAAATGATAAAGTACTATACAAGATTATAATGCTTTTGTATTGTAAGAAATCCTTTAATGATAAATGTAGCCATGTGGTTTATGGTGCAGCCATTGTAAATTATATCTTATGAAGTGTTGTCTTTCCACGGGGAGAACTGCCCTTATAAGAAGTGAAACACAGAGTACAGGCATACTTTGTTTCATTGCACTTTGCTTATTGCTCTCAGTAGATACTTGATTTTTAAAAAAATTGAAGATTTGTGGCAACCCTCTGTCAGACAACTCTGTGAGTACCATTTTTCCAACATCATGTGCTCATTTTTGTCTCTCTGTCACATTTTGGTAATTCCTGAAATATTTCAAACTTTTTTTTTTATTAAATCTGTTTTGATGATCCTGTGATCAGTGGTCTTTGATGTTACTATTATTTTGGGGCACGACAAACCATGCTCATAGGAGGATGAAAGTAATTGATCAGTGTTTTGTGGATTCTGACTGTTCCAGCAACCAGTCATTCCCCATCTCATTCCCTCTTTTGGGGCCTTCCTATCCTCTGAGAACAACAATATTGAAATTAGGCCAATTAATAACCTTATAATAGTTTCCAAGTGTTGAAGTAGAAGGAAGAGTCACACATCTCTCACCTTAAATTAAAAGCTAGAAAGGATTAAGCTTAGTGAAAAAAGCATGTTGAAAGCCAAGATAGGCTAAAAGCGAGGCCTCTGTGCCAAACAGCCAAGTTGTAAATGCAAAGGAAAAGTTCTTTTTTTTTTTTTTTTTTTTTTTTTAATACTTTAAGTTTTAGAGTACATGTGCACATTGTGCAGGTTAGTTACATATGTATACATGTGCCATACTGGTGCGCTGCACCCACTAACTCGTCATCTAGCCTTAGGTATATCTCCCAATGCTATCCCTCCCCCCTCCCCCCACCCCACCACAGTCCCCAGAGTGTGGTATTCCCCTTCATGTGTCCAGGTGATCTCATTGTTCAATTCCCACCTATGAGTGAGAATATACGGTGTTTGGTTTTTTGTTCTTGTGATAGTTTACTGAGAATGATGATTTCCAATTTCATCCATGTCCCTACAAAGGATATGAACTCATCATTTTTTATGGCTGCATAGTATTCCATGGTGTATATGTGCCACATTTTCTTAATCCAGTCTATCATTGTTGGACATTTGGGTTGGTTCCAAGTCTTTGCTATTGTGAATAATGCCGCAATAAACATACGTGTGCATGTGTCTTTATAGGAGCATGATTTATAGTCCTTTGGGTATATACCCAGTAATGGGATGGCTGGGTCAAATGGTATTTCTAGTTCTAGATCCCTGAGGAATCGCCACACTGACTTCCACAATGGTTGAACTAGTTTACAGTCCCACCAACAGTGTAAAAGTGTTCCTATTTCTCCACATCCTCTCCAGCACCTGTTGTTTCCTGACTTTTTAATGATTGCCATTCTAACTGGTGTGAGATGATATCTCATAGTGGTTTTGATTTGCATTTCTCTGATTAGGAAAAGAGGAAGTCAAATTGTCCCTGTTTGCAGACGACATGATTGTTTATCTAGAAAACCCCATCGTCTCAGCCCAAAATCTCCTTAAGCTGATAAGCAACTTCAGCAAAGTCTCAGGATACAAAATCAGTGTACAAAAATCACAAGCATTCTTATACACCAACAACAGACAGAGAGCCAAATCATGAGTGAACTCCCATTCACAATTGCTTCAAAGAGAATAAAATACCTAGGAATCCAACTTACAAGGGATGTGAAGGACCTCTTCAAGGAGAACTACAAACCACTGCTCAAGGAAATAAAAGAGGATACAAACAAATGGAAGAACATTCCATGCTCATGGGTAGGAAGAATCAATATCGTGAAAATGGCCATACTGCCCAAGGTAATTTACAGATTCAATGCCATCCCCATCAAGCTACCAATGACTTTCTTCACAGAATTGGAAAAAACTACTTTAAAGTTCATATGGAACCAAAAAAGAGCCCGCATCGCCAAGTCAATCCTAAGCCAAAAGAACAAAGCTGGAGGCATCACACTACCTGACTTCAAACTATACTACAAGGCTACAGTAACCAAAACAGCATGGTACTGGTACCAAAACAGAGATATAGATCAATGGAACAGAACAGAGCCCTCAGAAATAACGCCGCATACCTAGAACTATCTGATCTTTGACAAACCTGAGAAAAACAAGCAATGGGGAAAGGATTCCCTATTTAATAAATGGTGCTGGGAAAACTGGCTAGCCATATGTAGAAAGCTGAAACTGGATCCCTTCCTTACACCTTATACAAAAATCAATTCAAGATGGATTAAAGATTTAAACGTTAGACCTAAAACCATAAAAACCCTAGAAGAAAACCTAGGCATTACCATTCAGGACATAGGCGTGGGCAAGGACTTCATGTCCAAAACACCAAAAGCAATGGCAACAAAAGCCAAAATTGACAAATGGGATCTAATTAAACTAAAGAGCTTCTGCACAGCAAAAGAAACTACCATCAGAGTGAACAGGCAACCTACAACATGGGAGAAAATTTTCACAACCTACTCATCTGACAAAGGGCTAATATCCAGAATCTACAATGAACTCAAATTTACAAGAAAAAAACAAACAACCCCATCAAAAAGTGGGCGAAGGACATGAACAGACACTTCTCAAAAGAAGACATTTATGCAGCCAAAAAACACATGAAAAAATGTTCATCATCACTGGTCATCAGAGAAATGCAAATCAAAACCACTATGAGATATCATCTCACACCAGGAAAAGTTCTTAAAGGAAATTAAAAGTGCTACTCCAGTGAACACACAAATGATAAGAAAGCAAAACAGCCTTCTTGCTGATTTGGAGAAAGTCTCAGTGATCTGTATAGAAGATCATACCAGCCATAACATTCCCTTAAGCCAAATGCTATTCTAGGGCAAGGCCCTAGCTCTTCAATTCTGTCAAGACTGAGAGGGGTGAGGAAGCTTCAGAGGAAAAGTATGAAGCTAGCAGATGTTGGTTCGTGAGGTTTAAGGAAGGATGCCGTCTCCATAACATACAGTTGCAAGGTGAAGCAGCAAGTGCTGATGGAGAAGCTGCAGCAAGTTATCCAGAAGATCCAGCTAAGATCATTGATGAAGGTGGCTACACCAAACAACATATTTTCACTGTAGGTGAAACAGGCTTCTGTTGGAAGAAGATGCCATCTAGGACTTTCATAGCTAGAGAGGAGAAGTCAATGCCTGGCTTCAGAACATAGGATTGACTTCTTGTTAGGGGCTGGTGACTTTATTTATTTTTATTTTTATTTTTTTGAGATAGAGTCTTGGTCTGTGACCCACGCTGAAGTATAGTGGCGTGATCTCGGCTCACTGCAACCTTTGTATCCTGGGTTCAAGCAATCCTCCCACCTCAGCCTCCCAAGTAGCTAGGATTACAGACCCCTGCCACCACGCGCGGATAATTTTTGTATTTTTAGTAGAAATAGGGTTTCACCGTGTTGTCCTGGCTGGTCTCAAACTCCTGAACTCAAGTGATCCACCCGCCTCAGCCTCCCAAAGTGCTGGAATTACAGGCATGAGCCACTGTGCTTGGCCACAGCTGGTAACTTTAAATTGAAACCAGCGCTTATTTACCATCCAGTAAATCCTAGGGCCCTTAATAATGATGCTAAATCTACTCTGCCTCTGCTTTATAAATGGAACAAAAAAGCCTGGGTGACAACACATCTGTTTATAGCATGGTTTACTGAAAATTTTAAGCCCACTGTTGAGACCAACTGCTCAGAGAAAAGGATTCCTTTCAAAATATTGTTGCTCATTGATAATTCACCTGGTCACTTAAGAGCTCTGATGAGAGGCCAGGCATGGTGGCTTATGTCTGTAATCCCAGCACTTTGGGAGGCCGAGGCGAGTGGATCACTTGAGGCCAGGAGTTTGAGACCAGCCTGGCCAACGTGGCAAAACCCCGTCTCTACTAAAAATACAAAAAGTAGCTGGGCGTGGTGGGTCACACCTGTAGTCCCAGCTACTAGGGAGGCTGAGGCAGGAGAATCACTTGAACCCAGGAGGCGAAGTTTGCAGTGAGCCAAGATCGCGCCACTGCACTCCAGCCTGGTGACAGAGCGAGACTCCATCTCAAAAAGAAAAAAAAGAGCTTTGATGGAGATGTATAAGGAGATTAATGTTGTATTCATGCCTGCTAACACAATATCCATTCTGCATCTGTGAGATCAAGGAGTAATTTCAACATTCAAGTCTTACTGTTTTAAGAAATATATTTTGTGGCCAGGCACAGTGGCTCATGCCTGTAATCCCAGCCCTTTGGGAGGCCAAGGAGGAAGGATTGTGTGAGCCCAGGAGTTTGAGACCAGCCTGGGCAACATAATAAGACCTCATCTCTACAAAAAAAAAAAAAAATTAGCTGGACATGGTGGCGCTTGCCTGTAGACCCAGCTACTTGGGAGGCTGAGGTAGGAGAATCAGCTTCATGGTCCCAGGAGGTTGAGGCTGCTGTGAGCCACGATCAAGCCACTGCCCTCCAGCTTGGGTGAGAGAGCAAGCCCCATGTCAAAAAATAAAAAATAAAAAAAAGGAAAAAAATATATTTTGTAAGGCTATGGATGCCATAAATAGTGATTTATCAGATGGATTTGGTCAAAGTAAATTGAAAGCCTTCTGGAAAGGACTAACCATTCTAGATGCCATTGAGAACATTTGTGATTCATGAGAGGAGGTCAGAGTAGCAACATTAACAGGAGTTTGGAAGAAGTTGATTCCAACCTTCGTGGATGACTTAAGTTCAAGACTTCAGCGGAGGAATTAGCTGCAGGTATGGTGGAAATAGCAGGAGTACAAGAATTAGAAGTAGAGCCTGACAGTGTGACTGAATTGCTGCAGTTTTATGATTAAACCTTAATGCATGAGGATTTGCTTCTTACGGATAAGCAAAGTAAGTGGCTTCTTGAGATGGCATCCACTCCTGGTGATGATGCTGTGAACACTGTTGAAATTGACAACAAAGGATTTAGAATATTACATAAACTTACTTAATAAAGCAGCTACAGGGTTTGAGAAGATTGACTCCAATTTTGAAAGAACTTCTCTTGTGGATAAAACACTGTCAAACAGCATTGAATGCTACAGAGAAATCTTTCATAAAAGGAAGTCAGTCGAGGCAGCAGAATTCATTGTTGTCTTGTTTTAAGAAATTGCCGTAGCCACCCAAACCTTCAACAAACAGCCATCAGCATCAAGGCAAGACCCTCCACCAACAAAGAGATTACAGTTCACTCAAGGCTCAAGGTGATCATTAGCACTTTTTAGCAAGAAAGTATTTTTAAATTAAGTTATGTAGATTATTTTGTTAAACATAATGCTGTTACATACTTAATAGATGACAGCATAGTATAAACATAATTTTTATAAGCACTGGGAAACAGATTCATTGTGAGTTGCTTTATTGCAGTATTCACTTCATTGCAGTAGTCTAGAATTGAATCTGCAATTATCTCTGAGGTATGTTTGTATAAAACTGTATGTACATGAAGTCAACCACGATCTTTGAAAGGTAGAAAAATAAAACAAAAGAAATATACCAAAAAGTTGGAGCAACTGAAATAATGACATTGTGAACTATTTCTCATGCCCTGTTTTTGGTTGGTTTTCTCAAATATTTTTGCAATTTTATATAAATAAACGTTTATTTTTTATTTTTTTGAGACAGAGTCTCACTGTTGCCCAGGCTAGAGTGTGGTGGCGTGATCACGGCTCACTGCATCCTTGACCTCCCCCGGCTCAGGTGATCCTCTTATCTCAGCGTCCCAGGTAGCTGGACCACAAGCGCATGCCACTACACTCAGTTAATTTTTTTATTTTTTGTAGAGATGGAGTTTTTTTTCCACTGTGTTGCCCAGGCTGGTCTCAAACTCCTGGACTAAAACAATCTACCCTCCTCAGCCTCCCAAAGTGCTGGCATTAGAGGCGTGAACCACCTTGCCTGGCCCATATTCAATTTTTATAATGGAAAGACCATTTCTTAGTGTTCCCTTAGACCCTTTTTATAGTATTATAGTTTTGTGTACATTTTCTCTACATGTGACATAATCCTGATACTGTACATCTCCAAAGCACCCTTACTTTGTGGTTTATCACATTGTTCCCACTAATGGCTTCCAAAACTGGGCTAACTGAAGCTGAGTATATCTGTAGAATTCCTTTTTCATTCCCTTTCTTCTACAAATGGACCTCTTTCAAGCTTAAGCCATGCTGAAATTTCTCTTCCATTGGTGATAGGTGGGACTGCTTAACCTGCGGCTTAAGTTATTTTCCAAAGATTACCATAAGACTAGGTTGCCTTATGACCTCAGAGAAGCACTGGAACCAAATAAAAGGGCACACAGCCACTTTATTAAGGGGCAGAGTACTGTCCTGTTACTTAGAGGAAAGTCTTTTAGTTTTGCTTTTTTTTTTTTTTTTTTTTTTTTTTTTGAGACAGAATCTCGGTCTGTTGCCCAGGCTGGAGGGAAGTGGTGCAATCTCAGCTCACTGCAACCTCCGCCTCCCAGGTTCAAGCGATTCTTCTGCCTCACCCTCCCAGTTAGCTGAGATTACAGGTGCCCGCCACCACGCACGGCTAATTTTTTTTTGTATTTTTAGTAGAGACGGGGTTTCATCATGTTGGCTAGGCTGGTCTCAAACTCCTGACCTCAGGTGATCCACCCACCTTGGCCTCCCAAAGTGCTGGGATTACAGGCGTGAGCCACTGCGCCTGGCCAGTTTTACTTTCTTTTAATCTTATTTTTAACACAGCACATACTACCTTATGTTGCACTGGGCTCAGACCTAGTCTCTAAACAAAAGGAATTCTTTACGTACTTTTCACATCTTACATTGTACATATTACTTAGAGCTTTTGGTGGAAGATTATTGGAGACAAGTGTTTTAAAATGACAATAAAATGTTTCCTACCAGTTTTCTGGAAAACATCATTTTATTGTTTTGCTGTGTATTGGCCTTGAGACCCTAAACACCTGTGTTGTAGCCTTGTGATCCTTCTTTGTACGGTAGTATTTTTCCTGTCATTTTTTAGTTAACTCTTGGAGCCATCTTTGATTCTTCCCTCTTCTAAATATTTGTTTAGTTGCAGACCATCATTCTTTCTTCATAATCTCTTTTACATTCCGTCCTCCGCCCTTCCCACTATTCTTTTTTTTTGTTTTTTGTTTTGAGGCAGAATCTCACTCTGTCACCCAGGCTGGAGTGCAGTGGCGCAGTTTCGGCTCACTGCAACCTCTACCTTCTGGGCTTAAGCGATTCTCCTGCCTCAGCCTCCCAAATAGCTGGGACTACAGGTGCACGCCACCATGCCCAGCTAATTTTTGTGTTCTTAGTAAGAGAGGGTTTCACCATGTTGGTCAGGCTGGTCTCAAACTCTTGGCCTCCAGTGATCCATCTGCCTTGGCCTCCCAAAGTGCTGGGATTATAGGCGTGAGCCACCGCGCCCTGGCCCCTGCCCACTATTCCTAGGCTGCTATTTTGCTGTCTCCTGATAGGCTTTTAAAAATCCATCTCCTTTCTTCATAGGGCATCCTACACAACAGTATCTGATCAGTCTGCTTAAAACCGCAGAACCTTTCTGCTATCCCTTTCAGAAAACTTGGTTGAATTCCTGTTAAAGTGCGAATGCCCCCACCTGCTCTCAGGGCTCATTTTGACTCGATTTACTTCCCCTAGATTGTCTCGCACAAATCCCCTGATGAACATTCTGCTCTAGCCATGGCAGTCTATTCATGTCATAGAGATGCCTTGGGCCGTCTTTCCTTGGGTCTTTTTTAATGCTCTTCCCCTCCTCAGATGCTTGTCTGAATTCTTTGCATTCTTCAAGTTCTTATGTAGCTTTTCCTGGCTGTTAAAGCCTGAAGTGATCTTTGTATTTTGTACAGTAAATAATGACGTGTATTTGATTCTGTAAATATACATTAAATATTAAATACTCTAAATATTAGAGTTACATAAAATTTAAAGTTCCTAGAATGTGTGAAATTACTATATCCTGCATTTCTGACAGGTAGTCATTTACTCTCTCCTTACCCATTACCCTAGAGCACAGCACTTCCCAAGCCAACACATTGATCCATTTAGTAAAACCTTGACCCCGTTTGTCCTTTTGTCGTAGTGTTTCTTTTTTCTGTTTTGTTTGTTTGTTTTGAGACAGGATCTCGCTTTGTCACCCATGCTGAAGTGCGGTGATGCAAACACGGTTCACTGCAGTCTCAACTTCCTGGATTCAAGCAATCCTCCCGCATCATCCTCCTGAGTAGTTGGGACCACAGGCGTGCGCCACCATGCCTGGCTAATTGTTTAATTATTTTTGTAGAGTTGAGGTCTCGCCATGTTGCCCAGGCTGGTTTTTTTGTTTGTTCGTTCGTTTGTTTTTTGTAGATAGGATCTCCCTTTTTCACCCAGGCTGGTGTGCAGTGGGGCGATCATGGCTCACTGCAACCTCAACCTCCTGGGCTCAAGAGATCCTCCTGCGTCAGCCTCCTGAGTAGCTGAGACTACGGGAACATGCCACCACACCTGGCTAATTTTTGTAGAGACAGGCTTTTGCCATGTTGTCCAGGCTGGTATTAAACTCCTGGACTCAAGCAATCAGCCTGCCTTAGTCTCCCAAAGTTCTGGGACTACAGAAGTGAGCCACCAAGCCTGGCCTCAGGCTGTTGATTTTTGAAATAATACAGAATAAGGCTTTGTTTTATAAGAACGCTAAAAATGTTTAATGATAGCCTTCATGTCTCCTGAAATCATTTCTACTCCAGGCAAAACCTGTTCCTGTTACATTTCTTGTATGCTTTGTTTTCCAGTTCCTCTTCTTGTTTTGATACTAGTTCTGTCCTATCCAATGTCCCTCTTGAAATTTGGTCCCAACAATGAAAGATACACCCGTGCGGATTACAGAGAGACTATTATTTCTATGCTCTGGAGACTGTGAAAATGGATGTAACCTAAAATTACCTTTTTTTTTTTTTTTTAGCAGTCATACTGTTAGCTAAGGTTTAAATATTAAAACTCCAGATTTCTTCCATGGAACCACTATTAATCCACCCTGTATTGCTTTTTATCTTGTGAACACTAACTCTCATAACTGACTGAGTTGTCCTCTCTATGTTGGCTGCTAAGAAACTCAGCCAGACGTGACACCTACCTCTCATAAGCCTTTAAAACCTTGTATTTACTAACCTACCCTGGCTTCATTTTTTCCCTCTCTTTTTTTTTTCTACCCAATTTAATACTTTTCCCTGTTAATCTTATTGCATGTTTATATTGTTATCACAAGTTCTTTTTTTAGTGGTGGAATATAAATTTACAAATAAGAACTTAACCTTTTTCTGTGTAATTGTAAACTCTTGTTTATATTATTAACATACCCTCAGTTTGTGTTCCTCTCTCAAAAAACAAATCATGATGCCAGTATATTTGAAGTCATTAGCATAGCCTCTACTGCCTATGTTTTCATTCTTTTTTTTAAGTGCTTAGTAAATATACTCTGAGTATATAATTGTGTCCAAGAATGTATGCATTTAAAATATGTATAGCCTGTCATTTAAAATATCTGTACACAGTCTTTGCAAACCTCATCTATGTGGCTGCATGATATTTCAGAGATTGATGGTCCATGGTTTACTTACACATTCCTTTATTCTGGATTTTTATGTTGTTTTTAGTTTGGTTATAGATAATGCTGCAGTAAACATCTTTTTGTGTAAAACTTCCTCCATTTTTACATTGTCCTTAGAATAGGTTTTTTAAAATTATAATTTATATTAAAAATATAGTAACTATATGTCTGAGGTTTTTATTGATTTTACTCAATTTTTTATTGAAGTGATGAATTTATATTTTACATTATGAAAAAGTAGATCCTATGGTATGAAGACTTGCAAAAGAGCTGTAGATAAAGATTGTATCCTATGATAATATGTAAGTAAGTGCAGTGAAATTTAACACTCTCCCTTTTGTCTTTCCATAGCTGGATAGAACTTATACTGGCTTGCAGACTCTTGGAGCAGAGACGGTAGGTTTTTTTCCTACAGTATTATCTGGGAATGAGTAGGATGAAAATTGATCTTCATTTTTTGTTTGTTTGTTTGTTTTGAGACGGGGTCTTCGCTCTGTCACCCAGGCTGGAGTGCAGTGGCATGATCTCGGCTCACTGCAACCTCTTCCTCCCAGGATCAAGTGATTCTCCTACCTCAGCCTCCCGAGTAGCTGGGATTACAGGAACGCACCACCATGCCTGGCTAATTTTTATATTTTTAGTAGAGACAGGGTTTCACAGGTGTGCGCCACTGCACCTGGCCGATCTTCATTTTTAATTAGGGAAAAAATTAGTGTTAGTTTTTTTTTTTAAAGTTTGCCTTTCTGTGTTAGTCCATTCTCACACTATTATAAATAACTACCGAAGACTGGGTAATCTATGAAGAGGTTTAATAGACTCACAGTTCCACAGGCTTACCAGGAAACTTGTGGCTCCTCTCCCCTTGTCTCCCCTCCCTCCTCTTCCCTTCCTTCTCCCTTCCCTTTCCCCTTCCCCTTGTCCCCTCCCCTTCCCCTCCTTTTTTTTTTTTTTTGAGAGGGAGTGACGCTCTGTTGCCCAGGCTGGAGTGCAGTGGAGCAATCTTGGCTCACTGCAACCTCCTCCTGGGTTCAAGCGATTCTCCTGCCTCAGCCTCCCAAGTAGCTGTGACTACAGGCACGCGCCACCACACCCAGCTAATTTTTGTATTCATAGTAGAGACGGGGTTTCACTATGTTGGTCAGGCTGCTCTCGAACTGCTGACTGCTCTCGAACTGCCTGACCTCAGGTGATCCACCCGCTTTGGCCTCCCAAAGTGCTGGGATTACAGGCGTGAGCCACCACACCAGGCTTTCTCCTTTTCTCTTCTCTTTTCTTCTTTTTCTCTTCTCTTTTTTTAATTGAGACAGGGTCTTACTCTGTCAGCCAGGCTGGAGTACAGTAACATCATGGCTCACTGCAACCTTGAATTGCTAGACTCCAGCCATTCTCCCACCTCAGCCTCCCAAGTAGCTAGGACTGTACACCTGCACTAGCAAGCCCAGCTAATTTTTACATTTTTTATAGAGACAGTGTCTTACTATGTTCACAGGCTGGTCTCGAATTCTTGGCTTCAAGCAGTCCTCCCACCTCAGCATCCAAAAGCACTGGGATTACAGGCATGAGTCACTGCGCCCAGCCTTGGTTCATATATATATGTGTGTGTATATATATATATTTTCAAAATGTATATATATTTTCTTGAGACAGAGTCTCACTCTGTCGCCCAGTCTGGAGTGCGGTGGCGTGATCTCCACTCACTGCAAGCTCCGCCTCCCGGGTTCACGCCATTCTCCTGCTTCAGCCTCCCAAGTAGCTGGGACCACAGGCACCCGCCACCACGCCCGGCTAATTTTTTGTATTTTTAGTAGAGATGGGGTTTCACCGAGTTAGACCAGGATGGTCTCGATATCCTGACCTTGTGATCCGCCCATCTCGGCCTCCCAAAGTGCTGGGATTACAGGCGTGAGCCATGGCGCCCGGCCGGTTCATATATTTTTTAAAAATTGTGCTTAAAAAACACGTAACACAAAATTTACCGTCTTACCCATTTTTCAGTGTACAGTCTAGTGGCATTAAGTATATTCACATTATTATGCAGCCATGACCTTAGTCCATCTTTAGAACTGTTTTCGTCTTGCAGAGCTGAAACTCTGTACCCATTAAAAAATGACCACCCACTCCTCCCGCCCCCCCAGCACTGGCAACTGCTGCTCTACTTTCTGTCTGTGTGAATTTGACTACTCTAGGGTACCTCATATAAGTGGAATCATAACATATGTGTCTCTTTGGGATTGCCTTATTTCGCTTTGCATAATGTCCTCAGATTTCATCCATGTTGTAGCGTATGTCAGAATTTCCTTCCTTTGTAAAAAAATTTATTTTTATTTATTTATTTTTGAGAAAGAGTCTTGCTCTCTCTCACCCAGCCTGGAGTGCAATCACGGCTCACTGCAGCTTTGACCTCCTGGGCTCAAGTAATCTGTCCTTAGCCTGTCAGGTAGCTGGGACTGTGGGCGTGTGCCACCATGACCAGCTAATTTATTTACTTACTCGTTTATTTATTTATTTATTTTTTGAGATGGAGTCTCGCTCTGTTGCCCAGGTTGGAGTGCAGTGGCTCGATCTCGGCTCACTGCAAGCTCCACCTCCCGGGTTCACGCCATTCTCCTGCCTCAGCCTCCTGAGTAGCTGGGACTACAGGCACCTGCCACCACGCCCGGCTAATTTTTTTTTTTTTGTATTTTTAGTAGAGACGGGGTTTCACTGTGTTAGCCAGGATGGTCTTGATCTCCTGACCTCATGATCTGCCTGCCTCGGCCTCCCAAAGTGCTGGGATTATAGGCATGAGCCACCGCGCCCGGCCTACTTGTTTATTTTTTGTAGAGACAGGGTCTCACTATGTTGTCCAGGCTTGTCTTCAACTCCTGGGCTCAAGCTGTCCGCCTGCCTTGGCCCCCCAAAGTGTTGGGATTATAGGCATGAGCCATTGTGCCCCGCCCCTCTTCCTGTTTTAGGCTGAATAATACTGCATTGTATGTATATACCACATTTTGTTTATCCGTTCACCTGCTGATGGACACTTGCGTTGCTTCCAGCTTTTGGCTGTTGTTAATAGTGCTGCTATGAACGTAGGTGTACAGGTATCTATTCAAATCCTTGCTTTCAGTTCTTTTGGGTATATACCCAGAAATGGAATTGGCTGGATCCTATGGTAATTCTATTTTTAGAGGAACCACTGCTATATTTTTTCGTGGTAGCCGCACCATTTTACATTCCCACCAACAGTGCACACGTATTCCAGTTTCTCCACGTCTTCACCAGCATTTGTTAATTTTTTTTGTATTTTAATTTATAGTAGTTATTCTGTTGTTTGTGATGTGATATCTTGTGGTTTTGATCTGTGTTTCTCTAATCATTAGTGATGTTGAGGATCCCTTCATGTGTTTGGTGACCATGTGTTTATCTTCTTTGGAGAAATGTCTATTCAGAGACATTCAGAAAATGTCTTTGCCCATTTTTAAATTAGGTGGTTTGGTTTTTGTTGTTGCTAAGTGACAGGAGTTATTCATATATTCTGGATAGTAACCCCTTACCAGATAGATGATTTGCAAATATTTACTTCCATTCCGTGTTATATTTTTGCCTTTTCACTCTGTTGATTGTGTCCTTTGATGCACAGAAGTTTTTAAGTTTGATGTCCCGTTTGTCTATTTTTTATTTTGTTGCCTGTGCTTTTGGTGTCGTGTCCAAGAAACCATTACCAAATTCAGTGTCATGAAGCTTTTCCCTTACATTTTCTTCTAGGAGTTTTATTGTTTTAGCTTTTATGTTTCGTTCTTTGATCCTGAGTTAATTTTGGTATATAGTGTAAGGTAAGGGTCCGATTGCATTCTTTGGCATATGGATATCCAGTTTCCCTGGCACCATTTGCTGAAAATACTGTCTTTTCCCCCACTGAATGGTCTTGGGACCCTTGTCAAAGATCATTTGACCATATATGTGAGGATTTATTCTGTTCCATTGGTCTGTATGTCTGTCTTTATGCCAGCAGCATACTGTTGATTACTATGGCTTTGTAATAAATTTTGAAATCAGGAGTCTGAGACCTCCAACTTTGTTCTTCACCTTCTCTCCCTTTTTTTGTATTCATCATATAATAATCAGCAATAGCCATTTAATCAGAGTTCACTAATTAAATCTTACTCTGTCTAGAGAAATCTGCTGTATTATATCAGAAGGTACTTATTGAGCGCTGGTCCAGGTGCTGGGAATACAGAAATGAACACGGTAGCTTCTTCCTTCAGAGTCAAATTCTTAGTGGCATTGAAAATGGGGAGGGTAGACAGTAAACACAAAAGCAAATAAAATTACTTCAGTTACAAATAAGTGCTGTGAAGATAAGAGTAGCTGGGGGATAAGGAAGTAGCTTATTCTTGGGTGGTTAGGCATGGTCTCTCTGAGAAGGTGCTACTTCATTGAGACCTGCTGGTGAGAAAGGCAGCCATGCAAAGATTTGGAGGAATAGCGTTGTAAGGAGTAGCAACAGCAAAATCAAGAGGTCCCAATTTTGTGAATAATTTCACTGAGATTTGTATGTTAAACCAGATTAGATTTTCACTGAGGTATGTGTCTGTTAAGCCAGATTAGATTACCTTCTAGAATAAATCCTTTAGTTCTTCAGATTGAAATTGCCTTTGAAGTGTGATTAGAAGTTATCTCTCACATCCCGGAGATTACATTCTTGGACGGGACTTGAGCTTTCTGTGACATTGATGATGGACTCATGAGCCTGATTGTTGCCCAATTGTCTAGGTAGTGGATGTTGAACTCCATCGCCATTCTCTCGGAGAAGACTGTATCTATCCTCAGTCCTCGGAGTCTGACATCTCTGATGCCCCTCCATCTTTGCCTTTGACCATTCCAGCCCCAGTGAAAGCTTCTTCACCAATAAAGCAGTCACATGAGCCAGTACCCGATACCTCTGTGGAGAAAGGTAATACAGCAGTTTTCCTTGCATAGCGTTGTTCTGAGGCATTCCTTTCCCATTTGCTGCTTTCAGAGACCTATAGTATATGGAAAATAACTTTGCTATAAGTGGACATGCTGCCTCTACTACACAGTTCTGTTATGAAAGCCAAATTTCCACTCTTGTCAAAAATATTTTTCCGGCCGGGAGCTGTGGTTCACACCTGTAATCCCAGCACTTTGGGAGGCCAAGGCGGGTGGATCATGAGGTCAGGAGATTAAGACCATCCTGACTAACACGGTGAAACCCCGTCTCTACTAAAAATACAAAAATTTAGCTGGGTGTGATGGTGGGTGCCTGTAGTCCCAGCTACTCGGGAGGCTGAGGCAGGAGAATGGCTCGAACCCGGGAGGTGGAGCTTGCAGTGAGCTGAGATGGTACCACTGCACTCCAGCCTGGACAACAGAGCGAGACTCCATCTCAAAAAAAAAAAAAAAAATTTCCATGAAGTTTTACTGACATATTATAAAATGTAAAAATAGCTAAAAAACATAAGATTTTTAAATTTATTTTTATTTTATTTTATTTTGAGATGGAGTCTTGCTCTGTTGCCCAGGCTGGAGTGCAGTGGCATGATCTCGCCTCACTGCAACCTCCACCTCCTGGGTTCAAGCAATTCTCCTGCCTCAGCCTCCCTGTTAGCTAGGATTACAGGCGTCCACCACCGCTCTCGGCTAATTTTTGTATTTTTAGTAGAGATGGGTTTTCACCATGTTGGCCAGGCTGGTCTCGAACTCATGACCTCAGGTGATCCACCCACCTTGGCCTCCCAAAGTGCTGGGATTACAGGCATGACCCACCACGCCTGGCCTAAAACAGATTTTTATCACTTGATAATTCCTTATAATGTATTACAGGAAGACTTTATGGTTCAGCTTCTGATTGTGCGAGCAAGAAACTTGGATATTAAATACCTGGTTTTACTTAAGAAAAGATTCATCACCAACAATGTATTTTGACCATGCCATTTTTAAATTTAACAAATATATGTGTATAAATACATATTTTAATGTTCCCATATATAAGCATAAAAGATATAAAATTGATCTTAAATGTTTTATTTCTAAGCCTATATTTTAATGTGGTTAGTATTATAGTTCTTTTATAAAATCTCAACTTTATTCCTCTTTAGATTTCAATTGCATCTTTTTTATGGGCATTTAATAAGATACAAGAGGGGCCGGGCACGGTGGCTCATGCCTGTAATTCCCAGCCTTTTGGGAGGCTGAAACCATCGGATCACCTGAGGTCAGGAGTTCAAGACCAGCCTGGCCAACATGGCAAAACCCCGTCTCTACTAAAAATACAAAAATTAGCCAGGGATGGTGGTGCATACCTGTAATCCCAGCTATTCCGGAGGCTGAGGCACAAGAATTGCTTGAACCCGGGAGGTGGAGGTAGCAGTGAGCTGAGATCACACCACTGCACTCTAGCCTGGGTGACAAGTGAAATAATGTCTCAAAAATAAGTAAATAAATAAGATAGGAGGATATCATTAGATTTAGTGAATGCTTTCTAAGATTTTTTCTTCTCTAAACAGTTTTTCAGTTTATATATTAAAAAATGGAGGAACATAAGAACTTTTGTTCTTTTTATGTTATACATGGTTTATAGTTAATAATGTTTTCAAGTTTTTTTAAAAAAGCACTTTAAACATTATTCTAAGCATATATATTTTTCACCAAAAATATGAAGGGATGATTGATTGTATTTATTTTGCTACCAGTACATGGTTTAAAATGGTGTTGAAATAATGCATTTTTATTCTTTTTCCACAACGGTAAGGTTTTATTTCAAAGCGATTGATGACTTGCCGTTTGCCTCTTTCATCTCAAGCAGGATTCCCAGCTAGCACTGAAGCTGAACGACACACTCCGTTTTATGCTTTGCCATCTTCATTGGAAAGAACACCCACCAAAATGACTACATCCCAGAAAGTTACCTTTTGTTCCCATGGCAATTCAGCTTTCCAGCCAATAGCATCAAGCTGCAAAATTGTTCCACAAAGTCAGGTTCCTAATCCTGAGTCACCTGGAAAATCCTTCCAGCCCATCACCATGAGCTGCAAGATTGTGTCAGGTATGCAGATGTTTTGAAGACAGTGTATGTGGAGTTGACTGGATGTTAAAATTGTTGGAACAACAAAACAAAATACTTGGCTTTTTTTCTCTTAAGTTCTTCTAAGCAGTGTTATGTTTAACAAAAGGAAGTTTATCACTGTTGATTGGCAAAGCTGTCACAAGGCAAAAACAAAGCTCATTCATACGGAAATGAATGGAGGAGATAAATGAAACTCAAATGGTCAAATTTTTGTCTGCCAGAATCAGCACAGGTAAAATGTTTGCTAGGATATATGGCTGAAACTAAGGTGTAGGAATCGTGTTTGGGGATTATATACATGGAAACCACAGTGACTAGTGATAGAAAAAATTTAGAGGCCTTTGGCATGGAGTTAAATTTTAAGGGTTAGAGTTGGTTGGGAATTGAAATGCTTTATTCTGTCTGTAACCACACTAGAAAATTATTCATTCCTATTGTCAGTAGGTAGTTCTGAGTTGTCTTGTTCACTAAGATTGGATTATCTTTTGCCTTGTGATAGTTTCATTTTATGTTAGGTAAAATTTAGTAGGAATATATGGTTTTGACTGTTCCACCTTAGAACAAAACATGTTTGTTAAAAGGCAATTGGAAATAACCAGGAAGTATGAGGACTTCTGTATAATAGTTAAATGAAGGGGGGAAAAAAAGAATGTTTGGTGTTGTAAGTAGACAGCTAAGTAGAAATAGGATCCAAATCTTTGATGAGAGATAAATAGCTTCTAATTGGTAGGCAATTTTTTTTTTTTGAGATGGAGTTTCACTCTTGTCACCTACGCTGGAGTGCAATGGCGCGATCTCAGCTCACTGCAGCCTCCACCTCTCTCGGGTTCAAGTGATTCTCCTGGCTCAGCCTCCCAAGTAGCTGGGACTGCAGGCACGTGTCACCACTCCCAGCTAATTTTGTATTTTTAGTAGAGACGGAGTTTCACCATATTGGCCAGGCTGGTCTTGAACTCCTGACCTCAGGTGATCCACCTACCTTGGCCTCCCAAAGTGCTCCGGTTACAGGCGTGAGCCACCGTCCCCTGTCATTGGTAGGCAATTTTACCTACCAGGTAGAAAAATTTTGGAACTTGCTACTTCAGAGGTGGAATAGGCTGAACATATAAATTGATTTGAAGTTTAAAGAAATTCATGGATGACGTTTGATCAATAAAAGACAGTAGAGGATGTTTAACTGTCAGTAACTTTTGAGAGTATTTTGCGGGAACACGAATCTTTCTGGGTTACGGCTGTGACATAGTATTGACAGAGACTTTTATTCTGGGTAGGTGAATTTCATATTTTCCTATTCAAAACAAGACACCAGGTTCTTAAATCTAGCTGTTTACTTACTGATTTTCTTCCTTCCTTTCTTTTTTTTTTTTTTTTTTTTTTTTTTTTTGAGACAGAGTTTTGCTCTTGTTGCCCAGGCTGGAGTGCAATGGCACGATCTCGGCTCACTCCGCCACCCGGGTTCAAGCGATTCTCCTGCCTCAGCCTCTCGAGGAGCTGGGATTACAGGCATGCGCCACCACACCCAGCTAATTTTGTATTTTTAGTAGAGACAGGGTTTCTCCATGTTGGTCAGGCTGGTCTCGAACTCACAACCTCAGGTGATCCGCCTGCCTCGGCCTCCCAAAGTGCTGGGATTACAGGCACGAGCCACTGCACCTGGTGTCTCATGCCCGGTCTCTAATTTTAGTGTCTTCGAGTATAACCAGTACTATAAAAGCCTGCCTATGGTGTTAAAAGATTTATCATATCAAGATTCAGCAGTTACAAAAAAAGGTTCAGCAGTTTTGCACTGCTGTGTAAAGCACTGCTTTCTGAACTATAAGGTGCATACCAGGAGATCTTGTTGAAGTGAGATTTATGTTTAGTAGGTCAAGGATGGGACCATAAAATCTGTTTCTTACAATTTCCTCGATGATACTGATGCTGTTGATCCATGGATAAGGATGCAGAGCATGAAACATACATCCTCTGCCTCCTTTGTACCTCTGTTGCTGCTCAGTACCGGGAGCACGCAGTATCCATTTTATTTTCCCAATTTGTTACCTTTGTCCTGGTGGCACTGACCTTCTTCCTTGTCCTCGACATCTTCTTACGTGAGTTGAATATGTGTATTTTGTTTGTATTCTCTCTTTTTAATTAATAAGGTTCCCCAATATCAACTCCAAGCCCATCACCATTGCCTCGAACCCCGACTTCCACTCCAGTCCACGTGAAGCAAGGCACTGCCGGCTCTGTTATTAATAATCCTTATGTTATCATGGACAAGCAGCCGGGGCAGGTGATTGGAGCCACCACTCCCAGTACAGGTGTGTATTAGATCCATATTTGTACCATCTAAAGGGTTTGATCTTTATTAAAAATGTAATCCTGCCATGACTTGGTAGCCATGTAATTGGAGAATGAAATCTCCCGTAAACGAGAAGCGAGAATAAGTAAAAGGAAAGCCAATACTCTTTCTCTGAGGGGAGATTTACTCTGTAAAAGTTGCATTTTTTAGAATTTACTTGAGTTTTCTTTTAATTTCTAAAAGTTCAAAATAAGCCATAATGAATGTTCTTAAAAGAATAGTTGATTTTGTTTTCATTTGGAAGACTTACGCTTTGGGGGACTGTAAGCAATGTGGTTACTACCTCTTCCAAAGAAGCTTTTGCTAACCTTGTGGGCCACATACCGTTCTCCCCAGTCAAATAAAAAATGATATTATTTTCTTCAAGGAAGACCCATTCTGCTTGTGGGAGGGGAAATTGAAACCTGCAGTTTTAAAGAGAACTCTAATAGGAAAAAGTCATCCTTGGGTTCACCGTGTTCCTCACTGTAATCCCATGCTTTTTAGGTTTTTTTGAAATGCTTTCTCTAACATTATTTTATTTATTCCCTTCAGTTAACCTGTATTTATTGTTAATTAATTAATTTATTAATTTATTGAGACAGAGTCTTGCTCTTTTCACCCAAGCTGGAGTGCAGTGGCGTGATCTCGGCTCACTGCAACCTCCACCTCCTGGGTTTAAGCAATTCTCCTGCCTCAGCCTCCCATGTAGCTGGAATTACAGGCGTGCACCACCACGCCCAGCTAATTTTTGTATTTTTAGTAGAGATGGGGTTTCACCATGTTGGCCAGGCTGGTCTCAAACTCCAATCCACCTGCCTCAGCCTCCCAAAGTGCTGGATTTACAGGCGTGAGCTACCACGCCTGGCCCCATTCAACCTGTATTTAAACACACGCTCCTAACTATAAACTTCCCTGAAGTTTTCACTTCTAATTAAGAGAAATAGAAGATAAATGAAATAAAAGGGATGATTATAAGATAATGAGACTGATTTTTTTGTTGTTGTTTGTTTGACCTATTGGATTTAACACATGAATGTATGTTGGGCTTTTCCAAGCAGTTTTTTTTTTTTTTGGAAAGGCTAAATTTTAATAGTGATTGTAATTGTGGAATGCCCTTAAAAATTACTGTGTTCAAGGCTTACCCAGTACCTTTCGAACATACTTAAGGATGCCAAATAGGTGTTATTTCATGACATTTTGTTTTAGGAATCAGCTAGAAGTCTTTGGAGGCAAGTTTGGTAAATGGAGTAAATGATTAAATACTATTTGGGGTCTTGACTTGTTGACTATAGGTAATATATGACTAAATTTTTTTCAGACTCTAAAGGCAGTTGTACAGATGGAGTATAAAATGTTTAATGTTGGCCAGGCGTGGTGGCTCATGCCCATAATCCCAGCACTTTGGGAGGCCAAGGTGGGCGGATCACCTGAGGTCAGGAGTTCGAGAGCAGCCTGGCTAACATGGCGAAACCCATCTCCACTAAAAATAGAAAAATTAGCCAGGTGTGGTAGCGCGTGCCTGTAGTCCCAGCTACTGGGGAGGCTGAGGTGGGAGAATCACTTGAACCCAGTAGGTGGAGGTTGCAGTGAGCCGAGATCAGGCAACTGCACTCCACCCCGGGTGACAGAGCGAGACTCCATCTCAGGAAAAAAAAATAATAATGTTGGCAGCATTTTGGAATAGGCATAACTTTCTGGTGAAACTACTTTGAAGGAGCTAGCAGAATGCATATATTCTGGCACATTTGTTAAACAGTATCATTATGTTGTAGTGTCTTTTATTGTATGAGGAGTAGAACATACAAGTAGAATACGTTATAGTGTCTTTTATTGTATAAGGAGTAGAATATACGAGAATATGCTACTGTTTATTGTACAAGGAGTAGTCTAAAACAAGTGACTTTACTACTTATTCTTCTGCATGTCCTTACCAGCTTCTTACCTTCTTCAGGTTGAGCATGAGATCAGCTTCACAGGGATGGGTCCTTAAGGGTTTTTTTCCATACTAGTTTCAGCCTTAACAATGAGTTTTCAACCCTTAAACATGAAAAATAAATAGTGCGAAAGAGGGGAGGATGGTAGAAATGCTTTAAAATTACCTTTTGTAAATTTTACTTTGTTTATGTTTTAATTGTGCCTTGCTTATCAGGAAGTCCTACAAACAAGATCTCCACGGCTTCTCAGGTCTCCCAAGGAACAGGTTCCCCTGTTCCTAAAATTCATGGAAGTAGTTTTGTAACATCTACTGTCAAGGTAACATTCTTACTGCGTTATTACACTTTGCTAGCTTCTTTTTCTTTTCATTTTTAAAAAATAATTTTTCAAATGGAGATGGGGTCTCCCCGTATTAACCAGGCTGTATCGAACTCCTGGCCTCAAGAGATCTGCCACCTCACCTGCCAGGGTACTGCGGTTACAGGCATGAGCTGCACCCCGCCACTTTGCCGGTTTCTGAACATAGTATGTTCAGCCTCAGCAAGAATGTGTCAGTTGATGACGCAAATTTCATAAAATGGAATCTTCAAGCTGTTAAGTATCTAGACTTTACTACCCCCAGACTTTACTAACTTACTTGGATCTACTCCAGACTTTACTACCTTACTTGGATCTTTTCATAGTGTCACAAATGCTTCACAACACTTGTGTGAAATAGTCACCCAGTATCAATTTAAAAACTTACTGTGATAAGATTATTTATTTACTTATTTGAAAAGTTTGTTAAAAATACTTGCTTATAAAAATATTCATCTGACCTCTTCCCTTTTGGACACCTCTCTCTCTCGCAACAGAGAGCTGCTGTCCTCTCCCCTTTCTTTTGCTTATTAAACTTTCTGCTCCTTAACCCATAAAAAAAATAAAAATTTAAAAATATAAAAACATTCATCTGACAGCACGTTCCTATCTTTTCTATGTTTGCATCACCAAGAAGTAAATATACAAATGGCTCCCACCTTACAGTGGTCCAACTTAACGATTTTTCGACTTTACCGTGGTGCAAAAGCAATATGCACTTAGCGAGCCCTCAGCTTACGCTGGGGTTATATTCAGATAAACCCACCATACGGTGAAAGTGTGGGAAGTCAAAAATGCACTTTTGGCCTATGATGTTTTCCCCTTATGATGGGTTTATCCAGACGTAACCCCATCCTAAGTCGGGGAGCATCAGTGTTTCCTTTTCCATGTGTTAACCGTTTAGCTATTTGAAAATAATGCTTACCTCCACAGAGTCTCTCCCCTGCTCCCCTTTTTCTGGGTAAGCAGTCCTTTAAAATTTACAACTCCAAATATGATCTGACCTGTTCCAGTCAAATGACTGGTGCCTGACACAGCATTTCTTTTATTTAGACACTAATGATGATATTGAATGACTTCCTGGTCCAAGGCGAGGCTGTTCTCTAAGTTCTGTGCAGTGTGTTGGCACTGTTATATGAATGTCTGAATTATAGTAATCTTGAAAGTCTTAACTCTGCTGGTTTAATTTTTATTGTTTGTTGGTGATCATTTTACTTTACAGCCAAGAAGTGTTCTTCGTTTCCAAATTTTGACAGATTACCTCTGAGATTTGCATTTTGTGTTTGAGAATTAAAGAGAAACTACAGAATTTTTTTTTTTTTTTTTTTTTTTTTGAGACAGAGTTTCGCTCTCGTTGCCAAGGCTGGAGTGCAGTGGCGCAATCTTGGCTCACTGCAACCTCCTGCCTCCTGAGTTCAAGCGATTCTGCGGTCTCAGTCTCCTGAGTAGCTGGGGTTACAGGGCATGCGCCCCACGCCCGGATAATTTTGTATTTTTAGTAGAGACGGGGTTTCTCCACGTTGGTCAGGCTGGTCTCGAACTCCTGATCTCAGGTAATCTGCCCGCCTCAGCCTCCCAAAGTGCTGGGATTACAGGCGTGAGCCGCTGCGCCTGGCCAGAACTACAGAAGTTTTGAATGTTGACTTTCGTTGTCTTTGCCTGTGCCAAATTATTCAAGTTTTTTGTTTGTTTGCTTGTTTTTTAAGTTTTTATTGAAAATTTTTCCTTTGTATTCTGGGTGTTCATTGAGTAAATTTTGCAAATCAGTTGTGAGTACTATTAAAAGAGAGTATATACTGAAACATTGCAGCTGCCTGTTTCTTTCATTTATTTATTTAGTGCCTAGGCTCCAGGGATATAAAATTAAATACAGTCCCTGTCCTTTAGTGGTTTACCAACTATCGGGGAAGACCAATAAAGTCAGCCAAATGTTAGGGGTAGTAAGTTAGAAGTCTTTCCAGTGTACAGCAGGACACAGATGAGTAGATTCTTGCCAAGTTACAGCTTTTCTTTGCATTTGTTTTCTAAAACAATATTAAAATGCAGGTGTAGAGGCTTGGAAGACCCCAAGGAATTTTAGGTTTTTTTCTTTCTTTTTTTTTTACGGAGTTTTGCTCTTGTCACCCAGGCTGGAGTGCAGTGGCGTGATCTCGGCTCACCACAACCTCTGCCTCCCTGGTTCAAGTGATTCTACTGCCTCAGCCTCCCAAGTAGCTGGGATTACAGGCACCCGCCACCACACCCGGCTAATTTTGTATATTTAGTAGAGACAGGGTTTCTCCGTGTTGGTCAGGCTGGTCTTGATCTCCCGACCTCAGGCGATCCACCCACCTCTGCCTCCCAAAGTGCTGGGAGTACAGGCGTGAGCTACCGCACCCAGCCAGTCTTTTTATTTCTTTATATTGCTAGAGAATGTCACAGGTTTGTATTAAATATAAGTGACTAGATATCTGAAATCACCCATTTCTCCTGATTGTAAAATATGTATTTTTACACACACAGCAGGAGGATTCTTTGTTTGCATCTATGCCACCTCTTTGCCCAATTGGGAGTCACCCTAAGGTTCAAAGCCCCAAACCTATAACAGGAGGACTTGGAGCTTTCACAAAAGTGAGTATGTATTAGGGCATTGTCCCACAAGTCATAATACTTTTTGTGGCATGTTGGAGTTCATTGCCACTACCCCTACAACATGTTACTTTTTAGTGGGTCTCAACTCCTCATTCTGAGACGTGCTTCCATGTATTTAATGATGTCCTCAGGGCAGCCCTTGGAGTCCAGCAAGATGGGGATTCATGGAGCACAGTGTGTTTGTTTCTCTCTGCTGTCATTTGCCACAGTCTCTAAAACAAGTGACTGTGTTATTACAGGAGCACAGGATCAAGTTCAGATCCTACTTTTGGTCCCTTTAATAGCTGGTATGGACTGTATTTAAGCAGTATGTATATTTACCCTTCTGGTGGAGTCATTCTTTACGTATCAAGTTTCATCAATTCATTAATCCCTGCAAACGGAGAAGAGTCAGATATTAGCAGCTTTATAAAATGGGATGTTTATGGATGTTTATTCAGTGTCATTATGTTTGTTGCAAGGTGATCATCAAACAGGAACCTGGTGAAGCCCCTCACGTGCCCGCAACAGGAGCTGCCAGCCAGTCACCACTCCCGCAGTATGTGACTGTGAAAGGGGGTCACATGATAGCTGTGTCCCCTCAAAAACAGGTCATAACTCCTGGAGAAGGGATTGCCCAGTCAGCAAAGGTTCAGCCCTCCAAGGTTTGTGTTGGGTAGAGATGGGAAATTTCACATGTAAATGATGTTGTTTGCCTAAATAATTGACAAGTGCTGAAAAGATTCACGGTGACAGGGTTGATGATCCCATAAGAACCTGTGGGTGAAAGCCTAGTTGGAAAAACAAGTCTGTTGGTGTGAAACTCTTCTACTCCTGTAGTAATCATTGGCAAGAGCCGCGTTATGTATTGCAAAGGATCCCGGAATGGGCCAAGAGGCAGGGGAACACTGCTGTCTCTGGCAGTGGAGGCAGAGCTGACTCATGGGCACAGCTTTCTACTTGATTCATCTCTAAAAGGGATCCGCTGTTGACTTGTTTATTTATGGTAGGAGAATGCTGTAGTTTATACCTCTGATGTTCGGGCTGTTACCTGTTTAATGATTCTTAGCTTTCTGTAGAGTTCTTTTTTTTTTTTAATAATTTGGAGGTACAGGAGAATTAATGTATTGAGAGAATTTTAAAATAGCACATAGAGGCCGGGCATGGTGGCTCACGCCTGTGATCCCAGCACTTTAGGAGGCTGAGGCGGGCGGATTACCTGAAGGCAGGAGTTCGAGACCAGCCTGACCAACATGGAGAAACCCCATCTCTACTAAAAATACAATATTAGCGGGGTGTGGTGGCACATGCCTGTAATCCCAGCTACTCGGGAGACTGAGGCAGGAGAATTGCTTGAACCTGGGAGGCAGAGGTTGCGGTGAGCTGAGATCGCGGCACTGCACTCCAGCCTGGGTGACAGAGAGAGACTCTGTCTCAAAAAAATAAAAATTAAAAAATTAAAAAAAAAAATAGCACATAGAGCCATGTTTTCCTGAATCAATTGGAAATGTAGCCATGCATCACCTGATGATGGTACATTCTGAGACGTGTCATTAGGTGATTTTGTTGTGTGAACATCGCAGTGTACTTAAATCCAGATAGAATAGCTAACTACACACTTAGGCTGTATGGTGTGGCCTATTGCTCCTAGGCTGTAAACCTGTTCCGCATGTTACTATTGAATACTATAGGAAGTTGTAATAGAACAATAAGTATTTGTGGATCTCAACATATCTAAATATAGAAAAGATACTGTAAAAATACAGTGTTATAATCTTATGGGACCACTGTTAATATATGCAGTCTGTCATTGACTAAAACATCGTTAATGTGGTAGATGACTATGGTATCAATATTGAGTGCTTTTGTGTATGCCATGCTTGTATTTCTACATTTTCTATAATCCACACACAACCCTGGAGGGTGGGGATTTTCATCCCTGTTTTACAAATGAGGAAACTGTGGCTCAGAGGTTAAACAGTTTCCTTGGGAGCATTACAGCTAATAAATGACAAAGTGTTTAAAGTCAGGCCTGCTAACTCCAAGCTCCCCATTTCAGAACTAATGAAAAGTGGTTGTCTCTAACCTTGGTATGCTTTCAGAGCATCAGGGTTAAATTACCTCAACTTTTGGCAGGTATACTCTAAAGCTATTAAGTATATAATATGGGCTCGGCATGGTGGCTCACACCTGTGAGCCACCTAACACTTTGGCAGTCCAAGGCGGACAGATCACTTCAGGTCAGGAGTTTGAGACCAGCCTGTCCGACGTGGTGAAACCCCATCTCTACTAAAAATACAAAAACCGAGCGTGGTGGGTGGCATGCACCTGTAATCCCAGCTACTTGGGAGGCTGAGGCAGGAGAATCACTTGAACCCAGGAGGCGGAGGTTGCAGTGAGCCAAGACTGTGCCACTGCATTTCAGCCTGGGTGACAGAGGGAGACTGTCTCAAAAACAAAAAAACAAAAAACAATGGCTGGGCACGGTGGCTCACGCCCGTAATCCCAGCACTTTGAGAGGCTGAGGCGTGCGTTATCACCTGAGGTCAGATGTTGAAGACCAGCCTGGTCAACTTGGTGAAACTGTCTCTACCAAAAATACAAGAATTAGGTGGACATGGTGTCGGGCTCCTGTAATCTCAACTAGTCAGGAGGCTGAGGCAGGAGAATGGCTTGAACACAGGAGGTGGAAGTTGCAGTGAGCTGAGATCGCACCATTGCACTCCAGCCTGGGCAACGAGTGAAACTCTGTTTAAAAAAAAAAAAAAAAAAAAAAAAGATATCATATAGATGTTTTTCAGCTTGAAACCCAGCCTACCTATCTAAGGAGAATGAATTGTTTTAAGAATAGCCCAAAATCGAAAAAGATTTTAGCTATCAGATAGAGATTAGGATCAACTTAAAAATTCATAGAGCTTGTCGCAGTGGCTCACGCCTATAATTCCAGCACTTTGGGAGGTCAAGGCGGGTGGATCGCCTGAGGTCAGGAGTTCGAGATCAGGCCAACATAGTGAAACCCCGTCTATACTAAAAATACAAAAAATTATTTGGGCGTGGTGGCGGGCGCCTGTAATCCCAGCTACTCGGGAGGCTGAGGCAGGAGAAACGCTTGACCCCGGCAGGCAGAGGTTGCAGTGAGACGAGATCTTGCTATTGCACTCCAGCCTGGGCAACAAGAGCAAAACTCCATCTCAAAAAAATAAAATAAAATTCGTGGTGTTATCGGTGGTTCTAAAATCTGTTAAGTTTATTAACGACTTTCTCAGACTTACCTGGTTATAAGAATCATCTGCTGATAGCTACCTAGGCCACCATCTCAAACTTACTGCATCGGATTCTTCTTGAGATCCCTGGGAATCTGGGTTTTTAATAAGTGTTTCTGCTGATTCATCTACTTAGGCAGCAGATTTAGGAATCATGGTGCTACAGCATCTCATTTGACTTTGAGGCATTCGTAGCCAGAATGACTAAGACAGGCATCCCCAACTGCTTACTAGTGCTCCCACTGTGGTTCTGGCTTCAGGGGTAAGAATTCTGCCAAAATCCCTTAGTAAATCAGTTATTGTCATCTGAACTTCCTACTCAGGCTTGTCGTATATGTACCTCAAAATCTGTTTTGCTTCACATAGGGATATGTGGCTTTACTGATTTCTGCTTTGAATCAACTTAGCATTGCTGTTTATGTTAGAAGCTCTTGGATAAGTTCGTTTCCATTTTTTGCCGCTTTGCATATTGCCAATCCACTCCTCCAGTGATGCTGAACAACTGTACTGACTTGTCACATGGCCACCTACTTAATGGTAAATGTAAGGTTGGAGGAGATAGGTGGGTCTGTGCCACAATGCCCTAAATATGGTTTAAGGGCATCTGAAAAGAAAAACCACAGCAAAGTGTGAAGGAACTGCAGAGAAGCAGTAGTGCGTGAGATGATACCACTGTTTACCCAGGAAATGGAATCCATGATTAGCAGTTGAGATAAGGAGCTGTCTGTGAGTACAGACTGTTCCTGGTTATTGCTGAAGTGCATTCCTAGAAACTATGCCAGAGAACAGGCTGGGTGTGTGGTTCATGCTTGTAATTCCAGCACTTTAGGAGGCTGAGGTGGGCAGATCACCTGAGGTCAGGAGTTCGAGACCAGCCTGGCCAACATGGTGAAACCCTGTCTCTACTAAAAATACAAAAATTAGCCAGACATGGTGGTGTGCACCTGTAATCCCAGCTACTTGGGAGGCTGAGGCAGGAGAATTGTTTGAACCTGGGAGGTCAAGGTTGCAGTGAACTGAGATGACGCCACTGTACTCCAGCCTGGGAGATAGAGCAAGACTCTGTCTAAAAAAAAAAAAAAAGATATGCCAGGAAACAGGAGGGTGGCAAAAAATGGCACTGTTTTACCCTCCATACAACTTTGGGACAACAGAAACACAGCTGATCTTTTTCCTCAAAGTGGGAAGAGGTGCTGCCTTTGACATGAAAAGGGACAACTGAGGAATAAGTAGTTCCATATGGGAAGGAAGCAGTGTGTTAAAGTAGAAGGAGCATGAGCTTTGCAGTTAGAGCTTGTTGCAAATCTCAGATCTCAGCCACTCATTACTGGTGTAACCTGTGCAGGTTCTGAGCCCTGGTCTTTCAGGGTTGTAGAAGAATTAGAGATTGTATATGAAGGACCTACCTAGCACAGAGCAAGTGCTCAGTAAATAGTAACTAATGTGAGTATCAGGCATATCCATGCCTAAGTACCATTGTAATGGTTATCAGTGAGCACTTAACTTGTAAACAGCCATATTTTTTAATATCTGGAGGGAAAATCTCAGATACAGACTCTTCCCCTTCAGTTTGCTGAAGTAAATTCTGACTTGCCACAGGTATGTGTAGGAAACAGGGAGGGCAGAAATAGAAACATTTAATCAAAGCATGAATCGAAGTTAAGTGTATAACAAATACAAAACAATGGGTGTCTGCTTTCTCAAGCTAGCAGGAAATTAGCAACAGAGAGAGAATTATTGAATGGGAAGAGAATGAGGAAAGTCAGTAGGTGAGTTCAGGCTCTAGGCCGAAATACGTTGTGGTTTTTTGGTGGTTGTTGCTCTTGTGGGTTTTTTTGTTTTGTTTTGTTTTATGATCATAACTCACTGTAGTCTCAGCCTCCCTGGGCTCCAGCAATCCCACCTCAGTCTCCCAGGACTACAGGTGATACCACCACACCCAATTAGGTTTTTTGTTTTGTTTTGTTTTCTGTATTTTGTAGAGACTGGTTTTCACTATGTTGCCCAGGCTGGTCTTGAACTCCTGGGCTCAAGCAGTCTGCCTGCCTCAGCCTCCCAAAGTGTTGGGGTTATAAGCATGAGCCACTGTGCCTGGCCAAAGTATGTTGTTTTAAAAAAATAACAAACTAATTTTGGGTAATACAGTCTTATTTAAGAGGTCTTACACCTTCTTAGTGGTGTCCATAATCAGCTGCAGAGTTTTTCCCAACAGAATGCAGATTTCCTCATTCTCCTGTTTTCCAGAAGGAAGGTAGGGAGGTAGTGACAGTCATCTCCCAGGCGGTGTGCACAAGGTGGGTAAGCTCTGCTGGTAAAGACTGCCCTCCAGTGGCTGACTTGGGATACCAGGTTTTTGTTTCTGTTTTGAGACAGCGTCTAGCTCCGTTGCCCAGGCTGGAGTGCAGTGGTGCAGTCTTGACTCACTGCAACCTCTGTCTCCTGGGCTCAAGCTATACTCCTACTTCAGCCTTAGCTGGGATCGCAGGCCCACACCACCACGCCCAGCTAATTTTTTTTTTTTGAGCTGGAGTCTTGCACTGTCGCCCAGGCTGGAGAGCAGTGGCGCCATCTCGGCTCACTACAACCTCCGCCTCTTGGGTTCAAGTGATTCTCTTGACTCAGCCTCCCAAGTAGCTGGGATTACAGGCACCCACCACCATGCCTAGCTAATTTTTTTGTATTTTTAGTAGAGACAGGGTTTCACTATGTTGGCCACACTGGTCTCAAACTTCTGACCTTGTGATCTGCCCGCCTTGGCCTCCTGAAGTGCTAGGATTACAGGTGTGAGCCATTGTGCCCGGCCATTTTTTTTATTTTTTAATAGAGACGGGGTTTTACCATGTTCATCACGCTGGTCTCAAACTCCTGACCTCTAATGATCCGCCCACCTCGGCCTCCCAAAGTGCTGGGATTACAGGCATGAGCCACCACGCCCGGCAGGATACCAGGTTTTACTGGGTTCTTGGAGAAATTACGTGTCATATCCTGAAAACTCTGAAGCACTTGGCACAAGAAAGGAAAAGCAAGTCAGGTGCATGTAATGTGGGGAAAGAAATTGAAGTAGGTCTAAAAATGTGTGTATTGTTTTCCCTAAGTTATTTGCTTTCTTTGTTTAGGAACATAAAAGTAGATTCTGTGTAATTTAACTTGTGAAATAGGTTATTTGATATGTTTGGGAGGTTTGAAGACTGCTATCTTAGTTAAGAGAAAAGTTCAACTACTGCAACAGAGAAATCTGAACACCAGAACTTTAAGTAAGTTTATTTCTCATACAGTCATCGAGAATCTAGATCCCTGGCTTTCCTTTTTTTGCTCTGACATTCTCAAAATTTGGCTTTCGGCTTGTGGACTAAGAAAACACTTCATCTCATACCTCCACGTTCACGCTTCTTGCCAAGAGGAAGGGAGCAGGGGGAGGGAGAGCTGAGGGCAGACAGAGCCCGAAAGTCGCTCTCACTTCTGCACACATCCCGTTAGCCAGAAAGCAAATGGCCACGCCTAGGTCTGGGAGGGCTGGGAAATAGAGTTGTGATTCCATGTGGCCATTGCCCCAGCTGAAAACTGGGGGCTCTGTTACTATGAGAGGAGAAGGAAATAATAGATATTGGGGTTCAACTAGCAGTTTCTGCCACACTCCCAAAAAGTTTTGCTACATTAAGAAGGGTTTTTTTTTTCTTTCATAAATATACAGAAAAGTTCTTGATCAGTAAGAAGGGTTTCCGTATTTCCACATCACTGGGAGGATGACCCTGCCCTGCTCTGTGGCTACAGAAACTCTACAGGTCCCCTGCAGAATGAAGTTCATGCAGTTAGAACACAGATGAAGGCCAGGTGCCTGTAATCTCAGCACTTTGGGAGGCCGAGACAGGTAGATCGCCTGAGGTCGGGAGTTCAAGATCAGCCTGACCAGCATGGAGAAACCCCGTCTCTACTAAAAATACAAAATTAGCCAGGTGTGGTGGCGTGTGCCCATAATCCCAGCTACTCAGGAGGCAAAGGCAGGAGAATTGCTTGAACCCAGGAGGCGGAGGTTGCGGTGAGCTGAGATCGTGCCACCGCACTCCAGCCTGGGCAACAAGAGCAAAACTCCGTCTCAAAAAACAACAACAAAACAGAGATGTAGATGTGGGTAATAAGGGGTATTTCAACCAAACCAGGAGAGCCGGGGGTGATTTCTTGTCTTCATTCTAGGTTAACTTGCTTTTTAAAATTGGTTCTTTTATTCTGTTTCTTCTTTTCTTCTCTCCTTAAACATACAGAAAAGTAGGGAGAAGAGTGTGATGAATCCCACATGCCTATTACCCAGTTTTAACAATTACCAGCATTTTACTCATCTTAATTTATCTCCCTGGAATATTTTAAAGTAGCAGGCGGATCCCCATGTTGTATAATTCACTCAAGATTAATTTGTTTCACCTGCTGAATCCAGAGGTTAAGATCAAGGTCTCTGCCTTGGCCGAATGCGGAAGACAGCCACAAATGTCTGTCCTTTGGCTGTCCTTTGCTGGTCTCCACATCCCCTTGTGGATTATTATTCTTCAGTTGAAGTGTTGTGATGAGCAGCAACAGCTGTCATGTTAGCTAGGCATCCTATATACTTTTTCTCATTTTGCTTCATGATTCGGAGGGTAAATGTTACCCATATTTTATAGATGAGGGGATTGATGGTAAAACTCAAGAGAGGTTAAATAACTTACCTAGCTACTAACTAAAAATAACTAACCTGGAAAACCAGATCTGTCTGCTTACCGAAACCTGCACTGTTTCCTCTTTGTGACGCTATAGTTTATAATATTTGATTAAGGGACTGTTTTCATTTTATTTATTTATTGTTTAGACAGAGTCTTGCTCTGTCGCCAGGCTAGAGTGCAGTGGCACGATCTCAGCTCACTGCAACCTCCGACTCCCAGGTTCAAGCGATTCTGCTGCCTCAGCCTCCCGAGTAGCTGGGGTGCCCACCACCACGCCCAGCTCATTCCTTGTAATTTTAGTAGAGATGAGGTTTCACCATGTTGGCCAGGACAGTCTCAATCTCTTGACCTTGTGATCCGCCCGCCTCAGCCTCCTAAAGTGCTGGGATTACAGGCGCGAGCCACCATACCCAGCCAAGGGACTGTTTTCTTTATATCAGCTATATTATCCAACTGCATGGTAAATGTATTTTACTGAACTCACAGTCTTTGAACAGAAACCGTGTATGGTATAGTAATATTTTAATTTAAAACTTCTGGCCGGGTGCGGTGGCTCACACCTGTAATCCCAGCACTTTGGGAGGCCGAGGCGGGCGGATCACGAGGTCAGGAGATCAAGACCGTCCTGGCTAACACGGTGAAACCCCGTTTCTACTAAAAATACAAAAAATTAGCTGGGCGTGGTGGCGCCTGTAGTCCCAGCTACTCGGGAGACTGAGGCAGGAGAATGGCATGAACCCGTGAGGCGGAGGTTGCAGTGAGCCGAGATTGCGCCACTTCCTGGGTGACAGAGCGAGACTCCGTCTCAAAAAAAAACAAAAAACAAAAAAACAAAAATTTCCTACTTATCAGTTGAATATGCTTTATCATTTCATTCTACCTTCTAAATAATCTTATTTTAAAATTTAGAAATACTCTAAAATTCCAGTAACATATGTAGAGAATTAAGTAATCAATACCCCCATATCCTCCACCCCAAATTTACTTATTCATGTTTACTTCAGATCTTTTTTCTCCAAATAAAACATTTCTGATAAAGTTGAAGTCCACTTTGTTCTTCCCAGAGGCAACAAGCACTGTCATGGCTTTGATGTGTAGCCTTCCACTCCATGCGCTTATTACATGAATACATAGTCATAGGAAACGTGATGTTGTTTGTGTTTTGAAGGTTTACGTAAAAGATATTCCTACTTACATTTTTCTGCAACTCCCTTTTCGCTTTCTTATTTTTCCAGTCTGTTTACACTAATATATCACTAATATATATAATTCTAGTTCATTTATTTTTAGTATGACCTTTCGTTGTCTGTTTTATGCCACAGTTTGTCCATTCCTCTATCTGTAGACGTTAAGAATGTTGTTGCATGCTGCAGACATTAAGGTTGCTAACAGTTTTTGGTAAAAATAATGCTATGTTGGGCATTGTTGTATATGTTCCCTTGAACGCATGTATGTTTCTCTAGGATATATTCCTAAAAACAATTCCTACTATACGGGGGTATGTGAATTTTCAGTTTTAGCAGATGGGCCAGTGCCTCTCTGGAATGGCTGTCCAAATTTATCTTCCTACCAACAGTGAGCACAAATTCCTATTTTCCCCACAGCCTCTAGTAACTTCTTGGTTTTAAACTCTTTTTCCCCCAATCTGATGGGTGAACAGCACTTCCTATTTTGTCTTTTTTGCCTTAAGAAGGTAGATCATTTGCATTTCTTCCAACCTTGTGGAAGTCTGTTCATCTAGTTTCTGGTGAGAAGTTCTTTTTATGAAATAAGGTGCTGGGAGTGGGAAACACTGCTCCAGTTTGCCATTCATTCAGTGTTTAATTTAACATCCTACTGTTGACTTTGTTTTAAAAACACTCCTGAGTATTTTCTTAAAAGAATTCATTTTACTTTTGGAACTAGATACTTCTAATTTTCATTATTTGGGTACTGGGGTCTTTTTTTTTTTTAATAGTTAAATATTATTCTTGCCTTTTTTTTTTTTTTTTTTTTTTCTTTTCTTAGGGTCTTGCTCTGTCACCCAGGCTGGAGGGCAGTGGTGTGATCACGGCTCAGTGCAGCCTTGAACTCCTAGGCTCAAGGGATCCTCCCCTGCCTCAGCCTCCTGAATAGCTGGGACTACAGATGTGTGCCACTGTACTGGCTAATTTTTTTTTTTTTTTTTTTTTTTTTTTAGACAGAGTCTCACTCTGTCACCCAGGCTGGAGTGCAGTGGCATGATCTTGGCTCACTGCAACCTCCACATCCTAGGTTCAGGGGATTCTCCTACCTCAGCCTCCAGAGTAGCTGGGACTACAGGTGTGTGCCACCATGCCCAGCTAATTTTTGTATTTTTAGTAGAGATTGGATTTCACCATGTTGGCCAGGCTGGTCTCGAACTCCTGACCACAAATGCTCCTCCTGCCTTGGCCTCCCAAAGTGCTGGGATTACAGGCATGAGCCACCACGCCCGGCCAAACTTTTTTCTTTATACTTCTGAATTTCCCAAATTTTCTATTAAAGTAAATTATAAAAAGTAGCTGAGGCAAGACAACAATTGTTAAGCTTCTATTATTGTAATACCCAAGTGTAAGAAATACAGTTGCCGTTCACACCTGTGTAGGTAGCTTTCCTAGATGACTGAATTAGGCTGCATGTATTATGTGCAGGCCTTTGTTTTGCTCTCTGCCAAAACGGTGACTGCTGTTCTAAGAGCTCTCGAAGCACCGTTGGACTCTGCTCTGTTTTGAACAGGTTGTCGGGGTACCAGTTGGGTCTGCTTTACCTTCAACAGTGAAGCAGGCTGTGGCGATCAGTGGTGGCCAGATCCTGGTAGCCAAGGCCAGCTCTTCTGTCTCCAAAGCAGTTGGGCCAAAGCAAGTTGTAACCCAAGGAGTTGCCAAAGCAATTGTGAGTGGAGGTGGAGGAACCATTGTTGCTCAGCCAGTGCAGACCTTAACCAAGGCCCAGGTTACTGCCGCTGGTCCTCAGAAGAGTGGATCCCAGGGTTCAGGTAAAACGGATCATCACTGGGAGCCCTTTCAGCAGAAGCTCTGTCCAAAATTTCCTTTGCTAGTGATTTTATTTGCTATTTGATCTGGTCTAGGAAAGCCTAGTTAGGTTGATGCTGTAAGAAGTGTATTGAAATGTTTGTTCTTTTTTATGGGACATTTTACATAAAGGTCTGTGAGTATTTAGCTTTAAATTTACACACACACACACACACACCCACATACACACACACACACGAACAAATCATTTCTCAGTACTGTGGGGGATTGGTTCCAGGACCCCCTGCTGCAGATAGCAAAATCCACAGATGCTAATCCACAGTCCCCTGTGTAAAATGCTGTACTGTTTACGTATAACCTATGTACATCCTCTGATGTACTTTACTTTATATCATCTCTAGGTTATCTTAATACCTAATAACAATGTAAATAACAATGTAATAACAATGTATATGCTATGTAAATAGTTGTTACACTGTGTTGTTTAAGGAATAATGACAAGAAAAAAGTCTGTACATGTTCAGTACAGATGTACTCATCCTTTTGTCTGCCAAATATATGGATATTTTTTATCTGAGGTAGGTTACATCCATGGATGTGAAATCCACAGATACAGAGGGCCAATGGTACTTGCCAGTTAGGAGCACACATTTGCCCTAACTTTGACTTTAAACAAATGGGGGAAAATATGTAATCCTCCATAGACAGGGTGATTATTTCATTAATCGTCCAAACCACAGTACTTTGGAGAGTAAAAAGAGTCATTATTAATAATTATAGTGGGACAGGTGTAACCTAGAACTGTTCTGGGCAGAACCAGGACGTACGATCATCCTATTATATACAGATATAAAGAGCCTCTGGCAGGCTCTTCTGGTCTATAAATTATTTTTTAATTAGCAAGATATTTAAGAATATCAGTCTTTAAAGCATTGTGCATCTGGGAAACAAACTTTGAATTTATTGCTTGTTAGTGTTCTAAAATAAGAATTTATTGCCTTGTATTTTAATTTTAGAGTGTTGCCCTTAGTTTCAATTTATCTTACAATTTTTTCTCCTTTACCATTTTAGTAATGGCAACGTTGCAGCTACCAGCCACTAATTTGGCCAACTTGGCAAATTTGCCTCCTGGCACTAAACTCTACCTAACTACAAACAGCAAGAACCCTTCAGGAAAAGGAAAACTGCTGCTGATCCCTCAAGGAGCCATCCTGCGAGCTACGAACAATGCTAGTTAGTGAAACCATTGGGTTGAATCATTTGGTTCTTGGTTCTCTATGTGTGTTCATCTTGTCCATCTGAGGGCAGTTCTTACCTGTTTCAGGAAGCATTTCTGTAACTCTGTTGGGTGGTGTAATGGTAGCATTTGCTCAGATGGATTTAACACATACGATAATTTAACTAGAAGTGGGTTTGCTCCTCAGCGTTTGCAATCAGAGATGAATCACTCTGGAGAGAGATGGCTGGTGAGGCTGTTGGGAGAAAGCTGTCTACATGAACCATGAATGAAGTGGTGTCTGAAAATTATCTGGTGATACCTGAGGGAAGATCCATCTACTTATAGAAGCTGGAAGTCTGTTTTTGGGGATAGGTTGGCATAGGATTGGAATCGAGTGTGTCTGTTTGACTTCATTTAGATCAGGGGTCCCCAACCCCTGGGCCGCACAGCAGAAGTTGAGCATGGACGAAGAAGCATTACTGCCTGAGCTCCGCCTCCTGTCAGATCAGCAGTGGCATCAGATTCTCACAGGAGCGCGAACCCTGTTGAGAACTGTGCATGCGAGGGATCTAGGTTGTGTGCTCCTTATGAGAATCTAATGCCTGATGATCTGAGGTGGAACAATTTCTTCCCCAAACCACCCCCCGCCTCCTGTCCCAATTCATGGAAAAGTTGTCTTCCATGAAACTGGTCCCTGGTGCCACAAAGCTTGGGGACAGCTGGTTTGGATGTATTCCTTACTTCTGCTAGGTTTGGAGATGGAAAGAGAAATACAGACTCTACCTAGGTTTGTAAGTCTTAAAGCCCCATGGAAATGAGGCAGTTTATCTGCAGTTAAAGAAACTTTTGCTTTGACATATAGAGAAAAACCGTTTGGGCAGTGTTGAAAAGGATAGGATAAAAGGAAATTATTTCCCTCTGAATCAGAAGTAGAAGGGTACAGCATTCAGGGTCATTGGAAGTTAACCGCCCTTGCCAAAATGCAGTGTGTCAGCTCATCATCCTTGCGTTCATTGACCATGATGTGTCAGTTCCACTCTCACTTGGTGTTTTTTCCTCATACCTAAGCAGTGGTATGTCCAAAAGTTAAATGTGTAAGAAAAGGACAATGTAAATATTTCAGAAGTCATCCAGGGAGCTACTTAGATTCTTGTGATATCCTTGGTGCAAAAATAAACCATTGGGAAGGAAGCTATTCCAATAATCACTGGAATGAAGGTGGAGAAGGAAATTGGAAGTTAGTATTTGTTGAGTGAATATTCATAGTCCAGGTAGTTCAAATGCATTATCTCACCAAAAGAGAAGTAAAAAGACTTCAAGGCTTTGAAGTGGGATTTGAAAGGCAAAGAAGAATGGGGTCCTGGAGTCATTGTAAATGAAGGAAAGTCTTCATTTTTCCTGAGACAGGGAGACAACATCGAGCACTGTAAAGTTACACTAAATTCCAGCAATTCCCTGACATTGAATCAGATGCCCAAAAGTTGGGAAGCACCTAGCTGAGCACATTTAAGTGTTGATTAAAATACTTGGCTAGAGGCTGGGTGCAGTGGCTCACACCTGCAATCCCAGCACTTTGGAGGGCCAAGGCGGGCGGATCATGAGGTCAGGAGATCGAGACCATCCTGTCCAACATGGTGAAACCCCCTCTCTACTAAAAATACAAAATTAGCTGGGCATGGTGGCACACGCCTGTAGTCCCAGCTCCTTGGGAGGCTGAGGCAGGAGAATCGCTTGAACCCGGGAGGCAGAGGTTGCAGTGAGCCAAGATCTTGCCATTGCACTCCAGCCTGGCGACAGAGTGAGACTCCGTCTCAAAAAAATACTTGGCTAGAAAATGTCAGTAGCAAGCCTTCTCTTGATCTCCCACGACCACGTCAAAGTATCTTCATTGTACTCAGAGCCGAAATACAGTCAGTTGTCATGCAGTTGAAAGGAAATAGATTTTGATCTAAAATCTAGGAAGTTCTCCTCACTCTTGTCACAGGGTAGGTAGATTACAGAAAAGACGGAGGAAAATGGGAAAGAAGAAGGAATGGCACTAAAAGGGAAACATCTCTCTGGGCTCATTTGTTTTTTATGCTAAAGCTTTGCTTGATACTTTTTATGATGTTGCTGTCATTCATTGTATTTTTAGATCTCCAGTCTGGCTCAGCTGCCAGTGGTGGGAGTGGTGCCGGAGGAGGAGGAGGAGGAGGAGGAGGAGGCGGCAGTGGCAGCGGTGGAGGCGGCAGCACAGGAGGAGGAGGAGGAACAGCAGGAGGAGGAACTCAAAGTACTGCTGGCCCTGGAGGGATATCTCAGCACCTGACTTACACATCTTACATCCTCAAGCAAACTCCCCAGGTCTGGTTCTCTGTAACTGATATTTTAAATCATTTAGCTATTGGATAACTATGCTTAATTATAATTGATTTACCTTTACGGCTCTGGGATCAGGGTTCAATACTAACACCTTAACCGTGTTATCTATATCTATATCTTGGCCGGGTGTGGTAACTCATGCCTGTAATCCTAGCACTTTGGGAGGCCAAGGTGGGTGGATCGCTTGAGCCCAGGAGTTCGAGACCAACCTGGGCAACATGGCAAAACCCTGTCTCTACTAAAAATACCAAAATTAGCTGGGCGTGGTGGTGCACGTCTACAGTCCCAGCTACTCCGAAGGTTGAGGTGGGAGGATTGCTTGAACCTGGGAGGTTGAGGCTGCAGTGAGCTGAGGTCGCACCACTGCACTCCACCCTGGCTGGGTGACAGAGTGAGACCCTTTCTCAAAAAAAAACTATGTGTTTTTATCTTTTTTGCTTGCTTTGAGAGAAGAGGAAGTAGAGATTGAGAAAGATTTTAGTAACTTATCCAGGATCTTCCTGCCAAGCCAATGGTAGAATTTGGGTTTAAGCCAGGCACGGTGGCTCACGCCTGTAATCCCAGCATTCTGGGAGGCCGAGGCAGGCAGATCACCTGAGGTCAGGAGTTCAAGACCAGCCTGGTCCATGGTGAAACCCTGTCTCTATTAAAAATACAAAAATCAGTCGGGTGTGGTGGTGCATGCCTGTAATCCCAGCTACTTGGAAGGCTGAGGCAGGAGAATCACTTGAACCCGGGAGGCAGAGGTTGCAGTGAGCCAAGATCACTCCATGGTACTCCAGCCTGGGGGAAAAGGGTGAGACTCTGTCTCAAAAAAAAAAAAAAAGGAAAAGAATTTGGGTTTAAACCCAGATCTTCCTGCCTTAAAGATTTCTACTATGCTAATTGCCTCCAAAATCCATGAGGTAATAAACAGTATTAATGTACAGTTGAAAAGTTGCTCATAGAAGGGAGTGATCAAAGAGATGGTATCAAGTTGTAATATTTAGAGTTAAGTTAGATTTGATTAGGAACAGGTTTCCTCCTCGTCTCCTCTTGTCACTGAAGTCTTGGCTCTTTTTGAAGGAAAGTAATAGAATTTTGGTTCCAGATGTTCTTATTGAGAAAGATGATATCAGTCTGAATGATTAAATCCAGTTTTGAGGACTAAGTTGCAAAACATGAGTTTTCAACAGGCTGCTCTGTAACTACAGTGCAAAGTTTGAGAAGTGGGGATAACTAATGGAAGTAACACTTAGAGCACAACTATTCTTTTGAATTATTTTGCCTACATTGCAGAATTAAAGGGGAGAGCGTTGTAGCTTGTAACATGGGACGTTACATGTGATTTAAGGGATCAGAACAGCCCATCTGAATTTAACAAATTACCGATTAGTTCTTTATATTTTTTTCTAACTTAGGGCACATTTTTAGTTGGCCAGCCATCACCCCAGACTTCTGGAAAACAACTCACCACTGGGTCAGTGGTCCAAGGAACACTGGGAGTCAGCACATCTTCTGCACAAGGACAACAAACGCTAAAAGTCATCTCTGGACAGAAAACCACATTGTTTACACAGGTAAATACGCCCATGCACACACCCCAAATATGGGGTGATTATGGCATTTATTTACATATTTACATGTAGTTTCTCTCTTTTCACAAAGAAATTAAGGTTACATAAGAAAATGAACAATAAGGCCAGGAGTGGTCGCTCACGTCTGTAATCCCAGCACTTTGGGAAGCCAAGGTGGGTGGATTGCCTGAGGTCAGGAGTTGGAGACCAGCCTGGCCAACATGGCCAACATAGTGAAACCCCGTCTCTACTAAAAATACAAAAATTAGCCAGGTGCAGTGGTGCGTGCCTATAGTCCCAGCTACTCGGGAGGCTAAGGCAGGAGAATCGCTTGGACCCGGGAGGCGGAGGTTGCAGTGAGCCGAGATCGTGCCATTGCACTCCATCCTGGGCGACAGAGCAAGATTCTGTCTCAAAAAAAAAAAAAAAAAGAAAAAAAAAGAAAAAATGAACAATAAAAAATATAGAAAAACAAAAATGAATCTTGAGGTTTGGGAAAATATAAGTAGAATGAGAAAATTAAGGACCCAGGTGTTATTCTCATATGCAAACACTTAAGATATCTTGCACAGTTAAAAAAATCAAGGTATAAATGTGATAGCAAAGACAAAATGAGAAGCATGGTCAGTTTTAAAGTCACACTATTTGTGAGAAAGAAAAAAACGCATATTTCTTTAGAAGAAACAAAGCTTTCTTGACACTTTGTTGTAAAATTTCTCCAGAGGGGCTTCACGTGGAAGATCCAGAATGGGCCAGTTTCAGCTATAGTATCCAGACAGTGAGTGAGTAGCTGGGATTACAGGCATGCACCACCATGCCCAGCTAATTTTGTGTTTTTAGTAGAGATGGGGTTTCTCCATGTTGGTCAGGCTGGTCTCCAGCTCGTGACCTCAGGTGATCTGCCCGCCTCGGCCTCCGAAAGTGCTGGGATTACAGGCGTGATCCGCTCCTGGCCTTGTTTAGAGTTTTTGCAAGTGATACTGGTCAGTAGTTTTCTTAGTAATTTCTGTCTGGTTTGGTATCAGGATAATACTGGCCTCATAAAATGAAGTGGAAGCTTTTCCTTTCTTTTCTCTTTATTGGAAGAGTTTATATAGAATTGGTACTGTTTCTTAACTGTTTAATTGAATATACCTGTAAAAGCCATATTAGCCTGGAGTTTTCCTAATTGAGAAGGTTTTTATATTACTGTTTTAAACTACAGTTTCAGTTTATTTACTAGATACGGGACTGTTCAGGTTGTTTATTTCTTTTCTTTTTATATATATTTTTTGAGACAGAGTCTTTATCTGTTGCCCAGGCTCCTGGGTTCAAGCAGTTCGCCTGCCTCATCCTCACGAGTAGCTGCGATTACAGGAGTCCACCACCACGCCCAGCTAATTTTTGTATTTTTAATAGAGACAGGGTTTCACCATGTTGGTCAGGCTGGTCTCGAACTCCTGACCTCGTGGTCTGCCCGCCTCGGCCTCCGAAAGTTCTGGGATTACAGGCACAAGCCACCACGCCCAGCCCGTTTTCATTCTTGCTTTTGGTAATTATGTGTCCTCTTTTTATTGATCAGTCTAGCTAGAGGTTTATCAGTTGTATTGATCTTTTCAAATTACCAGCATTTGGTGTCCTCTTTTGTTCTTTTTTGTCGAATGTCCTTACCCATGTTAAACAGATACAAGGCCCTGCAGTTCACTGTAGACAGTTCTTTTAAATCTTCCTTAGATTTCACACCTGCTTGTGTTGCAGCAGTGCACAGGTGAGACAGTTCCTGTTGCCCCTCCCTCCTTGCAGGGACTGGCTATCTTTAATCTTCAGGTTACTTGGCTACTTTGAGATTTCAGCCCTCCAATATGTTTCAAAAAAATAAGATTTTGTAGTGTATTCAGCCTTTTCTTGTTAGGGTAGGAGCAACCGTGCTTTATAGCCCTCTGTTTCCTATGTGGAAGCAAAAGTCCCTGACCAACGGATTTTAACTTGACAGAGAAAACTTTATTTTTATTTATTTATTTATTTTTTATATATTTTTTTGAGACACAGCCTTGCTCTGTCGCCAGGCTGGAGTGCAGTGGCACGATCTCGGCTCACTGCAGCCTCCGCCTCCTGGGTTCAAGCAATTCTCCTGCCTCAGCCTCCCGAGTAGCTGGGATTACAGGTGCCCGCCACCATGTCCAGCTAATTTTTGTATTTTTACTAGAGACGGGGTTTCACCACGTTGGTCAGGATGGTCTCGATCTCTTGACCTCGTGATCTGCCCGCCTCGGCCTCCCAATGAACTGAGATTACAGGCGTGAGCCACCGCACCTGGCCTTTACTTTTTTTTTTTTTTTTTTTAATTTTTTATCTTTCTGACTCAAGATCTAACAGAGAAAACTTTAAATTGCTGTGGTTTCAGATTGCATAATACAACTAAACTTGAAGAAACTTCCACTTGTTGAGCTTTAGTGTAGCATCAGAGAAGAGTAACAACAGTATTTGAAAGAGCTGTTAAAATACTCTTCCCTTTTCCAACTACATATGTGGATATATCTCACACCAACACAGCAAGCACCACAGGAAGGAGGAAGCGGGGGCGCAGGGCATGGAGAACACTGGAAACTGAATAGAACTGGCTGCTCTTGCCACAGTACCCAACACATCACCCTTCTGGTTGCCTCAAGCTTCTGCTATCTCCAGATGTGGAGCTTATCTAGCGTTTTTCCACGCTTCTGTGGCAGATTCTCCTGGCGTGTCCCACGTAAGGCTTTTATCACTTGGCGAGGCTTTCTTCTGCAGCCTTTTGTCTGTTTTTCGTAGTTGCTTGTCCACTATTGGGCTCCTCAACTAGTTTTTGAACACAACCAGTAGAATGCATTTATTTATTTATGCCTTTTCTGGTTTTTTTGGATTTGGCGCTGAGAGGAGTATTGCTGTCCACAATGAAGATAAAATGGCACAAATGTTTATGCAGTGAACTCTGGCAGCAAAATACATAAAGTGCAAAGACTATTAGGAATATGAGGAGAATTTGATAAAACTGCAGTCACAGAGAAGAATTTTAACATGTCTCTCAGCATTTAGCTAATCAAGTGGATAAATCTTTTTTATTATAAAGGATTTGTATTGGAATAACAGTACTAACAGGCTTAATTCTGTATCATTGAGACACAGAATACACATTTTGCTTGTATATCTGTGGAACATTAACAAATTGATTATATACTTGGCCACAAAGAGAATCTCTTAGCATATTTCAAAAGTAGCATCCAATGTGCTTCATTCTGTTACTCAATAAAAAAGTCAAATCAATAACAACCAAAAAACTTGACAATTAAAATACTCTTCTAAATTCTTGGGTTAAAAAAATCCAAATAAATTACGGATGATTTAGCTGTTAATACAAATGACAATTTTATTAGGGTTCTCCAGAGAAACAGAACAAATATAATATATATAGATATTAAGAGGAAATTTATTATGAGAATTGGCTCCTGTGATTATGGAGACCAAGGAGTCCCACGACATGCTGTTAGCAGGCTGGAGATCAGGAAAGCTAGTGGTGTGATTCAGTCTGACTACAAAGGCCTGCGAACTGGTGGGCATGGGAGTGAGGGGCACACTGGCATTAAGTCCTGGAGTCTGAAGGCCTGAGAACCAGGAGCTCTGATGTCTAAGGGTAGGAGAAGATTGATGTCTCAGCTTAAGAAGAGAGAGAGAATTCGCCCATTGTCCGCCTTTTTGTTCTATTCAGGTCCTTGACAGATTGGATGATGTCTGCCCACGTTGGCGAGGGCGGATCTTCTTTACTCTGTCTGCTAATCCAAATGCTGGTCTCTTGCAGAAATATTTTACCAGGTATCTGGGCATCCCTCAGCCCACTCAAGTTGACATAAAATTAACCATCACAACAGTACTTGATATTAAAACCTATGGAAACAACCCAAACCAGGCTCAAGAAAATTCAAAGCTTTAAATGCTTTTTCCTTTTAGCCCCACATCCTTAAAGATATAATAAAATAATGCATAGATCATAAGCGTAGATCTCCAGCCTGGCGACAGAACAAGACTCCGTCTCAAAAAAAAAGAAACTACCTGGGCCATGGTGGCACATGCCTGTGGTCCCAGCCATTCAGGAGGCTGAGGTGGGAGGATGGCTTGAGCCTTTGAAGTTGAGGCTACAGTGAGCCATGATGGTGCCACTGCTCTCCAGCCTGGGCGATAGAGCAACACCCTGTCTTAAAAAAAAAAAAATTTTTTTTTTCTATCACCATTTTTCTGTTTCTTTCACCATAGATTAGCTTTTGTCTTTCTTGAACTTCATGTCAGTGGAATTATATAGTATGTAGTCTTTTATGTCTGGCTTCTGTTATTCAACGTAATGTTTCCAAGATTTATCTATATGTGTGTTAATCGTTTATTCTTTTTTATTCTTGAGTTAATTTTTTAATTTTTTAATTTTTTTGAGACAGAGTTTCGCTCTTGTTGCCCAGGCTGGAGTGCAGTGGTGCGATCTTGGCTCACTGCAACCTCTGCCTCCCGGGTTCAAGCGATTCTCCTGCCTCAGCCTCCCGAGTAGCTGGGATTACAGGCATTCGCCACCAAGCCTGGCTAATTTTGTATTTTTAGTAGAGACGAGGTTTCTCTATGTTGGTCAGGCTGGTCTCGAACTCCTGACCTCAGGTGATCCACCCGCCTCAGCCTCCCAAAGTGCTAGGATTACGGACATGAGCCACCGCGCCTGGCCAATTCTTGAGTTTTTTAATTTTTTTATTTTTTGAGATGACGTCTCGCTCGTGTCCCCCAGGCTGGAGTACAATGGCGTGATCTCAGCTCACTACGACCTCTGTCTCCTGGGTTCAAGTGATTCTCCTGCCTCAGCCTCCCGAGTAGCTAGGATTACAGGCGCCTGCCACCATGCCCAGCTAATTTTTGTATTTTTCGTAGAGACAGGGTTTCACCATGTGGGCCAGGCTGGTCTCGAACTCCTTACCTCAGGTGATCTGCCTGCCTCGGCTTCCCAAAGTGCTGGGATTTCAGGCGTGAGCCACCGCACCCAGCCAGAGTGATTCTATTTTTGTTCCATGATTCCACTTTCCTGTTGATGGACATTTGGATTATTTCCAGGTTTTTTTGTTTGTTTTTGCTGTCATGGATAAAACTGCCATAAATATTCTTACACAGATATTTTTCTGCAGAACAGCCTGATCATAGGGTACATATATGTTTATAAGAAACTGAGAAATGGTTTAGTAAAATGGTTGTACTGTTTGACTATCCCAGAGTAATATGAGGAAGTCTGATTTGCTCTACATCCTCACCAACACGGAGGATTGTCATTCTTTTTAATTTTAGCCATTGTTGTGAGTGCAAAGTCATATCTCATTGTGGTCTTTATTTGCATAAAGCTCCAATGCAAATTATGCCATGGCTATTACTTGTGGAATCTAGTCATAACTTTTTCAGATAGTGCTAGCTGTGTGACCCTGGTAAATTAATCTCTTCATCTCTAAGACAGGACTAAAACCTACTCTATACAGTTAGTGAAAATAATGACTTACGATGACATAAGATATGTACAAGTGCTTTCTGTTCTTCCTGGCACATAGTAAGATCTCAGAAACTAATAAATGGTGTCTGCTTGTGGAGTGCATTAATTTGGGACACTGAGCAGTCACTTAGAGCAGATTTCAGCAAACTACAGCCAAGGCTTCCTGTTTGCGTTGTTGCTGCTGTTTTTTATAATTTAAACTTTTATTTTAGATTCAGGGGGTACATGTGCAGGTTTGTTACATGGGTATATTGCATGATGCTGAGGCTAGGGTCATGATTGATCTTGTCACCCAGGGAGTGAGCATCATACCCAATAGTTAGTTTTTTAACCCTTCCCTCCCTGCCCCATGTCATAGTCCTCAGTGTCTATTGTGGCCATCTTTGTGTCCATTTACCCAACGATTAGCTCCCACTTGTAAGTGAGAACATGTAGCCTTTGGTTTTCTGTCCTGCATTCATTCACTTAGGATAATGGCCTCCAGCTGCATCTGTGTTGCTTCAAAAGAAATGATTTCTTACCTTTTCATGGCTGTGTGGTATTTGATGGTGTATCCAGTCCACTGCTGAAGGGTACCTAGGTTGATTCCATGTCTTTGCTATTGTGAATAGTGCAGTGATGGACATAGGGGTGCATGTGTCTTTTTAGTAGAATGATTTATTTTCTTTTGGATATATACACATAGATTGCTGAGTCAGATGGTAGTTCCGTTTTAAGTTTTTTGTTTTGTTTTTGAGACAGGATCTCACAGTCACCCAGGCTGGAGTGCAGCACCCTCGACCTCCTGGGCTCAAGCAGTTCTCCCATCCCAACCTCCCAAGTAGTTAGGACTACAGTCCTGTGACACCATGGCCAGCTAACTTTTTATTTTTCTAGTGACAGGGTCAAGGTTGCCCAGGCTGGTCTTGAACTCCTGGGCTGAAGTGGCCTCCCAAAGTGCTGGGATCACAGGCATGAGCCACTGCACCCAACCTTTGTTTTCTGTTCTTTGAGAAATCTCCAAACTGCCTTCCACGGTGGCTGACCTAACTTACATTCCCACCCACAGTGTATAGGGCTTTCCTTTTTTCCACAGCCTATCTGGTGTGAGATGATATTGTGGTTTTGATTTGCATTTCTCTGGTGATTAGTGATACGGAGCATTTTTTCATGTTTGTTGGCTACTTGTATATCTTCTTTTGGAGAAATGTCTGTTCATGTCTTTTGCCCACTTTTTAATGGGGTTTATTTATAATGAGGTTTATTTATTTGCTTGTTAAATTAGGTTCCTTATAGATTCTGGATATTAGACCTTTGTCGGATGTATGGTTTATGAATCTTTTCTCCCATTCTGTAGGTTGTCTCTACTCTGTTGATAGTTTCTTTTGCTGTGCAGAAGCTTTTTAGTTTAATTAGGTCCCACTTGGTTTTCCTTTTTGTTGCAATTGTTGTTGATGCTTCCTGTTTTTTGTAAGTAACATTTTATTGGAACACAGCCACACTCGTTTCACGCTGTAATCGTAGAGCCGAGGAGTTGCAACAGAGGTCCTACGGCCTGAAAGCCAAAATTGCATACTCTTGCCATTAAAAAAAAAAAAAAAGCCGGGTGTGGTGGGTCACGCCTGTAATTCCAGCACTTTGGGAGGCTGAGACGGGCGGATCACCTGAGGTCAGGAGTTTGAGACCAGCCTGGCCAACATGGAGAAACCTTGTCTCTACTAAAAGTACAAAATTAGCCAGGCATGGTGGCGCATACCTGTAATCGCAGCTACTCGGGAGGCTGAGGCAGGAGAATCGCTTGAACCCAGGAGGCAGAGGTTGCAGTGAGCCAAGATCGCACCACTGCACTCCAGTCTGAGCAAAAGAGCAAAACTCTGTCTCAAAAAAAAAAGTTTGTTGAGCCTTTATTTAGACTACTGAGACTGTCATTTATAATTTGTATCCAGCCTGGGCAACATAATGGTGACCCTGTCTCTGAAAAACATTTTCTGGTTTTAAATTAACCAGGTGTTTGGCCGGGTGCGGTGGCTTCACGCCAGTAATCCCAGCATTTTGGGAGGCTGAGGTGGGCAGATCACGAGGTCACGAGAGATCGAGACCATCCTGGCCAACATGGTGAAACCCCATCTCTACTAAAAATACAAAAATTAGTTGGGCGTGGTGGCACGTGCCTGTAAGTCCTAGCTACTCGGGAGGCTGAGGCAGGAGAATCACTTGAACCCGGGAGGCGGAGGTTGCAGTAAGCCAAGATTGCGCCACTGCACTCCAGCCTGGGCGACAGAGCGAGACTCTGTCTCAAAAAAAAAAAAAAAAAAAAATCAACCAGATGTGGCACATGCCTGTAATCCCAGCTACTCGAAAGGCTGGGGCAGGAGGATCACTTGAGCCCAGGAGTTCGAGGCTGCAGTGAGCTATGATTGTGCCATTACACTCCAGCCTAGGTGACAGAGCAAGACCCTGTCTCTAAAAAAATAAAATAAAATAAAAAATATGTAATTTGTAAATGGTTCTCCAGTACTAAAATGCTAAGCCTATATCTAATTTAGAAGACCATTAACCTTACCCATTTAAATCTGGCCCTGTCTAGGGTTGATTCTCATGTTTAAAGATTATACGTACATTTAAGAGCATGTTGTAATCAAGTATTTTGAAAACAAGTGACCTGTTACCTTTAAAGATACTGCTGCCAAATAGTAACTTGCAAATGCATTTATTTACTTGTTCTATATTGGGGTAAAGGGATATTTATAGGTGAAAGGTCATAAAATTTGGAGCTTGTTAGAAAGGTGTGTAAACACCTCATGTAGGTTGGATTGGTAAGACTTTCTTGGTTATTCTCCAAGTCATGGGGCGTATCTCAGCTGTCAGTAAGGAATGAGTTATGTCTATTATCCAAGGCAACATGATTATTTCTGCCCATCTTGTTTCTGCAGGCAGCCCATGGAGGACAGGCATCTCTAATGAAAATATCCGATAGCACCTTGAAGACTGTGCCAGCCACCTCACAGCTCTCGAAGCCTGGAACCACAATGCTGAGAGTAGCAGGAGGGGTTATCACAACTGCCACTTCCCCTGCCGTGGCCCTCTCAGCAAACGGTCCTGCACAACAGGTGAGAAATAGCATGTCAGTAGAGAATCCTAATGAGACATGAAAGTGGTGTAGATACAAGGAAGGTGTCCAGCAGGCACACCAGTGGACCTTTTAAAAATACTCAACTATTGCTTTTTTTTTTAAAGAAATATTCACATACCATAAAAGTCCCCATTTTGTAGTATATAGTTCAGTAGTGCTTGTCATTCACATGGTTGTGCAACTGTGATTACCATCATCTAATCCCAGAGCATTTTATCATCCCAGAAAGAAGCCCAATACCCATCAGCAGTCACTCCCATTCCATCCTTCTGTTCTAGGCGACCGCTGACCTACTTTCTTTGGATTTGCCTATTTTAGACATTTCATATAAAGGGAGTCATATAACATGCCCTTTTGGGTCTGCTTCTGATGCTTAGCATTACAGTGCAGAGTTCATCCACGTTGTGACTTGCATCAATACTCCTTTTCATGGCTGGATAATACTCAGTTTGATGGATGTACCATATTTTGTTTATCCATTCATCAGTTGATGGGCACTTGGATTATTTTCTACTTTTTGACTGTTGTGAATAATGCTGCAGTGAATATTTGTGTACAGGTTTTTGTATAAACACGTTTTTATTTCTCTTGGCTGTATACCTAGTGATGGAATTGCTGGATTATAAGGTAACTTTTTTTGTTGTTTTTTGAGATGGAGTCTTGCTGTGTCACCAGGCTGGAGTGCAGTGACGAGATCTCGGCTCACTGGAACCTCCATCTCCCGGGTTCAAGCGATTCCCCTGCCTCAGCCTCCCAAGTAGCTGGGACTACAGGCACGCACCACCATGTCCGGCTAATTTTTTGTATTTTAGTAGAGATGGGGTTTCACCATGTTGGCCAGAATGGTCTCAATCTCCTGACCTCGTGATCCACCTGCCTCATCTCCCAAAGTGCTGGGATTACAGGTGTGAGCCACTGCGCCCGGCCTGTGATAACTCCTTTTAACTTTGTGAGGAACTGCTAAACTGTTTTCCCAAGTGGCTACATTATTTTAGATTCTCACCAGCGATATACAAGGGTTCCAGTTTTTCCACAAACTCACCCAAACTTGTTCTTGTCCTTTTTTTTTAATTATAGCTATTGTAGTGGGTGTAAACTAGTATCTCATTGTGGTTTTGATTTGCGATTCCCTGTTAATGATATTGAGCATCTTTTCACGTATTTATTGGCTATTTGTATATCTTTTATCCATTTACATCCTTTGCCCATTTTTTAGTTGGTTGTCTTTTAATCGTTGAAGTGTAGGAGTACTTTATATATTCTAGATATGTCTCTTACCAGATTTGCAAAAATTTTCTTGCACTCTGAGCTGTCTTTTCACTTTCTTGATAGTATTGAACCACAAAAGTTTTAAATTTTGGTTTTCATTCCTTTTTAAATTTTTTAAATTAGGCTGGGCGCAGTGGCTCATGCCTGTAATCCCAGCACTTTGGGAGGCCGAGAAGGGCGGATCACGAGGTCAGGAGATCAAACCATCCTGGCTAACAAGGTGAAACCCCCGTCTCTACTAAAAATACAAAAAAAAAAAATTAGCGGGGCGTGGTGACGGGCGCCTGTAGTCCCAGCTACTCAGGAGGCTGAGGCAGGAGAATGGCATGAACCCAGGAGGCAGAGCTTGCAGTGAGCCGAGATTGCGCCACTCCACTCCAGCCTGGACAGTAGAGCGAGATTCCATCTCAAAAAATATATATAAATAAATTATTATGGGTACATAATCAATGTGGATATTCACAGGGTACATGTGATGTTTTGATGCAGGCATACAATGCGTAATAATCGCATCAGGGTAATTGGGGTATCTGTCACCCTAAGCATTTATCTTTTTTTTAAACCAATTGTATTCTTTGTGACTGTAAAATATATAAGAAATTATTGTGAATTTTGGTCACCCTGTTGTGCTATCAAATACTAGATCTTACTCATCCCTTCTAACTATATTTTTGTACCCATTAACCATCCCCACTCCCTCCCTCCCTGCTGTTGGCCTTCCCACCTTCTGGTAACCACCATTCTTCTCTCTGTCTTCATGGGTTCAGTTGTTTTAATTGTTAGCTCCCACATGAGTGAGAACGTGTGAAATGTGTCTTTCTGTGCCTGGCTTATTTCACTTAACATAATGTCCTCCAGTTCTATCCATGTTGCAAATGACAGGATTTCATTCTTTCTTATAACGGAATAATATTGTATTGTGTATATGTACCACATTTTCTTTATCGTTCACCTGGTGATGGACACTTAGGTTGATTCCAAATCTTGGCTATTGTGAATAGTGCCGTAATAAACATGGAAGTGCAGACGTCTCCTCATATACTCATTTCCTTTGTTTTGGGTATATACCTAGCAGTGGGATGTGGATCATATGGTAGTTCTATTTTCAGTTTTTTGAGGACCCTCTGTACTGTTCTCTATCGTGATTGTACTAACTTAGATTCCCACCAGCAGTGTACGAGGGTTCCCTCTTCACATCCTCGCCAGCCTTTTGGATGAGAGTCATTTTAACTGGGTGGGATGCTTTCTCATTGTAGTTTTGATTTGTGTTTCTCTCACAATTAATGATGTTGAGCATTTTTTTATATGCCCCTTGGGCCATTTATGTGTCTTCTTTTGAGAAATGTGTGTTGAGATCTTTTGCCCATTTTCAAATGAGATTGTTTGGCTTTTTTCTATAGAGTTGTTTGAGCTTCTATATTCTGATTATTAATCCCTTGTCAGATGTATATGTAGTTTGCCAGTATTTCCTCCCATTCTGTGGGCTGTCTCTTTGTTGATTGTTTTCTTTGCTGTGCAGAAGCTTTTTAACTTGATGTGATCCCATTTATACATTTTTGTTTTGGTTGCCTGTGCTTTTGAGGTACTACTCAGGAAATCTTTGCCCAAACCGATGTCCTGGAGAGTTTCCCTAATGTTTTCTTGTAGTAGTTTCGTAGTTTGATGTCTTAGATTTAACTCTTTAATCCATTTTGATTGCATGGTGAGAGCTAGGGGTCTAGTTTCATTCTTCTGCATAAAGATATCCAGTTTTCCCAGCACAAGTCTTTATTAAAGTCCCAACTTACCTATTTTTCTTTCATTGCTTTTTCTTTTGATGTCACATCTGAGAAACCATTGCCTAATCCAAAGCCACAAAATTCAAGCCTTTGTTTTCTTCTAAGTTTTATACATTTAGCTCTTATATTTAGGTTTCAGATTCATTCGAGTTAATTTTTTTTTTTTTTTTTTTTTTTTTTTTGAGACAGAGTCTCGCTCTGTCACCCAAGCTGGAGTGCAGTGGCGCGATCTCGGCTCACTGCAACCTCCACCTCCTGGATTCAAGTGATTCTCCTGCCTCAGCCTCCTGAGTAGCTGAGATTACAGGCACCCACCACCACGCCCAGCTAATTTTTTTTTTTTTGTATTAGTAGAGATGGGGTTTCACCATGTTAGCCAGGAGGGTCTTGCTCTCCTGACCTCGTGATCCACCCGCTTTGGCCTCCCAAAGTGCTGGGATTATAGGCATGAGCCACTGCACCTGGCCGCTCTAGTTAATTTTTGTACGTGGTGTGAGGTAGACACCAAACTTTATTCTTTTTTATGTAAATATCCAGTTGGCCTAGAAACATTTGTTGAAAAACCATCTCTCAATCGTCTTGGAAGCCCACAGACTTGAATGATGTGGCTTGACTTCTCAAGCTTCATCTCCTGCAGCTGCTGCTTCCCCGTGCCTCTTCACAGGTGACACCACTCTGCTTTGCAGCTTCTTGAACATACAATGTTCTTTCATGCCTCACCAACTTTCTACATACTCTCCTCTGCCAGGAAACACTGTCATCTCTCCCTTTCTCTGTCTTAAATCTGGAAGATTCCTCTAAAGTGCCTAATGTTTTACCTGAAGCTTTTTCCTGTACCCTCCTGTTTCTATTCCTAGGCAGAAGCAGTGCCTTTCTTCTTGGTTGTGTTGGTGACATTTGCCTGTGCTTGCCGTAGCATCATTATACTTAGGTGACTGTTTCCTTGGTCGCTTTTCTCTCAGAGCCTTAGCACTTAACCATTATGCCGGCCATGTAGTAGATGTTTGTTCAATGAAGTGACAGACTGTAGATGTTTGTTCAATGAAGTGAATCATTGTCATGTGTTCTTAATAAAGCTCATTTTTAGTCCATGTGTATATTCTGAGAATATGTCCTCCTAGTTTTTTGGTGATGAAGTTGCCTTTTATAAAGGGATATAATAGGTGGTGAATTTTAAAAATATGATGACCCCCATGATACTTCCTTGTTTTAAATTTTTTAAATTTTCTTGGTCCATGAAATGTAAAGGTATAGTAACCACTGAACTAGAGAAGTAATCTTTTTTAAATGGTATGGCATTTACTAAGTAGTCATTAACACCTAATAGATGATATTTAGTGTGTGTGCTGTGTGGCCGTCACCGCCGTCAGTCATCACTCTGCTTTCTTCCTGAACTGTGTTGTTTCGGACCCCATGGGTGAGCAGTCTGAAGGAATGGCTCCCGTGTCTTCATCTACGGTCAGTTCTGTAACGAAAACTTCTGGGCAGCAGCAAGTGTGTGTGAGCCAGGCCACCGTGGGAACCTGCAAGGCTGCCACCCCCACCGTCGTCAGCGCCACGTCCCTCGTGCCTACACCAAACCCCATCTCTGGGAAAGCCACAGTATCCGGTGAGTTGCATTGTGATATTATTTCTCTCTCTTTTCTCTCATTGGGCTGGAATATTTTTGTTTGTTTGTTTGAGATAGCGTCTCACTCTGTCGCCCAAGCTAGAGTGCAATATCACAATCTCGACTCACTGCAACCTCTGCCTTCCAGGCTCAAGCCATCCTCCCACCTCAGCCTCTTGATTATCAGGGACCACAGGCACATGTCACCACACCCAGCTAATTTTTTGTGTTTTTGGTAGAGATGGGGTTTCACCACGTTGCCCAGGCTGGTGTTGAACTCCTCAGGTCAAGCAGTCCACCCACCTCAGCCTCCCAAAGTGCTGGGATTACAGGCGTGAGCCACTGTGCCCAGCTATTTTTTTGGAGGGTCTTAAGCAATATTTTGTATGGTAAATTGTTAAAAGTAATTAACCCAGCAGCATTTTCTGAACAGTTGCTTTTTAGATGAATTATTTTTGTTTAAAATCTACGTATCAGATTTTGTCTGAGACTTTAAATTATCATTTGAAAGTTACTATTTGAATTTTTGAATGATATAATAAACCCTTAGCCACGCAGAACCCTACTGGGTATTTTAGCTTTTTTTATAACGTAATTTTGGGGAGAGCCAAGAGTTTGCTTTCCTTAAAGTACTAATTTCTTTTTTCCTATAATCAGTGTCGAATAGAATTCACTATAAAATGTATACCTTTCTTTGCTTTTATAAAGTATATAAAATATATCTTAGCCTTGTTGACTCCAAGTCATAATTTTTAACATTAGTTATTATCTTGGCTAGTGTTAGAGTGATAGGCTGGAGATCCAGTAAGAGCTATGGTGTCTTTGTGCCTGCACTAGAGGGCCTCAGAAAAGTGTACCTTTTGTTTCTGAGTAACAGAGAGCACACATCCTGAGACCACATTGCCTTAGTTGAAGTGATTTGCTTCAGTTTCTCAGCTGTAAATGAGATTGATAATAATACCTACTTCATAAGGTTGAGAGGTTTAAATGAGTTTGTAATATATCAGTGCTTAGAATACTGTCTGGTGTGTAGTGGCCATTATATAAACAATTGCCACTGCCATTATCATGTGTGATCATTTTTGTTGTTAGTCCATAATCCTTTATCTGCAATTCTAAAATCCCAAAAGCTGTGAAAACCGAAGATTTTATTTTTTTAAATTTTACTTTAAGTTCTAGGATACATGTGTAGAACGTCCAGGTTCGTTACCTAAGTATACATGTGCCATGGTGGTTTGCTGCACCTGTCAACCCATCATCTAGGTTTTAAGCCCCACATGCATTAGGTATTTGTCCTAATGCTCTCCCTTCCCTTGCCCCGCACCCCCCAACAGGCCACGGTGTGTGATGTTCCCCTCCCTGTGTCGATGTGTTCTCATTGTTCAGTTCCCACTTATGAGTGAGAACATGCGGTGTGTGGTTTTCTGTTCCTGTGTTCGTTTGCTGATGAGAATGATGGCTTCCAGCTTCATCCATGTCCCTGCAAAGGACATGAACTCATTCTTTTTTATGGCTGCAAGATTATATTGTATTGTACTGTATTATTATTATTTTTTTGATGGAGTCTTGCCCTGTCGCCCACGCTGGAGTGCAGTGGCATGATCTCGGCTCACTGCAACCTCTGCTTCCCGGGTTCAAGCGATTCTCCTGCCTCAGCTTCCCGACTAGCTGGGATTACAGGCACCCGCCCTCATGCCTGGCTAATTTTTGTAGAGACAGGTTTTTACCATGTTGGCCAGGCTGGTCTTGAACTCCTGACCTCAGGTGATCCGCCTACCTTGGCCTCCCAAAGTGCTGGGATTACAGGCATGAGCCACCATGCCCAGCCAGAGATTTTATTTTTTATAACTAATTTTAGGGCACAATTTGACCTCCATTGACAGCCTGTTTGTATTACTTAATGTGAATATTTGTGTGTTTTGCCATAGAATATTGATGTATTTGATTACATCATACTGTCTCAGCTGCCAGGAAGCTAATATAATATATGGCTTTGCTTCTCAAACTTGAAAGTTCAGTTTTGTTTTTGTTTTTCTATAATCTGGTATAGACAGATACTTCTGTAAAATATAATAAAAATGTCGCAGCACTATCGAACTGTTAAAGTTTCTAAATACTGTATTATCTTGTTGCAGATTGATACCAGCCAGCATACGGCTGGCACTGGTCTACCGGAAAAACTGAATATCACCGAGATACACACACACACTCACGCATGCAGACAACACCCCTTACTGCCTTTGGATAAGAGGCTGTGGATGTTGTTGTTGTCATTACTATTATTACTTCATTCATATGTAGCTCCACACCAGGCCCCTTGTGTCTTGTTTGGATAGAGAACAAAAAATTAAGGCTGATTATATTTTTCTCTTGATTTCTACCTCCCTGTTAAAATTGACCAACTTCTAGTATAGGGAGTACTTGTTCTCTACTAACTGTTTTATTTGAGGCCCTGTGTTGGATACTGGAGTAGAAATTGTAGAAATAAAAGGAATTATTATAATAATGAATACCTTGTCTGTTTTCTGATCATGTTTTTGGCATGCAATAGATGAAGTCTCCCTGCTGTAAGTTCTAGTTTCCTAAGATGCTGCTGATGGAACTTTCTGTATCACATTTTCTTTCTTTCTTTTTTTTTTTTTTTTTTTTGAGATGGAATTTTGTTCTTGTCGCCCAGTCTGGAGTGCAGTGGAACAATCTTGGCTCACTGCGACCTCTGCCTCCCGAGTTCCAGCGATTCTCCTGCCTCAGCCTCTTGAGTAGCTGGGATTATAGGCGTGTGCCACCACGTCCCACTAATTCTTGTATTTTTAGTAGAGATGGGGTTTCACCATGTTGACCAGGCTGGTCTCAAACTCCCAACCTCAGGTGATCCGCCCGCCTCGGACTCCCAAAGTGCTAGGATTACAGGCGTGAGCCACCGCACCCAGCCCACATTTTCATAACAGGATCAAACTATTTCCTACTTAAAACCAGCAGTTTTTCAATTAAGTTTTTTGTGTGCATCGTAAACTGCATTAAACTTAAGGTCTCATTGGGACAGAAGCTGCGTGAGCAACGGAGAGAGCATAAGGAGATTCTGTCAGAGCACGCAGGGGCTGTGTGGGGTGTTGGAACTTTGACTCTGGGGGAAGCCACTGGAGGGTTTTAAGCTAAGGTGGAATATGATCTGCCTTACCTTTTAACAGGGTCATTGGTGCAGTATTGACAGTAATTTCTGGGGCACAAGGTGGAAGCAGGGAATGGACCAGGAAGTAGACACTAAGAAAGAAAATTTGATGATGTATCAGGGAACTCTGGCCAGACAAGGATTTTTCCCAGAAGTGAAGGGCATGAACTGCTACTTTCAAAAGGCACAGTGTAAAGAAATGGAAAATTTCAGAAATTACATTATCATTGAGCTTCTCAGTGGCAGTGCTAGAAGCTAGCATACTGCTGCTTTTCAAAATGCAAGAACATTACTTTCAGTCTAGAATTCTCTAGTCAAGGAGATCATTACAGAGTGAGGGTAGAACTATTTCTGACAAAGTTTGAAATGTATTTCCTGTGTACCCTCTCCAAAGACATTCCTAAAATATGGGATGGGGTTATGTCCCAGTCAGCTGTTGTAAGGTGAAAATATTCTAAGTGTTAAAAATGCGTGACCGGCTGAGGGCTGTGGCTTGCTGCCACTGCCCAGCATCACGAGAGAGGTACAGTTTCTACTGAGTGCCTGTTGCTTTCATACCATGCCAAAGTCAAAAACTCCAAAGTCAACCATTGTAAGGGAACATCTGTATAGGGAAGAAAGGGTATATAAGTGCCGTAAAGGGGGCACTTTTTAAGGCATTTATACCCTTTTCTGGGCCCCATCTAGGGCTAGATTTGACTTTGACTCTGGGGGAAGCCACTGAAGACCCCATCTAGGGGCTGGGTGCAGTGGCTCACGACTGTAATTCCAGCAGTTTGGGAGGCCAACGCAGGCAGATTGCTTGAGCTTGGGAGTTTGAGACAAGCCTGGGCAATGTGACAAGACCCCATTTCTTAAAAAAAAAAAAAATTAGCTGGGCATGGTAGTTGTGCCTGTAGTCCCAGCTACTTGGGAGGCTGAGATGGGAGGATTACTTGACCCTGGGAGGTCGAGGTTGCAGTGAGCCATGATTGCTCGCATCACTGCACTCCAGCCTGGGTGAAAGAGCAAGACACTGTCTCAAAAAAAAAAAAAGAAAAAGAAAAAAAGAATAAACCATCTACCCTAATAGTAAATCAGTAGGTAAAATTAAAAATTGATGAATCAAGGCCTACAACATATACATTCCTTTTTAAATTATTTTTATTTCATTTTTAGAGCAGAGTCTTGCTCTGTTACCCAGGCTGGAGTGCAGGGGCATGATCATAGCTCATTGTAGCCTTTGAACTCCTGGGATCAGGCTGTCCTCCCACTTCAGCCTCCCTAATGGCTGGTACTACAGGGGCATGCCACCACACGGGACTAATTTTTTTTTTTTTTTTTTTTTTTTTTTTAGAGACGGGGTCTTGCTTTGTTGCCGAGGCTGGTCTCAAACTCCTGGCCTCAACCAGTCCTCCCTTCTTGGCCTCCCAAAGTGCTGGGGTTACAGGTGTAAGCTGCTGCACTTGGCCCTACACATTCTTTTACATATACTGAGATAAACATTAATAAAAAGAACCGACAGGGATTAAAGTGGCTACCAGTAGGGAACTAGATGAAAATAGGGAGGTGGAATGGGGTTGGCTATATTTAGTTATAAGCCTTTTAGTACTTTCTAACTTGTCAGCTGATGAGCATGCATAAAAATACGGGAACTTCAGATCATTGTTAAACTCCTCAAGATCCTGTCTCTGGAAGTATTACTACCTGATGATTTAACACTCTTCTATTCCAAAGAAAGATTTTGTTTATTTAAGGCCTTGCTCTAGAAAGTATTTAAGATTATTCCTTTCCTTAGCTCAGACCAGCTGCTTTCCGGTGCCTTAAAGTATCTTTAGCTCTTGATGCTGGGTTTTTTTTTTTTTTTTTTTGAGACGGAGTTCCGCTCTCGTTGCCCAGGCTGGAGTGCAATGGCGTGATCTCGGCCTACTGAAACCTCCGCCTCCCGAGTTCAAGTGATTTTCCTGCCTCAGCCTCCCAAGTAGCTTGAATTACAGGCACCTGCCACCATGCCCGGCTATTTTTTTTTTTTTTTTTTTTTGTATTTTTAGTAGAGACAGGGTTTCACCATGTTGGCCAGGCTGGTCTCGAACTCCTGACCGCAGGTGATCCACCTGCCTCAGCCTCCCAAAGTGCTGGGATTACAGGCGTGAGCCACCGCACCCGACCACTGTTTTTAAGTATTTCTTAAAATGTGTTTGTATTGTTTGTGCCTTGTATGCTCCTTCACACTAAAGGCCCTTTTTGATTTTTTAAATGGCCCTCTGAATGCCTAGAACAGTTTTACGTGGAAATGGGAATATAGAAATCACCTTTAAGATAAAATGAGAGAAGGTGATCCTTTCTAAAACGATAGAGAACATCTGATGTTTGAAAAACAAAGGCTGCTGCACAGAGGTAGGAAACGATGAGGTGTGGTGTGTAGACAGATGCACATACTAGATATGTAGGGACAGTGGGAAAGAGATGCGCATACATTGGCACCAGATTAAAATGGACCCTGAATGCTTGAAGCTAATTTTGGAAATACGTTTTAGGCAGTCAGGAGCCAGCATAGGTTTTTAAGTAGGAGAATGACAGTGTTTCACATCAAAACACGGAATTTTATATCCAGAGCTATGTACAAAATCCAAAATTTTGTACACAGAAGAGCTATGTGCAAAATAAATAAATTGTCATAGAAAACAAACATGGAAGAGTACTATCTGAAAACATTAGTATTGATTTTCTCTGCGGTAGGACTTTGGGTGACTTTTTATCCTTTTTACTAGCAAAAATGTGTTACTTCATGGTTGTGGGACGAGGATACTTAATCATTACGGGCAGGCACAGTGGTTCACATCTATAATCCCAGTGCTGGCCAGGCGCGGTAGCTCACGCCTGTAATCCCAGCACTTTGGGAGGCCTAGGTGAGTGGATCACTTGAGGTTGGGAGTTCGAGACCAGCCTGGCCAACATGGCGAAACACTGTCTCTACTAAAAATACAAAAATTAGCTGGGCATGGTGGCATGCGCCTGTAATCCCAGCTACTTGGGAGGCCTAGGCAGGAGAATCGCTTGAACCTGGGAGATGGATGTTGCAGTGAGCTGAGATGGAGCCATTGCACTCCAGCCTGGGTGACAGAGCGAGATCCAACTCTGAAAAAAAAAAAAAAAAAAAGCCCAGTGCTTTGGGAGGCCATGGTGGGAGGATCGCTCGAGGCCAGGAGTTTCAAGACCAGCCTGGGCAACAAAGCGAGACCCCCATCTCTACAAAAACAAATTAAAAATTAGCTGTGTGTCATGGTATGCCTGTAGTACCAGCCACTCTGGAAGCTGAGACAGGAGGATCACTTGAGCCCAGGAGTTCAAGGTTACAATGAGCTATGATTGTACCACTGCGCTTTTCAACCTGGGCAACAGCCTGTCTCTAACACAATAAATAAATAAATAAATAAATAAATAAATAGGGACCAGGCATGGTGGCTCATGTCTGTAATCCCAGCACTTTGGGAGGCCGAGGCAAGAAAATCGCTTGAACCTGGGAGGCAGAGGTTGCACTAAGCCGAGATCGCGTCAGCCTGGGCGACAGAGCGAGACTCCATCTCAAAAAGTAAATAAACAATTATTGTCATGCCGATGTTTTATTGTGAAATCCACAGCATCTGTTGTCTCCTGCTTCTTGCTCTTTGTTTACTGGAAGGTTAAATGTCCTGGGAACTTCCTCCATGACAAAATATGGGTAGCACAGAGGATAAGAGACTTTCCCGAAGCACCTGACCTTCAACTTGGCTTTATCTTCCAATTTGTTCTAGGACTGTTAAAGATTCACTCCAGTCAGTCCAGTCCGCAGCAGGCCGTCCTGACGATTCCCAGCCAGCTCAAACCACTCAGCGTAAACACATCTGGAGGGGTGCAGACGATCCTGATGCCTGTGAATAAAGGTGAGTCCCTTGCCCACGGGTCGTCTGTGCTGTGGCTGCCTCCACATCTCCCCGCATTTACCAGGTGGTGACTGCTCTGCCTGTGTACAGCCACCCTTCAGCTGTCACGGTATTCCCAGCGCCTGTGTACAGCCACCCTTCAGCTGTCATGGTATTCCCAGCGCCTTGAATGCTAGGGCACCAATGCCAGGACTCAAAACCCAAATGTTCGTTGGCTTCTAAACAGCTGCCCTTATCTAAAGTTGAGTTGAGGGGGAACATTTTAAGTGTTTATAAGAATTTACATTAATTGGATTGTTGTTTTCCTTTCCTTTTCTTTTGAGACAGAGTTTTGCTCTGTCACCAGAGCTGGAGTGCAGTGGCAAGATCTCGGCTCACTGCAACCTCCACCTCCTGGGTTCAAGCGATTCGCATGCCTCAGCCTCCCGAGTAGCTGGGACTACAGGCGCGTGCCACCACGCCTGGCTAATTTTCGTATTTTTAGTAAAGATGGGGTTTCACCATGTTGCCCAGGCTGGTCTCGAACTCCTGACCTCAGGTGATCCACCCGCCTCAGTCCCCCAAAGTGCTGGGATTACAGGTGTGAGCCACTGCCCCTGGCCTGGATTGTTATTTTCTTAGTTTAGTGACAGGCTCCCGTTTCTACAGTTGAAGATACATCTCAGTTACCCTCATACCTAATAATCGCCCACTATTAAAAAGGGACTTTGCAATTCCTGTTGTCCTCAAGTTGCCTTTGTGCTGTTAGTCTAATGTGGGGTTGTCACCTGGAAGTAGATCACCCTCATTAAAAATAATTTTTGTATTTGTTATATCCCTCCCTCCTTTTTTCCCTTTAGTGGTTCAGTCATTTTCTACCAGCAAGCCACCTGCCATTCTGCCTGTAGCTGCCCCAACTCCAGTTGTCCCCAGCTCTGCTCCAGCAGCTGTTGCAAAAGGTACGTAGGATCTCACAGAGTTCTCGTCCAGAAGTTTTGTTACTTTTTTATTGTCGTTCACGTTCTCTCCTGATGTCCAGAAGCTTTATGCGGGACATTACCATAATCTGAATCTTTTGAATTTTCAGCATTTGTGAATCAGTCACTTGGCAAATATGTCCTAAATGCTCATATGGTAGACTTAACATTGAGGGAAACACAGAGATGTATAAAGGATCATTTCTGCCCTTCAGTAATTTATAATCAGGTTGAAAACAATTGCTGTAGATAGCAAGCAATCATTGATAAACACAAGACATTTGGCCAGGGAAATGATTGCTGAAATATTGCAGCTTGGGATGTCTGATCAGGGTTGACGGGGTGTGGAGAAGGGCAAGACTTTGTACTGAGTATGGATTATAACCTGGACTTTAAAAGAGTAGAGGTTTTTTAGCTGTGGGGAGTCAAGGGGTAGGCCAGATTAAGGGCACAGGAGAGACAGACTCAGCTTCCCCTTTGGGGAAGTGGCTAGCCAGTTAGAGGGACTCATTTGGGGAGTATACTCATGGTAAAGGAGGTTTAGGTAGGGGCCAGACTTTGGCGAGCTGTCAGTGGGAGACATGCCTGCCCACAAGAGTAGATCAGGATAGCACGGTGGATTAGAGCAACACGTGTGACATTGATAACACCAGTGTCCAAGCATAGGGGATCTGATTTTTGCTTTCTGCCTTGTGTCTCAGAACACTAAGATAATGCTGAAAGTTGATAAACTAGCTGGAGAGATGATATTGAAACGGTCCCAGTATTAGAACGTAGAACAAACCAGCATTGTACTTTAGAGTAGCATTGTTTTTTTTTTTTTTCTTTTTTTTTTTTTGTTTTGAGATGGAGTCTCACTCTGTCACCCAGGCTGGAGTGCAGTGGCACAGTCTCGGCTCAATGCAACCTCTGCCTCCCAGGTTCACGCCATTCTCCTGCCTCAGCCTCCTGAGTAGCTGGGACTACAGGCGCCCGCCACCACGCCCGGCTAATTTTTTGTATTTTTAGTAGAGATGGGGTTTCACCATGTTAGCCAGGATGGTCTTGATCTCCTGACCTCGTGATCCGCCCACCTCGGCCTCCCAAAGTGCTGGGATTACAGGCGTGAGCCACCGCGCCCGGCCCAGAGTAGCATTGTTAAATCACATGTGTGGGGAGGGGAGTGAGGAATCTTACATAGCAGTGTGGGTGGCCCTTTAAGAAATATCTAAGGAGCCACTTTATTGCAGCCGCCCTGTCATGAGGCTGGAGTTGTCCTGAGACCCAGGCTAACAGTTCTTCCCTTGTCTGATGACCCTGGGATGATAGGAGCCATCTCAGTCCCCTGGCTGTGTCCCCACAACAGCTGGAGTGGCAGTTTCCTTACTGAGCTTCACTGTAAGAGCTTTGTTTGTGCCTGCACGTGTCCTTCCACCACTGACCCCTAACAGCTGCCTCTTTGTTGCTCTTCCCTTGTAGTGAAGACTGAACCAGAAACACCTGGACCGAGTTGCCTCTCTCAGGAGGGTCAGACAGCAGTGAAAACAGAAGAAAGTTCTGAGCTGGGAAACTATGTCATTAAGTAATTCTTCCAATCTTTCCTAAAGGAATTCCGCTTCGGGTGTTTGTCACGCCTGTGACAGCTGAGTATGTGCAGAGTTGTGTGTGTGTAGCTCTAAGCCCTTGACGGGAGGAACTGTCTGTCCCCGTGCAGTGGACAAGTGTTACCACTTGATGCACAGCTGAGGGTCATCATTTTATACAGTGATGTGACTAGAGGTGGCACTTGATTTGTAGCCTTAGAAGCCTCAGGTGGGATTAGACCTCCCTTCAGTTGAAGTTGCCAACATGGGCTTTCTCTGCTGAGCCCGTAGGCACAAAATTTCTCCTGTTGCCATCACTCAGGTGTGTACACGCTTTGTGACTGGGTGTCCACACACCTGCCTCATCTTAGCTGCCTCTTCATGGGCTATATACACTCTTTGCTGCTTCTAAAAATGCTTCCTGAGGTTTCCTAATTTCTAAATCAGGAAGCCACTTCTGACCAGCTACTTTTAAGTATCTCAGACTGCTGGGGACAATAGAAACTTAGCCACTCTAACATGGTAGATGGAGGCGTGAACTGTAATAACCCTAAGATGGGTATACAGAATTTTTCTCCCCTAGTAGCAGTCACATTGCAAAAAGATTATATTGCTATTGAATTTTAAGGTGTAGATTAAATGTCTGTAATATGTGCATAATCTTCCATTCCTGGGATCTTAGTCTTGACATTTTCTTTTTAAGCATAGAACACCCCTCCTTTACAAAGAAGGTAATCTGTGGAAGGAAAGACATGCTAATATGATGGTTTTAATTATAATTCCCTCAGAACGGAATATATCCATTAAGTACATGGCATATATATGGCTATAGAAACTGCTACATGTATTTAATTTATTGCCTTAATTTTTTTTTATCTCTCTCAGGATAGACCATTTAGAAACTATCCAGCAACTCCTAACTGCAGTAGTAAAGAAGATTCCATTAATCACTGCAAAAAGTAAGACAATTACACTGAATATAGGGGTGCATTTTTGAAAGCTGTGAACTTAAGGTATTGAGTCAACTGAAATCACTTGGGATTGTAAATTAATATTGATATGGCGGTTACCTTATAAGGTTTCAGCTAGAGATACAGCCCATTTGCAAGGGTTTTAGAATTCACATCCAGTTAGTTTTTTATTGTTTTCACTGTGTTGATCTGTAGAAGGAATGTTTTACATTTTTCATATGTAAATCATAGATTGTTTTGTATGCAGTTAAAACTCTGTATTAGCATTTGGTGTTTATGAGTGAGGAAAGCATTTAGCGTTTGCCTGCAGTGTACCAGGTCCTGTGCAGGTTGGGTACGTTCACTGTCTCATATAATCCCAGCCTCCTGTGTGATAGCTGGTGTCATCTCCACTTACAGATGAGGAAACTGAGGATAAGCAGGGTTGAATAACTTGCTCGAGATCACAGAGCCACGGGTGGTGAAACAGGATACAAACCTGGTTCTGTTTGACTCTAAGACCATTCATCTTTCCTCTGAAACTCAGTATTGCACAGTGTAGAAATGCAGTTTTTAAGACCTCCCAAAGTGACGTGCTGCGTCACTGCCCATCATTAGCTAGATTGAGTAAATTGCTGCTTAGCCCCAGTTGTTTTGACAGAATCAATAGCCCTTGCTGAGGGGCCAGCAGCCTACGGACACAGGAGCATGCTCATGGGCAAGACCACCATGCACACTCAGAGGGGAGCCACAAGGCAACCTCCACGCCACTCAGATTTGTAGGGCTCTGAACACATACACCAGGTACAGACCACCTACTTATTTTTTCCAACTGTAATAGCAAAGCAGTAATCTCTTTCTGTAGGGTAAAGTTTGGGGGATCATTTTGATGTCTCTCAGAGTAAACTTTTGGTGACAGTTTCCCAGCCTAACATAAGAAATTCAAACAAAAAAATCTCTCTTATATATGTGTGTGTGTGTGTGTGTGTGTATACATGTATATATATATACACGTGTATATACACACACACATATTTTTCTCTCTCCTTAAAAATACAGAATGTAAGAGCTGGAAGGTAGTTCAGAAACCATCTTCCCAGCTTTCTCAGTTTATAGATGAGAAAACCGAGCTGGGCTTGGTGGCTCACGCCTGTAATCCCAGCACTTTGGGAGGTTGAGGCAGGCAGATCACCTGAGGTCAGGACTTTGAGACCTGCCTGGTCAACATGGTGAAACCCCATCTCTACTAAAAATACAAAAATTAGCCAGGCATGGTGGTGCCTGCCTGTAGTCCCAGCTCCTCGGGAGGCTGAGGCAGGAGAATCGCTTGAACCTGGGAGGCAGAGGTTGCAGTGAGCTGAGATCACATCACCGCACTCCAGCCTGGGTGACAAAGTGAGACACCATCTACCACAACCACCTTGTGAGTTAATGGCGGGTCCAGGGCTCCTAGTGGAGCACCAGTTCCACAGACTTTAATAGTCTATGGCAGTGATTACCTTCTCTACCAAAGAAGCAAAGTGCCCAGGAAGGTGTGTTGCTTTGAGTACACACGGCAAGACACCTTCTCTTCTGAGGAGACGCCCTCCTGTGTTAGGCTGCATCTGAGCTTGCCCAGTAAGGAACATACATGCGATAAAGAGGTCTGAAGAAGTGACTGGCTTGCCTCCAGCAAATGACGTGTGGTTGGAATCGTAAGAGCTTTATTCAGGCTTTGCTGGGTGTGTGCATTCTAGGTGAAGATGCCAGCTGCTTTTCTGCAAAGTCTGTGGAGCAGTACTATGGCTGGAACATTGGAAAAAGGAGAGCCGCTGAGGTAACCCACATCTGCCTGTCCACTCTGGCTGCCTCCAGAAACCTTGTCTTATGGAACAGGGATAAGATTGCAGCATATTTGGTTGAAATATTTGATGGCAGAATATTTTCCTCAGTTAAAAAAAATCTCATTTTTCAAAGACCTGTATCCAGCTGACTTTCAGGCGTGCCTTCTTTTCCTGCACTGGCAGAAACATCCCTCACAGTTTCTAAATTTTTTTCTGAGTTTCAGAGTTTTAAATGAACTCGAGTATTGAGTCCTTACAGTGGGAAGGTGCTGTGGTGAGTTTAGGGAAAGCTGGGGTAGGAGGGGAGTGGGAGAGCGCAGGTGGAGACCAGGTGAAGATCCTTACAGTGGGAAGGTGCTGTGGTGAGTTTAGGGAAAGCTGGGGTAGGAGGGGAGTGGGAGAGCGCAGGTGGAGACCAGGTGAAGATCCTTAAAGGCCAAACCTAGGAGTTGCTGTTTTATTGTATTAGCATTAGGGAAGTTCGACTTTTTTTTTTAATGGGGAGTAACACAACCAGGTTTTTTTCTTTAAAAAAAAAAATTCTAACAGGTTAGGTTAGGATGGTGATTTATGGTTGCATGATACGTAGTTGTGTTAAGTGGAAGGATTTGATTATGGTTCCAAAAGAAAATTTTTTTTTTAAGTGGCAAAGAGCAATGACAATGCGAAAAGTCTTACAAGAAATCCTGGAGAAGAATCCGAGATTTCACCACCTGACTCCCCTCAAAACCAAGCACATCGCTCACTGGTGCCGCTGTCATGGCTACACCCCACCGGACCCTGAGAGCCTGAGGAATGACGGGGACTCCATCGAGGACGTGCTGACCCAGATCGACAGCGAGCCCGGTAAGCCTTCAGTGGCACTGCCCAGAGCGCCTGGCAGCCTGGAGGCATTTGCTGAGGTAGAGAGAGATGAGGACTTGGAAGAGTTGCTGTAGAGAACGAGAGCCTTTCCTACCTCCTGCCGTGTCCTTCGTGGGACCGTGCAGTCCCCATGTTGCTGTTTGTAGCCAGGTATCTCAAGTGTTGTGCCCCAGCCACACATGTTCCGGCCTGTGCCATGCAGCAGGCACACACTGTCCACTCAGGAGTCCCTGCTCAGCATCATTTCTTCTTTGAAGACTCCTAATCCATCTCCTTTCCTGCAGATTGAAGCGGCTTTCACATCTTTTGTGACCTTAGGGACACCCCCCATGCCCCAGACAAGTTTGTGCTACTTCTGTGAAGATGAGGCCTGTGTCTCATCTGTTACTTTATCTCCAAACCCAGCTCGGAGGACGCCACCCAGTGCGGGAGGCACTTGTGAAAACTAGTAATGTTGCAGGTGAAATGAATTGTTTCACGATAAAAAAACAGACCACTGGGCCGGGCGCCGTGGCTCACGCCTGTAATCCCAGCACTTTGGGAGGCCGAGGCGGGTGGATCATGAGGTCAGGAGTTCAAGACCATCTTGGCTAACACACTGAAACCCCATCTCTACTAAAAAAACAAAAAAATTAGCTGGGCGTGGTGGCCGCACGCCTGTGGTCCCAGCTACTTGGGAGGCTGAGGCAGGAGAACTGCTTGAACCAGGGAGGCGGAGCTTGCAGTGAGCCGAGATTGCACCAGTGCACTCCAGCCTGGGCAACAGAGCAAGACTCCGTCTCAAAAAAAAAACCACACACACAAAAAAAACAGACCACTGCTGCAGGGCCATGGGGTGTAGGAGCAAGGGATTAAAGGTATATAGGCAGAAGAAGCATTTTGAGTTTCACCTCAAAGAATAAGAAGGGTTGGGCCGGGCGTAGTGGCTCATGCCCGTAATCCCAGCACTTTGGGAGTCAAGGCAGGAGGATCACTTGAGCCCCTAGGAGTTTGAGACCAGCCAGGGCAACATAGCAGGACCTTGTCGCTACAAAAATTACAAAAATTACCCGGGTGTGGTAGCTCGCCTGTAGTCCCAGCTACTTGGGTGACTAAGGTGAGAGGGATCACTTGAGCCCGGGAGGTTGAGGCTGCAGTAAGCCATGAGCACACCACTGCACTCCAGCCTGGGCAACAGAGCCAGGCCCTGTCTCAATAAAATAAAAAGAAAAGTTGTTCTCTGCCCCCAGCCCCATTTATATAGAAAAACAGAAGCTCCACCCCTCCTGTCCAAGGAAACCTGGAGCACAGAGGTGGGGTTACTTTAAGACTTAGGGCCGGGCTCAGTGGCCTCCCACTTTGGGAGGCTGAGGCAGGAGGATTGTTTGAGCCCAAGAGTTCAAGACCAGCCTGGACAACACGGTGAAACCTTGCCTCTACAAAAAATGCAAAAATTAGCCGGGCATGGTGGTGCATGCCTGTAGTCCCACCTATTCGGGAAGCTGAGGAGGGAGGATTGCTTGAGCCCAAGAAGTTGAGGCTGCAGCGAGCTGTAATCATGCCACTCCTCTCCAGCTTGGGTGACAGCGCAAAACCCTGTCCAAAAAAAAAAGGGGGGGCAAGTCCCAGTTTTGCCATTAAGCTTCTTGAGAGCCTAATGCAGGATGGCCTCTCCTTTCTCTCATCTCCTGCAGCGCTTAATATCAACAGCATGAGGGCTTGTCTGACTTCGCTGTGTAAGCTACTCGGAGAGCAGAGACCGTGTTAATGATCCCCGGGCTTCACTGACATTGTGTGGAAAGCACAGTACTTGCACATACTAGGCTTCCTTTTAATCTGACTGATTCCAAACGGCCCCTAACCTACAATGGTTTGACCTGTGATTTGATGTTGTGACTTTACAATGGTCTGAAAGCTGTAGGCATCAGCACATACCTTGACTTACGATGGCCTTGTCCAGATAAGGCCATCGTAAGTTGAAAATATCCTAAGTCAAAAATGATATTTTCAACTTACGATGGGTTTTTCAGGATATAGCCCCAGCCATCATAACTTGAGGAGCAGCTGGAGCTTGTTAGAGCCCAGTCAGTAAAACAAAAGGCCAGGAGCTGGGTGCCCTTAAATCTTGTACCTGGTGTGGACCTCACACACTCATCCAGAAAGTGGAAGGGCACTAGTGCCCTAGATCTGGCCTTGAGGTCCTCACACTCCTGATTAGGTTTTGTATAAATCACCTTATTAGAGACTGGACCCATAATATACATTGAAATGTTAACAGTCCTGCTCTCTGAGCAGTGAGAATAGGGGTGATTCTTTTTATTTTCTTCACTCTGCATTTCTAAATTTTCCAGATTTGAGATGAGGAAAAATCAGGTCAGTCCTTAATACTCAGAGGGAGGGGGATGACCTGGTTTTTGGTGGCAGAAGTGAGAATTCCTACTCTTTCATCTTAGATGGCAGTTACCTTACATAGATCACACACAAGATGCCTGTGTTTATGCCTTTCTCCCTCGTGAATTACTAGTTCTCATCATTATAGATCCATAGAATGTTAGAACTGGAAAGAAGGTCAGCTCCCCTGATGCTTATCCCCCTTCCTCAGACCATGGGTCTCTTGGAGACGGAAAGTCCTCTTCCGTTGGCCCCACAGCTGTTGTAACACTGCTTGCCTGTCATTTAGAGTGCCCATCATCATTCTCCTCTGCTGACAACCTCTGCCGCAAACTGGAGGACCTGCAACAGTTCCAGAAAAGGGAACCCGAGAATGAGGAGGAGGTGGACATCCTCAGCCTCTCCGAGCCAGTGAAGATAAACATCAAGAAGGAGCAGGAAGAGAAACAAGAGGAAGTCAAGTTCTACCTGCCACCAACCCCAGGGTCTGAATTTATTGGGGATGTCACACAGAAGGTAGGGGTTGTGGTGTTAATAGTTCATGCAGCAGACCAGCTCAGAGCTAGATGTTCAGACGTTCAGCTTCACAGACCCAGACCCAGGTGTTCAGCCTCACAGACACAGACTCAGACCCAGACTCTTCTGGTGCCGTAGATGCTTGACTTCCTTCTGCCTGGTTGACCCAGGTGTGCTCTCAGGGCTCCCACCGTCCCACATCAGAGCCCTTGGGCAGAAATGCTAATTACATGTGAAAACATTGCTTGTTGAACGCAGACGTGAAGCAAAGCTGGCTAGATAGAAATGGTTGATTACTCTTCATCTTGTTTTTCTCATCTGCCTCAGTAGAAGCACCTTTCCCTCATGAGGCACGTCGTACTCTTTCTGAGTTGCACGTCAGCGCGTAATCCTCCCCTGATGTGTTGATAGCTCCTGAGTGCCCCGCCTGTGGTGCAGATGGCGTGCACCTGCCTTACTATACAGGAGAGAGGTATTTATCCACCCTGCTGGAGCCTAACAGCTCTTCAGCATCTGCCAGTTGCTCAGGGCCCAAGGTGAAAGACAGTGTGCTTTCATTGGATGCCATGAAGAATGGGCAAGATGCAGTTTCCAAGTGCAAACAGGACGTTGGAGTCTGATTCCAGACCTTTCAAAGTGTTGATTGCGTATCAGAACCCAGGCAGATCCCAACCATGTTCTCCCACGAAGGAGATTTGAGAGATTTTAATAGGATTATAGTCATATTTTAAATATCAGCCAGAAATGTGGAAAAACAAGATAACATTCTTCTAGATGTTATATTCCGTGTTCCTTTCCCGTGAATTTTGCCCAATATGTTTGCAGAGTCCTCCTTCCAACCAGGCATCGCTTTGCATGTCAGGGAGGTATGCTTGTTTGGAGAGAGGCTGTTTCTAAAGCAGCGATACGAACAAACGGCTTTCTTCTGCTTTTCCAGATTGGGATCACCCTGCAGCCCGTGGCACTCCACAGGAACGTGTATGCGTCCGTGGTGGAGGACATGATCCTGAAGGTGGGTGCCTGCAGGGGCCGCCAGCCAGGAAGGATGGTTGCATCCCAGGCGGTTTGGAGTAAGGGGCAAGGACAGAAAAGGAACAAAGATAACAGGCTTTAAAATGTCTCGTCTTATTTGGGCTTAAGTTCTCTCTTTTTGTTTTTTTGTTTTTTTTCCTTCTGATTTTTAAATGGACTAAGTTATGTTTCCTCTGAGTCATGTGGTTTCAGGTGCCTCCTAAGACGTATTCTGGGGGTGGTGGTCAGTGTGCTCGTTGCTTTAGGAGGTGGCAGAGACAAAGCCTATGGTTTTCTGTACACGTCACAACAGCAAACAGCCCCAACTGTCCTGACCCTGGCAAGGGGACGAAAATGCCGCAGCCTCCTTCCCCAGCCTGATCCTAGCTCAGCAGTTCCTTTCCTCGTGGATCCTCTCCAAGAATAGGGATACCTCCGTAACAACTGCTTTCCTTAAATACAATGTCTAGGGCTGGGCGCGGTGGCTCATGCCTGTAATCTCAGCACTTTGGGAGGCCGAGGCGGGTGGATCATTTGCAATCAGGAGTTGGAGACCAGCCTGGCCAACATGGTGAAACCCCATCTCTACTAAAAATAAAAAATTAGCTGGGCTTGGTGGCGCTCACCTGGTAATCCCAGCTACTTGGGAGGCTGAGGCAGGAGAATCGCTTGAACCCGGGAGGCGGAGGTTGCACTGAGCCAAGATCGCGCCACTGCGCTCCAGCCTGGGCGCGAGAGTGAGACTCCATCTCAAAATAAATAAATAAATAGAATAATGTCTGATTAATGAAAATCACTCCAATTCATAATTTCTCAGAATCATGGCCTTTATCATTATGGTCTATTATTGAGGCCTTTAATTTTTTCTTAAGGACTTTTTAATCCCTAGTTGCAGTGGTTTCAAACATTTGGGGTAAGGGATGGGGTTAAATGTGTCCCTTCTTGCCAGCAAGCAGATGGCCATTTGAAGAATAACAGCATCTTCCATTGTAGGCTACAGAACAGCTGGTGAATGATATCCTGAGACAGGCTTTGGCAGTTGGATACCAGACAGCTTCTCACAACAGGTATTACTATCTCTGCAGTCTGTGGTGTGAGGCTTACACCTCTTTCCTAACAGTTGAATTGCCCATGAAGGTGTTTTATACTTACATCAATCCAGTAGGAGATGGAGTGAGTGCTTAGGACACTCTTAGAGCCAGATGAGCTCAAGGGTCTGCTTTGTCATTTTTAGAGAACCTCATGGTTGTGAAAGCTCACTCAGCTTTGCTCAGAGGTTTATATCCTCCTCATTACTTCACAGACACCTAGGACTCTGTTTTATTACAGGGTTGAATAAATATTAGCTTTGCAATTAAAGATAACAGTGTCCATTACATGTCAGACACGAGGGCCAAGCGTTGCATATATTACCTAATTTGTTTTTCATTGCAGAACTATTATTCTCTTTTTAAAAATCAGGAAACCGGGCTTTGAAAGGTAATTTTACCCAGCTTACCCAGCAAATACAGTGTAGACCTGGACTTCCGACTCAGGTCTCATTGGCTCTGAGGCCCCTGGGCTCGCCACTGCTCTTTGCTGACTCGTTGTCTTTGATTAAGACACTGAGTTTCAGTCTGTTCCTAGGCCCTGAAAGGATGGTAGATAGGCCACATCTGCTTTTCTTTCGGAGGAAACAAATATTATTTTATTGCATTATGCTAAAGGCTGTCACAGATTTATAAAATTGTAGCAAAGTGCCTGAGGACATGAAGGGCCTAAATCAGAGGAATAGTAGATGAAACTTCACAGGAATATATCAGACAACATAGGCGTCTTTAGAGAAAAGGAAGGGGAACCAAGAGTTCCGGTCCTGCTGCCCACTGTCCTGCTTGGACCCACAAGTGAGCCAGGGCCTCCTGTGGCCCCTGCTTACCTCTGTGCTCCCTGTCCTGGAGGGGTAGAGTGACTTAGGTGCTTTTGATGGAACGATTAACATCACGCCTGGCCTGGCGTGGCTCCGTCTCCCGTCTTTCTAGGAGATGGGAAATAAGGTCCCAGAGTTTTGTGGTGCTTTGACTCAGCTTTCGGTCTGCTGAGACTCACTCACAAATGTGTCATTCCGTTCTGCCATCCGCTTTGTTTTCTTTCTCTTTTCTCAGTTCTCAGAATCTTTTTTCCTAATTATTCAACCAACTTGTTGACATCCTTCTCATGCCTATGACAGGAAGGCAGTCCTCACCCCAGAGTGGCCCTAAGCTATGTCTGTGGCTCAGGAGCCCTCTCCACGGGGCCTCTGCCTGGGATGGTCCCTGTGATGAGTTAAGTGAATAAATGATGAGATATACGTGAGAGAATTTCACCTGGTAACACCCTTTGTTTTTTGGACCAGGATTCCCAAAGAAATTACAGTGAGTAATATTCACCAGGCCATTTGCAACATTCCTTTTCTGGACTTCCTCACAAACAAACACATGGGAATATTGAATGAGGACCAGTGAGCGGAGTGAGGTGCCCTGGAGAAGCAGGCTTTGAAGGCACAGCGAAGCTGTAACTGAGGACCCTGCTGCTCGGGAAGGAGGTGGTTTCCAGTGTGACTCGGCATGTCATGGCTACCCAACCTTTGCCGCTGCCTGTTCCCACGTGTCACCAGCACGCTGCACTCCAGATGAAATCCTCCTAGGACAGGAGTTTGTTTCCTGAGTGTGGAGTGAGGCTGTCAGTGGATCCGTGCTTTGTCGGCCAGCGTTTCTGCAGTCTTTGTAAAGGCCCCACGAGAGCGGGCCAGGCCGTGTGCCTCAGGCCCTTCTCCCTGGGTGTGCTTAAGGGGGCTCCTTGGGCCCGCCTCCCCAGGAGGTAGAAAATGAGTGGCAGGCTAGAGATTTCACCCATTTTGTGGGCTGGAGTTACCAGTAGCTCCAGCAGTTACCCTGAAGAGAGATTGGGCTTCAGCCTTCAGCAGGTGGTTCTCTCCCATGCCTGGCCTTGGTGTGGAGGGGCTGTACTCTGAGCCCAAGTGAGTCAGCTATAGGAAGAGGCCATACCTAGAGCCAAGAACCATGAAGGCCTGAGAGACGGCAGACTGAGCAGAATTCCTTTTTTGAGCACGAGAGCATTACTAGAACCATTGTCAAAGCAGTGGCAAGGGACGGAGAGGTCCCAACAGGAGTCAGGAAGAGGTTTGATTATAACCAAGAAAACTCACTATGCTAGGAATAGACTGTGTGCACCAGTCCCAGACACTTGGCAGAAGTGTAGCAGCGTTACACATGTGTGCGAAGCAGATCGCAGGTTCCACGCCATCTGCATGGCCTGCAGGAGCTTCTGCTGCTGACCCCATGCTGAGTGGCCAGTGGGGAGCGGCGCCCGGCAGGCTCTTCTGGGGTCGTCTGTCCTATCCGTGGATTGTATATACTCTTCTCTGTTAAGGAGTTTTTCCCAAGAAGAAAAGTATTTAAAAGAAATACCAGTGAGTGCCTTAAAGTTGGAGAAGTAACTGCCCATGCCCAGAAATAAGGATGCCAGTGCCCAGAAGCAGTGAGATTAGTCTGTGTCCACAAGCAGAGGCCCCCTCGATGGGAGGGAGTGGCAGGCAGGAGAAGGTGGCGCTGCCAGGTGCCCGGGTCTATTGGAGGCGCCCCATCTCAGACTTCCTAACACAGCCTGTGTGGAAGGCAGAACAAAGAATGCATGCCCAGTCAGAAATCTGTTCTATTCTGCTCCAGGAAAATCGGAAACCTGTGAGTCAGAGTCAGAGAAACTTACCCAAGCAACGTAATTCCTGTTTTCATGGGTCCTGTAGATGTTTGAGTCAGGAAGGTAAGGCGGGGAGTGACTGAATAAACTCTGCCTTTTAAATTGAGCATCTGGGCCGGGCATGGTGGCTCACGCCTGTAATCCCAGCACTCTGGGAGGTCGAGGTGGGTGGGTCACCTGAGGTTGGGAGTTCGAGACCAGCCCGACCAACATGGTGAAACCCCGTCTCTACTAAAAATACAGAAAATTAGCTGGGCATGGTGGTGTGTGCCTGTAATTCCAGCTACTCGGGAGGCTGAGGCAGGAAGAATCACTTGAACCCAGGAGGCGGAGGTTGCAGTGTGCCAAGATCATACCACTGCACTCCAGCCCTGGTGACAGAGGAGACCCCGTCTCAAAAATTGATTGATCAATTCAGCATCTGAGGGCTGCAAGTACAGAAGGAATCTATTCTCAGCAGGGCATAGGGCACGCACTGGCTTAACAGTTTAGTATATAAGGCTCAAATAGTCTATACCTGAACTGCTATAAGCAAGGTCGATAGGGAAGTGGATAGATTGCTTCAGCAAAGTGAACTGTGAGATCTCCAGGACAGAGGGAGAAAGATCTGATCCAAATGAGAACAGATTGGTTATTGCAGGTATCACAGCCTAAAGAAATTATCTTTTTGCAAAAGAAATATTAAATGATTTAGCAGTCTCCACGTGTGTTAATGTTTCAAACGTGTATCATAATGTGTATAATTGTGTAACAAAATTGTCTACAATAAATCTTTTGGTATTTGTGGTGGGTGTTTCTGAGTTTGAAGCATGGTACTCAGGCAGGGTTCTCCCTGCACTGGGATGAGGTGATGGTGTAGAGTCTTATTGATATGTTTAAATTAATTCCTCTACTTCTTGCCAAAAAAAAAAAAATGTTGCAACCGTATAAGATAAAGGATTACAGTTACATAAAAGTCTAAAAAAAATTTGGAAATGGACATAATTATTCCTGACAGCTTGGGGCAAAAGAAAACTGCATAAATGAGCTCAGAGCTTCCTTAAAGCCAAGGCAGAGAGAGAATCAGCTCCTCGTGTCTAACAAAGAAACATACCGGGTTATCTGGCAGGGTAAAATTGGACTGTGTTGAGGACTGAAACAAGTCACTCCTGTGACACGGTCCTTATGCTGTGACCATCTGCTAGCATATGGCTCAGAAATAGTGAAAAATCCAGAAACGTAAGAGCTGAAAGATTTTGAAAGCTTTGGTTCTTCAAAGGCATTATGATACAGTCCAAGTATGTAACTTTCTGGGGACCAGACTTTGCTGAGAGTCATAATGGAGAGTCAAAGAGTCTGATGGCTGAGAGGGGTGTGCCTAGGCTTGCCTTCATAAATGTTCATTGTCTCAGCCAAGGTTTTGGCAGGAGCGAGAGCAGGCTCAGATCAGTGTCACAGGCAGTACCTTACGTGACTTGGACTCCAAGTTATTGATGGAAGGAGTCCTGTGTGAACGGGGCCAACAGAACTGGCTTTGGGGCTTCATCATCATCTTGACCCTGTTCAAAGGGGAGGTTCTTCCATTTGTCTGGGGTGGGCTGCAGGGCCTAGCTTTTTTCAAAAGCTGCTTTTGGGAACGTGGCCTGAGTCCTGGAGTTCTGTACCATGGAGCACAGAGAGGCGAGACCTTGTTCTAAATGCCTGCAAACCCCCTCGACTTGCGGAAGGATCTTTAGGACTTTCCACCTGCAGAGCGTCATAGTGCAGCCCGTGGCTGCTTGAGGCAGCTCCCGCAGTGGCAGCTTGGGTTGTGAAATAATTAAAAAGTTAACATTTTCTTTTGTCTGGAATTTGCTAACATGTTGAACTGCTTTTTATTTATTTAGAGACAGAGTCTGGGCCGGGCACGGTGGCTCATGCCTGTAATCCCAGCACTTTGGGAGGCCGAGGCAGGCAGATCACAAAGTCAGGAGATCGAGACCATCGTGGCCAACATAGTGAAACCCCGTCTATACTAAAAATATAAAAATTAGCCAGGCGTGGTAGCAGGTGCCTGTAATCCTAGCTACTCAGGAGGCTGAGGCAGGAGAATCGCTTGAACCTGGGAGGCGGAGGTTGCAGTGAGCCGAGATCGTGCCATTGCACTCCATCCAGCCTGGGTGACAAGAACAAGACTCCATTGTCTCAAAAAAAAAAAAAAAAAAAAGAGTCTGCTCTCTCGCCCAGGTTGGAGTGCAGTGGCACGATCTCAGCTCACTGCAACCTCCGCCTCCTGGGTTCAAGTGAGCACGTCTGGCTAATTTTTGTATTTTTAGTAGAGATAGGGTTTCACCATGTTGACCAGGCTGGTCTCAAACTCCTGACCTCAAGTGATCCACCTGCCTTGGCCTTCCAAAGTGCTGGGATTACAGACATGAGCCACCATGCCTGGCTTGCTTTTTATTTTTAAGAACTTTTTCTTTACAGAATTATTATAAAAATGTTTACAGAAACTTTAGCAAGCATAAAAAATGTGTTTGAAAAACTACTCATAATTCCTCCTCTGAAAGATAATCACTGCTAACATCTCTCAGTGCCTTTCTTTCAGTCTTATATGCGTATTATGTATGTGTGTGAGAGATGATTGATAGATAGCTATGAGTTGGGACCACATGGTTGAGACTTGTCTGTCTCAGTTGCTTCTTGGGTCACTTGCTGAACATGTTAGGCCTGATTATTTAGACCTAAGTGAGTGGGAAGGAGTTTCAGCATAACCCACATCTCCTCATAAAGAGGCCAGGCTGGGTGCAGTGGCTTACACCTGCAATCCCAGTGCTTTGTGGAGGCTGAGGCAGGAGGATTGCTTGAGCCCAGGAGTTCAGGACCAGCCTGGGCAACCATAGGGAGACCCTGTTTCTACAAAATGTACAAAAATAAATAAAAAATGGCCGGGTGTGATAGCTCAACGCCTGTAATCCCAGCACTTTGGGAGGCTGAGATGGGAGGATCATCTGAGGTCAGGAGTTCGAGACCAGCCCAGCCAACATGACGCCCCGTCTCTACAAAAATTAGCTGGGCATGGTGGTGGGCGCCTGTAATCCCAGCTACTCGGGAGGCTGAGGTGGGAGAATATCGCTTGAACGTGGGAGGCAGAGGTTGCAGTGAGCCGAGATTGCACCACTGCACTCCAGCCTGGGTGACAGCCAAAAAAAAAAAAGCCAGGCATGGTGGCATGCCCCTGTGGTCCCAACTACTCGAGAGGCTGAGGCGGGAGGATCACTTGAGCCCAGGAGGTTGAGGATGCAGTGAGCAGTGTTCACACCACTGGGTGACAAAGCAAGACCCTGCCTCGATGATGATGCACCCTCAGAGCAACACTGGAGTTGGTGTCTGTGAAAAGCTGTCTGCTGTGCATTGCAGAGGCTCTTGACCATCTGTTTGTTTGTCTTGCAGTCAGGCCTGTCTGGTGTGGTGAGGCCTCCACTGCGGCTGCCCCACCAGCACTGCCAGGAAGGGGCAGGCCCGGTTGGTCCTGGCTGAGCTGCAGCAGAGCTGACCAGCCCATTATAGGAAAAGAACAAACAAGCATCTGGGCGCTGTGCAGGGTGACGTTGGCCAGGGGGGGTGAGGGGCTGGGAGCACACGGCATCAAGCTAGAGGATGCTGGGAGCTGCAGGTGGGAACACAGCTGGCTCCCAGGGAAAGTGAGGAGGGGGGACTAAGGCAGGAAAGAATAATCCTAACACCTGTGCCTCAGTTATTTCCTGTACTGAGCACCCCACCCATAAACACGGATGCTCTTGGCAAGCCACAAGGTGTAGCTGGTAGCGTCGTCACTTCTCAGTGAAGAAACGGAACCCCAGTTGCTCACAGGTAGCAAGTGAAGCTGGGATTAGAGCCTGAGGAGCTTCAGAGAGAGGCGCCTGGGTGAGGGTAGGGGACGGGTGGGTTCTGTGGGCTGCACCTACCACATGTGCTCTGCACCCCACAGCAAGAAGTGCTCAGCATCAACAGGCCTCTGAGGTGTGGCGGCAGCTGCACCACACTGAAGTCCTTAGCACCAAGAGACTGGAGAAAACAAGCGTGAGAAGACTCGTGCTTATAATTTAAGAAACTGAAACTACATTTTTGCATTTTAGTAAAATCTGAGATTGTACAGTTTTTAATCTCATTTCCACAGACACCCAGCAGGCAGCCTCTTTTCTCTTAGAAAAATCAAACATGCAAGCCGTGAAGTCAGGAATAGCTGAACCCCTTGGATAAGCACACGCTTTGGGCTTCTTTAAAGCGAGCCTCTCATCAAGAGCATTTCCTTTGCTGGCATGAGGGGAGGGCTGTGCCTGCCAGGGCTAGCACCTGGGAGGGACGCTGACAGGCAGTCGGAGCTGGAACCACTGTCCCACCTGCACGTCTGGTGGCTCTGAGACCCGAGTGCCACCACCTGCAGCTTAAATGCTCGTCTCACTAGAGCCACTTGTGGGCTGGAGAGGAAGAAAGATCCAAAGGGAAATCCACAAATTTCCTTACTGAAGACTGTCCTGAGCTTGTACCTCTAAGCTTTAAAAAGAGACGAAGACCCCTCAAACGTGTGAAGGCACCAGGCGTGACCCATGTGGCCATGCTGGCTGGAATTTACGGAGGAAGTTAGGAGAGAGCTTTGCAAAGAAAATGAACTGCCTCTTCAAAAGGTGGTGAGTTCCCCGTCACTGTACATGTGAGCAGGGTAGACGGAAGGGTTGGTGTAGAGGACATTTTAAGGTATTTCAGGGAATGAGACAAATGCCACCTTCCCAAAAACAGTTCCAGTTCTCAGCCAGTGTGTATGATAGTGCCCTGCTCATCATCCTTATGTTAGCGGGAAAATCATTAGTAACAAAATGTGGATTCAATCTTTAGAACCTAGCACAAGGTAAATGTGAGTCATTCAATCCCAAGAACTGTTTTGTTAAAACATGAGGCTCATCTTGGCCATAAGGAGGTCTGTGAAGTGGAAGCCCGTGACTGACGGTCTGTTTCTTCTGGAAATTTCCTCCTGGATACTCAGCATCACCATGAGTCATGCAGGTGACGGCCCAAGATTCCAACAGCTTCAACTGCAGGGGCCATTTGTAGGAAGAGCCAAGGGTCTCACTGTAGGTTATGAAATTAATCAAGTGCTCACGCATCCTGGGAAATCCACCAAAAGTGGACATAACTGGTTCTTTCAAGGGCCGGATGTGTCCACATTCCTCAGCTTCCATGGACCAATTCGGTTCCCAACTGACTTGATCCTCAGGCTCCTCAGAGATTTCAAAACTGAGAGACGGCCAGATGGCAGTTAACGAACGCAGGAGCCTTCCACAGGCTTCTCAAGAGGATGCTTGAGGCTGAGCTGGGTGTGCCAAGTCCATCGGTGCATCTGCTCCACACCAGCACTTTGGCCCTGGTGACAGCTTTGAGAGGGGCTGTGCCCTCCCGCAGGGGCCCATGCCATGCTCTCGCCCAGCCCCGCGGCAGTGGGTCCTGAGGCCGCTCCCCAGCCCTGTCCTGTCGGCAGCCATGGTGTCACGGTGCAGGCAGTCACACGTTGAGAATCCGGGGAGCTGAGGCCTGAAAGATGGCGGAGGGGTTAGGAGTGAACTTCTTCCTCACCTCTGGGACCTGAAAAATGAAGTGTGGCCACATATCAGTGGGACTTTTCCTTAACTCCCTACTCTTCCCCACTACCCAGCTCCAGGAAAAAATCCCCTCCCATCCTCTGCATCCTCCAGGAGTTGAGACCTGAAGGGTCAGAGGGGACTTGCCCACCGTGAGCCATAGGCGTCACTGCATTAGCAGCTGAGTGGTACACGGACCTTCCATTCTGCTCCCTGAACCACTTGGGAATCGGAGCTGAGATGCCCCCACTCCCTTCCATCGTCTCTTTCCTCTTACACAAATGCTGTGGTACTCAGGCCAGTCACTAGCGTTCAGTGGCCAAGGGTAAGATGGGGATTTAGGAGGCAGAGAGACCCTGCTCACCAGAGAGGCCAACGCTAGAGGGCCACCCAGCTGGCTACTGATGAGGAAGTACCTTGGGTTTTTGTTCGGGACATCTGGTTGGCACTGCTGTCCCTGGTCATAATTGCATTTTACACCATGAAAATCTGGCTCCTAATCCCTACCCGGGGAAAGAGGCCTCTATACCCACACCCCTGCTACACCAGCTTCCGGCTGACCTGGAAGCCGGCCCCAGGGCTGCTGTCCCATCCCGAAGTGTGGGTTGTGATGACTCGGGCTGGTTTTGTCTTTGTGGATCTTGAGGGCTTCACTCCAGTCCAAGCCTGGAATTCCTGTCTGGAACAGAGAACACGGTCACAAGCTTGCACAGGGTCAGCCACCCCTTTACCGACTCCCCAGGGGCTGCTGCTCTGCCCCATGCACGGCCCTGCCAATTGCTGAAACCCTCGGCTCCAGGCAGTCCTCATCATCTTCCCAAAGACAGAACTGGCAAGGCAAGTGCACTCCCGTGCAGGCCCAGCTCCAGGAGAAAGGTGTGTGGCTGCCTGGCCCCTCACCTCAGCGATCCACTGGGAAATCTGGGCTCACCCCGGTCCCTAAGGAAGTAGGAGAGGAAGCTTATTCTCACACTGCAGGCGAGCGGCAGGGTCAGGGCAGAGCTCAGTTAGCACCTGGGTCTCATTCAGAACGCAACAGCACCTGGCACTGCTGGGTCTTGGAGACGAGCAGCCCCGGTGCTATACCTGCACCCCCTGCGATTCTCCCACACCTGCCCCTCCAGAGCCAGGCTGCTTCAAGAGACCCAGGTCATGGTGACTGCTTATGCCTGAAGAGGAAATGCCCTCAGCACCGGGCACAGCCCTGGCTTGCCAGACCCGCTTAAGACTGAAAAGAAAAATAAGGCTCAGAACTTTTAGTTTTTTATACTTTGTCTCATTAACTCATGCAGAAGAATGGATCGCAGTGACCATCTCAAAAGACTCCAAGGTGGCCTGGCCTTTGCACAGCTCTGTGCATGGTGGAGGGAGTGGATCATGCGCTGTTGCTGAGCCTGTGGCGGGGAGGGTGGTGTGATGGGGGAAGGCGGGCCCTGGAGGGAGAGGATGAGGCTGGCACCGCTAGCTCCATGTACCGGGAGCAGCTTTCTCCATGAAAAGACAGTGCTTCCATTTCTCTGAACAAAAGGGACCTCCTTTAATTCTACCCACTCCTCTGCAAGATGGGGAGCTCAGAAGGCAGAAGTCCCTGTGTCCCAGGAGCACCTGGCCAAGGTGGAAGTGTCCAGCTAGCTGGGCCTGGCACCCACGTGTGCGGAGTTGCTCCTGCCCAGGCTGGACACTGCCGGGGTTGGGCTTCAGGCCCTGAGGTCAACAAAGCTGCCTTTCTCCTTGGCAGCTGCAAAGCTGGGGCACCACTGGGCAGGCTGCGTGGGCAGGGAATGGCTGTGTCCATGGCCAGCACTGGGGTGCCAGGAGGAGAGCTAGGCCGGGGCCCCGTCAGGTAATTTTCACTCCCGAAGCCGCGAGCTTCTGAAGACCAGCTGCCCAAACCATATGCTGCTCTGTTCCTCCTGCGGAAGCAGGTCCTCCCCTGGGCGCGCCCTTCTGTCCCCAAAACACTTCACATGCCCACGCTGAGCCTTGGGCCTGGCATCCTGAGCCCGCTGCCCTGAGGTGGCTGCAGGGGTCTCAGAGCAGGAAGCCACCAGAGCCACAGACGACAGCAATCCTGGCGGCCGCCAGAGGAGGAACCCGGGGCTGGAGCCCAGATGGGAGAGGGGACCTTAAAGATGGAATGGGCAGGACCCGGTGACTGCCTGGAGAGAAAGAAAACAGACTCATGGCTCAGGCCAAGATTAGTAAGAAATACAGGCCTCCCTGCCTGCTGTGCCCCCATACAGTGCTCAAGCATGTTCCGGCATCAGCCCCGGACAGAGGATTGGGAGGCCTGGGTTCTCAGCCCAACATGGCTTCAGACACATTCCTCAACTTCCCTGAGCCTCAGTTTCTTCTGAAAAGTGGGGCTGCTGACCCATGTGCCTGAGGCTGTTGTGAGTCTTCGTTTCGGGCACTCAGTAAAGTGGGGCCAAGTCTTGTGGAACTTGAATATCAGCCCTTTAACTGCCCCACCTAGGCAGGAAGGAGGGAAGCAACCAGGGAGCAAGGACTGCCTTCCAGAAGTGGGCGGGGCTAGCAACTGGGCCAAAGATGCCCAATGGCCCAGAGAGAATTCAGAGGGGGCCTGTCAGGTGGAAGGAGCCAGGCTGGATGTGGGTAGGACCTGCTGTGCCCATGTGGCCAGGCAGGCAAGGCAGATCAACTCACGTGCAGACCAGAAGCCAGCAAGGCAGGTCCTGCAGGGGTGAAGAAGCTGAGGCCCGGGGATCCTGGGTACTCCCTCAAGAACCTTGAGTTAGGAGTGGCCTCACATCTTCAGGATTCCTGGCTCTGTTCGTTTCCTTGGCTTTCTGAATTTCTTAAGTTTGCTTAGATGATGTACATCTTACAAGACAAGGCTGGAGGGAGTGGCTTGTATCAGGTCCCAGAGCTGGAAGGTGGGGGTCCCAGAGGCCCACTGGCATGGCGCTGGGAGGGTCAAGTTCAACAGTGATCCTGTGTTTCTGCCCGAATTGGGGGCAGGGGTCCAGGCAGCCAAGCTCTTGCTATTCCTGCTTTTCGGATGAAGAAAGGGTCAGAGAGGCTGACCCAGCCAGGCGCGGTGGCTTAACGCCTGTAATCTCAGCACTTTGGGAGGGCAAGGCGGGCAGATCATGAGGTCAAGAGAACGAGACCATCCTGGCCAACATGGTGAAACCCCGTCTCTACTAAAAATACAAAAATTAGGCCAGGCACAGTGGCTCATGCCTGTAATCCCAGCACTTCAGGAGGCTGGGGCGGGCGGATCACGAGATCAGGAGATCGAGACCATCCTGGCTAACACGGTGAAACCCCGTCTCTAGTAAAAAAAAAAAATACATAAAAATTAGCCAGGCATGGTGGCGGGCGCCTGTAGTCCCAGCTACTCGGGAGGCTGAGGCAGGAGAATGGCGTGAACCCGGGAGGCGGAGGTTGCAGTGAGCCAAGGTTGCGCCACTGCACTCCAGCTTGGGCAACAAAGCAAGACTCCATCTCAAATAAATAAATAAATAATACAAAATAAAAATACAAAAATTAGCTGGGTGTGGTGGTGGGCGCCTGTAGTCCCAGCTACTCTGGAGGCTGAGGCAGGAGAATCGCTTGAACCCGGGAGGCGGAGGTTGCAGTGAGCCGAGATGGCGCCACTGCACTCCAGCCTGGTGACAGAGTGAGACTCCGTCTCAAAAAAAAAAAAAAGAAAAAAAGAGAGGCTGACCCACCTGAATTTACACACCAGGAGGTAAGAACCCCAACAAGCCCCGACTCCTGTCTGTCAAGGCTTTTCCACAGCTGGCCTCAGGACACAGTTCAAGAAAGCAAGTGACTCCAAGGAGGCAGCTCTTAAGGGATGAAAACCCATGGGGGCTACAAATTTGATCTCTGGGGCAAGTCACACGGGTTCCACTCCCTTCTCTGCCATTCAGAGCTGTGCCAGCCACTCAGTTTCCTTGTCTGTAGAATGGGGACGGCAAGCACTACACGAAGGCTGCAGGGGGCTAACCTCAGGGAGTGCTGAGCCTGGTGTGCGTTAAAGCAGAGAAGGCGACAGCTAGTACCTTCACCGTCACCAGAGCTGGGAGGGCCCGGCAGGACATTCACTCACCACATGTTCCACACAGATGAGGGATTGCTTTTTTTTTTTTTTTTTTTTTTGAGATGGAGTCTCGCTCTATTGCCCAGGCAGGAGTGCAGTGGCTCTATCTCGGCTCACTGCGTCCTCCACCTCCTGGGTTCAATGGATTCTCCTGCTTCAGCCTCCCGAGTAGCTGGGATTACAGGTGCGTGCCATCACGCCCAGCTAATTTTTAGTAGAGATGGGGTTTCACTATGTTGGCCAGGCTGGTCTCGAACTTGGGATCTGCCCATCTCATCCTCCCAAAGTGCTGGGGTTATAGGGGTGAGCCACCACGCCCGGCCTAATTTTTATATTTTTAGTAGAGACGGGGTTTCACCATGTTGGCCAGGATGGTCTTGAACTGACCTCAGGAGATCCGTCCATCTCGGCCTCCCAAAATGCTGGGATTACAGGTGTGAGCCACTGCGACCGGCCTCTTTTTAACTTTAAAATAAAAAAAAAGTAACTTCTGTGATAAGCATCCTTACAGCTAAATCTTTGTTCATATCATCATTTCTTTGGGATAAATTCCTAACTGTGGAATTAAAGAGCCAAAAAGTATGAACTTATCCCCCCAATTTTATTAGTTTTAAAAACCAAGCTGGGCACAGTGGCTGATGCCTTTAATTCCAGCACTTTGGGAGGCTGAGGCAGGAGGATCGCTTGAGCCCAGGAATTTGAGACCAGCCTGGGCAACATAAACCCCATCTCTAAAACACACACACACACACACACACACACACACACACACACACACACACACACACAAAACCCCACATGTAGTGCCCACCTGTGGTCTCAGCTACTCGGGAGGCTGAGGTGAGAAAATCACTTGAGCCTGGGAGGTTGAGGCTGCAGTGAACTGAGATCATGTCCCTGCACTCCAGCCTGGGCAACAGCAGCAACAACAACAAAACAAACAACAACAAAAAAACCCCCCAAAAACCCAACTGTATCAAGGCATTATTTCCAAACCATACAATTCATCCATTAAAAACATACAGCTGGATGACTTTTGACAAATGTAACCACTTGGGTACCACCACCATTATCAAGACACAAAGAACATTCCATGTCCCCAGGAGGAGGCTCCCTCATAGGTCGGCACTTTGTAAGGAACTCGCTGGGGGACAGTGGTTGCAGGGTGGGTCTTGCATTCACTGACACGTCCTCAAGCTGAGCCGCCAAAGCTGGAGTGGGCAACACTGAGCCGCAGCGCTCAGGCCCTAGACTAGCCAGCTGGAGGGGCCTGAATAGCGGAGAGTCTGGAAGGCCAGGGGTCCTGAGCGTGCAGCGCATTCCAGCGGCTGAAGTTCTAGGCACCAGAGCAGGGCAAGGGGTGGAGCTTGCAGGGAGACAGCTTCAGCTCCGGGAAGGAAGCGCTTTCTGTCAGTTACAACAGTCTGCCCATGGAGCGAGCTGACTTGCATGGCGCTGGGCTCCTCTTTACTAGGGATGTTCTAGCAGAGGCTTAGCTTTTATTTATTTGAAGCAAGGTCTTGCTCTGTTGCCTAGGTGGAGTGCAGTGGCACAAACACTGCTCACTGCAGCCTCGACCTCGCAGGCTTGAGGGATCCTCCCACCTCAGCCTCCCAAGTAGCTGGAATCACAGGCAGGCACCACCACGCCCAGCTAATTTTCTATTTTTTGTAGAGGCAGGGTCTCACTATGTTGCCCAGGCTGGTCTTGAACTCCTGGGCTCAAGTGATCCTCCCACCTAAGCTTCCCAAAGTGCTGGGATTACAGGTGTGAGCCACCATGCCTGGCTGGCTTAGCTTTTAGAAGGAGTCCCTCATCCGGGCATGGTGGCTCATGCCTGTAATCCCAGCACTTTGGGAGGCCGAGGCAGGCGGATCATGAGGTCAGGAGTTCAAGACCTGCCTGACCAACATGGTGAAACCCCATCTCTACTAAAAATACAAAAAATTAGCTGGGCGTGATGGCACACACCTATAATCCCAGCTACTCAGGAAGCTGAGGCAGAAGAATTGCTTGAACCTAGGAGGCGGAGGTTACAGTGAGCCAAGATGGCGCCACTGCTCTCCAGCCTGAGCGACAGAGCGAGACTCTGTCTCAAAAAAGAAAAAAATCAAAAATAAAAATAAAAATAAAAATTAACTGGGCATGGTGGCACAAGCCTGTAATCCCAGCTACTCGGGAGGCTGAGGCAGGAGAATTGCTGGAACCAGGGAGGCAGACATTGCAGTGAGCCGAGATTGCACCACTGCACTCCAGCCTGGGTGACAGAGCGAGACTCCGTCTCCAAAAAAAAAAGTTAAAAAGATAGGCAATACATGGACATGTTACAAAGGCAAAAAAAGCAATCGTTCAAAAGAGCAGAGTGAAAAGCCTTCCACCCCTGGCAGTCCCTATCAAGTTCCTCTCCCTAACGGTACCATCTCCTCAGACATCCATCAGGGCATCCTGTGCTTATTTGAGCATATGTGTGTATATTAATACCCCTTTTTAAAACACAAATAGCCTACGTGCTGCTGGGCACCTTGCTTTTTTGGTATGCGTATATTTAAGATCCGCTGGGTTTCAGTATCCCATTTCATGGCTGTGCTATAATTAACCAGTTCCCTACATCAGCAGGACAAGGGGTTTGTTGTACAATGTCTCCACCTATCTTACGCTCCTGAGCTCCCACCCTACCTTGTAGGATACCTGTAGGGAAAATTCCTAGTAGTGAAATAGCTGCATCAAAGGAAAAGTAGTGCTTTTAATAGTCCCACATTAGAAACACCCTAAATAGTCAATGGTAAGGAAGTAGATAAATAAAACTTGAAGATATAAAGGCATATCCATAGGATAAAATACTGCACGTTTATTAAAATTCATGTTGCAGAACATGTAGTAACACGGACAGACTTCTACAACTGGTGAAAAAAGTGTACAGTAAGAATCTAACCACGTAAAAATATATCAGTGCATATGCACCAAATGCACATTACGGAGTAGAAAGAACTCGTCTGGGGAGGGATCAAGGAGATACGTATTTTGTTGTAATTTCTGTACTTTCCCATTTTTCTACAGTATGAATTACTTTTGTGGTAAGAGGAAAAAAGGGAGAAAGCCCTCGGCTGTCCAGGAGCAGAGCTGGGCTGGGAGGTGGGGAGGGCCCGCGGACCCGTTCTCCCTGAAAGCCCCTGTCACAGTGGGACTCTGAAGGGCTCACCCACACGGGACCCTGCGCTCGGTCCTCACCACCAACGCCCGCACACTAGGCAGTGACCGGAGAGAGCTGGGGGACATGGCCTGCGCGCACCCCTCGCACGGCTAGGCCCGGCGGTGGGAGTTAAAGGGAGGCCGGTTCCAACTCGGCTGAAGGCAGGCCATTCTGACGGCTGCCCCCAGGAGGGCGGCTGCGAGGGCAGCGGTGCGCTCCCGGCACGGGGGTGCTCGAGCACTGAGTCCGGGCATGGAGCAGCGAAGGCGCCGCCTGCAGTGCCCACGGACCAAACGGGGGTGACCTCTGAGGCCGCCGGCAGCTCCGAGGTCGCGTGGGATCCGGGCTCCAGGCGCCTCCGCTCTGCCGCCCACCCCATCCCTCTGGCTCCGGGCCTCCGCGTCCTCCCACCACAGGGTGGGGACTCGTTGCGGTCCCTACCCAGCCCATACCTGTACGACGTGGTCACTGCTGCAGCCGCGTCCGCGTCGCCGATGGGCAGCACGTAGACCCCGCGGGCGCCGGGCGCAGGTGGCGCGGAGGACTGCGCGGAGGATTTGCCCCTGCGGCCGCCCGCCCCCGGTCCGCGCCCCGGCGGCGGATCCTTGGGCCCGGCGGGCGTGGTCCACAAGCCGAAGTCCCGCTGGTACTGAGTGAGCGGCACGTCCCGGCCGGAATCCCGGGCGCCCGCGGGAGGCTGGCCCCTGCGCGAGGCGGCGCCGCCCGTGCCCGGCTCCTCGCTGTCGAGGTCCGAGTAGCCGTGCAGAGTGAGCGGCACCGCCACGTCGGAGCGGTCCAGCTGGTTCCAGCGCCGCGCCAGGCAGCACAGGCGGCTGATACAGGGCCACGCCATGCCAGCCCCGGCGCCCGCCGCCCCGCTCCCGGCGCGCGGCGCTCCCGGCCGCGCCTCCTGCGCCCAGCGTCCCCGCCCCCGCGGCCCGCCCCGCGCCGCCGCAGCACCGCCCCCCGGCACGAGGGTGGGCGTCCCGGGAGGGGGCGCACTCGGCGGCAGCCCCACTTGGCCGGGGCCGGCTGCGCACGGCTGGAGCTGGAGGGAGCGCGGATGGGGGAAAGGCTGCACCGTCGCCAGGGGGCACCGGAAACCGCCTGCATTCATTTACAAGTGTCCATCTCGAAGAATGCCTCAGAATTGAATCCAAAGTTCCCTCAGTGTCATCTTATAAATGGCCCCGGCTTCGCAGAGGCCAAGGGCCCGATGGTCGCAGCTGGGAGCAGTCCGCCAGCCGGGAGGTTCTCCATGTGGCCTCGGGACGCCCAGCGACTGCTGCATTTGTGCCAGGCTGCACCGCATGGACTCCGCGGGCACAGGGGCAGGTGCAGCAATGAGGGTGTCAGAGAAGACTCGGGGCCCTGCTTCCCGGAGAACACGTGTTTCAGTCAGCCTGTGAGTCGCCGCCTATTTGCCTTTAGGATGCTAGTCTACATTTGTGACAACCAATCCACTTTTCATTAGAATTGGCATTAGCCACCAATCGACCTTTCCCTGGGTTCTGAAATTCCTAATTTTAAAGCATGGCCATTTGCAAAAGCTTTAGTTTGATAAAGCGGCCACAGAACTGGCCACAAGGCTATCAAGTTCCTTTCCTCCTGTGCATGCATGGCTGTTTTCAGGCAGAGCTGTTGAGGGATCCTCCAGCGTAAAGGCAGGTCTGTTCAATGCAGGACACCGTCTCAAACAACTCCCTGACCACCCACAAACGCTTTTCTGAATATTTGACACATGCTCTCGGTATACACTGCAGACCAATTACTAATAACACTACTGAGACAGCATTAATTACCCAGAGCTCCATTTCAAGGTTGTACTTGGAAGGTATCCAGTCTGCGCCTGGGAGGGGACTGCAGCACATCCCTGGCCAGTCAGAAAACAGATTCATCTCCCAAAACATTGCCTGTCTTAGCTTGAAGTTGTAGCAAAGTGACATGACGGCTGCCTAGAAGTGGCAGCAGGTCAGCTGAGCAGGCCAGGCCATGTCCCAGCAGGCAGCAGGCGAGGCGCCAGGTGTAGAGGGAGATCCTGGAAAATGACACACAGGGGCCGGGTCAGAGTGAACTCTTTGTGGACTGTCCGCCACGGCCCTGGGTTAGCCAGCCTGGCAGATGGCGCTTGGGACTAAAATTCTCCATCTCGCAGGAAAAGAGAGCAGCTCTCTTTTTATTACTTCATTGATCAAACAACAGTCAAAGAGCAGTTGCTATGTGCTAGGAATAATTCTGGGTGCCTTCAGGAGGTTTAGTGTGGTAGTGAGGGACGGAAGGAAGTGTAATTGAACTGACAAGGCCAGGTCAGCATGAGAGGGAGGCAGGCTGGGGAAAGCTGGACTCGCCACCTGTTGTGAGGGAGGGTGGTTGGGCCAGGTGGGAATGTAGGTCACGGGGGAGGAGGGTTCAGCTGAGGTAGCAGACCATGGAGGGTCTTGGTGGCCACACTAAGGAATTTTAGCTTTTCATATGGCCGGGTGCAGATGGCTCATGCGTGGAATCCCAGCACTTTGGGAGGCTGAGGCAAGAGGACTGCTTGAGCCCAGGAGTTTGAGAACTGCCTGGGCAACACAGTGAGACCCTGTCTCTACAAAAAACTTTTAAAAATTAGCCAGGCGTGGTAGTGTGTGCCTGCAGTGCCAGCTACTTGGAGGCTGAGGCTTGAGCCCAGGACTTCAAGGCTACAGTGAGCTATGATTGCACCACTGAACTCCAGCCTGGACGAGAGAGAGAGAGAGAGACCCTGTCTCAAATAAATAAAAGTTTTTCACAGGTGACAACAAAGGAATGACAGACATGTTTTTAGCACTCTGGCAGGCATATGGAGAAGCACAGGGTTGCTTTGGAGACCAGCTGGAAGAACAGGCTCAACAGTCCAGGGACTAAGAAGTGAGGACCACCACGGAGTCACAGGCACTGGGAAGGCTGAGGGGCTGAATTCTAGAAATAAGAGGCGAGAGAGGGAGATCTCGAATGGCTCCGGGTTTCAGACTTCACCGATTGCTCGTGTCACTCCTTAAGCCGAGTGCTATTTGAGGGGCCTGTGCAGGGCGGGGGGGTGGTCCCAGAGCCTGGAACCATGCGTGTGTTGCAGTAGACACATTTACTAAGAGTACAGAGAGATTCTGTGGGTCTGGAGCTCAGAATCCTCACAGATAACTGAGGCTTCAGCAAGTGCACCCACTCAAGAAGTGTATGGAATGAGGGAGACGGCAGCCACGGCATGTTCCTAGGTACCCCACACTTCAGATGCCAGTGGAGGCGGCACAGCCCAAGAGGCCCACGGGCCAGGGAGTGCATGGCCTTGAAGGCAGTGATCGCGGGTCCCCAGAGAAGCCAAGAGGAGAAAGTGAAGCACCCTCGTGGGCAATCAGGAGGGAGCTGTGGACAGCAAGGCTTCTCCGGCCACAGCCAGGTTCTGGCCTCCCCAGGCCATGCACAGAGGCTCCAGCATTGAGGGGTTTTAGGGACCAGGAGATGCTACAGGGACTTCTAACTTTTTCCCAGTCACAAAGCAGGGACACAGAGATGTCTTCATTGCCTCTTTGCCTGGTCTGCCCAAAGCACGATGTGAATTAATGTTGGGCTCTAGAGGGAATGTCCCTATGAACTCAGCCTCCTATCCCATCTCTGGAAAACGCATCTTGCCTCATCTGTGTTGCAGAGTTGTTAGCAGATGTCAGAGCAAAGCATTGTGACCTTGGGCAGTGCCCCTACACCACGTGTGCCGTTTCCTCGCTGGCAAAATGATGGCTAAGATAACTCTCTCCCCTAGAAGTGATACGAGTTTAGAACAGAATCCTGTGCCTGGGAAGAATAACTGTAAATCATAGTAGAAACAAGTCCAGCCTGATGGAAGAAGGATATGAAGGACTGCCAAATACTGGACAATTTCTATGTGCTGGGCGCGTGCTGCCATGCAGTTCTCACTTGCCTGGTGAGGTGGGCACCACTCCCACTCCTTTTCCAAAGCCGCCATTCCCATCCCCCACGGCACACAACCTGAGTCCGATCGGCCACAGGAGGCTGAAATCAGGGCCTTCGATCCTCCCAGGACAAAGCTGCAAGACTTGGTATAACATTTTGAAGCCATCAAAAGACTAAAAATTCTCCTGTAAATGACTTCAAGAAGAACATACTCTCAAACTGCATTTCCTAGATGTCATTCTCAGTCACGAGGGTAACATGAATTCCACAACAGTGAGGCTGTGACGACGACAGCCACTATCTGCTATTTCAGTGAGACGCTTCAATTAGAACACTTTCAAACAGAAGATAAAATTCGGCTCAGATTCAAGTCTGAATTTACCCAAATCACTTCTTTCTACCTCTTAATTTATCTACAAATTGAACCTAGAAAGCAAAACCTGAAAATAGCTTTTTGTATATGCCACTCACTGCCAGAAAACACTACCTTTCCTGAAAATTGAGAAAATACTGCAGCTGTTATTTCAGATTGTGCTGGAGAGGGGATACTCTCGACTTTTATGTGCAGCCAACCCAGGGGAGGGGGAGGCAAGGAAGAGTGAAGGCTAAGCAGAGGCACTGGAGGGTCCAAAGACAGGCAACCAGCGCCTTCATGTTCTGATCAGGCCTTTCAGGGTGCACTCTCCCCAGGTCCTGTCAATGCAACAACCAAAGCAAAATGCCAGAGCCGTGTCGGCCCCTTAAAGAGAGAACACACACATCTGCTTACAAACTAGATAGAAACCTTTATTTCACAACTTTATCATCATTCACATTCTAAAAAGACACGGACTGGGGGACACAGCTGAAAACAGTGGGAGGCCAGATGCTGGCATCTTCCAGACGGGAGCATAGCCATGGTCACTCTAGCCGATGTCTCCTGGGGCTCTCAGGCGGCAAGGACCAGATGCACCACTACTGTCCAATCCCAGTTTTACTTAGAGCCACCTCCTTTTTTGGGGCCATTAGTCCTTATTTCATGCCAGATTTTCACTAGCGGCTCCCTGTTCTTCCAAATCAGTTCATGACCGTAAGTAACATACCATCTGGAGAAAAACAAACCAGGTCCGACATTCAAACAGTGTGACATACAAATGGTAAGTAGCATGGTGACAGATCCCAAGTTGACATTTTTAAAATCGAATGCCACTCACTATGTAGCCGATTAAAACTGACTCACATCGAGAAATGGTTTAGCTTTCATATTACAATATGTAAAAGGTAGAAGTAGGATGGGACGATGGCTGAATGCTCCGCAGTGTGTGAGTACTTCACATATACTACTTTTGATTCACCACTATCTGCAAGTTAAGTATCAGTTTTCCCATCGCAGACATGAAGCAACCAGGTCTGAAAGAAAGTAGTTTGTCCAAGGTGCTAATAGTTTCTAAGTGGTCAATGAAAGCTCACTCGCAGGTCAGACTGACTCGATGTTCTGAAGTGTCAGAATTAGCACTGACTCAGGATGGCTATCCCAGCTTCCATGCCTCCCGTCATCTTCCTCCTAACTATACGAAGGGTGGCCCGCTCATCCAAACTCTGCCCCGCTTTAAGATACCTAGTTCCCATCCCCACTCTCCTGTTCACACAGCCTAACTGCGGCCTGAAGCAACGAGCCTGGGAGGCTGACGCACAGAGAGGTTTAGTAACTTCGCCTGCTCAGGTTCCACAACTAGGAATCAGCAGACTGAGACTAGAACCCGAGTCTGCTGCTGAAGCCTGTGCTGCAGGCACTGGACTTTCCTGCAGCGTGTAGGGAGCATCTTCTGTGAGCTGGGGAGCACACTGCGCTCTGGGAAGGGCCTGCCTTGGAGAAGCTCCTGAGGGCACTGGGGGTAGAGAAAGGCTTCCTGGAGGATGTGGGGTGGATTTCCAGGGGCAGTTAGTGAGAGCTTGCTATTAAAACCTTTATTTTTGCTCTGGCTTCCCCAAACAGATTTCATGTTCCCTGAGGCAGAGACCAGATTTTGTTATCTTGCATCGAGCTCCCAGACACCTGACTGAAAAAATGCTATTTGACTTGGAGTGGGTGAGAAGAGCAGTTTAATGTTTTAATATTTTAAAAATGTTCTGAATGTGTATGTTTAATTATAAAGGGCTTGATTTGTACCTGAATCTTAATATTCACTAAATATAGTTAAAATCTGATTATACACATTAATTAACAGGCATGTAATAAAAATTCTCTGTGCTTAAGTCTCTGGTGAATTTAGAATGAGAGAAAAAGGAGCACCCTAATATTCAAATGCAATTATAAAAATTCTCCCCAAAAAAATCACTTTGTCAGGAACTCTTCATTAATAAAGTGTTTTCCCAAATCTTTTTTGTTGTTAGACAGAGTCGCGCTCTGTTGCCCAGGCTGGAGTGCAGTGGCGTGATCTCAGCTCACTGTAACCTCTGCCTCCTGGCTTCAAGTGATTCTCCTGCCTCAGCCTCCAAGTAGCTGGTATTACAGGCATGCACCACCACGCCCGGCTAATTTTTGTATTTTTAGTAGAGACGAGGTTTCCCCATATTGGTCAGGCTGGTCTCGAACTCCTGACCTCAAGTGATCTACTTGCCTCAGCCTCCCAAAGTGCTGGGATTACAGGCGTGAGCCACTGCGCCCGGCCACCCAAATCTTTTTAACCTACTTATTTCAAGCAAAGAGTCAAATACTTTAATTTCACAGGTATACTGTCTGATTATACTCATAAATCCAAAAGGAATTTTTCATTTGGCTAAACTAAAATCGGGAAATGCAAGATGACCGATTTCTAGGGCACTCTTTTCTGTAGCGGCAGCGCAAGCCAGCCCTCATCTGAAACTCCAGCTCTGCAATTGTTACTTGTGTGACCTGGATAAGTTACTTTCTTTAAGCAGTTTCTTTTTCTGTAAAATAAAATACCTCACAGGATTTTAAGAGAATTAAATCCTTAGCTTAGGCACACAGCAAATATTCAGCGTATTAATATGTTAGCTATTATTATTGCAACAGTACAATGTGAATACTGTAAGGTTTGGTCAGAGGCAAAGTCAGGGAAATGTATAAGTGGATACTAATGGAGTCTTTACCACCAACAAAATCAGGGCACTTCAACGAAAAAAAAATAAATAAAAGATTTTAGATTTCTAAATCTAGATTAAAGCTTTTAGAAAAGATGAATTCTGGACATGACTGAAATCTAGTAAATGAAAAGGAGTTTAAATTAGAAACAGTAAAGAGAAAGGATTCCTCCACCTTTCAGACCCTGGACTTTAAAATGCATTTGATCCAATTATTTTCAGAATGGAAAAAGGCCACCTAATTATAGTTCAGATGAATAAAAATCTACTGGGGAGAAGAGCCTTGAAGTATACATGGAAGATAAATTTAGAGCTCACAAAACAGAACCCCTTCATGTTTCTCATACTGTAATATCAGGTCAGTTTCTACTATTTATACTGCACTGCTGTTAGAGCTAGACCTTGCATATACTACATACTACTCCTCTTTAATCACTTAAAATTATAAATGGCATAATGGCATTTAGTTCTGCCACCTACTGGGAAAAACTGCTTCACTTAGAATAGATTTTTCTTTTTTTTTTTTTTGAGACAGAGTCTCACTTTGTCGCCCAGGCTGGAGTGCAGTGGCGTGATCTCGGCTCACTGCAAGCTCTGCCTTCTGGGTTCACACCATTCTCCTGCCTCAGCCTCCCGAGTAGCTGGGACTACAGGCGCCCGCCACCACGCCCGGCTAAGTTTTTTGTATTTTTAGTAGAGACGGGGTTTCACTGTGTTAGCCAGGATGGTCTCGATCTCCTGACCTTGTGATCCGCCTGCCTTGGCCTCCCAAAGTGCTGGGATTACAGGCGTGAGCCACTGCACCTGGCCAGAATAGATTTTTCTTTTTAATAAAAAAAAAAATTAAGTTTTCCATTGTCGCGGAACAAAATAAAAACCAAGTAAGGGCAAAAGGCAACATTTATGTAAGAAAAGACAGGCCCCGAGGGGATCCAGCTCATGCTGACGGGTCTCCCACGATCAGATGGACGCCAAGAGTCCTGACCGTGTTTCCGTGATACAGTTACTACTAAGCACTAGTCTAGGCAAAACCCCATTGTTTGAAGCACACGTGGAAGGTCTTGTAACCACAATGCCATTTGCTGTGACCCAAGGAAGCAGTTTAGCAACCAATTCCATATGGTGTGGTGGGGGTGGAAAGGGCTTATAGAGGTGGGTTTACAGCTCTGCTCTGCTATTGAAGAGCTGTTTGGCCTGGGGAAGATGATGTCTGAGCCTCAGTTTCCCATCAGTAAAATGGGAGTAGTAATAGTATAACATAAGGGAACTAGCTTGGTGCCTGCATACAGCGGGTACTCAGTAAGTGGTCCACATTGGTTTGCAGTCACCGGCCTCTACTCCAGTCATACAGAGCAATGGCTCCGCCAACTCAGCATGTCTAAATAGCACTGGCGAGACAGAGGTCAGGGTAGCAGGGTGGGACGCCAGGCAGGGGAGAGGAGGGCAGGAAAGTCTGAAGGGGAAAAAGAAGATGTCAGCATAGACTGGGGGCCAGGCTGCAGTCTTCTAAGAGGGGGCTGGGAATAACAGGCCAACAGTTGGGGCAACTTAAGGTTAAGCGTAGGGTAAAGGCACAGACTGTCTCTACAATGAGCCAGGTATGCTGGGTAAACCCAAAGCAAGCCACGTTGAGGTTTCCTCACCCTCCCAAGCCCACCTGCTTCTGCTTCCGTTGCATAGTTCAATGTCTCTGCCATGGGGATGGGGGGTAGGGGTGAGGCTGGGGTAGGAGGAGCGCATGACCCAAGGAAGCAGTTTAGCAATCAATTACACTCAAACTTACATTCCAAAAAGAGCTCCCCCAAGATGTGCCGCATGATCAAAAAATTTCCATCCCAGGATCATTCCTGCTGTATCCATGGCGATAATGGCTTTCAGGGCCTGAAAGGCAGCAAGAAACAAGCGGCACAACTGTGATTGCTCCAGCACTGACATTTCTAACTTAAGGGCAAGAACCCACTCAACATAAAAACATCACCACTATCCCCAGCACTGCACTTCATAAAAATACTTACATTCCCTGCTGTGAACGTGAACATCGGAAGGAAAATAATGGCAAGCCTCCCTTCTGGGATCTTAGTGCAGACAGCTGCGAGGACTGTCATGATGGCACCAGACTGCAAAGTAACACAGCAGGGAGAATGGGAAACTCAATATGCAACTGCTTAGTGGCTACAAGGTCTAAAGAGCAGCACATTTTCTAGAAAGTTTACATGCTGCACATTTCTAGGTGAGCACAAAGCTTCAAAGCTTTCAGTTACTTATGTCCCCAATAATAGGTGAAGGAACTAAATGTCCTTCACACAGTAATCGCTTGGAAAGACTGAATTTTTACTACGGGGCAGTAAGATGTATGTGCCTCATGAACCGCAAGGACAGTGCTAAGCGTGTCATGCGCATCTTTCACCTATGGCCTAGGAAAGAACTGCTCACACTTCTCTGACAAAGCTCCAACCAGAGGGAGTGGGCATGAATACGCCCAAAGAAACCTGCATGCATGAAGCATGTTTCATCTTAAAAAATTCATGTGAAATCTTTATTCATCTTCATAAAGAAACAAAACATTGCCAGTGTGGTGGCTCACGCCTGTAATTCCAGCACAGTGTGAGGCATGAGGATCCCTTAAGCCCAGGAGGTCAAGGTTACAGTGAGCTATGATTGCACCACTGCACTCCTGCCTGGGCAACAGAGTAAGACCCTGTCTCAAAAATAATAAAGGAATAAACTGATACACAGAACATGGATGAGTCTCAAAGTAATTATACAGAGTAAATGAGGCCAGGACAACAAATACTAGTATATGCTGTATGGTTCCATTTGCAAACTAATTTATCTTTAGTAGAAGTAGGTAAGTTGTCGCCAGGGGTAGAGGAGGGGCAGGAAGGAGTGACCACTAGGAAGCTTTTGGGATGAATATGTCCATGATCTTGAGTGTGGTGATGGTTTCACGGGTGTCTACATGTCAAAGCTTACCAAACTTTAAATATGTGCAGTTTTTTGCATGTTAACTAGTAAACCTGAGTTGCCTGCTTTTTAAAAAGACTACATGGGGCTGGGTGCAGTGGCTCTCGCCTATAATCCCAGCACTTTTGGAGGCCGAGGCAGGTGGATCACCTGAGGTCAGGAGTTTGAGACCAGCCTGACCAACGTGGTAAAACCCCGTCTCTACTAAAAATACAAAAAAAAAAAAAAAAAAAAAAATTAGCTGGGCGTGGTGGCGGATGCTTATAATCCCACCTACTTAGGATGCTAAGGCCCGAGAATTGCTTGAACCCGGGAGGCAGAGGTTGCAGTGAGCCGAGATTGTCCCACTGCACTCCAGCCTGGGTAAAACAGCGAGACTCTGTCTCAAAACAAAACAAAACAAACAAACAAAAAAGACTTTATGGGAGTCCTCTGTACTATTTCCTGCAACTTTCCATAAGTTTTTAATTATTTATGAATGAGATGTTTAAAAAAAAAAAAAAGACACCTAAGAGCAAAATAACTTTTGAAAGAAGCCCCTATCATTAAAAAGAAAGGTTCCTACCTTTTCATATAAAAACGGTTGTTTCTGGAAAATAGCATCTACCTCTCTTAATCAATGTTTTCTTAATGTCTTCTATGTGACGGGTTGCTTCAGAATACAAGATTATCTTACATTTGGGGAATTACTAAAACTTTAAAGAAAATTATTATGAGTCCCAGAGATCTCAGATGTCCCCAGTCCCTCATATAACTGCCAAGTGGCCTCAACAGGGAAACAAGCTCGGGTTGCATTCTTAGAAGTCAGGGTAACTGCAAGATGGAAGGACAGCATGAACACTCCTCAAAAGGAGGACCCAAGAAGACCTGAATTTTGACCAAGCTGGCTTCTGTGCAAGAGACTATAATTGTAGCCGGGCACGGTGGCTCACGCCTGTAATCCCAGCACTCTGAGGGGCCGAGGCAGGTGGATCACCTGAGGTCAGGAGTTCAAGACCAGCCTAGCCAACATAGTGAAACCCCGTCTCTACTAAAAACACAAAAATTAGCCAGACGTGGTGGTGGGCGCCTGTAGTCCCAGCTACTCGGAAGGCTGAGGTTGTGGTGAGCCAAGATTGAGCCACTGTACTCCAGCCTGGGCGACAGAGTGACACTTTATCTCAAAAAAACCCCAAAACAAATCAAAATTACACGTTTCCCCAAAATGAAGCAAATATAATTTGATTAGTTGATATGAAAGAGCATTAAAATTCTATGAAGTTCTGCCAGGCACAGTCGCTTACACCTGTAATCCCAGGACTTTGGGAGGCTGAGGCGGGCAGATCACCTGAGGTCTGGAGTTCGAGACCAGCCTGACCAACATGAAGAAACCCAGTCTCTGCTAAAAATACAAAATTAGCTGGGCATGGTCGTGCATGCCTGTAATCCCAGCTACTCAGGAGGTTGAGGCAGGAGAATTGCTTGAACCCGGGAGGCAGAGGTTGTAGCGAGCCGAGATCGCACCTTTGCACTCCAGCCTGGGCAACAAGAACGAAACTCCATCTCAAAAAAAAAAAAAAAAAAAAAAAAAAAAAATTCTATGAAGTTCTTCTAAACTACTATTCCATAGATGATTATTCTCCATCTGTTAAAAAAAATTGTCGTTATCTGTACAATTCCATGGAACGCTGGTTTTTTTGTGATTATAACTTATTGTAATTATTACATACACAGTTCCATCATCCTTCTAGAATTTTCTCGATGTGGCTTTTATATAAATTTAAATATTTATATGTCTGAATAAATCACAACTTGTTTTTTGACAAATATTTGGGCTTACTCCCATGCAGAGAGACTTTTTTCACTTTTTCGAGTCAGAAAGAAGAATTTAATGAAAATGAACCCTTCTCTTCTCAGAAAACGCTCACATTCATACACAGTTTAAGTACAGTGAGTCATGAACCCTGATCCAACAGACCTAAGAGGTGTGGGTCCATGGGAAGAGGTGAAGGTCTTTTGTTCTCCATCAATATTTTTATGTACTGGTTATATACCTGTAATCAATATGCACATCTGATTTTTTTTTACTTATTTCATAAACATATATTTTTTGAGACAGAGTCTCGCTATTGCCCAAACTGGAGTGCGGTGGCACGATCTCACTGCAACCTCCGCCTCCCAGGTTCAAGTTAATTCTCACACCTCAGCCTGCCAAGTAGCTGGGACTAACAGGTACACACCACCATGCCCAGCTAATTTTTGTATTTTTAGTAGAGATGGGGTTCCACCATGTTGGCCAGGCTGGTTTCGAACTCCTGGCCTCAAGTGATCCACCCACCTCGGCCTCCCAAAGTGCTGGGATTACAGTTGTGAGCCACTGCGCCTGGGCTCACAAACATTTTTCTGTATCTATATAATCTTCAAATCTATCATACTTATGTTTTTTAACTTTATTTGGTATTATAATTTAAGTGAATCTGCTCCCTCTGCTTACAAAAGCTAAGTACAGCTAAAGACCCTGGGTGTTACATATGAAACAAATGTAAGAGGACTGTGAAAGGAAGAGAGAGGAAAGCGGACCAGCTAGGAAGCCTGAGATTCAATCAATGTTGTGGTGGTGAGTTCCCTGGGCTTTCTTTTGGCCTCATATCGATCATCCCTCAACATGTTCTCTCTAGTCAAGGACCAAAAAAAGATAGCCTAGCAAAAGAGACCTTTTAGACAATATTTAGAGAAACGGGTGCCCAGCAAAGGCTGAGCAGAGCCTAGACTCCCACCCTTGCCACACTGTAATGAGGCATCCCAATACGCCTAACAGGCGGTGTCAGCGGAAAGAAGCACCCTTGCTCCTCCTAGCCACAGCGACATTAGCAGAGGCACACTAGGTAGCCTGCACGCCCTCAGCTCCCATCCCTGCCCTGCAGTGACAAGAGCCCCTATCACTCAGGAGGCAAAGGCGGCTGAGTGAGGAACCTGGACGTCTACTCCTACACCCAGCAGTAACGAGTCACGGCACCCCCTCTCCTCATCAGAACAGTGTCAGAGGAAGACCACTGAAACAGCAGATTTCAATAAGATCCAAAGTCTCATCATATCTAAAATGATCAGGCTTCAACTGAAAAATCACTCATCATATCAAGAACCAGAAAAATCTCAACTTGAATAAGAAAAGACAATTGGCCGGGTGTAGTGGCTCACACCAGTAATCCCAACACTTTGGGAGGCCCAGGTAGGAGGATCACTTGAGCCCAGGAGTTTGAGACCAGCCTTGGCAACATAGGGAGACCCTGTCTCTACAGAAAAGTTTAAAAATTATCCAGGATAGTACCAATACAGTAATTTACAAACATATTTTAACAGTCCCATTCAACTTTCTTTTTTTTTTTTTGAGATGGGGTCTCGCTATGTTGTCCAGGTTGGAGCACAGTGGCATGCTCATGGCTCACAGCAGCCTCACCCTCCTAGGCTCAGGCATTCCTCCCACCCTCCCACCTCTCCTGAGTAGGTAGGATTACAGGTGCATGCCACCATGCCCGGCTTAATTTTGAAATTTTTTGTAGAGATGGGGTCTCACTTTGTTGCCCAGGCTAGTCTCAAACCTCCTGGGCTCAAGTGATCTTCCTGCCGTGGCTCCCAAAGTGTTGGGCCTACAGGCGTGAGCCACTGTGCCTGGCTGTCCCCTGCATCTTATAACGTCTCACTAAACCAAGAGGACTAACGCTTTACATTTTGTAACAACACAACTTTGTTAATGGTGTTTTTTTCCCAGATTTCTCATTAAAAATGCCATTATACCTGGTGATTTAATTTCCTTGAATTTTAATCACAGATTCATTAAGATATTTGGGGATAATGTTATCCTACCACGGCGCTGTAGGATTTTGATGACTGAACAGGAACTACCATGTCCACATTTCTTACCATGTGCTTCTTATTGTGCTAAGCACTCTAAATGTACTTGCTTTGCACCTCAGAAATAGATGGTGTTATCCCCATTTTATAAAGGGAAACTGAAATTCAGAGAAGTTCAGTAATATGTCCTAGAAATCACACGTAAGTAGCAGAACCAGGATTCACCCCCACTCTAACTCCAAATACCTTACTGCCATACTTCATTAAGTTTGCACTTCAGTTTCTTATCTATAAGATGAGGACAACAGCTGTCCAAGAGCACATCAAAATGCCCTCGCAGGTCCTTTCAGCTAATTAGAAAGGTCTCTTCACTCTTAGAGCCCCCAAAGTCCTCTAGAGAATCCTCATTCCTTTCAGTGTGTATTAGATGTGTGTATGTTTTCTCCCCAGCTAAATTCGAATTCTGAGTCTCTGATTCATCCTAGTGGTCTTCACTGCCTTCATATATTAGGTGCTTAGCTGTTGAATGAGGTAGACAATATGATTCGAAATATATAAATTATATCAGAGCGAAATTGTATAAAGAAAATAAACATTCCACGAAGGGAAAGAAGGAGGCTTAAGAAAGCATGTGGTCACAGGACAGAACACAGGCCTCACTAGGAAAATTAAGTGTAAACAAATTTGGGGAACATACAAATTAGGGAATGGTTATTTTACATAAGAATTCTTTTCAAAATTGACCTTTTTAGAGTTCCTTTAAATAGGAAATTCCCTATTTGAATGCATTTAAATGAATTAGTATTTAAATAAGTACAAACTGAATGTGTAAGGAAATATTACATAAAGATTTCCATGTGCCCAGAAATCTGCCATTAAACTCAAAAGACACTTAAAAAAATTTTTTTTCTTTGAGACAGGGTCTTGTTCTGTGAGACAGGGTCTTGTTCTGTCACCCAGGCTGGAGTGCAGTGGTGCAATCTCAGCTCACTGCAACCTCTACCCGCTGGGTTCAAGTAATTCTCCTGCCTCAGCCTCCCGAGTAGCTGGGATTACAAGCATGCACAACCACACCTGGCTAATTATTGTATTTTCAGGAGGGACAGGGTTTCACCATGTTGACCAGGCTGGTCTTGAACTCCTGACCTCAAGTGAGCTGCCCACCTCAGCCTCCCAAAGTGCTGGGATTACAGGTGTGAGCCACTGCACCCAGCCTCAAAACACACTTAAAAAAAAATTTTTTTTTTGAGATAGGGTCTTGCTATGTCACCCAGGCTGGGGTGCAGTGGTACAATCACAGCTCACCGCAGCCTCAACCTCCTAGGCTCAAGCTATCCTCCTTCCTCAGCCTCCTGAGTAGCTGAGACTACCGGCATAAGCCACCACCCCCAGTTAATTTTTTAAATTTTTTTGTACAGATAGGATCTTGGTATGTTACCAGGGCTGGTTTCGAATTCTTGGGCTCATCCTCTCACCTTGGCCTCCCAAAGTGCTGGGATTACAGGTGTAAACCACTGCATCCAGCCTAAGAAAAATTTTTTTAAGCATCCAGAATATAAGAGCTCTGAGGGCAGGAGCCTTTTTTGTTGTTGTTGTTCCCCACTTTCTAAAACCAACACAAATAATCGTGATCATCTTGCTCACCAGCTGTTATCCCCAGGCTCTAGCATAGCACCTAGTAGGCACTCCAATATTGACTAAATAGGAGGATAAAGTACCAGATTCAAATCTATAATTAGAATCTTCCAATACTGGATTAGGCTCTCTGGTTTACGAGGATTGCACACTTACTGTTCTGAGATATACTCTGCTCTGGTAAACATATATATATGACCAATGGTTAAAAGCTATAGCCGGACATTTACAAAGCTTTACAAATGTATAAATTCTAAATTAGTCAACTGTATTGTTTCAATGTTAATTTCTTGGTTTCGATGTTAGTTAACAGTAGGGTGAAGGGTATATGAGAACCTCTTATCAATTTTACAACATTCTTCTAAGTCTAAACTTATTTCAAAGTAAATTTAAAAATTAAATTAAAAAAAATTTACAATAGAAATACTTACTGCACCAAGTGATGGTCCATATCTTCCTGTGGCAACTTTACCCACGTAACTGACAAAATTGGAAATAACACCTGAAAAACAAGTCACATTACAATAATTTAAGTGAGGTATAAAAATGGTTTACTTTTTTTTTTCTTTTCTTTTTTTTTTTTTTGAGACAGAGTTTCACTCTTTCGCCCCGGCTGCTGAAGTGCAGTGGTACAATTTTGGCTCACTGCAACCTGTGCCTACCGGGTTCAAGTTATTCTTGTCCCCCAGCCTCCTGAGTAGCTGGGATTACAGGCGTGCGGCACCACATCCAGCCATGAAAATGGTTTTCATTTCTGATTTCTACACAGATAAACAGTGTCGGGTTTCAATCTGGATCACTGTGAGGGTACGGGCATGAATACTTCTCCTGCCTATCATTTCAGCGACTTTACAGGGGATGAAAAGTCTGACCTGCTGCATGATCTGCTGAGCGACACGGTCATTCACTCCACTTCTCAGTTACCATTTTCCTCAACTATAACATGAAGACTCATTCCCAAGAGTATATTCTCTGGCTGTACTCCAGACACACGAAATCAGAATATCTGGGGTGGGACAACAGACTGGATGATCCCGTAAGTCTCTTTGGCTTCAGTGCCATTTGAGTCAACGTGGCTCATTTTTAAAAACCTCCTATGGAGCAGGAATTAATGTATCTGAAACAGACCCTCTGTAACTACAACATAACTAGTGCTTGGGAAAGAACTATACACTTATCTTACAAGCCAAACACAATGCTCAGCTTCTTTTTTTGAAGGACTAGATACACATAAGTATTCGATGAACACTAATTAAGCATCTACTCTGGGGCTTGTGGTAGATGCTTTTATGTAGTCCTTTCTTTAACCCCTTGTCATGAGGAGGTAAGTATCATGAGGTTTAGTCATTTTTGCAACATCACTCAGCTGGTAGTAGAAATAGGATCTGAACCTGGGTCTATCGCCAAGCTTAGTGTTTTTCACTACATCACAGCACAACTGCCAGATATACTGTTTCTAAATGTAGAGATTTTAGAAATTAATTTTTATATTGTATTAAGTAAGTACATTTTACAAACAGAGAGGTAAGTAAAATTTGACCAACTGTCACGTTAGCAGCATCTAGGGACCTGGATTCATGCATGAGAATTTCCTAACTGAAATAAGAAACGATACCATCTTCAAGACCATGGCTAGGAAGTGGTTCCCTGCTACATTCTTGCAAAGAAGACAGAACAAACTCACTCTTGACAATCATATTGTATAGCTCTGATTTAAAGCTTTCTGTGAACTGAACACACTGGGGGAAATGAGCTTGCTTAAGGTTATTTAACAAAGACCCAGGAGATTGAGGCAGCCGGGAAGTCTGGGAACCACTATCTATAAAATGGAGGGCCTAAACTAATGAAATCAAGGCCCGATGAGATTACAAAAATGACATGCTTAAATTCTACACTAACCCTTACTTAACGCCTGTTTATCCTAACTTAAAATTAAACATACCCACATAATTCATATGTAAGAAGAAATCAGCAAAATGAACAGAAAAGGCAACATCTCCACCAATCTGTGGCTCCCTTCTCTACATACACTGTGAGAAACAAATATGTTCTGAGCACTCACTACGTGTAGAATATGGCAGTAATCATTCCCTTTGTCCGTTCTGCAGATAGCTTAGAGTGCTTATACTCTCAAAGGCCCCGAGATTAAAGCATATTACCTGCAGATAGGTACACTGCCATGAACTGCTCTTGACCCAGAATGTTCACTATGCTGGAAGAGAAGCTCCACAAAACATACATATTTGCTGCCATGTGAAATAAGGAGAAATGACTGAATGTTGACAGCAACATTGGAGAACAAAGGACCTCTACAAGAGAGAGAAACATAGTCTGGTAATCATGAAACACACAGCCAATAAAAATTATCCATTTTAAACTTTTAAAATTAGGCCGGACGCAGTGGCTCACGCCTGTAATCCCAGCACTTTGGGAGGCCAAGGCAGGCGGATCACTAAGTCAGGAGTTCAAGACCAGCCTGGCCAACATAGTCAAACCCCATCTCTATTAAAAATATAAAAATTAGCCAGGTGTGGTGGCGCACGTTTGTAATTCCTGCTACTCGGAAGGCTGAGGCGGGAGAATCACTTGGACCCAGGAGGTAGAGTTTGCAGTGAGCCAAGATTGAGCCACTGCACTCCAGCCTGGGCCATAGAGCGAGACTCTATCTCAAAAAAAAAAAAAAAAAAAAAATTTATGAAACAAACATGGAAAACAAAAACAGCTATTTTTAAGACTTTTTTTTTTTTTTGGAGAGAGTCTTGCTCTGTCGCCCCAGGCTGGAGTGCAGTGGCACGATCTTGGCTCACTGCAGCCTCAACTTCCTCAAGTTGAGGCTCAAGGGCTCAAGTGATCCTCCCACCTCAGCCTCCTGAGTAGCTGGGACCACAGGTACATACCCCATGCCCAACTAATTTTTGTATTTTTAGTAGAGATGGGGTTTCACCATGTTTCCCAGGCTGGTCTCGAACTCCTGAGCTCAAGCAGTTCACCTGCCTCAGCCTCCCCAAGTGCTGGGATTATAGATGTGAGTCACTATGCCCAGCTTAAGACATCATTTTTAAAAGTGACAAAAAGCTGTCTTAATAAATCTCTTTTCTACTTAGTAAGCAACCAATAAAAACTCTCAGTTCAATGAAAGCAACTTGTCCTTATGGCAAAAGTTGATTAGAAAAAAATAAGCAGTCTGGGCAACATGGCAAGACCTCATCTGCACTAAAAACAAAAAAAATTAGCTGGGCATGGTGGCATGCACCTGTAGTCCCAGCTCCTGGGGGCTGAGGTGGGAGGATCAGTTGAGCCTGAGAAGCAGAGGTTGCAGTGAGCCAAGATCGTATCACTGCACTCTAGCCTGGGCAACAGAGCAAGACCCTGTCTCAAAAAATAAAATAAAATAAAATAAAAAGTAAATTGGCCGGGCGCAGTGGCTCACGCCTATAATCCCAGCACTTTGGGAGGCTGAGGCGGGCGGATCACGAGGTCAGGAGATCGAGACCATCCTGGCTAACATGTTGAAACCCCGTCTCTACTAAAAATACAAAAAAATTAGCGGGGCGTGGTGGCGGGCACCTGTAGTCCCAGCTACTCAGGAGGCTGAGGCAGGAGAATGGCATGAACCCGGGAGGCGGAGCTTGCAGTGAGCTGAGATCACGCCACTGCACTCCAGCCGAGCCAGGCAGATCACCTGAGGTCAGGTGTTCAAGAACAGCCTATCCAACACGGTGAAACCCTGTCTCTATTAAAAATACAAAAACTAGCTGGGTGTGGTGGCGGGCACCTGTAATCCTAGCTACTAGGGAGGCTGAGGCAGGAGAATCACTTGAACCTGGGAGGTGGAGGTTGTAGTGAGCTAAGACTGCACCACTGCACTCCAGCCTGGGCAACAGAGGAAGACTCCGTCTCAAAAAAAACAAAGAAAAAGAAAAAGAGAGGTGAGGTCCCTGTCCTCAGTGAAGGAGCTTACAGCCTATCCTCTGCATTTTGCTTGTAGCTATTGATAGGTAATTCGTCTTTTTTACAGCACTTCCATTAACTAAAGCATATTTCTTTCATATTATTTCTACCTTAAAATAAATTCACACAAGTTAGACTTACTTGAGGCTGGATTCGATGTGAAATATCTGATCATTGTCCGCTGCAGAGAAGGTACTCTCCATAAACAGAATACAAGGACATTTGCAGCTATAATACCTACAAAATAAATATTTATAATTTAGGGAGGTTAAAAATGAAAGCAGGAAAGTCTGATCTACATTACCCCCTTGTAAGATTCTTCCACAATTATGTAAGAGTACTGTATACCTGGGGGATAGGGGGTGAGCCAAAAAAAAGCAAGTGAAATGAATGCTTTTAAAGTATCAGCACTGCCTAGGGTTGGTAAAGTCACAGAATTCCTGGGAAATTGTAAATGCTCTGGGAGCTAACTTCCTTTCCCTAGATCCATATTTTACTTCTTTAGAAGAGCTTACTTTTCTCAATTATAATCAGATCAATAATTTATTGTCTATAATAGCCAAACCAAAGACAGAAGTAATATACAGAATTAGGTTCTTTGGCCAAGAGTAGAAGAGCTAACATTACTTCTTTTTCCTCAGGGCATGGTATGCTTCTTAAACTTACTGCCAGCTTATGGAAACATATGTGAGTCATCTGTGTAGGTGAAGGTCAACATGTCTGAGAAAAATAGTCATGTGATAGGAATTCAGGGATAATTTAGAAAACCTCTGCAACTGCTTCTAAAGTCTGTTTACATGTGGGAGTTGAGTGACTTTCCTTTTTCTGTAAGTGTTGATGTTGTTAGTACTACGAAATTGAGGTTTATTCGATAATATAATTAACTTGTTACATTTTAGATAAGAAATTATTATTGAAAACTACAAACTTCAAAAAATATATTAATTTTATGAATTGCCACAACTCCTTCACATAGCAGGTATTCCTCTACTTGTTGAATTAAAATAAACATTTGTCATTCCTCCAGTCTCTGTAGGCAACAGGCAAGTAGCACTTTCACCTTCTTCGATGCCAATAAGGACTGATTTCAATAACATACTGGTAAGAGGATTTACTTTAGAAAACATTCTTTGTCTTGTCCCTGGCAGCTGATCTACATCTCGGTGTTACCTGTGGCTTCCGCAGTTGCTCATTCTGTAAGGTTCTCAGCTAGCCCCTGGCATTTCTAGTCTGTCCAGTTTTTGCTCTCCCACTTGAGAGGTGGGAAAGGAAGCTACATTTTTCACAGATCTTAAGACATTTTTTCCATTTTAATATCTGAAATCAGGATGCATCTTATAACTGGTAGCATTTTTTCTTTCTCCGTAGTACATTAAATAAAATTTTACTGCATTTTGTTGAACTGATTCCATCAGTTGTATCAGATGTCTCACTAGCAGGGACTGTGACAGCATTATACCACCTTTGGTAAATAATTACCCAGAACTCTTTTAAAGATGGTGAGAGGGACAGCATTTATGCAAAGATGGGAAAAGGGATCATACACAAGGCAATGAAGAGCGAAGAGCACTGTGTACACCTCCCAATGTGGAGCCTGGAACCCTGGGAAGGGCAGGCGGGCAGAGCCTCCTCACAGGGACTGGAGTCTTGGGAGGTTTACCCTATAGGAAGAGAGCAGTGATTCGTGTTGCTCTGGATTCCTTAGATTCCTTTGGGAGAGTTAATCATCTTTACTACCCAGAGTGCACCCTTAGGTCTAGGTTGTCATACCCAGTGATTGATATCTTAGGGTAAAGACGACCTGAGAATGGTCTGGCCATGATCATAAAGATCGGATTGCTATGATCATGATCAGTCAGGGCTTTGGTGTTTTATTCTAATTGTGGTTCAAGGCAAAGAGAGCAAGATGGGGTCCCTGATCCTGCCTACTAGGCTGAAAAATGGCAACGACTACTCTGCTTCCTCTGTCAGTTCCATGGGCAACTTCCTCAAACCACAGACACACAGCACACCCAGCTTCTGGAAACCACAGGCACCACAGCACTGTCAAGACGAGGATATGTTTCTGGATAAAGTGATTAAAATAAAGGAAAATACATGAAAAAAAATGAAAGATAAAGGCCGGGTGCGGTGGCTCACGTCTGTAATCCCAGCAGTACTTTGGGAGGCTGAGGCGGACGGATCACCTGAGGTCGGGAGTTCGAGACCAGCCTGACCAACATGAAGAAACCTCGTCTCTACTAAAAATACAAAATTAGCTGGGCGTGGTGGTGCATGCCTGTAGTCCCGGTTACTCAGGAGGCTGAGGCAGGAGAATCACTTGAACCCAGGAGGCGGAGGTTGAGGTGAGCCGAGATCACGCCATTGCACTCCAGCCTGGGCAACAAGAGGGAAACTGTCTCAAAAAAAAAAAAAGCGGGGGGAAAGATAACCAAAGACATTGAGGTTAACAGTAGACAAAGAGTTAACACTGCTAAGTTTTCAATCCAAACGCAAGAAGCTTTTCTGATAAATAATGAGTACTGGCACTGAAACAGACTGTAGCCAAAATCCCTTACTTCATAAGCCAGTGGTCATCAAACTGCTTTCATGGGGCACCCCATTAGTAAACACCATCCATTAGTAACAGACACATCCCATATATGTATACTTATTAACAAATTATGTACGTGAACCACTATAAATTCATAAGACACACTTAACAAATTTAAAAGAAATAAGAAAAGTGAAATGCACATACTTTCTTCTTTGTAAACCCTATTCTGAAGGCCAGTTATAGATGAGAAAAACAGGCTCTAAAAGGTACAAGTTGTCAGAGGGCCAAATTCAGTGGCCAAGCCAGAATTCCTAATCTAGTGCTCTTTCTACTATACATCAAGACATGGGTAGCCAGGAGGATTTATTTTGACCTTGGTCACTCTAGGACTTCAGACACCACATAAAAACGGCTTCCTTGCTGGGAAACAGCATATGCTGGTCCCCAGAAGCGGATGAGCATGAGAGGATGTGTGGCAATCCTAGGCCTACTGAGGCAGTACTGCATTTTGGCTAAAAGTATGGGTGAAGGAGTCCAGCAGAAGTGACTCTGTCCTACTTACATTATAACCTGGGGAAGAGGCCTAACCGCTCAGCTTGTTTCCTCTTCTGTAAAATGAGAATAATAAAATCTACCTGAAAGGGTTGAACGGGCCGGGTGTGGTGGCTCACGCCTATAATCCTAGCACTTTGGGAGGTCCAGGCAGGAGGATCCATCCCTTGAGCCTAGAAATTTGAGACCACCCTGGGCAACATAGTGAGACCTCCTCTTTACAAAAAAATGAACAAAATCAGCTGGGCATGGTGGCACATGCTTGGGTCCTAGCTATTTGGGAGGCTAAGGTGGGAGGATTGCTTGAGCCCAGGAGGTCAAGTCTGCAGTGAGCCAAAATTGCACCACTGTACTCCAGTCTGGGCGACAGAGGGAGACCCTGTCTCAAAATAAATAAATAAATAAATAAAAAGAAAAAAAAGGGCTGAGTGACGATGAAATGAGAAAACATGATGAAATGTAGCAGTCACACAGTGAACCAGCAAATGGAAAACATGGTGAAAAGAGAATGGCCTTTTCAAGTCTGAATCCTAAGTATGTCACTTAGCAGTTTTGTGGCCTGTGGCACTTTATTCCCTCATTTGTAAAATGAGGACAATACCTCCTACCTCATAAAGGTTGTAGTGAGGCTTAAATAAGATAGTACATGCACCTAGCATGCAAATGAACAAAGAATAATGGTTTCCTCCTCTCTCCTTTTCCTTTGAGAAATAGAAGAGCTTAAGTTTTGTATATCTCCACTTAGGAGGGATGTCACCTGCTTCTTCCTGACTCGGTAACTCTTGGACAAGCTTGGCACTACTGATTCAGGAAGGCACTGCTGTCCTAGTGCCTACCCTCACACCTGTGTAACGCACTGGACTATGTCAGTGAAAAATAACAAAGTAAGGAGCTCTGAAAACTCTCCTTCATAAGAGCAATGAAAGAACTGGCAAAAAATGTCAGAATCAACCTTTTCAGAACTCTGGAAACTAATCAAAGGCTTATAGCAAACCAGGGTGTATTTACTTAAGAAAAACAGCTGAATCTCAAAACACCTAGCTTTGCAGCGTTTTTTGTTTGTTTATTCATTTTTTTCTTTTTTGAGACGGAGTCTCGCTGTCTCCCAGGCTGGAGTGCAGTGGCGCAATCTCCGCTCACTGAAAGCTCCGCCTCCCGGGTTCACACCATTCTCCTGCCTCAGCCTCCCGAGTAGCTGGGACTACAGGCACCCGCTACCACGCCCAGCTAATTTTTTGTATTCTTAGTAGAGACCGGGTTTCACCATGTCAGCCAGGATGGTCTCAATCTCCTGACCTCGTGATCTGCCCGCGTCGGCCTCCCAAAGCTTTGCAGCATTTTAACTTGGCCTAGTCCAATCCCCCACTCTCTAGTTACAAGGTAGTCTTGAAAACCGAGGTAGCTGGTAGAATGGAGCTGGAGCTCTTTCAAAGCCTCATTCCCAAAGAATTGTCATTATTTGACCTGGCTGTTGATTCCATGCAAAACCCACTTTCAGGGCTGTCTGTTTAACCTGACTGGGAGCTCCCCAAGTATAAAACTTTTCACAGAGGGCATTTGTCAAAAACAATGACAGGTAAGTGTTTTAAGTTTGAGGCTGCCTGAGATGATGGATAACACTTGGGGGCAAATAAGAGACTAATCAAAAATCTTGAGGAAAAGCAGGGGAATAAGATTTCCATAGAAACTCTGAAAACCTCTAACATATTCCTGGACTCTACAAGGCCACATGCATAGTAAGACAAAATAGACCTTAAGACAAAATTCATTGCTAGAGAAAAAGGAGGATATTATATAATGATGAAAAGGTCAATCCATCAAGAAATAGCAATTAGAAACATATGTACCTAACAAAAGAATCTCAAAAATGAAGAAAAATGGACAGAACTAAAGGAATAAATAACAATAATAGCTGGAGACTTCAGAACTCTATTTATAATAATGGAGAGAATAATTAAATGATCAGCAAGGAAGCAAAAGACTTCAGCAGCTCTATAAAACGACTAGACCTAACAGACATCTATAGAACACACCACCCAACAAAAACAGAATATACATTCTTCTCAAGTGCACATGCAGCACATTCCAGGATATGTTCAGTCACAAAACAACTCTCAATAAACTTAAACTAAAACACTAAAATTATACAAACTATGTCCTCTGATCACTTGGAATGAAATTACAAATCAATACAGAAATAAATTCAGAAAATTCACCAGTATATGGAAATTAACAAACTCCTAAATAACCAACGGTTCAAAGAAGAAATCACGAGGGCAACTAGGAAACTCAGATGAATGAAAACAAAAATACAATATACCAAAATTTATAGGAGGCAACAAAAGTGGTGCTATGAATGCCCACATTAAAAAAAGAGATCTCAATTCAATAATCTAACTTTTCACCTTAAGAAAGTGTAGAGAGGAGCAAACTAAAACCAAAGGAAGCAGAAGGAAAGAATGAAGAACATACGTAAATGAATAGAAAAATAACAGAAAAATTAATAAATCCAAAAGTTGGATTTGTTTGAAATGATCAATAAAATTGACAAACTTTTAGCTACAGTGACAAAGAAAAAAAGACTCAAATTACAAAAGTCATCTCATACAGGTCTGAGATTTGCTAAAAAAGAAAAATAAAAATAAAAACAAATTACTAAAATCAGGAATGAAAGCAGAATGTTACTACGAACCTTATAGAAATCAGAATTACTACAAAATACAATGAACAATTATATACCAACAAATGAGAATAACTTAGATGAAATTTAAAATTCCTAGAAAGATACAAACTACTAAAATTGACTCGAAGAAATAGAAAATCTGAACAGACCAAGAGTAAGTAAAGAGACTGAATTAGTAATTCAAAAAACTTACCACAAAGAAAACCCCAGAGCCAGATTAGGTGTTAGGTGCCTATGTTTCTCATTGGCTTCACTAGTATTTGAGTTTCCTACAGCTGTTGTAACACAAACTTGGTGGCTTAAAACAAAAATCTATTCTCTTCCAGTTCTGGAAGCTAGAAGTCTGAAATCAAGGTGTAAAGTGTCAGCAGGGCCATGCTTCCTTTTGAAGGGTCTAGGGAAGTGTCCTTCCTCCCCTCTTCCTAGCTTCTGGTGGCTCTCGACAATTCTTGGCATTGTTTGGCTTACAGGTGCATCACTCCAATCTCTGCCACCATCTCTTTGGTCTTGTTTTCTGTATTTTTCTTTGTCCTCTCTTCTTCTTATAAGGACATGAGTCAATGGATTTAAGGTACATCCTAATGTAATATGATCTCTCTGTAACTAATCAAATCTGCAAAGACCCTATTTCAAGTAAAGTAACATTCTGTGGTTCTACGTGGACACAAATTTTGGGGAAGCACACTATTCAACTTACTACAACTGGGAAATTCTACCAAATATAAAAGAGAATTAACACCAATCCTTCTCAAACTCTTTCAAAAAATAGAAGAGGAAGGAACATTCTATGTAGCCACTATCACCTCCGTATCAAAACCAAAGACATCACAAAAAACTATCAATATTCCTTTATGAAAAGAGATGCAAAAATCCTCAAGAAAATATTGGCAAACCAAATCCAGCCATATATAAAAAGGATTATAAATCATGACCAAGTGGAATTTGTCACAGGAATGCCAGCTTGGTTCAACATATGAAAAATCAATGTAATATTTCATATTAACAGTTGGAAGACTCACAATTCATAGTTTCAGAATTTACAACACAAACCTACAGGAATAAAGACAATGTAGTATTAGAATAAGGTCAGATATATAGATCAATGGACAGAATTGACAGTCCAGAAATACACCCATACGATTACGGTCACCTGATTTTTGACTAAGGTTCCAAAACAATTCACTAGGGGAAAGAATAGTCTTGTCAAAAAATGGTGCTCAGACAAGTGGATAGCCATAAGCACAGAATGAGTTTGGACCCCTATCTCAAATCTCAAATACAAACATTAACTCCGAATTAATCAAATGCCTAAATTTAAGAGCTAAAATTTTAAAGCTCTTAGAAGAAAACATAGGTACACATCTTTGTGACTTTGAATTAGGTCACGGTTTCCTTGACATGACACTTAAAAGTACAAGCAACAAAAGAAAAAAATAGATAAAATGAACTTCAGCAAAATTAGAATGTTTATGCTTCAGAAAACACTGTGAAGAAAGTGATCAGACAACTCACAGAATGGGAAAAATATTTGTGAATCATATCTCTTAATAAGGGTCTAGTATCCAGAATATATAAATAACTTTTACAACTCAATAAAAAGATAAATAGCTATTTTTAAATGGGAAAAAGATTTGGAGAAACAGGCATTTCTCCGAAGAAGAATAAATATACAATAAGACATGAAAAGATGTTCATTAGTCATTAAGGAAAGGCAAATCAAAACCACAGTGATACACCCCTTCACACTCACCAGGATGGATATAATAAAGGCAACAAAATGGGAGAAAATGTGCAAATCATATCCAATAAGGGATTAATATCCAGAATATATAAAAAAAAACTCAACAACCCAATGTAAAAATGGGAAAGGAAGTAAATAGACAGTTCTCCAGAGAAGAAACACAAATACTCAATAAGCACATGAAAAGATGCTCACCATTACTAGTCACTAGCAAAATGGAAATCAAAACTATACCCATTACGATGGCTATTATCACATTTAAAAAAAAGGAAAATAGGCCAGGCATGGTGGCTCACACCTGTAATCCCAGCACTTTGGGAGGCCGGGGCAAGAGGATTATTTGAGCCCAGGAGTTCGAAAGCAGCCTGGGCAACTTGGCAAGACCTCATCTCTACAGAAAATTAAAAAATTAGCCAGGTGTGGTGGCGCGTGCCTATGGTCCCAGCTACTCAAGAGGCTGTGGAAGGAGGGTTGTTTGAGACCAGGTTGAGGTTGTAGTGAGCCATGTTCATACAACTGCACTCCAGCCTGAGTGACAGAGCGAGACTCTGTCTCAAAAAAATTAAAAACAGTATTGCCAAGGATGTGGGGATGTCAGAACCTTTGTACATCACAGCATTAGTCACAATAACCAAGAGATGGAGACAACCCAAATGTCCATCAACAGAAGAATGGATAACCAAAATGTGGTAAATACATAGAATGGAATATTTGAGCTTTACAAAGGAAATTTTCATCATGCTACAATATCGACGAACCATTAAAACGCTATGCTATGCAAAAGAAGCTGGACCAAAAAGAAAAAAAAATTATGGTTCCACTTATATGAAGGATCTAGAATAGACAAACTCACAGAGACAGAAAGTAGAATGCGGTTACTAGTGGCTGAGGGGAGGGGGTAATAGGGAGCTATTGTTTAACAGGTTCAGTGTTTCTGTTTGGGATAATGAAAAAGTCCTGGAAATAGATAGTAGTGACGGTTATACAACACTGTCTGAAACTCCTGGCCTCAGCCAATCCTCCCACCTCCGCCTCCCAAAGTGCTGGGATTACAGGCATGAGCCACCATGCCCAACCTACAACACTGTGAATGTACTTAAAGCAACTAAAGTGTGCACTAAAAAATGTCTATAATGGCAAATTTTATGTTATATATATTTTACAATTAAAAAATACAAAAAAAATTGTAGTTGCTGATAGAAAAGACAGGCAATAACAGATGGAATCCTCACACTACTTGAAGGAGTGGAAAATGGTGTAGCTACCTATGGAAAACAATTTGATAGTTCTTCAAAAAGAAAACAAAGGGAAAACTGGATACCCACATGCAAAAGACAGCAGCTAGATCTTTATCTTATACCAATATACAAAAATTAACTCAAAATGGATTAAAGACCTAAATGTTAGACCCTCAACTATAAAACTCCTAGAAGAAAACAGAAGAGAAGCCTCATGACACTGGACTTGGTAATGATTTCTTGGCTATGACACCAAAGGCACAGGCAACAAAAGAAAAAATAGACAACTGGGACTATATCAAACTTAAAAACTTTTGTGTATCAAAAGATACAATCAAAAGAGTAAAAAAGCAGAAATAAATCACAGAATGGAAGTATTTGCAAATAATGTATCTGAAAAGGGGGTGATATCAAGAACAAATAAAGAATGCTTATAACTCAGGCGGGTGCAAGTGGCTCATGCCTGTAAACCCAGCACTTTGGGAGGCTGAGGTAGGTGGATCATTTGAAGTCAGGGTTTCGAGACCAGCCTGGCCAACATGGCGAAACCCCATCTCTACTAAAAAGTACAAAAATTAGCCAGGCGTGGTGGCACACGCCTGTAATCCCAGCTGAGGTGGGAAGAGTGCTTGAACCCAGGAGATGGAGATTGCAGTGAGCCGAGATCGCTCCACTGCACTCTGGTCTGGGCGAAAGAGCAAGACTCTGTCTCAAAAAAACAAACGAAAAAGAATGCTTATAACTCAACAACAAAAAAAAATCAAATAACTCGAGTACTTGAAATACATTTTTCCAGAGATGATAAAACAAATGGCCAACGAGCACGTGAAAAGATGCTCAACATCACTAATCACCAGAAAAAGCAAATCAAAACCACAGTGAGGTATTATCTCACACTCATCAAGATGGCTACTGTCAAACACCTACACACTCACACAAAGAGAAAATAACAAATGTTGGCAAGAATGTGAGAAATTGGAAGACTTGAGCGCTGTTGGCGAGAATGTAAAATGGTACAACCGCCATGGAAAACAGCGTGAGAATTCCTCAAAAAATTAAAAATACAATAACCATGTGATCCACCAATCCTGTAACTGGATATACATCCAAAAGAATTGGCCAGGTGTGGTGGCTCATGCCTGTAATCCCAGCACTTTGGGAGGCCGAGGCAAGTGGATCACCTGAGGTCAGGAGTTTGAGACCAGCCTGACCAATATGGTGAAACCCTGTCTCTACCAAAAAAAAAAATACAAAAATTAGCCGGGCATGGTGGTGTACACCTGTAGTCCCAGCCACTCGGTAGGCTGAGACAGAATTGCCTGAACCTGGGAGGTAGAGCTTGCAGTGAGCTGAGATCACGCCACTGCACTCCAGCCCACGCGACAGAGTGAGATTCCATCTCAAAAAATAGAATCGAATGCATGGTCGGTCTCAAAGAGATATTTGCACACCCATTTTCATAGCAGCATTATTCACAATAACAAGAGGTAGAAATAACTCAAATGTCCATCAATAGGTGAATGGATAAACAAAATGTGATATACACACAAAATAAAATATTATTTAGCCTTAAAAAAGGAAGTAAATACTGTCACGTGCTCCAACATGGATAAACCTTGTGGACATTATGAAATAAGCCAGTCCAAAACACCAAGTATTTTATGATTCTACTTGTATGAGGTATCTAAAGTAGCCAAATGCATAGAAAAAGGAAGTAGAATGGTGGTTATCAAGGGATGAAGGGAGGAGAAAAAGGGGACGTATTGTTTAATGAGTAGAGTTTCAGATCTGCAAAATGAAAAAGTTCTAGAGATTGGTTTTACAAAAATGTGAATATACTGAACTCTACTGAACTATATGCTTAAAAATGATTAAGATGGTATATTTCATGTTTTTTTTTTTTACAATTAAAAAAAAAAAAAACAGTTACCATATGACCCAGCAATTCCATTCCTGGCTATATATACCGAGAAATGAAAACATATGTCCACACAAAAATGTGCACATGGAGGTTCATAGCACCATTATTAATAGCTGAAGAATGGAAACAACTCAAATGCCCATCAACTGATGAAGGAATAAACAAATGTAATATATCCATACACTGGAATATCATTTGGCCATAAAAAGAAACAGAAGTACTGATGATATATACTGCAACACGAGTGAACCTTAAAAACATTATGCTAAGTGAAAGAAACAGACACAAAAGGCCACATATTATGTGACTTGATGTATATGAAATCTCCAGAAGAGGAAAGTCCCTAGAGAAAGCAGGTTGATGGCTGCCTAAGGCTGAGGGGAAGGAGGGAAGGAGGGAATGGGGGAGTGACTGCTAACGGGAATGGGGTTTCTTTCTGGGATAATGAAAAGGCCCTGGGATTAGATGACGTTAATAGTTGCACAGCCTTTTAAATATAATAAAAACCACTGAATTTACTTTGGCTTTCTATTTTTATTTATTATTATTTTTAGAGAGATGTGGGAGGTCTCACTATGCTGCCCAGGCTGGTCTAGACTCAAGCAATCCTCTGACCTCGGCCTCCTAAGTGCCAGGCCTCCCAAGTGGTAGGATTACAAGTGTGGGCCACCACACTCAGCCAACTGCACATTTTAAATCAGTGGTCTCCAACCTTTTTGGCACCAAGGACCGGTTTTGTGTTAGACAATTTTTCCATAGACCAGGGGTGGGGGGATGGTTTCAGAATGATTCAAGTGCATTACATTTATTCTGCACTTTATTTCTATTATATCATAATATATAATGAAGTAATTACACAACTTATCAACTTATCATAATGTAGAATCAGTGGGAACCCTGAGCTTGTTTCCCTGCAACCAGACAGTCCTGTCTGGGTATGATGGGAGACAGTAACAGATCATCAGGCATTAGATTCTCATAAGGAGTACACAACCTAGATCCCAGCCTGGCCAACATGGCAAAACCCTGTCTCTACTAAAAATACAAAAGTTACCCAGGCGTGATGACAGGTGCCTGTAATCCCAGCTACTTGGGAGGCTAAGGCAGGAGAATCACCTGAATCCGGGAGAGATTGCAGTGAGCCAAGATCACACCACTACATTCTAGCCTGGGTGACAGAGCAAGACTCTGTCTCAAAAAAATAAACAAACAAAAAAAAAAACAAAAAAAACCCCACAAACAAAGTTTCACTTGTTCCCCTGCCGCTCACCTCCTGCTCTGCAGCCCGGTTCTGGTACCAGTCCCTGCCCAGGGCTGGGAACCCCTGCTTTAAATGGTGAATTTTATATGTGAATTATATCTTAATTTTTAAAAAGGCAGATGCACTGATTTGGAAAGCACTACTTGGTTCAATGACCTCAGGTTATCTTCCTCCTCAGCCCAAGAAAGGTAGTAAAACCCTTTTTCTCATTTTCCTATAAAGGACTTACCATACCACTTGGGGTCTAATAGCTATTCACAGATCCCCTCTGTTTCTGGGTGGGCCAATTCACCCCTCCAAAGCTCCTTTATCTGAAGGGGCTACTATACCAACCCAGACCTGGCCAGTCCAGACACTGACAAGCAAGTACATCCACAGCAGCCAAAGAACTAGGCTCAAGCCATCCTTACCTCAGGTTCTCTGGGAACCAGGCAGGTGCAAAGATCAACCTGTTGGCCTCACACAGTGGCTATCATTTCTTTTCCTAGGCAGTATCCACCAAACTAATTAAGGACTGGGTCCACAGCTACCTGGAATCAAGAAGAAACCCAGAGAGACTGTCCATCTTCCATCCTCCCACTGGGATAGAGACAGAAAGTTTGAAACTAATACGGGTAAACAGAAAGGGCAAATTCACAATGAGGGAGGCAAAGGCCCTTGTAATTGCTAACCACAAAAAAGGATTGTTATTTCTCTGTACTCTCCCTGCAGATGAGAATATCTAACCTCCCCTGTGGGGAACTTTTAGAAATCAATCTGATGTATTTATACTCTGTACATTGTTGGAGGACATTTAAAATGGTACACAACTTCTTTTAAGACAACTTTGCAATACACAAAATTTTAAATGTATATTCTTTGACCCAGCAATTCTATTTCCAGTAACTTATCCTAAAAATATACTTGTACAAGGTACAGAGATCTATATATAAGGCATTTCACTGTAGTAATATTCATAAAAGCAGAAGACTGAAAACAACCTAAATATCTATTAATAAAAGATTTGTTAAATAATACTCATTTACATGGAATACCATAATGCCATTAAAAAGAATATGCTGGCCAGGCACAGTGGTTCACACCTGTAATCCCAGCAATTTGGGAGGCCAAGGCAGGAGGATCACTTGAGCCCAGGAGCTCAAGACCAGCCTTGGGAGGTTGAGGCTGCAGTGAGCCGTGATCATGCCACTGCACTCCAGCCTGAGTGACAAGTGAGACGCTGTCTCAAAACAAACCAAAACAAACAAAAAAGCCTGATGTGCTGGTAATTTCCATTTATCAATCCAGGTGCTGGTTACATGGATGTGCTCAGCCTGTGAAAATTAATTAGTTGAGTTGTACATCTGACATATTCACATTCTTCTATGTATATTATACCTCAATAAAATATTAAAAAGAATGTAACAAACCTACTTGTATTGATATAGAATGTTCTTTAAAATATTAAGTGAAAAAAAATCATGGTGCAGAAGAGTATGTACTGCATGTTTCTATTTTTGTGTTAAACCACAGATAGATATAAATGCCTATATATAAATAGATGCTTTGGAAGAACACACAAGTAACTAAACATGCAATGGTTATTATGGGAAAGGAAAAGTGCAGAACTGGAAGTTCAGAGTGAGAGAAAGACTTATTTTTCACTTTATGTATCCTCTATTCCAATTTTCATCTGCTACCATGCATATTTATTCATTTTACAATGACAAAATCTAGTCTAGGCAGTCAAAAAGGGCTCCCTTTCCTCCCTGGGGGTAGGCTGCTACTTTGGAACAATTTGCTGCAATTTGTGCTGTGAATCAGCACCCAGATACTTGATAGGGGGAGGCAGTGTGGTTTATCAGAAAGGTAATTAATGGTGGTTTGCTATTCTAGAAAAGTGAAAAGGACATAATAAAAACCCTATTCTTTGATACATGAAGTGGATTTGATTCCCGAATCCACCCAGTTCTAGCTGTGTGATCGCAGTTACTTGGCCGTTCCTTGCCCCATCTGAGAAATGAGGATAACAGGGTTCTTATGATGACTAATAATAATAGAAATGCATGTAAAGCACATAGCATGATACTTGAAGTGTGGTTGGCACTCAAGGATTAACTTTGCTATTCTTCTACAAAAATAACTTGTTTGCAGACTGGGAAGTCAGGAGTTACAGAAAAACAGTGACTGATTCTGATTAAAAGGTAAAGATGGGCTATAAGACCAAGGAAAACATTGCCTTACCAGCAACATCAGGAATAGGTAAGGAGGCCTTAGTCTGGGAAGACAGCTCAAAACCTTGAAAAGGTACAAGGAGAGAGAGAACTGAAATGAAAAAGAATAAGCCTGGCAGAAACAGAACAGCAAAGAAAAAAGAATAGACTTTAGAAGTTGGGGCAAGGGGTCAAAGACTGGAGAGTAGTAGTGACTAAGCTTTGGAGCTGACAAAAAATACACTAGTAGAGGAACTACGGCACAGTTTTCTTGCGATCTCTCTCCCTATCCTTTTCTGTCCTTGCTCCTTCTTGATCAAAAATAATAATTTAGCTGATTTTTTCCTGTGGCTTTACCTGAATCTCAATACAGTAAAGTCAGCATTCTCTTGAACTAACAGGAAAACCTGGCAAGTGCCTCAAAGACAACCCTGAAAGCTAGAAAGGGAGGAGAAAATATTCTCTCTGGGGGTTGCCTGGGGACCTCTAGGAGAGGCTTAAAAGGCTGACAGATCAGGGCAATAGAACAGAAAATTAGGTGAAATATAAAAGCACCAGGGATGACAAATTTAAGTTTGAAGAATGCCACGTTATACTCCCCGCTTGCCCCACAAATACCTAGTGGGCTTATAAACACTTTTTCAGAGCAATATGAAGCCTGGGGAGATTATTTCTGTGTAATAAAAATTAAGACCAAAAAAAAAATCCCCAAACAAACCAAAAAAAAAGGATTAAAACAAGTTTCCTAGCATAGCTTTAAAAAGGGATTTGCACAGACAGATTGAGACAGAACAGTCAAAAACTACAGACTCGCCGGGCGCGGTGGCTCACGCCTGTAATCCCAGCACTTTGGGAGGCCGAGGCGGTGGATCACGAGGTCAGAAGATCTAGACCATCCTGGCTAACGCGGTGAAACCCCGTCTCTACTAAAAATACAAAAAAATTAGCCGGGCACTTATAGGCTGAGGAAGGAGAATGGCGTGAACCCAGGAGGCAGAGCTTGCCCGTGAGCAGAGATCACGCCACTGCACTCCAGCCTGGGTGACAGAGCAAGACTCCATCTCAAAACAAAAACAAAAACAAAACTACAGACTCCAAACCTGGCATCAGCTGTAAGAAGGGGAGGTTTTTGTTGTTGTTTTGAGACAGAGTCTCACTCTACTGCCCAGGCTGGAGGGCAATGGCATGATCTCGGCTCACTGCAACCTCTGCCTCCCAAGTTCAAGCGATTCTCCTGCCTCAGCCTCCCAAGTAGCTGGGATTATAGGCATGCACCACCACGTCCAGCTAATTTTGTATTTTTAGTAGAGATGGGGTTTCACCATGTTGGCCAGGCTGGTCTCCAACTCCTGACCTCAGGTGATCCACCTCCCAAAAGTGCTCCCAAAGTGCTGGGATTACAGGCATGAGCCACTGCACCCAGCTAGAAAGGGGTTTTTTACCTCACCACCAGATGCCACCTTAACAATAAAATAAATTATGGGTATGCCTTACAATCTGACTGTTCTTACCTATACCTAGGAACCAAAGAGACATGGATAAATTTGAGATACCCCTCATTCTCTGAAACTCAGAAACTATGTATATTTGGATTAACACTTTACTGTCTGAACTTACCGTATCCAAAATCTTTCCATCCAAATTCAAGAGCTCAACAGATTCAATGGCAAGGAATACTTACATGAAGTGTTTGGTGTAGCAGTGAGAAATCTTTAACCGACTAGAGCTTTCATGCTGCCATTGTCTAGGTATGAATACTACAAAGCAGAGAGGCACACTGGTCTCACAAAGCTTTAAAAACTCTCTAGGTCAAACTTGTCAAGTTCTTTCAAAATATAAAACGAAAAAAAAAAAAACCCATTCGGAAAACATCTCCAATCCAAAGAAAGAAAGTGGGACGGAGTAGACCTGTCACCCCATAAATCTATCACTGATTAAAACCAGAAGCTGAGCCAACTTCACTTTGCAGTCTACAAGAAGCAATCAGGAGTGCTCAGCAAGGAAAGCTGGACTAATTGGCACCCCAGGAAGAAGACAAGACATACTAAATAAACAGTTTATTCTTGAGACTCTCATATATAGGTAATTGATTAAGCACCACTTACAGACATTGTAAAGCTAGAATCACTATTACTAGAATAATTATTTCCTACAAGAAAAGTCTGAGGTGACACAAGACAGTTCAAATGGCATTTCCTGAGGTTAAAGTCACTTGGATAATCTAACAATAAAGATTTAAGACCTGCAGCATGACCATTCACATTTATGTTGTTCAAAGCAGCTTACATTCAAGTTGCAAGACAGATCACAAGCATCTCTCTCTACTGCTACGCTCTTCATGCCAAATGGCTGATTTGATTTCAAAAAAGAAAAAGACTAGGGGGAAAGAATTCTGATTTTTAATTACCTCTAGCTTCTTTGAAGAAAGTATTCACCAGCATGAGAAAAGGTTTTAAACTCTGATGCTAGGCTTCTTCATATGTTAAATGGCATAAAATCATGACCACCTTCAAAGAATGTGAGGTATAAACTAATAGTGAAATGCTTTGAAAATAGTGAAGGCAAAACCTTGCCACCCTAAAGAAATCTTAATTTCGTTACTTTTTTTTTTTTTTTTTTTGAGACAGAGTCTCGCTCTGTCGTCCAGGCTGGAGTGCAGTGGCGCAATCTTAGCTCACTGCAACCTCAGCCTTCCAGGTTCAAGCAATTCTGCTTCAGCCTCCCTAGTAGCTGGGATTAACAGGCGTGCACCACCACGCCTAAGCTAATTTTTTGTATTTTTAGTAGAGATGGGGTTTCACCGTGTTGGCCAGGCTGGTCTCTGACTCCTGACCTCAGGTGATCTGCCCGCCTCGGCCTCCCAAAGTGCTGGGATTACAGGCGTAAGCCACTGCACCCAGCCTCATTACTTTCATAAAAGAAGCAAGCAAACAAAATACATTAATCTAGTGGAAACAGATGTGCTACTAAAGAGCTATCTTTGAAGTAATCATTTTAAGATGTCACTGACCTATCAATTCTATGGTCTTAGTTATGGCAACACTGAAAAATCTCAATCCCTTGGTTAAGATTCCATTCAACATTCATTCACTCAACAGATTTTAACTGAGTGCCCTTACTGTGTACATGATATATGCTAGGTGCTGTCACAAAATGAAAGATGTCATTGTTGTCCTCCAGATGCTTATACTGCCCTCAAGGATGTTACACATACAATTACATAAGGCACACTGCATTATCAATGATAAAAACTGCAATGAGTTCAGAAAAAAAGAAAGCACTTCCTAAAGGAAGCAATGTCTGAACCATAAGCCTGAAAGCTGCATCGGGTTCCAATAAAGTCAGAAAAATTAAGCCTTCCAGAGAGAATAAACAGTTTGAATGAAGAAAGATAAACACCCTTTCTCCACTTAAGTACAGAAAATTAAGAGTACAAAATAAGTCTTAAATGCTTATTTAAGTCTAATCAATTAGACTTTAAGTCTAATCAAATTTGAGCAAAAGCAATATTTTGCAATTCTCTAGAAATAATTTTTTCTTTTCTATGCAATCGTTAAAAAACTTAAAAAAAATTTTTTTGTTTTTGAGAGTCTCATCTGTCACCCAGGTTGGAGTGTAATAGTAGGACCACAGCTCACTGCAACCTCTGCCTCCCAGGTTCAAAATTCTCCTGCTTCAGCCTCCCAAGTAGCTGGGACCCCAGGCACGCACCACCACACCTGGCTAATTTTTTGTATCTTTGGTAGAGATGGGGTTTTGTCATGTTGCCTGAGCTGGCCTCGAACTCCTGAGCTCAAGGAATCCGCCCACCTTGGCCTCCCAAAGTTCTGGGATTACAGGCATGAGCCACTCTTCCTGGCAAAAATCTATTTTCAAGTTTCTCAAATAACTGACTCCATGAAATATTGCAGAGGTGTTAACTTGAAGAGCCAAATCTGTCTTTCCATAACAATTTACAAAGAAAAAAAGTTATCATGGTGACATGCATGTCATGCTTACATTTAAATGGGGTTTTATAAATAGCATGGGGGAGAAGAGCGAAAACTGGTTTTCGAATGGACAGACTTGGGTTTTGAAACTCTGCTCTATTGCTTACTAGCAGTTTGACTTTCAAAAGTTCCTTCTCTGAAAGCCGGTTTCCTTATCTGTAAAAAGGGAGACAACTACTCTGTAAGCAACTCCAAGTAGGGACAGAATGTGTATTACAGCATCCTGAATATAGAAGGTACTTAATGTTTCCATTAGTTTCTTTAATAAGGGAAGTAATAATTAATAAGCTATTCCACAAGCTGGAATTCTACAACAAAACTGATCAATCAGTATCATACTAAATCAAAATTAGAAAGTAACGGACCCAGAGCATCATGTAAACCTTTATACCTCACCACTTTATATACTATTACATTAGCCTATCAGTACAGAGACTGTCTTCTAAACCACTGGTGAGCATGGTACAAGAGCCATTGCTTGTGACATACTGTACCTTTTGGTTTGATTTCTCTTCCCTTGAATGGTTAAAACGTGTAAGCTAACACAAACCTGTCACAGTCCGCTGGCCATCACTTAGGTTATTCCACCACTTGTTAATCTAAAACAGACAGAAAATTGCATCACCACATGTGAGAAATTTCAGGCTACAAAAATGAAAAACCAGAAGAAAATGCCTCGCACATAAGAGGAATTCCTCTTCTGCAAAAATCACTGGTGGTCACAGACATAATAAATACGTGGTAGAGTGGAAAAGGCACATGTTTTATAGTCAGGCAGCCCACATTCTCCACACAGAACCAACCACTGGATAGCTCTGGAACCTCAGACAATTATTTCTAAACTTCAGTTTCTTGACACATGAAATGGGACAATAATAGGTACCCAGCAGTGTTATCACAAGGAATAACAATAATGTAAAGCCCCTAGCACACTCACAGATACAGACAGGTACCAAGGAAGTGATTATTCATACCAAGGTCTTATGTTTTAAAATTCTGAGAATATTGTCTACTAAATTGCACTTTTTTAAAGATATAGTAATGGTACTGGAGTTTAATAAAAAGAGGAGGGTCCTAATTTTTCAGGGATACATGTTGAAAATTTTATGCATGAAATACGTCTAGAATTTGCTTTACAATAATACAAGGGTGGAAAGGGAAGGGAAAAAAAGGGAAATAGATGAAAAAAAAATTGGCCCTGTCTTGGGGAACACTGAAGCTGGACGATAATGATTCATCATACTATTCTCTCTACATTTGTATCTGCTTGAAATTTTCCATGATTAAAGTTTTAAAATAAAAAATATATTCCAACTAAGAAATTGAACCAGATTTTGTTATTAAAAGAAAAAATCCAAGGTAAAAGAAACTACAGATTAGTATGTATAGTTCCATTTATTTTCTTTTTTTTTCTTTTTAAGAGACAGGGTCCCCCTGTGTTGCCAAGGCTGGTCTTGAACTCCTGGGCTGAAGCAATCCTCCCACCTCAGTCTCCCAAGGTGCTGGGATTACAGATATGAGCCGCCCCGGCCGATTCCATTTCTATAATTATAATTGCACTGTGTATGAACTCCCAGAACTTCGTGTATAGTGGCACGAAAGGGGTTCCCAGGACTTTCATGTTTCCATGTTAAATTTACACATTGTTTCAAACTTCTTTAATGGGCATAGGTTTTATACATTCAACTTATCATTTAATTATATTATAAACAAATCAATCTTTAAATGAAGATTATGTATACTGTTTGTATCATTTTTCACCATTCTCAAGAACCATTTGGGTACATTTGGATATCAAAACTTCATGTGCAGACATGTGCTGGAAACCTATAGCTTTGTAAGAGATCCAGGATAATGGAATAGGTCAGTTTTACTATCTTCTCAAATACATTGACTGAACAGATGCCGATGGCTAGTTATTGTCATTTTCACCTGCAAATATTATCCACTGTTCTGGCATAAAGCCTCTCTAACACAGATAGGGCTCATGCTTCTTGAATGTGCCCATGGGAAAACAAGGAGGAATGAATCCCTTTCCCTACTTAGAGAAAACTCAAAACATCATTAGCAAAAAGAAAATGCAAGGCTTCCTTCTCAGGCTCTTGCTGGCCAGGATCACACTGTTCCAAGGAAGGGGAAAAGTAAAGAAGATATCAACCTACTCTCCAGATTGGAAGGGCAATGTGTCATTAAAAAAACAGAAGTGCTTGAAAACCAAATGGGCCTGAAACCACATATTAACTAAAATCTCAGTGTTCAATATGTATTGGTGAATAAAAGAAATAAAATATTGGCTGGGCTCGGTGGCTCATGCCTGTAATCCCAGCACTTTTGGAGGCCGAGGTGGGCAGATCACGAGGTCAGGAGATCGAGACCATCCTGGCTAACACGGTGAAACCCCGTCTCTACCAAAAATACAAAAAATTAGCCGGGCGTGGTGGCGGGCACCTGTAGTCCCAGCTACTCCGGAGGCTGAGGAAGGAGAATGGCGTGAACCCGGGAGGCAGAGCTTGCAGTGAGCAGAGATCGCGCCACTGCACTCCAGCCTGGGCAACAAGTGAGACTCTGTCTCAAAAGAAAAAAAAAAAGAAACAAAATACATGTTTTATCTAAAAGCAAACATTTTTAAGAAATCAGTTAAGAAAGAGGGCCATCGACTTGCATATAAAGTAAATGAAAAGCTCTAAAAGCTCCATATTTCTTTTTTTTTTTTTTTTTTCCGTATTTCATCTCGAGCACAGTTTAGAGACACTCAACAGCAGGTATTTACCACAGGTGTGTAAATATCATGTCACTGAGAAACGTTTAAAACTCCTCTTGGGGCCAGGCACAGTGGCTCACACTTGTGAAATTCCAGCACTTTGGGAGGCCAAGGTGGGAGATCACTTGAGGTCAGGAGTTTGAGACCAGCCTGGGCAACAAAGTGAGACTCCTGTCTCCACAAAAAATGAAATAATTGGCCCAGCATGGTGGCACACGCCTGTAGTCCCAGCTACTCAGGAGACTGAGGCGGGAGGACTGCTCAAACCCAGGAGTTTGAGGCTTCAGTGAGCTATGATCCCATTACTGCACTGAGGCCTAGGTGACAGAGTGGGACGCTGTCTCTTAGAAAAAAAAATCACTTGCTAGCTCTATCCCTAAGGCATGTATATTTTGAAAAATTCCCTGCAGTTCAAATACGTACTCTAAAGCCAGGGTCCCCAACAACCCGGCTGCTGACCACTAGTGGTCCGTGGCCTGTTAGGAACTGGGCCACACAGCAGGAGGTGAGCAGTGGGAGAGCATTACCACCAGAGCTCTGCCTCCTGTCAGATCAGTGGCTGCATAAGATTCTCACATGAATGCAAACCCTACTGTGAGATGCACATGTGAGGGATCTAGGTGGCACGCTCCTTATGAGAATCTAATGCCTGATGATCTGAGGTGGAACAGTTTCATCCCATAACCATCTGCCCCCCTGCAACCCCGACCTGTGGAAAAATTGTCTTGCACAAAACCAGTCCCTGGTACCAAAAAGGTTGGTGACTGCTGCTCTAAAGCAATCCATCAAGGTGATCCAAGTAAAACAGTGGCCTTTAAACTTTAGTAGAGCTGAGATCCACTGAGATCCTTAAACTTTAGTAGAGCTGAGACATCCTCCACGCAGAAACATTAACAACTATTAACATTAATTTCTTTTCTTTTTTTTTTTTTTTGAGATGAGTTCTCGCTCTGTCACCCAGGCTGGAGTGCAGTGGCACAATCTCGTCTCACTGCAACCTCTGCCTCTTGGGTTCAGGCGATTCTCCTGCCTCAGCTTCCTGAGTAGCTGGGGCCACAGGCATGCACCACCACGCCTGGCTAATTTTTGTATTTTCAGTAGAGATGGGATTTCACTATGTTGGCCAGGCTGGTCTCCAGCTCCTGACTGCCTTGGCCTCCCAAAGTGCTAGGATTATAGACTTGAGCCGCTGTGCCCGGCCAACGTTAACATTTTTAACAACTATCCGTGGTGATTTTTGATGCATGTGGGTAGAGGGACAGAATTCTGGAACACTGTTAAGTACAACACCAGATATATAAAACAGTAATCAATACTTACTGTGAAGAATATTAAGTGCACTGACTTGACATCTATTAATCTGATGTTGCCATTAACTAAAAGCACTTCATAAATAACCAGGCTTCAAAACCTGGGATTACCAGTAGAGTAACTACAGTCAACTATAATCTATAGTACATTTCAAAATAGCTAGTGGAGAACAATTCAAATATACCTAGCATAAAGATAAATGTTTAAGGTGATAGATATTCAGTTCCTCAGATTTCATTATTACACATTATGTGAATGCATCATGTACACTGAAAACACGTGCATCTATTAAGTATCAGTTTTTTAAAACCGTGATTAACTAGAAGAAAGAAAGCAGTGTTTATCTTTACCTCCTTTCTGAAGTCTCCTTCTTTTTGTGGTCTTATGCTATCCAACCAATCAGCTTTTATACCATCAAAATAACTCTGGACCCTGGATTTCAGTGATTCATATTGCCAAATAGCAGCTGATCCAAATGCACAGCCTGTAAACTATATAAAATTAGATATATTACAAAATAGATTTAAGAGGGAAATAGATCTATACATTATTTCCAAGGAGAATTCTTCACTGTCATTGCTTTTTACAAACCAACAGAAGGGAATACTTGGCACAGTGAAACCTAATAAGTGAAAAGGGCTTTTTTTTTTCTTTTTGAGATGGAGTTTCACTCTTGTCTCCCAGGCCAGACTGTAATGGTGCGATATGGGCTCACTGCAACCTCTGCCTGCCAGGTTCAAGTGATTCTCCTGTCTCAGCCTCTGGAGTAGCTAGGATTACAGGTACCTGCCTCCAGGCCCGGCTAATTTTTGTATTTTTAGTAGAGACGGGGTTTCATCATGTTGGCCAGAGGGGTCTCGAACTCCTGACCTCAGGTGATCCACCCACCTTGGCCTCCAGTGCTGGGATTACAGGCATGAGCCACTGTGCCTGGCCAAAAAGGACATTTTATTGTTTCCCATTGTATTAACTTCACAATACCCTGGGGCCTGTTTCCAGCTATAAATCCTCAAATAAAACTGAAAATACCAACTTAGCACCGCTTGAAATGCTGTACCAAACAAGGCCCATATGTTTATTCTCTAGGGCTTACATAAGTAAGCCAGAATTTAATAATAAAAGCAATTTTTAAGTTCAGACTCTAGGCCGGGCGCAGTGGCTCACTCCTGTAATCCCAGAACTTTGGGAGGCCAAGGCGGGCGGATCATGAGGTCAGGAGATCGAGACCATCCTGGCTAACAAGGTGAAACCCCGTCTCTACTAAAAATACAAAAAATTAGCCAGGCGTGGTGGCCAGTGCCTACAGTCCCAGCTACTTGGGAAGCTGAGGCAGGAGAATGGTGTGAACCCAGGAGGTGGAGCTTGCAGTGAGCCGAGATCGCGCCACTGCACTCCAACCTGGGCGACAGAGTGAGACTCCGTCTCAAAAAAAAAAAAAAAAATTCAGACTCTATAATTAGAATTCATGAGCCCAGCTCTTTTTGATCCCCCCTCTACCTGTCCTTACTTTAAGGGAGCCCAAATGGGACAAAGTACTTTAACACTGCATTTCTAGCAAGGTAGGTAACTCCTAGCAAAGTGAGCTCTTACCCCAACAGTAAAAAATAAAGGTTTTATGAGACTCCTTATAGGATAGGGAGAAGGATAAAAGACTGTTTCTTCCACAGGAGGAATCAAAGCACTTCTCTTGTATGCTTCACCACTTGTCCCTGGGTCTGATCTTCGAGGTTCAACCTTCCTGGGTGCTTTTCTGAATCCGCATTTTTGTTGAATAAAGAAGTTAAACCTATGGGGCAAAAATAACAGATGAGAAACACAGTAGCGTCTTGCAAATATCAACTTCTATGAACCTCCACTTGGCCTGCATCATCACCATCTCAATTTATTCTCACTCTACAGTCCAAAAACAGCCAAGACTCCTACTCTCAGACAGAATTCAAAGCCACAAAATTCAACCTTTCTGGAAAAGGTGACACACAAACTACAGCAACTTCAGAGGATACTACTTTGGGCTATTACTTTCTATCAGTCAACAAAATAATTTGTATCCATTCTCCACACAGAAAGAATCTGAAGACCTGGTAAAAAGCTAGAGAACTCTATAAATTGTCCGTTTCTTTTTTTTTTTTTGAGACAGGGTCTCCCTCCGTCGCCCAGGCTAGAGTACGATTACTCCCTCCCTCTGTCGCTCAGTGGTACGATCATGGCTCACTGCAGCCTCCACGTCTCAGGCTCAAGCGATCCTCCTGCCTCAGCCTCCCAAGTAGCTGGGACTACAAGCGTAGGCTACCACATTGTTAATTTTTGTACCTTTTGTAGAGATGGGGTTCTGCCATGTTGCCCAAGCTAGTCTCAAACACTTGGGCTCACACAATCCTCCTGCCATGGCTTCCCAAGGTGCTAGGACTACAGGCATGAGCCATGGTGCCCCACCAGTTGTCAGTTTCAGTCAGAATGACTTCTGGTTTTTTGTTTAAAGTTTGGTCAATTTCTGGAACAAATATTTAAATGTATTGTCCTTGAAGCCACTCCAAATTCAATAATTATTTTCTTTTCTAAGTATTGCCCATTATAAATTAAAACACTCCTCTCACCTCTCCCCTTTATTTCACTGTTTTGGGGACATCCACCAAATTATTTGTGAGCTGTTACCCCAACAGTTAAAAAAAAATTTTGTTGTTTGAGTCTACAGCTTGACTTCCTCAAAATATCTAACACTACTGATCATGCCTCCTAGTCCTAGCTTCTGTAACAGCACTTCCTACTCTTCAAATTCATCTTTAACTCCCGGTATCTTCCCCTTTTCCTCTACCCCATTCAAACTCAACCCATATAAATTCTTGAAACAGTCTTCTTTTTCTTTTGTAAAACTGTAACTTTCCCAGGTCACAAAGTAAAGATCCCTTTCTGTTTGTACCCTGAACATATTATCCCTTCTTATAATTATTCTGAGACAGAGTCTTATTCTGCCACCCAGGCTGGAGTACAATGACATAATCTTGGCTCACTGCAACCTCTGCCTCCCCAGATGCAAGTGATTCTCCTGCCTCAGCATCCCTAGTAGCTGGGATTATAGGCACCCACCACCACACCTGGCTAATTTTTGTATTTTTAGTAGATATGGGGTTTCACCATGTTGGTCAGGCTGGTCTCGAACTCCTGACCTCAGGTGATCCACCCGCATTGGCCTCCCAAAGTGCTAGGATTACAGGCATGAGCCACTGCGCCTGGCTATACCTTATTATTATAAGGGATAATAATGTATATTATTATTATTAAGGGATATTATGATATCCCTTCTAGAAGGGATAGTATGTTCAAAGATATTATATATATAACGAACAATATTCAGTGAGGAATATCATAACATATTATCCCTTCTACTAGCCTCAAAGCTCCTCAAAAGCAGAGCTCGGGTAGGTCTTTTGTCTTTGTATCCCAGCCCCTAAAACAAGCTATTTGGTTGAATTTTTGTGACCTGAATGACTTCTAAGCATGTAAATGATTCAAATTTATTTTAGTCCTAACCTGAACTTTCTACTCCAGTATTTCCAACTCTATACTGAATAATGCTACTTGGATATGCTCCCCATTACTTTAAAACCAATATATTCAAAATAGAATTAACTCATTCTCCTCTACAAACACCTCCATTTTCTGACGTACTCTTTCAATAAGACCACAGTTCTCTCAGTTACTGAGGTTAAAAATCTAGGCTGGGGGCCGGGCACAGTGGCTCACGCCTGTAATCCCAGCACTTTGGGAGGCTGAGGCAGGTGGATCACGAGGTCAGGAGTTTGAGACCAGCCTGGCCAATATGGTGAAACCTCGTCTCCACTAAAAATACAAAAATTAGCCAGGTGTGGTGGTGCACACCTGTAGAGTCCCAGCTACTCGGGAGGCTGAGGCAGAAGAATCGCGTGAACCTGGGAGGCAGAGGTTGCAGTGAGCCAAGATCACACCACTGCACTCCAGCATAGGTGACAGAGTAAGACCTTGTCTCAAAAAAAAAAAAATCTAGAAGTCATTTTGGAGTTATCTTTCCTTTATTCTTATTCAATTAAAAGCCAACTCTATCAAAAATACTTTTAAAATTCCTAGTCTAGTCCTTTATCTCATACCTGGATCATGGCAACACTTTCCTTAACTTCAAACACTTTAACCTGTTGCATGTTCTTCTGGCCTCACACTGCTTTTCCTCCACATTCTATAGTTTCTCAAATGTCCTCTCAGAGGGCCAAAAATCTCTTCCTAATTCTAATGCAACTCCTTAGCTCATCCCTTCTGGCCTGGAATACGCCACCATTTCCTAGCAGATCTCCTTGCTTCCAGTACTGCCCCACTCCAAGTGCATCCTTCACATTGTATTAAGCACAAATGTAATGTTCCCTTGCTTTAAACCCCACAATAACTTTTCATCACCCCATCAAACTCAGCACACATCCCTTCAATCCGACCCCTTCCTCTCTCTTGCCACTTCCTCCCTCTGCCACCTCAAATCCTCTCTATACCTGTTATACTGACTTTCTTGCAGTTCCTATGATCTGTTTTGCTCTCTTAACTACGACAATGCTACTCATATTTTGGTATATACTTCCCTTTAACTTTTTTGGGCCCTTCAGATTTCAGTTAATATATCTCCTCCTCCAGGAAGTCTTCCCTAGCTGCCCCAGGCTGGGTACTTCTCTCCTTTGCACTTCTAGAGTTCCAAAGCAGTTTTTTTAATACTTATCTCCACTACTGCCCACGCCCCCATTAGATTACAGTTTTATATTCATTATATCTCTATCACCAAGTCTAGTCCCTAATAAAAGGTCAATAATTATCTGTCAGAATAAAAAAGGGATCAAAAAATGATTAAGCTTTATTGTGAGTAACTCAAAGTAAGATGGTACTATACTCAAAGTAAGGTGGTACTATACTCAAAGTAAGGTAGTACTATACTGAAAGTAAGGTGGTACTATTCTCAAAGTAAGGTGGTACTATACTCAAGGTGGTACTATACTCAAAGTAAGGTGGTACTATATTCAAAGTAAGGTGGTACTATTCAATAAGATAAGGAAAATTGGAAGCCTCAAAATAGGCAACTGGGAGATAAGAGACGAACAATTCCAGCTGGGGTGCTGTTTAAAATGCTTGCAGTCATGGCAGCTTCATTCCTCTAGCTAAAAACTGAAACTTAAATTTCCATTAACAGGAGAAATTCTGTGGTATATTCATATAATGGAATATTACACTTGGCCAAAAAAAAAAAAAAAGGCTTGGGGGGGAGGGGTGGGGAAGAACTAATCATACATCATGGATAACTCTCAAAAACACTTTTGGCAAAAGAAGTAAAATACAAAAGAGTACATGATATGTGATTCTGTGACTTCCATTGCTAAGAAGTTGACAGACACACTAACCTGTAGTGATAAATATTAGATGAGCGATTGCCTGGAATGGGTGGGGCTTGACAGGAAAGGAGCAAGAGGAAACTTGCTGGGATGACGGCCATCTTTATCTTGATTTAGGTGATAGTCACACAGGTGTATACATTAATCAGAATGCACTGGCTGTATATTTAATACTTATACATTTTACTATATGTAAACTGTATCTCAATAAAGTATTTAAAAGAATGCTCATAGGACATCCAGGTGGAGGTATCTTAATAGGCATTTTGGAAATAAATGAAACTCAGAATAATAGCATAGCTACTACTACTATTACTTGCCTAGAATGCATTTTTTTTTTTTTTTTTTGAGATGGAGTTTCGCTCTTGTTGCCCAGGCTGGCATGCAATGGCGTGATCTCAGCTCACTGCAACCTCCACTTCCCAGGTACGAGCGATTCTCCTGTCTCAGCCTCCCAAGTAGCTCGGATTACAGGCATGTACTGCCACACCTGGCTAATTTTTTTGTATTTAGTAGAGACGAGGTTTTACCACGTTATTCAGGCTGGTCGCGAACTCCTGACCTCAGATGATCCACCCGCCTCGGCCTCCCAAAGTGCTGGGATTACAGGCATGTGCCACCATGCCTGGCCTAAGAATGCCCTTTCTCTTCAACACTGAGTCCACTCAATTCAACTCAGAAATCACAGTGAGGAAAGTGATTATAATTTGACTTGAGATTTTAATTTCAGAATTTATACTTCCAAATAAGTGATATTCCTTTCAAAGAAATCTATTACAGAAAAAGCAGAAAAGGTTTGAGTAAGTTCATCTATTTTGGAAAGTTATAAACTTATGCAACCAATGGTACTGTTGCTCTAAATGGCTCTTAACTCCCTTCAGAGCCTGTTACCAGTCTTATAACGAATATCCTTTAGCAAACCCTGTTGAATAGCTAATCCCAAATCTATTTCCAACCCTTTCCCCTTGCCTGCTTTTTCTGTAATAGGAAATATCTTCACTTTTCCAGGCTCCCCTAGAGCTAGTGGTAACCATATCACACAGGATTACAGCCAAATGAAACATAAGAATTTTTCAGGAGCCCCTTGGAAAGGTTTTGCTTACCTGATAAAAATGGACACGTCACTGATGTCAAGCACACCCCCTTCTTTCTGCCTTAAATAAGAATATAATGCCTAGAGACGAGGCAGTCATCTCAAATGCCAAGAGAAAGGCCAAGGGATTCAGACACTAACCTTGACATTTTTGAGCCACTGAGCAAAGACACTAGCCACTTACCTCCCATCATCCTATATTTGATAAATAACTCCCCTTCTTATTTAAACAACCATCAGTTTATTTACTGCCAAATGTATTCCTGGTATAATTTTTAAAGTGGTAGATGTTAACTTTTTGCAACTGGATTTGATTTAAAGATCCCAAAGTAACCTGGAGATAGGTCTAGTAAGTAAAGTCGCAATTAATTAATCAAAACAAGTAATGCCACTTTGGGCCAAAACAAAGGTGTATCATAAAGTAATAGGAATATATTTACCATAAAGATGACAAGTTGACAGCCGGGCATGGTAGCTCACGCCTGTAATCCCAGCACTTTGGGAGGCTGGGGTGGGAGGATCACCTGAGGTCAAGAGTTCGAGACCAGCTTGGCCAACATGGTGAAACTCCATCTCTGCTAAAAATACAAAACTTAGCTGGGCGTGGTGGCGCACGCCTGTATTTTGATTACAGGCGTGGTGGCACATGCCTGTAATCCCAGCTACTCAGGAAGCTAAGGCAGGAGACTCTCTAGAACCCAGGAGGCAGAGGTTGCAGTGAGGCGAGATCACGCCATTGCACTCCAGTGTGAGAGCTCCTGAGTGACAGAGCAAGACTCCGTCTCAAAAAAAAAAAAATTAATTAATTAATTAAAGATGGCAAGTTGTAACCCAGTAATCTTGGTTCCTAGCATTTGTCATGTACTGGACTGAGAAATACAAAGGATAAGAAATACAAAGGATTTGTATTTCCAACAGCTTAATACTACACAATCAATTCTAATAAAAAACTACTTCTACCTGTCACCAATTCACTTAAAATTTTGAAGCACAAGTTTTAAAAGGAACATAAACACGCTAGGTTGGGAATCTGGACTTGAGGCAAAGCCAGACCTTTTTGCCTAAAATATATACCTCGAGGATCTCACCAGAAGTGTGCATCAAGCTGAGGACATTAAGAGTACATTACACAAGCTGGCCCCAGGGTTAAGTTCAGAACTTATCAGTAGGTACACATACTGAATACATCACACACAGGCATACCTCGATTTATTGTACTTCACAGATATCCCAAGTTTGTTACACAAATTGAAGGTTTGTGGCAACCATACATCTAGCATGTCTTTTGGCACCATTTTTCCAACAGCATGCGCTCACTTGGTGGCTCTGTGTCACATTTCCGTAATTCTCACAACACTTCAATTTTTTCTTATCTGTTATGGTGATTTGTGATCAGTGACCTTTGATGTTACTACTGAAATTGTTTTGGGTGCCATGAACCATGAGACAATGAACTTAATAATGTTGTGTAGGTTCTGACTGCTCTACCAACCAGCCATTGCCCACCTTTCCCTCTCTTTGGACCCCCCTATTCCTTGGAACACAACAATATTGACACTGGTCAATTAATAACCCTACAATCACCGCTAAGTGTTCAAGCTGAAAGGAACAGTCACATGTCTCTGGCTTGAAATCATTAGAAATAATCTTTTTTTTTTTTTTTGAGATGGAGTTTTGCTCTATCACCCAGGCTGCAGTGCAGTGGCGCGATCTCGACTCACTGCAACCTCCACCTCTCGGGTGCAAGCGATTCTCCTGCCTCAGCCTCCCAAGTAGCTGGGACTACAAGCACCTGCCACCACACCGAGCTGATTTTTGTATTTTTAGCAGAGATGGGGTTTCGCCATGTTGGCCAGGCTGGTCTCGAACTCAAACCTCACGTGATCCTCCCGCTTCGGCCTCCCAAAGTGCCCAGCCAATTAGAAATAATTAAGCTTAGTGAAGAAGGCATGTCAAAAGCTGAGATAGGCCAGGAGCTAAGCCTCTGGCACAAATAGCCAACTTGTAAATACAAAGAAACAATTCTTGCCAGACATGGTGGCTCACAGCTGTAACCCCAGCACTTTGGGAAGCTAAGGCAGGAAGATCACTTGAGTTCAGGAGTTTGAAACCAACCTGGGCACCATAGTGAGATCCTGTCTCTATAAAAAATTTAAAAATTAGCCAAGTGTGGTGGCTTGCGCCTATAGTACTAGCTACTTGGGAGGCTGAGGCAGGAAGATCACTTGAGCCCAGGAGGTCAAGGTTGCAGTGAGCTACAAATGCATTGCTGCACTCCAACCTGGATGACAGAACTAGACTCTGTATCAACAACAGCAAAACTACTGAAGGAAATTTTAAGTGCTACTCCTGAGAAGAGAAAAATAGTAGGCTGGGTGTGGTGGCTCCCATCTGTAATCCTAGAACTTTGGGAGACCAAGACGAGAGGATCAACTGAGGTCAGGAGTTCGAGACCAGCCTGGCCAACAATGTGAAACTCCATCTCTACTAAAAATACAAGAATTACCTGGGCGTGGTGGCGGGCGACTGTAATCCCAGCCACTGGGGAGGTTGAGGCAGGAGAATCGCTTGAACCTGGGAGATGGAGGCTGCAGTGAGCTGAGATTGTGCCACTGCACTCCAGCCTGGGCGACAGAGCAAGACTCTGTCTCCAAAAAAAAAAAAAAAAAAAAAAATAGAGTAAGAAAGCAAAACAGCCTTATTGCCAACATGGAAAAAATTACATGAATAGAAGATCAAATCAGCCACAACATTCCCTTAAGCCACAGCCAATCTAGAGCAAGACTAACTCCTTCAATTCTATGAAGGCTGAAAGAATTGAGGAAGCTGCAGGAAAAAAGTCTGAAGCTAGCAGAGGTTGGTTCATGAGGTTTAAGGAAACAAGCTGTCTCTATAACACACAAGTACAACTTGAAGCAGCAAGTGTGGATGTAGAAACTGCAGCAACTTATCAAGAAGATCCTAAGATGAAGGTGGCTACACTAAACAGATTTGCAAAGCAGACAAAACAGCCTTCTATTGGAAGAAGATGCCATCTAAGACTTTCATAGCTACAGGTGAGGAGGCAATGCCTGGCTTCAAAGCTTCAAAGGACAGGCTGACTTCATTAGGCACTAATGCTGTTGGTGACTAAGTTGAAGCCAATGCTCATTTACCATTCTGAGAATCCTAGAACCCTTAAGAATGATGGTAAACTACTCTGCCCGTGCTCTACAAATCGAACAACAAAGCCTAGATTACAGCACTCCTGTTTACAGCATCGTTTATGGAATATTTTTTATTTGTTTATTTTTACTTTTTGAGATGGAGTCTCACTCTGTCGCCCAGGCTGGAAGTACAGTGGCACTATCTCAGCTCACTACAACCTCCGCCTCCCAGGTTCAAGCAGTTCTCCTGCCTCAACCCTCCGAGCAGCTGGGATCACAGGCGCCTGCCATCATGTCCGGCTAATTTTTGTGTTTTTAGTAGAGATGGGGTTTCACCGTGTTGGCCAGGGTGGTCTTGAACTCCTGATCTCAGGCGATCCGCCCGTGTTGGCCTCCCACAGTGCTGGTATTATAGGCGCAATCCACTGTGCCCAAACGGTTTACCAAATATTTTAAGCCCAATGTTGCGACCAAATGCTGAGAAAAAAAGATTCCTTTCAAAATACTACTGTTCATCGACAATGTATCTGGTCACCCAAGAGCTCAGATGCACAGGTACAAGAAGATGAATATTGTTTTCATGCCTGCTAACACAATGTCCATTCTGCAACCACATACATCAAGCAGGAATTTCAACGTTTAAGTCTTATTATTTAAGAAATATATTTTCTTTTTTTATTCCCCTAAGAAATACATTTTGTAAAAAAAAAAAAAAAAAAAAAAAAAAAAGAAAAAGAAAAAGAAAGAAAGAAAGAAAGAAAAAGAAATATATTTTGTAAGGCAATAGCCACAGAGTGATTTTTCTGATGGATCTGGGCAAGGTAAACTGAAAAGCTTCTGGAAAGGATCTACCATTCTAGATGTCATCGGGAACACTCATGATTCATGAGAGGAGGTCAAAATACCAACATTAACAGTTTAGAAGAAGTTGATTACAACACTCAAGTATGACTTTGAGGGGCTCAAGACTTGAGTGGAGGAAGTAACTGCAGATGCGGTAGAAATAGAAAGAGAACTAGAGGCTGGGTGCAGTGGCTCATGCCTGTAATCCCAGTACCCTGGGAGGCCGAGGCGGGCGGATCACCTGAGGTCAGGAGTTCGAGACCAGCCTGGCCAACATGGTGAAACCTCATCTTTATTAAAAATTCAAAAAAATTAACTGGGCATGGTGGTGGGTGCCTGTAATCCCAGCTACTCAGGAGGCTGAGGCAGGAGAATCGCTTGAACTAAGGAGGCAGAGGTTGCAGTGAGCCAAGATCGTGCCATTGCACTTCAGTCTGGGTGACAGGAGTGAAACTCCATCTCGAAAAAAAAGAAAGAGCAAGAGAACTAGAATTAGAAGTGGAGCCTGAAGATGTGATTGAATTGCTGCAATCTCATGATCAAACTTGAACAGATGAGAAGTTGTTTCTTATGGATGAGCAAAGGAAGTGGTTTCTTGAGATGGAATCTACTCCTGGTGAAGACACTGTGGACACTGTTGAAATGACAACAAAGGATTTAGATTACATAAACCTAGCTGATAAAGCAGCAGCACGGTTTGAGAGGATTTACTCCTACTCTGAAAGAAGTTCTACTGTGGATAAAATGCTATCAGACAGCATCACATGCTACTGAGAAATCTTTTGTGAAAGGAGGAGTCAATCAACGTGGCGAACTTCATGTTGTCTTATTTTAAGAAATTGCCACCGCTACCCCAACCTTCAGTAACCGCCACTCTGATCAGTCCACAGCCATCAACAGAGGCAAGACCCTCCACCAGCAAAAAGATTATGACTCACTGCAGGCTCAGATGATTATTAGAATTTTTTAGTAATAAAGCATTTTAAAATTAAGGTATCTACATCTTAACAAACCACTCTAAAATGCACTGGCTTAAAACCATAATTTATTACTTTTTTTTTTTTTTGAGACAGTGTCACCCAGGCTGGAGCGCAGTGGCATGATCTCGGCTCACTGCAATCTCCACCTCCCAGGTACAAGCAATTCTCCTGTCTCAGCCTCCTGAGTAGCTGGGACTCCAGGCACACACCAGCACACCTGGCTAATTTTTGTATTTTTAGTAGAGATGGGGTTTCATCATATTGGTCAGGCCGGTCTCGAACTCCTGAGCTCAAGTGATCCACCCGCCTTGGTCTCCCAAAGTGCTGGGATTACAGGCGTGAGCCACCGCGCCCAGCCCCAGCCAGTACTCTTGACTGCTTAATCAGAGCTGGAGAGTCTCAGATGGCTTCACTCGTACCTGGAGCCTTAGTGCTGGTTGTTGTCTGCTTGCTCTTTCACCGCCCAGTCCTTGGTGTTCAGTAGTCTAGCGGGGGCTTCTACCATGACAGAGGGAGTGTTCCAAGTGGGCAAAGGCAAAAGCTGCAAGGTCTTCTGAGGCCGACTCTGGACCTTGCACAATATTACTTCCACCACATGCTACCGATCAAACTAAGCCGCAAGTCCAACCCAGCTGCAAGGAATAGGGAAGTTGACTCCAGCTTTGGATAAGAACTACAAAATATTGTGGCCATGGTGTTTTATCTACCACACTAGATGTGGCAGAGGCAGTTATGCTTCCTAGTCTAGAGCAGTAATTCTCAATTCTGGCTATACATTAGAACTGCCTGGTGAGCTCTTAAAAGTCCTACACCATGGCTCTACCTCATAACAAATGAGAATGTCTAGGAGTGGACCCAAGGCCTTAGTAGTTGTAAGACCTCCCCAGGTGATTCTCATGTGCCGCCAGAGTCAAGATCTATTCATACCACAGGTTTGGGGAAACTTTAGTTTACATACAAATCACCTGGAAATCTCATTAAAAACATTGTAATTTAGTAGGTCTGGGGCAAGGTGAGTCTGAGATTTTGCATATCTAAACAAGCGCCTAAATTAGGGGTTGTCAAACTGCGGCCTATAGAGTGGATTTGAGTCTCCAACTAAGAATGGTTTTCACACGTTTAAAGAGTTGTTTAAAAAGAAAGAGAAAGAATATGCGACAAAGACCACATGCGGCCATATTTTCTATCTGACCTTTTACAAACTAAGTTTGCCAAACCCCTGTCCTAGATGATACCCAAACTGCTAGTTCATGAACCACTTGGAATAGCAAGGAGCTAGAACCTGATTCCTCACTCTTCCAACAATACTTGTACTTAAATTAGAATGGTTTGTTGTCCCACAGATTAATCCTATCTAGGTAACCAAATAAAGAATTCCAATACAAATGTTTCACTACGACTTACTCCCAGCATCCATGCCCTCTTCTCCTTTTCCAAACCATACTCTAGAATTTCCAGCCATTTCATTTGATGAGACACACCAAGCCCACGATTGGCTTAAGCCAAATTTCACATCCCATTCCTTGGCAACTTCAAGGGATTCAAGGATGGGCACCTGTCCCAAGTTAGGCCAATCTGGTCCAGTGAAATTCAATTTCAAGATTTTGTTTGTGATAACGGAGAAGACAACTTTTTTTTCTGCTAGATTTGCACCTAAAAATATATAGCCCCAAGAGCTGCTGGCAGCCATCTTATAACCACAAGGAGATAGCATGCTGAGAGAATAAAGCCAACATTTAGGAAACAGAGACAAGCCATGGAGAAAATGGTGTCTGGTGACAATTTGAGACACTGGACTTGTCTCGCTAGAAGCCAGTCCTACCTCTACACTTTTGAACTTCATAAACCAATAAATTCCCCTAATTGTTTAGGTCAGTTAAGAGTTTGGTTTTCTATTGGAATAAGGATGCTTTTAGATGTAGTATGTTTATTACATATTATATAAGGTACATTTTCTCTTTTTAATGAGCTTTCATTTTAAATTTCCTTTTTTTGGTGGGCGGGGGGAGGTCCTCGCTCTGTCACCCAGGCTGGAGTGCAGTGGCACCATCTCAACTCACTGCAACCTTCGCCTCTAGAGTTCAAGTGATTCCCCTGCCTCAGCCTCCCAAGTAGCTGGGATTACAGATGCCTGCCACCAGGACTGATTTTTTTTTTTTTTTTTTTTTTTGTATTTTTAGTAGAGACAGGGTTTCGCCATATTGGCCAGGCTGGTCTCGAACTCCTGACCTCAGGTGATCTGCCTGCCTCGGCCTCCCAAAGTGCTCCCAAAGGATTACAGGAGTGAGCCACTGCACCCAGCCTTAAATTTCTTAAAGTGTGAAACAAGCAAAAGCATGATAAATGTCCCTAATTGCAAATGTTTGCTATCTTATTCACAGGTTTAGGTTATTCACCTCTTCCCAATCAGATGGGTATATAAGACAGGGAAATAAATTACTTACCTGAATAAGTTGGAAAACAAAGTGAAGCGCCGCAATAAAATGGATGGGGATGGGAAAGAGGGTCCCTTGAGGCATATGACAACTCACGACAGCAGGCCTGCCTTGACTCTGCTGCTTTGGTCCTTCTGCCAGGAACTAGTGATTTGGGGAAGCAATCAAATGTGCTCAAAGTGGGAGGATGTCATGAATACTTAAGTTGCCACCAGCCACAGTTATAGTTCAGTTTTTTTTTTTCCGTTTTTAAGACACAGTTTTGCTCCTGCTGCCCAGGTTGGAGTGTAATGCCGTGATCTCGGCTCACTGCAACCTCCGCTTCCCGGGTTCAGGCGATTCTCCTTCCTCAGCCTCCCAAGTAGCTGAGATTACAGGCGCCTGCCACCACACCTGGCTAATTTTTGTGTTTTTAGTAGAGAGGGGGTTTCACCACGTTGGCCAGGGTGGTCTCGAACTCCTGACCTCAGGTGATCCACCCACCTCAGCCTCCCAAAGTGCTGGGATTACAGGCATGAGCCACTGTGCCTGGCCAGCTCAGACTTTTTTTTTAATACAATCCTATAACTTTTAAGAAGAAAAAGTTACACCAATATATGTGTTCACCTAATAGTTACAATACAGTCTCATAAATGTTTTGGTTTTTTATTTTTTGGGTCTTTTTTTGAGACAGGGTTGCACTCTCTCACTCAGGCTGGAGGACAGTGGCGCCCTCATAGCTCACAGCAACCTTCACCTTCCGGCCTCAAGCAATCCTCCTCCCTTAGCCTCCCACGTGGCTGGGACCAGAGGCAGCACCACCATACCCACTAATTTTTTTTACTTTTTGTAGAGACAGGAGTCTCCCTATATTGCCCAGGCTGGTCTCAAACTCCTAGACTCAAGTGATCTTCCTGCCTCAGCCTCCCAAAGTGCTGGGACTGCAGGCCTGTGCCACCGCACAGCCTTTGTGCATTTTTTTTTTTTTTTTTCAGATGAAGTCTTGCTCTTGTCCCCCAGGCTGGAGTACAGTGATGCAATCTCGGCTCACTGCAACCTCTGCCTCCTGGGTTCAAGGGATTCTCCTGCCTCGGCCCCCCGAGTAGCTGGGATTACAGGCCCCTGCCACCGTGCCTGGCTAATTTTTGTATTTTTAGTAGAGACGGGTTTTCACCATGTTGGCCAGGCTGGTCTAGAACTCCTGACCTCAGGTGATCCACCCGCCTCGGCCTCCCAAAGTGCTGGGATTACAGGCGTGAGCCACTATGCCCAGCCTGTGCATTGTTTTTAAGAGTGCAACGGTAAAGACAATACAACTTAAATATACAGGTCAGTGTTAATGTTTATGTTACTCAAGATTTGTATGAACAAATTAAGTAGAAATGGCCTAATGTTCAAATGGAGACAAAATGTGTCTAAGCACACACAATTGATTAGATTCATTCCACTTAAAACAAAATAGAGCCCGAGGCATGGTAGTGTGTACCTGTAGTCCTTGCTACCAGGCAGGCTGACGCAGGGGGATCCCTTGAACCCAGGAGTTTGAGGCTGCAGTGAGCTATGATAGTGCCACTGCACTTCAACCTAGGTGACAGAACAACTCGCCTCTAAAAAATACAAAAGATACTGGGCGGGAGGATGGATTCTACATAAACTCTGGCATAACAAAATTATTTTCTTGACCCCATCGTGAGTTAATAGATGGTCAGTTAAAACAAAATATAATATATACGATTGACTAATATGTCAAGTATCTTACTTAAAGATATTTTGAGGCTAGGCATGGTGACTCAAGCCTGTAATCCCAACACTGGGAGGCAGAGGCAGGCAGATCACTTGAGACCAGGAGTTCGAGACCAGCCTGGCCAACACAGCAAAACCCCGTCTCTACAAAAAACACAAAACTTAGCTAGGCATCATGGTGGTGCATGCCTGTAATCCCAGCTACTCGGGAGGCTGAGGCAGGAGAATCGCTTGAACCCGGGAGGCGGAAGTTGCAGTGAGCTGAGATCGTGCCACTGCACTCCAGCCTGGGAAACAGAGCAAGACAATGTCTCTAAAAAAAAAAAAAAAAAAATATATATATATATATATATATTTATATATATATATATATATATATTTATATATATATATACACACACACATATATATACACACACATATATACACACATATATACACATATATACACACACATATATACATATATGCACATATATACACACACATATATACATATATATGCACATATACACACACATATATATAGAGAGAGAGAGAGAGAGAAAGAGAGAGACTATCATCTCAATATAAACTTTCCATACAAACGGCAAGTTTTTTAAAAATATAAAATGTTAAGTGTTACAATTCAACTATTTTCTTCCCTTGGATAGTTTCATATAACTGGCAAATTAAACAGGTTTCCACTTTCAAGCCTCAAACCTTGGTAACAGTAAAGTTTACAAGGAGCCCAAATAAGATTTTTTTCCCCTTTTGTGTAAAAGGCCAGATAGAAGATATTTCGGTCTTTGTGGACTACTGAAATCTGTCACATATTACTATTTTTGTTTTACAATCCTTTAAAAATGTAAACCATTCTTGGCTGGTGGGCCGCCTTGGGCCTGCAGTAGTTTTCAGACCCTAGTATCACCACCTAGAGTGCTTGTAAAATGCAAATTCCTGGTCCCACTTCAGGCCTATTATTAATACATCAAATGACACGGATTGGGTCATTCTTCTGCACGCTAATTTCAAAGCCATAAGAAGTCAACATATAGCTAATAAAGGTTATATATAAGGTAAACTGATACTATTAACTTTAAGAACTTATTACCAGAGGCAAATGCTCTATTTCAGGCCTACATTCTCATGTATATTTTTTATGCAACCACGAAAATGTCATTTTCAAACTTTCTATACAAATGGCAAGCTTTTCAGACATTAAATACTAATCTTCAACATTTCATGTGTTTCTGGTTCACTGTTTCAAATGGTCTTTATACTCAATTTTTACTAGAGGCTCATTAGTTTTCTTTTGCTTCCCCTTCCTAAAACCAATACGGTGATGTGTACATAAATCTTAAATGTTTAACACACTTCCTGTTGCTTCCTAATACACGTACAGTATTTATTTATTTTACATGGAGTCTCACTCTGTTGCTCAAGATGAAGTGCAATGGCACGATCTCGGCTCACTGCAACCTCCGCCTCCCAGGTTCAAGCCATTCTCCTGCCTCAGGCTCCCGAGTAGCTGGGATTACAGGCGCCCGCCACCATGCCCCGCTAATTTCTTGTATTTTTAGTAGAGACGGGGTTTTGCAATGTTGGCCAGGCTGGTCTTGAACTCCTAACTTCAGGTGATCCACCTGCCTCAGCCTCCCAAAGTGCTAGGATTACAGGCGTGTGAGCCACCACGCCCGGCCAGTATTAATCTTTTCTTTCCCCCTTAAACCATGCAATCTCAAATGGGATTACCACCTCCATCTGTCCTCATTTTCCACCTCCCCAGGAGTTTAAGATTAGTGCCTGACAGATCTATGTTAGTGTATGAAGATACAATGTATGTAAAGTTTTCACAAGTCCCTGATAAAATTCACCTGGAATGCTTGTCGGACATATAGGTTCTTCCACTCCACCCACCCCTCTCCTGATTGTGATTTGGGAGGACTGGGGTGAGGCCTGGGACATAAAATCCATACAAACTCTTCAGGTGATCCTTGAGATTAGGCAATGGCTCCGCCACATTAGAGCCTCGATTATTTACCACTGACTATCCCACGTGTTGATAAACAATGTTTCTTATCAGCAATCAGGTGGATTCGAGGCACCCATCTAACCAAGTCAGAAATTGGAAGGAATGAAGTTTTGAACAAAAGAGGAGGAAAATTTTCAAAGCCAAATGCACATCAGATTCTTAAACAGGTGAGGAATTTCTCTCTTCTCTCTCAAATTAGAAATGAATTACTGTGATGCAAAAATCAGCAATACTGATCAACCATACGCTTCACACTTCTACTCGGAAGGTTCGGCAGTTTTCTTTCCAAATCAACCGGAAACGAAATCTTCCACTGTCTCAATTCAACAATAAAGCCTCTCCTACGACTTTGCCAGACACAAAGTGATACCTTCCATCAGACTTCGTCCTCCCTTAGATCACAAGCTAAAGAAGGCGACTGGTTGTAATGGAACACAACCTTTATAATTAGATGGAAAAAGAATAAAAACCGCCATTCTGCCAGCTGTACTAACTTCTTCACTTCAGAAACTGGCTCAACAGTTTCCACTCGCGATTATGAAGTGTGGCACGCAATGAACCCTCAGCTTAGTTCCCCTTCCAGTCACGTCCTTCCCAATGGGAAAGGAGAAAGCGCAGGCTCGCGGGGGGCTGGGCTGGGCAAGGGGAGCGAGAAGCGAGGACTGGACGGAGGCGAGAGAGGAGAGAGAAGGGGCAGGTAAGGTGAAGGGGGTGAGCTGGGGCCAGCACAAGAGGCCCAGACGGCCTCCGCCCCCGAGGATACACGGCCAGAGCTCAGGGACCAAGAGGCGAGAAGACCAGAGCGCGGCGGCTATTACCTGCGTCCGAGGAGCTGCGGCGGGGTTAGGACCGCAGTGAGCTCCTCGCAGCTGCGGCCGCCCACCGACGCACCCCACGCCTGGCCGCAGCCCCAGCCTCTCTGCGCCCAGCCTCGCCACGCCATCTTCCCAACCTCTGCCCCACCATGGCCCGACCTTACCAACCCCAGCTGCGCAACTACTTCCGGGGCGAAGGCAACACCATAGAGCACGAGGAGCAGTCTAGAGCGCCCCCGCGCGGCTGAGCGGCAGCCGAACCAGCCACGGTGCCCGGACGACTGGCTGGCGCCCTTCTGTCCCACCGCTTCCCCTCCCACTGCTCAGCTGGCTCCGGGAGCGACCTGCGAGAGTGGCCCGGCCTCCCGGCATTTGCAGATGAGGAGGATGGGGCCAGAGCGAAGAGGGACAACTGTCATTTTTTCGAGTAACGGCACATACCAGGCGCTTTGCCTAAGATCGCATTTAATCGTCACAGCACTGCTAGAGGTAGATGTCATCACTGTTTCACTTTGCCTCTGGTCAGAGGGGATAGGACTTGCCCGGAGTTGCAGGGCTGGTCCCTAGAGGAACCAACGTGGCAAGCCAAGTTTTCTTAAATTACTACTTTTTTCTGCATCTCACCACTTCGTGTTATTCTGTATGCCTTTAACAAAGTCCAAGCCTATCGGGCGGGGTGGCTCACCCCTTTAATCCCAGCACTTTGGGAGGCCGAGGCCGGCGGATCACCTGAGGTCAGGAGTTCGATACCAGCCCGGCCAACATGGTGAAACCCCGTCTCTACTAAAAATACAAAAATTAGCCGGGCATGGTGGCAGGGGCCTGTAATCCCAGCTACTCAGTTGGCTGAGGCAGGAGTATTGCTTGAACCTGGGAGGCGGAGGTTGCAGTGAGCCGAGATTGGACCACTGCACTCCAGCCTAGGTGACAGAGCGAGATCCGTCTCAAAAAAATTACAAATACAAATACAAAAATTAGCTGGGCGTGGTGGCGCAAACCTGTAATCCCAGCTACTCGAGAGGCTGAGGTGGGAGAATCACTTGAACTCGGGAGGTTGCAGTGAGCCGATATCGTGCCAGCCTGGGCAACAGAGTGAGACCCTTTCTCATAAATAAATAAGTAAATAAACACAAAATCCAAGCCTGAAATGAAAAGCGGGCTTTCACTTTTTCATAATCCATCCCTCAACTACCTGTCAGTTAGCTTGATTCCCTGCCATTCCATTCCCCCCGACCCTAGCTGCAGCCATACAGTCATTGGCCATTACTCAAAGGCACCATCCGCGTTCCCACTGCTGAGCATTCATGCTACCGTTCTCACCACTTGAAACATCTAACCGACTTGTCCTTCAGGTCAGCCTCAAGTGTCACCTCTTCCAGGAGGCCTTTCCCAGACCTCCACTCCAATTTAGATTCCCTTCCTTTGTACTCACATACCGCTTTATGCTTATCTCTGCAATAGCACTTCATTCATTCCATAAGCTCTTATTAAGCACCTACAGTGTGTCAGGTGATATGTTAAACCTGGGGATACAATTGAGAAGACACTATATCTGACCTCACAAAGATTCTATTGTATTGGGGGAGAAGGCTCTGTAGGAGTCTAGAGAGGGGGGATATAGCCCAATTGAAGGAAGGGGCATGGGAGGCTCAGGGAGAAGGCTTCCCAGAGAAACTGATAGAGGTCACCAAGAGAAGAGGATTGAAGTGTTCCTCAGAAAGAATAGCATTTGTGATGTCTCCCAGCGCACGACTTGTTTGAAAAACTAAAATAAATTCACGCCTTTTCCACACAACCCAGAGAGGGGCCCATACGGCATTGTTCTAGATTCTCTGTGGGCGGCAAGCCATCCAGGTGCCGAGGCAAGAGACCAAGGGCACGAGCTGTTCCAGTATAATAAAATATATAAAACAACAAGAGTTATACTAGATCTAGATCATAGACGTGATTATATATGAATATCATTAATCATCAGTTTGTAGCAATTATTCTTTATTCCAATATTATAATAATCCTCGCTCTATAATCATAACCTAGGAAAAACCGGGCCATACAGAGGCAGGAGCTGAGGGGACATAGTGAGGAGTGACCAAAAGACAAGAGTGCGAGCCTTCTATTATGCCCAGACAGGGCCACCAGAGGGCTCCTTGGTCTAGGGGTAATGCCAGCGTCTGGGAAGATGCCCGTTGCCAAGCAGACTGTGGTCTAGCGGTAGCATGTCAAGGAAAAACACCTGCTACTTAGTAGTCCCTGGGGGAGTTTAGAGAAGACTCTACTCCTCCACCTCTTGTGGAGGGCCTGACATTAGTCAGGCTTTCCCGCAGTTATCCGGAGGCCTAACCGTCTCCCTGTGATGCTGTGCTTCAGTGGTCACGCTCCTAGTCTGCCTTCGTGTTCCATCCTGTACACCTGGCTCTGCCTTCTAGATAGCAGTAGCAAATTAGTGAAAGTACTAAAAGTCTCTCATAATGGTGTAAGTTGTTTCTCTCTTTGTCTCCTCTCTCTCTCTGCCTCGGCTGCCAGGCAGGGAAGGGCCCCCGTCCAGTGGACACGTGACCCACGTGGCCTTACCTATCATTGGAGATGGCTCACTCTCCTTATCCTGCCCCTTTGTCTTGTATCCAATAAATATCAGTGCAGCCTGGCATTTGGGGCCACTACCGGTCTCCGTGTCTTGGTGGTAGTGGTCCCCCGGGCACAGCTGTCTTTTCTTTTATCTCTTTGTCTTGTGTCTTTATTTCTACGCTCTCTCGTCTCTGCATGTGGGGAGAGACCCACCGACCCTGTGGGGCTGGTCCCTACAATTCTCATTGTAACTTAAAGGGAAACTTTCACAATGTCTAGAGCCCTTGATGTCCTGCAAATGAAGGAGGAGGATGTCCTTAAGTTCCTTGCAGCAGGAACCCACTTAGGTGGTACCAACCTTGACTTCCAAATGGAGTAGCACATCTGTAAGAAGAAAAGTGATGGCGTCTACATCCTACATCTGAAGAGGACCTGGGAGAAGCAAGAAGTTTCTGCTGGCAGCTCGTGCCATCGCTGCCTTTAAAAACCCTGTTGATGTCAGTGTCATGTCCTCTAGCAATACTGGCCAGAGGGCTGTGCTGAAGTTTGCTGCTGCCACTGGAGCCACTCAAATTGTTGGCCGCTTCACTCCTGGAACCTTCACTAGCCAGACCCAGGCAGCCTTCAGGGAGCCACGGCTTCTAGTGGTTACTGATCCCAGGGCTGACCACCAGCCTCTCACAGAGACATCTTATGTTAACCTACCTACCATTGCTCTATGTCACACAGATTTTCCTCTGCGCTATGTGGACATTGCCATCACATGCAACAACAAGGGAGCTCCCTCAGTGGGTCCGAGCTGGTGGATGCTGGCCCTGGAAGTTCTGCGCGTGTGTGGCACCATTTCCCTCGAACACCCATGGGAGGTCATGCCTGATCTCTACTTCTACAGAGATCCTGAAGAGATTGGAAAAGAGGAGCAGGTTGCTGCTGAAAAGACTGTGACCAAGGAGGAATTTCAGGGCAAATGGACTGCTCCAGCTCCTGAGTTCACCGCTATTCAGCCTGAGGTTGGAGACTGGTCTGATGGTGTACAGGTGCCCTCTGTGCCTATTCATCAGGTCCCTACTGAAGACTGGAGTGCTCAGCCTGCCACAGAAGACTGGTCTGCAGCTCCCACTGCTCAGGCCACTGAATGGGTAGAAACAACCACTGAATGGTCTTAAGCTGTTCTTGCACAGGCTCTTAAGCAACATGGAAATAACGTTGATGGAAAATACACATCAGTTTCTAAAAAATAAATTCACTTTGGTTATATCAGAGGTGTCAAGTCTGGGATTTGATTTTACCCTATTTGCAAGCTAAAAGATTGGATGTTGGCAAAAGACAGGAGACTCCTGGGTCAGAGACAAAACACTTTATATTACCACGGCATGTTCTCCAAGTCCCATGGTGGCAATGCCATGAGCCAAATGGATGAAGAACATGCAGTGGATTTGCATCTCAACCAAAGAATACTGAGCCTGGGGAATCTACTGTTTAATAGTGAGTTTTTATAGTAAACAAGCGAACAATCTTGAAAGGTAGAGATGTTTTCCTCAAGAGCAAAGGGCAGTTGGCTTATAACCTTGGAAGAAAGATAATATCACCCTAGAGAGCACAGGCTTGTGTGCTGCCTATCATAAAAGATTCTAATGCCATGACGGGGCATAGGGGCTCATGCCTGTAATCCCAGTATTTTGGGAGGCCGAGGTGGGTGGATCACTTGAGGCAAGGAGTTCAACGCCAGCCTGGCCAACATGGTAAAACCCCATCTCTACTAAAATTAGAAAAATTAGCCAGGCTTGGTGGCACACGTCTGTAGTTCCAGCTACTCAGGAGGCTGAGGCAAGAGAATCAGGTGAACCCAGGAGGCAGAAGTTGCAGTGAGCCAAGACTGTGCCACTGCACTCCAGCCTGGGGGACAAAGCGAGACTTTGTCTCAAAAAAAATAATAATCATTAAATAAATAAAAGATTCTGATTCAGCCAGGCACGGTGGCTCTAGCACTTTGGGAGTCCTAGGTGGGTGGATCACCTGAGGTCAGGAGTTCGAGACCAGCCTGGCCAACATGGTGAAACCCCGTCTCTACTAAAAATACAAAAATTAGCCAGGTGTGATGGTACACGCCTGTAATCCCAGCTACCCAGGAGGTTGAGGCAGGAGAATCACTGGAACCATGGAGGCAGAGGCTGCAGTGAGCTGAGATCATGCCGTTGCACTCCAGCCTGGGCAACAAAGCAAGACTCTGTCTCAAAATAAATAAATAAAAGATTCTACTTCCTCAGTTCAGAATTCCTCTCCTTAATGCAACCCACTGAGTCTGCAGGTACAGTCCAGCCCTCTTCACATTGCTCCATGAGAATTGGGACTCAAGGAACCAGCACAAAAATTCTAATAGTCTGGCTAATGCTATTGCTGTGGGTAATAAATTGTCCTTCATTTCTGACCCAGGAGTCTTGTATTTTCTGCCAGCACCCATAAAACTATACCAGGCTAACTTGTTAGTTTTCAAGTAGGGTGAAATATTAGACCCTTCACGATTCTCTATAGGGATCTGTGAATTTACCATTTCAGAGGGTGAGAGCTTCTCTTAGGGACTGAAAAGAACTTGGGTGTGGCCATAGGGCTGATGGCTGAAGAGGAACGAACTGAAAGTCACTAAACATGAGGGAGCTCAGAAACAGAGAGGTCCTGGACGTTGACTGCATTGCTCACACGAACTTGAGGTCTTCAGGGTGATGGCAGGACTTGGAATGAAATCCTAACATTTCAGTGAAGAAGAGGGTGACTAGAAGGCTATTAATAGTGCTGAAGAGGTGCTAGAGATAAAGGAGACAGTTTCAGCAGAGGAGACATATGTGGTCAAGGTGGTCTTTGGGCAAGTAATCTGGAAGAATTATGAGGGCATGAGGAGGATGCTCACCTCCGGAACCTAAGGGGCCTGGGGCTGGGGTGTGCTGAATATCCTCCGCTTGCCCCTCCAGCTCACTCTCATACACTGCTCCAGGCCACCGGAGGCTGACTTTTTTTTTTTTTTTGAGACGCTCTCTCGCCCAGGCTGGAGCACAGTGGTGCGATCTCTGCTCACTGCAACCTCCGTCTCCCAGGTTCAAGTGATACTCCTGCCTCAGCCTCCCGAGTAGCTGGGATTACGAGTGCCCCCTACCATGCCTGGCTAATTTTTGTATTTTATTATTTTCTTTTTAGACAGAGTCTCACTCTGTCGCCAGGCTGGAGTGCAGTGGCACGATCTCAGCTCACTGCAACCTCTGCCTCCTGGGTTCAAGCGATTCTCCTGCCTCAGCCTCCTGAGTAGCTGGGATTACAGGCACACGCCACCACACCTAGCTAATTTTTGTATTTTTAGTAGAGATGGGGTTTCACCATGTTAGCCAGGATGGTCTCGATCTCTTTACTTTGTGATCCGCCTGCCTCAGCCTCCCAAAGTGTTGGGATTATAGGCGTGAGCCACTGTGCCTGGCCTAATTTTTGTATTTTTAGTAGAGGCAGGGTTTCACCATATTGGTCAGGCTGGTCTTCAACTCCTGACCTCAGGTGATCCACTCGCCTCGGCCTCCCAAAGTGCTGGGATTACAGGTGTGAGCCACCGCGCCCGGCCAGGAGGCTGACCTTTATGGACTACATCAATGGGCTCTCTTGCTCTCTGGCTCCTAGCTGGGCTCAGCCAATTACAGCCACAAACAAGAGATCGGAGCATAAGGGAAAAATGAGTTTAGAGCACTTATTCTTCCCAGTCCCTCCCTTCTTGAGCCACATGCATTGGCTTCTGTGTTCTCTGTTCTGAAACTCTCCTCATTGCTCCATTTGAGTGAGTGAGCGTGCCCTTTCTGATCAGAACCTGAACTGGCACAGGAAACAAGCACCCTCCATTCAGAGGCTGCAGGAGCATCCTCAGGGGACAGCCAGGGCTCAGTCAGCTGACAAAGGGAAGGACTGGGTAAGGTGTGCTGACCATGAACCAGGCGAAGGAATATTTATTGATTATTATTAGTAGTTGCAATTTATTAGGCACTTAGCATGTACCAGGGACTGTGCTAGGTATTCTTCATGCATTATTATATTTTTAAATTTATTTTTATTTATTTATTTTTTTTGAGATAGTCTCGCTATATTGCCCAGGCTAGAGTGCAGTGGTGCCATCTCTGCTCACTGCAACCTCCGCCTCCTCGATTCAAGCAATTCTTGTGCCTCAGCCTCCCGAGTAGCTGGGATTACAGGTGCCCGCCACTAAGTCCGGCTAATTTTTGTATTTTTAGTAGAGACAAGGTTTCACCATATTTGGCCAGGCTGGTCTCGAACTCCTGACCTCAAGTGATCTGCCCGCCTTGGCCTCCCAAAGTACTGGGATTATAGGCATGAGTCACCACACCCGGCTGCATTATTATACATATATATACACGTATATATATACATATATACGTGTATATATACATATACACATATATATACATATATACACATATACACGTATATATACATATATACACATATACATATATACACATATACATATATACACTATATATACACATATACATATATATACGTGTATATATATGTATATATACGTGTGTGTGTGTGTATATATATATATATTTTTTTTTTTTGAGACGGAGTCTTGTTCTGTCACCCAGGCTAGAGTGTGGTGGCATGATCTCAGCTCACTGCAACCTCCGCCTCCCGGGTTCAAGCGATTCTCCTGCCTCAGCCTCTCAAGTAGCTGGAACTACAGGCGTGCGCCACCACACCCAGCTAATTTTTGTATTTTTAGTAGAGACAGGGCTTCACCATGTTAGCCAGGCTGGTCTCGGACTCCTAACCTCAGGCAATCCACCCGCCTCAGCCTCCCAAAGTGCTGGGATTACAGGCGTGAGCCACTGCGCCTGGCCGCATTATTATATTTAATGTTAATATCAATCAAATGAGTTAGCATTGTTATCTCCACTTTGCAGATGAGGGAACTGAGGCTTATTGATATTCTGATACTTTCTAACTAATTCACCGGCTAGCTTCTGACTTTTATTCCTGTAAATTCAGGCTGGCCCGGTGGCTCACACCTGTGATCCCAGCACTTTGGGAGGCGAAGATGGGCAGATCACCTGAGGTCAGGAGTTTGAAACCAGCCTGGTCAACATGGTGAAACCCTGTCTCTACTAAAAATACAAAAATTAACCAGGCGTGGTGGCGCGTGCCTATAATCCCAGCTATCCGGGAAGCTGAGGCAGGAGAACTGCTTGAACCCGGGAGGTGGGGGTTGCAGTGAGCCAAGATCACTGAACTCCAGCCTGGGTGACAGAGTGAGACTCCATCTCAAAAATTAATTAATTAATTCAGATAATTGTATCTACCTTGTCACTTTGGTATTTAAATGGCTTCGTCTATGTTAGGTGCCCAGTGCACTTCCTAGCACACGGTTGGCAATCAACACATGGCAGCTATTGTCATATCGTCATGAGGATATGGAAGCTGAAAGGGAAGCCTATCCACAGGGGAAGGGCTCCCTGCAGCGTCATCATTTTAGAGCTAAAAACAAAGGTGCGAGTACTTTTGGATGCTGTCTAGGGGAAGGAGAGCCCTGCCAACATAAACAGAGCATTCATCACCCGCCAGGCCCTGTGCTGGGCATTGTCACTCCCGACAATCCTAAAGGAAGCCTCCATTTGTCATATGAGGAGACCGAAGCACACAAGGACTGGGTTATTGAGAGCAAAACTGGGATTTCAACCAAGGCCAAAGTCCAGGTGAGGGAAAGCTTCCTGGAGGAGTTGGCCTTTCAATGGAATAACACGCAGAGGGCTGGACAGGATCAAAGACAGGAGGCTGGATGGTGGAGAGGATGAGTGTTAGAAGGGGCTGCAAGCTCCAGACAGGGGCTCTAACAGAGAAAGGGTTAGGAAAGTGAGGTAGGAAGCAGGTGAATTAGAGCCTGGCTTTGTTTTCTCTGCCCCAGATCCTGCCTGGATCACAGAGAGCTGCCAGCTCAGGGTGGGACCTCCCAGGGCCGAGAACCCCAGGCTGTCTCCTGCTCTCTGGGACCCCACTTGCCTAGTGCTTCCCAGTCTGGACTCCCGAGGCCCTGGATATGGCACCGCACAGAAAATAAGATATCTATGAGAAAGCTCCAGGATTTCACAAAGCCTGAAGAAAGGCCAGAGGCTAATTCACACATCATGGTTTTTGTTTTTTGTTAGGTTTTGTTATGAGACAGGGTCTTACTCTGTCAGCCAGGCTGAAGTGCAGTGGCGCGATCTCTGCTCACTGCAATCTTCGCCTCCTGGGTTCAAGCGATTCTCCTGCCTCAGTCACCCAAGTAGCTGAGACTATGGTGTGCACCACCACGCCCGGCTAATTTTTGTATTTTTAGTAGAGATGGGGGTTTAACCATGTTGCCCAGGCTGATCTTGAACTCCTGGCCTCAAGTGATCCACCCACCTCAGCCTTCCAAAGTGCTGGGATTACAGGCGCAAGCCATTAAGCCTGGCCAATACGTCATGTTTTATTTCTGGTTAGACTCCTTTCAGCCTGGTGTAGCAGTAATGATTGATCTCCTACTAATTAGAAACATTGGTTCATTCATATGTACGTCCTTTAAATAACACAAAAGAGAGAGGTAAGGCATTTCCTTTTTTTTTTTGAGATGGAGTCTCATTCTGTCTCCCAGGCTGTAGTGCAGTGGTGCAATCTCTGCTTACTACAACCTCCGCCTCCCAGGTTCAAGCGATCCTCCTGCCTCAGCCTTCAGAATAACTGGGATTACAGGCACGTGCCACCATACCCAGTTAACTTTTTTGTATTTTTAGTAGACAGGGCTTCACCATGTTTGCCAGACTGGTCTTGAACTCCTGACCTCCGGTGATCTGCCCGCCTTGGCCTCTCAAAATGCTAGGATTACTGGCGTGAGCCAACGTGTCCGGCCCGAGGCATTTCCTTTTTAAAGCTCAGATTTATTGAGGCATGGCTTATATACAATAACACTCATTTAAGTGTACAGTTGTATGAGTTTTGACAAACACATACAGTTGTGTAACCATCACCACAATCAAGATACAGAACATTTCTATTACCCCAGAAAGTTTCCTCATGTCTTTTTACAGTCAACCTATAACCCTGCTCCCGAATCCTGGCAGCCACTTATCTATGGAATATTTTCTGTCCCTATAGGTTTGCCTTTTTAAGAATATCACAGAAATGGAATCATATAATTCATAGATATGCATTTGTGTGAACATATATTTTCATTTCTTTTGGGTAATACCTAAGATTGGGACTGCTGGGTTGTGTGGTGTAATGTTTAATTTTACAAGAAATTGCCAAACTGTTTTCCAATGTAGTCGTACCTTTTTACATTTCCACCTGCAGGGTATGAGAATTCCATTTGCTTCGCATCTTTTCCAGTACTTGGGATTGTCAGGGTTTTCTTTTTAGCAGTTCTAATCGGTATGTAATGGTATTTCATTTGATTTTAGTTTGCATTTCCTTGATGCAAGTCAGTCTTTTTTTTTCTGAGACAGAGTCTCGCTCTGTCACCCAGGTTGGACTGTAGTGGTATAATCTCCGCCCACTGCAACCTCTGCCTCCAGGAACTCACAAGTCATTCTTTGTTTTTGCTTTTGTTTGTTTGTTTGTTTGTTTGTTTGTTTTTGAGACAGTTTCACTCTTGGATCCCAGGCTGGAGAGCAGTGGTGCGATCTTGGCTCACTGCAACCTCTGCCTTCTGGGTTCAAGCGATTCTCCTGCCTCAGCCTCCCGAGTAGCTGGGATTACAGGTGCCTGCCACCATGCCCGGGTAATTTTTGTATTTTTAGTAGAGATGGGGTTTCACCATGTTTGCCAGGTTGGTCTTGAACTTCTGACCTCAAGTGATCCACCTGCCTCGGTCTCCCAAAGTGCTGGGATTACAGGTGTGAGCCACCATGCCCAGCCACAAGTCATTCTTTTTTAATAAACAAGGCTTGTCTGGAGATGCAAGGATTCAAAATTTAGGGACCCTTGTGTGGAAACTAAAGTGGGTCTTTGGTGAAGAATTTGCTGGAAACAGTTATATGGTCTGCTGGCTTTGCTGTATTGAGATGGTGAGATCTTTCTCTGCCCCAGGTCTGCAGAGAACTGCAGTTCTTCCTTCTGGTCAGGAGAGGGCAGGAGAAGGCAGAAAATAAGCTGCCCCCGCTTCACTTTTTTTTTTTTTTTTTTTTTTTTTGGTTTACCAGTCCCCGGCATCTAGAGTATTCGCATTTGCATGCATTATTATATTCATAGTTTTGCTCGAAAGTTTGCCTTTTCCTCTGAACCTAGTTAGCTGCTGCCTTGTGAGGCTTGATTCCCCAATATTAACTTTGTGGACTGATTTAATGCCAAACTTAACCAATCTTATAAAATCTTCGCCTGCCAAAGCATAACTAACCTAATTTAAGAATTGAACTACCCAAACTGAGCTACCTCTGTAGAATCCTTGCTAAGTCTATTCTCCAGTGTCACCCCACAGAGCTTGTGTTAGGGGCAACCATGAGCAGCTGAGCTGCATGAACCCCTGGTCCTCCTCTTTTCTAACTTTGCAGGAACCAAAAGAGACTGAGGAAGGACTTCATGGGGGACAGGCCTCCAGACCCCCAGTGGCTACAGGCCATCCTCCCTAGGACCAGGGCTGGGGCTGCTCAGGCGGGGCACTGCGCAGATCTCCTGGGGCTGGGGTTGCCAAGTGCCGCCAAAGATGTACTCCAGCTTGAGCCCCGGGCTCCCTTCTGGCAGTTGGAACCGAAAGGTCCTGAGGAGGGTGGCAAACATCAGGAAGAGCTCCATTTGAGCCAGCTGGTCTGCTGGGTAGACACGATGCCCTGGAAACAGAGAGAAAAGTCAGAGGTGGCAGCTGTCCCTGTGTCTGTCCCACCACAGCCCCACCCACCACCCAGGATCCAGCTCTGTGCCTAGTACCTGCAGAGAATGGCAGGAAGGCCTCATTGGCCACAAAGTTTCCATCCTTGTCCGAGAAGTGGCCAGGGTTGAACTGTCGAGGGGTCTCCCAGCACTCAGGGTCATAGAGCACAGAGGCCAGGTTGGGTAAGATGATGGTGCCCTGCAGAGAGATGCTGGTGTGGCTCAGGGAGCCTCAGATGGTACCCAGTACCCAGCCCTGACACTGAGCCACAGTGAGCTTGGAGAATACCCAGTGTGTTGGTGGGAGTAGTCCAGGGGCCTTGAGGAGACTCAGCAGCCGGCCCTCAGGCTGCCCTTCCTCCAGGCTCACATCAGTGAAGGAGCTGAGCAGGACACCCTCCTGGCTAAGGACTGCCCAGCTTTGTCCTGAAGACTCCCAGCCACGTCTAGGGACATGAAGCCATTGCCTCCTACAGAGAAGGCCAACAGCTGGGGGCATGTCTGGAAGGGGCCAAGGACAGCCCAGGACAATACACACTGGGGCAGGGGATGTGTGCACACGTGGGTGTTAAGAGGAAGAGACAGAACGAGGAGAAATGGAATGGCAAACAAGCAGAGAAAGAGGAACTGAGTGATGGAAAGACAGAGAGGAGACAGCAAGCTTCACTCTTTAGGGTTGGGGAGAGGAAAACATGAACCATAAGCCCAACTCTAACCTTCAACCTAACCCCAACCCTCACCTTCCCCCAAACCCAAACCCAAATCTTCCCTCTCACCCTCACCTCAGCCCTCACTCTATCTCAAAGGAGAAGTGAGTGATTAGAAAGAGAATCAGACCAAGCAGATGGGAGCAGGGTAACATCTGCTCCTTACCATGTGGGCCCTGGGCTGACCGGAAACAGCATAAGGAGGCCAAAGTGGAGCCAGGATGGGGTCGGTTATGGTCCCCAGCCCTAGAACACTCAGCTCTGGGATTCCGGGGAAGGCCTCATACCCCAGGGCTCATTTACCAAATACCACAAAATTAAACCAGCTATCCCTGTAGAGACCAGAGGGCTGACTACAGAATTCTTGATTCTGACCAAAGAAAAAGCTTGAAATTAAAAAAAAAAAAAAAAGCTTAGCGAGTTTGAAGCCTGCATTCTAAACAGAAACCAATAAAGAATGCAGAAATGGAGCAGCAGATGCTGGCTGGTCGCAGTGGCTCACACCTGTAATCCCAGCACTTTGGGAGGCCAATCAGGGCGGATCGCTTGAGGTCAGGAGTTTGAGACCAGCCTGGCCAACACGGTGAAACCCCATCTCTACTAAAAATACAAAAATTAGTCGGGCGTGGTGGCAAGTGCCTATAGTCTCAGCTACTCGGGAGGCTGAGGCAGGCAAAGGTTGTAGTGAGCCAAGATCACGCCTCTGCATTCCAGCCTGGGCGACAGAGCAAGATTCCATCTAAAAAAACAAAACAACAACAACAAAAAAAAAAACAGAATGCAGAAATTGTTTTCAGGGGAAATTGTTCTTTTTTGCCGTTGTTGCAGTACGGCACGCTTAGGCAAGGTGCCTCATCCTAGCCATGTGTACCAATAGGGCACCCAGACTTGCTCACTCTGTAGCTTCAAGCAGAGGTGTTGGGGAGGCCTGTGTTCTTGCTGCTGCCTGAGTGAGCTATAGATTTCCCAGTTCTAGTCATGGGAATTCCCCCATTTTCTCTACCTGGGATTAAGTAACCTCTGCATTGCAACGGTTCTTACTAATCACCTTCAGAGGAGGAGGCTCCTAGCAAGATGCTCTTTTCCCTCCAGAATTATTTGTGTCCTTTTTTGGGTGATGTTCTGGCCTCCTTGCAAAGGAGGTTCTCAGCTCATGGAACAGGTTCAGAGCACAGCCTATCCAGTATGCAAAAAGGACAGCGCCCCGCCCCCCGCAACAACCGCCCTCCACTTCCCCAGACTGTAGAACCATCTACCTGCTGGGTACCTCCTGGGGTCGCTGTGCCAGCTTCTGCCCAGTAAATGGCAATTTGGAATTCGCAATCAAATAGAATGTCTGAGAAGAGAGACAGGCTGGAAGTGCAACCGTCGTATCAGGGACTATTGCTGTTGTCACGATCACTCAGCTGATGAAATGGTTAGGAACAGTTTAGGAATATCTGTAACATTTAATGATCTACTGTCAAGCTTTGATTCCACTTTCAGCAGACATCTCTCGTCCAAGTTGTAAAAGCTCAATATTGATTTCAGCTCGTTAATGGGCCCCTGGAGCCTTTATCACAGAACAAGTCCTAGAATCAAATTGGCAGGAATGAGCTCTTAATAAGGAAATTTCTAATCCCAAACGGCATAACACAGAGCAGTACCCTGGCCCCCTCTTTTTAACTTAAGTTGGCACAGCTTCTAGACAACCTGGGCCTGGGTCCTTCTGCCACGCCAGCAGCAAGATGACCTGATGCCCTGGTCCTATCCACTTTCCCAGAGACTCTTGACAAACCTGTAAACTTGCTGGCCAATTTCTGCCAAGGACAGAATGACAGTGTAAAACATCTCCATTGAACACATTGGTTCACTTACCTAGAGTGGCATTTTCGTATAAATACAAACAGCAGGGCATATGGTAGGAAAAGAAAACACTTTAGAGTCAGAGGGACATGCATTTGAAACTCAGCTAAGTCACTTACTAGCTGTGTTTGGGCAGTTTCTTAAGCTGCCTATGCTGAAGTTTCTCTATCTATGGAAAAGAAACAGCAACAAAGCGTCCGAAGGATAGGGCTTCTGTGAAGAAAAAAATCTGTGGAGGAAGGAACCTCAAGTCTGGGCAAATTAATAATAAGTTAATAATGGGGCTGGGCATGGCGGCTTATGCCTGTAATCCCAGCACTTTGAGAGGCAGAGGCAGGAGTTCAAGACCAGCCTGGCCAACCTGGTGAAACCCCGTCTTTACTACAAATTAAAAAAAAAATAAAAATAATAAAAATTAGCTGGACGTGGTGGCACGTGCCTGTAATACCAGCTACTTGGGAGGATGAGGTGGGAGAATTGCTTGAGCCCCGGAGGTGGAGGCTGCAGTGAGCTGAGATCACACCACTGTACTCCAGGGCAGTACTCGGGGCAGAGCCAAAGCTCCTTTCCGAGGAAAGTCTCAGGGCTCCCGCCACCACCTCTATGTACAGAGGCATCACCCTGCACCAGGGCACCAAGATGAGTCGCTCTGTTTCATTTTCATTAAAATGGCAACCTCACCACCTACACATGTTGGTATGTTACCTGTTGCGGGAAGTCAGGGACCCCGAACGGAGGGACTGGCTGAAGCCATGGCAGAAGAACCTGGATTGTGAAGATTTCACGGACATTTATTAGTTCCCCAAATTAATACTTTTATAATTTCTTATGCCTGTCTTTACTGCAATCTCTAAACATAAATTGTAAAGATTTCATGGACACTTATCACTTCCCCAGTCAATACCCTTGTGATTTCCTATGCCTGTCTTTACTTTAATCTCTTAATCCTGTCAGCTGAGGAGGATGTATGTTGCCTCAGAACCTTGTGATAATTGCATTAACTGCACAAATTGTAGAGCATGTCTGTTTAAATGATATGAAATCTGGGCACCTTGAAAAAAGAACAGGATAACAGCAATTGTTCAGGGAATACGAGAGATAACCTTAAACTCTGACCACCGATGAGCCGGGTGGAACAGAGCCATATTTCTCTTCTTTCAAAAGCAAATGGGAGAAATATCACTGAATTCTTTTTCTCAGCAAGGAAGATCCCTGGGAAAGAGAATACGCGCCTGGGGGTATAGGCCTATAAACGGCCCCCCTAGGTGTGCCTGTCTCTTATGGTCGAGGCTATAGGGGTGAAATAGACCCCAGTCTCCCATAGCACTCCCAGGCTTATTAGGAAGAGGAAATTCCCGCCTAATAAATTTTTGGTCAGACCAGTTGCTCTCAAAACCCTGTCTCCTGATAAGATGTTATCAATGACCATGGTGCCCGAAACTTCATTAGCAATTTTAATTTTGCCCCAGTCCTGTGGTCCTGTGATCTTGCCCTGCCTCCACTTGCCTTGTGATATTCCATTACCTTGTAAAGTACTTGATGTCTGTGACCCACACCTATTTGCACATTCCCTCCCCTTTTGAAAATCCCTAATAAAAACTTGCTGGTTTTTGCGGCTTGTGGGGCATCACGGAACCCACCGACACGTGATGTCTCCCCCAGACGCCCAGCTTTAAAATTTCTCTCTTTTGTACTCGTCCCTTTATTTCTCAAGCTGGCCGACGCTTAGGAAAAACAGAAAAGAACCTACGTGACTATCGGGACAGATTCCCCGATAGTTACCCCAGTTAGCCTTGACTCCCAGGATACACACCTTTGTGTAATCCCCTCCCCTTGAGGATAGGATGGATTTAGTAACTCACTTCTAACAAATAGAAAATGGGCCAGACGCAGTGGCTCATGCATGGAATCCCAGCACTCTGGAAGGCCAAGGTGGGAGGATCACTTGAGCCCAGGAATTTGAGACCAACCTAGGCAACATGGTGAAACCCCATCTCTACCAAAAATTTAAAAATTAGCCCATTGTGGTGGCACAATGTGGTGCCTGTAGTTCCAGCTACTCAGGCAGCTGAGGTGGGAGGATCACCCAAGCCTGGGAGGTTGAGGCTGCAGTGAGCTATTATTGTGTCCCTTCACTCCAACCCAGGCAACAGAGGGAGACACTGTCTCAAACCAACAACAACAACAACAACAAACCCAACAAATAGAATATGGCAAAAGCGGCCGGGTGCGGTGGCTCACACCCGTAATCCCAGCACCTTGGTAGGCTGAGGCAGGCCAATCACTCGAGGTCAGGAGTTCAAGACCAGCCTGGCCAACATGGTAAACTCCATCTCTACTAAAATATACAAAAATTAGCCAGGCATGGTGGCACATGCCTGTAATCACAGCTACTCGGGAGGCTGAGGCAGGAGAATTGCTTGAGCCCAGGAGGCAGAGGCTGCACTGAGCTGAGATTGCACCACTGCACTCCAGCCTGGGGTGACAGAGCGAGATTCTGTCTCAAAAAAAAAGAATATGGCAAAAGCAATGGGATATCACATCTAAGATTAGGTTACAAAAAGACCATTGCTTCTATTTTGGGTGCCCTCTTGCTTGCTCTCTCTGATGGGGTTCAGCTGCCATGTTTTGAGCTACCCTATGCAGAGGCCCATGTGTCAAGGAACTGAAGGTCTCCAGCCAACAGTTCATGAGCAACCGGGTCCTGAAGACCTCCATGTAAGTGAGCTTGAAGTGGAGCCTCCCCTAGGGGAGTCTTCAGGTGACACTGTAGCCCCAACAACAACTTGATGGTAACCTCATGAGAGACCTTGAGTCAGAGGCATCCAGCTGAGCCACACCCATTTTCCTAACCCTCAGAAACTGTGAAATGATAAATGCTGTTGTTCTAAGCCACTAAGTTTTGGGGTAATTTGTTACACAGTAAGATAGGTAAGTAATTCAACATCTGTCATCTAGGATCTGCAAGGCTCCGTCAACAATACAGAGCACCATTGTACCGAATGACACCGTGGGCACAAAGCCCTCAGCACACAGCAAGCCTGGGCAAAGAGCAGGTGTCCTCATGTTATTGTCCAGCTCACGTCAAAAATCTGCTCGGAAAGCTATCTCAAGCTGGATCACCAGAGAGCTATCATCTTCAACTATGCTCGAGACCAACCTGGGCAACATGGTGAAACTGCATCTCTGCAAAAAAACAAAGCAACAACAACAACAAAAACAACGAAAATTAGCCAGGCATGGGGGCTCATGCCTGTAGTCCTAGCTACTCGGGAGGGTGAGGTGGGAAGATCGATTGAGCTGGGAGATAGAGGCTGTGGTGAGCCGTGATCGTGCCAATGCACTCTAGCCTGGGTGACAGAGCAAGACTCTGTCTCAAAAATAAATAAATATTGGCCGGACGCGGTGGCTCATGCCTGTAATCCCAGCACTTTGGGAGGCTGAGGCAGGCAGATCACTTGAGGTCAGGAGTTCTAGACGAGCCTGGCCAACATGGTGAAACCCTATCTCTACTAAAAAATACAAAAATTAGCCGGGCATGGTGGCACACACCTGTCATCCCAGCTACTCGGGAGACTGAGGCAGAATAGCTTGAACCTGGGAGGCAGAGGCTGCAGTGAGCCAAGATTGAGCCACTGCACTCCAGCCTAGGTGACAGAGCAAGACTCCATCTCAAAAAAAAAAAAGAATAGAGGTTAAAAATAAATAATTATTTATATAAACTTCAACTGTGTTATTTTGGCTGACTGTAGGAATGAAAGGAATTTTATCTCTTAAAAGGAATTGAGATAAGAAGCAGCTGCCATCTTGAAGAATATTTCTGCATCTTTTAAAAACTCCTGCTTAAATCACTGCCACTACATGGTCCACTGGCCCACAAAAGAATATTGTGAATGATGATCCTTGTCATAACTTACAGGCATGTGATAAGCCAAAGCTTTCCTGATACAGGCATGCTTCCTTTTATTACATAATAACTCATAATTAATCGAGATTTCCTTTTTTCCCTTCACTCCAATGAAATTCAGACTCGAGTTTTATGTACATATGTGGCAACTGTTCTTGATTTGACTTATTTTTATAACTTTCTTCCTCTCTCCTTATTTGGCACTTGTTTTCTTAACCTTGCTATAAAATGAAAGAAGCAAGCAAGGCATTTCTGCTAGAAACCAGTTTTAAGGAGATAATACAAAATGCAGACCAAGCCTAAGGCACATAAATTGCAAATGGCCTAAATGTTCACCAACAAGGGTTAAAATTGCAAAACATCCATTTGGTGGAACATTATGCAGCCATTAAGAATGATGTAGATGCCCAGTGTGGTGGCTCACACCTGCAATCCCAGCACTTTGGGAGGCCTAGGCGGGCGATCACCCGAGGTCAGGAGTTCGAGACCAGCCTGGCCAACATGGTGAAACCCCGTCTTTACTAAAAATACAAAAAAAAAAAAAAAATTAGCCAGGCATGGTGGCACACCTGTAGTCCCAGCTATGTAGGAGGCTGAGGCAGAAGAATCGCTTGAACGTGGGAGACAGAGGTTGTGGTGAGCCGAGATCACACCACTGCACTCCAGCCTGGGAGACAGAACAAGACTCTGTTTCAAAAAAACAACAACAAAAACAAAACAACAAAAAACAGAATGATGTAGAGCAGTGGTTTTCAAAGCATGGTCCCTGGACTCACAGCATCAGCACCACCTGGGAGCTTGTTAGAAAGGCAAATTCTCAGCCCACCCTAGACAGATAATGTCTGGAGGAAGAGTCCAGCAGTGTCTGCTTTCACAAGCCGTCCAGGTGATTCTGATGTACCTGGAAGTTTGAGAACCACTGCTATAGAAGAATCTGAATATTAAGTGCAATGAAGGATTCAGAATGATATATTCAGCAGAATTGCAACTATGTAAACTATATGTGTGCAAAAAAAGATTGGAGAGTGGTGGATTATCATGTCTGCAAAGGTTATCTCTGAACAACAGAGAACTTTAAAAATTATCCCTCAGTGAGTACATTCTTTATATTATACATTTTTTTTTTGAGACAGAGTCTCACTCTGTCACTCAGTACGGAGTGCAGTGGTGCAATTATGGCTCACTGCAGCCTCAACCTCCCGGGCTCAAGCGATCCTCCTGCCTTAGCCTCCCAAGTATCTGGGACTACAGGTGTGCACCACCATGCCTGGCTAATTTTTTTTTATGTTTTATAGAGACGGGGTCTCGCCATGTTGCCCAGGCTGATCTTGAACTCCTAGGCTCAAGCAATCCTCCCACCTCAGCCTCTCAAAGTGCTGGGATTGTAGGCGTAAGCCATGGCACCCGGCTACATTCTTTTATAATCATAACCCCCGTCCCAAACGCCACAGAGAGAGAGAGAGATTAAGTGACTGATAGCTGGCAGGTTGGCAGAAGCTATAGCAGATGGCTGTGCTGGCAGGAAGGATGCTTTCTGCAGGCACTGGGTTGGGTGTGGGGCTGCGTAGGGCCACCTACCTTGCTCACGGGATAGCTGCACACACGGGTGGAGGTCACACACTGGCGCACGGCACCCATGGCCATGACGCTGCTGAGGCGCTGCACGTCATGGAGGACAGCATGGTGTAAGGCAGTCGCTTGCGGTCTTCATAGCAGACAACCGGGGCAGCACCCAGCACCTCGTCCAGCTCCAGCTGCACCGTCTCCGCAGGTGGCTTAGTGTGGGTCTGGGGAGGGTTCCTGTGCCCTGGCACCCCCATCCTCCCTCACCGCCTCCGTCCCCACCCAGGACACTGCTGCCGAGGCTTGCGGCCCTTGGGTCACCCCAAACCACCCTGTCACCCCTGGTCTCACAGGAGCAGACCCTTCTCTGAGGCAGAGCTTGCTTCTTATGAACAAGGTTTTGTAGGGTTTCCTCCTCCAGGGGGCACTGGAGGGAAGAGAGAGCACCCAGATTTGAGAACCTGCTATGTGTCAGGTGCTCTATATGAACAGCATTATGGCCGGGGGCAGTGGCTCACACCTGTAATCCCAGCACTTTGGGAGGCCAAGGCAGGTGGATCACCTGAGGTCAGAAGTTCGAGACCAGCCTGGCCAACGTGGTGAAACCCCATCTCTACTAAAAATACAAAAAAATTAGCGGCTTGTGGTGGTGCGCCTGTAATTCCAGCTACTCAGGAGGCTGAGGCAGGAGAATCACTTGAACCCAGGAGGCAGAGGTTGCAGTGAGCCAAGACTGTGCCACTGCCCTCCAGCCTGGGTGACAGAGTGAGATACCGTCTAAAAAAAAAAGCATTATGGAGGAGGGACTGTTGTCTCCATTTTACAGATGGAGAAACTGAGGCTCTAACAGGACAGGTACTTTTGCCCAAGGTCACGAAACTTGTGGCACCAGATTTGAATTCAGGTCATAGTCAGTTTGTCCTTGAGAGAAATCCAGCTACATTTTCCCCTCCACAGTTGTGATCTTGAGGTGGACATCGGCACAGGGCCTGGCACTTAGTAGGTGCTGAATCATTACTGAATGAGTAGAATAGTGTTGTCCATTGTACACTGGGTCTGAGAGGTGGAATGACTTGCCCAGCATTACGCAGTAAGCAGCAGGGTGGGAACTGAAGCCCCTCCTGTCTGACTCGAAGCCATGAACACTTCCTGTACCACAGTGGCGAGAGCAGGACCCACCCCTGGGGCCACAGAGCAAGGAGAGTGATGGAGGCAATGCCCATGGCCCAGAAGCCCCATGCATGGGGCAGTCAGCCAGAGTGTGACCAAGGGCCTGTCACCCTGGACAGCTCCGTGCTGGATCATGTGGATGAGTGCCCAGCACAGGGTGGTGGCTGTGGTGTCGGTGCCTCCCAGAAACAGGTCGATCACCACCTAGACCAGGTTCTCCTGGTTGAATGTGGAGACAGGGTCATCCATGGCCTGGCGAGTCGGGGGTGGGCGAGTGGGGGGCGCAGCTCCAGGTCTAAAATTCTCTCCTGACAGAGCCCTGGGGTTTCCTTGAAGCCTGATCTGAGACCTGTGCGGCCAGAACTTGAGGTTCCAACCCCTTGAGAGGGCCTGATTCTCAGGACTGCATTGATGTTGGTGGGTGGCTGCCCTGGTGTTCTGGCCCTGACATCAGCCAGGTCTTCTGCTTCCCACCCTACCCATGTCTGTAGAAGCCAGCCCTGCCCTGGGAAAAAGTAGGGAGGAAAACCCTGTTTTAACTCACATTTTCAGCGTGCTTTGGAAGCTCGTAGATAGAGTCAAAGATGAGAAACTGAGACCATGGCTTAGAAAGGAGGTGCTCAGAAACGAGGTGCAGCCCAAAAAGATGGCCCCTCCTTTCCTGAGCAGCTGTTCCAGGCTCACCTTGGAGATCTGGGCCAGGTAGCAGCTGATGAAGTCCCTGGGGGCCTCCGGTGCCCTGAGTTTGTGCCTGGTGATCTCCTGGTGGATTAAGCTCAGCACGACCTCTTGGTACCTAAATATCTCCTGGTGGGGTCCTGGGAGGTGGCAGAGGGCCCAGGGAAACACGTCATACAGCTGTGGAGAGAGACGCCCACCCAGGGCCTACTCAGGAGCCAGCCTCTGAGTCGGGGGGCTCCAAAGTGGGCTGGAGCCTTTGACTTGAGTAACCCAGGGCTGCCTCTCATCTGGAGACTCCCCAAATAATTTAGACAGAAATGAGAGCTGTGGTCAGAGCAGCTGTGCTTAGGGCTTCGCTGGGATGTTGCAGGTCCAGAAAGCTGTATGTCCTAGGATATAACCAGCCTCTGATTCCTTGCCCATGCATTCATGCTGAACCACAACAAAGGTTTGATGCTCTGAATGTGTCAGCTCACCAGGCAGAAGCCACGGTCTCCCTCCTGCCCACCTTGCACCCTCCCTGCCAGGCCCTGGCTGAGGCCCCTGCCTGCCTCGGGCCCCTAAGGTAATGGCCTGCACACCTGCCTCCCCAAATGCCAATTACCCGGCGCCACACAGTGCTGACAAATGCCAGGCCAAAGTCGATGGCTTGAGTCAGTTCCTGGAAGATGGGATCCTCTAAGAGGAAGTGGTGGCCAAACACAAGGGCCCCGATGACTCTGACTGTGGACCTGACAATGGATACCTGAGGGTCGAAGGGTCTACCTGAGGGTAGAGGGGCAGGGCTCAGGACGAGGAGGCACGAGAAGCACTACCCTGAGCACCCATCTGATCTCGTATCTAGTCGCTCATTTACTAACTCAGTCCTCCATTCCCATTCCTCACTCATGCACTCCGCAAATGCTTACCAGCCGGGCGCAGTGGCTCATGCCTGTAATCCCAGCACTTTGGGAGGCTGAGGCAGGTGGATCACCTGAGGTCAGGAGTTTGAGACCAGCCTGACCAACATGGTGAAACCCTGTCTCTACTGAAAATACAAAAATTAGCTGGGTCTGGTGGCGCACACTTGTAATCCCAGCTGCTTGGGAGGCTGAGGCAGGAGAATCACTTGAACCCGGGGGATAGAGGTAGCAGTGAGCCGAGATTGTGCCACTACACTCAGCCTGGGCAACAAGAGCGAAACTCCGTCTCAAAAACAAAACAAAACAAAACAAACAAAAACAAAAAAACCCAAGTGCTTACCAAGCACCTTCTACGAGCCAGGTCAGAGAGAGGCATGGGAGACAGACAACAATTTGAATGACAACAGAATAACAACAGAATGTGGGGCAGGTATGGCACAGCAGGGAATAAAAAAGGTTTGGGGGCCTGGCATTCAGGAGGATTTCTCAGGGCAGGTGACCGCAGCTGGTCTGGAGGAAGGAACAGTGGTTTCTCATGGGGAGGGAAGGGACATGGGCTGGGGCGTTCTGGAAGGGGAAATGCATATGCCAATGGCTGGAGGTGTGAGACGCCTGGGATGATTTGTTTGTTTGTTAGTTTGTTGTTATTTTATTTATTATTATTTTTTTGAGATGGAGTGTTGCTCTGTCGCCCAGGCTGGAGTACAATGGCATGACCTCGGCTCACTGCAGCCTCCTTCTCCCAGGTTCAAGCGATTCTTCTGCCTCAGCCTCCAGAGTAGCTGGGATTACAGGCACGTGCCCAACACACCGGGCTAATTGTTTGTATTTTTAGTAGAGACAGGGTTTCACCAGGTTGGCCAGGCGGCTCCCAAACCCCTGACCTCAGGTGATCCGCTCGCCTCAGCCTCTCAAAGTGCTGGGATTACAGAGGGGAGCCACCGTGCCCGGCTGCCTTGGATGTTGATGGAAAATCCCCAGCTATCAAGGAGGGCTGTGGCTTTCCAGTGACCTTGGCCATTCCTGGACCTCTGTCTACCCACCTTGGAGAAACTCCCACTCAATGGAGCTTAAAACGGCTGTTAACGTTCTGAGGCTTAATGGACACACACACGCCTATGCAGTGAAGCTCGCCTGTTCTGCAGGGGTGTGCGCGTGCGTGGGGAGAGGGGGTGAGGGTAGGCCTGCCGCCAGCCTGCTACTTACCCTGCTCCTGGCGGAAGGCTTCTGCCAGCTCTGCTGCCTCTTTCTGCAGCTGCACCTCCAGCGCCAGCTTGCCTAGGCCCAGCCCTCAAATCATCACCAGGCAGAAGCGTCTCTTTTGCCGCCACGTGTGCCCGCTGCTGCAGATGATGCCTGGGTCCGGGGTGGGGTGGGGTGGACAGTCGCCAGCCCCTCCCAGCCTCCCAGGCCAAGACCACTTGGCTCTCACCTGGGCCAGGCCTGGAGGGCAGACCCCAAAATCACCTCTGGGAAGATGCTGTGTCCCAGGGCTGAGGGGCATTTGAGGGAGTGGTCAGTGAGCTTGGTGCCCTCAAGGTGGTCTCAGCTATGCCCTCCCCCAGCCCACCAACCTGATTTTTCCTTTAAAAGTCCCCACAAGAAATGGAAGAGGAGATAAACAATGGGGGCTGGGCGCAGTGGCTGACACCTATAATCCCAGCACTTTGGGAGGCCAAGGCGAGTGGATCACCTGAGGTCAGGAGATCGAGAACATCCTGCCAATATGGTGAAATCCCATTTCTACTACAAAAAAAAAAAAAAAAAATTAGCCGGGCGTGATGGTGCCTGCCTGTAATCCCAGCTACTCGAGAGGCTGAGGCACAAGAATTGCCTGAAGCCAGGAGGTGGAGGTTGCAGTGAGCCGAGATTGTGCCACTGCACTCCAGCCTGGGCAACATAGCAAGACTCTGGGTCAAAAAAAAAAAAAAAAAAAGAAGAAGAAGGGGAGGAGGGGTTCTGGGGAGAGGGAAGGAGGGAACAAGGGCATTTGCTGAGCCAGGCACTGAGTGCGCACTCTCAGGTATTTTGGCCACTTAATCCCCTCCCCACATTCTCAGGATATAAAGCCATCATTATCCCCATCTACACAGGAGCCCACTGAGGGGCAGAGAGTGAGGCCGACTTGTCCGGGGTCCCAGAGCTGGCCAGGGCTTGGGTTGAGACTTGAATCCAGGTCTTTCAACTCCCAGAGCTGGTTCCTTGTCATCCCACCCCCACCCCTCACGCAGGTCCTCCTGGGCAGTCCCCTCTCTGTTAACAGCTCTGAGCCATCCCCAACTCCCTGAGTGTAGTGACCATCTAGCCGCCTCCCCCTCCCCAGCAGGAGGGGCAGCCCTGCCTCGTTCTCCAAACAGGTCCTGGAAGAGCGGGGTGAGGGACCTGCCGGAGAACTGCTCCGAGTTGGAGACCAGTGCTTCCTTCACCACCTGGAAGCCACTCAGCACCGCAACGGGGATCGGGCCCACCCACACGGTGAACACACTCTGCGCCAGCTGTGGAGAGATGGGGGACACTTACTGCAGGAGCACCTTCTCAGAGTGCCTCCAGCCCCGTTCCCCAGGCAAGCCAAGCCCTGGGTCACAGGTCCCCTGTGCACTTGGAATAGTCAGGGCCCATTAATCCTGGGAGGTGGAATGTTCTACCCATTTTACAGATGATATTAAATAACCAGTTTCTCAAGGGCTTGGTGTCCTACGTGGGCTTTACATATTTTGCTTGAGTCCACCCTCAGTATAAGTGTGCAGGTAGGCAATTTATCTCCATTTTATGAGTTTAAAAAAAACAGAGGCCAGGCCGGGTGCAGTGGCTCACGCCTGTAATCCCAGCACTTGGGAGGCCGAGGCGGGTGGATCACCTGAGGTCAGGAGTTTGAGACCAGCCTAGCCAACATGGTGAAACCCCGTCTCACTAAAAGTACAAAAATTAACAGGGCTTGGTGGTACACGTCTGTAATCCCAGCTACTTGGGAGGCTGAGGCAGGAGAATCGCTTGAACCCGGGAGGTGGAGTTTGCAGTGAGCTGAGATTGTGCCATTGTACTTCGGCCTGGGCAACAGAGCAAGACTCCGTTTCAAAACAAAACAATAAACAAAACCCCCAAAAAAACAGGCCAAAAAAGACAGTAAAAGATGAAGACCTAGAACCCAGGTCTCCTGACTCCCAGTACAGTGCTCTTTCCACTGCGTGGGAAGCCTGAGGATCATAATTGTCTGATAGCGCCAACCAGATATTTTTTAAAAATGTGTTGAGTGTGAATAAGAAGAGGGCTGAACATGGCCTTAGGAAAGACAGTGTCCTGCCCACAATCATTCTCAGCAGCACCCCAGTCCCACCCACTCAATCCAACAGCGCCCTTCAGCTGAGGCTCCAGCTACCCTGGTGGTGGCTTTGTGCACAGATTCCTTGAGTAACGTCACTTGAATGTGCCCTTGTGGGGGTCCCATTCCCCCCAACTCCCATCTCAAGTGGCTTTTCAGAAAACTTCTTCCAGCCACACACAGTGCTCTCCTGGAGTTGAGCTCTGTTCAGTGGTTTTCGCCACCCTGTTCCATTGGCAGTGGACTTCTCCTGCACTCAGAATTTCTTAGATTAGACTTCTTAGATTCTGCACGAAGTCCACAATTTCTGCAATCCCCCTCCCACCCTGCATTTGACAGGCGAGGAAACTGAGGCTCAAAGCCTCCCAGCTAATGAATGGTAAGACCAGGATTCACCCCACACGTGTCTGACCTCTGTTCCTTCTTTCTGTCTCCAGTGCCGCTGGTCTGAGAGAGAAGAGGGGTTCATCTGTCCACCCCTTTAGGGCCTCCAGCTTGAGCACAGGCTTCCTACCTGGAGCAGTGTCTCTGGGTGCAGCTGAAAGCATAGCTGCCACAGGTTTCCAAGGATGGGGAAGGGGAGTGGGCCAGGAGGAAGACAGCTCCTGTCCCAGCAGAAGGTGCCAAGTTTCAGGAGCAGGAAGGAGATGGCCAGTAAAGCCAGCCCACTGAGCAGGGAGAGCATCTCCCTGGTCCTGTGTCTCCTCTCCTCACTTTTGCTTCTCGGTCCCAAGGCTCTGACACACTGTGGCCACCACTCTCTCCCCGCTCTTCCAGGCGCCTGGCCTTGCTTTTATGCTGGTGCTCCCAGGCAGTGCTGTGGAGGGAGGCAAACCCAGGAGCCCTTCCCCAGTGGAGTAAATCCATTTGGTCACATCAGTCACACCCGGGCCATGCCACTCACCAGGGTGGCAAGGCTGTGGCCCGGGACAGGTTGAGACACCTTCACTCCTATATCAGCATCATCCTCACCTCTGGCCCTCGGAGCTCATCCCTGGTGAGGCTCCTCACAGCCTCTTCATGGCAGGGTCAGCTGACTGCATGGCTCAGCTCAGGGAGGGACAAGGGGCAGGCAGCCGCTAGCAGTGGCAGTGTCTCCCATCAGGACATGCTCTTCCATCTCAACACGCCTGAGGCTGGGCTCCTACTCCTGCTCTCCTCCGCCCAGATGTGCAGCAGCCTTCCTGAGGTCTCTTCAGCTTGTGCTGAATCCCCATGTTTCTCTGTAGCCTTCTCTCTGTCTCTCTCTCCCCTTGCCCCTCTGCCTTCTCTCTCTCTCTCTCTCTCTCTCCTCTCTCTCTCTCTCGGTTCTTTCTCCTGCCTCAGCCTCCCGAGTACCAAGTGCTGGGATTACTGGCGCCCACCACCACGCCCAGCTAATTTTTGTAGTTTTAATAGACATGGAGTTTCACCATGTTGGCCAGGCTGGTTTTGAACTCCTGATCCGCCCACCTCAGCCTCCCAAAGTGCTGGGATTACAGGTGTGAGCCACCATGCCTGGCCTCTTTCTTTCTCCTTTGTTTTCTTTCTTTCTCTCCTTCTCTCTTTCTGTCTCTCTCTCTCCCATTCGTTTGTTCGTTCTTTTTCTTTCTTTCGTTCTTTCTTTCCTTCTTTCTTTCTTCCTTTTTCTTTCTCTCTTTTCTTTTTCTTTCTCCCTCTCTTTCTCTCTCTCTCTCTCATTCTTTCTTTCTTTCTTTCAACAGTGTCTCACTGTGTCACCCAGGCTGCAGTGCAGTGGCATGATCATAGCTCACTGTAACCTCAAATTCCTGGGCTCAACCAATCCTCCTGCCACAGCCTCCTGAGTCTCTGGGACTACAGCGGCACCACCATATTCAACTATGTAGCCTTCTCTTAGGTTTCAACTATCTTGGAACCAGACTGCTGGAGTTTAAATCCCAGATCTATCTCTTACTGGTTTTGTGACCTTGGGCAATTATTTAGCTTCCTCTTGCCTCAGCTTCTTATTTGTACAATGGAGATAAGATCATTTTAGCAAATTGCATCATAGAGCTACTGTACCAATGCCCAGCAAGAGAATGATGTCACAGTCCAGTGGGGTACATTGAGGATAGTTTAATTAAGAGACTGTTTGCAGGCCTGGCGCAGTGGCTCACACCTGTAATCTCAGCACTTTGGGAGGTAGAGGTGGGTAGATCACGAGGTCAGGTGATCGAGACCAGCCTGACCAACATGGTGAAACTCCGTCTCTACTAAAAATACAAAAAATTAGCCAGGTGTGGTGGTGTGTGCCTGTAATCCCATCTACTCAGGAGGCTGAGGCAGGAGAATCGCTTGATCCTGGGAGGCAGAGGTTGCAGTGAGCTGAGATCGCAGCACTGCACTCCCGCCTGGGTGATAGAGCGAGACTCCATCTCAAAAAAAAAAAAAAAAAAAAGAGTGTTTGCAAAGATGTGTTAGGGAATCCATAGGCATAATGCCAGTCATGACAGAGACCCATTTCCACTTGAGGCTTAGAGAGTCAAGGGACAGTGTTCAGTGGGTACAGAGTTTCAGTCTGGAAAGATGAAAAAGTGTTCTGGAAATGGATGGTCACGATGATAGCACAATGATGTGAATGTACTTAATCCCACTGAACTGTTCATTTAAAAATGGTTAAAATGCTAAAATTTATGTTGCATCTATTTTACTAAATTTTTTAAAAGTCAAGGGACAGAGATATCAGAGGCCTGGAGCCCCTACCTGTTTGGAGAGGTTGTTAACAAGCGTCTGCAGTTCCCTCTGCTCAGAGCACCTCACCCCTGCATCTCCATCTCTAGAATTTCTACCTACCTTATCTCAGGTTGATGTGATGATAACAGTGCTTACCCCACAGGGCTGCTGGGGGATAAGCTGAGCTGGTGTGAAAGTGCTATGGATTGTGCTATGGAAGTGCTATTTGTACTATGCTTGTGCAGATAGTAATACTGCTGCAATTTCCACAAACCCCTGCCTTCTGTTTCCAACAAATCACGTTCCTCCCTCCTCAAAATACTGCTGAAGAGACTGCAGGCCTCTGAAAGCTTCACTAGCTACTCCGCCAATCTCTACTACCTCCAAACACACCAACCGTCTCCCACAGTGGCCCTTGCTTTGTTCTGGGCTGAGACTTGCCCTGTTATCACTGTGTTCGCCCCGCCTTGATTACACAGCATGAGCAGTTCAAGGGCAGGCGCCAGTTCTCAACTTTCTTTGGGTTTACAGGCGTGAGCCACCGCACCCGGCCTGTAGCTGTTTCTTAAAGTTTATCATCCCAAAAGGAGATTTGCCTGCTCAACATTTCCAAGTGTGTTGAACTTTGACAAACTTCCTACCCTCCCTCTGTGCCCAAGGGTGACAGCATGCTGGCAGCTAAGGCTGGGACACGGTACTGGGAACAGAGACTACCCAGCACAACGGGCCAGGGTGCGATCAGATTCCAGGGTGGCAGGTCACAGGAACACAGATTTGGAGCGGAGGCCCTGGGTGACCGGCCCCTCCTGCGCCCAGCCAAGGCCCTCCGTGTCTGATTGTGAGCTGCGGCCTCCTCAGTGAGCAGGTGGAGGTGGGCCACACGGTCCCCCTTACAGGAGTTCCCATGCAGAGTGGCTGACCCTGTGGCAGCCCCTGTCCAAGTTGCACCTTCCCCCTCAGTGATATCCTTATGATTCCAGCCATGCCTGCCCCCCAGACCACAGGCCTCTCTGTTTCCTTGTTTGACTTCTAGGCCAAGAATGGACAACACTCAGCCTCTGCTCCTCTAAGAACAACTCAGGCAGGTCGCAGTGGCTCACACCTGTAATCCCAACACTTTGGGAGGCTGAGGTGGGTGGATCACCCGAGATCAGGAGTTCGAGACCAGCCTGGCCAACATGGTGAAACCCCATCTCTACTGAAAACACAAAAATTAGCTAGGTGTGATGGGTGCCTGTAATCCCAGCTACTCGGGAGGCTGAGGCAGGAGAATCGCTTGAACCTGGTAGGCGGAGGTTGCAGTGAGCCGAGATCACACCACTGCACTCCAGCCTGGGTGACAGAGCGAGACTTCGTCTCAAAACAAAACAAAAACAATTCAACTAAGATGACAGATGACGCGGCTGCGCCCCTTCCCTATATGAGGTATTTCCACACCAAATTTCTAAATCTATCCCCTCTACAGCACGGTGAAGGCTATTATGTGAAGGCTTCATCCCCTCACAGATGAAGGCAAGGCTCAGCAGGTGTAGTGATTTGCTCAAGGAAGTGGGAGGGCGGCCACAATTCTACCCAGGCCTTCAGTCTCCAAATTCAGTGTTCTCTTTCCACAGCTGCCTCCCAGCTGTGACAGGCTGGCATTCTCACAAGGAAGGTTCCTATAGGCTAAGAGAACACACACACGAGGAAGCAGAGCTAGTCACACTTCCAAAGGTTCCGGCCTGGCCTCAGAGGCCTCCGTGTGGCTCAGGCTGCCCCCGGGCCTGGCGTGTGCTTCCCGCCTGAGGCTGCCCCAGGGCCTCAGAGCTGGTGTATTCTTTCTTCTCCTCCCTTGTCTGTCTGCAGACCCCATCCAGGGGAGAGCCCCTTCCATGGCCCTTGGAGAAACAGTGGTTAAGGAATGCTGGATCAACAGCTTTAGCCATGGGCCTGTGCCCAGGCAGGGGCCGTTTCCCATAGCAGACTGACCCTCACTGTAGATCCCGCAACACCCCCTCCTGTGGATAGATCTCAGAACAAAAGAACACCCCTTTCCCCTTCTAGAGCGACCCAAACCCAGTACCCACTCCACACTCAGTGCCTGGAAGTTGCTCCGCCCCACACCCCCACTCCAGCAAGGTAGGCCCACCCCCTACTTCTCCCTGACTAGGAAAGGGAGGAGATAAAAATAAGGAGCTACAGAGACCACTAGAGGTGGAAGGAATGAGAACTAGGCAGAAGAGACCCCCCTCCAGTTACCTCCATGCACCTGAACACAGAAGGAGAATTCCATTCCTTGCGGTTGTGTTTAACTTGTCCAATGTGTCCCAGTGCCCATGGGAGTGAATGGGAACAAATACAGGGGGCTTGCCTGCCTCTAGACATTATGTGAAGGCCCCAAAGGACAGGAGCTATTTCTGGGGAGGGCTGGGAGACCCAGGATCCTCTAACTGAAGGAGGGGCAGACTCAGGGACCACATCCAGGCAAGCCAGGGCACGGGCCAGCGCTAGAGGACATAGCCCTGCTTTGCATATTTTATTATCAATAGTTCCTTCTTTCACTCTTGGTGTGACTCTATGACCAGTGGTTCTGCACATCCCCAGGTTTCGTAGATGAAGAAAGGATGACGTGCTGCCTGACAGCTTGCAATGAACTCAGCATCTAGAATTTTGCAGAGTGTTCCAGTGGAGTTCCCACGGGGAGCTGCTTTCCTTCAAGCCCAGCTTTGAGTAAGGGGAGCGGGGCAGTGGGACTCGCCACTGCCATGCTGTGCTCCAGCCAGGATGATCTCAGGGCACAGGGAGAGGCTTCGTGTCCGAAGAGTGTGGCAAAGGGCAGCCAACATCCTCCCCCTCCCTGCCCCCAACACACACACCCACAATCGCACCCCATCAAGGGCAGTAGAATTAGCCATCCAACCAGAATGATGTCTTTATTGTTCCCAGGATATTCATCTTATCCGAGAATGATTCATGGCAGCTATTATTTAAAATATTAAAAATATTCAAGGCTGGGCACAGTGACTCATGCCTGTAATCCCAGCACTTTGGGAGGCCGAGGCAGGTGGATCACCTGAGGTCAGGAGTTCGAGACCAGCCTGGCCGACATGGCAAAATCCCATCTCTACTGAAAATAAAGAAATTAGCCAGGCGTGGTGGCACGGGCCTGTAATCCCAGCTACATGGGAGGCTGAGGCAGAATTGCTTGAACTCGGGAGGTGGAGGTTGCAGTGAGCTAAAATCGTGCCACTGCACTCCAGCCTGGGAGACAGAGCGAGACTCCATTTCAATAAATGAATAAATAAATAATATTCAAGACGGTCAAAAGGAAAGATCAAAATATTATGAAGGATGAGGGAAACAAGCTGAGATAAACATACAGGGCCCTGAGCTTCCTGTCGGCTAAAATAAGAAGGAGGAAACAATGTGTTCCAGAATCCTCACTGAGAAGCAGAGAATTTTCCCGAGATCAGATTCTGAAAGGGATTTCTTGTGTGGACACAACTGCCAACAGAGATTTTTTTTTTTTTTTTTTTTTTTTTTTTTGAGACAGAGTTTCACTCTTGTTGCCCAGGCTGGAGTGCAGTGGCACAATCAACTCACTGCAACCTCTATTTTCCGGTTTCAAGTGGTTCTCCTGCCTCAGCCTCCCAAGTAGCTGGGATTACAGGTGCCTGCCCCCACGCCTGGCTAATTTTTGTATTTTGTATTTTCAGTAGAGACAGGGTTTCACCATGTTGGCCAGGCTGGTCTCGAACTCCTGACCTCATGATCTGCCCACCTTGGCTTCCCAAAGTGCTGGGTTACAGGTGTGAGCCACCACGCCTGGCCTGCCAACAGAGATTTTATGGAAGATGAAGTAGCAGGTTTCTTCATGTGCCCATTTCCGAGAGTGACTCCAGGACTCGCCAAGGGTATTGAAACTGAAGGAGTGGTAGTCTTTCTCCAAGTACAACACGGCTCGGCTGGGGATTGAAGGGTAGAACCTGATCATACGTAGGCATGGCGGGATGGCATGTATGTTCCCAAGGTGTCACTTCTCTTAGCCAAACATTGTTTTGCTTATTATCTAAGTATGAATGCCAGCGATTATATCAAATGGTAGGTGGCTGGGATCCAGCCCCTGTATTTTGATCAGCTGTCAGGATCCCAGAGAAAATATACACAGAGGCTGCTCTAGCAAAACCTTTCTGTTGACGACTTCACGCCTTTGGCACTGAGAGGCAGCGTGGTGGGCTAGTCCGGAGAGTCTGGTGCCTGAAGACTCCTGTGGCTGGAGGAGTTGCCCAGGGCCCAGAAACTAGCAGCCCCAGGCCCACATCCTTATTACAATGGACCTTTAGATCTTACCACATCCTAGGAAAGGAAGGGAGATCGGAGATAGGGAATACCAAGGACAAGAGAGAAAGGGTGTCTCTGAATAACCCAGGGCAGGACTGGCCAGGTGCCATCCCTGGACTCCTAGGTCATGACCGAGAAACTCAGAGGAGGAGAAAGGGTGAGAAAAAGTGAGCAAGTTACTTAAAGTTTCTCTTCTCCTTTGGACTATAATCTCCCTGTGTCTTGTTTCTGGTCTCCTGTGCCCAGCAGAAGGTATGGGACCTAGTGACTGTTCAATAAATAGTTTTTGGGAAAAGAGCCCGAGGGGGCTGGAGTCCAGGTATTGGGAGGCTGAGGGAAGAGGCAGTTGGATCAGTAAGTCTGGAAGAAGTGGGGAGCTAAAGTTCCCGGAGGGCAGGCCACTCTCAGAGGCCCATGGGAATGACATCAGATGGAGACTCCCAGAGTGGGCCTCACGGCACCTTTTTTCTCACCAGTGGTCAGAATGGCCCCAGGACTGCAGCCCACCAGATTCTTTGTCAAGGACACAAAAAATGAGTCAGAGAAGTCTCCCCCAGCCCCTAGCCCCGTGAACCAACCATTCCAGGCAACGTCAGTATCTCTGCCCCAACAGGTGTGTGCCCACGGTCCTAACTGCCTGGTGCTGGCCTGTCCTAGCTGGGTATGGAGCTCCCCTTTGAGAACAGGGCTGTGCCAGGTCTGCGGGAGACCAAGTACTAGCTCTGATGGTTCTCACTTGGACAGCAGCCAGCTTAGTCCTCCTAAGCTGAGTCCACCTGAGCAGGTAGAAGGGAGTTTGCCTGAGCCAAGGAAGAATGCTGAATTCAGGCCACAGGCAGAAAGAAACAGGACACAGAAAAGATTCCAGGAAAAGAGGAAATCTGCTCCCAGTACACACCACCTCCCTAGTGGAAGCAAAGAGGAAGAGGCAGAGTTCTAGAGCCATGTCCCAAATGAGGTGAGCAGGATCCAGGTTTTTCAGGTCCTAGTTATGGACTCACACTAGTCATGGAGTTAGAGCTGGAAGAAATCTTAGAGGCAATCTGATCTAGCACATGCATTTGATGAAATTGAATTTGCTGATGAAATTGAAGCTCAGGTCATGAGATGAGGAACAGCTTGAACTCTGGGAGCAGGCTGTTTGGGTTTGAATTCTGTGTGATTCACTTCATACTGGATATTGGCTTGAGACAAGTTAAATCTTCACGAGCCTTTCCTCATCAGCAAAATGTGCTTAATTTTAGCTACCTTGTAAAGTGGTTGAGAAAATCACGTAAGGCCATGCTAGAAGTACCTAGTACAGTGCTTAGCTTACAGGTGCCCCTGAGTTCTAGCCAAGAAAACGAGCACAGAAGCGATGTCTAATGTTTTCAGGCCTGTTTCATAACACTTTCTGCTCAACATTCTGTGCTCTCTTCTCTGATCAGCACAGTGGATCCAGCAGAGAAGCTCAAATCTAGAGGTTTGCAGGGTGACCAGGAGGGAGGGAGACTGGGTTCCTGAACGCACGGGCAGAACCTTCATTCCACCCCTCCACAGACCACACTGCTTTGCTACAGGAGTTTGGTTACTGTGGTAAACTGCTGAAAGTCTGGGCTTGTTTCTTACACCTGTTAGCCTACTCTACTTGGCAACAGAGAATTATGAGCTGGGAAAGCACAAAATGGCAAAATGGAAATTGCTTTTAAAAATCCAATTTAGGCTGGGCACAGTGACTCATGCCTGTAATCCCAGCAGTTTGAAGGGTCTCGTTCTGCTGACCTTGTTACCTTCTTGGAAGATAAATCTAGTGCCTCAGTAAAAGTGGTTACCGTTTAGATTGGAGCTGCCCAACAGAACTTCCTGCAATGATCGACACGTCCTATATCTGCACTGTACATTACTATGTTGTACAGGTCGCATACAGCTACTGAGCGCTTGAAATGTGACACTCTAGGAACTAAAGTTTTAACTTTAGAGTCAAGCTCCTGGGTTCTCACGACAGCACAGGTACTTTAGAAAAATTAGTATAATTTCTACTGATGGCCAGCAAACTAATACCAGTTTAAAAGCTTTCTTGGCTGCATTCAACACAATATAGTCAGAAACTTTAGAATGAGTACCCTTTGCTTTTTTTTTTTTTTTTTTTTTGAGACGGAGTCTCACTCTGTCGCCCAGGCTGGTGTGCAATGGCACGATCTCAGCTCACCGCAACCTCCACCTCCGAGTTCAAGTGATTCTCCTGCCTCAGCCTCCTGAGTAGCTGGGACTACAGGTGCCTGCCACCACACCAGGCTAATTTTTGTATTTTTAGTAGAGACGGGGTTACTAATTTTCAATGGGTGAATCTGAATGAATTGGCTGAAAGGGTAATTATATTGTTTGAATTGCTAAGAATCCTCGATAAACTATTCATTTTAAATACATCTCACCACGACCACCCACCTCACCACAACCACTCACCTTTCCACTCCCCACCCTCTTATGGGCAGCCAAGGAGCTTTATTTGGGGACCATGTCCAGGAACACAGGCAGCGGGACTAAGGCCCACAGAGATGATTCCAGGTGTTCAGGGCCCCATGGCCCTTGCAACCAACCAGCTTTGCTACCAGTCCTTCCCAGATGCAACTCCATTGCTGGATATGCAGGTCCCAAAGCCATTCAGGGATATCTCACTCCCTTCCCAGAGAATTGTTTGATACACGAAGAGTTTTACAAAATCCAAAATAATTTTATTCACATTTTCAGATTTTTGCTTCCACAAGGTGTTCAGCAAACATGCTAAGGCGACAGAATGTCTAGTTGGTCACGACATGCAACGCTGACCATTCAATTGATGACAGCAGTGACCACGCCCACCTGAGCTACCAGCCCCACAGCACAAAGGGGGTTTGCGGGAACACACCAAACCACACAGCAACCAGCAACCTGAGGTAGGTCTCTTTACAGTACAAAAACTTCTACGCCAGTGTGAGACACTGATTAGCAAGAGCTGCTTAAAGTTGCAGACTTTGAGGGGAGAGAGAGAGAGAGACTGTGCGACGACTGCGGTGAGAAAGGAAAACAGACCCACGAAATCCTGAGCCCTGCCACTGAACTGTGGAGGTGTGGGAATAGGCAAATGAAAAAGTGCCACCTCAAAAAGCAGCAGTTGGCTCCAGGGCTTGGAACCAACAGGTCTTGGAGCTGGAGAGCTCTGTGCAGTGGCCAGCCATAGGAACCTGAGGCAGTGGGACTCTCTGTGGATAGACTGATTCTTGTTTAGAAACAACAGCAAAAAGAAGAAGGCAGGAAAGAAACTCCCCGGCTCGGAGGAATGTCTCTGTGATCCCCATTCTTGATGGAGGGAGTGAAAAGGGGCCTGGGCTTCGCCCCGCTGCTCTCCTGACAGAAACAGTAAGTGACACCAGGACAGAAGGCAGGAGCCCTGAGAACTCACGGCGCTCTGCATGGTCTCCAGCCGCCCACCCGTCTCCAGCCACCCCTGGAGCGGCCGTGGGGAGGCGGCAGAGGGGGCTGTCGGAGGGCCCACTATTGCCACACGTCTTCCTTTGGACACCCAGAAAACCTGGCACCGTGAAACCACCAGCTAGAGAAGAATGAAATGCTACTCTTCCTACAGTCTAATAGCAAAACCAGATCTCTAGTACAGCAAACTGTACAAAAATGATAGAAAGGAATATGCACTGTTATTAGCACAGTGCTTATTTTAATATAAAATAAACAGCTTACATTTTCACTGTAAATATAGGCTATGTACAGAATTATATATAGATATAGCTACACGTATAAAGCTTCATTATAGGCCTCTGATACAATTATAATAACGGTTCCCTGAACCTTTTAGAGTGCAATTAAGAACAAAAACTAAATTTTGTTTACATGAATATGGAATAAATACAATAATCAAAATATGACTCTCCCTAAAAGTGAAACACACAAGCCAATCCGGAACTGCTGTGCGAAAGATAAAATCGAGAAAGGCAAGGTTTCGGTAGGAGGACGCGATGAGGGGCCCGCCCCAGGCAGGGAATGGCAATGCTCTAAAGAAAAGAGACTTCGTCAACAGGGAGGAGTCAGCCCTTGACAGCGACCTTGTTCTCTGCAGCAGCAAACATGGCATAGAATCGGGAACTGTCGTTGGACAGAAGGACCGATGGGGTGTCAAACTCCACCACCTGCAAAAGAAGGAGACGCCGTCAGGACACAGCTCTGGGTCATGCAGGGTGATTCAGAGGATCCACGGCTCAGTAAGTGCCAGTGCCCTCTGAGGGTAGAATCTGGGGACAATTCAACTAGCCCTGCGTGCACCTCCCCCCTTATTTTTTTATTTTCAACTATCCAGGGAGTAAGGGAAAGGACAGAGAAAATGACTTCCAGCATTTTTGTAGTATGTGGTTTTGCCTAATAAAGTAGTATCATAGCAAAAAAAAAAAAAGAAAACGACTTCCAGACCTCCTTCACATAAATCCAAATTCCTTCAGCCTTGGGAGTGAAGGAACCAACCAACCAGGTCTATAAACTGCAGGAGGCTGGTGGCTCACGCCTGTAATCTCAACACTTTGGGAGGCTGAGGTGGGCAGACTGCCTGAGGTGAGGAGTTCAAGACCAGCCTGGCCAACATGGTGAAACCCTGTCTCTACTAAATATACAAAAATTAGCTGGGCATGGTTGGCGGGTGCCTACAATCCCAGTGACTTGGGAGGCTGAGGCAGGAGAATCGCTTGAACCCAGGAGGTGGAGGTTGCAGTGAACTGAGATTGTACCACTGCATGCCAGGCTGGGCGACACAACGAGACTCTGCCTCAAAATAATAAATAAATAAATAAATAAATAAATAAATAAATAAATAAATAAAAAACAACAGGCTGGGTGCGGTGGTTGATGCCTGTAATCCCAGCACTTTGGGAGGTCGAGGCAGGCGGATCACCTGAGGTCAGGAGTTCGAGACCAGCCTGACCAACATGGTGAAACCCTGTCTCTAGTGAAAATACAAAAATTAGCTGGGTGTGGTGGTGCATGCCTGTAATCCCAGCTACTGGGGAGTCTGAGGCAGGAGAATCGCTGGAACCCGGGAGGCGGAGGTTGTGGTGAGCAGAGATCGTGCTATTGCACTCCCAGCCTGGGCAACAAGAGCGAAACTCCGTCTCAAAAAAATAAATAAATAAATAAACAAAATAAAATAAATAAACTGCAGGGGAGAGAAGTTGCAGCTCAAGTCAAGGGCACACCAGACAAATGCCATTTTGTTATGCAAGCTGATCTAACCTTATAGAGGGAAATGGAAGAGCTCAGAATGTCTAGTTGTCAGGGGAGAAAAAGGAAGTCAGGGAGTGACTTAGTCAGGTGGCCATTCCTATGATGGACTTCTATGTAGCCGTGGAAAATCATGTGGCAGCAGAACCCTGAATGATACGCTGGCAGAACCCACCTCCTGTGGCAGAGGCTGAAATGCATGTACTCAACTTTCTCAGCCGCCCCCGCCACAGGGCAAAGGCATGGAACATAACCTTGTTTAAGGAGATGTAAGAGGAAGTCTCCTTGGTGCTTTAGGAGAGGGTGTCCTGCTCAGTGGACAGGCCACAAGGAGAACATAAGCGTGTCCTTCCTTTGGACACGTGTCCTTCCTTTGGTTGGGTGCTTGAGCAGGCATCCTGTACCAGCAGGGGAAGGTGAGTACTGGCTGAGAGTGATACAGAGCCCCACACTGCTGAGCTGCACAAAAACCAACCCATGTGGGATAACAAAATCCCATCCTCCAAACCCCTTTTAGTCTGGTATTTTGTGTCTGCGGCAGAGAGCATCCCATCTGTTGGAGTCTGTGTGTGCAGATGCAAGAAAAACACAGCTGGGGTAAGTCAGTGTATTACAATGCTCGTCTCTGGGGGTAAATGGCTTATCATCCTGTTTTTGCCTTTATGCTTTTCTGGTGTGTGTGTGGTTTTTTTTTTTTAGGCTTTCCTGAAATTACAAGGAAATTTTAATTAGCAAGAAAAAAATTAAGGGAAGAGAAGGATAGAGTCCCTCATAAAGAGTGAATGGGCTCCCCACTCCAAAACATCAAGCCACCCATCGAAAGAAAGGGGTCTCAATTTGTGTTCTTAAGAAAAAATTTCCAGCTGGGCACAGTAGCTTGTGCCTGTAATCCCAGCACTTTGGGAGGCTGAGGTGGGCGGATTATCTGAGGTCAGAAGTTCGAGACCAGCCTGGCCAACATGGTGAAACCCTGTGTCTACTAAAAATACAAAAATTAGCCAGGCATGGTGGCACATGCCTGTACTCCCAGCTGCTCAGGAGACTGAGGCAGGAGAATCGCTTGAACCCCGGAGGCGAAGGTTGCAGTGAGCCAAGATTGCACCACTGTACTCCAGCCTGGGCGACAGAGCGAGACTCTGGCTCAAAAAAAGAAAAAAAGAATTTCCCAGAAGATGTTCTTGGTCCCATCTATTATACCTTACTAGGCTCTATTTTAACACCTACTTACAAAGTAGTAGCTCAACGTATCTTATGTATGACAGAATCTCAGTCAACACTTAGTTTAAGGCAAACAAAGATAGTCACAAAAAACACTAGTGTGAAAATAATTTCAAGATGAGGAGAAAAATCCTTAGCCCCCAAGTTCTCTCAATTCAGCTTTGAAGCCCAGGCTGAACCTGCGCTATTTAACCTTTTCTCAATATTTCTCCACAATTTAGACAGTGTGCTGGCAGTGCGGTTGCTGGCCTGAGTCCTGTCCCATCTCCTCCGCTTCCTTTTTTTTTAAATCCCACCAATTTTTACTGTTTGCTTTTTTTTTTTTTTTTTTTTTTTGACATGAGGTCTCACTCTGTCACCCAGGCTGGAGTGCAGTGGCGCTATCTCAGCTCACTGCAACCTCCGCTGCCTCCCAGGGTTAAATGATCCTTCCACCTCAAATTCCTTAGTAGCTGGGATTACAGGTGTGTGCCACCACTCCTGGCTAATTTTTTGTATTTTTGGTAGAGACGGCGTTTCGTCATGTTGCCCAGGCTGCTCTTGAACGCCTGAGCTCAGGCAATCTGCCCGCCTCGGCCTCCCAAACTGCTGGGATTACAGGCATGAGCCACCGTGCCCGGCCTACTCCACTTCCTATGGACTTTCCCTGAGACTTTGTCTCCTCATGTGTAAAGCAGAATCCAGGCTATGTCTTTCTCTAGGTTGTTGTGATGACTGATGGTATGTTGAGAGATTATATGTAAAGCACTAAGCACAGTGCCTGACACACAGTAAACATTCAGTAGAAGTAGCTATTATAGTAGCTGTCACTGTGGGAGCTTCTACAATAGAAGACATGTTACCCATTATAAATGGCTTGCTATTTCCTCCAAATTATTAATTTACTTGTATCCTAGGGGCATGCAAAAGAGGTATTTGTCTAACATAAATGTACTTAACATCACCTGTATAAAGAACTGTAGTACTAAGCACTGCTGGGGCCCTAAAGATGAATGAGCGGTGACTCTGCCCTCAGAGAGCGTTCAGGGAGTTCTCTAGGGAGACAGGGCATTGCACAATTCCTATCAACTGAGACAGAAGAGCTACAAGAGAGGTACAGATACAGTCTAGGGCGGCTGAGGCAGCCAGGGGGTTTCATGGAGGCTTTGGCATCTGGGCCATGTCATTCTTCAGGGACAGGCAGGTTGAGAGCAGGTGGATATGGGAGAGAGAAGGGCAAAGGGCCTTTTAGGTAGATGGAACTATCTGACTAAAGACAGATAAAAAGCTTGGAGAATGCAAGATGTCTATAGCCAACCGCACCTGCAAAGGAAGAGTGGAAAATGAAGAAGGCAAGGCTAGGGCCAGGCTGTGGGAACGCCTGAAACAACAGGGTAAGAAGTTTGGTGCCGCTGCGTGATTGCAAAAAAGCAAACATGTGCTGGCTGGTCTCAGTAGGCCTCCGGGAGCGGTAATCATTGTGTATGTGAATGAATCACTAAGTACATGTACCAGGGATGATAATTGTGTATGTGAATGAATCACAAGTATCTATACTCTCTGGCCTAAGTATGCCAGGGGTGATCATTGTGTATGTGAATGAATCACTAAGTACATGTACTCTCTGACTTAAGTCAGTGTCGCTACTCACAAGCAACAAAAGGACAAATTAGTAAAGTAAAATGAGAACCCCATCAGAGGTGCCTGAGTAATCTTGTGATTCGGAGGCTGTATCCCTCCCAATAGCAAGTAAATAGCGCTGCTGCAAGTGCTTATCTGAATGCCCAGAACCCTACAAAGATGGCAATCAGTCCATCCCTGCCAGGGGCCAGTTTCCTCCCAGACATGCCAAGCCAAAGTTCCTGAAGGACTCGGTACCTGTCCCTGGGCCAGCACCATAATCCTATCGGAGCCTAGAACCGTGTGCAGGCGATGGGCAATGGTCAGCATGGTACAGTCTGCAAATGCTTCTCGGATGGTCTCTTGAATCAATAAGTCTGTCTCTGTGTCCATGGCAGCTGTGGCTTCATCTAAAATCAGAATCTGCCAGAGAAGCAGAGGAGAAAGAAACTCGATTAAATTCCTTTAGCATTCTGGTTAATCTAGATTTTACTAAAATGTATTTCATTTAAGTTTTACACTATCTATTGTTTTCTTTTCTTTCTTTTTTTTTTTTTTTTGAGACGGAGTCTTGCTCTGTCGCCCAGGCTGGAGTGCAGTGGCGCAATCTCGGCTCACTGCAAGCTCCGCCTCCCGGGTTCACGCCATTCTCCTGCCTCAGCCGCCTGAGTAGCTGGGACTACAGGCGCCCGCCACCACGCCCAGCTAATTTTTTGTATTTTTAGTAGAGACGGGGTTTCACCATGTTAGCCAGGATGGTCTCGACCTCCTGACCTTGCGATCCACCTGCCTCGGCCTCCCAAAGTGCTGGGATTACAGGCTTGAGCCACCGTGCCCAGCCTATTGTTTTTTTTTTTTTTTTCTAAGAAAGCACGCATATATGTAAAAACATCCTTTTGCTTAGAAGTGATACAATTTCAAAACCATGTTTGCCTTGATTTCCAAAACAGCATATTTGTAAAATACTGATCTAGGCTGAGCGCAGTGGCTCATGCCTGTAATCCCAGCACTTTGAGAGGCCGAGGCAGGCGGATCACGAGGTCAAGAGATCGAGACCATCCTGGCCAATATGGTGAAAACCTGTCTCTACTAAAAATACAAAAATTAGCCGGGCGTGGTGACGCGCACCTGTAGTCCCAGCTACTCGGGAGGCGGAGGCAAGAGAATCGCGCGAATCCAGGAGGTGGAGGTTGCAGTGAGCCGAGATCACACCACTGCACTCCAGCCTGGGTGGCAGAGTGAGACTCTGTCTCAAAAACAAAACAAAACAAAACAAAACCACGGATTTAATCAAATACTTGCCCCTACATGCTCTGTGACAGTGAGCATGTACAATTAATTCTTTTTTTCCCTTGAATCCAATATGGCTGGTAACATACTGGACAAAAGGACATTCTTTTCCTGTTTATAAAATGAAGGGGCTGGATTGGATGACCTTAAAGTCTCTTGCAATTTTAAAATCTATGTCGGCCAGACACGGTGGCTCACGCCTGTAATCCCAGCACTTTGGGAGGCCAAAGCGGGCAGATCACGAGGTCAAGAGATCGAGACTATCCTGGCCAACATGGTGAAACCCCATCTCTACTAAAAATGCAAAAATTAGCTGGGCATGGTGGCGCACGCCTGTAATCCCAGCTACTCGGGAGGCTGAGGCAGGAGAATCACTTGAACCTGGGAGGTGGAGGTTGCAGTGAGCCGAGATTTGGCCACTACACTCCAGCCTGGAGACAGAGCAAGACTCCGTCTCAAAAAAAAAAAAAATCTTCTATGTCTATGGTTTGCAGTCGTACAACTACTCAATGGCCAGAAACAAAAGTTGGTCTTGGATGAAGGTAAAAACAAAGCAACCCTGTTCTCCCTCCCCAGAACCAATATACCCAAATTGTGTCAGGGTTAGAGTTATCTCTGGTCATGCTCTTAGAAAGTGCCAACAGGGATCAGAGCCAGGAATACCTTTGGACCCCAGTGTGTCAGGGCAAGGCTGCACTAAAACATTCCCATTCTCTGCTGCTGCCAACCCCAAACTGCCTTACCTTACAGTGGCGGAGCAGGGCTCTAGCTATGCACAAGAGCTGCCGTTCCCCCACTGAGAAGTTATCCCCATTCTCCATCACTTCAGATTCAAGTTTCAGAGGTAGCTGAGCAATCTAGGGAGAAAGAAACTAGAGATCAGAGGGGTAAGAAACTAAGCTGAATTTCCTGAAAATCCAAGGACAGAAAGAAATGATTCTGAAAGCGATGAAAGAACTATTAGCCAAGAACCTGTCTCATCTGGAATGAAGGTGCAGGTGTACTGATCATGCGTGCTAGGACCCACTTCCAAGGCAGTCCCTGATTCCAATAGACTATTCTGTTAGCTTTATACCATTAAAACATCCCAGAAATCCCAACGCTTTCATGTCCCCAAAATCCAGTCACATAGTGGGCCTTAAGTTTTGGTTCTGAAAATATGGTCTTGCAATAGGAAATAGTATAGTAAGGAAAAGTACTCTCCTTCTGAAGTCCAAAGCCGTAGGCCCGTGCCTGTGAAACATTTTTTGTAAGCTGCAGAACTTATTCTTCAAATGAGAAGAATCCCGATAGAGCAGAGGAAAAAACAGAACTCATCTACTAATAGTTGAATTAGGGCAGGGGATCCTGGATCCTGACTCAACCCAGGCATAACAGAAGCCTCACCCTAGGCCAGTGGTATCAACCTGTAGACTGCAGCTGCTCGTGAGGGCCTGTGAGGGCCTACTGAGTTGTCCCAAAATGTCTGTGGTCCATGGTCCATATGCACACTGTGTGCTTTCTGCAGACTCAATATGTTATGTATCTTTTTTTTTTTTTTTTTGAGACAGAGTTTTGCTCTTGTTGCCCAGGCTGGAGTGCAGTGGTGCGCTCTCGCTCACTGCAACCTCTGTCTCCTGGGCTCAAGCGATTCTCCTGTCTCAGCCTCCTGAGTAGCTGGGATTACAGGTGCATGCCACCACACCCGGCTAATTTTTGTATTTTTAGTAGGGACAGGGTTTCATCATATTGGTCAGGCTGGTCTCGAACTCCTGACCTCAGGTGATCCACCTGCCTCGGCCTCCCAAAGTGCTGGGATTACAGGCGAGAGCCACTGCGCCCGGCCACGTTATATATCTTTTGCGTATATGTGGACGCTTCAAAGTATGTTACACTGTTATGACTAATAAATTAAAAGCATCACTTAATTCTAAGTAGTTGTCATTACTATCTTCAATCAATGGATAGTGCAAGGCCAATATGACCGTAGGCAGTGTGGGCGGTGGGGTTGAGAGGGATCAGCTTTTCCCAGGTATCTGAAAGACTTGGAGAGCCCTGCCACGAAGCCTTTGTCCACAGGCATCCTGGAGGCACGGCCAGAGCAGACGGGGTGTGGCAAGGGCACTGCTGTGCTTCCACCCTCACCATCTCAGCACGGCTTCCCCTAAGCTCTTCACTTACACATTCTTTCATGTGTGTCCTCTCCAGGGCATCCCAAATCTGGTCTTCAGTGTACTGGTTGAAGGGGTCCAAATTTGATCTAGGGAGAAACACAGGAATTTCTCAGTGGTCCCACCCTAAGCGACCCATTGGCAAAGGCTGTCTGTGGAAGATGTTTAACACACATGCATAGGGAGAGAAGACTCCAAACCCTGATGGTCACAGACGGCTCATTCCACAACCAGACAGATGGGAGCTCTGACAGCACACTGGGCCACCTCCTCAGCTCCATAAAACTTGATTTATTCTTTTACTATTTTTACTATGTAAATAATACTAGTTATAGAACAATTTATAAATGCAAATATCGGCAAATATCCTTCTAGATTTTTTCCTGTGCGTGTATTTGTTAAAATACATCTTTCGGCTGGGTGCAATGGCTCATGTTTGTAATCCCAGCACTTTGGGAGGCCGAGGCGGGTGGATTACTTGAGGTCAGGAGTTCAGGACCAGCCTGGCCAACATGGTGAATCCCTGTCTCTACTAAAAATACAAAAATTAGCCAGGTGTGGTGGTGGGCACCTGTAATCCCAGCTACTCAGAAAGCTGAGGCAGGAGAATTGCTTGAACCCAGGAGGCAGTGGTTGCAGTGAGCTGAGATCACACCACTGCACTCTAGCCTGGGCGACAGAGTGAGACTCCATCTCAATAAATAAAATAAAATAAAATAAAAAATAAATCTCTCCATACGTACAAACTTAGAAATGCACCCTCTTTCTCTTGGTTTACCTGGTTCACAACCCTGTAATTGAGTATGGGGCTCCAGGACAGCTGGCCTGACCAGGGAAAGAAACTGATCCAGTAGAAGGGAAGAGGAAGAAGGAGAGAAAGAATAAAGGACAAGTCAAGAAAAAGGAATTTTCCTGGCACAGAAGACCAGTTTGGGGACCATTTTTGCTTACTGTGCCAACAGTATCTACCTCAAGGAAATCAGAGTTGATACCAAAAGAACGAGACTAGAAATTTTTTTTTTTACAGGCGCATGCCACGTAATTTTTGTGTTTTTTGTAGAGATGGGGTTTTGCCATGTTGCCCAGGCTGGTCTCAAATTCCAGTGCTCAAGCTCAAGTGATGAGCCTACCTGGGCCTCCCAAAATGCTGGGATTACAGGCATGAGCCACTGTGCCCGGCCAGGACTAGAAATGTTTAGGACAGGAGAAAATTATCTTTGCCACTGAGGATGAGGGTGGAGAATTGGTGGTGGAACAGGTATTTGGTGGAAAACTGGGATGTTACAGTAATTTTGGACGGCTTGTCTTGATCTACACATAACATTTGGAGGTCTAGTAATCTGAAAAGTATATTTGCTTTGCTCATAAAATTATGCCTGGCATGTGGGAAACAGGAAACTCTCTGGGAGAAACATGGACTTTTACTCTATGCCACACACCTGTCTCCATATCTGGGGTTACTAATTACAGGCATGCAAATACAATCACGTCATTATCACAGAACTCTAGTGAGAGGACAGCAGGCCGGCACCGCCTCATTCCTGCTATCTGGGCATCTCTCGATCTCCTGGGAGATTCTGACCCGCCTTGCTCTCCAGCGCCTCTTGCCCTTTGCACGGCGTTTTTCCCGCTTGGAACATGCTCGCTTCTCACTACCCTTGGCCCAGGAAGTGTTGTTTAATATGGTACAGTTTAATGGGTTGACCTGTGTCTCCCCAAAAGACACCTAAGTACCTAAGAATGTGACCTTATTTGGAAATAGGGTAATTTGCAGATGTAATTAGTTAAGATGAGGTCATACCAGAGTAATAGAGAAGGGTGGGCCCTTAATCCCATATGACTGGTCCTTATGAGAGATGGCCACGTGAAGGCAGAGAAACACTGGGAGGGCATCATGTGACAATGGAGGCAGAGGCCAGAGGGATGCATCCAAAGCCAAGGAATGCCAAAGATGGCCACAACTACCAGAAGCTGGAAGAGGCAAGGAAGCGTCCTTCCCTATAGGGTTCAGTGGCAGCATGGCCCAAATGACACTTTGATTTTAGACTTCCAGCCCCCGGAACTGTGAGATAGTACATTTCTGTTGTTTGAAGCCATCCAGTTTGTGGCTTAAACTGTTTATGACAGCCCCAGGAAACACATACAGCAAGTAAGTCCATCAGATGCCTCTGGATCAAAGAGCAGGCATGGAGCCCCCTTTCATCCACAAGGATATGCTCCAGGGAGCCCCGGTGGATGCCTCAAACCACAAATAGTACTGAACCGTATAAATGCTATGTTTTTTTCCCCTATATATACATACCTATGATAAAGTTTAATTTATAAATTAGGCACAGTAAGAGATTAACAATAATGAAATCAAGCAATTATAACAATATGCTGTAATGAACATTATTTGACTGTGGTCTGTCTCTTGCAAAATATAGTATGTAATATTTTTGGACCCTGGTTGATCATGGGTAACTGAAACTGCAGAAAGTGAAACCATGGAGAAGCGAGAACTGCTGTACACAAAAGCGCGGTCTCCTGCCCACTGAGTAGCCGGCCCTATCAGATTTTCTATGGGCAAATACGACAACAGGCTTAACTTTTTTTTTTTTTTTTTTTTGAGACAGAATCTTGCTCTGTCACCCAGGCTGGAGTGCAGTGGCATGATCTCAGCTCACTGCAACCCCTGCCCTGCCCCGCCAGGTTCAAGCAATTCTCATGCCTCAGCCTCCCAAGTAGCTGGGACTACAGGTGTGCGCCACCACACCTGGCTAACTTTTGTATTTTTTGGTAGAGATAGGGTTTTGCCATGTTGGCCAGGCTGGTCTTGAACTCCAGGTCTCAGGTGATCCATCCGCCTTGGCTTCCCAAAGTGTTGGGATTACAGGCGTGAGCCACTGTGCCCAGCCCAGGCTTAACATTCAATTCACCCAGGTCCATCACACCAGCTGAAGGAGCCTCAGACCACTAAACAATGGGTTCCAGATAGAAAATGAATATTTGCATACACTCGTAGGTGGTACACAGTAAGGCAGACCAGACCAACCTCAACAGGGAGCTCAATCAGGAATGGAAAAATATCTCCCCTCATTAGAGAAGCCAGATGGTCCTGGGTCTGACCCACAGACAGAAATGAAAGCAAAGTTATGCATCCACTTAATCAAAAGGATTCAGTTAAGTGATTGGATAGAAAAGTGTCTGAACATGAGGGCAATTATTTTTAACAATCAGAACCCCTGGAGTCCTGATCTTGCCAAAGGTACATTTTCATCTTTGGTTCTTCATATTTTATTTTTAGCAATAGTCAACATTGACCACTGCTAAATGAAGCCAAGAATATCTCCCAAAGTGTGAGACAACACAGCAATTCACCCTCGGTATAGTAGAAAACACTGCAGTAAACCATGCTGCCCTGTCATCTGTGCTGGGTGCTTCATAGTAGCCTTGGTTTTCAGAGCAGGAGATTTTGGGACTCACATACCTTCTTCTATCAGGAAGCAAAAGGAAATCTTATTCTGAGGTATGCAGAAATACGGACTGATTTTGGCTTTTAGTTGTTAAGAGTCAGATTAGGTGAAAAAAGTTAAGAGGAAAAAGTAGAGCAAATGAAAAATACTAGAGAGAACGGCATAGATTGTGTGACTTTCTTTTTTCGTTTTTGAGATGAGGAAGGCAGATGAGACTTTGAAGATGCTGGGAAAAGAAATGTAACTAAAGGTCAAGATCCACAAAGAGGCACGTCTAACTGTTTTTTGGAGAGATGGAATATCAAGGTCGTGGTTAACAGTGGGGTCGTGACACACGCTTCAGGAGGCAATGCAGTGAGTGTAATGAGTAGAGCCAGCCGGCCAGCCTGGGTTCAAATCCTAGCTCTGCCACTTTTAGCTGTGTGTCTTTGGGCAAATTACTCTCACTCTCTGGATTTCAGTTTCATCATCTATATAAAACAGGAATAATGGCCAAGGGCGGCATCTCATGCCTATAATCCCAGCACTTTGGGAGGCAGAGGTGGGAGAATCTCTTGAGCTCAGGAGTTTAAGACTAGCCTGGGCAATATAGTGAAACCTCACTATTTGGTAAAATAAAATATGCATAACAATGGTGTCTGTCTTATGAAGTTTTGAGCATTTGTTAAATACAATTAAGATGGTTATGACAGGTGGGGAATGGTGGCTCATGGCTGTAATCCCAGCACTTTGGAAGGCCGAGGTGGGCAGATCACCTGAGGTCAGGAGTTCAAGACCACCAGCCTGGCCAACTATGTGAAACCCCATCTCTACTAAAAATACAGAAATTAGCCAGGTGTGGTAGTAGGTGCCTGTAATCCCAGCTACTGGGGAAGCTGAGGCAGGAGAACTGCTTGAACCTGGGAGGTGGAGGCTGCAGTGAGCAGAGATCATGTCACTGCACTCCAACCCAGGTGACAAAGCGAGACTGTCTCAAAAAAAAAAAAAAAAAAAAAAATTTAATGAGCAGATCAAAAGGAGAAGGCACCTGAAGAAGAAGAAATGAGAACACTGTTTCTTGCTAATGAATGGGCACCAGGCAGAAGTGCTCCGGGTAGACAAGGTACCCATCACTCACAGGGGACGAAGACTCAAGAGACATACCAGAGTGACAGCTGGGGACAGCTCACTGTCAGCCTAGCCAGGCTCCAGACAGTCCTCAGGATGAAAAACACTCCAGCTGCGGGGGATAGGACAGAGGCCAGGGCTGGGTTTCCTGGGTCCAGGAAGCACAGGGAGCTCTGGGAGAAGGTGGGGAAAGCTAGGGCCATGAGACAGAGGCCAGCAAAAGTGTTTTAAGGCCTGGATGAAAAGGGGCCTCTCTTCTTGGAGGCAATCATGAGGGCAAAACAATAGGGAGCTGCAGAAACACAGGCTGGAGAGCTCAAGCCCACACAGGCAGATAAAGGAGGGCCAGGATGCAGGTACTAGAATGACATTCTGGCTAATCTAAGGAAGGGGTGTGGTCCCAAATTATCTGGCCTATGATTTAGATTAGATTATATTTGTACACAGAACAACTCAACAATTTTTATCTTGTGACTTTCTGAGTTTTGTTGGTTTGATTTTGGTTTTACCTTGCTTTTCCTCTAAGAATTCCTTTCAAGTTTTAATTGTTTACAGGTATCTCAAGAAGAGGTACCCACCCTCAATACTGGCTAATGGTGGTGGAGGCGCGGTTTCCAGATTCAGAGTCTCTAGGAGGCAGCTGAGGAAACAGCTTATTTATCCTGCCTGTGCCTTGGGAAACTCATCATAGGCTTTCTATCTTCTAACTAAAGCAAAAGAATACTGGCTGGGCGCGGTGGCTCACACCTGTAATCCCAGCACTTTGGGAGGCTGAGGTGGGCAGATCACCTGAGGTCAGGAGTTCGAGACCAGCCTGGCCAACATGGTGAAACCCCGTCTCTACTAAAAATACAAAAATTAGCTGGGCATGGTGGCCCATGCCTGTGGTCCCAGCGACTCAGGAGGCTGAGGCACGCAAATCACTTGAACCCAGGAGGCAGAGGTTGCAGTGAGCTGAAACTCCAGCCTGGGCAACAGAGCGAGACTCTGTCTCAAAAACAAAAGAATACCAAGAGCTGAACATTCTCTGGGATCCGTAACAAACCTGAGAGGATAAAAGGAAACCTTAGGGGATAAAAGACAAGTCCAGCATTTAATTCTTCCTCAGTGTCTACTACAGACTAAAAAGCCAAAATTAGAGCTGGCAAAAATTTAACTGAAATGATTTTCTCACTTTGCACAGCTGACTTCCTAAGCTGCACCTAAGCTCAGTAGCTACAAACCCAGGACAGCAGTGTACCAACTACTGAGCTAGCCACAAAGCAGTCAACATTTCTTTCTCTGGAGACAAATGGTTCCAATTCTACTAAAGCTACAGGCGCACGATGTTCTACCCACACCAGCTGCACGCGCCCATGGTCAATTCTTTTTCTTTTAACATTTTATATAATTTAAAAAAGCAGAGACGACGTCTCACGATGTTGCCCAGGGTGGTCTCGAACTCCTGAGCTCAAGTGATCCTTCCGTCTCGGCCTCCCAAAGTGCTGGGATTATAGGCATAAGCCACCGCACCTGGCCTCATGGTCAGTTGTTAACCACTAACTCTAGAAGCCCCCATTTCACAAACCCAAATGAAATGCTATAAAATTGTTAAATTAAAACTGAGGCTTCTTGGTGGCAGCAGTTTCAAAAGAAATCTCAAGTTTAACGTGCTTTATTTCTTAATTCTCTTCCAAATGATGATTTAAAAAACTAGTTCTTATGGCCAAAGCCAAATATTGTAAGGCCAATTTTTTTTTTCAAGGTGTTCCTGTGGCATCTAAAAATAGGGAGATTTATGGGAAGAGCCAGGCTGGTCTCAAACTCCTGACCTCAGGTGATCCGCCCTCCTCGGCCTCCCAAAGTGCTGGGATTACAGGCATGAGCCACCACGCCTGGCCAAGCAATGGCTTCTTTTTTTGAGATGGAGTCTCGCTCTGTCGTCCAGGCTGGAGTGCAGTGGCATGATCTCGGCACACTGTAACCTCCACCTCCCAGGTTCCAGCAATTCTCCTGCCTCAGCCTCCCGTGTAGCTGGGACTACAGGTGTGTGCCACCAAGACTGGCTAATTTTTGTATTTTTTAGTAGAGACGGGGTTTCAGCATATTGGCCAGGCTGGTCTGGTACTCCTGACCTCGTGATCCGCCCGCCTCAGCCTCCCAAAGTGCTGGGATTACAGGTGTGAGCCACCGCACTCGGCCTATTTTTAGGCTTTCATCTTCAATAAATTCTAATTTTCTTTTGAGACAGAGTCTCGCTCTGTCACCTAGGCTGGAGTGCAGTGGGACGATCTCAGCTCACTGCCACCTCCGCCTCCCAGGTTCAAGTGATTCTCTTGCCTCAGCCTCTGGAGCTCTGGAGTAGCTGGGACCACAAGCATGGGCCACCACACCTGGCTAATTTAGTAGAGACAGGGTTTCGCCATGTTGGCCAGGCTGGTCTCGAACTCCTGACCTCAGGTGATCCGCCCACCTAGCCCTCCCAAAGTGCTGGCATTACAGGCGTGAGCCACCACGCCTGACCAATAAATTCTAATTTTCTTCTGATATTGCTTGTCTGACCTTATTACCTCAATACCCAAAGAGAATGGTTTATTATCAACCACAGATACAGTGCATGCTGTCCAGATTCAATTACAGAAACACCAAAATAAACATACTCTAGGGTGTTGACACTACACAAACACAGGTGAGAATTCTGCTGATTTACTGCTATGGACTACAGGTTTGTGTGCCCCTAGAATTAAACTGTTGAAACACTGACCCCAATGTGATGGTGTTTGGAGGTGGGGCTGTAAGGAGGAGATTAGGTTTAGATGAGATCATGAGGGTGGGGCCTCAAGAAGAGGAGACACAAGAGCTCTCCTTTCCGCGGGCACACACCACAGGCATGCACCACAGGCACACACCGAGGAAAGGCCACATGAGGACAGAACAAGACAACCATCTGCAAACCAGGAAGACGGCCCTCAGCAGACACCCATCCCCGGCCTTCCCAGCCTCCAGAACTGAGAGAAATAAATTTCTGTTGTTTAAGCCACCCAGTCTATGGTATGTTGGTATATACAGCAGCCTGAGCAGACTAAGATATCTACCAAAGTTCCTTGAGTTCAAAATGCCATTTCCAAAGGTGGAGGGGATAGTTTTAAAACAAGTCTGAACACTGCCTATGATTATTTGAAATTAGGTTGGTACCAATTTTTCTGAAAACTGCTAAAAATTACTTTTAGAATGATTTTTTTTTTTTTGAGATGGAGTCTCACTCTGTCACCCTGGCTACAGTGCAGTGGCATGATCTCAGCTCACTGCAAGCTCTGCCTCCCGGGTTCACACCATTCTCCTGCCTCAGCCTCCCAAGTAGCTGGGACTACAGGCGCCCACCACCACGCCCGGCTAATTTTTTGTATTTTTTAGTAGAGACGGGGTTTCACCGTGTTAGCCAGGATGATCTCAATCTCCTGACCTCGTGATCCGCCCGCATTGGCCTCCCAAAGTGTTGGGATTACAGGCGTGAGCCACCGTGCCAGGCCAGAATGATTTTTTAATAGACAGGGACACAAATGATGGAAATCCACTGTTTTCAGGAGGCTGAAGCTTAAGGCTAAGGGTAGGATCAGGTAAGCTTAGGAAAGATAATGTGATGCTTTCTCCTTGGACTGTTTTAATAGGCCAAGAAGAAGGATTTTATCTCTGGCAACCTGGCAGATTTCAAAAAGTGACATAATTCCAGAGTATCAAAGGTAGGGGAAGATAGTAGAAAATGAAATAACATGAGTAGTAATAATGCCTGAAAGCCACCATTGGAACTGGAACTTTTGGCCAGGTGCAGTGGCTCGCGCCTGTAATCCCAGCACTTTGGGAGGCCGAGGCGGGTGGATCACTTGAGGTCAGGCGTTCAAGGCCAGCCTGGCCAACATGGTGAAACCTCATCTCTACTAAAAATACAAAAATTAGCTGGGCCTGGGGGAGGGCGCCTGTAATCCCAGCTATTCGGGAGGCTGTGGCAGGAGAATCACTTGAACCCAGGAGGCGGAGGTTGCCGTGAGTCAAGATCGTGCCACTGCACTTCAGCCTGGGTGACAGAGTGAGACTCCATCTCAAACAAACAGAACAAAAAAACTGCAACTTTCAGCGCACCTAGGAGAGATGACAGAATGGAGTGGGGGGCAGATGAGGATGATGTCAATGAGGCTGATGACAGCAGCCACCATTTGCTGAATGCTTACCATTTGCCAGGCCCTGTGCTTATATAATTTACATGAACTTATTCAACCTTCACAGCAACAGGTCTTTAAAGCATCCCCATCTTATGGTTGAGGAAACAGGCACAGGAGTGGTTAAATAACTTGTCCGAAGTCACGGAGCAGAGCCCTGGGCCCAGACCTCTCTGGCCTCTTCAGCACTGTGTTGCAGGCCTCCCTGCACCCTTCAGTCAACCAAGTGGCATTGTGAGTGGTGCTGCCTCTCCCTTCTGCACCAGCAAGCACATGGTGCAGTGGGAAAAGCACCAGACTAGAGATGGTGAGCTCATGGTCCCAGGGGGCGGTGCTAGCATCATGTGGTCCCACATGCTCATCTGGCCTCTAAGTGACGCACGAGACATGCAGGTGCTCAGGTCCTCACCTGACAGTGCCACTGAACAGCACCGGCTCTTGAGGAATGATAGAGAGTTTGCTTCGGAGGTCGGCAAGGCCAATATCACTGATTCTCACTCCATCAATCTTGATGCAGCCTCCAGATAACTCCACCAGACGGAAGAGGGCCATCCCCAGCGAGGACTTCCCTGATGAGTCAGAAGACATGCAAGAGAGGAGCTGTTAGCAAAGTCTGTGAGGACAATGCTGGTTTAGCCTCAGGGCAATGCCAACTATTTTTCCATTTCTATTCAGTTGTTATTTCAACTGATTAACTGAGATAATGTATAAAATGATAGAAAAATGCAATTAACTTTCCTGAGATACCAGGCAGACACCTTCAAATTACACAGCTTCAGCCTGAGAAGGAAGGGAAGGGACCATTCCATTTTCATTTTTTTTTTTGAGACGGAGTCTCACTCTGCTGCCCAGGCTGGAGTGCGGTGGTGCGATCTCGGCTCACTGCAACCTCTGCCTCCTGGGTTCAAGTGATTCTTCTGCCTCAGCCTCTCAAGTAGCTGGAACTACAGGCACGCGTCACCATGCCCAGATAATTTTTGTATTTTTAGTAGAGATGGGGTTTCACCATATTGGCCAGGTTGGTCTCAAACTCCTGATCTCGTGATCCGCCCACCTTGGCCTCCCAAAATGCTGGGATTACAGGCGTGAGCCACCGCGCCTGGCTGACCATTCCATTTTCATGAGAGTAAAATGGAAAAATGCCTCCTGGTCACCTTAGGAACAGGTGCACAGAGCTGAATGCTTCTTAGGCAAAGTTAGGAGAACAGAGATCTTACAGCAAGCAGTTGAGGGGCAAACCAGAGGACAAGATGTCTTTTTTCTCCCTACCCCCTTATTAGGGCTGAGAGAGAGACTAAGACAAGGCCTCCTGTTGCCACAGCAGCAGCTGGGGAATTGAAGAAGTTCCAGGGATAAATAAACACATACGGGAAGGAGGTTTTGCCTCGACTCAATGAGTAGCTGTCAATGGCCCTACTGTGATAGGAAACTATGGCAGAGAAGCAGGTTTGGGGGATCAGTGTTATTACAGTAATCAGCAGAACAGGTTAACCAAATCTTCATTTGAAAAGTTTACATAAGTAATACGAGATGACATCATCAATCTCCCATAATCTCACTTCTATCATTTTAGGCACACTTCCTTTCGGTCTTTCCTCAGAGTTGAGATCATATCAGAAATGCAATATTGTAATTGCTTTTTTCACTTAACACTGCATTGGCCGGGCACGGTGGCTCATGCCTGTAATCCCAGCACTTTGGGAGGCTGAGGCGGGCAGATCACCTGAGGTCAGGAGTTCGAGACCAACCTGGCCAACATGGTGAAACCCTGTCTCTACTATAAATACAAAAATTAGCTGGGCAAGATGGCGAGTGCCTGTAATCCCAGGTACTTGGGAAGCTAAGGCAGGAGAATCACTTGAACCTGGGAGGCGGAGGTTGCAGTGAGCCAAGATCGTATCATTGCACTCCAGCCTGGGCGACAGAACGAGACTCTGTTTCAAACAAAACAAAACAAAAGCATTGTATAACACTCAGTCAACCATCTTTTAAAAAAATTTTCAAGATAAAATTTTAGTGGTTGCATTCCATCATGTGCATGTATTCTTGTTCAGCCAGCCCTCTAAGGGTCAACATTTAGTTTATGTAAAACTTATAATAATGTTATGTCCTATTATCTTAGTGCTGAAACTTTACTGCCACCTCAGACAATTTCCTTGGGAAAGAATCTTAGAACTGAAATTACTGTGTCAAAGGATATAAACATTTAAAAGGTGCTCTCTCTACAGAGCCAAAAAGAAAAGAAGTTTGCCATAGTCCTGTCTACCTTTCTGCAACTTGGTTCCATGGTTTAGATTTAGAACTACAGGGTTTTAGCTGTTGAATCACTTTTCCTTGGCTGTACGCCTGGTTCTTGACCCTCCTACCTTTCTCGTGCCACCATGTCATGAAAGACCTCTTGTGAGGGCCTCATCGAGATCACCACGATGCTGTCTCTTCAGCACTCATGGAGGGCGCAAACAGCCTGCCTTGCCCCAGTGTCTACAGCCACGACCCCACTGTCGGGATCTACCCCCTGGGCATACCTCTGTCTAACAGCCTAATGGGAACCTGAAAAACACCCATAAGACTTGGAAGAAGTAACGCCCAGGAAACTTGGAAAAAGCTGTATTAGGACCCATCTTCCTAATGCAACAATCCTCACATCCTTCTACCAGAAACGAGTTAGGAAACCTGGTCCGTCTAGCAGGATAGTTCTCCTCCTAGAAATGAGTGACTCCAGGCCGGTGGGCGCAGCGGTTCACACCTGTAATCCCAGCACTTTGGGAGGCCAAGGTGGGTGGATTACTTGAGGCCAGGAGTTTGAGACCAGCCTGGCAAACATGGCAAAACCCTGTCTCTACTAAAAAATACAAAAAAAAAAAAAAATTAGCTGGGCATGGTGGCATGTGCCTGTAATCCCAGCTACTCCAGAGCCGAGATTGCACCACTGCACTCTAGCCTGGGCAACAGACTGAGACTCTGTCTCAGGAAAAAAAAAAAAAAAAAAAAAAAAAATGAATGACTCTGTTCAGGGTTGGGGGACTCAGTTACTGGCCCCTTTCCCAGATAGGAGGGGAGGAGACATTCCCTCTGGGCCGAGGCAGGGCTTTAAGATCTAAGCTAAGGAAGGAATGGTGCCCGAAACAATGGGTCAAGTTGTTCCAGTTTAACAAAAGGTGCCTAGGTTTGGACCACCTGGACTGGAAGACTTTAGAGTCCTCTGAATCTGACTACCTTTGCACTGATGGAATGTGCTGGTAAGAAAGGCAGTGAAGTCCTCAAGATGGTGTCCTTGACTGACATGACCACAGGAGAGTTTCCAAGTTACCCGTGAAACTTGGAAGAAGCCCTATTAGAACCGGAGTGTAAATCAGGTTATTATTATTATTATTATTATTATTTGAGATGGAGTTTCGCTCTTGTTGCTCAGGCTGGAGGGCAATAGCGCAATCTCAGCTCACTGCAACCTCCGCCTCCTGGGTTCAAGAGATTCTCCTGCTTCAGCCTCCCGAGTAGCTGGAATTACAGGCATCCACCACCACGCCCAGCTAACTTTCTGTATTTTTAGTAGAGATGAGGTTTCACCATGTTGGCCAGGCTGGTCTTGAACTCCTGACGTCAGGTGATCCACCAGCCTGGGCCTCCCAGAGTGCTGGGATTACAGGCGTGAGCCACTGCACCTGGCCACTATGTTCTTTTTCTTGTTTCTCTTCTGTCACTAACTACTGTTTAATGAAGTTGTGGTGCTTGTTTTGGCCTATCTCACCTGTGTTAAAGGGAAATCATAACAAAGGACATCAGTCAGCTTTCAGGGGAGCAGTGTACCCCTGGGGACGAATGCAGCAGATGGGCTCAAGGGAGAGAACAGTAAAAAGGCTTGGGGAGAGTCACCCTGCTTGGCTAAAGATTCCCTTCCAGCATGAAAGACCTGGAGCAATGTCTTGTTTTGACGTGAAGTAATTCCCTCAAACAGAAAGCAGGAAATGGCTTTTTCCTTTTCTTCCTTAGAAAGTTCTTTAAAATCAATTGGCCAGAAAAGACAAAAGGTTTTTTTTTTTTTAATGGCAAGGAAAAAAGCTAGAAGAGTTTTGATGCCAAAGAAGCATGGAGCCTAGAAAACTAATGAAAACTGAATCAAAGATACCTCTTATACAAGGATAAAAAGGACAGTAAAAGAAGACAAGTTCAGTCTTTGGAATGCAATTCAGGAACGAAAGTGAGAAAAAAGGGGCCGGGTGCGATGGCTCACACCTGTAATCCCAGCACTTTCAGAGGCTGAGGCGGGTGGATCATGAGGTCAGGAAATCGAGACCGTCCTGGCCAACATGGTGAAACCCTGTCTCTACTAAAAATACAAAAAAATTAGCTGGCGCCCCTGTAGTCCCAGCTACGTGAGAGGCTGAGGCAGGAGAATCGCTTGAACCTGGGAGGTGGAGGTTACAGTGAGCTGAGATCGTGCTACTGCACTCCAGCCTGGCAACAGAGTGAGACTTTGTCTCAAAAAAAAAAAGAAGTAAATTACTCAAGTCCTGACCCTAGAAATCTAAAGGATCTACAGTTACGCATTTCTTTTCTTTTTTTTTTGAGACGGAGTCTCGCTCTGTCACCCAGGTTGGAGTGTAGTGGCGTGATCTTGGCTCACTGCAACCTCCGCCTCCCAGGTTCACGCCATTCTCCTGCCTCAGCCTCCCAAGTAGCTGGGATTACAAGCATGTGCCACCACACCTGGCTAATTTTGGACTTTTAGTAGAGACGGGGTTTCACCATGTTGTTCTGGCTGGTGTTGAACTCCTCAGGTGATCCACCCGCCTCGCCCTCCCAAAGTGCTGGGATTACAGGCATGAGCCACTGCGCCCAGCCTACTGATAGTTTTAAAAGAAGGCCATGAAACAGCATGTGTCAATGACCTCATTTTTGTAAACCTACATATTACTAGAGGAAGCCTAACAAGATAGCTACCAAAATGTTACCAGTGCTTCTCTCTGGGTAGCAGAGTTGTGGGTGCTGCTCCTCTTTCGTACTTGGCTGTGTGCCCCAGTGTTCTGCATTGAGAATGTGCACATTTATGACTGTGAAAAGCACTCAATGTCATCAAAGTGGGGTCAACAATAAACCTAGAAAATTGGTTTCAGTAGGGGGCTGAGACACTAATTGCTCATCAAACAAACAAGGATCCGGTTTAAAGGGGTGAAAGTGATATTTCATAAACTGCTACGTTCCAATGGATTCAAAGAAGGCTTTGCACATCCTTACCTGATCCTGTCCGCCCCACAATGCCAATCTTCTCTTTAGGTTTGATCGTGAAGGATACTTTCTTTAGGACGAGAGGGAGGTTTTCTCGGTACCTCATCTCTGCGTTCTCAAAGGTCACCTCTCCCTCCTGGGGCCAGTCAGGGGAGGGAGCCTTGTTCTTAATTCTGGCAGGTGCTTCCAAGGACAGAGTCTGGGGAGACAAGGGTGGCCAGTTCAGACTGACCACAGATTCTTGGGGAGCTGCAGGCTTTGTCACAGAGAAATAAAACCAGGACAACCATAGTAGCCACACAGAGGTAGCTGCCACCCTGTCACCTTGCTAGGAAAGAATCCCTTGGAAGTAAATGCTTATCATCACTAAACTCGACAGAGACAGAGCACAATGGCTAAGTGTCATGGCTACTAGCAGCAGCCTGGGGAGGGAAGTGGTGTTCAGACTACCTTTTGTCTCAAGGAACTATTCCACAAAGCTGCCTTGGGGGCCAAAGGAAAACCAACACGGGCAGACATGAGGCCTTCCACCCCTCCACCACAGCAGTTTTTACTGAAATTCTTTGAGATAGGATTCTACCATTTGATAATCATTGGCTTAAATCCAAAGGAAGAAAACTAATATTTACTGAACATCTGATTGGATCCTGGCATTCTGGCATGTCTTGGTCAATCCAGGAGACACAGACTCTAATTCTAATTTTGCCACTGTGTGACCTGGACAGATCACCACTTCTTCTGCATCTTAGTTTCTTATCTGCAAATTGTGGGGACTGGATTAGATGATCTTGAGAATCTATTCCAGCTCAAAATGCTGTGATATAACTGCTTGGGTAATTTTTATCATCAACAATCATATCTCATGATCTTTTAAAACTCTCTGGCAATTGGCCATGGAGTATATAGCCTTATGGGGGGAAGTAAGGGCCAAAGACTGTAGCACTCTGGGGGGTTAAGCCTAAAGTCTAAAACTCCAAGCTGGAAGGACTCTGTGTTGGGACAGTCAGTGGGAGGGCAGGCCTCTGAAATGTGACCGGTTTCAGCAGGGTCCACTTTGTACCACCACTGACCGTAATCCTAACCTCTCCAGCACAAGGCTCTCGCCAACCATAACATTAACTCAAACACTGCACATATGTACACACACGGGTCATCTACACACCAGGACAGTGTGCAAAGAGGCTAACTTCTAAACATGAAAGAAGAGCTATTACTAGATACACTGGGCAGCCACCTGCCATCCTTTCTGAGAATAAGAAAGTTATTCATTTGTAAGCTTAAGAAATATTCTACCACTAATGAGGCTCACTGTCAAAACAATCAGTGAAGCACATCTCTATTAGAGAATCCAGTTTACGTACACTCAGTTCCCAATTGAAAGAGTAATTTTTCAGGCCGGACACTATGGCTCCTGTCTATAATCCCAGCATTTTGGGAGGTGGAGGCAGAGGCAGATCGCTTGAGCCCAGGAGTTTGAGACCAGCCGGGACAACATGGCGAAACCTATCTCTACAAAAAATACAAAAATGAGCTGGGCCTAGTGGCGCATGCCTGTAGTCCCAGTTACTTGGCGGGGCTGAGGTGGGAGGATCACTTGAGCCTGGGAGATCGAGGCTGGACTGAGCCGTATTCATGCCACTGCACTCAAGCCTGGGTGACAATAAGACCCTCTCTCAAAAAAAATAAAAAAATAAAAAATAAATTAAAAAAGGAAAAAAAGAAAAAAAGCTAACTTTTCAAAACTATGTTTCAAAGTCAAGTGTTGGGAACTCAGAATATACTCTTCACATATAAACAATGACACAGATGCTTGTAAAGTCTCACAGCAGTTCAATAAAATAGATAACTCTTAAGAATTGAGTTCAATTTGAGAATCTAACTACTCATGATGCTGCTTCTTTATAAGCAAATTTGTCCAATCTGTGGCCCTTGAGCCACATGCAGCCCAGGACAGCTTTGAATGTGGCCCAACACAAATTCGTCAACTTTCTTAACATATTATGAGACTTTTTTTTGCCATCTTTTTTTTTAAGCTCATCAGCTATCGTTAGTATTATTTTATGTGTGGCCTGAGACAATTCTTCTTCCAATGTGGCCCTGGGAAGCCAAATGATTGGACACCCCTTGATGTGGTTTGGCTCTGTGTTCCCACCCAAATCTCATCTCGAATTGTATAATAATCCCCATGTGTGAGGGGAGAGGCCTGGTGGCAGATGACTGAATCAGGGGGGTGGACTTCCCCCTTGCTGTTCCCGTGACAGTGAGTTCTCAGGAGATCTGGTTGTTTGAAAGTGTGTGGCACTTCCCCCTTCTCTCTCTCTCCTGCTCTGCCATGGGAAGATGTGCTTGTTTCCCCTTCACCTTTCGCTATGATTGTAAGTTTCCTGAGGCCTCCCAGCCATGCGTCCTGTTAAGCCTTCGGAACTGTGAGTGACTTAAACCTCTTTCTTCATAAATTACCCAATCTCAGGTAGTTCTTTACAGCAGTGTGAAATGGATTAAGACATCCCTGTAGGAAATTGTTTAAGAGTGCCAGTTAGGACAGCAGCAAGATGCCTGCCACCCACGGCAAGACGGAAGGGGTTCCTGGGGAAAGGTGGGAAGAGCTGGATACTCTGGTATCAATTAAATTTACTCGTTTGTAAGTTGGGAGAGCAGTTTAGAATTCGCTATGGAGCTTTTCAAACTATAGAAGCCTGGGTCCCACCCCAATCCACTGCAACAGAATCCAGAGATGAGGCCACGTTTGTCCTGCCAAAAGCTCAGCAGGGGGTCCTGATGGCCATCCCTGATTAAGAACAATTGGACATAGTAAGAATTAAAACAATACATGGTTTTAAACAGTGTAAGGAAAATGCTCCATTAGTCAGTTAAGCTGAACTGACAAGGTTCTGAACATTCTGGAAATTAGCCAATGAAGTTCTCAGCTCGACATAATTTACAAATATACTTAGAAACTCTTACGGTAATCTCTTTCCCATTCCAAGCACGGTTGAGAGATTGCTGGAGATTCTGTGGGATTAGATAGGCAGAGAACACAAGCCTCCTCCTTGTACACCCAGCTGAGGCAGCAAAGGGTAAACCGACTCCAAGAGGAGTCAGATCACGGTAAAAGGCCTACAGCAGTCTGACCTTAATGTAGTGATTGATCCTCTCCACCGAGGTGAATCGAGCTTCTGTCTCAGATGCCAGTCTGACCGTAAACTGGAACAGCCCCGTTAACTGATAATGGAAAACAACAATCAAAGAGATAATTCATTATCAATACACGCCAGGCCAATGCTGGAGAACTTCCTTCATCTAGAGGACTACTAAGAACTGAGCACATGCAGCAGCTGGTCTTAGGGACCTAGTCATTCTCTTGGCTTTTAAGGCATACCTGTTACCCCATCAACTGCAATGCTCAGTGAATGCGGGCAGTATCATGGCACTGCTGGAACCACTTCCTTGTACCCAAAGCCTTTCTATTCATCTTTACATTTCCAATAACACATATCTGCAACTGATTCACTTCTGGACTTCCTACTTGTATCTGAGCCTGTTTGTGGGAGTCACAACAAATGGAGATATCAACCTATGAGCAACTAGTAAGAATGTTTCCAGGAAAGTCAAATCAGATACATAATGCTGGGAAATGAGTGAGTCTGGAGCCCCTGTGCTCCATAGACTGCGGAGTCTAAAAACAGTCTATATAATGCATTGTCTTCCCCAACCAGTTGTCAAGTAAATTGCAAAATGTGGCTGGACATCTCGGGGTATCTGTGAAGACACATATCTCTGGGGTTCCTTTGACTATTTATTTTTATCTTTTCAATAAAGAAAAATGTCAAACACACAAGAGTAGAAAGAGTAGTATAATGAACTCCCAGGTACCAAAACTCTACCATAAAAATGATCAACTTACAGTCAATATTGTTTCATCTGTATTCCCTTCCATTCCTACCCCCACCCCCCATATTATTTGGAAGCAAATCGCAGAGAGCTTATCTCATCCAAATATTTCAGCTTGTACCTCTCTAAAATATAGACTCCTTAAAAACATAATTCCAATACCATTATTTTAGAGGGTAATAATAATCACTCAACATCTTAAAATATCTAGTCAGTGCTCAAGTTCTCAACTATTCTCTGAGCTATTTGAAGACCCTCAATCACCCCTAGGGGCTAGAAGGTTTTATGTATATAACAGTATTGGGAAAATCAGGGCCCTGAGAAGAAAATGCACGTAAGAAGCATATTGAGTCTATAACATTTCTTAGAAGACTAGAAAGAGGCCAGAGATGAAATGGTGGTGAACACAGAAACCCACAATTAAGAAACTATTTTCAAGATCATATTTCTTTTTGAAGAAAACAGCATCTACTTCTCACACACATGCAACAGAGTTCGATTCCTTTATTCCTGGATTCCACACTTACCTCTCTCCTATCCCTACCTGCCCCAGTCAAATCCAGATTGTTACGGTCAAATCAGACCATGAGCAATTCTAGGGGTCCAGAGGTGAAATAATGGCTCAGGGTGGAGCCCCCCACAATCATCCCTCTTTTACGTCAGCAGAGGAAGGGCTCAAACAAGCAAAGATGACGCTCCTATCCCAGAGACTGACCTGGACAGCATAAGAGATGGCGAGACCCGCATAGGCTGGGGGAATCTGCCCGTGCATAAGAACGATCATCAGCCCCGTGGTGGTGATGAGGGCGATGCTGATGAGGTCCAGCCGCACAGCCAGCCACCGCATCGCACACGTAAACAAAAAAAAAGGAGCTTGGTTGTCATCCAGCAGCTCCTGGTATCTGTGAGAAAGACAACACTTAATGGGCAAAGAAAGTACTACACAACCCCGCGCATGGACAAAGCTTCAGCGAATCAGATGATGGAGGGCACGTATTTAAATACTTCCTGTTTCTAACTGAGAGAATGCCCTGGAAACTCCAGGAGGGTATTCTAGGAATTCTGGAGGTATTCTAGGCCGCATGCATAGGAGGACATTAAGTTTTTCTAATCTTAGTTACTCTTTAAAAACAAAAAAAAATCCTATTAAAGATGTTATGGAAAACATCTATCTCAGCACAGAGTAAACATGGGAAAAGAGACTGAATAAAGAGGCTTGTGTTAAACTTTAGAAAAATATCTTAGGTCAGAAGGCATTTTCTGAAAGAAGGAAAGGTTACAAACGCCAACAGCAGAAATGGTTCAAGGCGAGGAAAAAGAAACTCAGAGTGAATATGGGAACACCATAAGTGTGTGCACATGCCGCCACCATGCAGAATGGCACTTGTTCCCCAGCTATGGAGCCAAGCACCAGGAGAAGCAAGCTAAACCACAGCAAAAGGGACTCAGGCAATGTTTACTGCTGCTACTGAAGGAGCATGGCACGGCCATCAGTAGGGGTCCCAGAGAGCAGACCAGACCCCTCTGAAGGCTCAGTGCACCATGTACGACTAGAACTCCAGAGCAGGAAGTTTTGCTGCGCAGATGTGCTTTGCTTTGAAAAATCACTTTTCCTCTTTCCAATAAAATATGTAATCTTTAGAGAAAATTTAGAAAATGCAATAGAAATAGGAAAATGTAAAATTCCAGTAATCTCATCACCCTGTTAAAACCAGAGTTGATATTCCGCTGCATTTCCTCCCAGCAGTTTTTTTCAATGCACTGACATTTACTGTGTGTAGGTATATACACATGTACGTATTTAGTACATTTCACTTTCTTTTCTGCTTAAAGTTTAGGAATTATTTTTCTGAGTCATTTAACATTTTGAAAATAATTTTTTCTAAACTTTCTATTCTAAATTTTCTCTCTAAAAATAATTACCCAACTTTTGCAATAGGCAACATATACACAGAATAGAAAATTTAAAAGTTACCAAAGGTTTACCATGAAAGGTCAAGTCTGTCTCATTCCCATCTTCCAGCTACCCAGTTCTCCCTTCCAGTGGCAACTAACAGGTTTTTTTTTTAATCCTTTCAGAGATATTCTAAATTTTTATTTTTATTTTTTTTGAGATGGAGTCTCGCTCTTGTCGCCCAAGCTGGAGTGCAATGGCATGGTCTGGCCTCACTGAAACCTTTGTCTCCTGGGTTCAAGTGATTCTCCTGCCTCAGCCTCCTGAGTAGCTGGATTACAGGTGCCTGCCACCACGCCTGGTTAATTTTTTTGTAATTTTAGTAGAGACAAGGTTCCACCATGTTGGCCAGGCTGGTCTCGAACTCCTGACCTCAGGCGATCCGCCCACCTCAGCCTCCCAAAGTGCTGGCATTACAGGCGGGAGCCACTGTACCCAGCCTGATATTCTAAATGTTATACATAAAAACACATACTCAAAGGTAGCATACAATATATTAATACACACATCTGTACTCTGCTGTTTCACTAATATATGCTGGAGATCATTCCCTATCAGTACCTATAGAGCTCCCTCATTCTTTTTAAGGGCCACATAGTACTCTATGGATATACCATAGCTTATTCAACCTGTCCTATATTGAAGAACATTTTAGTTCCAATCTCTTATTAATACAAAGCTCCACAATGACAATGCACATAAGTTTCACAAATAAACAATACTCGATGCTTAAATAAAATCTACTCAAATGTCATGACTACCTTTTACTACTTAAAAGAAAAAGCAAAACTCTATGAAATATAGCTTTTCAGGGCCAAGGCCAATAGACTCCTAATCTGTGGGGTTTGTTCCTTGTATTTTGTTTTGAGATGGGGTCCACTATATTGCCCAGGCTGGACTTGAACACCTGGGCTCAAGCCATCCTCCAGCCTCAGCCTCCTGAGTAGCTGTGACTATAGGCACGTGATGCCGCATGCGGCCCAAATCTGTATTTCTGTTTTCTCACTTGCTCAGAAAGGAGTCCCGCCAAGCAATTGGATTTTAATCAGAGATTATTCCATTAAATCATGAATACCCTTGGTAATGAGGTTTATAATCCCCATCTCTGGCCTTGAAGAGCCTCCCGGACAAGTATCAAACGCTGGGATGCTGACTCCCCTTTGAGGCCTCTAGCCCCCATCAGGACAAACCTGTGCAGAAACTCCTGCCCTTTATTGTAGGCGTGGATGGTGGCAAGGCCCTGTATGCTGGACGTGATGTGGGAGAGGAAAGGTGACTGCGTGATATTGTCCAGACGCTTCAGCTCCCGAATCAGGACCCTGGAGAGAGAATGAGCTCCGTGTCACAGCACCTACCCAGCAACTGAGGCTTCTCCGTGGCCCCAGCAGACATGAACGCTTCCTATTTACCTGGAGACAATGTGCAGGACTGAAAAGAGGATGACAAGGGGCCCCACTGCCACAAGGAACCACGGGAAGACTCCTGCGATCATTCCCACACAGAAGAACACCAGGATAACGTTCTGGATGAACATCTCGGCCTGGAACGGCAGCCGCACGTCAACTGTGGAAACAAATAAAGGAGCAAGTGTCAGATGGTTTGGAAAAATGGAACTGAAAATTGAAAAAAACAAAAAGGGGTTCCACAAACTCTCTATCTGAAGTTTGTGATGTTGTCTTTAAACAGTCTGATCAAAGAAAAATTTAGAAACCTGGATGCTCTGATTTTTTTTTTTCGTCTCAAGAAAATCCTCTTACTCCACTCCCTTTTCTTGGTTCCCTTCCTGCCCCACTGCTTTAAACATTTTCCCCCTTTACAAAGTAACTTATGCTTATTTTAAAATGTTTGGAAAATAAATATGTGAAGAAGAAAACAAAAACTATATTCTTACCAATACCAATGAACTGCTGTTAACATTTAAGACATTTTTTGTCTTGCAAAATTTTTAAACATACATAAAAATTAAAGGAAGAGCACAGACCCTTCAACAGTTATCAACTTTCATCTCTTTTTGGCTGTCTCCCCACCCCACCGCCTTTTTTCTTCTGGTTAAAGTATTTTCATGCAAATCCCAGACATGTTGCTATTATTTACTTTTTTTCTTTTTTCCATTCATGTGTGAGCACATGCGTGTGTGTTTAGCAGAAATGGGAACATGTTATGTATCAGTTCGAGTATCAGGGATAGTTCTGATTTCTTGTTACCTCTGGCCATGGGTTTACAATGGCCTATCAATGCCTGAAACAAACCCCTTCCATGAAGGCAGCTACAGTGCAGCAATTAAAAACATTAGCTTTGGGGTCAAAAAGATCTGGGTTCAATTTGCAGCTTTGTCACTCAATAGCTGTAGATCTTGGGCCAGTTCCTTGACCTTTCCAGATAGCAGCTTTCTCATTATTCAAGGAGTGAAACAACACCCGCCTGACAGGCCTGCTGCGGGGATTAAGGTAACATGCATAAAACACTGAGCATGCTGCTTGCTACACAGGAAGCCCCCTGTCAATGTCAGGGGCTTTACTGTTACTCTGAACTGTGGGGGTACAGTATTTCAGTTCTGGTGCAGGCACAGCCCATACAACAGCCAGAAAACCTGCCAGGTTGTAGGCATCCAGAAACCAATGCATTGCTTTAAAATCTGTGTGTGTTTCAGAATCTCAGATGCCTCTGTTCAAAGCCTTTCTGCTAACTCAATTCATTGAATTTATTTTCAGGTCAAACAAGACAGAAAATGCAGTTGCAATGTTCCTGGTGAAAACACCAGCAGTCACTGTGCTCTCAGGATCTACAGACAGACAGATCTGCACATTTGGAGAATCATCTAGAAGGCTGGAAGCACAGTGAGCTCCAGAGTATTAAAAAAAGGCTCAGTGAGAAATACCTTCATCCATGTCTTTGGAAAACCTGTTGAGAATCCTCCCTGTGGGGGTCGTGTCAAAAAACTTCATAGGGCTTCGAAGGATCCTTCGGAAAAGCTCGTCATGCAGCCGGGAGGAAGCTCGCAGCGTGCCCTGAGGAGCAGAGCACAGAGTGGTCAGGGCCCAGGGACGGCTCTGTTCCTACTGGTCCAGAGAACCGCTCCGCAGCACATCCACTCCCAAAGCGGGGAGGTGTGAGGGGTCAGGAGGGACAGGTGGCAAGTGAGAAAAGGTGGAGGCTAACGGAATATGAGTCATCTCAGCCAGGGCCATCCTGGTTAAGGGAGCTCCCCTACTCAGCATGAACTGAGAGACGCCACACCAAAGCCTGACCACAGGTCACCAGGGAGGAGGGCAGAGACCACCCACCAATGCATACCTTGACAAAGACAACTCCTCGAATGGCTTTCAGGATCAGCATGACTGCCATGGAGAGGGCGTAGATGCTGGCATAGTACTGCATATGAGGATTGTCCTTCATGCTGTCACTCACCGAGGTCTCGTTCCCTCGAGTCACAGTGGTGTTCTGTTTGAAGCCAAAGTTCTATGAGGCCAGACTCCTAACGACTGCCAAGAGCCCCTGCTCAGCGCCATTCTCAGCTCAAGGGCAGGGCAGGGTACAGGATAATGACCCACCCTGGGACCTGGTCATGGCTTTGTCCACCTCTTTTTTTTTTTTTTTTTTTTGAGACAGTGTCTCACTCTGTCACCCAGGCTGGAGTGCAGTGGCGCAATCATGGCTCACTGCACCCTCTGCCTCCTGAGTTCAAGAAATTCTCATGCCTCAGCCTCCCAAGTACGTGGGATTACAGGTGTGCACCACCATGCCCAGCTAATTTTTGTATTTTTAGTACAGACAGGGTTTTGCCATGTTGGCCATGCTGGTCTTGAACTCCTAGCCCCAAGTGATCCACCTGCCTTGGCCTCTCAAAGTGCTGGGATTACAGGCATGATCCACCACACCTAGCCCTCTTTCTCTCTATTCTAATGTCATATGGTTTGGCTTTGTGTCCCCACCCAAAGCTCATCTTGAATTGTAATTCCCAGGTGTTGAGGAAGGGACCCGGTGGGAGGTGACCGGATTGTGGGGTGGATTCCCCCATGCTATTCTTGTCGTGACAGTGAGTTCTCATGAGATCTGACAGTTTAAAAGTGTTTGACATGTCCTCCCGCACACGCTGTCTTGTCTCTCTTCTGCCACCTTGTGAAGAAGGTGCCTCCTTCTCCTTTGCCTTCCACCATGATTGTAAGTTTCCTGGGGCCTCCCCAGTTATGTGGAACTGTGAGTCAATTAACCCTCTTTCCTTTGTCAAGTACCCCGTCTTGGGTATTTCTCTGTAGCAGTGCAAAAATGGACTAATACACAACGGATGAGAACAGATAGCCTGCAGGTGTCCTACTGCACGCCCTACTGCCCTGTGGGTTGGTCAGCGTTTTTTTCCTTCTGGTGAGGCTACATTAGGGACTCATCTTTTCATCCTGGAAAAATCTCTCTTTACAGCTTCTTTTAAGTGAAAACTAGAACAGTTTCCCTAAGAATAGCCAGGGAATAGGGAGAAACGGCCACATTCTTAGACACAGAACTTTCCCATTTATGAGTAACCTTACCCCGCTTCCTTGCTTGATCCAGTAACTCAACCACCAGGTGCTGAAGGCGGTGCTGCCTACATTCAGCATGAAAAGGGCCATAATAACCAGGAATGCCAAGGGGCCCCCAGCAGCCTGGATGTAGACACCATATACTGACCAGGGCACTGAACCCTGCCCTTTCTCTTCCAGCTGCACAAGCTGCCCTAGGTAAGAAAAAAAGAAACATGGACTCAGAAGGGAAGAACTATTTCCATAAAACTAAGTCACCTGCAGAGCAACAGAATCGGACAACCGGCAGCTTCACAGGGGTCTAGATTAGATTTCCTCTTTGTCAGAAGCATTCATTCATCTATTTAACATTTACTGAGCACCTACCACAAACCAGACCCAGGATGAAGCCCAGGAGCAGCAAAGAGGATGAAGACCAGGTCCCCACCCCTAGGGACCTGGCTGAGGAGCCTGCCACAGACTGGTAGGACAGGCAGATCAATAATCACATAATTACAGTGAAATGTGCTCAATGTGATGATAGAGCTATACGCAGGGCAGCATGGGAACCCCTGGGAGGCATACTTGACCTATTTGGCTTAGGTGTGGGGTGGTTGGCAGGCATGTTTCAGGTAAGACTTTCTGTATTGCTTCTCAAAAGGTAAGCCACAGATGACCGGGTGGGGAAAGGAGAGAGCAGGCAGAGAAAACAACACAAGCACAGGCACGGGGTAGCAAAACACACCACCACAGTGATTCGGCACAGCTGGAACAGATGTGCACTTAAAGAATGGCAGGAGATGAGGCCGACTAAGCAGGCTGTGGTCACAGAAGAAAGGCTTTGAATTTTGGCCCCACAAAGAACTTCTCAACAGAAAGGGTGACAGGTGTGTCTGACTTCTGTTGGGCTAGGAAGGACCTGGGATGGCTGATATTGCCACACCAGCTGCCTCTGGGAGCGAGCAGCCTCTTTCATGCCTCCTGTGTTCCACACAAATAGCCTTTTCTGTATGTGCCCTATCAGGGAAAATATTTGAAAATGGAAGGTTACTGAAAGACTCCATGCAGGAAAGTTGGTTGGTCTCATGTTTTGTGTGTGTGTTTTTTTTTGAGATAGAGTCTCACTCTGTCGCCCAGGCTGGAGTGCAGTGGCGTGATCTCAGCTCACTGCAACCTCCGCCTTCCCGGGTTCAAGCAATTCTCCTGCCTTAGCCTCCCAAGTAGCTGGGATTATAGGCGCCCGCCACCACGCCTGGCTAATTTTTGTATTTTTAGTAGAGACGAGGTTTCACCATGTTGGCCAGGCTGGTCTCGAACTCCTGACCTCAGGTGATCTGCCTGCCTCAGCCTCCCAAAGTGCTGGGATTACAGGCATGAGCCACCGCACCTAGCTGGTCTCATGTTTTTAACTAGATCTCGCAGCTGACCGTGTGGAAGACAGGTTCAAAACGAGGCAGCTGTAACACTGTAGGTAAGAGATGATAAAGGCCTGAACTGGGGTTGTGATGGTGGGATGGAGTTTCGGGAGGTAAATTCAGTAGGACATAGTAACTGGCTGGCTGCTGGAGGAGAGAAAAGGTTCAAATATATTCCTGAGGATCTCCCTGGCGCACTCAGATTCTTAACACTAATATGAGAATACAGAATGTAAACCAGAAAGTACCTTGAGACGGGTCTCAATCAATTTAGGAGTTAATTTTGCCACGGTTAAGAATCATGACCAGTGACGCAGCCTCAGGAGGTCCTGAGAACAGGCCCAAGGCAGTTGGATTACAGCTTGGTTTTATGTTTTAGGGAGACATGAGACATCAATCAATATAAGTGGGGTAATCACTGGTTTGATCCGGAAAGGTGGGGCAACATGGGGCAGGGAGGTGCAGCTTAAAGGTCAAAGGTGAATTCAAAGATTTTCTGATTGGCAATTGGTTGAAAGGGTTAAGCTCTGCCTGAAGAGTTGAAATTAGCTTGAGTGGTGGGGGAGTGGTGGGGGACAGGGTGTGGACGCCAAGGTTCTTGTCATGTAGATGAAGCCTCCCAGTAGCAGACGTCAGAGAGAACAGATGTGAATGTCTCCTATCAAAGGTGTCAGACCCTCTGGAGAGACCTAGTAAAGGAAGGAGATTCTCTACGTAATGCAGAACTTCCCCTTCAACAGACAGCTTTGCAGAGACATTTCAAAATATGCATTTCTTCCAGGGCCCTGCTATCTGTCCTGTGATGCTCTATTATTTTAATAGAGTGAGGTTGGAATTAGGTATCTTACAGCTACAAAGAGACTGTTCTGTCAGTCTTAGGATCTCTATATAAATGTTAATGCTCGTCAGTTGTGTGCCTGAACTCTAAAGGCAGGGGAGTATAATAAGGCACGTCCAACATTGTCTTCCCTTCATGGTCTGAATAGATTTTCAGGTTCCATTGGGTACCCTTGGCCTAGAGGAGAGTTTATTCAGTTAGTTGCAGGGCACAGAATTTAATTTTTCATTTGCAAGAGAAACAGCTATACAGGAAGATTTTCCCTGTTTTGTTTTTGAACTTTTATTTTAGATTCAGGGAGTACATCTGCAGATCTGTTACATGCAGATCCGTGTGTATATCACATCGGTTACATGCAGATCTGTGTATATATCACATCGGTTACATGCAGATCCGTGTGTAAATCACATCAGTTACATGCAGATCCATGTGTAAATCACATCAGTTACATGCAGATCTGTGTGTATATTACATCTGTTACATGCAGATCCATGTGTATATCACATCAGTTACATGCAGCTCCGTGTGTATATCACATCGGTTACATGCAGATCCGTGTGTATATTACATCTGTTATATGCAGATCCATGTGTATATCACATCAGTTATATGCAGCTCCGTCTGTTTATCACATCGGTTACAGGCAGATCCGTGTGTATATCACATCGGTTACATGCAGCTCCATGTGTATATCACATCGGTTACATGTTCATCCATGTGTATATCACATCAGTTACATGCAGATCCGTGTGTATATCACATCGGTTACATGCAGATCCGTGTGTATATCACATCTGTTACATGCAGCTCCGTGTGTATATCACATCGGTTACATGCAGATCCGTGTGTAAATCACATCGGTTACATGCAGATCCGTGTGTAAATCACATCGGTTACATGCAGATCCGTGTGTAAATCACATCGGTTACATGCAGATCCGTGTGTAAATCACATCGGTTACATGCAGATCCGTGTGTATATCACATCTGTTACATGCAGATCCGTGTGTAAATCACATCGGTTACATGCAGATCCGTGTGTATATCACATCGGTTACATGCAGCTCCGTGTGTAAATCACATAGGTTACATGCAGATCCGTGTGTATATCATATCGGTTACATGCAGATCCGTGTGTAAATCACATCGGTTACATGCGGATCCGTGTGTATATCACATCTGTTACATGCGGATCCGTGTGTATATCACATCGGTTACATGCAGATCAGTGTGTATATCACATCGGTTACATGCAGATCAGTGTGTATATCACATCGGTTACATGCAGATCCGTGTGTATATCACATCTGTTACATGCAGATCCGTGTGTAAATCACATCGGTTACATGCAGATCCGTGTGTATATCATATAGGTTACATGCAGATCCGTGTGTATATCATATAGGTTACATGCAGATCCGTGTGTAAATCACATCGGTTACATGCGGATCCGTGTGTACATCACATCGGTTACATGCGGATCCGTGTGTATATCACATCTGTTACATGCAGATCCGTGTGTAAATCACATCGGTTACATGCAGATCCGTGTGTATATCATATAGGTTACATGCAGATCCGTGTGTATATCATATAGGTTACATGCAGATCCGTGTGTAAATCACATCGGTTACATGCGGATCCGTGTGTACATCACATCGGTTACATGCGGATCCGTGTGTACATCACATCGGTTACATGCGGATCCGTGTGTACATCACATCGGTTACATGCGGGTCCGTGTGTACATCACATCGGTTACATGCGGGTCCGTGTGTACATCACATCGGTTACATGCGGGTCCGTGTGTACATCACATCGGTTACATGCGGGTCCGTGTGTACATCACATCGGTTACATGTGGGTCCGTGTGTATATCACATCGGTTACATGCTTATCCGTGTGTATATCACATCGGTTACATGCAGATCCGTGTGTATATCACATCTGTTACATGCGGATCCGTGTGTATATGACATCAGTTACATGCGGATCCGTGTGTAAATCACATCGGTTACATGCGGGTCCGTGTGTACATCACATCGGTTACATGCGGGTCCGTGTGTATATCACATCGGTTACATGCTTATCCGTGTGTATATCACATCGGTTACATGCAGATCCATGTGTATATCACATCTGTTACATGCGGATCCGTGTGTATATGACATCAGTTACATGCGGATCCGTGTGTAAATCACATCGGTTACATGCTTATCTGTGTGTACATCACATCAGTTACATGCGGATCCGTGTGTACATCACATCGGTTACATGCTTATCCGTGTGTACATCACATCGGTTACATGCAGATCCATGTGTAAATCACATCGGTTACATGCGGATCCGTGTGTACCTCACACCGGTTACATGCAGATCCGTGTGTATATCACATCGGTTACATGCGGATCCGTGTGTACATCACATCGGTTACATGCGGATCCGTGTGTATATCACATCGGTTACACGTAAATCCGTGTGTATATCACATCGGTTACACGCAGATCCGTGTGTATATCACATCTGTTACATGCGGATCCGTGTGTATATCACATCTGTTACATGCGGATCCGTGTGTATATCACATCGGTTACATGCGGATCCGTGTGTATATCACATCGGTTACATGCGGATCCGTGTGTACATCACATCGGTTACATGCGGATCCGTGTGTACATCACATCGGTTACATGCAGATCCGTGTGTACATCACATCGGTTACATGCAGATCCGTGTGTAAATCACATCGGTTACATGCAGATTTGTGTGTATATCACATCTGGTACATGCTTATCCGTGTGTATATCACATCGGTTACATGCAGATCCGTGTGTATATCACATTGGTTACATGCAGATTCGTGTGTATATCACATCTGTTACATGCTTATCCGTGTGTATATTACATCTGTTACATGCAGATCCATGTGTATATTGCATGACGCTGAGGTCTGGGTTACTAATGATCCTCTCACCCAGGTACTAAGCATAGTACCCGGCTTTTCCCTCTTTACACAAATAATGTTTACAAATCTCAGAATAAGCCTCCCTCATGCCTTGAGCACTTTAAGAGTTGTGAGTAGCCAGGTTAGTGACTATGTACAGAAGAACATATGTTTGCTAATGATATTCTGATTTTTTACTGCCCGTGGTAAGAACTAACAAATGTCTCAGCCTTCTGTGCTGTTTGTTTTTTGGGGTGTGTCAATAAGGTATCATAAACCACACTTGAATTCAAAATCTCATACCTGAATTCAAAATCCCATACCTTTTAAAAAAAGAAATAAAAGAGGCAGTAAGTCAGGATGATCAACTCCCAATACCAAATATCTCCTGCAGTTTCTTTCCTCTTTTTTTTTTTGTCAGGATCTCACTCGGTCCCCCAGGCTGGAGCGCAGTGGCTCACCTCGGCCTCCCAAGTAGCTGGGACTACAGGTATGTGCCACCACGTTTGGCTAATTTTTATATTTTTTGGAGAGAAGCGGGGCGTGCCATGTTGCCCAGGCTGGTCCTGAACTCCTGGGCCCGAGCAATCTTCCCACCTCAGCCTCCCAAAGTACTGGGACTACAGGTATAAGCCACCTGTGCCTGACCTCCTGCAGTTTTAAGGATAAGGAAGTAGCAACAGGCTCCGTCTCCAAAGCAATGGCAAACCCAAGAAAGTCCCTGGATTCAAAAGGGTGAGGTAAGGAGGTGAAGCAACAAAGAGATTAAAACAAGAACACACATGTCTACATCTATACAGTACACACACACACACACACACACACACACACAGTGTTTGTGTGTATTTAAATTGACATGCAACTTAAAATTCAAAGGTGAAAATGCCCACATTATTGCAAATATCTTCCCTTAACTCTCAAGATTTGTTACTGTTGATAACATAAAGGGTTTAAGAAACAGGATCAAGGGCTCTGGACAGGAAAAGCCAAGTAGGAAAAACCCCTCTCTGTCACTCTTACTCATAGTCCTGGTGCTATATTGTCAAGACAAAGTGACGAGTCTACTGTTCTAACATGGGTGCTTCTGAGGACACAGATATTCTTAGAGCCAGAACACCTCTGATTTGGTTGGGACTTTTCATGAGCAGAGGCGAATCACTGGATGGAAGGGTGTACCTGTACCCACCATTCGATTTTTCCTTACTCAGGATGACTCAGTTCTAATTACCTAAACCTGACCCCACCCTGCACAGGAGAAGACATGGGTCTGAAGGTGACTCTTACTGCCCTGGTCTGTTTAAGCAAACAGAAGGTGCCTCGTGGTCTCCCAGTATTATATAAGAACTTTGTTTTCCAGAAATGTAAGACCAAGTATTTATATTGTACACACACTGCTATCAAACATCATGAATTACTTACTACACAAGTTATTTCTGATAAACTTTGATGACAAATCTAAAAATTTCAAAAAAGGCCATTACCTTCCTCTGGCTTTACTGCTTTTTCCTTCTTTACTGATCCTGTTTTAGGACCCTTGTCTTGTGACTTCTTCTGTGAACCACTGGTTTCCTTTTTTGAATTGATCTAATAATATTTAAAAAAAAAAGTCTCCAGTCATGTTAGCCATCCAGATGAATGTCCACAGGATACATATTAGGGAATCATCAATTAAACTGCTATTACTGAAAAAAGATACATCCAACTTCTTAAAAGGGTCACCTATACTCATTTCTTGTACTTCCTCATCTCCTTAAATTTTTAAGATTTAAAATTTAGTCCACTGACATTTGCTCTCCCCAGTCACTAAACTCCAAACACAGTAACCTTTATTCTGTTCTTGTCCATTCCAAGTTGCACAAAGTATTAGGCATGGGGTCATTTCCATTCCTCCTCTCTGAGCCCACATCACTAAACCAAATCCATAGATCTGATCATTTCCCACTGCTACCACAGGATAAACATAAGCTTTTCCACCTGGTTCTGTAGGACCTCCATATTCTGGCCCTGCCCTAATCCTGCAAGCTCCTCTCCCATCTCACTGGTGTCCACAGCCCCTACTCTCAAGCCACACTGGACTTCACACCATTCCTTACACCACACTGCAATTTCCCATTTCTCTACTTTGGTCCACACTCGTTCCTCCACTTGGAATGCCCCTCCCCTTGTCCCAATCGCAGTCACAGTTGTCCCCATTCAGATAGATTCAAGTCTTCCATTCTTCATGAGGCAACATACACTCCCTGGAAAGCTCACCCTCCCATTCGCCCTTAGAACTCCATTAGTACTATACATGTGATGTGGTCTTGTAAGCCACATTTGTAAGTGCTTGTAAGAGCATAAAAGCATCGGTCTTCCCTAGAACACTGTGAGTCCCTTAAGGACAGAGATGATGTCTCTCACATGGTTACAACCTGCACAGGCCCTACCCCTGAGAACTGCCTATAACAGGGCACACAGGGACTCAATAAACAGCCATCAGGGTTCTACCTGAGATAACAGAAACTACTTAATGCTCTCCTTTCCAAGTTTCTCTTATGTCTTTTTTTTTTCTTGAGATGGAATCACGCTCTGTCACCCAGGTTGGAGTGCAGTGGTGCAATCTTAGCTCACTGCAACCTCTGCCTCCTGGGTTCAAGCGATTCTCCTGCCTCACCCTCCCAAGTAGCTGGGATTACAGGCGCCTGCCACCACACCTGGCTAATTTTTGTATTTTTTTGTAAAGACGGGGTTTCTCTCTATGTTGCCCAAGCTGGTGTCGAATTCCTGGGCGCAAGCAATCTGTCCACCTCAGCCTCCAAAAATGCTGGGATTACCAGCAAGAGCCGCAGCACCTGACCTGAGTGCTTTCAAATGTATGCAATATTTAATTTCCCTACCTTGGCACTTTATTCACTTGTTTATTTAAAAAAGAGCTTCATAATGCTTCAATCAGGTGGATGGAGCTTAGGAAACTAAGCTGTGAATGAACAGCAGCACACATCTTCTCTGCCCTCACTGAGCCCATATCCTTCTCCCTGCCATTGTCATATTAGTAAGTTCTCAGTGACAGAAGACCTCAGCTCACCAGCCCCACAATCCTGCTCTCCTAGAGCAGAATCAGTGTGTGAACTAAGGCACAGCAGTCTGTTCACCAGAAAACAGGGCCCCTGCCAATAAGACACAGACACTGGATTCAGCTGAGGTCTCTCCATCACTCACTCCGGCTGTGTTTCCCTTGCAGAGACAGAAGGGGACACACGCAAACACCATCAGATCTTACCTCAACTGGCGGTGTCTCTCCCAGCAACAGGTTATTAAAAATGGTAGCATAGTCACCATTTAAATTCATCAGTTCCTCATGGGTGCCTCTTTCCGTAATACAGCCCTCTTTCATGAAGATCACTTCATCACAGTCAACCAGGTACTGAAGGCAAAGGCAGAGACAACACAATATGCTGTTTGTGCAAATACATTCAAAAACCCATACATTAGTTCAGTAGTTCTCTACAGGAGACGAGTTAAGCTCCCAGAAGACATTTGGCAGCATCTGGAGACATTTTTTTTTTTGAGGCAGAGTCTTGCTCTGTCGTTCACGCTGGAGCGTGGTGGCGCAATCTCGGTTCACTGCAATCTCCGCCTCCTGGGTTCAAGCGATTCTCCTGCCTCAGCCTCCCGAATAGCTGGGACTACAGGCATGCAGCACCATGTCTGGCTAATTTTTTTGTATTTTTAGTAGAGACGGGGTTTTGCCGTACAGGTAATCCGCCCATCTCGGCCTCCCAAAGTGCTGGGATTACAGGCCTGAGCCACCGCGCCCAGCTGGAGACATTTTTGGTTGTCACAACTCGGGGGAGAGGTACACAGATGCTCCTCAATTTACAATGGGCTTACATCCTGATAAACCCAACGTAAATTGAAAATATCAGAGCTTAGCCTAGCCTACCTTAAACATGCTCAGAACCCTTACATTAGCCTACAGTTGGGCAAAATCATCTAACACAAAGCCTATTTTATAATAAAATGTTTAATATCTCATGCAATTTTTTTCAATACTATGCTGAAAGTGAAAAACAGAATGGTTGTGTGGAAACCATCATAAAGTCAAAAAACTGTAAGTTGAACCGTAAGCCAGCGACTGTCTCTACTGGTATCTAGTGGCTAGAGGCCAGGGGTGCACAAAGCAGCCCCACACAACAATGGACTATCTGGTCCAAAACATCAGTGGTGCCAACACTGAGAACCCCACTTCAGTGTATTGTGCCTCGTGACATAGTATAAGGAGCAGTTCCTCCAGTTTTTTTCTTTTTTTTTTTTTTTTGTGACAGAGTCTTGCTCTTGTTGCCCAGGCCGGAGTGCAATGATGCAATCGCAGCTCACTTTAACCTCCACCTCCTGGGTTCAAGGGATTCTCCTGCCTCGGCCTCCTGAGTAGCTGGGATTGCAGGCACGTGCCACCATGCCTGGATAATTTTTGTATTTTTAGTAGAGATGGGGTTTCACCAGTTGGTCTCGAACTCCTGACCTCAGGTGATCCGCCAGCCTCAGCCTCCCAAAGTGCAGGGATTACAGGCGTGAGCCACTGTGCCTGGCCGAGTCCCTCCGGTTTTTCACATGAATCTGCTGATGGAGCCACATGAGCCCTGCATTAAATTTACACCCTTTCACTGCACTCACAAATATACATAATTATGACTTTCTTTGGCAGAATGGAGGGTTTGCCCCCTAAACGTGACAACATATGTGAGCCAGATGGCAACATCCTTGAGCTGCTCTCCAAAGTGCCTGCTTATGATGGAATGGCAGAGGGAGAAAAGCTTGTTTTCCCAAAACAGTTCCCACTTGCATAGAGATGTTAACACAATGCTTTCCAAACTATCTTATACCCAAACTCCATTTTTGGCCTGCTCCTCTCAGCCCTTTTACTTGCTGATCTATATGCAGAAGCTGATATGCTCCAAGGATCTCTGATTTAGATGGCCATCTGTTACACTGGTACAGTGAGCTTTATTGGTACAGGGGGCTAATTTGCTAAGAAAATGAAACCTTGATTCCAGGAATTTCTAGTTATAACACAAGGATACCTGGAGCAAACCTACCTCCCTGTTTCTGATTTCCCAAACTCAGGCAGGCAGCCGAGGGAAGAAAGAACCATACCTGTAACTGGTGGGTAACAAACAGAACTGTCTTGGACTTGAGATGTTTCCGGATAGCACTATTGAAGATGTGGTTGCCCACATGGGCATCTAAGGCACTGAGGGGGTCGTCCAGGATGTAGATGCTCCTGTCACTATACAAGGCCCGGGCAAGGCTGATCCTCTGGCGCTGCCCACCGCTCAGGTTGGCTCCTCGCTCTCCAATCTACAAGAGCCCAGAAGTGTGGTGAAGCCTCCAGCGCAAGTCCAGAACAGCGTGGAGGGGTCACCCAGTCACTTCTCTTCTTGCCCACCCAGACCAGCTCCTTCTGTCAATTCCCCGCAGATGAACTGCCATGCTGATTCCCCGCAGATGAACTGCCATGCTGATCCTTCAACGAAGTGGGGGAGTTGGCCCAGATGCCTCTTCCTCTACCACTGCCATCTGGGTACCGATCAATCCTACATCTGGTCTTGCCAGTCCACCCGGATGCTCCCCCTCCAATCCATTCTCCACATGGCAGGAAGATCTTTCCAGAACACAAAGCTGACCATCTCCCACCCTTGCTTAAAATTCTTCAAGAGCCTCAAAGGATAAACCTTGAGTATCCAAACATGGCATACAAACCAGACCCTTTGTCACCCAGTTCCCCAGCAGTTCTCAGCCTCCAGTGCACAATCCCCCTTCCACATCCTGGGACCTAAGCCATTTGAAATTATGTGTATACTATGAACATGACAATGTCATGTGCTTGCCTCTACTTTGTCTGCTCAGTTCTGGCATCATCTCCTCTGAAATCTCCCCCAACCTCTTTCCCGCTAGTACCCCAAAGAGATGGGGCTCTTTTCATCAGATTATTTTGTGCCTATTTGTTTGGGTATCTCATCCTCTTAACTGTACACTTCTTTACGTGCAGATTATTGTCTTATTCCTTTATATTCTTAGTGCCAAACAGTGTCTGCACATGTCACTGGCACATAATAAACACCTAATAAATGTTACTAAATGATTAAATGAATAAATCAGTTGTCAAATATTCAATTAATTCAGAGGTTTTCAAACTGGAAGTTGCATCAGAATTACCTGCAGGGTTTGTTAAAACAGACCTTTGCGCCCCACCCCTAGAGTTTCTGATTCAGTAGGTCTGGAGAACAGCCTAAGAATTTGTGTTTCTAACAAGTTCCCAGATGATGCTGATGCTGATGCTGCTGATCTGGGGACATGGATTTAAGGACCTCTAAAGTAATTAAACCATTCACCAAATCTGGTTTGAGGGATTTAACTGAAATCAGCTAAATAAAGGTGCCAATCCCAGAGACCTTCAGGGCAATTCATGGGAGACAAGTTTTAACACTGAAGAGCACAAATTAGTTCCAAAGACAAGCCTCTGGAAACTGCTGCAGGGCAGAGACCCAAAGAAATGTGGATTTGTTCTAAGGGCTCTTTCTAATAGAAAAGGGCTCTCTACAGACTATCTGAGTTAAGGAGGTTGGCAAAATCAAGTTCAAGGAAGATGCTCAACATGCACACGCTTACTTGTAGTTTTAAAAATATCTGGATAGAATAAAAAACATCAACTCTGAGTCAACAATGGGATTTTGTTTACAATCCCCAAGACACAGAAAATACTTACAACCTTAAAACAAGCAGTGTTAACATCCCTGCCCTAATGGACACATGCTTTCCTAACACAAAGGCCTAATGACAGCCTAACTCCCTGTGAGGCTCTTCTCCCAAGCATTTCAGTTGCACTCCCAGGAGCAGCTCTGGCCCAGCTCTGCCACTCTGCTAAATGCCTGGTCAGGGGCGGAAGGCCTGTACCTCCGTCAGGTCGCTGCTGGGAAGAATGGCCAGGTCAGGCCTCAGGCAGCAGCTGTTCAGCACAGAGTTGTATCTGGAGGACACAAAGAGACAGCGTCAGGGACACGGCGGGAGCAGAGCCTGCTGACTAGGGCTGCCTTGCATCTCACGCGGCCAAGATGGAAAGCATGACAGAAGCCAAACATTCCTTGCCTTTCTTCATCATATTCCTTCCCAAACAGGATGTTGTCTCTCAGAGTAGCATTGAGGATCCAGGCCTGCTGGGCCACATAAGCGAAGGTTCCACTGATTGCAATGCTGCCCTCTAGAAGCGTCATCTAGGGAGAGAGACACCATCCAATGGCATCATAACTCAAAACCATCACCCTATGCCAACGGAACCCCCACCTTCCACAATGGAATCTAGCTCTGGTAATTTCCCGGGATGCTTTTTGGACCCAAATCCAGATTCCACCTTTAATTCCAAAGAGAGCTAAGCAGCAAAGAAAATCAAAGTTCTCCTTGCTTATGTGTGATGGGAGCTCAGCATAACCCATAACTTGAAGGCAAACACTTCCCTCTGCAGCCCATTTGCTGTGTGCAAACTGTTTAAATTAGGAGAAGCACAAGCAAGAGGTTCTTGCAGAATTCTCCTGGAGAGGATGCTGTAGGGGTTTCCAGCTAATCCCTGCCTCAACATGGGGGCAGGCCAACTCATCCAAGGCAATTACCTAGGATGCTGGCTAGACCAGTTGCTTCTATGAAATGAGGACCAAGGGAAAAAAAAAGTCCAGGTTAGACATCACCTAGTATTTATAATATATACACAGTGTCCATTTACCAATGATGGACCTTGCCTGCCCACAAGCAGTGATGAACCATGTGCTTTGAAGTTTGTGTTCAGTTGCAATGGTTTGATATGAATTGACTTATCCATTTTACCCCCTTCCATGATTTCTTTTGTTTGGGACTGATAGTAGACATTTGTCTTGGTTTAGGGATGCTACAGCTTTGAAGCAAAGTTTCACTAACCAGCCTGTGCAGTACTTGTTCATATAAGCTGGTCTTCTCAAACACCCTCACACAGCGTGTACACACACAGGTGTACCTACGTACACCACAAACTGGTAGCATTCTGATGTGCACTTCAAAGGGTTCAGAAGTCCCCAGGGGGTCTACTGTGGAAAGCCGGCACTTCTGGCTGCTGCACAAACACCGCACATTGCAGCGCTATCAACAGATGTAAACTACAGTTAAAGCAGGGCTGACCAGCCCAACCCGTTTCCCTGCCAGAGACAGGGTTGCCAGGATTTGTCCAGAAGCAAAGCCTGACTTGGTTTTCAACCTAACCACTGCCTAGTCAACCCTGGAAAAAGGAGCACATTGCTAGATGGCAGAGCAGCACTTACGAATTGACCTTTTCTTTCCTTCTCCCCCTCCCCCCATCTCTGTCTCTCCTCACTGGCCCTCCAAATCTGGTTGGTCATCATAAATCACCTAGGAAGTCTGGTGCTTTTTACAAGACCAATGGCTGGGCCCAGCCACTGGAGAGTGTCATAAAGCAGAAGGTGGAGGTGATGCCTGCCATGATCTGACTCAGACAGCCCCAGGCACCACCACCCTCAAGGAGGACCACAACTCACCAACTGTGACAGCTGATGCCAAACAAGACAAGAAAGCATTCCATAATCTGGGGGCTACAAAAGCACCCCTGCTCCCCCTCTGTTTCATTTCAATTCAGTGGACCTTATCCATCAGGGTGTAGAGATAATCATAAGTTTATGCTCATCTCAACCATCTAAGTCAAGTTAATTTAATTCTAATGTAAAAGCATGTGGGCACCTTGTTTTTTTTTTTTTTCTGGATTGTTTGATTCTAAAACACAGCAATGATAGTGTGTCTCAGTGGGATGACTCCGGCCCCATCCTGTCCCTCACTCTCAGCACTGGCCACCGTGTGCTGGGCCCTGCACGCTGTTCACTCCCTGCCTGGAGATGTGCTTGTTGTGTTCTCAAGGCCTTGCTCCCCACTGGACCATGAACTCCCCAAGGGCATGACTCTTTCAGGGATTAGGCAGAAAACAGAGGGGCTTTGCTTCTAGATCAAACCCTGACAGTCCTGTCTGACAGAGAGGCTGGGAGTGCTGGCCGCCCTGCTTCTTTACAGGTTAACTCTGTTGGCAGCGCTGCAGTGTAGGGTGTCTGCTCATCTCTTATCTCTGACATTTTCAATACACGGGCATACCTGTGGCACTCAATAGATACATGCTGAATGAAAGAAGGCATGAGACCAAATGGTTCCAGCTGGGACAACAGTCAGTCATCCATCAGGCGCCCACCAGGCCTCCTTCCAGGCAGAAGGCTGTGAAGGGGGAGAACTGGGGGGAACTGCGGGGGATTGGGGGCATACAATGCAGGCTGAGGGTTCATTTGTTTCCACCTTTCCTGACTCTCCAGGAAATTTGTTCGTTTTTCCTGAGACTCTTGCAAACCAGAGAAAGCAGCAGAAAAGGACAATAACAAAAATCTTACCTGGCCTAAAATGGCTGAAATGAGAGAGGTTTTTCCACTTCCCACACTGCCACAGATTCCAACCAGTTTACCCTGGACAAGGCACACAGAGAGGAGGGTCATTTAGAGACTACTAACCACTCATCGCTAAGGACTTGAGGAAAAACACATTAACTGTAGTCTACCCATACAGAACTGTCACCCTGATGACTCAGCAGGCCACTTACCTGTTTTCTCACTCATTAGCTGCCTATCTCATGGGTTTCTGTGGAGACACCTGAGATAACAGGAATGGAAGCCCTTTGGGGAAAGTAAATATGCCGCACACATTCCAGTATCCCACCGTCATTCTTAGGCCCAGCCTCTTTCCTATTCTGCTGCTAACCCATGTTCTTCATTTACTTGTTTTTGTCATTTTTTAGAAGACAGGGTAGGGCTTTTAAAAATCATTTTATTATTATTATTATTATTTTGAGATGGAGTCTTGCTCTGTCAACCAGGCTGGAGTACAGTGGTGCGATCTTGGCTCACTGCAGCTTCCGCTTCCGGGTTCAAGCAATTCTCCTGTTGGGGTTACAGGCATGCACCACTACACCCAGCTAATTTTTATATTTTTAGTAGAGACAGGGTTTCGCCATGTTGGTCACGCTCGTCTCAAACTCCTGGCCTCAAGTGATCCACCCACCTCGGCCTCCCAAAGTGCTGGGATTACAGGCATGAGCCACCACGCCTGGCCACCCATATTCTTTATTTACTTGTTTTTGTTGTTTGCCAGAAGAGAGGGCAGGACTCTTAAAAATCATTTTATTATGATTTTTCTCCAGGGTGTATACATAATTAATTTTCAATAAAAACCATGGACACTGTTGCATGCAAAACATTTCCAAAAATCTGAGGAATATTTATACCATCAATCCCACAAAAAAGTAGAACACCAAGTCTATGATTAACTGAGTATCCTTAGGCAAGATAAAGAGTTCTCAAAGTGGTGTTGAAAGTTTTCAAGGGACAGACAGATGACTTCAAAAGGGTCACTTGTTTACAACCCCGTGCCAGTTCAAGTGTCCCCAGGAAGGAAGGGAGAGTGGTAGTGTGGACGGAGCATGGATTCTGGAGGCAGATGGGTCTTTATCTAAATCCCAACTTCACTAGCACTTGCTAACTGTGTGATCCAGGCCCCGTGACTTAACCTAATACTGTGTCTGTCTCCTTCTTTGGACTCTGAGCACCTTGAGGAAAGGCAGTATCCTCATAAAACTAAGTACAGTGTCTGATAGTTGAACAAATAGTTTTTGACATGGTCCACGAGTACTGAATGGTTTACTGCCTGGTGGCAACAAGGAGGTCAAGTCACAGGTTCAACCTCTGCTCAGGCCAGTTAGATTTACATGAGAAAAATGCTATTCTTATGATTAAATGATGACTAAATGAGACATCAAAAATGAGAAAAATGCCTGGTGCACAGAAGACACTTGGCAAACATTACCTCCCCTTCTCTTCCCTAAAGCAAAGGCCCAGGGAGAATTAAGGCATCTCTCTTCAAATGGCTAAAGGTCTCCCATTGTCTGTGGGCTCTGAAGGGCAAAATGAGGGTCAACATACAAAGCAAAAGAATACATTTTAGCTGCACGTGTGGAATCATTTTCTAATAGAGCTGATAGCAATGTATTAGAGCTGCCTCAATAATCAAGCTAATAGTTACTAAATAAAAAGCCTGTTAGGCGTTAACTGAAGTAAGGCCAGATGCAGCAGCTCACGCCTATAATCCCCACACTTTGAAAGGCCAGGCAGGCAGACCACCTGAGGTGAGGAGTTCGAGACCAGCCTGGCCAACATGGTGAAACCCCGTCTCTACTAAAAATACAAAAATTAGCCAGGCACAGTGGCACGTGCCTATAATCCCAGCTACTCGGGAGGCTGAGGCAGGAGAATCACTTGAACCCGGGAGGCAGAGGTTGCAGTGAGCCGAGATCGTGCTACTGCACTCTAGCCTGGGCAACAGAGCCAGACTCTGTCTCAAAAAAAAAAAAAAAAAAAAAGTTAACTGAAGTAAAAACCTGACTTGCATGCCCTTCAATGACACTCATAGTTTCAAGTGGTGTCACTAAAGACTGTGTCCCCTTCTTGCTCATAGCTTTTAAGGGCTGGAAGCTTTTTGTCCTCTTCTCAGTCTAGTTCTGGATTGGCTTACCATGCCTCTGGTCAGTTGCTGATTTTCATATACACTGCATTCAAACCTCCTCCCTACTTCCAGTTACATGGACAAACATTTCTTACTACCTCCCACCAGCAACCTTGATCTAAGACATCCTCATCTTTCTCCCGGTTACTGTGGTAACAGAGCCTTGACTGTTCTCCTTGCTTCCTTGTCTCCCCTGCAGCAACCAGAATGATCCTCTTCATACATAAGTCCAATCATGTCATTCTGCTGTGAATCCTCCAAAGGCTCCTCTTCCCACTTGGAGTAAAGCTGAAGTCTCACCAGAGGCTCTGGCAGGCACCACCTCTGCCCTTGGCATCCACTACTCTCTCCCATGCTCATTCCACTCCAATAACAGACACACTCACCACTTGCGGCCTCTGTGTTTCTGTTCCTTTGGCCCGGAATGTTCTTCCCCACCCATCCCATACCCAGGTAGCTCTCTCCCTCATCTCCTTTGATCTTTGCCCAAATACTACTTTTTAAATAAGGCATTCCCTCAGGCAGCCTATTCAAGTTGTAACCACACCTGCTCCCTGCCCCAGCACACTCTCTCCTCACCCACCTTTTTTTTTTTTTTTGAGACTCACTCTGAGTCTCACACTGTGCCACCCAGGCTGGAGTGCAGTAGCGCGATCTCAGCTCACTGTAACCTACACCTCCTGGGCTCAAGCAATTCTCCTGCCTCAGCCTCCCAAGTAGCTGGAACTATAGGCGTACAGCTGGCTAATTTTCCTAGTTGTTGTAGAGACAGGGGTTCAACATATTGGCCAGGCTGGTCTTGAACTCCTGGGCTCAAGTGATCTGCCCACCTTGGCCTCCCAAAGTGCTGGGATTACAGGCATGAGCCACCATGCCCAGCCTCTGTCCCCTTCTGTCATAGCCCTTATCACCATCTGATATGCAATATATTGTATTTGCTCACGACCTGTCTGTGCCTGCTAGAATGTAAACTCCAAGAAGGACGGGATTTTTGTCTGTTTGGGTTTTTGTGGCTCTGTGCCCAGCCCTATCACAGCATCTGGCATGGAGTTTGATACTCATGAAATGGCTGTTGAATGAATGAATATATACACATCCGGGGCCCTCTAATGACACGGACCTGTGAATATGGTGCTGGTTCCGAAATACATAGTCTGTATTTTAAAAGCCTTGAACCTGGCATCTCTGTTCCACCATTCCCTATAGGAGGCCCTCTGAGACTAATCTTGTGCTACCTGGGCTGTGACATCATCTACCGTTAACGATCCTTAACTTATATTAAGAATAAATCATTACAACACAAATGTTGTCACAGTAGCACTGAGAATACCTATCATGTGCCAGGTATGATGCACAGCCTAGTGCACAAGGGCGCTCACAGACTTGTAACAATCAGAAATAATTGTCACAGCTCACATACAACTAAAATAGAATCCTCTTTGGGGAAAAATCCTGGAAAATCCTCTTGAATGTTTCATTTCCTTGCTTATAAAATGATCACCTCATAAGATTAGTTGTTATTCATTTCTGTTGCTAAATGCTTAGTTGGTTTTTTTTTAGAGTTAGAGCTGGTCTAATTTGCTCTTTAGTTCAAAATCACTCCTAGCCACAAAGCACTTTGTGAAAAGGAACAGCAGCCGCCTATTGGTGGCAGATCAGCATGGGGTGGTGGGGTGCGGGCAGGGAGGCAGGGGGCGGACCACTTACCTCTTGGATCTCCAGATCGATGCTGTGCAGTGTCCTCTGTAAGCGCAGGTGGCCCAGGTGGATGTGCTTGCCTTCTTCCTCTTCGGGACTGGGCCGCTCGTCACTGTCCAGGAGGAGGTGGCCTTTCTGCTCTGCCAGCACCGCCTGATGCTCAGTGCGCTGCAGCTGCCTCACCTTCTCTTTCTTGCCCCTGGAAGCCCTCTTGTCTTTTTTCATTTTGGGGGTCAGCTTGGGCGAGTTCTGGATACTGGAGTGGGAGGAGTCCCATGCCAAGGTGGCATTTTTCATCTCTATCTTGATGTGAGGACTGGCTGGTTTGTTCTTTATCATGTGAACCTCTTCCATTAGAAACAAACTCTGATAGGAGTTGTGAGAGAGGTGCAAAGATGAGACACTGGATCAAGACCAGGGAGACAAGCCTAGGGCGTACACTCACGTAGCAAAACACATCAGGCTATACAGTGGAAGGAAGCTGAAGGGCAAAAGGTAGCTCATTAGTGCAGCCCAATCTCAGGCCCATCAAGGGGTCACGGGAGTGTGGGGCAACCTCAAGAGGTCCAGGGGCCTTATCAATGACCCAATATTCCACATGACAAATTACATGCTAAACTGCCTTTCCCCCTCAGCCAGCCTAAAGCGGACCTAATGACATTTAACTGACTGGCACGTAGCCCCTTGTTCTAAGGAGTAGTAAAAAGCAGGTAGGAAAAGCAAAGGGCATGCTGACCTCCAGTACAGATGCTCACTACGTGTTTTCCTTCCAGACCCCTCCTGCAGAATGCCAAAGCCTGCCCACTTCCCACACTCACAGCGCCGCATGTATCTAGGAGTAGAGACTGTCACAGGCTTACATTGCTACCGTCAGAAAAGAGTATCTAAAGTTTCATCTACCGCAGAGAACATCTTCTTGCCAAGAAACTCTCATGTCTTCAAAGCCTTGCCTTGGAACTTGAGAGTTCAAACAACCAAAGGAACAGGCTTGCATGGAAGTGAAGGGTATCTCCCTGAGAAACAACCCTTGGGAAGAGAACAAGACACTTTCCTCCCACTCATTCCCAGAGACCCCTGAGTTATGTTAAAAGAAAAATAATTTTTTTTTTGAGATGGAGTCTCGCTCTGTTGCCCAGATAGGAGTGCAGTGGCACGATCTCGACTCACTGCAACCTCCACCTCCCAGGTTCAAGAGATTCTGATGCCTCAGCCTCCCAAGTAGCTGAAATTACAGGCACGTGCCACCATGCCCGGCTAATTTTTGTATTTTTTTGTAGAGATGGGGTTTCACTATGTTGGCCAGGCTGGTCTTGAGCTCCTGGGCTCAAGTGATCTGCCTGCCTCAGCCTCCCAAAGTGCTGGGATTACAGGCGTGAGCCACCGCACCCAGCTGAAGAATGAACTCTTGAAGAGGGAAATGTTTCTGAAATTAAGATGTAAAACACTGATCACAATAAATCACAGCCCAGGATTTTCCCGTAAGACTTTGAATCCACTTTTTTTTTTTTTTTTTTTTGGTGAGATGGAGTCTCGCTGTGTCGCCCAGGCTGGAGTGCAGTGGTGCAATCTCGGCTCATTGCAAGCTCCGCCTCCTGAGTTCACGCCATTTTCCTGCCTCAGCTTCCCGAGTAGCTGGGACTACAGGTGCCCGCCACCACGCCTGGCTAATTTTTTGTATTTTTAGTAGAGACAGGGTTTCACTATATTAGCCAGGATGTCTAGATCTCCTGACCTCGTGATCCACCCGCCTCAGCCTCCCAAAGTGCTGGGATTACAGGTGTGAGCCACCTTCTAACAATCCTCTTAAGCCAGTGATCTTCTCTACAGAATGCTATACCAGTTGGATTCACAGTATGATTTAAAATATATTTATCTTAATTTAAAAAAATTTTAAACATTACAAAATCTTTAGAGAAAAGATAGCTTTTAGGGTCAGGACCCTCCTTAGTTACTGAGAACCCCCCAGCTATCTTAAAGTTTGCAGGTGCTATTAAATATCATACATAATCCCTCTCCCCAAAAACAAACCCTTTCTCTCTTAGATTCTAAACTTCTAAGCTCTCCCTTAAGCCCCCGTCTCCCATTCATCCCTGATCCTATCTTCCCCGAAGTGTCATGATTCTAAACTTCTGAGATAATCTTCACTCTCGAGTAACCTTAGGTGTGGCCCCCGCTTGCTGAAATGGCTGCTGCTTTCATTTGTTCAAAGCCTTCCTGAGAGATTGAACTAAGAGTAACATGCCAAACATTTTGATCACCTTCACAGAGTAAAACCACATGCCGACAGAATTTCCATCATTTCTCTCCCTTAAAGAGTTATTCAAAGGATGAAGGTCTTTTAGGCCTCAATGAACTATTAAGAAACATGCCAGTACCTACTGGTTTTCACAGCTCCAGCCCCATGTTTCCTTCCTACTCCCCGCAGCCTTACCCTCCCTTCTACCAGGAGAGTTTCGGCTTCAGATCACTCTGCCCTGACGTGCTAAGAGGCAGAGAAGGGCCTCCCCATACTTGAACTTGTATCTACTTGAATTTGCACCTGTCAGAACAACAGAATCTTAGATATAACATAAACCTATAACCATATAAACCTATAAACCATAAGCCTCAACTTTATCACAGGACACTGACCATGAAAACACTATTCATTCACTAGAAGAATCAAATCAGAATGAATCTGTTGAGAACAGAAGAGGGGACTACTCACAGGGTTGCCAGATAAATATAAGATGCCCAGTTAAATTAATTAATTAATGTATTTATTTATTTTTTGAGACAGGATCTCACTCTGTCACCCAGGCTGGAATGCAGTGGCGCAATCTCAGCTCACTGCAACCTCTGCCTCCCAGGTTCATGCCATTCTCCTGTGTCAGCCCTCCTGAGTAGCTGGGATTACAGGTGCCCACCACCACACCCAGCTAATTTTTGTATTTTTAGTAGAGACGGGGTTTCATAATGTTGGCCAGGCTGGTCTCGAACTCCTGGCCTCAAGAGATCCACCTGCTCAGCCTCCCAAAGTGCTTAGGATTACAGGCGTGAGCCACCATGCCGGGCCCCCGTTAAATTTAATTCCAGAAAAACAATAATAATTTTTCAGTATAAGTATATTCCATGCAGTATTTCACTGGGTGTCCTGTGTCTGTATTTGCTAGAGCAAGCCACCCTATTCCACTGGTGACAATCAGTGCAGCTTCACACTGCCTTTCTACAGGTTATCAAATCAATAAATTACAGGTTACATAAATAAATTTTATATCTCTTTTCCTATTCTTTATGCATACTACCCAACAGGAAGCAACAAGTTCTCCTGCCATATGCACTTGCAGGGTAGGTGAAATAGAGAAAAGACTATACTTGCAAATCTGTCAGATCTCCAACTCCAATTTAAAAAAGAAAGAAAGAAAATGATGTAAAACAAGACACAGGGTGAAAAGCAGGGCTCTGCAACATCGTCAGTGAGTTTCAAGGTCTGTAAAATGAATCAAAGAAGCAAGTCTCATCCTTGTTATTCTATATTCCATCTTCTAAAAATGATGAGAGGGCAGATGCTTTTGGGGAGATACAATCCCAGGAACAGTTCTGTTGTTTTCAAAAGGCTGCCTTAGATGGTCCCCCAAGATTGAGGCAAACTTCCTTTAACGTACTCAGAAACATAATAAACAGTTGCCTTACACCTAAAAAACAGCCCCCCAACCCTCATAAAGTCAATGTAATTCTAATTAATAGACATCTGAAGATAAGAAGAAAGAACCGGCTTAGAGTTCGGGAGGAATTAAGTAATAAACACTCGTTATCTTTTTTTTTCTGAGACAGAGTCTCGCTGTGTTGCCCAGGCTGGAGTGCAGTGGCGCGATCTCGACTCATGGCAACCCCTACCTCCCAGGTTCAAGCGATTCTCCTGCCTCAGCCTCCCGAGTAGCTGGGACTACAGGCACACACCACCACACCTGGCTAATTTTTTGGATTTTTAGTAGAGACAGGGTTTTACCATGTTGGCCAGGCTGGTCTTGAACTCCTGACCTCAAGTGATCCAACCACCTCAGCCTCCCAAAGTGTTGGGATTACAGGCGTGAGCCACCAAGGCTGGCCATAAATACTTGTTATCTTGTGCCAAGCATCTAATTAAAAAAAGAATAACAAGGAAAAAAAGAGACTGAGACCACCAAGAGAAGTAAGATAGAAGGGGTCTAAAGTCTCATGGGGCATCAAATAGAGCTGTGGGTGGTGCTGCTTCTACTATTAATTCTGAGGCTTCCTGGAGAGAGGAGGGACCTATGATGTGAAAGCCACCTGCTAATCCAAGTCCTCACTAATAAGCAGGAGATGAGAGCCCTCGAAAAACAAGGGGAGGACCAACCTACACTACATGCCCTTACTTTATCCAAAGTGCTACCAAATCCATTCACTAACAAGAATATAGAAATGAACAGCAGGGAGAACTTATGGTCAAACATTTGCTTTCATCCACGACTGGTTATTGCGGATTCAGCAAAATAAAGCTCTGAGTCCCATTAGGCCATTTTTTTTCATATGACTCAGCTCTTGGTTTTCTAAGAAGTGGCCACGTTGGGGTGGGGGAGGGGCACATTCGAAGACTAGCTTTCTTCCTTTCTCTCTTCTCTCCTTCCTTCCTTCTCTCTCTTCCCTCCCTCCCTTCCTTTTTCTTTCTTCTCTTTTTGTAAGAAACAAACAAACAACAACAAAAAAAAACAAAAACACAGATAAGAGTCTCATTCTGTTGCCCAGGCTGGAGTGCAGTGCCATGATCATAACTCACTGCAGGCTCGACCTCCTGGGCTCAAGCAATCTTCCCACCTCAGCCCCCCGGGTAGCTAGGACTGTGGGCGCACACCACTGCACCTGGCTATTTTTTTATTTTTTTGTAGAGACGGGGTCTTGCTGTGTTGCCCAGGCTGGTCTTGAACTCCTGGGCTCAAGTGAGCCACCTGCCTCAGCCTCCCAAAGAGCTGGGATTACAGGTGTGAGCCACCACACCCAGCCAGGACTAGCTTTCTTGACCAAATAAAAGTCACCCGGTCAACTGTAAACAAGTAGAATACAAACAAATCTCGGGAACTGAGTTTCCATGTTTCTTAAGAAGAAAATCCAATTTGTTTTCTCCTGAACCTCCAAGATGATTATATTCATCCCTCAAACATGTGAGCTTCAAGCCTTCACATCACCAAAATTGCTTTCTTATTCCTCTCACTGGCCAATAAAGACAAGCAGGGACATAGGAGCTAATCTATGCAGTGGCAACATCAAGGAATTCCAGCCCACATGGCATCCCTTTTTTTGTTAAGTATTAACCACTATCAAATATCTATTTCTCTCCACCCTCCCAAATATACTCCCTTTTGTATCATGTATGTGTAGTATTCTGAAGGAACAAAGAACACAGCCAAGGTATGATCAACTAACCACCTGCAAGAAAAGAAGCTGAGACTTACTTAACTGCACTTCTCAACATGACCTAGTTTTATGACTATTTCCATGTAACTGCTTTCCCTGCATCGTGAGTAGCACCACAGGGCAGGAAAAAGAAAGTATCAAAAAGGATTCAGCATGTCAATCAATCAAAGTGACAGTAGCAAAGATCAAGGGGAAGATGCCCCACAGTGCTGGTCTTCTAGGTTTAAGCCACTTCAAGGCCCAGTGAGTTGCGACACATCCATGTCAGGCCCAGGTGGAAGGGGCTAGCTCTAAAGGGGAACTCTGCAATCCTGGGAGCCCAGATCATGGCCGTTCACAAAAGGTAAAAATTCACATTAATTAAAAAAGGTGACAAGTCTCATCCCTCAATTCAGTCTCCTCCACTGCCCCCTTTTTCTTACCAACTTGCCAAAAGGCCAAAGCCAAGCTTAAGCCCAGTGAGGCCAGCCTGGGTGGCCCCTTGAACAGAGCCAGCAGTTAGTTGTGTGGGGAGGGCTCCTGACACGGGGGCAGGGGAAGGAGCCACTTACCTTAAATCTGTCAACAGCCACTGAGGCTTCTGAGAGGGACTTTACTGAAAACGGTGTTACTTTCAAAGCAAAAGTCATGGAATTGAAGACTGTCACCACTGTGAAAGCCTGAAAATAGGAGAAGAGAAGAAACTGTGCCTAATGATGCTATGCAACTGAAGTAACCTGACACCATGAATTTCCTCTCAGGCGCTAGGAAGGCTGCAACTTCACGGTCAGCTGTTATTACAAGTCAATTACATTTTTTTTTTTTTGAGACGGAGTCTCGCTCTGTCGCCCAGGCTGGAGTGCAGTGACACGATCTTGGCTCACTGCAACTTCCACCTCCCAGGTTCAAGCAATTCTCCTGCCTCAGCCTCCCGAGTAGCTGGGATTACAGGCATGCACCACTATGCCCAGCTAATTTTTGTATTTTTAGTAGAGACAGGGTTTCACCATGTTGGCCAGGCTGGTCTCAAACTTCTGACCTCAAGTGATCCGCCCGCCTCGGCCTCCCAAAGTGCTGGGATTACAGGCGTGAGCCACCATGCCTGGCCACATTTTTTTTTAAGTAGAGTTTTTGAGACCTTCAATTAAAATTGTCAGTAAATATGAACCACAGGATGATCTGTAATTTCAGAATTAAACTCAAACTTATGTTGACTAAAAACAACTCATACACTATTTGTGCATAAGGGCTGGCTCCCCACTCTTCTGCTTCTCAGCTTAATCCCATGAATGAAAAAATACCTACTAATTCTTGGGGGAACCTCCAGGTCCAGTAAGGAGAGGACCACAGCATCATCTCCATATGTGGTATTTTTTTTTTGTTTGTTTGTTTGTTTTGTTTTGAGATGGAGTCTTGCTCTGTCCCCCAGGCTGGAGTGCAATGGCATGATCTTGGCTCACTGTAACCTCCACCACCTGGGTTCAAGTGATTTTCCTGCCTCAGCCTCCAGCAAATGTGGTATTTCTAAAATGTTCCCCATCCCTGAGGGTTCCCTGACCTGTGCTGCTGTCAGATCGAAGCCCAGGGTCATATGAACAGAGAAGGTCACCACGCTGGCAATCACCACCACAATGGGAGCCACACCCACAGTGATGCTCTGGAAGTACCCAGCTTTTTCCAATATCCGACGCTCCTCCTCGCGGATTTCTATGAATAAAAAGCAAGCCAATTTCAAAGCAAGTTAAAAGAAGCCTAGGGATGTTGTTCCTCCACCTCCAAACAAGACTCTGTAGGTCTCCAGCCACCCTTCAACACCTATGACTATCAACTCTACCACTAAAGCTGGTATAAAAGGCTGAGGTTTGAAATGGATCAAGTGACAGGAATGAATCTAACAGAAAGCAGTCACTATGTATGAACTCAATCATCATCTTCTATGATACCTTTTTCTGATTCTTCTTGTAAATTTCTTAGGTTGAGAAGGAATGAACACATTAATTGTATCTATAATTGGCAGTTGTGTTTGCTTACCTGGTTGTTGTTGACTTTTTGCCTAAGGAATTAATAGGAAAGACAACACAATGGCACTGGAGAATTAAAAAGGGAGGGACTAAGAGGCCAGGTGCGGTGGCTCATGCCTATAATCCCAGTACTTTGGGAGGCCCAAAGCAGGGGGAATCACCTGAGGTCAGGTGTTCGAGACCAGCCTGGCCAACACGGCAAAACCCCGTCCCTGCTAAAAATACAAAAATTAGCCGGGTGTGGTAGTACACGCCTATGATCCCAGCTACTTGGGAGGCTGAGGCCGGAGAATTGCCTGAACCTGGGAGGTGGAAGTTGCAGTGCACCGAGATTGCACCGCTGTATTCCAGACTGGGTGACAAAGCCAGGCCTTATCTCAAAAAAAAAAAAAAAAGGGGCAGTGGGGAGGGAACTAACATTTCCCAGAGTGCCTGCTGTATGTTGGCAGTGGGATAGAAGCTTCCATATAAAAATGCAGTAATGACAACCGGAAGAAGATAGGTGAAATACAATTTCTATAGGCAGAATGATTTTTCTTAAATATTTGCAAAATCAACCCCCATATTAGCAAAGCAACCATAGTGTACTGAAGACCGTGGAGCAGGAAGCAGAACAATAAGATACTTTTTTTTCAGACGAGGTCTCGCTCTGTTGCTCAGGCTGGAGTGCAGTGGCACAATCACGGCTCACCGCAGCCTCAACCTCCATGGCTCAAGTGATCCTCCCATCTTAGCCTCCCAAGTAGCTGGGACCACAGATGTGCACTACCATGCCCAGTTATGTTTTATTTTTTGTAGAGAGGAGGTCTCAGTACGTTGTCCAGGCTGGTCTTGAACTCCTGGGCTCTAGTGATCCTGTCTCTCCTTCCAAAGCGTGGAGACTAAAGGCATGAGCCACCTCGCCCGGCCAATACTTTTTTTTTTTTTAAGACGGGAGTCTCACTCTGTTGCCGAGGCTGGAGTGCAGTGGTGTGATCTCAGCTCACTGCAACCTCTGCCTCCTGGGTTCAAGTGATCCTCCTGCCTCGGCCTCTTGAGTAGCTAGGATTACAGGCTGTGCCACCACGCCTAGCTAATTTTTGTATTTTTAGTAGAGACGGGGTTTTGCCATTTTGGCCAGGCTGCTCTTGAACTCCTGACCTTAGGTGATCTACTCGCCTAGGCCTCCCAAAGTGCTGGGATTACAGGCATGTACCACTGTACCTGGCAAATACTTAATTCTTCTAAGAGGGTATACACTGACCTTAAAGGTATTACCACTGCCTAAGGCATTGGGAACTATCTTCACAGCTAGCTTGTAAGTCACATAAAAACACTGAACTCCTTACTTGAACATGTATTATACACCTTGGCCATGTCTATAATGAGTAAGAACACTCTTTTCAAATTAATACATACAGGTAAAGATAACCAGTCAGGGGCTGATGGATGAGGGAAATTTCAGAAAAAAGATCATAAAACTACAGAATCAGAGAGCCAGAAGGGACCAGTGGCAGCCATCCTGCCATCAACCTGCTGGCAGATGTCCATTCAGAATCCATTTGTTCCACTCTAGTAGAAACAAACTCACTGCTTAACAAGGCAGCCCCGTCCACTGCTGGGCACCTCTTGAGTGCTCATCTCCTCTGGATGCTTCTTAGCTTAACAGCCCTCATAAATCAAATGTAGATTCCAGAATTGGACATCATGTTCCTGAAGGTTACTCAATGAAAGGAAAACAACAGCTGCCTTGCTCTGAACACTGTTTTGTTTTTTTTTTTTTTTTTTGAGACAGTCTCGCTGCGACACCCAGGCTGGAGTGTAATGGTGTGATCTCAGCTCACTGCAACCTCCGCCTCTTGGGTTCAAGCGATTCTCCTGTCTCTGCCTCACGAATAGCTGGGATTACAGGCATGCACCACCACACCCAGCTTATTTTTGTATTTTTAGTACAGACGGGGTTTCACTATATTGGCCAGGCTGGTCTTGAACTCCTGAACTCAGGTGATCCACGTAACTCAGCCTCCCAAACTGCTGGGATTACAGGCGTGAGCCACTGGCGCCTGGCCTGAACACTGTATTTCTACTCCAACTATAATGCATTGACTGTTTCACAGCACTGGACTCAGCTCCTGATGAGGTTATGGTCCACCAACAGCCTCATCTCTTTTATTTAAATTAAGTATCTATGTGTTTGTTTTTAATTATCTACTACTTAAATTTCACCTGTTTCAAGGCACACTGGTTCAATTTGTGTTGAGATCTTTCTGAATGCCCCATCTGTGCCATTTCTCCTAGCTTTGTGGGCACTTACACGTTTGACAGAGCTAGGACCAGCATCCAGCCATCCTGACTCCCAGTTTACCTCAAGGGCCACAAACTATTTCCCGTGAAACCACAGAGTAGAGTGGGCAAAGGTGATGCTCTCAGTAGTAATTTGATATTGTCTTCTGTGAAAGCCTCATGACCAGGCTGGAAAATCATGGGCAGGATGAGAATATACACAGGGGGCTTCGAAACTGGATTATTCCTAACTAGCTGTGTTTTAACTGGGAAAAATCAACATTTTCCCAGGTCTCAATTTCCTCATCAGTGAGATGAGGTTATGGGTTCAAACCTCTAAGATCCCTTTTGAACACAAAGATTCTATGATATTATGTCCTACGATACTAGACACTAGTCCTAGTACGTAATGTGCTCAGAAAGCAAAGTGTGTGAATTATAAGACCCAAAGAATCCAAGGTCCTTCTACCACATGCACATACAAAATCTTTAAACTCACTTTGAACACTCTGAGAAAATGCTTTGACCCAGGCATACATTTTGATAAATTTAATGTAAGTAAGAACTTCATTCATCTTCTGGACACGTTCATCCGTGGCGGCCACGCATTTTCTCCTGAAATATGCTGTGAGCCGTGATGCAAACATCTGAAAGGAAAAGCGATGCCACGCCAAATTAAAGCTCATTCAAACTTGAGAACTACCTAATCTGCTTAAGGTCATTCTCAATAAAATGAGCATATAATCCTGCTTGCTAGGATGGGCCAAATGTTATGTAATCGTACTGTCTTTAATAAAAGTGACCTATTGAATTGTAATAAAACATTACTGAATTCTTATCTCTTTATAAGGCAATGAAGACAAGAAAGTATTTATTCTCAATAGTGACCACAGAGACTGAGTGCTTCCAAAGGGGAGGCAGGAGGGCCCTATCACTTAGCACCAACTCCAACGCAGTGACTCAAACACTCCTATGTCAAGTGGGACAGGGTTCACCAGCTGACCTTCTCATTCAGACTCTCTTTCATGCAAGTGACACCTTACCTCCTCTCAAGTCAAAATTCTGTCCCTATAGAGCAAGCACTATCGAGCTCTAGATTGAACCTGCTTTGAGGAAATTTCCAATCAGAGCTGTGAGACCTCAGCAATGCCTACTATAACCCAATGGAAGTAACTCATCTCCTAAGGAGAAGCTGCCAGGATTCAGCTGGGAGGCTTACTCACCATTGCTGGGTAAAAGAGGATAAAAACAGCTGATCCCAGGAAGCCTGTTGGTCCCAGAATAATTACATTATAAATCATGCCTAAGATGGCAACAACGGGTCCTCCAGCCAGCAGGCTGCCAACGGCTGCTGCCTCAAACATTCTCTGCCCATCGTTGGAGCAAATGTTGATGAGCTATAAGATACAAAGAGTAGTGAGGGGACCCTGCAAGGACACGGTTCATTTGTCTCAGGAGGAAGATAAAGGATAAGGCAGGGCCCTAGAGGAATGAACCTCAAGCTAGGAAGTTGCTCTCTGCTGTGAAGCAAACACCCCTCACTCACCTCACCCAGGGATTTCTCTTTAATGTTCTTTAACTTAAGGATCTTCTTAAATGCCATGGTTAGGATGGCCCCCCGCAAGCGGACACCGGTTCGGTAATTCAATGCCCAAGTCAGTGCAAGCGACCAAGACCGCACGATTTCCGTCAGGAGGAGGCCCAGCACTAACAACAAGCTGTACTGCAGGTTAGACTCTGTTGCCTGGGTATACTCCAAGAGGTGTTTCACCATGAAGGCCTACAGGGAGAGACACACACCACTGTCAACATCTCCACGGCACTCACACACAATGCCATAGTTTTATGTTAAGTTAGAAAGAGTAGGCAGCTCCACTCAGGGACCAGTGCGCAAGCAAAGCAAAACTTTGGAAGACCCAATTATTACAAGCTGCCTGCAGTAACTTACTCAGGGCATTCTGCAGGAGCTAGGTCTAATTGCAAACTTTCTTCCTTACAGGACATCATCAAAACCATTACTCTTTCTAATGTAACATAAACCTATCAATGAGCTGAAATTAACTCTAAACACATGGTCATTCAAAAGTATAGCTTTGACCTTATTCCAGTATCTCCACACATGGATACATTTGTTTACATGAAATTAAGACCTTTTTTTTGGATCGTTTCAAACGTGCTTATTTGATAAAAAGGAACAGTGTACCTACAGTTGTACTGGGGAAGAGTGAGAAGTGCATTTGCAAAACATTCCTGAAAATAAACATCAGCAGTTTAATAGTACAGAAGAGAGCAAACAAAGCAGGCTATCAAAAATCCAGAGACCCTCCCATGGGCCCGCCCCACTCCCGACTCCCTCCCAAAAATGAAAACATGTTACCTCAGGTAGCATATGTCTAACACCACCTGCAGAGGGAAGGCGGCCAGCCCCCAAGAACCACCGAGTGCCACCTCCAGCTGAGGTCCTGCAACGCCGGAGCACACACTCACACAAGGCACATTCAGCAACAGTATTAAATACCAGGAAGTGGGAAGGAATGTACTTTTATTGAAAATGAAAAAATATAAAAGTACCATCTTCAAAGAGCATCTCACAAACACTGTACAGCAGGTGAAGCATTGCAGTAACATACATTGAAACATACAGAGTCGAGTTATACAGGACTAGCCATCTAACAGGTCATCTGGTCTCCGACGGTTGTTTAACGACACACAGTAGAAATAGAGAATAGAACCCATATCTGTTTCCAGAGTCCAAAGTAGTATATCAGGCTGACAGCACTCAATCAGTGAGGGCTCCTGAGGTTGCAATGATTCTGCAACGGAGTAGATTCTCTAGGAAAAAAGACCTTGCTGCTAAGGAAAGAGAATTAAAAACAAAACAAAACGAAAAGCTCCCCAAAGAGGTACTCTGCTCAAAATGGCTGGTGCTACTGGTGCACTAAGTTGTGAGGAATTACCTCTGCTCGGGACAGAATAAAAAATCCTAGGCCTCAAGGAAAAACTGGTGGCATCCTTCTGGGTCTTTTCAAGTCCTTGCATCTAAAAATCAATCTTGACAAAAATAAAACAAAAAACCACAACAAAAGAAAGCCAAACCAATCCCCCACCCTAAAGGAAGAAAAAAATTGATGTGAAGCCCATCCACCCTTCTACCCAGGTGCCTTATAGCAAAGGTGACTGCAGCTGTAAGTCAGAGCTGAATGACAGACAAAAATGGAGGCCAGACACCACGGTCTGGAGGTAGCTACGCTGAATTCCAAAACCCAGACTCTCTCTGGGTTAATTTCTTGTTTTTCCTGAGATTAAATTAATACCAGATGTCCACTAGGTCCTAGGAGATCCCCACCAATCAGATTTTTGCCAAGTCCCAGGAAATAACCTGATCAAATAGGAGACTTCAGATTCCAAGAACTACTGTATTCCACCTCTCCCCTCCCTCAGATTTTTAGGTTTATATCCATTGCTTGGGTCACCACTGTATACAGCCGGGTTGCTGGTTTACTAGCAAGAAGATTGGCTTCTTTTCCAGTATGCAATCCAAAATGTGGAACTGAGTCACAGGGCCAAAGCCCCCTTTTCCTCACGTGAAGCAACTCAGTAAGATGGCGGTGCAGTGAAGCCTGTTCCCACACACCTCGGCACTGATGGAGCAGTCTCCAAAGGAAGGCTGAAAGGACAGCAGGTGGTTGCCTTGGGCTCCTTCCTTCCCATACCTTTAGAGTGCCATTTTTCAGCACTGGGTAATAGCATCAGCGCCTCCCAGATGGGAGGAGCAGGGAAGGTAAAAGACATAGTGAATGTTTACACTATGCGAAACTTTCAAAGGGGGGGAAAAAGAGGAAACAGCAGATTAAAGAAGTTCCAACACATCGGGTTTTTAAATAACAATGACATTTCAAACCATTTTTTAGGGGATAAAGAAAAAAGAGGTTTTCATGAAAAATCCAACCAAAATTTAGTTTTTAAAAAGTTACAAATGTATCATTTAAATCTAAACAAACTGGAAGAAAACTTGAGACTGTTAGCATAGCTGTCTGGCTGTGGAAAGCATTCCCAGTGAATAAACATTACCTTACCTGAACTCTTGGCGAGAGATTCTGCCCAGCTTGACTCTCTCATTCTGACCGCAGAATACAGCCATCCTGAAAATTCTAAAGAACAGCTTCTGTCACTGGTTCCACTACAGAGAGACTCCCCCCAAATCCAGATCCTGACAGCACCAAGCAAGCTGCAGGTGGAGAGAGGTTGGAAGGGTGGGAAACTTACCTCTCTAAGGGTTTTACACTGTCCTTTCCCCAAAAGGCCCTCGAGCAGAGTTAGCATTCACCAAGAGAGAGCACTGCAGGAGGCGGCCTTCTCTTGCAGATCTACAGTGCGATGCTAATTCTTTATACACAGATCATAGGTGAGGCCTGGTCTTTTAGAACTGTCTTAATCCAAAAAGGCCCCAAAGCATCTCTGTAAGTGTAGCAATGTGGCTACACAGGACCACACTGTTAGAGATTCTGGTACTCCATTAACATTACTATGACCCCCGGGCACCCTGCACATATAGCGGCAGTCCCCACCGGCGTCACCAAAACCTTGGATCATCTTGGTGTATAAATGTCAGCATCAGCTGGCTGGCAGGTAAAAACAAACAGAACACAACAACTTGACTGTGTTTCATTTGTTCTGATTATGGCTACCAAGGTTCGGTGAAACCCGAGCAGGGACAAGAAATAAAAATGCCATTTTATTTGGGGAGCCCGTATGTGGGCAGTCTGTCCTTACACAGGTTTCTGTAAGAACAGATTAAGCTAGTTTGAAAGTCGTGCCAGATTAGAAAACTTGTAAAAATCTAAAACGAAATGTTCCTCAAAAGGATTTAAGTCCACAGACAGGAGGTTTACTCACTGCTAGTACTAATCTCAAAACCAGCCTGGTTTTTCAATTTCCAATGAAAAAGAAACATATTAGAATTGGAGTTCCAAAAAAGGAAGTGTGTATTGTTTACACTTTCAAATCTATAAAAGAGATTATGGATGAGTCCATTACTTTCTCAGCTCTAGGGCAGAATCCCATGAAATAACACTGGCCTTAAGGTGCTCTTCCCTGAAACGGCAGAGAGAAGAAAAAGCATGCTGCTGCTTTCCTGTTAAAGGAGGGCTCTTAGCTTTCCCTGGCAGCTAGAACAGTTTCCTAGAGGTTAGTACCCCAGTGTTCTGCACCATAAATGAGAGAATAAGGAATATACGGATGTTCAGGGGAGGGACTGTGAAGCCACCAAGCTGAATACGGATAGGTACCATTTTTTTCAAAAAATAAAAAATAAAAATCCCAGCAATCCATGGAATTTTTTTTAGAGGGGAGCCAATGAAGTTCTTGCATTGGCCAAATGGAATCAAGAAAGCCCATGATCACTTTATTCGCAAAGCCTGCATATGGTGCTACCCAGAGGAATGAATTCTATGAGATCAGAGCAGCCACCAGCCCTGTAGTGAAACAATGACAGAAGCTCTTCTTGGGGGAAGCTGGCTCTATGAAAATGTTTGCCATTTTGGTAAATTACATAACACAACATTTCAGTTACATGGTCCTTCTTACTTAAAACTTTTATATAAAGTATGTTAGTTGGTCAATTATTAATAATATAGAAACCCAATACCAGAAAAGTAGTGTTCTCTGCTTCAGAAAAGAGATCAAAACTTTAACAAGAGGCATCAAACGTTAAAAAAATAAAAACAAAAACAAAACTGCAAATTAGTTTTACCTAATTGCCATGCATCTTAGGCACATACTTACCAAAACCATGAACCTCCAGCTTACCCACATATGGAAAACGCACAGTACAAGCAGTACTACTGCTCCGATGCCTCAAGGCAAATGTGTAGAGAATAGATTTAATCAAGGTCTCAAGTGTAAGGCAGCACAGCAGGTGTAAGAAACAGGTGCCCAGGAAACAGAGTGAACGTCAAAGGCTCTCTTGTCTACTCTGCATCAGTACAGACTGGGGAAAACCACGGCTGCCACCCCAACACTTGCCACACAGTCACACTATAAGCCAAACTTAAACGGACTCCAGGTCAGACTCTAAAATCCTCGACAGTCCTCTAGTTTTCTCAGGGCTTATTTGCCACAGACCTGCCAAACATGTGATAACTGCCTCCAGGCACTTGGTATGTTCCCGGTGCTGGCTCACCAGCCCGGGCCACACAACGTGCTCTCACCCACTCATAGCACTGCAAGACACATCTGCCTGCACCGACTGTCAGTTCATGTTAACACACAACCGAGAAGCACAGTCCTGTGCAGAACTGGAGTCAGTTCCATTTCACCCCCACCCAGAAATCAAGCCAGTTCCATTTCTTCTCTGGCAACACTGCCCTTTCATCCTTCCAGCTGTTGCCAAAATCCATCGACCCCTTTCAACAGACCTGAAGGCATCTCTAAGACTGCTACCTAGCCCAAAGCTGAGCACAACCTCTGCAACAGAATAAGAGTGTTAGAGCTGGCCGTGGCCGGGCCCCTGGAGACTGTCGGAAAGGATGGTTAGAACTTACTGGTCCACTGAAGCCAGCCAGCTGCGTGATCATCAGGCACACGATGGACAGGATGAGCCTGGTGCGGCAGAAGATCCACACAACCCTTCGCAGGGAAGCAGCGTCTGGCCCAACTTCATTCAGCTCTTCTTGCCACAGTCTCTCTAGTCTTAACAAGGGCACACGTCCTCGTTACACATCTCCTCGGGGGAAAGGCACACCTAGCTCCCCGCCTGCCACCACTTTTTGTCTCCAGGTTTTGCCACCACTCACACAAGTCTCTCCTTTAAAATTATGTACATAGTCTTCACCTTCTGGGAAAAAATACCCTTCCTAGGGAACTACACATTTACCCTGTATAAGGAGCCTCCCAGGATACAGAAAATGATGAGAGCAAAAGCCTTTCTTTCCACCCAGGAAAATGATCCCTGAATGCAATTTGTGAATAAGAACTTTCTTTTTCAGGGGCCCCCAACCCTTTCTGAAGGTTCCTGTGGTAAAATGTAAAGTTGTAAACTACATTTTAATCATGACAATCAGCTACCACAAAAATGTATTCTGTCACAAGGCAGCAACATAATCTCCCTGCAGACTCAGGAAGAGAAGCGGGGCTGAGAGAGAGAGAGAAAGCCCGTGGTTAAAACAGGATCAAAGGTGAAATAGGAGATAAAGCAAAAGAGCAAAGAGAAAGTCATCCCCAGGCCGCCCGCCCTCCACTGGACAGCTCGGCTCTTTAAAGACACAGAGCTGTGGACTTCACACTCCTAGCTCAGGCCCTGCCCACCCGGCATGGGGGAGATGAGGGTGGACCAGAGGCGCCTACCTTCTGCAGTTCACGTCAGAAGACTCGTGCTTGGACAGAGACCACACGTCTTCCATTGAGAGCTCCCCCTTCTTGTGGGCCACACGGGCCAGAGAAGAAAGCCACGAAAAAGTCATACAGGAAAAAAGCCCAGCATTGTCCACTGGGTGCTGGTGTCTAAGGAGAGAAAACCGAAATCACAAAGCTATCAACACGCACGGAGAGGGCAGCCCGTGTTTAATGGACACTGTTTAGTGAACACAGCTCTTAGCTAAAGACCAGTCTCCCCAGATGATCTAATCTTAGCCTGAATGTTCTAAAACGGCTTTGATGGGCCGGGCGCGGTGGCTCACACCTGTAATCCCAGCACTTTGGGAGGCCGAGGCGGGCAGATCATGAGGTCAGGAGATTGAGACTATCCTGGCCAATATGGTGTAACCCCGTCTCTACTAAAAATACAAAAAAATTAGCTGGGCTTGGTGGTGGTGCACGCCTGTAGTCCCAGCTACTCAGGAGGCTGAGAGGCAGGAGAATCACTTGAACCCAGGAGGCGGAGGTTGCAGTGAGCCGAGATCATGCCACTGGCGACAGAGCAAGACTCCATCTCAAAAAAAAAAAAAAAAAAAAAAAAAGGCCTTTGATGCTTCACTGTCATCACTCAGCACGGCATCTTACTTGGAAGTAGTCCGGATGGGCTTCAGAGCACTCAAGCCATGATGGTACTTTCCCTTGGGATGCTCCTCATCCAGGATTCTGAGCTGAGAATGCATGGAGGCATCAAGAGAGAGGCCCTCGGCTCGGGCTGCTGTTTCCAAGGCATCTTGGCATTCCAACTGTTCCAGCAGATAGGGAGAAAGGCAAGAGCACAGTTAATACACAGGCGAGAGGCAAACGGAACTGATGAAACAGCTCAAACTGCAAACTGGACTCATCTTAACTGAGAAATTCCAAGCAAGGGTCAGGAGGTTAAACACTAACTTTGTATGATTTGAACCCATTGGGGAACATTAAGCTAGATATTTAAAAATTTTAAACAGTTTTCTTTTTTTTTTTTTTAGCATCTTTAGGTTTTACAGAAAAACTAATCAGATAGTACAGAATGCTCCCATATACCTCTGTACCTCTCCCGTCCTCCTCATCTGTTTTTCCTATTATTAACATCTTCCATTAGTGTGGTACCTTTGTTACAATTGATGAGCCAATACAGATTCATTATTAACTGAAGTCCATAGGTTACATTAGGGTCCGCTCTTTGTTTTTTTGGGTTTTTTTGAGATAGAGTCTCCCTCTGTCACCCAGGCTGGAGTGCAGTGGCGCAATCTCGGCTCATTGCAACCTCCACCTCCCGGGTTCAAGCAATTCTCCTGCCTCAGCCTCCTGAGTAGCTGGGATTACAGGGATGTGCCACCATGCCTGGCTAATTTTTGTATTTTTAGTAGAGGTGGGGTTTCACCATGTTGGTCAGGCTGGTTTCGAACTCCTGACCTCATGATCCACCTGCCTTGGCCTCCCAAAGTGCTGGGATTACAGGCATGAGCCACCGCGCCCGGCCCTGTTTTTATTTTATTTTATTTTTGAGATGGAGTCTCGCTCTGTTGCCCAGGCCGGAGTGCAGTGGCATGATCTTGGATCACTGCAATCTCAGCCTCCCCGGTTCAAGCAATTCTCATGTCTCAGCCTCCGAGTAGGGGGGTTACAGGCGTGCACCACCATGCCCAGCTAATTTTTGTATTTTTAGTAGACACGGGGTTTCACCATGTTGGCCAGGATGGTCTTGATCTCTTGACCTCGTGATCCGCCCACCTCAGCCTCCCAAAGTGTTGGGATTATAGGTGTGAGCTGCCGCGCCCAGCTTATGGACCACTCTTTGTGTTCTATGTTCTAAAATTTACATTTTTATTACCAAATGTTTTATCTTCTGTTTCCCAATATGGATTGAGAGTCAATTATTTCACTACTAACTGAAAATCTGATTGCCCATTTCCTATGACAAAAATTTCCATCAGCCCCAATTAAACAGCCCTGCCACACAGAAAGAGCCTGGATGTACACGTGCCTCCCCTGTCACAGCAGCAGCAGGGAGAACAGAACGTGAGTTCTTATCCTGGCTGCACAGCTGAAGAGCTCTACACTTCCCTGCAGCACGCAGCAAAGGATCTCATGAGCTGAAATATAAAGTTACACGTATTTACTAACTAGAAAGTGTATAAATGTTCGTTCATTAGATTAACAAAAGTGCATGCAAAAGTGCATTCTAAGTCTGACTGTGGCAGAAGAGGGTGGGTCAAGAATCTAGACACACTTATCCCCCGTTTACTCTAAAAGTAACTCAAACGTTTATGCTTTCCTGTTGTAGAAGCAGAAGCTTCATTTTCCTCAATTTCCTTATCTTCCTTTTCTGTCTTAGCAGTGAAAGTCACATTATTACAAATATTTCCAGCAATTATTGTGAAACAGTAAAAAACAGATCTCAGCTGGGCATGGTGGCTCGCGCCTGTAATCCTGACACTTTGGAAGGATCGGTTGAGCTCAGGAGTTCAAGACCACCCTGGGCAACACAGCAACACACCATCTCTACAAAAAGTAAAAAAAAAAAATCAGCCAGGCATGGTGATGCGTGCCTGCAGTACCAGCTACTTGGGAGATGGAGGCAGGAGGATGACTTCAGCCCAGGAGTTGGAGGCTGCAATGAGCTATGATCGTACCACTGCACTCCAGCCTGGGTGACAGAGCAAGACTCTGTCTCTAAAAGAAGGAAAAAAAAAACAAAAAACAAACAAACAAACAAAAAAACAAGGAGAATAGATCCCCAAATCAAGAAAAAGTTAAGTGGTTTAGCACCTAACACACCAAGCCTTATACAAAGCAGTTGATTTTTATACATCACCTCCTTTCCCACCAAAGAACAGCGGGAACTTAAACATTAACAGAACTGAACGGGTAGAATTTTGTATACAGGAGTCAGCTGGATGCCTGGGCAGATCAAACACAATAGCTTTAGTTCACAGCACAGTTAAGTATCTTTAGATAACTTCTGGTATTAGGAAAGCACATAGCCCTGCAAAGCACACTCCTTTCCTTTTGTCAAAGGCAAGTCAGACCAGTTTCAAGAGAATAATGGTACAACATGACAGGAGTCAACAACAAGAACGAACTCGCTCTTAAATGAAGTCCTTATGTATAAGGTCAACACTTAATTTAGTGGTTAGGGACTACGGCACTTGATAATGAGCTGAGGACTGCTGAGATTTAAGTACATTACAAAGGTTTTTCTTACCTATGAGCTGCATATAATCACAAGGGGAAGGAAAAAACCTCCTGGATTGAGAGAGAAAGATACACTAAAAATACAAGCACACCTACTTTAAGTGAGTAGAAACTGGGAATCTGTACAGAGTAGGTACAGAATGTTACAGGGACCAGCCTTATTTGGATATCCAAAGCTTCAGAAGATGACAAAAGATCTGAAAAATGTCACTTCAAATACATTGCCAAAATGGACTATACATTGGGCTATAAAGCAAACCTCAACAAATCTCAAGACTGACATCATGTATACATGCACTCTGACCACTTTAGGATTTAATTAGAGTTCAGTAACAAAGATTTTTAAAATATCTGAATGTTCAGAAATTATGCAATATACTTCTAAGTAATGTAAGTGAAAGAAAACATCAAACGGGCATGACAATTTGTACCTATATAATCTCAACTACTCAGGAGGCTGAGGTGGGAGGATTGCTTGAGCTCAGGAGTTTGAGGCTGCAGTGAACTTTGATCTCACCACTACACTCCAGACTGGGCAACAGAACAAGACTCTATCTCTTTAAATTAATAAATAAAAAGAAGGCATTAAATGGAAACCAGAACATATTCTGTGCTAAACAGTATGAAACTGCAATACATCAACATCTCTGGGATGCAGCTAAAACAGAGAATAAGGTGAGATTTTCATCGCTTTCAAAGCATATACGCCTGTAATCCTAGCACTTTGGGAGGCCAAGGTGGGCGGATCACGAGGTCAGGAGATCGAGACCATCCTGGCTAACACGGTGAAACCCCGTCTCTACTAAAAAAAAATACAAAAAATTAGCTGGGCGCCATGGCAGGCACCTATAGTCCCAGCTACTCGGGAGGCTGAAGCAGGAGAACGGTGTGAACCTGGGAGGCGGAGCTTGCAGTGAGCCAAGATAGCGCCACTGCACTCCGGCCTGAGCGAAAGAGCGAGACTCCGTCTCAAAAAAAAAATAAAAAATAAAAAAATAAAAGAAGAAAAAGAGAAAAATCAATGCTTTAAGCTAGGGGTTGACAAACATTTTCTGTAAAAGGCCAGAGGTAAATATTTTCAGTTTTGTGGGCTAAGAGGCAAAATCAAAGATATTAAGTAGGTACTCCTATTACAAGAGAAAACAAATCTCCACAAAATGTTGACACAATTCAGATTATAATAATTGAGTACAATTTTTTGTAATGCAGGTCTACTGATGAGAAGAATGAAATTCTTTTATGGGGGAATAACATTTCACTTAACTGGGGTTTAAAATAGTTTTCCCTTTCATCAAAATTGATTGCAAATCTTCATCTATGAATGCTGATTTGCAATGAGAGTCTACAATTCCACTTTTGCAAATGTCTTCGTGAAGGTACTGCCGGGCTGGGCGCAGTGGCTCACACCTGTAAGCCCAGCACTTTGGGAGGCAAAGGCAGGCAGACTCCTTAGGTCAGGAGTCTGAAACCAGCCTGGTCAACATGGTGAATCCCCATCTCTACCAAAAATACAAAAATTAGCAGGGCGTGGTGGCACACACCTATAGTCCCAGATACTCAGGAGGCTGAGGTAGGAGGATCTCTTGAACCAGGGAGGCAGAGATTGCAATGAGTTAAGATTGTGCCACTGCACTCCAGCCTGGGTGACAGAGCAAGACCCTGTCTCAAAAAAAAAAAAAAAAAAAAAGACAGGAACTTCCAAATACTGAGCTAAATCCAGGAATACACATTTTTAATTGAGCCTTTTATCTCATGGAAGACATTATAGAATTCTATTAGATTCCTCTCTTGACATTTACCTTTATCATATCATTACATGCATGCACCCCACTGCAGATTAATCACTTTCAATGGAAAGTTATGTGGAAGCAACTAAATGCCACAGTTAAATGGATTATTTCTATGTGGCAAAATATATATAACATAAAATTTGCCATTTTAGCCATTTTAAGTGTATAGAATTCAGAGGCATTAATTATATTCACAATACTATACAACCATTGCCACTATTTCCAAAATACACGGATCTTGAAATATGGAAATTTGCCTCATACATCATCGAGGTCTAAAAATCACTACTAGAACTGTAATTTCAGTTTGAAAAATATATCCACTACAAATTTGTACTGGAATGGAGATCTCACTTTTTTTTTTTTTTTTTTTTGAGACAGCATCTCGCTCTGTCACCCAGGATGGAGTGCAGTGGCGCAATCTTGGCTCACTGCAATCTCCGCTTCCCGGGTTCCAGCAATTCACTTGCCTCAGCCTCCCAAGTAGCTGGGATTACAAATGCCCACCACCAACCCGTCTAATTTTTGTATTTTTAGTAGAGATGCCATTTTGCCCAGGCTAGTCTCAAACTCCTGACTTCAAGTGGAGATCTCACTTCTTGTTTAACTTTTGATAGCACAAGAAGTATATAAAGCAGCTTGACATTATTTATGATTCAAATATTAGTTGTCATTGAAATTACTTGACCACAGTACCATTTTACATTCCCACTAGCAATGGATGAGAAATCTAGTTTCCCCACATCCTCACCAGTGCTTGGTATTGGCATTTTTTTTTTTACCCCCAAGACGGAGTCTTGATCTGTCGCCCAGACTGGTGTGCAGTGGTGCAATCTCGGGTCACTGCAACCTCCGCCTCCAGGGTTCAAGCAATTCTCCTGCCTCAGCCTCCTGAGTTGCTGGGATTACAGATGCCCACCACCACGCCTGGCTAATTTTTCTATTTTTAGTAGAGACGGGGTTTCACCATGTTGGTCAGGCTGGTCTCGAACTCCTAACCTAGTGATCCGCCTGCCTTGGGCTCCCAAAGTGCTGGGATTACAGGCGTGAGCCACCGCACCTGGCCAGTATTGGCATTATATTTTATTTTAGCCATTCTAATAGGTGTGGTATGGTATCTTATTGTGGTTTTAATTTGCACTACCCTAATGGTGAACGAATAATGTTTAACATCTATGTGTACTTATATGTCACCCCTACATTCTTTTTGCTGAAGTATCTGTTCAAGTCTTTTGCCCATTTTCTATGTTTTTTTTTTTTTTTTTTTAAGACAAGGTCTTGCTCTGTTGCCCAGGCTGGGAGTGCAATGGCATGATCACGGCTCATTGCAGCCTTGAACTCCCAGGCTCAAGTGATCCTCCCACCTCCCAAGTAGCTGGGACTACGGGCACGTGCTACCACACCCAGCTAATTATTTTTATTTTGTGGAGACAGCACTATGTTGCCCAGGCCGGTCTTGAACTCCTGGGCTCAAGCGATCCTCCCACCTTGACCTCCCAAAGTGCTGAAATTACAGCTTATTTTCTAAGTGAATTTTTTTTTTTATTATTGAGTTTAGCAAGTTCCTTATATATTCTGGATTAAAGTTCTTTGTCATATGATTTGCAAATATTTTCTCCCATTTTATGGCCATGTTTCATCCTCCTAATTAGGGCCATTCATGCAGCAAAAGTTTGTAATTTTGAAGTCTAATTTACCAATTTTTTTCTTTTACAATTGTGCTTTTAGTGTCATGCCTAAGAACTCTTCTTCCAACCCCCAGGTCATGAAGATTTTCTCCTATGTGCTCTCTTAAAAGCTTTATAGTTTTACATTTTATATTTAAATCTATGGTTCATTTTGAGTTAATTTTTGTATAAAGTGTAAGGTTTCGGCAAAGGTTCACTTTTTTGCCTACAGATGTCCGGTTGTTCCAGTACCATGTGTTGAAAAGATTACCATTTCTCCAGTGAGGTGTGCTGCACTTATGTCGAAAAGTTGGCCATGCCTGTGTGAGTCTATTTCTAGACTCTATTTCATTGATCTATTTGTCTACCCCTACATTGATACTACTGACTTGATTACTGTAGCTACAAACTAAGTCTTAAAATTGGATAGTGTGATGCCTTCAACTTTATCCTTCCTTTTCAAAATTGTTTTAGCTATTCTAGTTCTTTTGCTTTTCCAGGTGAACCAAGTTCAAGAGTTAGAAGGGGTTTTCTTGTTGTTGTTTTTTTTTAAGACAGAGTCTCACTCTGTCGCCCAGGCTGGAGTGCAGTGGTGCGACCTAAGCTCACTGCAAGCTCCGCCTCCCGGGTTCACTCCATTCTCCTGCCTCAGCCTCCCGAGTAGCTGGGATTACAGGCACCCGCCACCACGCCCGGCTAATTTTTTGTATTTTTAGTAGAGATGGGGTTTCACCGTGTTGGCCAGGCTGGTCTCGATCTCCTGACCTCATGATCCGCCTGCCTCGGCCTCCCAAAGTGTTGGGATTACAGGTGTAAGCCACCGTGTCCGGCCAGAAGGGTTCTATAAACATCTTTGATGTTTGAGAAGCATCAGAAGAGGAAAACTTGGCAAGCAATCCATCAGTATGTTTACATGAGCATGGCATATTAGCATTAATAGGAAACCAGAATCTTCACAGCTTTCATCCATTCTTTCCACAAATAACTTACCGAGTGCCTCCGATCTGTAAGACTATTCCAGATGGTGGGAACCAAAAAAATGCCAGTTCCTATGTGTATAACACACTGATTTCATTTTCTTCATTTCTAAAATGCCTAGTGACAGTTTTCACTAAAACCTATTCATAGAAAACTAAATGGACTTAATATTTTTAAAATCCTCTGATTGCATGGTTTTTGTTCTTTTTACTATATATAACTATGTCATGTTTCACCACCTCCTAGGTAGTAAGTTACTTCCTATATTGGAAAACATCAAAATCAAAGGCTCTTTTTAAAAAGATTCAAATGAAAGCTGCCAGGCAAGTCTTCATTCCCCAGGTTTCTCGTGAGTACTGCAGTGGCACTACTGATGGCAGAGACTCAGGGCTCTCCTGCTGCCTTTGGTTTTAGAACAGGCACTCAGTGCAATTTTATCCTAACAAACCCCCATAAAAGTGGTTGAAATAGCACTAATCTCAGAATTCTCATGTAACAAAGCATGGAGTAGAAATTCTCACAGTAAGAGGATGGAAAAGTCTATATTGTTGATCAAAAAGAATCAAACCTTGCTACTCTAAGCAACGAACTTTCCAAGTCACATCCTGTCCCTGTTATTCTTTCCTAAACGTTTTCCCAAATTGTCAATCTTGTTGTCATATCTTTACACATTGCCCAAGTCAGGAAAATGAAATATCTGATGGAAATACAGGATATGATACAGGATCTTCTCCTTTGAAGGAACCACTGTCCTACTCCATATTTGCACCTACCTCCTTCAGAGACAGGTCTCTCAAAACAATAAGCAACAGATATTCAGCTGTTGGCAAGAACTTTCAAATGTTAACATGAAAAATAAATAAATAAAAAATAAAAACAAGAGAAAATAATTCTCTTACTCCAACAAAACTATTTTTTCTTATGGCCTTAAAGTATGAAGATCTCCACAGGCAGAATTTTCCCACAGCTGGAAGCCATAGTAAATACAGTGATTTCAAACATGAATTTTAGAAGATAGATACAGATTTAAGTTTCAGTTTACTCATTTTTACAATGATACATGCATCTACCACATAGGGATGAGAGGAATTAATGGGATAATTAAAAGTGCTTAGCAAAATATTGGGTATATAATAAACATTCAATACATGTTAGCTATATTATCCCAATTTACTTAGCCAATAAATCTTAGGGTCTGTCTCAACGATTTCTTCTTTCCTTTAGTTTTCCCTGACTCTTTCAAGGTCGGGGAACTTACTTCCTTCCTCCTATGTCTTCCCTGTACCTATACCACCACAGCCCAATGCTTCTGGTAAGAGCTCCTAGAGGGCAAGCTGTCTTCCTCTTGTTTATATCCCTGGCCTCTGGCATAGTAGAGAGTTTGGCACCCAGTATTCAAACGTCAATGAAAACACCTTCAAAATACCTTCTTTCCCTTACATTCTACATATCATCAATTAATGCTACATGATATACCACTGAGGCGATCTTACCCATTCCACTTCTGTTTAGATTCTCTAGCTGTTTTGCTTATTATTATTTTTGTCTGAGACAGGATTTTGCTCTGTCACCCAGGCTGGAATGCAGTGGCACAATCATAGCTCACTGCAGCTTTGACCTCCCTGGCTCAAGCAATCTCCCACCTCAGCCTCCAGAGTAGCTGGGACTACAGGCATGCACTACCACCATGTCTGGCTAATTTTTTTATTTTTTGTAGAGACGGGTTCTTACTATGTTGCCAAGGCTGGTCTTGAGCTCCTGGGCTCAAGCAATCAATCCTCCATTCTTGGCTTCGGAAAGTGCTGGGATTACAGGTATGAGTCTCCACACCCAGCTTTTGCTTATTATTAATAGTATAATATACAATTATAGTTTTATTTTTCTCCTTCTAGATTATTTAGGATAAATTCTATCCCTGGGGTTACAGGATTAAAAAAATGTAGCTCCTAGCAATTAGACTTCTACCCAGTTTGCCCCAATTAACTTTATTACAGGATATGTGCTCCAGTATTATTGCAAAAGAGAATTGCTATTAACTTTAGTACTTTCACTTCTATTTTGTGGACCTCAGGTTGTCTTGACATTAGCAAGAAATAAAGGAAGCTATAGCAATCTTCCTTGTGTACAGCCAAATCTCACGACTAGTATGCATTTATAAAGGCAAGCTTTTCACTTAAAGGTAATTAAGAAAATTTATACAAATTTATAACAAACCAACATAGCATGTACTATGTGCCAGACACTGTTTTAAATGGTTTACAGATACTAACTAATTTAATCCTCATAACAACCCTTTGAGGTAGGTACTAGTATCCCTGTTTTACAGCTAAGGAAACTGAGGCACACCGATGTTAGGTCACAGCAGGGATTTCAATCCAGCCTTGAGCTAAGGGTCTTGATCACTATGCTATGGGCCTGTCAAAAAAAACAAAAAAACAAAAAACAAAACCAAGCAAATAAACCATAACTGTACAAAATGATCCCAGGTGTACCTCATAAATGGCTCTTCTCTCTTCCCCAGGGTGAATACCAGATTAAGATAAACAATGACTCAGGGCCAGGCGTAGTGGCTCACGCCTGTAATCCCAGCATTTTAGAAGGCTGAGGCGGGTGGATCACCTGAGGTCAAGAGTTCGAGACCAGCCTGGCCAATATGGTGCAACCTCATCTCTACTAAAAATACAAAAATTAGGCGGGCATGGTGGCACATGCCTATAGTCCCAGCTACTCGGGAGGGTGAGGCAGAAGAATTGCTTGAACCTGGGAGGTGCAGGTTGCAGTGAGCTGAGATCGCGCCACTGAACCGCAGCCTGTGTGACAGAGGGAGACTCTGTCTCAAAAAAAAAAAAGAAAAAAAAAAAGAAACATAAAATAACAGCATCTTTATACTAACCTGCCAGTAACTGCACAGATGTCTCCCACTTGAAACTAACTATATGCTTGGATGTCTAACTTCTCTTCCTCTCTAGGCTTCCTAAAAAAGCTCACATGGCCAAGCATGCCAGGAAAAAAAAAAAAGTATGTCTATTTGAAGGTAAAAATAAATATTTTCTACCACAGTTAACATTCCATAAAGTGAGTTATCAACATTCTAAGGTTGAATGGATTAAAAATGGCAATGAACCAAGAGAAAAGACTTAATATATTCAAGCTATAAGGGCTTACTATACAAAAGCATAAATAATATAACAAGGTAGGGAATCATGAGTCAGTGAATATTGTTGGGACAAATAAATACCAGATTGGGCCAGGTGCACTGGCTCACACCTGTAATCTCAGCACTGGGAGGCCAAAGTGGGAGGATCGCTTGAGCCCAGGAGTTCAAGACCAGCCTGGGCAACAAAGTGAGAACCCATCTATATACAGCATTTTTTAAAACTAGCCGGGCATGGTGGTGCACACCTGTGGTCCAGCTACCTGAGAGGCTAAGGCAGGAGGATCGCTTGATCCTGGTAAGTCGAGGGTACAGTGAGCCATGATTGCACCTCTGCACCCCAGCCTGGGTGACAGAGACAGTCACTCACATCCTACCTACTACCTACCTTCCTACCAACTAACCAGATTGGAGATGAATTAATTGATATCCAGGTTTCATATCATACATTAATCCATCTGGAATTAACCTCCCAAAAATTACATTAAAAATGATGACATAAATTATATAGCATACTTAGTCCAGCTATGATGGGGGACAGCCTCCATTTACACCCAACAAGCAGAAATGTATCAAAGGGAAGAGAGGTTCAAACATGAAAAGGAAACTTTTTTGCGTAAGGAAATTAGCATTAAGAGAAGGGAAGATAAAGCTAAAGAAGTGACCAAGTGGCTGGGCGCGGCGGCTCACACCTACAATCCCAGCACTCTGGGAGGCTCAAGCGGGCAGATCGCTTGAGCCTAGGAGCTTGAGACCAGCCTGGGCAACATGATGAAACCCCGCCTGTACAAAAAAATACAAAAAAGGGACACCGTTAGCCCCAGCTACTCAGGAAGCTGAGGTGGGAGGATCGCTTGAGCCAGGACCATCGGGCTGAAGTGAGCCAAGATCATGCCACTGCACTCCAGCCTGGGTGACAGAGTGAGACCCTGTCTCTAAATAAATAAATAAATAAATAAAAATAAGAAGTAACCAAGTAGCTAACATAATAATATATTTCGAGTAGTGGACTTGTACTGAAAAAGTAAAATACAGTATTTTTTCATCCATTCATTCAACTAGTCCTTACTGAGGGCCTACTATGTGCCAGGCACTGTTCTAGATACAGGAGAGAACACACAGACCCAATGTCACCAATCGAGAAATACAAATTAAATTTAAGATACAACCACATAAGCCTTAAAAGAGATAAAATCTAATATGGAAAAGAAAATGCAATATGGAAAGGAGAGAAATATAGACAAACATACACGGTCTGAACATTAAACTGATTTTTAATATGCTACCAGCAGGGATTCAGGAGAGCAAACTGGTAATATGTAATACTACATACTCTGTGTCTCCATAATTTTACTGCATAAAGGAAAATCTTCCAAAGGAAAAAATCATTAAACCCAACAGCTTACAGGGATCTAAATGCCTAATACAAAATCAATGGCTAACCTACAGTAGATCAACACTCTAGTTCAGCACTGTCCAATAGAAATATAATGCAAGCTGCAAATGTAAGCCACATAATGTAATTTAAATTTTTCTAGTAGCCACATTTAAAAAGTAAAAAGTAGGCAGTGTACAGTGGCTTATGCCTGTCATCACAACACTTTGGGAGGCTGAGGTGGGAGGATGGCCTCAGGCCAGGAGTTTGAGACTAGTCTGTGTAACCCTCCAAAACCCCATCACTATAAAAAATTTAAAAGTTAGCCAGGCATGGTGGCACGAGATTGTAGTCCTAGCTACTCAGGAGGCTGAGGCAGGAGGATCACAGGAGCCCAGGTGTTTGACGCTGCAGTGAGCCATGGTCATGCCACCGCACTACAGTCTGGGTGACAGAGTGAGACTCTGACTCTAAAAATAAAAAGTAAAAGGTAAATTAATTTAAATAATATATTTCATTTAACCCAATGCAAAGTATTATCTTTTTTAACATATAATCAATGTGAAAAATTATTAGGTATTTTACAAACGAGGTATTTCTTTTTTCGTACTAAGTCTCTGAAATCAGGTATTTTATGCTTACAGCACATCTCAGTTCAGACTGGCCACAGGTCAAATGCTTAATAGCCACAATAGTACTGTGTCGCACGGTGCAGCCCAGGAGTTCACAAGTGAGGGTGTTTTGCTTGCCCAGAGGACATGTGGCAATATCTGGAAATGTTTGAGGGGTGCTACTAGCTCTAGCAGGTAAAGTCCAGGGATGCTGCTGAACATCCTACAATGCACAGGATAGCCCCCACAACAAAGAATTATGTGGCCCAAAATGTCAATCGTACTAAGGTAACCCTAGATAGCTGAAGAGCTAACACAGTTAGTACTGATATAGGCTGACCTAGAGGAATGTATTTTATGAGGCCATTTGTTTTTTGTTATGATGCTTTCAATCCCTTTTACAAGTAACTTTTTAAAGTTTCCCCTGAAACAAGATGAGGGGACCCATTTCTCTTAAGGAGCACAGCACACTGAAAGGCTGTCAGTGGCCAGACGACCCAGCCACACAGAAAGGCACCCACAGCAGCTGCTTTGTCTTAAAGGGAAAAATACTGGCAGATCCAGGAGCTGAGAAAAATATCAAACGAGGAAGTATGACTGCCATTTATATCTTCCCCATGACTATGTGACTAGGATACTCAGCATTTTTCCTACCAAGGTAATGGCAATGGGGCAGGAGTAAGGTCACAGGGAAGCTAAAGAGGGACAATGAAGTTCAGATTCTGCCGGGTGGGGTGGCTTATGCTTGTAATCCCAGCATTTTGGGAGGCCAAGGTGGGAGGATCACCTAAGGTTGGGAGTTCGAGACCAGCCTGGCCAACATGGTGAAATCCCGGTCTCTACTAAAAATACAAAAATAAGCCGGGTATGGTGATGCATGCCTGTCATCCCAGCTACTCAGGAGGCTGAGGCAGGAGAATTGCTTGAACCAAGGAGGCAGAGGGTGCAGTGAGCCAAGATCGCACCACTGCACGCCAGCCTGGGCAACAGAGCCAGACTCCGTCTCAAAAAAAAAAAAAAGAGAAAAACAAAAACAACAATAACAAAAAGCAATTCAGATTCTGTCAAGGTTCAAACAAAGATCAGGGAAACACACATTCATAGACACCTCTGGTATGAAAAACAGGTAACATTCGATTCATAAGCAGACAGATCTGCTCTTGCAAAAGACGCTTCTGCGGGCGCTAACGCCATCCTCAGGCCTCAGATAATCAGCGCACCTATCACACCCCATGGCCACCACTTCTCCAGCTGTCCCATCTCATTTTAACAGGCTGCCAGAGCAAATGCCTGCTGACAGGGCAACCAAGGGCTTTTCCCCTGCACGGAGGCCTCTGGGACAGATACCAGGGGCCAGAAATCGTTCCCCGTCTGAACAATCCAATCCCTTCCTGGAGGCCGGACAACAGCAGGGTAGCCTGCCTAATAAGCCTCGGGCTGAGGATTCAACCAAGTTGTTCCTGAAGGCAGAGACTGCAGGTGTCAACTGGCAACAGAGAGGTACCTCGGTTTCCAAGGGGGTTAAAGGCTGCCTGCTCCTGTCTGGCACACCCCTCAAATAAAGCGGTATCTGGGGCACAATCGGAATCAACAGGCCTCAGATCTCACAACACTGTCTTCCTCTCCTCTCCTCATTCACAAGACCTTAAGACAAACAAGACAATGGGCGCCTCTTCAAATACATCCTTCTGGCCAAGAAAACCATTTCTACAGATGTCCCAGGCCCACGCAGCCTTTATGACAAACATCTAGAAAGACAAACTTTTAAGGGGAACTGTTGTGCCACTAGATATACTTCTTAAGGGACTCAGAATATTAGAAATTAAATTTAAAAGTGAATTAAAATTCACTTTTAAATTTAAAAAGATCAAAAACTGATGTCCTCCCAAGACCGGCTGACTTCAGGCCTTCCCGCCCTTCCTAATCTCCAACAAGTTAAAGAAACCTACCAAGCACGTTTCCTCTGCAATTCCCACCACATCCTTACTCCCCAGTGGGTTGTTATCACAACCCTGACCATCTTAAGCTCTTCCCTTAAGAACTTCCAAATAGTAGCCATTTCAGTCAAGAGGATCAGCAAAATTCTAGAACCCAACCTATATGGGGAAGAAGCAGAATACAAAAGAAAGAGCTATTATTCCAAGTCAGGGAAGCTGCTAAACTCAGTCCTATCACTCAACAGCTATACTACACTGAGAAAAGAATTAACTTGAGCATCAGCTCACTTATCTGTAGCTGTGCTATGTTACTCTCAAGCCGATGATCAGCTAGCAATACAATTCACAAACATATCTCCACCACCACAGTAAAACAGGTATTTGTCTGCAGTTGATAATCTAGCATTACTCCATAATCACCAGGAATTTGAGGGCTTTCAGTTGTTTCATAAGCTAAATTCCAAGGAACTTATTCAAAGTTCCTGTTATGTTGGGTCTAAGATTAACTTTGTTAATAGCATGGTAAGGTTTCAAAGGATTAAACTGAAAATGAATCACAGGGGTAAAACGGGATTTACAGGAAACACTTGGAGCCATTGAGTGAGGGGAGAGAACAGACTTTATTCCATGAGATCTAGAGATTCCCAGCACTGCCTACCTACTAGAATCACCAGAGGAGTTTTAAAACAATACCAATGTCTGGGTTCTATCCCAGAGACTGATTTAATTGGTCTGGAATAGGACCCCAACACTGGTATTTGTTGAACATTCTTCAAGTGATTTTAACATTCAGCCTGGCCTGAAAACCACTGATTTAGAGAGTTGTGAATATTGGTCTTTTGCATTTGACAAAATCCCTTCAACAAGATTTTCAGGCTTTAGCTAAAAAAAAAAAAAAAGGCCAGGTACAGTGGCTCACACCTATAATCCCAGCACTTTGGGAGGCCCAGGCAGGTGGATCACTTGAGGTCAGGACTCGAGACCAGCCTGGCCAACATGGTGAAATCCTGTCTCTACTAAAAATGCAAAAATTAGCCAGGCATGGTGGTGCACACCTGTAATCCCAGGTACTTGGGAGACTGAGGGCAGGAGAATTGCTTGAACCTAGAAGGCAGAGGTTGCAGTGAGCCAAGACCATGCCACTGCACTCCAGCCTGGGTGACAGAGACTCCGTCTCAAAAAAAAAAAAAAAAAAAAAGGCCAAAATATAATTTGTAAATGAAACTTCCTCCAGTGCCTAACACAATGTGTGTTAAATGCTTAGTACAAGGCTTTCTGGGTTCCATCATGTGACCACCATACTGCAGAGCAGACCAGAACTGCTGATCACCGTGAGAAGCAAACACAAAGGTCAGGGGCTGAGTGGTTTGGCTATTTTTCTACTGTGAGACACAACATTTAAGAAAACTAAGTGACTGCTCAATATCATACCTGCATAATACCAAAGAAAAGTAAACAGAAGGTTGTCAAGTTAACAGGATTCTTAAAAAAGCCAAACAATTATAAGCATTTATTGTAACCCATTCTGTGTAGTTTATCTCTAAAAGCCTGAGTGTGTCTATTTCCACCACATAAATATAGATTTCATAATAACATACAAATCCTTTTTAGCGAGATTTGCTTTTGAAAACATATCCTGAACCCTCAGGTCAGGTACAGCTGTCAGTGTCGTGGCGTCTCCTGGGTGGTTCCATGCTCTTTTCAGCAGCCCAGCACACTGGGCCAGAGACAGGCAACAGAGCCATCATGCTTCAAAGAGGAGCCAAGTGCTGTATTCTGAGCCACCGAATTCCAGAAAGAACATCCTTGGGAAGCTCACCCAGCCCCAGCATAGTCTGCCTAGTAAGTGTCTCTCCTGGGCCTCACCTACAGAGAGGTGAGGCTAAATGGGGACTGGGCAAGACGGCCTTTGAGGTTCCATCCATCTTTTAAAGTACACATGTCAGTCTTGCTTTCTACCTCCATGAGCAGGCTTTGGTAAGTGGAAGTTCTCATCTGATATCTAGTAACAATTGATTCTTTGAACAGCTAATTCATAAAATAATCTTAAATAGTTAAAACATATATAACATCTAATTATCTAAATAGGCTAACTCCTTAAAAGGGGGGCAGGGAGGAAAAGGATAAATTTAATTCTGCTCATTAGTGGACTTCAGTGCACCAAATTAACTTCACATTAGTCTGTGAGTTTAATAATGACAGGTTTAACCATTGCAAAGCCTTCTGGAGTCCCTGTTTCTTTGCGTTGACCTTTTTATTTTTGACTAAAAGAGAGGGAAAAACGGTAAGACATTAAAAAAAGCATGAACAGGGAGGGGGGAGGGATAGCATTAGGAGATATACCTAATGTAAATGACGAGTTAATGGGTGCAGCCCACCACCATGGCACACGTATACATATGTAACAAACCTGCACGTTGTGTACATGTACCCTAGAACTTAAAGTATAATAATAACTAAAAAAAAGAAAGCATTAACGGAAACCCACCTAACTGTGGAAACAATATTTCATTGAAAAAGTTTTCATTAACCATTTGTAACTTCCAAGTTATCTTAACCAAATAAAGATTTAGGTACTTAAAAAAAAAAAAAACAGGAAGCTAATTCCAACACTTTTCTTCCCCTTTGACAGAAAGTTCCTTTAACTCATGCCAACAGGCTATATTTATTTCCCTTAAGCAGCACTTCCTAGGAAAGCCGCGGCAGTCTTGCAGCAAACGGCATAAGAGAGCTGATGATCCCGGCAGCAGCCCAACCTCAAGAGCCCCAGCGAGCTGTCAATGCAGTTACCAAGCATGAGAGCCACCTGGGCTCCACACCAATCGCACACTGTTGTTACCTCAGCCGGAGATCTCTGGGCTGCTATTGGAGACCAACACCTGGCACCAGACCAGATACGGTGTCACACCCAGCAGCGCCTAAGAGACTACTGTGCCTCATAAAGCTTTATGGATGCCTACAGGGAGAGAAGAAAAAAAAAAAAAAAAAAAGGCAGGTATTCTTACTTATCTTAACCCTGTCCAGAAAATCTGCTGAGTCACCGAGTATCAATCAAGAGAAAAATAATGCAGAGCTGCAAAATGCTAATCTCCTTCCTCCTGCTCTCCTTCCTAACAGCAAGCCGACTCACAGGTAATACTCTTGACTTGGAAAACACAAGGGCATAGACAAATTCACACGTCCTTAGTCTGTAAAGAAAAGCTTTCAGGAGCAAACTCTAAAAGTACAATGTACTAGACAAAACTATTTTATGAAAACAATGGCTGTCTCTGGGTAGAGGAATTAAGGGTGGTTACTTTTTTTCTACAACTTTACACACTTTGTACATTTTCTATAATGAGCCCATATTTCTTTCCTAACAATACATCTTCGAATCATTTCTGGTAAGAGATTAGACCCACATCTTTGATCCCTAAGATACAACTTGAGCTCACCAAAATATTTCAAAGCATTAATTATGAAAACTCCAACCAAGATTAAAGGGTCAGCCTACCACAGAACTAAGGAAATACTAAGTAAGAGCCCTGGATTTTATGAATACTTGCTTTGTTACCTTTCCTAGACACAGGATATTCTAATTTGGTAGGAAGAAAATCCCACCAATGACACACTTTTGAGAGAAGGGGAAAAAATAACTAAAGTTCATGTGCCAGTAATAATGGTACATGAACTTTAGTTTACTTCTGCTTTTTTTTTTTTTTTTTTTTTTTTGAGACAGAGTCTTGCTGTTCCCCAGGCTGGAGTGCAGTGGTGCGATCTCGGCTCACTGCAAACTCTGGCTCCCGGGTTCAAGCGATTCTCCTGCCTCAGTCTCCCGAGTAGCTGGGACTACAGGTGCATGCCACCATGCCCAGCTAATTTTTTGTATTTTTAGTAGAGGCAGGGTTTCACCATGTTAGCCAGGATGGTCTCAATCTCCTGACCTTGTGATCTGCCCGCCTCGGCCTCCCAAAGTGCTGAGATTACAGGCGTGAGCCACCACGCCCGGCCCACTTCTGCTTATTTTTCCATTCTTCCTTCTTTCCCAGATTAGACATGCTAATGAAAAACAAGGCACCCTTACCTTTGCCTGAGAGCACTAAGAAAACAAACCACCACCACAATAAAATAAAGCTCATAAAAGCATCTGACAAGCTTTGTCTTGCTTTTGCTTAAATATTAATTTAAAGCAATTAAAATCCAAACTCCTTGGCTTATTATTCAAGAACACACATGCCCAGGCGCAGTGGCTCACACCTGTAATCCCAGCACTTTGAGAGGCTGAGGCGGAGGGATCACCTGAGGTCAGGAGTTCAAGACCAGCCTGGCTAACATGGTGAAACCCCATCTCTACTAAAAATACAAACAATTAGCTGGGTGTGGTTGCATGTGCCTGTAATCCCAGCTACTTGGGAGACTGAGAGAGGAGAATCGCTTGAACTTGGGAGGCGGAGGTTGCAGTGAGCCAAGATCGCACCACTGCCCTCTAGCCTGGGCTACAGAGTGAGACTCTACCTCAAAAACAAAAAACAAAAAACAAAAAAACCCCACACATAATGTGAAATTCACTGAGGTATTGCACTATAGCTAAGACTTCACACATTTGATGCTCAATACCAACAAGGACTAGGTATCCCTATCCCACAACTCTTTCTTTTGCCTGGCAAGTTCTTCATTTCTCCAAATTCTATCCATTCCTCAAGTTTCCAGCCAAATGATACCTCCTCCTAAAGAGTTCCCTGAGAGAGAAGCACTTTCTCCTTTTACTAATTCCCACAGCATCTAAATTACAGTCATCTATGTAGAGTACGTGTTGTGAGTTTAAGCTTCTATTGGTGGACAAGCAGGCCCAGCACCAATTTATCTTTATCTGCACCAGACCACTCGGTTCAGTGCTGTGCATGCATCTTGAAGAGTGTTCAAATATTTGCTAAATTTAAAAAAATGAATAAACACTGACTGCATCTTAAAAAAAAATCAGGGCTCGTGGAGTCATATGATCTACATGTGCATATATAAATAGGATTAAAAAAAGGAACCATGCCTGAATAATCATGCCTCAGGCAAAGGAACAGTGTTTAGGAGCAGCCTAGGTATAAAACTTCATGTTAGCTGAAGTAACGCCAGCCTAATGCCAGCCAAAGTTAGTACTCAGGCTCAAAGAACTAACAGCAACAGAAACCACCACTTTATTAACACTTCAGGATTAAAGGATGCCTGCTAAGCCTCAAATTGTGTGTGGCCACAAGCATTAACATTACAGTCCCGAAGAAAGTGGGTAGATGTGCGAATGCTTTATTTCAACCCTAATTATTTCTAAGCATACGTGAGAAATTATAAATATTTGAAGATGTGACTAATAGAGCAATTTTTCCAAGTCATATTCCAAAAGAATGATTTGGTCACAATACTGAGAAATGGGCAAACCATGTAATCTGCATCTTCACTTACACCTTGAAGAAGAAAAGCACTGGCCTGCTCAAAGTCAGAACTTATTCTTTGGTGCTTTGCTTCTGACTTCTGTTTGACACCATTTCTTTTCTTTCTTTCTTTATTTTTTTTTGGTGAGACAGGGTCTCGCTCTGTCACGCAGGGTGGAGTGCAGTGGCACAATCACAGCTTACTGTAGCCTGGACCTCCTGGGCTCAAGTGATCCTCCCACCTCAGCCTCCCAAGTAGCTGGGACTACAGGCACAAACCCCTGTGCCCAGCTAATTTATTTTTATTTTTATTTTTTTGTAGAGACAGGTCTCACCATGATGCCCAGGTTGGTCTTGCACTCCCAGGCTCAAGCGAGCCTCCTCCCTCGGCCTCCCACAGTGCTGGGACTACAGGCGTGAGGCACCAGCAGCACAGGTCTCCTGCTTCTCGGTTAATTCCACGTGTTAAAGGCTAATAGTGCTGAATGAAACCTTGCTTTCCACATAAGAGCCATAGATGTATCCTTATCTTTTGTTACTTAGAGGCTTTTTTGTTGTTTGTTTTAAATTTTTGACAGATAGTAGGCATACCTGGCATCCTGGGAGATCCTGTCCCAGATTTCCTCTCTAACAAATATAAAAATGATGGTAATGATGATGTGACATGAAATTGCAATCTCTGCCCAATTAACTGCTTACTTTAAAAAAAGAAAAACTATATGCTTATACAGGAATTCTGCTTCCCAACTACTTACATTATCCATTTTATACCATTTATACAATTTTCTCAGACCACAAAATTTCTTGTCATCTTGCTGGTTGCTTCTGTCAGCAAACTTGTAACATGAAGACAAGTTAAAGATAAATACATCTGAGAAATTTTGTTTTTTGACAGGTAACGGTCAAGCAGATTCTAGATGGTGTCTGAACTTACAAAAATACTTAGTAGCGATGCATTCATTTTAATGTATATACAAAAATAGCTTGAATAAACCTATGGGCTTATTGTTGTTGTTTTGCTAGGTCTAGACTAAGTAACAGAAAGAGAGTAGAATAAAAGAAATCTTTTAAAAAAGTTCAGAGATTACAAGGATACAGTAAAAATCAGGAAAACAGTACTCAAATTTCAAAGTTTAGGGGCAGGGTGTGGTGCCACATGCCTGTAATCCCAGCACTTTGGGAGGCTGAGGCGGGAGGCTTGCTTGAAGCTGGGAGTTCAACAACAGCCTGGCCAACAGTGAGAGTGCCTCTACAAAAAAACAAACAAAAAAAATTTAATAAAAAATAAAAGTTCATGGCCAGATGTGGTGGCTGACGCCTGTAATCCCAGTACTTTGGGAGGCCAAGGCAGGCGGATCACTTGAGCTCAGGAGTTCAAGACCAGCCTGGCCAATGTGGTAACAGAGAACAGCAGGTAGGCACCTGCTGTTTAGGAGGCTGAGGCAGGAGAATTGCTTGAGCCCGGGAGGTGGAGGTTGCAGTGAGCTGAGATTGCACCACTGCACTCCAGCCTGGGTGACAGAAGGAGACTTCGTCTCAAAAAAAAAAAAAAAAAAAAAAAGTTTAGGAAACATGAAAGAATAATAAAAATAAAATTCATAAAATTCATGTGGATTCCTGAAATTTTATAAAAGTGGTATTAGCCTTCATATTTCTCTGAGATAAGGCTTCAGTGGCATGTTGAAAACCTGCTACAGTGGTGGCTGACTCCATATCCTTTAGGGTACTCAAAGCCCAGCGGTGCCTACCTGCTGTTCTTCTCCACTTCGTAGAGGAAAAGCTCGCTGCTGCCACTGCAAACCCTGATGTCAACTCTACTCTCACAAGCTGGGGACCCTATCCCCAGAAATTTCACAGGACCACACACCAGCTCCACAGCCTCCACCTTCTCCTGCTCTGCAAGCCATCCTTGGGTAAGCCTGCTCACTCTCACAGCTTCACCTATGTGGACACACTAAAGGCTCTAAATGTTTTTTCCTACACTACTTCTTGTCTATGCTCTACCTACTGATAATTTTACCCATATGCACTTCAAATTCAACATCTTCAAAATCAAAATCATTCTTCTTCTTTTTTTTTTTTTTTTGGAGATGGAGTCTCACTCTGTTGCCCAGGCTGGAGTGCAATGGCGCGATCTTGGTTCACTGCAACTTCCGCCTCTCAGGTTCAAGCGATTCTCCTGCCTCAACCTCCCAAGTAGATGGGGTTTCACTGTGTTGCCCAGGCTGGTCTCAAACTCCTGAGCTCAGGCAATCCACCAGCCTCGGCCTCCCAAAGTGCTAGGATTACGGGCGTGAGCCACCGTGCCCGGCCCAAACTCATTCTTAATATCTCCCCAATCTCCTTTTCTTATGTCCACGAATAGGTTTAAATCCTTACCATCAATCCCAGACACCCCAATGCCTCCCTATCTTCTAGAAACGCCTTTCCTCCATCCTCACTTCTGTGCTTTACAACAGAACCCTGGCCTCTCTGACATGGATAGGCAGAGCCGCTTCCTGAATGCTCTTTATATTTGGTCTCTTTCTCCTGTACAGGTTTTTTTCTGCATTGCTTCAAGACTAATCTAAGATAAAAATCTACTCTCAAACATCGTAGCCATTAGGGAACTGCAAATTAAAACCACAATCAGATACCAGGCACATCTATAGGAATGGCTAAAATAAACATTATAACATTGAGTACTGGCAACAATGTGGAAAAACTGGATCATTGCTGGTGGGAATGTAAAATGGCACAGACACTCTGGGAAAGAGTACTGCAGTTTCTTACAAACTAAATATGCACTTACCATATGACCCAGCAAGCGCAGTCCTGGGCATTAATCCAGAGAAATAAAAGCTTATGTTCACACAAAATCCTGTAACTGAAGGTTCAGAGCACCTTTATGTATAATTGCCATTAACTGGAAATGACCCATATGTCCTTTAACAAATGAATGGTTAAAGAAGCTATGGTACATCTATAACACGGAATGCTACTCAGCAATACAAAGGAAAGAACTATTGATGCACACAACAAAATTAGATGGCTATCAAGGGAGTTCAGCTGAGTGAAAAAAGCAATCTCGAAAGGTTATATACTATATGATTCAATGTATATAGCATTCTTAAAATGACAAAATTACAGAAATGGAGAAAAGATTAGCAGTTGCCAGAGACTGGGGTTGAGGGGACATGACTGTGGCTATAAAAGGGTAACGAGAGATCCTTGTGATGGAACCTTTGCATCCTGACTGTGGAAGCGGTCACACAAATTTACACCTTTAAAAAATGCATAGAACACAACACACACACACACACACACACACACACACACAAATGAGTGCATATAAAACTGGTGAAATCCTAAAGTCAATGGATTGTATCAATGTCAATCATTATCCTGTTGTGATACTGGACTATAGTTATGCAAGATGTTACCACTGGGGGAAACTGGATGAAGAATATATAGGATCTCTATATTATTTTTTATAATTGCATGTAAATCTACAGTTAGCTCAAAATAAAAAGGTTTTTTTTTTTAATCTCATTAACTTCCAATAGTTCCCTAATGCCCACAGTGAAATATTTCTTAGCATGGCATGCAGAATTTCACCCGACCTATAATCTCTTTACACATCCTATGCCCTGAACAACTAGTTCTAAGAGCTAACATTTATTGAGCACTGGCCATGTGCCAGGTACCATTTTAAATATTTTATATGTATTATCTCATTTACTCCTCAGTGATCCCATGAGTCAGGTACTACTGTCAACCCCATTTTATATACAAATGACGTAAGTAGCTTATCCAAAGTCCCAATATGTCACACGCTCTTTCCATACCTTTGGGTCTGTACTTGTACCGCCTAAAAAGCCTCCCCACCTAATCACCCTTTAAGGCCCTGCCCCAATGTTACCTTCTGACTTTTTCCAGACTTAACTGTTACACTAAATGTGTCTAGCACTCAGATGTAATGGATAGATGTTTAATCAACATAAGGTCTAGACAAAAGGACATGAGGAAGTTATAAAACTGGCACCACGAGAAGCATTTGACACTGATTACATTAAGCCTGTTTCTCTGAAGTTAAACCTGAATGGAAAAGCATTCTATAATACACAGTAGGGTACAGAAAAGACTCATTAGCAAGAAAATGTTCATTAATAAAGCAATGGCTTTAACACAACCAAAGAGGGAAAGGTAGTATCAGGCTAAGGAAAGGCCAGTGTCAGCTGCAAAGTCCATTATCTTTCTCAAATTTTCACATAACAAATACACCAACAAAAACCTCAACTTCCTAAACCTAGTCCATTCTGCCTTATTAGGTACTTTTGTAAGAAAAGGTATAATGCTTTTTTTCCTCAGGAAAAAGAATATTTTCTCGAGGTAAAAACGCATCTTCATTATTTCCCTTGGAGGAAATTAGATTATTATCTAAAGACTGCTTAACTTATGAATTCGCTTGAAAAACATACTGATAATCCCACAACTATCTAGAATTGTTCTGAAATCTGAGTCTCTCCAAAGGATTCACATTTTATTTTATTTTTTATTTTTTTGGAGACGGAGTCTCACTCTGTTGCCCAGGCTGGAGTGCAGTGGCGTGATCTTGGCTCACTGCAACCTCTGCCTCCTGGATTCAAGCAATTCTCCTGCCTCCCTCCTGAGTAGCTGGGAGTACAGGTGCCCACCACCACACCTCACTAATTTTTGTATTTTTAGCAGAGACAGGGTTTCACCGTGTTGGCCAGGCTGGTCTCAAACTCCTGACCTCAAGTGACCCACCCACCTCAACCTCCCAAAGTGCTGGGATTACAAGCATGAGCCACTGTGCCTGGCCAGGTTCACATTTTAAACACACATGACAGAAAGTAGAAGAAAACACCAATTTTGTTTAGGTACATGAATGAAGCTTAATTGGCTTTATATTCCCTGTCATTGACCCCATGACCCCCTCCCCCTCAATAAGTTGTCTTCTGTTAAGTATAGCCTTTTCAGAAGGCACCAACATAGAATAAAAGTGAAAAAGAGGAGAATGCTCAGAACAGACCGGGTGAGAGGGTGACAGCCAGCCTCTCTTCCACTTATTGAGTGCTTACTATGGACCAGAGACTTATCAATAACCATAAATTCTTAACAGTAACCTAAAGCCAATAAAGAAAAACACATTTTTTTTTGAGACTGAGTCTCGCTCTATCGCCCAGGCTGGAGTGCAGTGGCATGATCCCAGCTCACTGCAACCTCCGCCTCTTGGGTTCAAGCGATTCTCGTGCCTCAGCCTCGCAAGTATCTGGGATTATAGGCGCCCGCCACCACGCCTGGCTAATTTTTGTACTTTTAGTAGAGACAGGTTTTCACCATGTTGGTCAGGCTGGTCTCGAACTCCTGACCTCAGATGATCCACCCGCCTCAGCCTCCCAAAGTGCTGGGTTTATAGGCGTGAGCCACCGCGCCCGGCCAAAAAATAAGTTTCTAAATTACCCATTATACGAAAAAAGATGTGTTTTAGTACAACAAGCAGGTAAGAGACTCTTAGGAAAGGAAACTGACCGGTCGAGTTCTCCTGAACTTGGAATCTTCACGGTCTCTGTGCGTCCCAGAAGTGCTGGTTCTCTCCCTCACACTTCTATACCCAGGACTGGGGATGATATACTCTTTTCCTATGTCGATATCCTTCATCTTCTCTGAGTGGAGGTTCCAGGGCTCACAGACTGTTAGTTTCACATCAGAATTCCTGAAATTAAAAATTCATCAAGAAATAGATTATTTCCTAAACAGTACTTAACCATAAGCTCAAGTGCCTTAAAAATAGGAAAAAAAAAAAAAAGGCAAAAGTACTAAAGCTTTCTACTGTTATAGCTACAAAAATTAATTTTCAAAAAAAGTTCAAAGATTTTGATTTCATTTTTTTAAAGAAAAAGATTCAGTATAAGAGAATCAAGAAAAATTACCTTCTCCCAACTCTAAGGGAAAAAAAATTAGAAACAGTAAACACACTAGTAAAGAGACACCCATTCTCTTCAACTAAGCTCAAATCCAGTGTATACAATAGAAAGGTTGGTTTTTTTTTTAAAGACTTTCTAGAAACAATTTCAGTTTGTCCCAAGTATTAAAAACTCCACAATTTTAAAGTGGACATCATTTCTTCTACTAAATTTTACTAAATAAAAACTTACCAAACACTTATTCTACCAATGATATATTCCATCTCTGCCTTTTTATAATTAACTAATGGGTTAGCTGGTGTTATTTTAAAGCTCCATGAAGTTATCCAGTTAAAACAATGTTATAACTTAACTTCAAACACAAATTCCCTGGGTACTGAAAATGTTCTAAAACTAGATAGTGGTAATGGTTGCACAATGCAGTGAATACATTGAAAAAAAACACACTGAATTTATACTTTAAAAGAGTGAATTTCATGTCATATAAATCCTATGGCAACAAAGCTGTTAGTAAAAAACAATAACAAAAACAAATTCTCCACCCTGTATTACTAAGTCTTACCTAGTTTTTACCTGAAACTCTATTCTAAACCACTGCTTGCCTGGCTAAGTCTAATCAATATGCTGTATCAACTCAGGTCACTTAAAAACAAAAAACACATACATACTTCTCCAAAATGTTTCCCCCCTCTAAGAAGGGTCACAGCCTCCCAGAGACAAGCTGAGAAAACACCTTTCATACTAGCCTCCAACGGAAATTAAAGACGTGTAGCCGTGTCGCCTTCTGGATTCCATAAATCCCTGGCTATCGCTGTGACTTAAAACTACTACTTCTGCAGCACAAAATTCTAACCATTATAATGCAATTTTTAAAGTGTCAGATAAAAAGAGAACACTTACTAATCCTCTGAATAAAAAGGACTAAATCTCCTATGCAAAGACAGGTTTCCAGTCCAAAGAAAGCTTGATTTCTTGCCTTTCAGAATTCTGGTTCAAGTACCCTAAGTTGATATAGCTGTTACTTATCTTTAAAAAAAAAAAAAAAGTCACCTTGTCCAATGACAAACTACACCATAAAGAACAGCGGCTCACCAAGCCAGAGTGCAGCAATCACGTCATTGAGACCTCATTAAGGCTAAACTATAAACAGACCTGGCATCTGCCAGTGTCCCCAGTGTTGAGCTGTAGCTGTAGATCAGAGTAACCTTCTTACGGGAATCACGAAATTCTAACCTTCCCCTTCAAGGGTTCCCTAGCTTAGCTGATTATCTGGAAGAGGAAAAGATTAGTACTACCTTTTTAAAAGGTGGGGGTTGGGGCGGTGAGCAGTTTGAAACAGAGGAGGTCACTGGAACTCATCCACAATATGAAATGCCACATCAAGAAGAACACGAACATAATCTTAATTATCTAAGCACCCATGATAACCAAAGATTCTTTCAACCACTTTTATTTCAAAGGATGAAGTAGAATCAGTGGAGCACAGGAGCAGAGAGAGGCAGGGACAAAACGACTTCCCTGTTATGACACAAATAATGACTGTTTTGTGCCTACAGTGACTGCTGTGGTAGACACTGCTAAACTATCCTAAGGGACTAAGTTATTCTATGTATGAAGGGTGTGGGGAACAGTGTTCCATTATCTCTAACACACTCATCTCTACTTTCCTGGAAAAAGAGGCACAATCAGGAGAGCAGGCAGGCCCAAAGTAGGCACAAAGTTACTGTCTGTGGCCTTGAACATAAGGACACCATCGTCTGTGTATCTGGAACATAAAAGAGGGCACCCCACGTGGAGGCCGGCGAAGAGCTGGGAATCCTGACAGGTTTGGAAAGAAACAAAGCCCCAGTCTGAAGCAAGCAAGCAAGCAAGGATGGATCCCCAGGCCAGCCATTTTACTGATACTATTTATATTTCCCTATCTTCTCGTGTCCTCCTTTAAAGTTGTTGGAATATCTTTTTTAAATGCTCACTTGCCTCAGCTATCAAGAGAGGAAGAAAGAGAAGGGATTTTTGTTTGTAAAAAACAAACCTGTTGTCCAGACATGTACAAGGGTAGAAGCAGAATAATCAACGTGGGAGAACCCCAAAGAAGTGCCCAATAGGGTTGAGGCCACTTAGTCAGCTGCCCTTTTTTACCAAGATTCTCTTTCCACTGATAAAAGTGTAGACACTCTCCCTGCACAATGATACTGATTCAACTGCATGGCAGGAGGAGAGTTGCACGGGATTACCAGACTGGTGTGTGCAAGCTGCAGTCATCCCAACACTCATGAGTAGGTTTCCATCACCTCCAGGCCCTCAAGCTGCACGAGGAAGACACCACGCTAAAGGGATACGTATTTACCACACCCACTGTAATCCACTTGTTGCGTCTCCAAGCAGCCTCACCTTTCATACACGCTGCGGACCACAGTAAAACCTAGCCATCTCCTCCTCCAAGACCTCCTGAAACTTTCCCCGTCGTTCCTGTGCCCACCTGCCTCCAGCCTCTCCGTCTGTGCAGAAACCAAATGGCCCCTGTGTGATAAACACAAAGCCACCCGCGGCTCTGTGTGGCAGAAGCGAAAAGAGCACTGGATGACCGTGGAGAGATCTGGGCTGCGTTCCCGGCACAGCCACGGCTTTGCTGCGCGTGCTTATGTCACGTACCTCCATTTACCCGCTTGCAAAAACGAAGGGGATGACTTACTTCGAAGGTCGCTGGCGGCTCCGCTGCGGGTTGAGCAGGGTGCCCCGAGCCACCCGCTGCACAGCCTCCCAGGTGGGCGTTTCTCTCAGACCCGCTTCGCCTGGGATGCCCGGGCCCTAGGGCGTTCCCACAGCCCGCTCCGGCCTGCCCAGGCGAGCGCGACCCACACCCACGGCCCGCGGGCGCAGCGCCCCCTGGCGGCCGCGGCCAGGGACGTAGCCCGCGTCCCTGCCCGCTCATCCCGATCCTACCTGCCTGTCTTCCAGCACACGACCCCGTCACCAGACCCCGGGCTCACAGGCCTAGGAGGCGGCGGCAGGAGACCAGGGGGAGGCCATACGCCGTTCCCCAAGTCTCCAGTGTCCCCCGAACTGCTCGCAGCCCTGGCCACATCCCGCCACGCCCCGAGGAAATGCAAAGGGGTGATCCCCGTGACAACCGAGCTGGAGGGCAGGGGTGCGGCAGCAGCCATCACCTACCTGCGCCCCTGCTCCAGGACAACCGCGCCAGCCGCTCAACCACGCTCCCGAGCATGAGCCCTGCAGCAAAACAAGCCTTTATAGCGGCATCGGCCGCCACACCGCGCAAGCGCGCTGCACAAAGCATTCCCAAGGCTGAAGGGAACTGTAGTCCTCCTTCCGAGTGCCCAGGGCTGCGGACGCGGCGAAGGACTACATTTCCCAGAAGCGCCGGTGACATCCCGGGGGCGGTGCGGGCTGCCCCTCTTCCCACCGAGCTCCCGGCTCTGTTCCATCCTTCCCCGTGCCTCTGCGAGACTGTCTGGAATCTTCTCAGGGGTCGTGTTCCCTGGGGGAGGCAGCCGGGAGGCTTAACCGTGGCCCTGTGTTCGCACACAGTGCTGTTCGTAGGCAGAGCAGTCCCACCCTGCGTGGCCGTGTAGCTGCCAGAAAAGATCGTGAAGGTCATCGTAGCCCGCGTCTAACCCGTTGAGAGTCGTCAGGCCGGCCAGCCCCAGTTCTTATCTGTTGTGGCAGATACGATTGCTTGCTCATGGTTCGACCCTGCAGTCTGCGCAGATACCGCCTTTCTCACTTTAACACCAACTGCCCATCAATGTCTCGCTGCCTGGTCTCTAGATAATAAAATGCCAGGATCACAGTCTTAGAAGTGGCAAGAGCCTTAGAAATGTTATGCTAACTCATCTTCTTCTTTTTATAAATGAAACTGAAGCTCCCAGAAAGATTGATCCCTTTATTTCTCTGTTTCATCGGTACCTTCAGCATCATTAAATAAAAGCCACTGTTGAGTTCTTCCCTACCTTGTATCCGATGCTTTACATACCATTCTTGTTTCCTTTAATCTCCATTACAGCCCTATGAGTAGGTATTATGAGTTTTTTTTTTTTTTTAAGGAGTCTGGCTCTGTTGCCCAGGCTGGAGTGCAATGGCGCGATCTCGGCTCACTGCAGCGTCCGCCTTCCGGGTTCAAGCAGTTCTCCTTGCCTCAGCCTCCCGAGTAGCTGGGATTACAGGCGTCCGCCACCACGCCCGGCTAATTTTCGTATTTTTTAAGTAGAGACAGGGTTTCGCCATATTGGCCAGGCTGGTCTCGAACTCCCGACCTCAGGTAATCCGCCCGCCTCGGCTTCCCAAAGTGCTGGGATTACAGGCGCGAGCCACCTCACCCCGCCGTATTTTTTTTTAATTCAAAGATTAAAAAAGAAGAAGAAGAAGAGGAAGAGGAAGAAGGAGAAGGTAAAGTGACTTGTCCATCTTTATAACAGCTAGCTAGTTAGCTAGTGTGAAGACACTACTGTATCGTAAAGCAGCATATTCTTGCGCACGGATTGATAGACCAATGCAATAGAATAAAGAGCCCCCAAACAGACTGGTGCATCCATGTAACTTGATCTGTGACAGAAAACCTTACGAATCCGTGGGGAAAGCAAGAAGAGTCAGTAAATAGTACTGGAACAATTGGTTATACATATGAAAAAACAATCAGGGATTACCGCTTCATACCACACAGAAAAAACCCATTTCAGGTAGATCAAACGCTTAAATGTGAAAGGGAAAACTTAAAAACTTTTAGAAGAAGATAGGAAATATCTTTATGAACTTGGGAGTAGGAAAGAACTTTTTAAACAAGAAACAAAGAATAAAGGAAGAAAGATTGATAATTTTTGCCATATTAAAAGATGGCATAAATTGAAAAGATAAACCACAAGTTATAACTGACAAAGTTTTTGAATAATAAATATTCAAAATAATTTCTAAGTTCAGTAAGAAACGGCAGATAACCCAATAGGAAAATAGGTAAATGACATGAACAGACAGCTCACAGAATAGGAAACTTGAGCAGCCACTCAAATATGAAAAGACACCCAATCTCATTCATAATCAGGGAAATTGATTTTTTTTTTTTTTTTTTTGAGACAGAGTCTTTCTCTGTCCCTCAGGTTGGAGTGCAGTGGTGCCACCTCAGCTCACTGCAACCTCCACCTCCAGAGTTCAAGTAATTCTCCTGCCTCAGCCTCTGGAGTAGCTGGGACTACAGACACCGGCCACCGCACCCAGCTGATTTTTGTATTTTTCGTAGAGATGGGGTTTCACCATATTGGCCAGGCTGGTCTTGAGCTCCTGACCTTGTGATCCATCCACCTAGGCCCCCCAAAGTGCTGGGATTACAGGCGTGAGCCAACACGCCTGGCCTGGAAATGTAAATTAAAATAGTAATGAGATACCACCTCACCAAAGATTCTAGTACCTTCCAACAATGCCTCAAACACTGTAACACCCAAAACTGCAGATCTGATATCATCATATTTTTTAAAAAGCTTCTAAATCCCGCTGAAATACTTCATATATGTTGATTATAGTTTGTTTTTTATTAAAAAAGAATAGATGAACACCAGACAGCCTTGGTGGCAGGCTTCAATACACTGTAGTACTGTCTTGGTCTGTCCAAGTATAGTCTGAGTGAAAGAATTATACTTACAAAATTACCCCCTCAAAATGTGTTTGTGTTGTGAACTGTTTAGAGGGGCGATACTTCCCAACCCTCAGGCAAGGGGGCTAGAGAATCTATGTTGCAGTGTAGAATTGTGTGTCTTTTCTTTTCTTTCTTTTCTTTTTTTTAGATCTCGGCTCACTGTAACCTCCACCTCCAGGGTTCAAGTGATTCTGATTCTCCTGCCTTAGCCTCCAGAGCAGCTGGGATCACAGGCATGTCCCACCACACCTGGCTAATTTTTGTATTTTTAGTAAAGACGGGGTTTCACCATATTGTCCAGGCTGGTCTCGAACTCCTGAGCTCAAGTGATCGGCCCACCTCAGCCTCCCAAAGTGCTGGGATTACAGGAGTGAGCTACCGCGCCCGGCCAGAATTGTGGGTATTTCTAAATAATATTTATGTTGTGTAATGTACTAAACATATTCATTAAATATTTGGTAGAGATGCAGTGGAGCTAAAACAAACACGGTTCCAGCCCTCATGGGGCTTAGACTCCCAAATAAACACTAACCAGTATTTAAATGATAATTGTAGTAAGTGCAAGGAAAGGAGGTGTGTGTTTCATCTGAAGGAAGTAGGAGTGTGTGAAGTGAAGACAGTGGAAGTGGGCAGCAGAGACAGCAGTTGAAGCAGAGGAAACAATGAAGACCAGGTTGTGGTAGAATGAAGGGAGTATCTCCAAACATGTAGATCTTGTTACAGGTGTTTAGGAGCAAAAGGCAACCACTAAAAAGTTTTAAAAGGGTGAATATGTTAGGAGTTGAGAAATTAAATTTACATTTTGGGGCCGGGCGTGGTAACTCACAGCTTGTAATCCCAGCACTTTGGGAGGCTGAGGTGGGTGGATCACCTGAGGTCAGGAGTTCGAGAACAACCTGGCCAACATGGTGAAACCGCATCTCTACTAAAAATACAAACATTAGCTGGGCATGGTGGCACACACCTGTCATCCCAGCTGCTCGGGAGGCTGAGGCACGAGAATCCCTTGAACCCAGGAGGCAGAGGTTGCAGTGAACCGAGATCTGGCCACTGCACTCCAGCCTGGGTGATAAAGCAAGACTCAGTCTCAAAAAACAAACAAAAAAACAGAAAAAAAAATGTATCTTTTGGAAACTGCACTGTGGCTGGCAGACTGGGAAAGAATTTGAGACCACTAGAATGGGAGAGAAGGGGCCACCTAGGAGTGACTGTTGTTGTGTAGGAAAGAGATCATGGTGGCTTGGATTAAGGTTGTGATGGAAAAGATGGAGAGAAAAAGATGAACTCAAGAGAAATTTAAGAGGTGATATCAACAGAACATGTGGATAGATTAGATACAGGGCAATGAGAAAGAAATGTCAAGGGTAACATGTAGGTGGTTGTGGAACTGGATAGATGGTGGTCCATTCATTGGCAGAAGTGCTCTACTGCAATAGCCTGACACCGTCCTCTACCTAGCTTGTCTAGAACTAATGTCACATGCTAACAGTCACCCCATATCTGCTATGGTACTCACGTTGAATTCTTCTAACAGTTATCAAGACAGAAGCTCCCTTTGTAGTTCAATTTTTCAATGAAAGGCATTTTCATGGAATAAGACCTTTTTTAAAGTTAGTTAATAAATCAAGTTTTATATTTGTTTTTTGTTTTGTTTGTTTGTTTGTTTTTTGAGACATTGTTTCATTCTTGTTACCCAGGCTGGAGTGCAATGGCGCAGTCTCGGCTCACTGCAACCTCCGCCTCCCGGGTTCAAATGATTCTCCTGCCTCAGCCTCCCAAGTAGCTGGGATTACAGGCACCCACCACCATGCCCGGCTAATTTTTGTAGTTTTAGTAGAGACAGGGTTTCACCATGTTGGTCAGTCTGGTCTCAAACTCCTAACCTCAGGTGATCCGCCCTCCTCGGCCTCCCAAAGTGCTGGGATTTACAGGCGTGAACCACTGTGCCCAACCTAAGTTTTATATTTGACATCATGGAAACCATGTAGTGTGAAAGAATAATGCACTCTTTAATGGCCTCAGGCAAATTAGAAGACAAGAGAATTTAAGTTTTAAATAATGCCAGATGAAAGCCAGATGACATGACAGCATGTTATACAGCCAAAGGGTTCACATATTTTCATAGAGAAGCCAAGTCTTCCTAAAGTACACAGAAGTATAGGCATGTTATGAGCAGTCATATTGCACATTCATCATTATAAAGGAAAGCATTGCACATTTCCTTTGTGGTAACAACTTCCCTTGTTATTTCATTGTTACGTTACTTCATTAGTATGAAGTAGTTAGTATGAAGCGTTGCTTTTTAAATTTTTTTTTTCTTTTGAGACGGAGTTTCGCTCTGGAGTGCAATGGGGTAATCTTGGCTCACTACAACCTCCACCTCCCAGGTTCAAGCGATTCGCCTGCCTCGGTCTCCCTAGTAGCTGGGATTACAGGCGGATGCCACGACGCCCAGCTAATTTTTGTATTTTTAGTAGAGATGGTGTTTCACCATGTTGGTCAGGCTGGTTTCGAACTCCTGACCTCAGGTGATCTGCCTGCTCGGCCTCCCAAAGTGCTAGGATTACAGGCGTGAGCCACCATGCCTGGCCTGCTTTAAAAATTTTTTAAAGTACTCTTACATTGAGATGCACTATCAGATTCATTGGCCCAACAATAACAGATAGCTGTTCAAAAACTAGCTCCTTGTTAAAAACAGGAAAGAAATTGACAGCAATTATCTAATTTTAGCAAAACAATATTTGTAAATTAATTTCAACTTTATAGTGCTATAAGAACTATAAGCATAATGACTTTGCACACAGCTTTATGAACGGATTTATTTAAGTAATATTCTCATGTAAATAAGAAGTCAACATCAGGGGTTTGAGAGAATTGTTTCTCTTAAAAGGGGTCTGAGCCTTATTTGAGTTAGGGAAACACTGGGCTATAAAATAAAAGCAAACCTTGGCTGGGTATGCAAGGTCTTCCGTGATCTGGCCCTCAAAATACCACTGCCTCATCTCCTGTCACTCTCCTAGTCAAACCTGAGGTCCTGCCAACATTGTATTTTCCATGTTGTTATTCTAGCTGTTCCCTCTCTCCAGAACACCCTTCTAAATCTACTCAGCTAAAATAATAATCACAGCCCATAGGCAGGTCTTGGGATTTTAATCCTCCCAGAATGACAATTACTTACTTATTCAACGGAATAAAATGGTACAATATGTCTAACATCTCATGATGAGATGTATATGGAGAATTCTCCCACATTTTATTGTGAAGAATGGACTGAGCACCCACTACCTGAGAATCAACAGGATCCCTCTAAGCCAGAGAAGCAGGACCAATAGTCCAGAAAAAACAGAGCCTTCTCCAAAAAACAGGACTTGTCAGACAGAATGGTCAATCCCAGTCATTCCCCAATACTTCTCTTAAGCGTTTTGCTTGATAAATATGGACTTTTGACCAGAAGAAGAGAGAAACAACTCTGGTGTAAAGGTTGTTATCACTAGTAATCCCTCCCTCCTTCCCTCTCTCCCTCTCTTTCTGTCTTTCTCTCTTTCTTTCTTGAGGCAATCTCACCCTATCACCTAGGCTGAAGTACAGTGACATGATCTCGGCTCACTGCAACCTCTGCCTCCTGTGTTCAAGTGATTCTCCTGCCTCAGCCTCTGGAGTAGCTGGGATTACATGCATGCACCACCACGCCTGGCTAATTTTTGTATTTTTAGTAGAGACAGGGGTTTTGCCATATTGGCCAAGCTGGTCTCGAACTCCTGAACTCAAGTGATCCGCCCACTTCGGCCTCCCAAAGTGCTGGGATTATAGGCGAGAGCCACCGCACCTGGCAGGCTGCAGTTTCTTTCAATCAAAACAATTCAATTGTTGAGACCCTGAGGAAAAAATGTGTATTCTTAAAACAGAAATTGTGTACTTTATTGATTATAGGAGACCACCAGTGAGAAAAAATCAGCATTGCTTTTCAGCAACTAAAGTTGCCGTATAGGTGTATTTGATAAGTCGTGATACCAAAGCATCTTTTTAAACTTTCATCCTAATATTAGGTCTAGGTAGATGGCATGTGGCCCGCAGCTGTCAGGTCATTGATCTAAAGGAAAAGGGAAGAAAAGATTCCTCCTTGAGTCAGTCTAAGTTTAAATTGCTCAAGGATTCAGGGATTAAAATTTATGTCTGTTTTACTTTCTACTTGCTTGCAGCTTATAGTTTTCAACAATCTTTAGGTTTTAAAATACTTATCAGGTTTTTAAAAATTTCTTCATTTATTTGTATATATGCTATTTGCATTTTATATTCTATATGTAGCATATTTGAGATAATTTTTTCAAGTTTTTTTCTAGATTCCTATTTACTTAAAACAGTATTTCCACAAAATAACCCATGAAATACTAGCCCTGCAAGATATTCTGAAAAAAAGGGAGAATTTCCAAAATCAAAAAGGTTTGGAAAATTGTGTATATCATAGTCAAAATTTACTTTAATATATTAGCTAGGCCAAGTGCAGTGGCTCATGCCTGTAATTTCAGCATTTTGGGAGGCTGAGGCAGGAGGATTTCTAGGAGCCCAGGAGTTTAAGACCAGCCTGGGCAACATAGTGAGACTCCATCTCTAAATACATATATATATCATATATACATATAATAAATATATATCATATATAATATATATTATAATTAAATTATATATAATATATATTTTAAATATATATTATATATTAAATTATATATAATATATATTTTAATATATATTATATATTAAATTATATATAATATATATTTTAATATATATTATATATTAAATTATATATAATATATATTTAAAATATATTATATATTAAATTATATATAATATATATTTAAATATATAAATATAAATATATAATATATAAATATATATTTATAATATAAGCTAAATACTCTGGGAAATCCTGCAACAATGAAAGCTGGTTAGTCTTGTTTAGTTCAGCATTTCTCAGACTTATTTGAACATTTTATCAGTCCATTTTCATACTGCTATGAAGAAATACCTGAGACTGGGTAACTTATAAAGAAAAAAGAGGTTTAATGGACTCAGTTCCACATGGCTGGGGAGGCCTTACAATCATGGTGGAAGGCAAAGGAAGGACAAAGGCACGTCTTACATGGCAGCAGGCAAGAGAACGTGTGCAGGGGAACTGCCCTTTTTTAAGCCATCAGATCTCGTGAGACTTATTCACTATCAGGAGAACAGCACGGGAAAAACCCGCCCCCATGATTCAATTACCTCCCACCAGGTCCCTCCCATGACATGTGGGGATTATGGGAGCTACAATTCAAGATGAGATTTGGATGGGGACACAGCCAAACCATATCAAACATGAAATAACAAAAATAATATTTTAGAAACAGCATTTAACACCCTCTGGAATTAGTGTTTTACAGAAAATGCTTTGACAAATGCTTATCTAAAGTCACTTTTTAGGCTGGGTGCGGTGGCTCACTCCTGTAATCCCAGCACTTTGGAGGCTGAGGTGGGTGGATCACCTGAGGTCAGGAGTTCAAGACCAGCCTGACCAACATGGTGAAACCCCGTTGCTACTAAAAATACAAAAAATGAGCCAGGTGTGGTGGTGGGTGCCTGTAATCCCAGCTACTCGGGAGGCTGAGACAGACTTGAAACCAACTGGGAGGTGGAGGTTGCAGTGAGCCGAGATTGCGCCATTGCAATCCAGCCTGGGCAACGAGCAAAACTCCATCTCAAAAAATAAAATAAAATAGTCACTTTTTTTTTCTCATTAAACTTTGTTTTAATGGGTCTCAAAATTCTGTGACAGATTTTTGGTCAAGTATTTCCATTAAAAAGTACTAATTTTTAAAACTAATAATTTAAAACTGCCACACACACAAAAATAATACCAAAGTGGTCCACAAAACATTCTTCTTTCCTTCTGAAGATTTTACGATGCATTATTATCATTAACCAGTCTTTTACTATTAAACTTAAATGGCCAGTCGAAACGAACAGTTCTGAGACTGTTCTTCCACCACTGATTAAGAAGACCAGGGAGGCAGGTATTACGGATAACATTCATTTAGCCTTCTGAGCTTTCTGGGCAGGCTTGGTGACCTTGCCAGCTTCCGCAGCCTTTTTGTCCACTGCTTTGATGACACCCACGACAACTGTCTGTCTCAGATCATGAACAGCAAAGCGACCCACAGGTGGATAGTCTGAGAAGCTCTCAACACACAAGGGCTTGCCAGGAACCGTATCAACAATGGCAGCATCACCAGACTTCAAGAATTTAGGGCCATCTTCCAGTTTCTTACCAGAACAGCGATCAATTTTTTCCTTCTGCACAGGAAACTTGCATGCAATGTGAGCCATGTGGCAATTCAGTACAGGGGCATAGCCAGCGCTGATTTGGCCTGAATGGTTCCGGATAGTCACCTGAGCAGTCAAGCCAGCTGCTTCCATTGGTGGTTCGTTTTTGCTGTCACCAGCAACATTGTCATGACGAACATCCTTGACAAACACATTCTTGACACTGAAGCCCACATTGTCCCCAGGAAGAGCTTCACTCAAAGCTTCATGGTGCGTTTTGACAGACTTTACTTCAGTTGTAACGTTGACTGGAGCAAAGGTGACCACCATACCAGGTTTGAGAATGCCAGTCTCCACTCAGCCAATAGGAACAGTACCAATACCACCAATTTTGTAGACATCCTGGAGGAACAGGCACAAGGGCTTGTCAGTTGGACCAGTTGGTGGTAGGACGCAGTCCAGAGCCTCAAGCAGTGTGGTTCCACTGGCATTGCCATTGTTACCGGTGACTTTCCATCCCTTGAACCAAGGCGTGTTAGCACTTGGCTCCAGCATGTTGTCATCATTCCAACCAGAAATTGGCACAAATGCTACTGTGTCGGGGTTGTAGCCAATTTTCTTAATGTAGTGCTGACTTCCTTAACGATTTCCTTGTATCTCTTCTGGCTATAGGGTGGCTCAGTGTAACCATTTTGTTAACACCAACAATTGGTTGTTTCACACCCAGTGTGTAAGCCAGAAGGGCATGCTCTCGGGTCTGCCCATTCTTGGAGATACCAGCTTCAAATTCGCCAACACCAGCAGCAACAATCAGGACAGCACGGTCAGCCTGAGATGTCCCTGTAATCATGTTTTTGATGACGTCTCTGTGTCCTGGGGCATCAATGATAGTCACGTAGTACTTGCTAGTCTCAAATTTCCACAAAAGAGATACCAATGATGATACCACGTTCATGCTCAGCTTTCAGTTTATCCAAGACCGAGGCATACTTGAAGGAGGCCTTTCCCATCTCAGCAGCCTCATTCTTAAATTTTTCAATGGTTCTTTTGTCAATGACGCCGCATTTGTAGATCAGATGGCCAGTAGTGGTGGACTTGCCTGAATCTACATGTCCAGTGACAATAATGTTGATATGCGTCTTTTCCTTTCCCATTTGGCTTGGGAGTTTTCATGACACCTGTGTTCTAGCGGCAAACCTGTTGCGAAAAACAGTACTGTCACTTTTTAAAAAAAAGAAAAAAAAAACAACAACAAACTTTCCAAAGGGGCAGAGATTCTCCAGTGATAAAGAGTGATGCTGAGGACAGCAGAAGGGTGAATCCTATCAGTATCCAGCTGAGTGAGGCTAAGAGAAAAGGGCCTTATGCTTACAGGAACTGGGGTTGCTGCAGTGAACCCAGACATTTTAAGTTCAGAATATTCCATTTAGGCTGAAGCAACCTGGGCGATCTTAGGCTGGACAGGATAACCGTTACTGCCATTTTTACTGTTATTTCTGCTTCAATTTACTGCTATTAATTGCTTAAGATGGGCAAGGCACTATACATATATTATCTCAAACCACATAAGACTCCTGCAAGATAGATTTTACCCTCCCAATTTTAGAGATAAGGAAACTGAGGCTGAGAGGGTGACGTGATTCTTGTAGAAAGAATTTGGTCTTAGACATTTCTTAATACATTGTGCTACCTCAATCTGTAAACCTTCATTGAGGCGACTGCTCTCTCTTTGCTCTGTAAGCCACTTATTACTTTCCCTAAAGCCTTCCCTGCCAGAAATAATTCTAGAATAAAACAGGTTAAACCACTGATGACCTTGGCCCAATTAATCTTATCATGTCTGGCTTCCATCATGAACCAATTAATTACATACATTAATCTGATAAGACCTATGATTACCTACACATGGAATGGTATTTTGAAATTACTTCCCAAGGCTATTTAAGAATCACTATTATAAAGACACATGCATGCATGTGTTCACCACAGCACTATTCACAATAGCAAAGACATGAAATTGACCTAAATGCCCATCAATGATAGACTGGATAAAGAAAATGTGGTACACACACCATGGAATACTATGCAGCCATAAAAAGGAATGAGTTCATGTCCTTTGCAGGACCATGGATGGAGCTGGGGGCCATTATCCTTAGCAAACTAACACAGGAACAGAAAACCAAGTACTGCATGTTCTCACTTATAAGTACCAACTAAATGATGAGAACACATGGACACATAGAGGGGAACAACACACACTGAGGCCTATCAGAGGGTGGAGGGTGGGAGGAGGGAGAGGATCAGGAAAAATAACTAATGGGTACTAGGCTTAATACCTGGGTGATGAAATCATCTGTACAACAAACCCCCACGACACAAGTTTACCTATATAACAAATCTGCACATGTACCCCTGAACTTAAAAGTCAAAAAAAGAGGCTGGGCGCGGTGGCTCATGCCTGTAATCCCAACACTTTGGGAGGCCAAGGCGGGTGGATCATGAGGTCAGGAGATCGAGACCATCCTGGCTAACATGGTGAAACCCCATCTCTACTAAAAATACTAAAAATTAGCCATGCGTGGTGGTGGGCGCCTGTAGTCCCAGCTACTTGGGAGGCTGAGGCAGGAGAATGGCGTGAACCCGGGAGGCGGAGCTTGCAGTGAGCAGAGATCTCGCCACTGCACTCCACCCTGGGCGACAGAGCAAGGCTCCATCTCAAAAAAAAAAAAAAGTTAAAAAAAGAATCACAAAAGAAATTCTTAACATTGAAAGCCAAAGTCAAACACCTACAGAGGCCAACCAGGTAACATAAATGAGGAGAGCTGCTCAGGAATAAGACAGGAGGGGTGATGGAGACTGTGGTGATCTAGAGTGAGTATGAACCATCCAAAGGGTTTCACTACTTCTGAGCTTTGGCAGATTGTTGTCAAGCAGAAACGTGAGCCTCATGTTGCTAGATCTTATTTTTCAAATGAAGCCAGAAACAGTTTTTATGTGAAATCTCAATGTTTAAGTGTTACACAACTAACTTTAAAAAAAGAAAAAAAAAACACTAGCAGGGCCAAAAATAACATAAACTTTCAGGCTAATAGCTCATGACCTTTTCTTTAAAATCATAAGTCAGCAGCTGGGCGTGGTGGCTCATGCATGTAATCCCAGCACTTTGGGAGGCCAAGGCAGGCAGATCACCTAAGTTTGGGAGTTTGAGACCAGCCTGACCAACATGGAGAAACCCCATCTCTACTAAAACAAAACACAAAAAATACAAAAAAATTAGCTGGGCGTCAGCCATCCCATTACTGGGTATATACCCAAAGGATTATAAATCATGCTGCTATAAAGACACATGCACATGTATGTTTATTGCAGCATTATTCACAATAGCAAAGACTTGGAACTAACCCAAATGTCCATCAATGATAGACTGGATTAAGAAAATGTGGCACATATATATCATGGAATACTATGCAGCCATAAAAAAGGATGAGTTCATGTCCTTTGTAGGGACATGGATGAAGCTGGAAACCATCATTCTGAGAAAACGAGCGAGGACAGAAAACCAAACACTGCATGTTCCCACTCATAGGTGGGAATTGAACAATGAGAACACTTGGACACAGGGTGGGGAACATTACACACTGGGGCCTGTCATGGGGTGGGGGGAGCGGGGAGGGATAGCAATAGGAGATATACCTAATGTAAATGACGAGTTAATGGGTGCAGCACACCAACATGGCACATGTATACATATGTAACAAACCTGCACGTTGTGCACATGTACCCTAGAACTTAAAGTATAATAAAAAAATGAAAAAAAAATTATCTGGGCTTTGTGGTGCATGCCTGTAATTCCAGCTACTCGGGAGGCTGAGGCAGGATAATCGCTTGAACCCGGGAGGCAGAGGTTGTGGTGGGCCAAGATCGCGCCATTGCACTCCAGCCTGGGCAGCAAGAGAGAAACTCCATTTAAAAAAAAAAATCATAAGTCAGCTTTTATTTTAAAAAAGTATTACCTCTGCCACCACCCCCTACTCCACTAATCACTCCCTTCATTGGGTAGACCTGGGTCCAGATTGCTTTTGAAACACTAAAAAGGCATAGCAAATCAGCTTTGAGAAGAGGAAGCAGAAATATGTCATCACTGGAGCAGTGCTAATGGCTTCCTCATACTTTAAAGTCTTAACTATACTGAAGTCATGTTTAAAACCTCAGTGTATGAAGTTGCTTATATTAATAGGGACCCCCCTCCCCCCAACACGCTTTCTTTTTTGAAAGATGGCAGTAGGGGGCCGGGCATGGTAGCTCACGCTTGTAATTCCAGCACTTTGGGAGCCAAGGTGGGCAGATCACCTGAGGTCAGGAGTTTGAGGCCAGCCAACCAACATGGTAAAACCTCGTCTCTACTAAAAATACAAAAACTTAGCCAGGCATGGTGGCAGGCGCCTGTAATCACAGCTACTTGGGAGGCTGAGGCAGGAGAATCGATTGAACCCGGGAGGCGGAGGTTGCAGTGAGCCAAGACTGCACCATTGCACTCCAGCCTGGGAGACAGAGGGAGACTCCGTCGCAAAAAAAAAAAAGGAAGGGAGGGAGGGAGGGAGAAAGAGAGAGAGAGGGAGGGAGGGAGAGAGAGAGAGAGAGAGAGAGAAGGAAAGAAAGAAAAAAGAAAGAAAAAGAGAAAGAGAAAGAAAGAGAAAGAAAGAAAAAGAAAGAGAAAAGAAAGAAAGAAAGAAGAAAGGAAAAGAAAAGAAAGAAAGATGACAGCAGGGTCTAACAAGTTCACGTGCCACCTGGAGGCAGTGGTAGTCATCCATGCCTTCTCGGTGAGGCACTGTACGCCAGAGTGACTTTAAAGTATGAGGAAGCCATTAGCACTGCTCCAGGGACCACATATTTTTGCTTCCTCTTCTCCAAACTGATTTGCCATATTACTTTTGGAGGCTAGATTCAGGCCCAGTTAAAGCACAGGGTGAGTTATTCCTCTGTGACATTCTTTTGTCACCAAGGGGTCTTGTTAGAGAGGCGGTTAATGCCAGCTGATATATATATTATTCAAAGGTAGGGCTCAAGGTGTGATCTGAGGTTTTTTAAAGGTTAACATCATCATCAAGTACCCAGAGAAGTGCCAAAGAGAGGAAGATGGAAAGAGGCTGGTTCCATGGGAAAGGATTCCTCCTTGGCTTCATCCTCCACCTGCTGCTGCAAGTACCTTAAGATAAGAGCAAGAGCTGAGCAGACATGTAACTCCTGGGAAGCAGAGAAAACAGGCTAATATTTTTTATTCTGAGATAGTCAATGATTGGATGTTCGTTATGGTAAAAATGATGCTCGTGACACTGATGGCTTTGTACCTCTTCCTAGGATCCTAATATTTAGTTAACTCTTTTCTCTTCTTTTTTTTTTTTTTTTTGAGATGGAGTCTCGCTCTGTTACCCAGGCTAGAGTGCAGTGGCAATATCTCAGCCCATTGCAACCTTCACCTCCCAGGTTCAAACGATCTCATGCCTCAGCCTCCCAAGTAGCTGGGATTACAGGCACCTGCCACCGTGCCTGGCTAATTTTTGTATTTTTAGTAGAGATGGGGTTTCACCATGTTGGCCAGGCTGGTCTTGAATGCCTGTCCTCAGGTGATCTGCCCGCGTGGGCCTCCCAAAGTGTTGGGATTACAGGCGTGAGCCCCTGAGCCCAGCCTGGGAACTCTTTAAGATAATCCTAGTGATGAAGACTACTAAATGTTAGAACAATCACAGCACATAGTAAAGACACAGTAAATACTCATCAAATTGAAAAACTGAAATTGATTTGTTTCCTTAAGATCCCATATATCTCACACTACCTATCTGATTACTCCCCTTATCATTAATTTATTAGCATCTATGCCATATTAATACAGCGAGGCGGAGAACTGTGAGTGCAAAATTTGTCACTGACATCACCCACATGGCTCCAGGTTGGAGGTAAGCAAGAGAAGGACACTGGCAGAAGGTGGAGAGGTTGCAGTGAGATTGTTAAGGACATGGCAGGACACTGTAAAGTGGCGGTCGGGGTTGAGTTTGCATACACATCTGGACAGGTTTTGCATGGGGACAAAACAATGGCACTGAGGATGGATCCTTGACTCAGCTCACCTCATCAGTTTCCACCATTTGCCTACCAGCTCAGCCTACTCTTCCTGGACCAGGAAGGAGGAGCTCACATGCTTCTCCCAGTGCCCCCTGTTTTCTCTCCATGCAGAAACACTCTCCAGGCCCCCCAGCCCTGGCCCTCCTCTCTCAGTCTCTGCTCACTACAGGAAATGGCGACACTTTGATTATCAATTGCCCAGGCTTTGGCCAGCACAGGGTGGACCCTGCAGCCTTTCAAGCAGTGTTTGACAGAAAGGCTATTGGTCCAGTCACCAACTACAGTGTCGCCACTCATGTCAACATCTCCTTCACCTTGTCTGCCATCTGGAAGTTGTAAGTCCTCACCCAACATTGCAGTGGTCTAGTGGTGAGCAGTGGACCCTCTGACTGGATTTTTTTTTTTTTTTTTTGAGATGGAGTCTTGCTCTTGTCACCCAGGCTGGAGTGCAGTGGTGCAATCTCAGCTCACTGCAACCTCTGCCTCCCAGTTTCAAGCGATTCTCCTGCCTCAGCCTCCGGCACGTGCTGCCCCACCCAGCTAATTTTTGTATTTTTAGTAGAGACAGGGTTTCACCATGTTGGCCAGGCTGGTCTCAAATTCCTGACCTCAGGTGATCCACCTGCCTTGGTCTCCCAAAGTTCTGGGATTACAGGCATGAGCCACCGTGCCTGGCCCTTTGATTGGATTTTGTAAAATTAGTTACTCACAACAAAAAAATCAAACAACCCAATTCAAAAATGGGCAAAGGACTTGAATAGACATTTCTGCAAAGAAGAAATACAAACAGCCAATAAGCACAAGAAAAGGTGTATGTTCAATGTTACTAATAGTTAAGAAAATGCAGATCAAAGCTACAGTAAGATATCTCACACCCACTAGGATGGCTAGTATTAAAAAACAAACAGAAGCTGGGCGAGGTGGCTCATGCCTGTAATCTCAGCACTTTGGGAGGCTGAGGCGGGTAGATCACGTGAGGTCAGGAGTTCAAGACCAGCCTGACCAACTTGGTGAAACCCCATCTCTACTAAAAATACAAAAATTAGCTGGGCGTGTTGGTGGGCACCTGTAATCCCAGCTAGTCGGGAGGAGGAGACAGGAGAATTGCTTGAACCCAGGAGGCAGAGGTTGCAGACAGCCAAGATTGTGCCACTGCACTCTAGCCTGGGTGACAGAGCAAGACTCTGTCTCAAAAAAACAAAACAAAACAAAATTAAAAAACCAGAAAATAACAAGTGTTGGTGATAATGTGGAGAAATTGGAACCCTTGTGCACTGCTTGTGAGGATGTAAAATTGTGTAGCCACTGTGGAAAAACAGTATGGCTTTTTCTCAAAATATTAAAAATAGAATTACCATACAACCAAATAATTATACTTCTGGATAAATACCCGAAAAAAGTGAAAACGGGGTATTTGTACACTTATGTTCATAGCAGAATTACTCACAATAGTTAAAACTCAGAAGCAGTCTAAGTGTCTATTGACAGATGAATGGACAGATTAAATGTGGTATGTACTTACAATGGAATACTATGCAGCCTTCAAATGGAACAAAATTCTAACACATGCCACAATGTGGATAAGCTGTGAGGCCATTATGCTAAGTGAAATAAGTCAGTCACAAAAAGACAAATAGTGTATTTGTCTAATTTTATAGAGACAGAAAGTAGAATAGCTGTTGCCAGGGGTTGGAGAGAGGGTGAAATAGGGAATTACTGTTTAACGGGTGTAGAGTTTCCATTTTGCAAGAAGAAAAGAGCTCTGGTGATGGAGGGTGGTGGCTGGACAACAGTGTGAATGTGTTTAACGCCACGGAACTGTACACTTAAAATGGTTAAGAGAGTACATTTTATGTTATATATTTTTATCACAATAAAATATTGAAAAAATTATTTTTAGCCTGGGCAACATGGCGAAACCCCATCTCTACCAAAAATACAAAAAGTTAGCTGGGCGTGGTGGTGTGTGCCTCTAATCCCAGCTGCTCGGGAGGCTGAGGCAGGAGGCAGGAGAATCACCTGAACCTGGGAGGCAGAGGTTGCAGTGAGCCGAAATGGCGCCACTGCACTCCAGCCTGGGCGACAGAGCAAGATTCTGTCTCAAAAAAAAGAAAAAATGATTTTTAAAAGTGTTTAAAAAATTAGAGGTGCATTCGGCGGGGGTGAGGAGTAGAAAGGCATGATAAGAAATGCTGTAATGACATTACTGCAGGTAAAATCTGTTCTTTTTGGAATACTTGTCAAAACATATTCCCAATGGACCTTCATACTGTGTTTTTCATTTACATTTTCCATGTACCTTGAATTGTTTTGATCTACATCATTTTTCAGTGGCTTAGATCAAAAATCATTATTGCCACATGGACCAGCCTTGGAAGTGAACAAGGAGAGGGTGGTGGCATGGGACCTGCCTTCCTGGAGTTAATCATCTAGATGAAAGCTGCTATTCCAGGATTCACACCTTCAACTGGTGACATCGTTCCTGTGGCTAAATATGGTATGACAGACTCAGTTTCCCCTTTCCTCTACTCTGGTGCCTCTCTTTTTTCCACTCCTAGGTCCAGCTTTGCAGATTATATTGGTTAAAGCTGAGAATATCCATAAATTAGACAAGTTCAAATAGACCAATAATGAAAATACAAAACTTTCTGATTATTCTGCTGGTTTAGGAGGGCAGAAAATGGGCACAGGGAGAAGGTGGTATACACTAAGGCCATGGGAGTCAATACTTATGTGGCTCCATCCCAGAGAATCCTGAGCCAAGCTCAAGCTCAAGCTCTGTCTTGAGAAAACTGAGGTAAGCAAGTGTTAGTGTGATGGCTGCCACCAGAGAGGTGGCAGGAGAGTGAAGAAATGGGCGAAAAAAGGAAAGGGAAGGTGCAGAAGACAGAGCAAAACTAAAACTAGTTCCTTCCCCCTGTTTCTCTCATGCCATGGTTTCCTACAGACCTAGCACAATCAATTCTTTTTTTTTTTTTTTGAGAGAGTCTCACTCTGTCGCCCAGGCTCAAGGGCAGTGGTGCGATCTCAGCCCACTGCAACCTCCACCTCCTGGGTTCAAGCGATTTTCCTGCCTCCTGCCTCAGCCTCCTGAGTATCTGGGATTACAGGGGCCCACCACCACACCCAGCTAATTTTTGTATTTTTAGTAGAGATGGGGTTTCACCATGTTAGCTAGGCTGGTCCTGAACTCCTGACCTTCAGTGATCCCCCCGCCTCAGCCTTCCAAAGTGCTGGGATTACAGACAGAAGCCACCATGCCCGGCCTTGGCACAATCAATTTGTGCAGTGGAACCCAGATGAATGCGGAGGCATCAAGAAGTCCGGCATGGCAACTGAGAACCTATGGCTTTCAGATGTCTTCATCGAGGAGTCGTGAGTCTCAGGCCAAAAAAGCAGAATGGAAACCACGTCTACAGGGAAGGACACAATGTTACCGATAAGGCCACACAAAGACTCAACTTAGAAAAGAGCAGAGTCTGAATTGAAGAGCTTACAAACCCCCAGAATATGATTATAGGTAGAAGAGAGCAGTCATCTGAGTGGGGCTGGAGCTCGAGAATGGGATGACCTGACAGAGAAAGAAGGCCAAGTCTGATGGGGAAACCCACAGCACCTACCTCCCTGTCCTTCTCCCACACAGCATCAGTGTGGATCAGACACCTGCAGGTCTCATGGCTAGTATGTCAATAGTGAAGGCCACATCAAACACAATAAGCCAATGTGGGTGGTCAGCATCTGCAAACTGGACACCTTCTATTTCCCCTTCCATGGACAGAGGTGAACGCTCTCCTTCAGCCCTTTCACCTACACAGGTAAGTGGGGCTCACTAAAGTAGACTGTTGAGAGGCAGAGAAAGGGCTTTGAGTGAGAAGAGGACAGAAAGCTGGGAACAGTGAGGGAATCTTGCTGAAAAGGGCCTGGAAGCTAAGCAGTGAGGGATCCAACAGTCTGGGCAAGGGACTTGGGCGCATTTGGGGAGGCTGAGTCTTCTGGGCCTGCTTTGCAGTGGAGAACACGAGCCCGGGCATGGAGAAGGATGTCCAGGAGCTTTCAAATACATCACAGAACCTCATTCAGAACAAGGAGGGAGTGGGTACTGCTGGGTATCCAAAAAAGAACAATAAAGGTGACCGTGGCCACTAACCAGTATGAACAAGCCATCTTCCATGTGAGCTCAGGGGCCAAGACAAGGTTTCACCATGTTGGCCAGGCTGGTCTTGAACTCCTGGCTTCAGGTGATCCGCCCGCCTCGGCCTCCCAAAGTGCTGGGATTACGGGCGTGAACCACGAAGCCCGGCCTTTGTCACTCTTTTTTTTTTTTTAAATTTGAGATAGAGTTTTGTTCTTGTCGCTCAGGCTGGAGTGCAATGACGTGATCTCAGCTCACTGCAACTTCCACCTCCTGGGTTCAAGTGATTCTCCTGCTTCAGCCTCCTGAGTAGCTGGGATTACAAGGGCCCGCCACCATGCCCGGCTAATTTTTGTATTTTTAGTAGAGATGGGGTTTCACCACGTTCACCAGGCCGGTCTCAAAGTCCTGAACTCAGGTATCTGCCTGCCTCGGCCTCCCAAAGTTCTGGGATTACAGGTATGAGCCACCGTGCCCAGCCTTTTGTCACTTTTTTCACTGATAAACCTTCAGTACTAAAACAATACCTGGTACTCAGTAAATAGTTACTAAATAAAGCATCCCTTGAGGAAGAAACAAAGGCTCTATGCCAGTGATTCATGGTGAGGGTGAGCCCCGCCTTCCCCAATGGCTGTCAGAACTTTTTGGAAGGCAGGAATTTTTGTTTATTTTTAAAAAGATATGGTAGAAAGAGTTAGGAAACACTGCCTTAGGGATATGATGATTCCAAATCCTGATAACCCCAAAATATCTGATACTGTCTGCTTTCCCTCCCACTGGTCTCAAATGTTCCCCTGCAAAGTCACTAGAGATTAGACCTTGACGAGAAAAGCAATTAGAAATGAAAAGATAAAACACACGCGACACCTAAGTCGGTGGTTCCACAGTCTTGCTAAGAGCACGTCGGTAGGAATAAAAATTTAAGTGGAGAAAGTTGACACCTTGGGCCAAAAGGAATGAGATACATTTCAGAGGTAAGCAGCATGGGAGACTCTAACCTTGTGAGACGCCTTTGGATGAAAAGACCGGATGCTGAAAGGGACGGGAGGTAATATTTCCTTACTAGACAGTTTGGCCTGGGACAAATCCCAGTTCTTACTCTTACCTGTCTTGACAGCCTCCCAGCCTACTTCTCACTTGCCCCTCCTTCTCCTCCCCACCAGGTGGCCATCAGGCGCAGGTGCAGGCCCAGCCCCTACGTGGTAAACTTTCTGGTGCCCAGTGGCATTCTGATTGCCATCGATGCCCTCAGTTTCTACCTGCCACTGGAAAGTGGGAATTGTGCCCCATTCAAGATGACTGTTCTGCTGGGCTACAGCGTCTTCCTGCTCATGATGAATGACTTGCTCCCAGCCACTAGCACTTCATCACATGCTTCACTAGTACGTCCTCATCCATCAAGAGACCAAAAGCGAGGTGTGTGTTGGATGGGGAGAGGGATGGGCAGAACCAGGCGAAGTGAAAAGGGATCCTGGAAAAAGATCCTCTGGGAAAGAAACAAGAAATTCTAGGTGGCGCCTCTGGCCCTCATGCAGACCCCCTTGCCTGCAGGTGTCTACTTCGCCCTGTGCCTGTCCCTGATGGTGGGCAGCCTGCTGGAGACCATCTTCATCACCCACCTGCTGCACGTGGCCACCACCCAGCCCCTACCTCTGCCTCGGTGGCTCCACTCCCTGCTGCTGCACTGCACCGGCCAAGGGAGATGCTGTCCCACTGCGCCCCAGAAGGGAAATAAGGGCCCGGGTCTCACCCCCACCCACCTGCCCGGTGAGGGAAGTCATACTTCCTCTTCCCCCACCTCCACTTCTCTGCTCCTGCCTCCTTCCCTGTCTCCCTCCCTCCACAGGTGACATTTGCAGCCCATGGCTGAGTCTCTGTCTTTCTGTAGGTGTGAAGGAGCCAGAGGTATCAGCAGGGCAGATGCCAGGCCCTGGGGAGGCAGAGCTGACAGGGGGCTCAGAATGGACAAGGGCCCAGCGGGAACACGAGGCCCAGAAGCAGCACTCGGTGGAGCTGTGGGTGCAGTTCAGCCACGCGATGGACGCCCTGCTCTTCCGCCTCTACCTGCTCTTCATGGCCTCCTCCATCATCACCGTCATATGCCTCTGGAACACCTAGGCAGGTGCTCACCTGCAAACTTCAGTCTGGACTTCTTTTTGCCAGAGAACTCCAGAAACCAGTCAGGCTCTCAGTCAGCCTTGTGGCCCTGTCAACCGCCTCATTTTTAACCCAGTCCTCTGTGTAGTTTCAGACCAGACCTGAATAGTCTCCTATGCCCTCCAAAAGTCGGGTCCTTGCTCCTGCATGCCATCAGCCCCACTCAGCCCTCCCATACCTCCCTGGCTCCTCAGGATTCAGGTTCCTAGGGTACGTCCTTGATTAAATCACCCCAATATGCCCCTTTGCAGAAAGTATTGGCTTTTCCCTGAATTCTGTTATGGTAAAAAAAATCTTGGGATTGAGAGTCTTCTTGCAGAAACTTCTCAGCCAAAGTAAAAAGGATTTTCTCTTACGTGTGTGTTTTTTTAAGTCTATCAGACAACATGTGAAATGTAGGGGAAGAGAAAGAAGGGGCCAAAATCTATTAGAAGGAATTATAGAAAAACAGAGATTAACTTCCTAAATCCAGCTACTCTGGACTTAAGCTTCAGAAATTAATGTGCCAAAACTAGGCCTCTCCTGCTTAAAGAGCGCAGCCTTTTGTTACACCCTGACGTATGACTCATTCATCATTAAGTACTTAGAGTGTTAACATAATCCTGCATTACCGTTAAAGTATCTGTGTTGCAATTTGAGTTGATGTACCCTTAATCATGCTAAGAAAAGAACATAAGGCCAAGGGAAGCACATTTGAAAATGACATCTACTTTACTTGAGAGGAACACAAATGCCCCCGTATGAACTGGAAAGTGCCTTTTCCTAACACTTGTCTTATTATTTCGAAGGTCTTTGCCTAGGGAGCACTAGCTGCCTTGCACAAGTTGAGGCTCTACTGTGCCCTTGGACATGAGAGCTAAGGCATTTGTTGGTTCAGAAAGCACCTATTTGAGGGCAACTTAACTACACTCAAACATCATATTTTCTTTTTCGCAACGATTTATTTCCATTTCTTTCATTTATTCTACTACTTTCTATCTGTAGCTCATATTTCCCAAATCATGACCATCTAGGAGTAAAAATAGACTCACAAAATGGTTCACTAAATAATATTTCTCTGGCTTCTCCTCTCCACTGCTCTTTCCCAAACTCCTTCGGCTCCCTCTGGTCACTGTAGATGCCCAAAGGGTGGCAAGGTTGCTAATGTCCACTAGAGGTAGTGCTAGTGCCTGCCAAAGGTTCTACCCCACATTAGCTGCAAGAGTATCTGCTCTCTCAGAGCCATAGCCATGGTCGGGACTGGATCCTGGAGCTACAGAGGCTCCCAGCTGGATGCTGCAACCCCAGGACCAGCTGTCACTCGCTTTTTTCTTTCAGTTCCACTGGGACTCCAGAGGGGCCCATGGGCATCTGGGGTGTTAAATCAGAAATACCCTGCAATACTCTGAATCCCTCCTGTCACTCAGGCCCATGGTCTTCAAACCAAATTGTGTCCCTTCATTCTCTTTTTAGGATGCATTTTGTTTTTGTTTTTGTTTTTCCAAGAAGATCTTTTGCTCCTCAGTTTCCAGAACGCTGCCGGCATTCTTTTCACCATTACCGTCCTCCAGGCATGTCCACAACCTGGGGAATACAGCCCTCACATTCACCTAAGTAAATTGCTGTGTCTGTCATTATTTTGGCAGTTCCTCAACTCACAGATTTCTAAAAGGTGGGCCTTCAGGAAAGACACAGTACTAGTAATAATAACCACCAGTTACTGAGTTATTAATACGCGGCAGGCACTCTAAGTGCGCCGTGTGAATGCTCATAGTAACGCTATGAAGTAGGAACCATAGATTCAAAAACCTTTGGAGCCAAATGTGTTTTGGAGTTCGGAATTTTTCAGATTTTAAAAAGGTCATAAGTGTGCATTTATTTACTATATGTTACTGACGCCCCAACTGGGGTATGGAGCAGCACCCTGTAACCAGCAGATTAATATTTCTGCAATGAAATCTAAGAATATTCACACTAGGTGGAAAAAATAAAACTATGAATAGCTTTGCATCAATTCTGGTCTGTTTTGCCACCAAATATTTGGTGTATTTTTTTTTTTTTTTTGAGACGGAGTTTCGCTCTTGTTTCCCAGGCTGGAGTGCAATGGCACAATCTCAGCACGATCTCCGCCTCCCGGGTTCAAGCGAGTCTCCTGCTTCAGCCTCCCGTGTAGCCGGGATTACAGGCACCCGCCACCATGCCCGGCTAAGTTTTTGTATTTTTAGTAGAGACAGAGTTTCACTATGTTGGCCAGGCTGGTCGCGAACTCCCGACCTCAGGTGATCCACCCGCCTCGGCCTCTCAAAGTGCTGGGATTACAGGCATGAGGAACCACGCCCGGCCGCCACCAAATATTTGTAAAAAATCATTTAGTTTTCCAAGCTCTTTAGATTTTAGAACTGTGGTTTTGTATTATTGTCTCCATTTTTTACCTGTAGAACATGAAGACAGAGAGGCCAGTTAGTGGCCTCACAAGGTTCCACAGCTAGTTAAGCGACAGAGCTGCAGTCTGACCCGAGGCTGGCTGACTCCTAGAGGCTGGACTCCTAACCTGTCTGCTACATTGCTTTCCAAATTGAGGAGGAAACCCAGAGAGGTGCTCAGAGTCCCATATGGAGACATCGGTATCACTTCAAGTCTCTATCAGCTGACACTTTAGGAGAATTAAAACAGCAAGAGCAAGGCCCTGATCAGGGTCCCAAAGACAAACTTTCTTTTACATTTCCTTTTACTCCCTCCGCCATTTTCCCAAGTCCCACCTCTATCCCTTACCCACTCTCTCCTTACCCCGTCATAAGGCCCAGCACCTAAGTTCACTATTTATACTTTCTCCATTCCTTTCTGGAAAGTGTATTTCCCAAATCGACTCTGACCGATTCATCTTTTCTCTGTGCTCCCTCTGGATTTAGTTTTTTGGCTGCTAATGTACATTGTACTGCCAGACCCTTGCGGACCTTCCACTCCTATAACCCCATACTGAGATGGTCATTCTCACTTGAAAACTCACCCTCAACTTTTTCAGAGTAGCTTGTTTACCCAGCTTTTGAGGGGCTCTGAAATTATTTAAGATCAATTTGCATTATTTTGTCTTCCCCCCATCTTCAGGTACATATTTCTTTCTTTTTCTTTCTCTTTCTTTTTTTTTTTTTTTTTTTTTTGAGACAGAGTTTCACTCTGTCACGCAGGCTGGAGTACAGTGGTGGAGTACAGTGGTGCAATCTTGGCTCACTGCAACCTCTGCCTCCCAGGTTCAAGCAATTCTCCTGCCTCAGCCTCCTGAGCTGGGACTACAGGCATGCGCCACCATGCCTGGCTAATTTTTTTGTACTTTTAGTAGAGACGGGGTTTTACCATGTTGGCCAGGCTGGTCTCGAACACCTGACCTCAGGTGATCTGCCCAACTCGGCCTCCCAAAGTGCTGGGATTACAGGTGGGAGCCACCATGTCTGGCCAGGTACATATTTCTCTGCTTCGTTTCTTCACATTTTCCCCAAAATGTAGCTTTAAGTTTTATTTTAACAGAAGTGTGCAGTTTATCTTTTTTGACACATGGATTAATATTCTATATATCTCCTTTTAGTAAGAGAAGGCATGATATAATTATAGTGATTTTATTTTCTCCACAAGCAAAATCTGAACATGTGATCCTAACATCAATGGTAATCATACAGAACCTTTGAATCTGGAGCTCTCCCACAAAATTAACAGGTGTGCCTGCTGCTTTGCTGTTCCATCTATAATAGAATCATATGATAAGTACAGTTTGTGCTAATGACTTTCCTCTTGTTATCTGGCAAACCTCTGAAAGGCTTTGCAAGGTAATTTATGACCTCTTTAGAAACCTTGCTGACAGGCACTGGTCCCTCCTGTGCCACCTTGCATTTGACAGCCTGTTTCTGCCTGGCAGCTCCTCACTTTGTCCATTCATCTGCAGTGCTATCCTGTGGTTCTCACATGTTCACTTTCTCATTATCTAAACCATTATAAACAGTATTTCAGCCAGGTATGGTGGCTCACGCCTGTAATCCCAGCACTTTGGGAGGCCAAGGCAGGCAGATCCTTTGAGCTCAGGAGTTCGAGACCAGCCTGGGCAACAGTCTAAACCTCATCTCTACAAAAAATACGAAAAATTAGTCATGGCATGGTGACATGCACCTGTGGTCCCAGCTACTTAGGAGGCCAAGGTGGGAGGATCTCTTGAGCCTGGCAGGTCAAGGCTGCAGTGAACCGAGATCACGCCACTGCTCTGAAGCCTGGGTGACAGAGTGAGACCCTGTCTCAAAAAAAAAAAAAAGCATTTTTCCATGTTTAATCTACTTTCTTTTGGTTCCATATTAACTTCACACTAGAATATTTGTCTTGTTATCGTGTTTCAGGGCAGGACCTGAAGGACCTGAAGGAAGGCCCTGCCCCTTCCTTCAGGTCTACTCTAGGATGTGAAGCCACAGGCATTGTTTCAAACCTGTCCTTTTTCTCCTCTTCTATTTCTGATTCTCCCTTTGATAACCTCTCTTATTTGACAGTTCATTGGCACTGGTTCTTTTATACAGCAGGAAAAAAACGAAGGTACAGTAGAGAGAAATCTGGCATCTGGCTGTCCTGGGTTTTTAATCTGATGCCATTACTTGCTAGTTGGATCATATTGGCCAAGTGGCTTAACCTTATATATTAAAAATTTTTTTCATTTGTGAAGTAGAGCTAATAACACAGATTAAATTATGTTTCGAATATTGCTATTGACAATTATTAATAAGTTGATAGAAGCTGCAAAACTGAATGTGAAACACCAGAGAGCGTCCATTTTTCACACAGGCTGAAATCTGAAGTGCAAAACAGTCTTCTAGGTGGGAGGCAAGAGACATAAAGAATTACAGATTTCCAGGTCAACCCCCTCCTTTTTCAGATGGGAAAAATGAAGTGGAGAGAAGTGAAGTGACAAGTATGAAGTTATCATCATTCAACAGTGCCTGGGAAAAGAGCCTGGGCCTGTGAAAGTGGCAGCCACAGGTGAAGGCTTGTCCATCAGCCTTTTATCCTAGGTGCGGCTCAGGAGGCCCAGGACGCTCCCACTCTCCTGCTCCCAGGCACTATAGCAGCCTGACCTCAGCTGGTGACCCAGCTGGTGATTTGGGTGCTTTAGATACCTCCTGCTCTCCCAGCTCCCTAGCCCTGGCCAATGCCCTCTGCATGTGATTGCCATCTATCCGGGATGCAGAATGGCAGCCCTCACAGCCTCCTTCCACCATCAAATTCTGCCCTTGCCAGCTAACATCTATATTCCAAATCTGATCTCCCAGAGTCCCAGATGAACGGACCACCAGGGGCCATGCAGTGTGATCCTCTTGGGATAAGCTGAGGAGCTAGATATTGGTACCTGTGATTTGCAAAACTATAGCTGCTGCCCCTGCTATTTACCTTGGGATCCAAGCACTGTTCAGGCCCAGGGATTTCACTGATGAAAACCTAGGAACATAATGAACCAGTCAACAAGATTCCCTAGCTGTGAAATAATAAAAAGAGCAAAGAAAGAGCAATAGAATCAGATTAATCTGGCTTTGAATCTGGATTCTACCAATTTCCACCTGAGTGGACACTGAGCAAGTTTTTTTTTTGTTGTTTTTCTTGTTTGTTTTTTGTTTTGTTTTGTTTTGTTTTGCTTTTAGATAGGGTCTCACTCTGTCGCCCAGGCTGGAGTGCAGTGGTGCGATTTCAGCTCACTGCAACCTCCACCTCCTGGGTTCAAGTGATTCTCCTGCCTCAGCCTCCCGAGTAGCTGGAATTACAGGCACCCACCATCATGCCTGGCTAATTTTTGTATTTTTAGTAGAGACGCGGTTTCACCATGTTGGCCAAGTTGGTCTCGAACTCCTGACCTCAGGTGATCCACCTGCCTCGGCCTCCCAAAGTGCAGGGATTACAGGCGTGAGCCACCATGCCCGGCCTGAGTAAGATTTTGGACCTCTCTGCCCCTCAGTTTCCTTTCCTTTCCTTTCTTTCTTTATTTGCTTCCTTTCTTCTTTCCTTCCTTCTTTTTGTTTCTTTTTTGACAGGGTCTCACTCAATCAACCAGGCTGGAGGGCAGTGTGATCTCAGCTCACTGCAACCTCCACCTCAGCCTCCTAAGTAGTTGGGACTAAAGGCATGCGCCACCACACCTGGCTAATTTTTGTATTCTTTGTAGAGATGGAGTTTCACCATGTCACCCAGGCTAGCCTCAAACCTCTGAGCTCAAGCAATCTGCCTGCCTCAACCTCCCAAAGTGCTGAGATTACAGGTGTGAGGCACCCCACCCAGCCTCTTTCTTTTGTAAGACAGGGTCTTGCTGGAGTGCAGTGGTGCAATCATGGCTCACTGCAGCCTTGAACTCCTAGGCTCAAGCGATCCTCCTGCCTCGGCCTCCCAAGTAACTGGGACTACAGGCATATGTAGAAATGGGGTCTCACTATATTGCCCAGGTTGGTGTCAAACTCCTGGCCTTAAGCGATCTTCCCACTTTGGCCTCCCAAAGTGCTGGATTACAGGTGTGAATCACTACACCCCAGCCTCAGTTTTCCAATCTGTAAAATGAGAATTCTGTCTGAAAGCAGTCATGAGGATAAGAATGCTGTAAGTAAAGTGCTTAGCACAGTATAGGGCACATGGCACAAACTCAGTTGGTGGTGGCTCTGGTAGACTATTCTGAGCCTGGCATTTTCTGGAAAGTTAGAGAAGCATTCAGAAATAAAAGGCTGGGGCTGAGCGTGGTGGCTCACGCCTGTAATCCCAGAACTTTGGGAAGCCGAGGCAGGTGGATCACTTGAGATCAGGAGTTCAAGACCATCCTGGCCAACATGGCAAAACCCCATCTCTACTAAAAAAAATACAAAAATTAGCTGGGTGTGGTGGTGCGCACCTGTATTCTCAGCTACCTGGGAGGCTGAGGCAGGAGAATCACTTGAACCTAGGAGGCGGAGGTTGCAGTGAGCCGAGACCATGCCACTGCACTCCAGCCTGGGTGACAGAGTGAGACTCTGTCTCAAAAAAATAATAAAATTAAAAGAAAGAAAGAAAGAAAAGGCTAGGCCCTGGCTTCAGCCCTCCGGATCCCACCTGCTGCAGACCGCAGTGCTTCTACCTACCCCTATCTCTACCAGACCGCACCCAAGACAAAGGCCCACACCCCAGCCACACCACAGAAACAGCAGCTAACTTCTCTGATATGGCCTCAGGACTCCCGTGCAGCTCCCAACCACCTCTTACATCCTCCCAGGGTGCCTGTGTCCCCTCCGCTCATGCATAGTGAACTGGCAGTCCAGGCATTTAACAAACATTTATTGACTGCCTACTATTACATGCCATATACTGGGGGTACAAAAAAGAAGAAGATGTGATTCCTGCTCTCCAAGATGTTACAGAGCAGTAGGGGAGATGTACATGCAAAAAGATGCTTCCAATGTAGGGGTCATGATAGAGTTCAGGTGTGTGCAGGCATGCATGTGCTTGCAACAGGAAGGCTTCACAGAAGACCAGACACTTGAGCTGAGCTGAATCTTTAAGAATTGATTGGCTGGGTGCAGTGGCTCATGCCTGTATTCCCAGCACTTTGGGAGGCAGAGGCAGGCGGATCACCTGATGTCAGGATTCAAGCCCAGCCTGGCCAACATGGTGAAACCCCATCTCTACTAAAATACAAAAAAATTAGCCAGGTATAGTGGCCCACGCCTGTAGTCCCAGCTACTCAGGAGGCTGAGGCAGGAGAATTGCTTGAACGCAGAGGCAGAGATTGTGCCACTGCCCTACAGCCTGGGCGACGGAGTGAGACTCCGTCTCAAAAGAAAAAAAAAAGAACAGATTAGGCCAGGCATGGTGGCTCATGCCTGTAATCCCTGCACTTTGGGAGGCCGAGGTGGGTGGATCACGAGGTCAAGAGATTGAGACCATCCTGGCCAACACAGTGAAACCCTGTCTCTACTAAAAATACAAAAAAATTAGCTGGGCGTGGTGGCACGCACCTGTAGTCCCAGCTACTCAGGAGGCTGAGGCAGGAGAATTGCTTGAACCTGGGAGGCAGAGGCTGCAGTGAGCTGAGATCGCGCCACTGCACTCCAGCCTGGGTGACAGAGCGAGACTCTGTCTCAAAAAAAAAAAAAAAGAATTGATTAATAGCACAGGAAAACAATGGTAGAAGGTGTATTTTAGATTGAGAAAAATATAGAGGTGTAAAATCACGTATTGTGTGGCGGGGGGTGCTGTTTAGTAGTATGTTTCTCCATGTGTGGTCCATGGCCCACCCATATTAGAATCATCCACGAATGAAATGGAAATTCCTGAGCACAACTGCCTGCACTTCTGATTTGGGGCCAAGACTGTGATTTAGGGACAGAAGTGTGAGGGTAGAGCACATGAGGTAATTCTGATACACGTTAAAGATAAGAATAACTCTTTTAGAACATAAAATTCCGGGCAAAAATGATGGGGAGCTAGGTGAGAGTTAAGTCAGGGAGTGTATTTTACATCATGCTCAGGAGCATTTCATTGTGTAGGCCTATGGTTCTCCAAGTGTGGTCCCAAGACCAGCTGGCTGCAGCAGCAGCAACACCTGGAAGTTCACTGGAAATGCAGATTCTCAGGCCCAACAATTTTAACTGCTATCAACAATGGGAGCCATTGCAAAATTTCAAGTATAAGAAAGACAGGGTCAGCCGGGTGCGGTGGCTCACGCCTGTAATCCTAGCACTTTGGGAGGCTGAGGCGGGTGGATTGCCTGAGCTCAGGAGTTCAAGACCAGCCTGGGCAACACAGTGAAACCCCATCTCTACTAAAATACAAAAAATTAGCCAGGCATGGTGGCGTGAGCCTGTAGTCTCAGCCACTTGGGAGGCTGAGGCAGGAGAATTGTTTGAACCCGGGAGGCGGAGGTTGCAGTGAGCCGAGATCACACCACTGCACTCCAGCCTGGGCGACAGAGCAAGACTCTGTCTCCAAAACAAAGAAAAAAAAAAAAAAAAGAAAGAAAGACATGGTCAGATTTGCATTTCAAACAAATGAACTCAGAATAATCTAGAAGGATAGATAATGTAGAAAATACCAAACTAGGAGTGAGACCACTAAGGAGGTGACCAGGTGTGAAGCTGGAGGGTTTTGATGGTAATGCACGGTTGCCAGAGAGATTCTTCGCCTTAACTTTCTACCCTCCTGGGAAGGCTGGCTATGCTGCACAAGGCCATTCTCCAACAAGGGGCACCTAAAGGATGGGCAGCTCTAGGCTGAAGGAAATGCTTTTCCAGTCAACTCAGGCATAGCTATTGCAGACCTGCAACCAAGGTTTAGGGAATCCCAAGGAAACACAAAGTTTTCTGGAAACACCCACACCTGATTTGATGGTATTCTCCAACAGATCTAGGGCTGCACCCCCAAACATGAAGGCCTTGGAAACCCAGCCCAGCAGTGTCCTTAGCACTGACTCAAACAACCTCTGGCTCTCCTGAGCCTCTGAAGGCCCACGTGCTCCTGTGTCCAGCCTCTAGCCTTTCTGCAATGTCCGATTCTGACTATTCAGCCACCCTGGGTACCCTCAGCCAGAGCAAGCTATGCATCCCAGGTCAGGACAATACTCACACGGTGCCTCCACAGGGCTTATGAAACTGATGAAAGGTGACACTTGCCCTCATTTCAGAGTAGAACAAGCTCTCGTGCCTACTCACGCAGGCCTTACTGGCTGGCCTGGCGCCGGAGCCCAGCACTGTGCTCCTAAATCCAGTGTCTGTGTTCCAGCCCTTCTGAAGAAGTTCCACCTTGATGTCCTAAAGTCTTAGGGAATCTATTGCCCAACCTCCCTATTTCCGATCCCCAGAGTACGGCCCAGCAGACACCCGGTACCAATACTAAAGTGCCTGGACAGGAGTCTCAAGTGTCTGCTGCCAGTCCATACTGGGAGTTTTATGAGAGAGGCCAGGAATTGTCTTGTCAGTCAGAACAGGGGGTGGGAGGAGAGGAGAGGACATGATGACCACCCTATTGTCGTTTGGGATTTTAAAAAGCATTAAATTTCTAGAATCCCAACTTGCCAAGTGTTCTCAAGTGCAGGCAATTTTACCCCTAAGAAGACCTTTGGCAATCTCTAGAGACATTATTAATGGTTGCAGCTAGGGCGGGGGGATGCTACTGGCACCTGATGGGCCAGAGTTGCTGCTAAACATCCTACAATGCATAGGACAACTCTGCAAAGAATTACCCGGCCCCAAATGCCAACAGTGCTAAGGTTAAGAAACCCTGCTCTAGGTAACCCCAGGCTCATAAGAATCCCAACTGGACCCAGAATTACCCAAGGAGCCAGTTAAAGCCTAGATTCAGAGGCTGTATTTCTAGATGTTTTCCTGGCCGAGTGCCCAAGAATTCTAGAGATATGTAAACCCAAGACATAAGCTCCAAAGATGCGCAGAGAAAGAAGACAGTGTGGAGGAAGTCCCTGACCCTTCCGCAGTGACCTCTGAGTCAGAGAAGAGCTTCTGAGCCACCATGAAAGCCCATAGCTTGGCTTAGGAAGGACATGTGCTGGGAATTAAAATAGGAGCCCTAAAGACTACCCAGGATATTCCAGAGAATGTAGGAATGTAGGGAACAGGTAATCCTGATGGCCTTAGAAAAATGATATCCGGGCCAGGCATGGAGGCTCATGCCTATAATCCCAACACTTTGGGAGGCCGAGGCAGGCGGATCACCTGAGGTCTGGAGTTCAAGACCAGCCTGGCCAACATGGTGAAACCCCATCCCTACTAAAAATACAAAAATTATTCGGGCGTGGTGGCACGCACCTGTAATCCCAGCTTATTGGGAGGCTGAGGCAGGAGAATCGCTTGAACCCTGGAGGCAGAGGTTGCAGTGAGCCGAGATCACGCCATTGTACTCCAGTCTGGGTGACAAGAGCAAAACTCCATCTCAAAAAAAAAAAAAAAAAAAAAGATATCTCAGCTACTGAAGCTCTGTCTAAATATGGCTGACCTCCCCTTTCTGAGAGCCCACTGGAGAAGGGACAGAGGAGGCAGGCACTCCCAGGAGACACTCTCCAAGTCACATGGTGACATTGTACTTTGGTCCTAAATGGCATGATGGGTCAAATCTAAAGGATAGATTTCACGCTCAATTTCTACCAGGTTGTTAAGTCATCCTCAGCCCCAACGTCCCTCCTTTTAAGCTGAGAATCACCCTGATTATAGCCCATTTTTTTCCAGGGCGCCTATCCCCCAGATTGATGCCTTGTATAGTCCAAAACCAAGGGTCCTAGGATCTCATTTGCTGCTCTCTCTTCTTCCATCCACTTCCAGGGCCATTCACACACCTGGCTTTCCAGATCTGTCCTAGATCGCACCTGTGTTTGACTTGCTTTAAAGGTACATTATGTATAGAACCACCTGGCTTCCTGGCTTGGAAAGGCATCTGTAGCCTGGCCAGTTGCCCCAGCCCTCATGACAACAACTTCCTCCTTGTGTCAGCCAGTACCTTATGTTGCAGATGCTAACATGTCTCCCAGCTGAACCCTTTCAAGTCATGAAGGAGAGCTCTAAACCATGAGCAGTTTTCCTTCCTTCTTTCCTTTATTTCTTTCTCCTTCCTTCCTTCCTGCCTTCCTGCCTTCCTTCTCTCTCTCTCTCTCACTCCTTCCTTCCTTCCTTCCTACCTTCCTTTTTTTTGAGACGGAGTCACGCTCAAGTGCAGTTGCGTGATCTCGGCTCACTGCAACCTTCACCTCCCGGGTTCAAGTCATTCTCCTGCATCAGCCTCCTGAGTAGCTCGTGTCTTTCTCCCTCCCTTCCTTCTCTTTCTCTTTCTCTTTCTTTCTCTTTCCTTCCTTCTCTCTCTCTTTCTCTTTCTTTCCCTTTCTCCCTTCCCCTTCCCCTTCCCCTTCCCTTCCCTTCCCTCCCCTCCCCTCCCCTCCCCTCCCCTCCCCTCCCCTTCCCTTCCCTTCCCTTCCCTTCCTTTCCCTTCCCTTCCCCTTTCTTACAGGGTCTTGCTCTGTTGCTCAGGCTAGAGCATAGTGGCACCATTATGGCTCACTGCAGCCTTCACTTCCTGGGCTGAAGCAATTCTCTCACCTCAGCATCCCAAGTAGTGAGAACTATAAGCACATGTCACCACACCTGGCTCCTTTTAAAAATTACTTTTTAGCCGGGTGCGGTGACTCAGACCTGTAATCCCAGTAATTTGGGAGGCTGAGGCGGGTGGATCACGACGTCAAGAGCTCAAGACCATCCTGGCCAACATGGTGAAACCCCGTCTCTACTAAATATACAAAAATCAGCTGGGCGTGGTAGCGCGTGCCTGTAGTCCCAGCTACTCGGGAGGCTGAGGCAGAGAATCGCTTAAACCCAGGAGGCAGAGGTTGCAGTGAGCCGAGATTGCGCCACTGCACTCCAGCCTGGGTGACAGAGTAAGACTCTGTCTCAAAAAAAAAAAAAATTACCTTTTGTAGAGATGGGGTCTCACTGTGTTGCCTAGGCTGGTCTCAAACTCCTGGGCTCAAGCGGTCTTCCTGCCTCGGCCTCCCAAAATGTTGGGATTACAGGCATGAGCCACCGTGCCTGGCCTGGAGCAGGTTTTCTAGCAATTCCTCTGTTCCCTTCTATTCCTCCCTTTCTCACTCCTTCCACTCCAGTACTTCTAGCCACCTTTCTGCCTCTCTTTCTCCCCTCTTTGATTCTTTCTTTCCCTTCAACCTCTGGCTCAAGTTGGCCAAGTTTCCAAGTCAGGGAAGAAATTACTTGCAGAGGTGGTAGGTCTGAAGGACTGCAGCTACCGCAAACCTCAAATGGAATCCACTGCAGCCCTCTCCTGTGCCTTCCTACTTTGGGCCTCTAAGTCATTCCTGCATTTCTCAGCACTTTCTACTTAGGGCTGTCATGATCACTAATTCTGAACAAAGTTTTTTTTGTATTCTACATCTGGCCCTTCACCCTTTCTGCAAGGAAAAACTGTCCAAGTCTTTCTGGAAACGTAGCTAAGATACTTGAAATAAAAATGCTCCAATTCATTCATTTGAGCCAATTTTTTTTAATAGGAATGTGGTGACATAAGACATAATATTAACACATGCCAATGATATTGATGTTAGCTGAGATTACTAGTTTACAATAATGCTATATATTAACACTATTGACAGCACAAAGTGTTACTATCTTAATTTTATGAGTTCTATTATCATGTAATCAGTGCATAGCCTAAAAATTATACGGAGAACATTGGTTTGGAGAGAATAAATCAGAAAGGCAGAGACGCTGTAAAGAGGAAATCTAGTTAGGGGCTACTGGAAAAGCATAGACACTAGATGATGAAGGTATGAACCAAGCTTTATAATTTGGCATTTGGAATAATTCCAATGTCAACAAAAGCTGTAAGATACTTTGGTAAGGGGGCCGGGCGCGGTGGCTCACGCCTGTAATCCCAGCGTTTTGGGAGGCTGAGGTGGGTGGATCACGAGGTCAGGAAATCGAAACCATCCTGGCTATCACAGCGAAACCCCGTCTCTACTAAAAATACAAAAAATTAGGCGGGTGTGGTGGCACACACCTGTAGTCCCAGCTACTCAGGAGGCTGAGGCAGGCAGGAGAATCGCTTGAACCAGGCAGGTGGAGGTTGCAGTGAGCCAAGATCGTGCCACTGCACTCCAGCCTGGGTGACAGAGAGAGACTCTGTCTCAAAAAAAAAAAAAAAGATACTTTGGTATTCATAACCAAATCACTAAGTATTGCACCTGGTCTTGGTGCACACAGATTCCCTGGTCTTGGAAGCACACAATCCTAATTTCCCCAGCCTACATTCTCTCATTAAGGCACGTTATTTTGTTTTGGATCTCAGCACACAGCTGCCAAATAGAATGCTTTTCCCCTAGTGTCCGCCCAATTTCCTGCCTGCCTGGAGCCCGGAAGGTGCATCTGGGCAGAGCCAATGCAGGACACTTGGCTGGGACCTCTCTGGTCACAGGCTGTCACAGGGAGTGGTCACTTGCCATGAGTAGTATTCAAAACCAGCAACCAGGGTGTGGTCTGAGCTCCTTTAAGCTCCAGGGTTTGGGAGCTCCTGGTGAATCCCCAGAGAAGAGTCCAGAAAGAAGAATGGAAGGAGGGTGGCCTGCAAGGCAGAGTGCCCTCCTCTGCCTCACTGTCAGTCTTCTGCTTCAAGGTAAGATGGGACGAGAACAGGGAAGACCAGAGTGTGGTTCCGAGGGACACCTGGACTCACCTCTAGCACTTGGAGGGCATTCAGAATTAATGTGTTAAATATTTCTTCCATAATGTCTGTGTCCTGATTTCCTTTTGGTGACAGATAGAAAGACAGTTCACTGATGAGTGCACACAGACTTTCTCTGTTCCTGCCTGCACAGGGATCTATCAAACTGTCTCATTTCACCACTTCTCCAATTCCACCTTTTCACTGACTTCTGATGCTCCACTACCACACCCTTCTTCCCCCTCTCCTTGTCTCTGTTTCTCCTGACATGATATCTATGAGAAGAGTAGCCACTGATTTTAAACATGCCCTGAGGGAGGGGACAATCTGAGGTGGAAATGAGCAGATATTTTGCTTCCATGAGGTAATATTTGTTCCCAATCTGGACACATACCTTAAATATTATGGAAAGAGATGGAGATAGAGAGAAGGAGGCAGAGAAAAGGACCATATAATGATGGCGATGGAGCAAAGATGCCACTCAGGTACTACCCAGATGACTCCCTGGCCATGGCCGAGAGACAATATCTGCACCGGCCTCACTTTGTGGTTTTGTTGTTGTTGTTGTTTGTTTTTTGACATGAAGTGTCGCTCTGTCGCCCAGGCTGGAGTGCAGTGGCACGATCTTGGCTCACTGCAACCTCCGCCTCTCGGGTTTGAGCGATTCTCCTGCCTCAGCTTCCTGAGTAGTTGGGATTACAGGCGAGCGCCACTATGCCCAGCTAATTTTTGTATTTTTAGTAGAGATGGGGTTTCACCATGTCGGCCAGGATGGTCTCGATCTCTCGACCTTGTGATCCGCCCACCTCGGCCTCCCAAAGTGCTGGGATTACAGGCGTGAGTCACCGCGCCCGGCACACCGGCCTCACTTTGTGACTGAACAAATGCTGTATGCTCAGTGATGTCACCTCATGATCCCGATGCTAGAAATAACCCACGAGACAACTGAGGTCACTAAATCTGAGAAGAGCAAAATAAATGCATAGCACCAAGGTAAGCACCCAGTCAGATACCTACCGTGTTTCTCATATCTACCTGGTGAGTGCAGTTGTGTAAAATGTCTCTTATCCTCTTGATAAATCAGTTCTTGCCTTCAGTAGACTTAAGATCCTAAGAGTTAGAGAGAGAAATACATTAGCATCGATTTTTAGGTGACTTGGACCACAAGTTTTGGGCAGTTCTACTGCTAGGTGAGCCAAGAGTCTTGTGATGGGTACATTAAAGGACTCCTGGAAGTAGCTGCCATTGCACTTAGGCCAAGTTTTCATACAGATTTGGGCAAACTTTGCATGAGGATGAAGCAATGGGAATGAGAATAGAGCCCTGACCTCAGCTCACCACATCCACTTCCACCATTTGCCTACCAGCCCAGCCCATCCTCCCCAACCATGGCCTTGGGGAGTCTTGGCATGGGAAGGAGGGGCTCACCTGCTCCTCTCAGTACGTCCCCTATTTTATCTCTCTGCAGAGAGACTCCAGCCCTGGAAATAGAGTCCCTCTCTCACGGAGTCTCTGCTCTCTATAGGAAGAGGCGACGCTTTTACCATCAATTGCTCAGGCTTTGACCAGCATGGGGTTGACCCTGCTGTCTTCCAAGCAGTGTTTGACAGAAAGGCCTTCCGTCCATTCACCAACTACAGCATCCCTACCCGTGTCAACATCTCCTTCACCCTGTCTGCCATCCTGGGAGTGGTGAGACTTAGTCCCTGCATCTTTTCCATGGCTTCTAATAAGGAACGAGGACCCTCTGCCCTGTCAACCCAACATGGCCCTGGCCCCGTGGTGAACAATAGGCACCCTGGATGGATTTAACGCAAGTTAGATGCTTTTCCTATGCGATGGAGAGGCACGAAGAAGAATACTGCAGTGATGTTTTTTCAGGAAGGCATTTGTCTTTGAATCCTGTCATTTCTAGAATGCTCTAGAAAAAAGTAGTCTGTATATTAATCAAAATCAGAATTGCCCATAGACACAGGGGAAACGAGTGAGGAAAAGACAATTCAGCATCTACAACAATGCCTGGCCCAATAAATTAGTAAATATTGGTGGGAATATGAGGTGGGCATTGGCCAAACCTTTTAACACTAATAATCCTGAGTGGAAATTTCCTTGTCAGGATGCACAGCTCCAGCTGCTGACATCATTCCTGTGGATGGATTTGGTAAGGCAGATTCAACTATCTCCTCCCCACTTCATTTATAATTTTAAGCCTGAGGAGTTAGAAGTGACTTAAAGGGGCCAGAAGCAGTGGCTCACGCCTGTAATCCCAGCACTTTGGGAGGCCAAGGCAGGTGGATCACCTGAGGTCAGGAGTTCGAGACCAGCCTGGCCAACATGGTGAAACCCCATCTCTAATAAAAATACAAAAATTAGCTGGGCATGGTGGCAGGTGCCTGTAATCCCAGCTATTCGGGAGGCTGAGGCAGGAAAATTGCTTGAACCGGGGAGGCAGAGGTTGCAGAGAGCCAAGATTGTGCCACTGCACCCCATCCTAGATGACAAGAACGAAACTCCATCACACACACACACACACACACAGAAAAAGTGACTTAAAAGTTTTCTAGTTCAAACCTCTACCCAAAGTATAACTTTTTCTGGGATCTGGGAAAAAATAACTCCATGTAGAACTGGACTCACCATGGGGACCCAAACCTCCCTGGGAATCTTAGGAAGGTTGAAATAGCAACTCAAAAAAAAAAAAAAAAAAAAAAAAAAAAAGGCCAAGTGCAGGCCAATATATTGGTGTGGTCCTAACTCCAAGTGGTTTTAGGCCATATTTAATATCTGCCTGCCAAAAGGCTATCAAGGGGTACTTTTCTGGTGACACCTTGTTAAATCAAGAATGGGGGGATAGGCTGTGGTTATTAGGGTCACAAATGGGAGTGGGAGGATCAAGGTTTAAAGAAGAATGGAAAGGGTGGGAGAGGCCGACAGGACAAGCTCACCGTCACTCACCTCTGTCCCTCACTGCCCTGATGCAGGTATGGGACAATCCTTTCATTAATTGGAACCCAAAAGAGTGTGTTGGCATCAATAAACTCACAGTATTAGCTGAAAACCTGTGGCTCCCAGACATCTTCATCGTGGAATCGTGCGTATGCAGGCTGGGGAAGCCAGCGTGAAACCTCATCTGCCGAGAACAGCCTAGGGTCAGCACAGGGCATGGGGCCACCGAAAGATTCAGACAGGCACACAGTCTCAACGAACTGACTTCCACACATCACTACGAGTAGAAGAGGCGAGAGAGTGACATTAAAGAAAGAGCCCAGGGCCAGGCGCGGTGGCTCACGCCTGTAATCCCAGCACTTTGGGAGGCCGAGGCAGGTGGATCACCTGAGGTCAGAAGTTCGAGACCAGCCTGGCCAACATGGTGAAACCCCCATCTCTACTAAAAATACAAAATTAGCCAGGTGTGGTGGCACATCCCTGTAAATCCCAGCTACTTGGGAGGCTGAGGCAGGAGAATTGCTTGAACCTGGGAGGCGGAGGTTGCAGTGAGCTGAGATTGCACCACTGAACTCCAGCCTGGGCTACAAGAGTGAAACTGTCTCAAAAACAACAAAAAAATAAAAATAGAAAGAGAAAGAGCCCAGAAGGAGAGCACAGCAGGGGAGACCCCAGAAGGAAGGGAGACAAGAGCTGATTAAGCCTCCATCTCTTCCCTCCCTTCCCCAAACAGCATGGATGTGGATCAGACGCCTTCCGGTCTCACTGCCTATATCAGCAGTGAAGGTCGAATTAAGTATGATAAGCCAATGAGGGTGACCAGCATCTGTAACCTGGACATCTTCTACTTCCCTTTTGACCAACAGAACTGTACCTTCACCTTCAGTTCTTTCCTCTACACAGGTAAGTGTGACACATTTTGGTAGCTGTTTAAGATTCAGGGAAGACATTTGAGTGGTGTAGGTATCATTAGAAAAGGTTTTGGATCAGTGTTGCTCCACTCCGGTGGCCTAACAAAGCTTTTTGAAAATACCAATAACTGGCCAGGCACAGTGGTTCACACTGTAATCTCAGCACTTTGGGAGGCAAAGGTGGGACAAACGCTTGTGCCCAGGAGTTTGAGACCAGCTTGGGCAACATAGTGAGACCCCCATCTCTACAAAATATAAAAAGAATTAGCCCCAGCTACTTGGGAGGCTGAGGCAGGAGGATTGTTTGAGCCAGAGAGGCTGAGGCTGCAGTGAGCTGTGATTGCACACTGCATTCCAGCCTGGGTGACACAGTGAGACTCTGTTTTTAAAACAAAAAACAGGCAGGGCGCAGTGGCTCACGCCTGTAATCCCAGCACTTCGGGAGGCCGAGGTGGGCAGAACACGAGGTCAGGAGATCGAGACCATCCTGGCTAACACAGTGAAACCTCATATCTACTAAATATACAAAAAATTAGCCTGGCCTGGTGGTGGGCGCCTGTAGTCCCAGCTACTTGGGAAGCTGAGGCAGGAGAATGGCGTGAAACTCGGGAGGTGGAGGTTGCAGTGAGCCGAGACTGCACCACTGCACTCCAGCCTGGGCGACAGAGCGAGACTCCGTCTCAAAACAAAACAAAACAAAACAAAACAAAAAACAAAAACAAAAGCCTAATAAGCGCACATCACCCCAGATGCCGATTAAATTGTTCCAGGTGGGGCCCAGGTGATGCTAACGTGCAGACGGGGTTACGACCTGCTGCTTTACAAGCTGAGTGGCCCTTGTGCCAAATGAGGCCCAGCTGACTCTGAGCTGCTGCACACCTATAATTTTTAGCTCAAATCTTTTAACTCTAATAGCTAACACACTTAAAAACCGGTAAATTAATATAACCGAATGCCACCAGGTGTCATGTGGCAGATTTGGATAAACTAAAACCATCAAAATGGGCATGCCTATAATTATTAAAATATTGAGCTATTCAAGCTTGATTCCACTAAAACACCACCATACGACTGGGGGACTGAGAAGGAAAATAGGAATGACTCCAAAAGTTCTTGACTCACGTTTCAGTCATATCCAATATTCCCATAACGAACTTGACTCACTCTTGTTTTCAACAACAAAAGAAATTAATGCCGCTGCCCACACACATATGAATTGCTAGTCGGGTAACCCACTTCTGAGAAAACCAGGATACCTTGCTTTAAAAGGATAGAGGAAAATTTGGTTTAGAAGCTCAGTGGGGGAGGACTCCAATTTCGTGGGCGGGAGGCTTGGGAAAACGTCTGCAATGAACTGACCGGCCTCCCTTCCAGTGGACAGCATGCTGCTGGGCATGGACAAGGAGGTGTGGGAGATCACAGACACGTCTCGCAAAGTCATCCAAACCCAGGGGGAGTGGGAGCTCTTGGGCATCAACAAGGCCACCCCAAAGATGTCCATGGGCAACAACCTATATGACCAGATCATGTTTTATGTGAGTCCAGGGGCCCCTGTTTGACTTCTGATCCCAGCAGCTCTTTGATTGTCCTCTTGACCTATGGCTCTTTGGGAAGCAAAAAAGAAGCTCCAGGCCGGGTGCAGTGGCTCACACCTGTAATCCCAGTACTTTGGGAGGCCGAGGGAGGCGGATCATGAGGTCAGGAGTTCAGGACCAGCCTGGCCAACATGGTGAAACCCCGTCTCTAATTTAAAAAACACAAAAATTAGCTGGGTGTGGTGGCACATGCCTGTAGTCCCAGCTACTCGGGAGGTTGAGACAGGAGAATCACTTGAACCCAGGAGGCGGAGGCTGCAGTGAGCTGAGATAATGCCACTGCACTGCAGCCTGGGCAAGACAGAATAAGACTCCGTCTCAAAAAATAAAATAAAATAAAAATAAAGCTCCAGAGGGTTGGGCACCTGCTCCCCACTGCCCCATCTACCTAATTGCCCTGAAGCAGGATCCCCAAGGCCTCCCCCACTCCCCATTTGCCCACTCCTCATTCACCCACTCCTGCTCTGGAGAGGGCAGGAATGGCTGGACTGTAATAAGCCCTGCTGCTCAGAATGGATCAGCTCACCCCTACTGCTCAGAATGACTTAAAGGGCCCACTTGCACCTAAAATTCTACAGTCATTGTGTTCCTAGTAGGTTAAAAATGAATAAAAATTAGACAACAAATCAGAGGCCCCTATGTAGGCGAGCACAATTATATGCAAAAGTGTTACTTAAAAAGATCGTCCCCAGCAGCCTCACAGCACATTGGCAAAGATTAGGGGTCAGATATACAAATTGAGCCCTCTGACATCTATTTATTTGCCATCTTCTCCGGTCTCTCTCCAGGTGGCCATCAGGCGCAGGCCAAGCCTCTACATCATAAACCTGCTGGTGCCCAGTAGCTTTCTGGTTGCCATTGATGCCCTCAGCTTCTACCTGCCAGCAGAGAGCGAGAATCGTGCCCCATTCAAGATAACACTTCTGCTGGGCTACAACGTCTTCCTGCTCATGATGAATGACTTGCTCCCTGCCAGTGGCACCCCCCTCATCAGTATGGCTCCTCCCACTTTCAGGAGGAGAAAGGGCACCCGGGGCCAGGGAGGAGGGCCAGGAGAAATGGCCGCTGCTCCACTGAAGGAAGGAAGGGGCTGTGAAAGAAGATTGGATTTAGGAAAGAGGCGTGAGGAATGCTTAGAGATAAATTTGCCTGGTTTATTTATAATTTGCTCTGCCCTCAGGTGTCTACTTCGCCCTGTGCCTGTCCCTGATGGTGGTCAGCCTGCTGGAGACCGTCTTCATTACCTACCTGCTGCACGTGGCCACCACCCAGCCCCCACCCATGCCTAGGTGGCTTCACTCCCTGCTGCTCCACTGCACCAGCCCAGGGAGATGCTGTCCCACTGCGCCCCAGAAGGGAAATAAGGGCCTGGGTCTCACCCTCACCCACCTGCCTGGTGAGGGAAGCCAGCACTGTCCATACTCGCCCTTCACACTGGGCCCAGCACTCCTCTAATCCTGTCCCCTTCCCACTCCATGACTGAGCCTCTGTCCTCTCCACAGGCCCAAAGGAGCCGGGGGAGTTAGCAGGGAAGAAGCTGGGACCCAGAGAGACCGAGCCAGATGGGGGCTCAGGATGGACAAAGACCCAGCTAATGGAGCTGTGGGTGCAGTTCAGCCACGCGATGGACACCCTGCTCTTCCGCCTCTACCTGCTCTTCATGGCCTCCTCCATCCTTACTGTCATTGTCCTCTGGAACACCTAGGCAGACATCCCCCCTCTCTGGCAAACAACAGCTTGGAGTTTCTGCTGGTCTTGGGCCAGCCGGACTCATTTTCCTAATCTTAGCCACTTATCCCCAGTGACTACCATGTCCCCTTCTAAATTCCAAAGACTCCAACGCAGCACTAGCAAGCAGGTTCGGGACAGCCCTGGACGATTTCCCGACCGCTGCTCAGGCTGCTCATTCCTGCTCACCCTCAGTCTCCCTGAGCTACCACCTAACTCCTCACTCCCTGATCAATGGAAGTCCAGGTCAGTGGAGTCTCTCCTTGATTGATCACCCCAATAAACAACTTTCCAGGAAGCACTGGCTCTTCAGTTTGTTTGTTTGTTTGTTTGTTTGTTTGTTTATTGAGACAGAGTCTCACTCTGTCACCCACACTAGAGTGCAAATGATGCCATCTCAGCTCACTGCAACCTCCGCCTCCCAGGCATGATTCTCATGCCTCAGCTTCCCAAGTAGCTGGGATTACAGGTGCACACCACCACACCCAGGTAATTTTTGTATTTTTAGTAGAGACAGGGTTTTGCCATGTTGGCCAGGCTGGTCTGGAACTCCTGACCTTAAGTGTTCCGCCCACCTCGGCCTCCCAAAGTGTTGGGATTACAAGCGTGAGCCACCTCGCCCAGCCCTCTTCATTATATTTATTATAAGTCTACAAACTCTGCGGTGGAGAGTCCTCTTGCAGAAGCTTTGATACTTCCCCCTAAGCAGGTGTAATCTGATGTGATTTTAAGGGTTTTAGATACTTTCAGAGTTTTATAAGAATAAGAAGGCCAAGTCTTATTTGCAAGAAATTATTTCATTTGCAATAAAATATTTACAAATGCAAAATGTTCCTTTCAGCAACCATTTCTTTTTCACTTTCCTTTACCTCTCATTCCTGAAATTGCTCTTTGAAATAAATCATATCTTGTGTCATTCTTTTTTATTCTAACAGGTTTCTCTTACTTCACAACATCAAACAGAGCGGGCTTTCTAAATATGTGTGCTTGAGGCTGGGGGGTTCATGCCTGTAATCCCAGCACTTTGGGAGGCCGAGGAGAGAGGCTAGGAGTTTGAGACCAGCCTGGGCAACAAAGCGAGACCTTGTCTCTACAAAAATAATAATTAACTAATTAATTAATTAAAAATTAGCCAGGTGCAGTGGTACATGCCTGTAGTCCTAGCTACTCGAGGGACTAAGGTAGGAGGATCGCTTGAACCCAGTTCAAAGTTACAGGGAGCCACGATCGCACCCTTGCAATCCAGCTTGGGCAACAGAGCAAGAACCAGTCTCTTAAAAATAAAATGAAACGAAGAAAGGTTTTTTAAGTTCCCTGTTAATAGTAGTTCACAGCAGGGCTCGGTAGCTCACACCTGTAATCTTAGCACTTTGGGAGCCCAAGGTGGATGGATTGCAAGGTCAGGAGTTCGAGACCAGCCTGGCCAATATGGTGAAACCCCATCTCTACTAAAAATACAAAAGCTAGCTGGGCATGGTGGTGTGCACCCGTAGTCCCAGCTACTCGGGAGGCCGAGGCAGAAGAATTGATTGAACCTGGGAGGCAGAAGTTGCAGTGAGCCGAGATTGTGCCACTGCACTCCAGCCTGGGTGATAGAGCAAGACTCTGTCTCAAAAATAATAATAATAATATAGTAGTTCACACCTTCATCAACAGCTATAATCATGGGAGAATTCTAATAGCTAGCTGCAAGAAAGACCCTGAGGAGAAACAGAAATTGAAAGAGAAAGTCAAAAAACACCAGCGACAAATTTCTGGATGATATTTCAATTGGATAAACACATTTCAGGGATTTATTTGTTGGCCCTTCTGCCTCCCCTAAGAGTATGCTTTCATAAAGATCAGGGTCAACGTCTCATCCATTTTTATAGTTTAGCACATGGTACCACATCTGGCACATCGTGGATACTTAACACAGACTTGGGGGTTTTTTTTTGTTTTTTTTCTTTCCAACTTTTAGGTTCAAGGGGTACATGTGCAGGTTTGTTACCTGGGTAAATTACATATCGCAGGGGTTTGGTGTACAGATAATATTGTCATCCAGGTAATCAGCTTAATACCCGACAGGTTAGGGTTTTTTTTGTTGTTGTTGAGATGGAGTTTTGCTCTTGTTGCCCAGGCTGGGGTGCAATGGTGCGATCTTGGCTCATGGCAAATTTCGCCTCCCAGGCTCAAGCTATTCTCCTGCCTCAGCCTCCCAAGTAGCTGGGATTACAGGCATGTGCCACCACGCCCAGCTAATTTTGTATTTTTAGTAGAGATGTGGTTTCTCCATGTTGGTCAGGCTGGTCTCAAACTCCTGACCTCAAGTGATCCACCTGCCTCAGCCTCCCAAAGTGTTGGGATTACAGGCCTGAGCCACTGCACCTAGCAGTACTAGGTTTTCTGTTCCTATGTTAATTGTCTTAAGATAAGGCCTCCAGCTCCAACCATGTTTCTGCAAAGGCCATTATCTCCTTTTTTATGGCTGTGTAGTATTCCATGTGCATATGAACCATATTTTCTTTATCCAGTCCACCACTGATGTGCTTCTAGGTTGATTCCATGTCTGCTATTGTGAATAGTCCTAAAATGAACATACATTTGCATGTGTCTTTATGGTAGAATGGTTTACATTCATTTGAGTATATAATCTATAATAGAATTGCTGGGTCAAATGGTAGCTCTATTTTAAGTTCTTTGAGAAATCTCCACACTGCTTTCCACAGTGGCTGAACTAATTTACATTCCCATCAGCAGCATATACATGTTCTCTTTCCTCCACAACCTCTCCAGCATCTGTTATTTTTTCAACTTTTAAATAACAGCCAATCTGACGGGTGTGAGATGGTATATCATTGTGGTTTGGATTTGCATTTCCCTAATGATTAATGATATTGGGCTTTTTCTCATATGCTTCTTGGCCATGCATATTTCTTCTTTTGAGAAATGAATACGGCATTGTTGAATGAGTAAATGTGTGAATGAATGCCAGCCAGCCAAAATCCACATTTTACTAGCTCTAGCTGTAAATCCCTTCCCAATATATTTTCTTTTCTTTTCTTTATGGAATGTGGACAATTAGCAACACATCTTCATGTGTCAACTATCTCTGAGTTCTTGGAGATGTTACTTATATCCTGGCAAAGGCAGTTCTGATATCAGATTCTCTTGTTTCCTTCTCCTTTCCATTACTTGGAACATATCTCCCACTCAGAAACTCAATTGGTTTTTCCCAATAACTTAAAATGAAGAATATCTGTTAAGCCTTTGAGGAATTTCAAATTTCTTAAGATCAGTTTTGTATCATTTCTTTTTCCTTCCCCATTTCCATGTTTATATTTCTCTAGATGTCATCTTGCGATTTTTTCATACATATGCAACTTTAGGTTTTCTGTGCTAAGACTTTTGTTTGACAATGCCCTTTGCAAAAGAACATTCTGCTGATATGTTCAGGTGGAAGTGCGATTTGTGGGGTAAAACATGACCTGACAATGAAGCAAAATATATTAAACTACTACTAGCCAACATAGGTCAGCAGGAACGTTACAGGTGTTTCACAGTTTGGGAGGGAGTGGTTCTGGTTTCTGATACCTCTCATTTTAAGAAAGAGAAAAGGACGGATGTGGTGGCTCATGCGTGTAATCCCAAAACTTTGGAAGGCCTCAGTGGGAGGATTGCTTCAGCCCAGAAGTTTGAGATCAGCCTGGGCAGTATAAAAAGACTTCGTCTCTACAACAACAACAACAATCAGCTGGGTATGGTGGCGTGTGCCTGTAGTCCCAGCTACTTGAGGGACTGAGGTGGGAGGATCGATTGAGCCCAGGAGGTCTAGGCTGCAGTGCGCTGTGATCGCACCACTGCACTCCAACCTCGGCGACAGAGTGAGACTCCATCTCAATAAATAAATAAATAAATACACACACATACACACACACACACACACAACACACTAGCCCTTGTGATAATAACTTTATTTTTTTCCTCTATTTTCTATTAAAAACCTCTGTAGGAGTGTACACTGGAAATTTATGAACTCTGTAAAAATCAGACGATTGGCCCTGGATACACTACTCTCATCAAATGCTTGATTATTGTCTAACTTCCTGGGTAATTTCTACTCATGTCCCACTCTCTCCTTTCCTTGGCAGCATCTAGGGTTATGCTCACAACCTCTTCACGTCTCATTATTTATTTTCTTTCTTTCTTTTCTTTTCTTTTTTCTTTTTTTGAGATAGAGTCTTGCTCTGTTGCCCAGGCTGGAGTGCAGTGGCGCGATCTTGGCTCACTGCAACCTCCGCCTCCTGGGTTCAAGTGATTCTCCTGCCTCAGCATCCCAAGTAACTGGGATTACAGGCACCCACCACCAGACCCAGCTAATTTTTTTTTTTTTTTGTATTTTTAGTAGAGACGGGGTTTCATCATGTTGGTCAGGCTGGTCTCGAACTCCTGACCTCTGGTGATCCACTCGCCTTGGCCTCCCAAAGTGTTGGGATTACAGGCGTGAGCCACCATGCCTATCCTATTTTCTTATTATTTAAATAATTCTCAGAAGACTTTCTCCAAGAGTAATTTCTCCCTACTTATTCTTTCGGTAGTTCCTACATCTGACCATTCTTATGGTATGTTTTTTGGGGGGTTTTGTTTTTCTGTTTTGTTTTGTTTTGTTTTGAAACAGAGTCTCACTCTGTCACCCAGGCTGGAGTGCAACGGTGGGATCTTGGCTCACCACAACCTCTGCTTCCTGGGTTCAAGCCATTCTCCTTCTACAGCCTCCCGACTAGCTGGGATTACAGGTGTGCACCACAACGCCTGGCTAATTTTTTAAAATATTTTTAGTGGAGACAGGGTTTTGCCATGTTGGCCGGGCTGGTCTCAAACTCCTGACCTCAAGTGATTCACCTGCCTCGGCCTCCCAAAGTGCTGGAATTACAGGCATGAGCCACCATGCCCAGCCTCTTATGGTATGTTTTTGTCTCATCATTATCTTTGATTCCTTCCATCTTCTGGAAATCCAAAATGTCTATGGACAATACCGTATTTCACAATTATCCTCTCTCTTCTTTCATCTCTATTTGTTTCTCCAAAAATCAAGCTCATCTGTCTGCTCTTCACCACTACTCCCTCTCCCTCTCTCCTTCCTCCATTACTCTTCCTGTATTTTTCCTTTTTTTTTTTTTTGAGACAGTTTCACTCTTCTTGTCCAGGCTAGAGTGCAGTGGCGCAATCTTGGCTCACTGCAACCTCTGCCACCTGGGTTCAAGCGATTCTCCTGCTCAGCCTCCCAAGTAGCTGGGATTACAGGCACCTGCCACTGCACCTGGCTAATTTTTTTTGTAGTTTTTGGTAGAGACGGGGCTTCACCATGTTGGCAAGGCTGGTCTTGACCTCCTGACCTTGTGATCCACCCTCCTCGGTCTCCCAAAGTGCTGGGATTACAGGCGTGAGCCACCGTGCCTGGCCCATGTATTTTTCCTTATACCAACCCTTTCACTATCATTTCTCCTTAATGATTTTACTAGCTTTGTTGCAAACCTCTCATCCACATCTGGCATTTAGGAAAACTAGTGTATATCATCATCCTTAATAATTCAAAGGTGATGCTCATGATATTGATTATTCCATATATATAGCATAGATGTCAAAATCTATACAAAATAAGTAGCACTTAAACTACACTATGACGGCCAGGCGCGGTGGCTCATGCCTGTAATCCTAGCACTTTGGGAGGCCAAGGGGGGCAGATCACCTGAGGCCAGGAGTTTGAAACCCCGTCTTTACTAAAATACAGAAAATTAGCCTAGCACAGTGGCAGGCGCCTATAATCCCAGCTACTCAGGAGGCTAAGGCAGGAGAATTGCTTGAACCTGGGAGGCAGCAGTTATAGTGAGCCAAGGTCAGGCCACTGCACTCCAGCCTGGGTGACCGAGCGAGACTCCATTTCAAACATAAATAAATAAATAAATAAAAATAAAATACACCATGAGAATGTTCTACTACATGTGTGGCCATCTGTTGCAAGGAACACTGGGAGGTTTGCAGTTTCTTATGAGCAAGCATGATGACTTATAAAGGTACAATTTAGGAGATAGAAGATAAACACAATTAGGAAATAAGTCATTCTTTAAGATTCTTCCCTTCAGGGTAATTTGGTAATTCTGTCAAATTATCCAAAGCCAACATTTTCCAGATCTGGGTCTCTTTTTACTCCCTAGCTTTTGCTCCACACTTTTTTTTTTTTTGAGACAAAATCTCACTCTGTCGCCCAGGCTAGAGTGCAGTGGTGTGATCTCGGCTCACTGCAACCTCCACCTCCAGGGTTCAAGAGATTCTTGTGCCTCAGCCTCCCCAGCTGAGATTACAGGCATGTGCCACCAAGTCCAGCTAATTTTTATATTTTTAATAAAGATGAGATTTCACCATGTTGGCCAGGCTGGTCTCGAACTCCTGGCCTCAAGTAATCCACCTGCCTTAGCCTCCCAAAGTGCTGGGATTACAGGCAAGAGCCATCGTGGCCAGGCTTCCTCCATATTTTTAAAATTTTCTATAATGAACATGTGATCTATAATGATTTTCTAAATTTTCTATAGTGATCATTTTTTAAAGGGAAGAAACTTATAAAAAATATCGATATATCAAATTAATAAAAGAAAAATGCAAGGGAAAAGTCGTATCTCTCTGAGCAAGCCAGAGGTTTTATAGCAAGAAAGGCATTTCTCGATTTGGAAATCAGGCTGCCCACACATAGCAATTATTTATAACAGACACCTCATCTTTCTAAGACTCACTTTTCTCATTTTTTATATATTATCACTAGCTTGGGTTTTTTCTGACTTTCTTTACTAGAATCAAAAGAAATCCCCCCTCCCCATTAAAAATAATAACAGGCTGGGCACGGTGGCTACTGCTCGTAATCCCAGCACTTTGGGAGGCCAAGGCAGGCAGATCACCTGAGGTCAGGAGTTCGATACCAGCCTGGCCAACATGGTGAAACCCCATCTCTACTAAAAATACAAAAATTAGCTGGGCATGGTGGTGGGTGCCTGTAATCCCAGCTACCTGGGAGGCTGAGGCAGGAGAATCGCTTCAACCTGGGAGGCGGAGGTTGCAGTGAGCTGAGATCACGCCATTGCACTCCAGCCTGGTGACAGAGTGAGACTCCATCTCAAAAATAAATAAATAAATAAAACAATAACTCTTTCCTGCAATTCATCTGGTGTTTATTCTTCTTTTCAGAGTTTCAAACACAAAGGAGAGGAAGGTTCAGAAGAGAACAACCCTTGCTTCCCAGTTATCAGCTCTTATCTCCTCCTCCTTATCCAGCTAAAACAGATGTTCCAGGGTTGAGGGGCTATTTCAAGTTCCTCGTGGCTACCGCCTCACCCTCTCCAATCCATGGGCCTTCCAGAATGGAGGTCAGTAACTCCTCTGGGAGTATGCCTCAGAAGTAGAGGGATTTGGCCTTCCTTTTCCAGACCATCTGCGGATCAGTCACCACCAACCTTTACCACTCTGTTAGCAGGGAGGGGACAATGTGCCAGTCTGCACAGGCCATCAGCTCAGGCATTCTTCCCAAACGATCTGCAGCATGAGCCCAGGCCAGAAGCTGGAAATAAATGCCCCAGACCCAAACACACTGAGACAACTCCACGCCTCAGCACTCACCCACCGTGCAGCTGAGCACAGGCCTGAAACTTTAGTCAAAACAAAACGTTGGTGGGGAGAAAAGCCTTATTTTCCCCTCAATCGACCACGAGTACGAGGGAAGAAAATTGTGAGGCTCCTTTCTCAACAGGTCCATGAGCTGGGCAGGATCAGTCAGTAGAGAAGACAGCACCACCTGCCTTTCAGTTAATGTTTGGTTATTAACCATCCAATGCACGAATGGATGAGTTCATAGTTTTATATCAGGAAGGACTGTCAGGAAATGTATTTTTCATTTTCCTTGAGCTCTGTGACAACTTCTTGAGGATCCCCTATGATGACGGATTATGCCGGACTGTCCAGGAGCATGTGGACAGAGCCACTCAGAGGCAGAAGATGGCACCTGGGTTGCTCAGACTCTGCCATGTTCACTGAGAAGCGTCCACTCAGTTCCCCTGGCTTTTCCTCACCAGGTACAGCCTTCTCCTCGCTGGGCCCAGCCTCCTGCCCGCAAGCACAGCAGCCTCACCCCCAGTGGACTGAGGCTTAGCTGTGGCCTGAGGCCTAACACACTGGCCTGACCAGGACCTCCTGGTCGCCCACAGGAGGGTCCTCTCTGCCACAGTCCCCATATGGTAGACTGTTTGGTTGTTTTTGTCTTTTGTTATACAAACAATACTGTAATTTATAACCTTGTAAAAACTGTATGTCTTTATTGTGCAGGTAAGAAAATTTCCAGAAGTGTGATACCGAGTCAAAGAGGATATACATTTGTAATGCTGATAGATATTGCAAAATTGTTCACCAAAAGGCAGGCAGTATGTGAAAGTGCTTATTTTTCCCACAGCCTCTCCAACAGAATGTGTAGTCAGACTTTTAGATTTTTACCAATTAGGAAGGTGAAACAGTGGTATTAGTGTAATTTTAATGTGCAGTTCTCTGATTATGGTTGAAGTTAACTTTTTACATATTTAAGGGCCATCTATATTTCTGATAGAGACAGGGGGCAGACAAATTCCTAGGCAGACAGGGATGGTCCCTGGTGAAACTCAACCTTCAAGCCAAGGACAGCCTGAAGCCTGAACACCAAACTACCAGTTCCAAATAGAGTCCACAGACCAGAGTGAGAACTTCCATTCCCATATGGTGCGCTCAGCCCCTGACGGGTCCTGGGCCAAGGTCCCAGGCCAAGCCTTCACTTCAGCCTCTGATTAGTTCTTTAAACTATCATACCTCTTTCTGAATGGTGCTTTTTCCAAGCCTACCTATAAACCAATCAGCACACATTTCCCCATTCTAAGCCCATAAAAATCCCAGACTCAGCCTCACAGCCAGCAACCCAGTCCCGGGTCCCCTCTCACTGCTGAGAGCTTTCTTTCTGTTGTTCAATAAAATTCTACTCTGGGCCGGGTGCAGTGGCTCACACCTGTAATCCCAGCACTTTGGGAGGCCGAGGTGGACAGATCACCTGAGGTCAGGAGTTCGAGACCAGCCTGGCCAACATGGTGAAACCCCATCTCTACTAAAAAATAAAAAAAATTAGCTGAGTGTGGTGGCGTGCACCTGTAATCCCAACTACTCAGGAGGCTAAGGCAGGAGAATTGCTTGAACCTGGGAGGCAGAGGTTGTGGTGAGCTGAGTTCATGGCATTGCATTCCAGCCTGGGCAACAAGAATGAAACTCTATCTCAAAAAAAAATATTAATTAAAATTAAAAATAAAATAAAATTCTACTCTGCCTTACTCACTCTCCAGTGTCAGTGTACCTCATTCCTCCTAGTCATGACATAAGAATTTGGAACTTGCCGAACTGCAGGAGTGAAAGAGCTGTAACACTCCATCCCGCTCACCAAACTATGGGAGCGAAGAAGCTGCAACATTTCTTTTCCTGAATTGACTGTAGCTGGACTTTTCCTATTTTTTTTTTTTTTTGAGACGGAGTCTTGCTCTGTCACCCAGGCTGGAGTGCAGTGGCACAGTCTCAGCTCACTGCAAGCTCCGCTTCCTGGGTTCACGCCATTCTCCTGCCTCAGCTTCCCGAGTTGCTGGGACTACAGGCACCCGCCATCATGCCCAGCTAATTTTTTGTATTTTTAGTAGAGGCGGGGTTTCACCATGTTAGCCAGGATGGTTTCAATCTCCTGACCTCATGATCCGCCCGCCTCAGCCTCCCAAAGTGCTGGGATTACAGGCGTGAGCCACAGCACCTGGCCCCATTTTTTTATTGAGTCTTTTCTTTCTTAATTTGTAGGAGGAGTGCCTTATATTAAGATTAGTCTGTTGCTAGGATACGAATTGCAAATACTTTTTCCTAATTTGTAATTTGCTTTTGATTTAGCTAAAGAGTTTTTGTCATGCAGAAAGCTTTTCTTTTTTGGTATAATTGGATTTATTAATGCTTTGTTTTATGAGTTCTGGATATTGAGATGTAGTTAGAAAATATGTGACACTTTCTATTGGAAATTTGGCTTTATAGATCAAAATTAAATATGACCTAGCAATTCCATTTCTAAGAATTTATCTTACATTTATACTTAAATATACATACACACACACCCAAATGTTTGTTGCAGTGCTGCTTTCTATATAAAAAATGGGAAATTTCCATTAATAACACACTAGTTAATAAATCATGGTACATCCATACAATGGAATGCTACGCTACTGGTAAAAAAAAGAATGAGAGGATTTGTGCTTCAAGCAATGTGGTGAGTTAGGAATTCTAAAACAGCCTTTGGCTGGTACAAAGTACTAAGTTGTTGGACAAATTATAGTAAATATGCTGTAAAAAGTACTCTTGACACCAATAAATGAACAGGTAAACAAAATGTTGTATGTGCGTTCAATGAAATATTATTCAGCCTTTCAAAGGACAGAAGTTCTGACCCATGCTACACCATGGATGAAACTTGAGGACATTTTGCTGAATGAAATAAAGTCACGAATAGACAAAAAATGTATGAGCCCATTTATATGAGGTACCTACAGTAGTCAAATTCACAGAGACAAAAAGTAGAATGGTGGTTGCCAGAAGCTGGGGGAAAGGAGGAGAGGGGATATAGAGTTTTAATTCTGAAAGATGAAAAGAGTTTTGAAGATTGGCTGTGCAACAATGTAAATGTACTTAACACTACTTAGCTGCACACTTAAAAATGGTTAAGACAGTAAATTTTATGTTATGTGTTGTATTAGTTCGTTTTCACGCTTCTGATAAAAACATACCCGAAACTGGGAACAAAAAGAGGTTTAATTGGACTTACAGTTCCACATGGCTGGGGAGGCCTCAGAATCATGGTGGAGGGGGAAAGGCACTTCTTACATGGTGGCGGCAAGAGAATGAGGAAGAAGCAAAAGTGGAAACCCCTGATAAACCCCTCAGATCTCGTGGAACGTGTTCACTATCACGAGAATAGCACAGGAAAGACTGGCCCCCATGATTCAATTATCTCCCCCTGGGTCCCTCCCACAATGCATGGGAATTCTGGGAGACAGAATTTAAGTTGAGATTTGGGTGGGGACACAGCCAAACCATATCATGTGTATTTGCCACAATTACATTTTTCTTTTAATTTTTAAGAGTTTTAAAAATCTGCACTTCAGAATAAGCATATCTTTATATTTCTTGAGAAAAAATATAATAATGTTAATAAAGTTTTCAAATAAATTGGTATGTTATTAATCAAAAAACAAAAAGCATTAAAAAGTAAATTGTTTATTTTTAGGCATTTTCATTTCCATATATACTTTAGAATCAGCTTGTGAAATAAAAGTCATAGCATGCTTAAAAGAAGAACAAAGGTGGAGGAATTACACTATTTGACTTTGTCTTACTATAAAGACACAACAATTGAGATGATAGGGCATTGGATAAGGATAGACATCTTTTAGCAATAAAGTATTTTTTAATTTTAAAAAAGAATAGTCAAAGTATAGTCAAATATATATTTTTATAGACATAGTCAAAATTATAAATACCATATTATATATAAAATTATAAATATATATAATAGTCAAAGTATTGAATAATCAAATTCATAAAGACAGAAAGTAGAATAGTGGTTACCATGGGCTGAGGGAGGGGGAGTGGGAGTTATTGTTTAATGGGTACAGAGTTTCAGTTTGGGATAATGAAAAAGTTCTGGAGATGGATAATGGTGATGATCACACAATAATGTGAATGTACTTAATGCCCCTGAACTGTATACTTAAATGGATAAAATGGTAAGTATTATGTTACACATAATACTCTATTTCTATTTTAGAACAATAGTAAAAAACTAAGTTAAAAAAAAACCAACTAGAGAGAGAAAAAAAAACAATTCACTTTAAAAAACAACAACTGAACTGACAGCCAACTTCTGAAAAAAAAAAAAAAAAAAAAGGAAGCCAGAAAACAATAAGATATTTTCTAAATGCCAGGAAGAAACAATTCCATCTAGAATTCTATACGTAGCAAAATGATCTTTTAAGAATGAAGACTGGCTGGGCATGGTGGCTCACATCTGTAATCCCAGTACTTTGAGAGTCCGAGGCAGGTGGATCACCTGAGGTCGGGAGTTTGAGACCAGCCTGACCAACATGGAGAAACCCTGTCTCTACTTAAAAATACAAAACTTAGCCAGGTGTGGTGGCGCATGCCTGTAATTTCAGCTACTCAGGAGCCTGAGGCAGAAGAATTGCTTGAACCCAGGAGGCAGAGTTTGCAGTGAGCCGAGATCGTGCCATTGCGCTCCAGCCTGGGTAAGAGTGAAACTCTGTCTCAAAAAAAAAAAAAGAATGAAGACCAAATAAAGGGTTTTACAAATAATGAGAGAAATTTAAGTAGGAGACTTTCCCAGAAAAAGATCCCTTACCAATAGAGCTTTCTTTTTTCTTTATTTTATTATTTTTTAAAAAATACGGAAGGGGTCTCACTCTGTCACCCAAGCTGGAGTGTAGTGGCATGATCATAATTCACCGTAGCCTCAAACTCCTGGGCTCAAGCAATCCTCTTGCCTCAGCCTCCTGAGTAGCGAGGACTATAGTCGCACACCACCACACCCAGCTATTTTTTTTTCTTTTTTTTGTAGAGATGGGGGTCTCACTATGTTTCCCAAGCTGGTCTCAAACTCCTGGGCTCAAGCAATCCTCCTGCCTCAGCCTTCTGGGTTTTTGTTTTGTTTTGTTTTGTTTGAGACAGAGTCTTGCTCTGTCACCCAGGCTGGAGTGCAGTGGTATGATCTCAGCTCACTGCAACCTCTGCCTCCTGGGTTCAAGCGATTCTCCTGTCTCAGCCTCCCAAGTAGCTGGGACTACAGGCCCGTGCCACCATGCCCAGCTAAGTTTTGTATTTTTAGTAGAGACGGGGTTTCACCATGTTGGCCAGGCTCGTCTCGAACTCCTGACCTCAAGTGATCCACCCACTTCAGCCTCCCAAAGTGCTGAAATTACAGGCTTGAGCCACTGCACCCAGACAGTTAACTACTGTTAACATATATTATGTTCTATGGAAGGACATGGGAGAAGAGAAGAAAAAAAAACTGGCTAACATATACACAAATATATTCATATCAAAATGAGGAAGAAATAGGTATAACTATCACAGTTTTCATGACTGTGACTGGTTATATGGTTATATCTGGTACTTACAATGACCTTCTTCCACAGCCTAGTCCATATTCCTTTTGTTTTCAACAAGCTCCATGGCTGGCCATGGTTTCTTGCCTGATAGAGTGACCCAAATCTTCACCCCTCCAGGGACTGAGCATTTAGCAGTCCTGCGTGTTTTAGGTTGCTGTAGTTTTCCACTGACTTTAGTCACAAGACCTGAGAGTGCTAAAAGGCACCTCACGGCATCTGCATTCTTGTCATTCTCCTTCTTCCACCATCATATTGTAGTAACCCAGTTTCCCCAGGATAGTCAGGATCAACCACCCCTTTTGTTGCCTGTCAATTCAAGGGCATGCGGAGTCCAAATTGGTCAAGTGGTAGTCTCAACTTCCAGTTTAATGGAAACATTGTTGTATCACCTGGTGGACGCCTTCCTCTAAGACTTCTGAAACAGCACAGCCCGAAGTTGCAGAGATGAGAAGCAGATTTCATGGGTTCATTCTTGAAAGAAATTGAAAGTGTTACTCCCAAGTGAGTGGATGAATGTTAAGAAAGGGAAACAGCCTTTTTGCTAATATGGAGAAAGTTAGACTGGTCTGAATAAAGATCAAACCAGCTATAATAGTCCCTTAAGCCAAAGCCTAATTCAGAGCAAGACTCCAACTCTCTTCAATTCTGTGAAGGCTAAGAGAGGTGAGGAAGCTGCAGAAAAAAGGTTGATGCTAGCAGAGGTTAGTCCGTGAGGTCTAAGGAAAGAAGCCATCTCTGTAACATACAAGTGCAAGAAGAAGCGGCAAGTGCTGATGAAGAAGCTGCAGCAAGTTATCCAGAGATCTAGCTAAGATCATTGACAAAGATTTGCAACATAGATGAAAGAGCCTTCTCTTAGAAGAAGATGCCATCAGCCGGGCACGGTGGCTCACAACTGTAATCTCAGCACTTTGGGAGGCCAAGGCAGGCAGGTCACCTGAGGTCAGGAGTTGGAGACCAGCCTGGCCAACATGGCGAAACCCTGTCTCTCCTAAAAACACAAAATTAGCCGGGGATGGTGGCACGTGCCTGTAATCCCAGCCATTCCAGAGGCTGAGGCAGGAGAATTGCTTGAACCCGGGAGGTGGAGGTTGCAGTGAGCCGAGATGGCACCATTGCATGCCAGCCTGGGTGACACAGAGAGACTCCGTATCAAAAAACAAAAGATGCCATCTAGGACTTTCACTGCTAGAGAGGAGTAGGCAATGCCTCGCTTCAAAGCTTTAAAGGACAGACTGACTTTATTAGACACTAAGGCCATTGGTGATTAAGTTGAAGCCAATGCTTATTTGCCATTTGGAGAATTCTAGAGACCTTAAGAATGATGCTAAATTTACTCTGTCTATGCTCTATAAATAGAACAACAAAGCCTAGATGATAGCACACCTGTTTACCGCATAGTTTATGAATTTTTTTTCTTTTTTTTTCTGAGACAGAGTCACTCCGTCGCCCAGGCTGGAGTGCAGTGGTGTGATCTCAGCTCACTGCAACCTCCGCCTCCTGGGTTGAAGCAATTCTCCTGCCTAAGCCTCCTAAGTAGCTGGAATTACAGGTGCCCGCCACCACGCCCGGCTAATTTTTTTTCTTTTTTTGAGACGGAGTCTCACTCTGTTGCCCAGGCTGGAGTGCAGTGGCACAATCTCAGCTCACTGCAAGCTCCACCTACTGAAATCACGCCATGCTCCTGCCTCAGCCACTCGAGTAGCTGGGACTACAGGCGCCCGCCACCACGCCTGGCTAATTTTTTGTATTTTTAGTAGAGACAGGGTTTCACCACGTTAGCCAGGATGGTCTCGATCTCCTGACCTCGTGATCTCAGCCTCCCAAAGGCTGGGATTACAGGCATGAGTCACCATGCCCAGCCAATTTTTGTATTTTTAGTAGAGACAGAGTTTCACCATGTTGGCCAGGCCGGAGCTGGTTGGGAAGCTTTTAAACACACGCACACACACACACACACACACACACACACACACACTTCTCAGTGGGGGTGGAAGCATGTGTGTGCAGGTATTTCAAAAAGTTCATCAAATGATTCTCTGCCCATACTTACTCCCTAGTGGCCCCAGGGCTATAGGCTTTAGAGATACTAGACAAGAAAGGGTAAGCTGGAAAGTTCTGTTTTAGGAGAATGACAAAAATGAAAGATTCAACTGGGGAGAAACCAGACAGAGAACACCCTATGGAGAGGCTACTGCAATAGTGCAAACAAGGAATGATGCAGATCTGTGCTTCAGTGCTAGCTGTGGAGACAGAGATCTGTCACTTGGGTTTATGTAATGAAATGGAGCTTACCTTCTGAACTGAGCTTCTTAACTCAACATTGATGATAATTCCTAATGTCCACAGTAAAGAATACATTTCTATGTCTGCAAGAAAATTGTTGCATGTTCTTGCCTTCTAAAACTAGCAGGTGTCCCCACCACGAGACAGCATAACCATTCCTTTCCTGGTGGCCCATGCCCTTCCCCTGAGGCAGTTAGTTCCACAAAGATGTGATAAGGCCTTTGTCAATGGCCTCACCTGCCCCATTTTCTCTGAAAGGTACCTGGAACACAGATTTAAAGCCACTCATCTAGGCCAGGCACGGTGGCTCACACCTGTAATCCCAGCGCTTTGGGAGGCCGAAGCGGGTGGATCACCTGAGGTCAGGAGTTCAAGACCAGCCTGGCCAATATGACGAAACCCTATCTCTACTAAAAATACAAAATATTATCCGGGCGTGGTGGCGGATGCCTATAATCCCAGCTACTTGGGAGGCTGAGGCAGGAGAATTGCTTGAACCCAGGAGGGAGAGGTTGCAGTGAGCCAAGATCACGCCATTGCACTCCAGCCTGGGCGACAGAGCAAGACTCTGTCAAAAAAAAACCTCATTTAGACAGTAGTGCCAAATAGGTGCTTCTTCCCTCCTCTTGGCCCAACTTCCTGCCTGCCTGGAGCCCAGAAGGTGTACTTGGCAGGAGCATGGCAGGACACTCTGCTGGGATCCCTCTGGCCACAGCCTCTCAAAGGGAGTGGTCCCCTGACAGGAAGATTCAAAACCAGCAACCAAAGTGGTCCCAGCTCCTTCAAGCTCAAGGAGCTGGGGGGATCCTGATGAGTCTGGGGGGATCATCTGGGGGGATCCCGATGAGTCTCCAGACAAGAGCGCAGGAGAGAAGGATGGAGGGAGGTGGCCTGCTGGCCTGGGAGTGTTCTGTTATGCCTCACTATCAGCCTTCTGCTTCAAGGTAAGATAGGACAAGCACAGAGGAAGATGGGGATATTGTTTAGGGCAACATCCAGGAAACTTCTCATTCTCCAGAGCTGCAGAAAATTCAAAACAGACAGGTTAAAATTCTCTGTAGGATCTATGTTTTGGCTTCCTCTTTGTTGCAGATGAAACACCGATTTCACTGGTCAGTACATACAGCCCCACTCTCATTTGCCAGCAAAGGTATCTACCAAATTGTCTGTCCCTCCACTTTCCCACCTGTCCAATTCCACTCTTATGTAACGTCCAACTGTGCCTTTCTACCAAACTATAGTTACTAGAACATAACTCAGGTCCTATTGACAATAATTTAACTCCTTTCCGGTGTTGCTTGGGAAGATCTTGTGGAGGAGGTTATGTGGAGCGAAAGAACGTTCACTTCCCCTGGGATGTGTTTCTCTCTAGTTTGGAGATGAACCTATGAATCACCTGGTATGGAAAGACAGTGGAAGAGGCATTGGAAAGGACTTGCTGGGCTATAGTTACAGGAATAACCAGAGGTGGGGTGTGGGTGAGGTGGGTAGAAGGGCTTTTCACTTCATTGTGTGGCTCCACCAACCACATGGTGGATAGATGGTCCAAGAGATCTTTGCAAGATGGTGGTGATAAAAATGGCGCCCACAGATCTTAGAGGAACTTGAGAAGGGCAGTGAGAACCACACATAAGAAGTAGTCAATAAACTCACATTGAATACAACATTCCTTTATTCCCCACATGTTTTATGTCACACTCATGTTTACTTCTCTCTAAATTTTCCTTTCAGGAGTCAGGAAAACCTGAGAAGAAGAGGGGAAAATGGAGGAAAAGCATATTAGGGAAATTTTGTCCAGTGACTCTAAGGAAGAATCACAGCAGAGCCAGAGGGGAAAAAAGGAAGGTCAGATAAAGGCCAAAGCCTTAGAGTTGTGTGGATGGAATAGGACTCCCTGGAGGGGCTCTCTGCATGCAAATTTAGGTAGGTTCATATGGGCGCAAAAACACAGGAAGAAAGGCCTGGGCCGGGACTCAGCTCACCACATCAACTCCCACCATTTGCCTACCAGCCCAGCCCATCCTCCCGCCTCCGGCAAGAAGGGAGTCTTGGCCCAGGAAGGAGGGGCTCACGTGCCTCTCCCAGAGTTCACGTTGTTTTTCTCTGCAGGGAGGCTCTCAGACCCCAGCCCTGGTACCTCTCTCACCTAGCAAACACAGAAGGTCTCAGCCCTCTACAGGAAGGACAAATACTTTCACCATTAACTGCTCAGGCTTTGACCAGCATGGGGTGGAGCCTGCTGCCTTCCAGGCCATATTTAACCAGAAGGCCTTCTGTCCAGTCATCAACTCCAGCCTCCCCGCTCATGTCAACATCTCCTTCACCCTGTCTGCCATACTGGAAGTGGTGAGACCTGGTCCCTGCATCTTTTCCATGGCTTCTAATGAGGAGCAAAGACTATTTTTTTTTCTTTTTTTTTGAGACACAGTCTCACTCTGTTGGCCAGGCTGGAGTGCAGTGGCACAATCTTGGCTCACTGCTATCTTTGCTTCCCGGGTTCAAGCAATTCTCCTGCCTCAGCCTCCCGAGTAGCTGGGATTACAGGCGTGTGCCACCATGCCCGGCTAATTTTTTTATTTTTAGTAGAGATGGGGTTTCACCATTTTGGCCAGGCCGGTTTCGGACTCCTGACCTCAGGTAATCCACCTGCCTCGGCCTCCCAAAGTGCTGGGATTACAGACGTGAGCCACCGCGCCCAGCTGGAACGAAGACTCTTTACATGGTCAACCCAGCATTGCCCTGGTTCGGTGATGAGCAATGAATCCCCTGAATGGGTTTTGTGCAAGTTAGATGCTCATCCTATGTGGTGGGGAAACATGAACAGGAATGCTGCAGTAATATTTCTGTAGGGAACATTTATCCTTGAGTCCTGCTCTTGTGGAAATACTCTACAAAAAAATGCATTCCCAATGGGCTCCCATACTGTTTTTTCACCCACATTTTCCATGCAACCTGTATTTGTCTGACCCACCCTTCTTTTGTGACTTGTGATTGAAAAGGTGAACTGTCACTGGGGACCACTTAGGAAACAATGGCGGGAGGTAGATTAGGTCCTGGTTTCACGCCATGAATGATCCTGCATGGGAATTTTATTTATTTATTTATTTTGGACAGGGTGCACAACTTTAGCTGATGTTGTCATTTCTGTGGTTAAATATGGTATGTGAGATTCAGTTTCTTTCTCTTCTCTTTCTCCTACCCTTTTTTTTTCTGGCTTTGCTTGCAAAATCACATTTATTGAAATTGACAGTGCCTGAAGGCATAAATAAATACAACCAGAATGGGGCCAGTGTTGACGACAAATAGCTTCCTAGGCTGCCAATCAACTTTGAAAGACATAGATAGAAAATACAGGGAGAAGGAGGGCATATAGTTGGAAGTCCCGAAGTAAGCTTCAGGGCCCAAATGTATCCAGCGTCCAGCTTAAGATTTCCCTAAAGTGGGAGGTGAAAGGTCAATAAGATTTTGTTAGTAGAAAAGGGGAGACAGTTAACACCTGGGAGAGAAAAGAAATCAGAATTCAAAAGGAAATGAGGGGCCAGGCACAGTGGTTTACACCTATAATACCAGCACTCTGGGAGGCTGAGGTGGAAGGATCACACAAAGCCAGGAGTTTGAGTCCAGCCTGGGCAACACAGCAAGATCCCATCTCTATAAAAAAATTAAAAATTAACCACGTGTGGTGGTGCATGCCTGTAGTCCCAGCTACTCAGGAGGCTGAGGTGGGACGATTGCTTGAGACCAGGAGGCTGCAGTGAGTCATGATTAGGCCACTGCACTCCATCCTGAGCAACAGGGTGAGACCCTGTCTCTAAAAATTAAAAAAAGAAAAAAAAGGAAATGAGGTGGAGTCATGGCCAAAGTGCACCAAAAAAGAGAACAAAAAAAATTTTTTTTCAGGAAGGGAGGTCAAAAAAGCAACATGCATAACAATCTGCATAGTAGGATTCTATCTATGTAAATAAAAATGAGTGCTGAACCGGGCACGGTGGCGCACTCCTGTAATCCCAGCTACTTGGGGGGCTGAGACAGGAGAATCGCTTGAACCTGGGAGGCGGAGGGTGCGGTGAGCCGAGATCGCACCATTGCGCTCTAGGCTGGGCAACAGAGTGAGGCTCTGTTTCCAAAAAAAAAAAAAAAGTGTTGGAATATGTATTATTATTTATTTTTGATGATACACAAGAAAGTGTTAATAATGAGACTGAGGTGGGACAGGGACTGAATTGGGGTGAATCGAGGAGGGAGAATGTTGCTTTATATATTACACCATTGCGGAATTGTTAAAGTTTCATCATAAGCCCATAGCACCTACATTTAGAAAAAAATACATATGTATATATTTGTAAAGGAATGGAAGGGCAGGAGATGGCTGACATAAGCCAGTTCCAGACTTCAACCATACCACATCCTTCTGTGCCCTGTGCTCTAGATCTGGGAAAACCCACTCAGCAGCTGGGACCCAGAAGAATATGGTGATATCAATAAACTCACTGTGACAGCTGAGAACCCATGGTTTCCAGACATCTTCATCATGGAATTGTGGGTATGCAGGAGGGCTAGGGAAGCTGGAGGGAAGCCATGTCTGCAAGGAACAGGCCAGGACAGTGCAGGGCAAACTCATTCAGTATGGCCACTAAACACGTACTTCAGAGAGAAGCAAGATCACAGCTGATCAACTTCTCCCCTAGAAATGAGAAAACGGCTGGCAGAAAAGATGGTGGCAGGTGAATTGCTTGAGCCCAGGAGTTTGAGACCAGCCTGGGAAACATGGCAAAATGCTGTCTCTACAAAAAAATACAAAAATTAGCCAGGCGTAGTAGTGCACACCTGTAGTCCCAACTACTCAGGAGGCTGAGATGAAAGGATCGCTTGAGCTCAGGAGTTTGAGGCAACAGTCAGCTCTGATTGTGTCACTGCACTCCAGCCTGGATGACACAGTGCAATCCTGTCTCAAAAAAAAAAAAAAAAAAAAAAAGGCAAACTCATATTTTAAAATACATAAAAAGAAAAGTAGGGTATTTGCTGATTGGGGATGTATGGATGGTGAGGTGGGAGTTGAACTTAGTGACGGCAGCAGTATCCTGTCTAGAGCACCACTGCCATCATGCTGACTGCAACAGGGAGGCGCGGCTGGGCTGCGCACTCCACTGAGCAGGCAGGAGCCCCACCCTCCTGGGTGCAGCTGCAGCTGCCCAAACCATGGCTGCAGACCCAGGTATCCCTGTACTCCTGGAGGCCCAAGAAGGCCCCATCCCTGCTCTCACAGGCTTGGGAATGCCTGCTCTCACTGCCTGGCTTCTCCCTGCTGTTGGTGACTGCTCCGATCTCAAAGCAAAGTCGGGGCTGAGCCCAGGTGCTGGTTGGGTGTGCACGCACTCAGAGCAGTGCTGACATGCCAACCCCCTGCCACCTAGGTCCCCTCTGGAATTTGGGCACCAAGGAGCATAGGAGGGAAGCCAAGGGGGGCACTGAGGGCATCTCGGTGCTGGCCTGCAGGCGCCCCGTGGCACCTACAGCCACCCCGTGGCACCTACAGCCACCCCTTGGCACCTACGGCCTGGGCACCACGAACAGCAGTGAGAGGCAGACAGGTTCCTGGGCGGAAGGGGGCCATTTCCTGGTGAGGCCCCACCTTCAGGCCAGGGAGTGCCTGAAGGCTGAGGATCAGGCTGCTAGTCCCACGTACTGGAGTGAGAACTTGTGGTGCCTTTTCCAGGCCTGCCCTTGGCCACCCATGGACCAATCGGCATACACTTCCTCACCTCTGAGGCCCATGAAAGCCCCAGGCTCAGCCAGAGCTGAGCAGATATCAGAATGACCGGCTGCAGAGAGGAACTACTCACTCCAGGGCCTCCTCTCTGCTGAAAGGTGCAGACGGCAGGACGACCAGCTGCATAGAGGAGCTATTCACCCCACGGTGTCCTCTGAGCTATTCTGTCACTCAATAAAGCTCCTCTTCTTCTTGCTTACCCTCCACTTGTCTGCTTACCTCATTCTTCCAGGACACAGGACAAGAACTTGGGACCTGCCGAATGGCAGGGCTGAAAGAGCTATAACACGAACAGGGCTGAAACATACCCCTTGCTCACCATGTTGTGGCTGAAGAGAAGGAGAGAAGAGCTGTGGCCCTTTGGGGAGCCCAGAGCTGGGAGCTCCCCAAGCCAGGGCTGGGACTCCCTCTTTGAGGCCCTGCAGTTCCTGGAATCTCCAAGCTTCCAGGTGTCACCGTGTTCCCTGGCAGCAGCCATGGAAGCTGCTTACGGTGCACCTGGTCCAGCCGCAGCCTTGCAGAGAGCCAGCAGCCATGTCAGCACCTGGAGCTGCCCACCACAGCAGCCGGCGTGCCTGACTGTGCACAGTGGCCAGACCCCACACTCGCTCGCTCACACCCTCCTCGCCACTCCACACCTGGCTTGCCCTTGGAGGGGTGGGATCCAGGCTGGTAGCATGAGCCGAGTGCAGCCTGCCAGACCGAGTGGGCAGAATGAGCCCAGTGGGCCCAAGAAAAACTCAGACAAAGGCACCACTGGCCACAGAGGTTTCCAGCCAGAAAAGTGACACCCCAGCAATCCTGCAACAGAAAGGAGTGAGGCTCTGAGACACCCCAGCATAGAAAGGAGGCAAATGAGCAGCAAGGAAGTCATTGTATTGGGCAATCTGGAAAAGGTAGCTAAATTGGTTTTCTAATTCATCACACCTGCACGAGTAGGTGTCATGCAGATGTGTGCTGAATAAATGTTTGTCTCCCCTGCAGTGGATAACATGGGCGGGGGCAAGGAAGTATAGGAAATAGCAGATACTTCAAGTGACACTGTGCAAACACAGTGGGAGTGGGAGCTCCTGGGCATCAACAAGGCCACACTGAAGATATCTGTGGGTTCCAGTCTTTTTGACCAAATCATGTTGTCTGTGAACCTGTACCCCTCACCACCACCTCCTCCCTCACCAGACCCATCTGAGTCCAAGAGCCAGATCCTCTTACTTCTTGCCCCAAGACCAGACAATCCCTGGGCACCATAACCCTCAGAGCCTTCCTCTCTCCCGAGTCCCTTAAAGCATCACCCCTTTTTGAACCTGCCAGCTCTGGCCTAGGGTTTGTTTGGAGGTATGGGGGCGTCTTGTTAGTCATATGAAAGCTGCTTCTTTTTCAGCCCCATAGAGAGAGCCCTTGCTGGGGCGAGGACACCAAAGAAGGATAGGGCTGGAACTAGCCTTTGGGCCCCCTTCAGGGCTGACTTTACCAGTTCTCTGCTCATTCCTCCTCACCAGGTGGCCATCAGGTGCAGGCCCAGCCTCTATGTGATAAATTTTCTGGTGCACAGTGGCTTTCTTTTAATTTATTTATCTCTATATTTTTTAGAGACAGGGTCTCACTCTATTGCCCGGGCTGGAGTGCAGTGGCACAATCACAGCTCACTGTAACCTCAAACTCCTGGCCTCAAGAGATCCTCCCACACTGGCCTCCCGAAGTGCTGGGATTACAGGCCTAAGCCACCGCGCCTGCCCCCCCACGGGCTTTCTGGTTGCCATCGATGCCCTCAGCTTCTACCTACTAGCAGAAAGTGCGAATCATGCCCCATTCGAGGCCACCCTTCAGCTGGGCTGCAGCGTCTTCCTGCTCATGGTGAATACACTACTCCCCGCTAGTGTCACCCCCTCATCAGCACAGCTCCTCCCACAGTTGGAAAATGGAAAAAGAAAAAGAAGTATTTTCTTTTAGGGTTGCTGGGGCTCCTGAGGCAGAAGGGAGAAAGAAGGCGTCTCAGGAAGGGCCCTCTGTGTGAAACAGGGAAAAGGGGGGCTTAGTAGTGGCACCTATGGACCTGCCTCAAGCCTGCTTCTTATCCCCAGCCCAGGTGTCTACTTTGCCTGTCCCTGGTGGTGGGCAGCCTGCTGGAGACCGTCTTCATCACCCACCTGCTGCACGTGGCCACCACCCAGCCCCCACCCATGCCTAGGTGGCTTCACTCCCTGCTGCTCCACTGCACCAGCCCAGGGAGATGCTGTCCCACTGCGCCCCAGAAGGGAAATAAGGGCCTGGGACTCACCCCCACCCACCTGCCTGGTGAAGGAAGCCAGCACTGTCCATACTCGCCCTTCACACTGGGCCCCGCACTCCTCTAATCCTGTCCCCTTCCCACTCCACGACTGAGCCTCTGTCCTCTCCACAGGCCCAAAGGAGCCGGGGGAGTTAGCAGGGAAGGAGGTGAGACCCGGAGAGACTGAGCTAGATGGGGGCTCAGGATGGACAAACGCCCAGCTAGTGGAGCTGTGGGTGCAGTTCAGCCACGCGATGGACACCCTGCTCTTCCGCCTCGGGAACACCTAGGAGTTGAGTTCTGAGTGTGCGCGAGCAGCAGGGTTCAGCTTCCCTTGGCCTCAGCGGGCCATGCCAGGCGCTGCTTCTGCACTGCAGTCGGCAGACCCAGCCCCAGCCATGCCATGATCCCTGCTCCAGCCCTTCCTGTGGTTAAATAGAACCACTGCTAGCACTCCCAGAAACGAGAATGTATTTCCAAAATAGAATACATTCAGAAGATACATGTTTATGTTAGAAATATAATTTAATAGAAAAGAAAGACTTTATCATAAGTGACCGCAAATATGTACCAGAAAAGTAATTCATGTTATTGGTATGGAGGAAAAGGATTCGTTTTTTAAACATAGGCTAACACATGTCATTCTCTTTTAATAAATATTTATTGAGCCAGGTGTGGTGGCTCCCACCTGTCATCCCAACACTTTGGGAGGCCGAGGCAGGAGGATCACCTGAGGTCAGGAGTTTGAGACTAAGCCCTGTTCGAGACTTGAGGATGAATCAAACACAAGCTCTGTCCTCAAAGAGCTTCTAGCCCAGCAGAAGAAATGAAATATGTGTGTTAAATAATTTCAATTAGATGTAGAACGTGTTTTTAAAGTTCTGCTTCCCACCAAAGAAGTCCTATCTCACTCTACTTGATAACTCTTAACCTCAGAGTGTCAGTCTCCACTGTGGCCGCCATCAGCCTGTGGACTGACCCATCTTCCCCAGCTCTCAGAATTTCCTTGCCTCTCATGGCTTGTTCACACGCACTAATGAACGCATGTATAACTAGTGAGTTCTGAATAGACTCTATGGATTGTACTGTTAAAAGCTAATTTTCAGAAAAGGGCAAAATCATTAATCTCATATGAATGTAAAAAGGAGTACGTGTTAAAGAATTGGTTAAACTCAGATGATACGAGATCATCAGGCAGATGTTATAAAAGGCTCAAAGGAAACATCAAGAACCATCAATTTATATACAGTAAAGATAGCAAATTGCAAATGGAGACAAAACTGGTTTTTCCTCAGGGGTTAGGGAGAAAGTCAACTGGAAGTCTACAGGACAAGATAGAGTTTGCATATTGACAATGTCCAACTTTACCTGAGTCCTGCGTTCCCAGAAAACAGCAATGGTTAAGAAATCCCCCAACCCTTTTGTGCTCTGGGAAATGACTTACTGCAAAGAACCACTCTTCCCCCATATAACTTAGACAAGACTCTGTCCGTTCTTCCTCCTGGTTCCCACAGGACTCATAGGTGACTCCCTTGTCCTGTGATAAGGCCAAACACAGTCTTTTCCCCTTTTGCCTGAACCTGCCAACAAGACCAGACACAGACCCTCCAACTCCCCATTCTTTGTCACATGAATGATTAGCTGAGATTAGGATGACTCATCCCCTGAAACAAGCTAGACATAGAGGTAAACATTTCCTGTTCAGCTAAGTGGCCAAGACTTCCTCTGATTGCAAAACAACCCCAACTGTAAATCACCCCACCAGTAACTTGTCTGCTCCTCCCTATAAAAATCTAAGACAAAACCACCCTGTCGAGATACCCTGTCCTTCAGATCTGGGTAATCTTCGTATTGCAATAGCCTGAATAAAATTAGTCTTCTTGAATAGGAACAGCTCCAGTCTACAGCTCCCAGCGCGAGTGACACAGAAGATGGGTGATTTCTGCATTTCCAACTGAGAAGACCATTTTGCTTGTTATACTGTGGATATAGATTGACTGGAACGTCATGGTGAGCCTGGACTATGAAGACAAAAGCAACATCTTACAGAAGGTTAAGTGACAAGATAGAAAGATCCTGGGGCCCTGAGGACTTCACAAAGCAGAGCCCCTATAACTGCTCATATGTTTACACAAAAGAGAAATGGCTATACCAGGGGTTGGCAACAATTTTCTGTAAAAGAGCAGATGGTAAATATTTTAGGCTTTGCAGACCATACAATCTCTGTCACAGCTACTAACTCTACAACAGTTACAGACAATTCATAAAAGAATGGGTGTTGCTATATTCCAATAAAAATTTATTTACAAAAAAAAAAATCAGTCTTCTTGGCCGGGCGTGGTGGCTTATGCCTGTGATCCCAGCACTTTGGGAGGCCAAGGCAGGTGGATCATGAGGTCAAGAGAGACCATCCTGGCCAACATGGTGAAACCCTGTCTCTACTAAAAATACAAACAATTAGCTGGGTGTGGTGGTGCATGCCTGTAGTCCTACCTACACAAGAGGCTGAGGCAGGAGAATCGCTTAAACCCAGGAGGCGGAGGTTGCAGTGAGCCGAGATGGCACCACCACACTCCAGCCTGGAGACAGAGCGAGACTCTGTCTCAAAAAAAAAAAAATTAGTCTTCTTATTGGTCGGTTTTTGTCTTCTACAAAATTCCTCAATTGCCTGTAATTTAAAAAGAGCTGCAAAATAGTTCAAAGACAGTAAACAGGGCTAGAATCCAACAGCTGGAATAGTTGCTATGGTCAATGCATAGTTTCTCATGGAAGTACAAAATTTTTTTCTATAATCTTCTCCATTTTCGATAATCTCCTTCCTAACCTCAAGGGAAGATTATAATCTTTTTTGAAGACTAGTCAAGTGCAGTAGGCAGAAGAAGGGAAGGAGTAGAACAAGGAATTCCGTCTGTAACTGACTATGAACAATCAACTGAGATAACTCACTACCTTCAGGCCAGCCAGGAAAATTATTCTTTTTTCTTTTTTTTTTTTTTTTTGTTTTGTTTTGAGATGACGTCTCACTCTGTCGCCCAGGCTGGAGTGCAGTGGTGCAATCTCGGCTCACTAAAACCTCCGCCTCCCGGTTCCAACCGATTCTCCTGCCTCAGCCTCCCGAGTAGCTGGGATTACAGGTGCCCACCACCATGCGTGGCTATTTTTGTATTTTTAGTAGAGATAAGGTTTCACCATGTTGGCCAGGCTGGTCTCAAACTCCTGACCTCAAGTGATCCATCCACCTCGGCCTCCCAAAGTGCTGGGATACAGGCATCAGCGACCACGCCCAGCCTTTTTTTTTCTTAAGAGACAGAATCTCACTCAGTCATCCAGACTGGAATGTAGAGACACGATCACAGCTCACTACAACCTCAAACTCCTGGGCTCAAGTGATCCTCTCACTTTAACTCCCAAGAACCTGAGGTTAAAGTGTGTACCAATACATCTGGCTAATTTGTTTTATTTATTTATTTTGAGATGGGGCCTTGCTATGTTGCCCAGGCTGATTCTGAACTCCATGATCCTCTCACCTCAGCCTCCTGAGTAGCTGGGATTACAAGTACATGTCGCTGTGCCTGGCAAGAAGATTCTTTTTGGTCACAAAATGAGACTGGTCTTAACATTTGGCTTCAAGTCTTTACATGGGTACAACAAGAGTGGTAAAGTACCATTTAGGGCTTCTTAAGTTTGCCTTGCTAAAAGTTTTCAAAAAATCCCAAACTTGACTTTCAAAAGCCTCTTGAAGCCAGATAGCCACACCAAGAACTCACCACCAGATTTCACCTGAAGGACCCCTAAATTTGAGTGAATTTGTCTCTTCTTAAGGTCCTCAAAATATCCTAGGGTTCTTGGGTCCACCTGGACCTGTAAGACTGGCAACGCTATAAGCCAGGTACTAGGCCAGTTTTCATGGAAGGGGTTTGTAAGCATTGGTTCCACAAAGTCAACCTTAGTTCTTTAGAAATGTCTAACCATATTTGATTAAATGAGCATCCTTCTGAAATATGATACTCCAGGCAAGGCCTTGGTTGCATAACCAACGTTTCCAATTCCATCCTGGTAAAAAGGAAGACAGAGTCATCGAACCTATACCAATAACTACATTGTCATGAAAATACAATAATTATATTGTCATGAAATTAAGAATATTTTATAAGAGTTTGCAAATCCTGTAGAGGTCAGGCAGGGAGAAGAAGTATCATTTACAAATGTTTCACTTCAGTGTAAAAAACAGAGTCTTTTTAAAAAGCAGAGTTATAATTACTAAATTGTTGACTTATAAATAGCTTAAGAGGAAAGAAAATGGGCTTCCTTAAATATCTGGAAAATAGAATATTACAACAATGGCCAGGCATGGTGGCTCAGGCCTATAATCCTAGCACTTTGGGAGGCCACAGTGGGTGGATCACTTGAGGTCAGGGGTTCGAGACCAGCCTGGCCAACATGGTAAAACCCTGTCTCTACTAAAAATACAAAAATTAGCTGGGCATGGTGGTGCACACCTGTAATCCCAGCTACTTGGGAGGCTGAGGCAGGAGAATGGCTTGAACCCGGGAGGCAGAGGTTGTAGTGAGCCAAGATTGCGCCACTGCACTCCAGCCTGGGGGATGGAGCGAGACTCTGTCCCAAAAAAAAAAAAAAAAAAAAAAGAAAAAAGAAAATATATTACAACATGAACAGTATTTCAAATGAAAACTGCAAGTGTCCCTTCTTAGTTCATTTGGTCCTATATAATTAATTATTATTTGACTAGATCTTGGGTTAACAATCTCATGAAATCCATTGGCTTCTCAACTAGAGTTCTAGAAATCCTGACTCAGTCCACTAGTATGATCTCAAAGCTGTTTAAGTGTTGCCATCAGACACTATGCCCAAAGTATCCAGCATAGTCCTTTCCCACAGGATTTTGTGATAATCCTTTATTGAAGACAGACCGCTCTGGCCTGTAGCTGATTGTTGAGCTTTCAAGGAAGTATCAGAGTAAAATAAAAAACTATCTGTAGGTAACAAAAGACTTAAAATGGTTATGATTAGTTTACTAACTTATTAATGATAATTTTAAAACATGAAAGATCCGATGAAAGTTCATTACAAGAATTACACAGCTGGCAAGGAAATTTGATTGTTTCTGTGAAATGCAAAACAAGATAATAAAGTCAATCCAACAACAGCTTTTGGGCTGGGCGCAGTGGCTCAAGCCTGTCATCCCAGCACTTTGGGAGGCCGAGGTGGGAGGATCACTTGATGTCAGGAGTTCAAGACCAGCCTGGCCAACGTGGCGAAACCTCATCCCTACTAAAAATACAAAAAATTAGCCAGGCATGGTGGTGCACACCTGTAATCCCAGCTATTCGGGAGGCTAAGGCAAAAGAATCGCTTGATCTCGGGAAGCGAAGTTTGCAGTGAGCCAAGATCACACCACTGCACTCTAGCCTGGGCAACAGAGAGAAACTCCATCTCCAAAAAAAAAAAAAAAAGCTTCTGACAAAATCATTATAAATGTGACAATTAACTAGATTTTCAAAAAAGACAGTGAACATTACATCTAATTTATAAAAAGGGATGAACATGATCTTTACAGAGAAAAAAATGAAGATATAACATACAATAATCCTGACTTAATATATCATATATATAAGAAGTGGACCAGGAGTATTCAGGAGTCTTTGAATGGCTATTCTTAGGCAAACATTTTTAAAAATCATATATCATGAACTTGCTAAGTTTATAGCAAGAACATACAAAGAACATATTGAGAACATCAAGAGATTCAGTAAGTCTGAATTTCTGAGTATCTGTATATTAATAAAACTACATAAATAAGTTATCTGAATCCCTAGTTGCAACCTACTGGCCTAGAAGATGCTAGATTCAAATTGAAGAAGTAAAAAGGTGACCATGTTAACATTAAAAAGAAATTAAAATGTAACTGAAGGCTCCAATCACATGGCCAGAGGTCTGCTGCGCTCTCCTGGAGGCCAATACCCAATTCAGTTCTGGTCCAAAGGAAAGAGATTTTGGACATAGATTCACACAGTTCCTCTAGACTTGCTTTTTCTTTTTCTTCCTTTCTTTTACTTTTTATTTTTTAATGATTTTTAAAAATTTTTTTGAGAAAGAGTCTCGCTCTGTTGCCCAGGCTGGAGTGCAGTGGCTCAATCTTGGCTCACTGCAACCTCCACCTCCTGGGTTCAAGCAATTCTCCCTGCCCTAGCCTCCCAAGTAGTTGGAATTACAGGCATGCACCATCAAGCCCGGCTAATTTTTGTATTTTTAGCAGAGATGGGGTTTCCCCATGTTCGCCAGGATGGTCTGGAACTCCTGACCTCAAGTAATTCACCCATCTTGGCCTCCCAAAGTGCTGGGATTACAGGCATGAGCCACCGTGCCCAGCCAAATTATTTAAAATTTACATAAGTGTTGTGAAGCTTGTACAAAGAGCTCCTGTGTGTGCTTCACCCAGATTTTCCAAATGTGGATATTTCTTTTCTTTTCTTTTCTTTTTTTTTTTTTTTTTAAGACAGAGTCTTGTTCTTGTCGCCCAGGCTGGTGTGCAATGGCCCAATCTCAGCTCACTGCAATCTCTGCCTCCCAGGTTCAAGAGATTCTCCTGCCTCAGCGTCTCAAATAGCTGGGATTACAGGCGCCCACCACCATGCCTGGCTAATTTTTTGTATTTTTAGTAGAGATGGGGTTTCACCATGTTGGCCAGGCTGGTCTCGAACTCCTGACCTTAGGTGATCCACCCCTGTTGGCCTCCCAAAGTGCTGGGATTACAGGTGTGAGCCACCATGCCAGGCCAATTGTGGATATTTCTAAATCGTTGAGAGTGAGCTTCATAATTGATGACCCTTTAACCCTAACTACTTCAGTGTATATTTCCTAAAAGCTAGAACACTCTCCTATATAACCATAGTACAACCATCAAAATCAGAAAATTAGTATCAATACAATGTATTGTATTGTCTAACTTATAAGCCCTATTTGAACTTTGCCAATTCTTCCAATAATGTCTTTTTTTTTTTTTTTTTGAGGCAGTCTCACTCTGTCGCCCAAGCCAGAGTACAGTGGCACAATCTTGGCTCACTGCAACCTCTGCCCCCTGGGTTCAAGCGATTCTCCTGCCTCAACCTCTTAAGTAGCTGGGATAATAGGTGTGCGCAAACACACCCAGCTAATTTTTGTAATTTTAGTAGAAACAGGGTTTTGCCATGTTGGCCAGGCTCGTCTCGAACTCCTGACCTCAAGTGATCTGCCTGCCTTGGCCTTCCAAAGTGCTGGGATTACAGATGTGAGTCACCACGCCCAGCCTCCAGTAATGTCTCTTATAGGTGTAGGACCCAATCCAGGAATACACACTGCATTTAGCTGTTACATCTCTTCAGTCTGTCAATCTGGAACACTGCCTCAGTCTTTTCTTGTCTTTCGTCATCTGGATATTTTGAAGAGTATAGCTAGTAATTTTGTAGTTATTTTGTCCCTCAATTTGGGTTTGCCTAATTACTTCTTCAACTACTCATGACTTATGCCTCTTTAGTAGGAATACCCTAGAAGTGGTGCCAAGTTCTTCTTAGTGCATCACAGAAAGTACACAATGTCAATTTGTCACTTTACTGATGATAACTGTTATCACTCAGTTAAAAAGATGTCTGCCAGATTTCTCCACTGTAAAGCTAATTAGTAAGTATGGCATATAGGTAACTTTTTTGTGGAGCACTACTTTGAGACTATATAATTATCTCATTCCTCATCATGGGTTTGAACTGCAAGGATCCACTTATCTTCAGATTTTCTTCTGCCTCTGATACCCTGAGGCAGCAAGACCAACCCCTTCTCAGCCTACCTACATGAAGATGAAAAGGATGAAGACCTTTATGATGATCTACTTCCATTTAATTAATAGTAAGTATATTTTCTCTGCCTTATGATTTTCTTAATAACATTGTCTTTACTCCAGTTTACTTTATCATAAGAGTACAGCATATAATACATATAATATATAAAATATGTGTTATACACAGATTTTTGACTGTGCAGGGTGTTGGTGTTCCTAAACCCCAGTAGTGTTCAAAGGTCAACTGTACATTTGTTGAAAGATTATAATAGATGATCTCAAAATTATCTAAAGATATAGATTCTCATCCTTTCAACCAAGAAGTATAAATTACATGAAGGAACAAACCACAATGAGACAGTTATCAAAACAGTCAGCATACCAAGAACTAGACATAATAAAACAATCTGAAAGAGATTATAAAACAACTATGTTCCAACTTCTTAACTCATTTAAGAGATCATTATTACCCTGATACCAATGCCAGACAAAGGCACCATCCCTTATGATCATTGATTCAAAAATCCTCAATAAAATACTAGCAAACAAATTCAGTAGCATATCAAAAGAATTATATACCATAGCCAAGTGGGATTTATTCCTGGAATGCAAGGATGGTTCAATATACAACAATTGATCAATGCAATACGCCACATTAACAGAATGAAGCGGAAAAAATGATCATCTCAATTAATGCAGAAAAACATTTGACAAACTTCAACACCCTTTCATGACAAAAACACTTATAGAAGGAAACAACCTCAACATAATAAAAGCCATATATGAAAAACCCACAGCAAACATCACACTCCATGGTGAACGTCTGAAAGCTTTTTCTCTAAAAATCAAGAACAAGGCAAAGATGCTCAATTTCACCACTTCTATTCAACGTAGTTGGCCAGGTGCGGTGGCTCACACCTGTAATCTCAACATTTTGGGAGGCCAAGGCAGGCAGATTGCTTGAGGCCAGGAGTTTGAGACCAGCCTCAAACTCTGTCTTTAGTAGAGACATGGCAAAATCCCATCTGTACTAAAAATACAAAAATTAGCCAGGCATGGTGGTGCATGCCTGTAGTCCCAGCTTCTTGGGAGGCTGAGGCATGAGAATCGCTTGAACCCAGGAAGCAGAGGTTGCAGTGAGCCAAGATTGTGCCACTGCACTCCAGCTTGGGCAACAGAGCAAGACTCTGTCTCAAAAAAACAAATTAGCTGGACATGGTGGCACATGCCTGTAGTCCCAGCTACTTAGGCTGAGGTGGCAGGATCACTTGAGCCCAGGATTTCTGGGCTGCAGTGAGCTATGATCACGCTACTGCACTCCAGCTTGGATATCAGAGCAAGACCCCATCTCTAAAAACAAACAAACAAAAACAAACTAAAAACCACATAGTCCTGGAAGTTCTAGCCAGAGCAAGTAAGCAAGAAAAAGAAACAAAAGGCATCCAAATTGGAAAAGAAAGAGTAAAATTATCTCTGTTTGCAGATGATGTTATTTTATATGTACAAAATACAAAAGATCTCACAAAAACTAGTAGCACTAAAACTAATACATGAATTTAGCAAAGTATCAGGATACAAAGCAAACAAACATCAGTTGCATTTCTATACATTAGCAATGAATGATCAGAAAAGGAAATTACAAAAATCAATTCCATTTACGATGGCATCAAAGGAAAAAAATACTTGGGAATTAACTTAGCCAAAGAAGTAAAATTCTTGTACAATGAAAACTATAAAACATTGCTGAAAGAAATTTTTAAAAAATATAAACAAGTGGAAACACATCTCATGTTTATGGATTGGAAGACACAAAATTGTTAAAATGTCAATACTACTTAAAGCAATGAACAGACTCAATGCAATTCCTATCAAAATCCCAATGACAATTTTTGCAGAAATAGAAAAACCCATCCTAAAATTCATACGGAATGTCAAAGGACCTTGAATACTTGAAACAATCTTTAAAAAGAAAAATGAAGCTGGAAGATTCACACTCCCTGATTTCAAAACATACTACAGGCTGGGCACGGTGGCTCACACCTGTAATCACAGCGCTTTGGGAGGCTGAGGCGGGAAGATCACCTGAGGTCAGTAGTTTGAGACCAGACTGACCAACATGGTGAAACCTCGTCTCTACTAAAAATACAAAAATTAGCTGGTCGTGGTGGCATGCACCTGTAATCCCAGCTAGTTGGGAGGCTGAGGCAGGAGAATCACTTGAATCCAGGAGGTGCGGGTTGCAGTGAGCCAAGATTGTGCCATTGCACTCCAGCCTGGGCGACAGAGTGAGACTCTGTCTCAAATAATAAAAAAAAAAAGGCTGGGCACAGTGGCTCACACCTGTAATCACCGCTACACAGGAGGCTGAGGCAGACGGATCACCTGAGGTTGGGAGTTCAAGGCCAGCCTGACCAACATGGAGAAACCCCATCTCTACTAAAAATACAAAAAATTATCCAGGCATGGTGGAGCATGCCTGTAATCCCAGCTACTCGGGAGGCTGAGGCAGGAGAATTGCTTGAACCTGGGAGGCGGAGCTTGTGGTGAGTGGAGATCGTGCCATTTCTCTCCAGCCTGGGCAACAAGAGTGAAACTACGTCTCAAAAAAAAAAAAAAAAAAAGAGACAGACATGTATAGCAATGGAATAGAATAGAGAACCCAGAAATAAACCGTCACACAAATGGCCAAATTATTTTTGCAAGAGTTCCAATGGGGAAAAGACAGACTTTTCAAGTAGTAGTATTGGGAAAACTGGATATCCATATGCAAAGAAATGAAGTTTGACCCTTACCTAAAACCATATACCAAAATTAACTCAAAATGGATAAAATATTTTACATGTAGGGCTGGACGCGGTGGCTCACTCCTGTAATCCCAGCACTTTGGGAGGCTGAGGCGGGCAGATCACCTGAGGTGGGGAGTTCGAGTCCAGCCTGACCAACATGGAGAAACCCCGTCTCTACTAAAAATACAGAATTAGCTGGGGGTAGTGGCACATGCCTGTAATCCCAGCTACTTGAGAGGCTAAGGCAGGAGAATCACTTGAACCCAGGAGGTGGAGGTTGCAGTGAGCTGAGATCATGCCATTGCACTCAGCCTGAGCAACAAGAGTGAAACTCCGTCTCAAAAAAAAAAAAGAAGATTTAAGTGTAGACCTAAAACAATAAAACTCCTAAAAGAACACATAGGGAAAAAGCTTCAAAACATTGGAGTTAGCAGTGATTTCTTGGATATGACACAAAGGCATAGGCAACAAAAGAAAAAATAGACAAATAGTACTTCATGAAAATATTAAACATCTATGAATCAAAAGACACTATTAACAGAGGAAAGAAGACAACCCACAAAATGGGAGAAAACATTTGCAAATTATATAGCTGATAAGGGATTAATATCCAAACTATACATAGAATTCCTGAAACTCAACAACAAAAAACAACTTGATTTAAAAATGGGTAAAAGGTTAGCCATAGTGGTTCATACCTGTAAATTCCAGTGATTTGGGAGGCTGAGGCAGGAGGATTGCTTGAGGCCAGGAGTTCAACACCAGCCTGGGCAGCATAGCAAGGCCCTGTCTCTAGAAACAATAAAAAAAAATTAGCCACACATGGTGGCATGCACCTGTAGTCCCAGCTACTTGGGAGGCTGAGGTGGCAGGATTGCTTGAGCCCTGGAGTTCAAGGCTACAGTGAGCTATGATCATACCACTGTACTCCAGCCTGGGAGACAGTGAGACCCTGTCTCTAAAAAAAACAAAACAAAACAAAAAGCAAAACTCAGTGGACAGATTAGACACAGCTGAGGGCCGGGCACGGTGGCTCACGTCTGTAATCCCAGCATGGTGGCTCACAGTTGAGGGCCAGGCATGGTGGGAGACAGTGAAACCCTCTCTCTAAAAAACAAAAAAACAAAAAAACAAAACCAAAACTCAGTGGGCAGATTAGATGGACAGATTAGACACAGTTGAGGGTCAAGCACAGTGGCTCACTCCTGTAATCCCAGCACTTTGGAAGGCCGAGGTGGGCAGATCAGCTGAGGTGAGGAGTTCAAGACCAGCCTGGACAACATGGTGAAACCCTGTCTCTAATAAAAATACAAAAATTAGCTGGGTGTGGTGGCACAAGCCTGTAGTCCCAACTACTCAGGAGGCTGAGACAGGAGAATCGCTCAAATCAAGGAGGTGGAGGCTGTAGTGAGCCAAGATCACGCCACTGCACTCTAGCCTGGGCAACAGAATGAGACTCCATCTCAAAATAAAATAAAATATGGAAGGCATCCATACTTGCATTTTGCATTCTTCGTATGTAATCATATTGTCAAAGACAAATTATGTCATAATCTATTGTAAATAACACTTTTCCCCAGACCTACCATAAAGTTTCTGCAATGTATTGTCTTCCAGTTGCAATAAAAATTACTGAGTTTCATCAAAAATTAATTAATTAATTAATTAAAATAAACACAGTTGAGGAGAGAATTTTTTTCCTGGAAGCTAGATCTGAAGAAATCATTAGGGACAGAGATAAAGAGGTAGAAAATAGGAAAGAGAGGTGTGCTAGGCAGAATAACGGCCCCCAGAATTTGTCCACATCCTAATCTCTGGAACCTTAGGTTATATGGAAAAGGGGAGTTAAGGTTGCAGATGGAATTAAGGTTGTTAATTATCGGACTTTGAGATGGGGAGACTATCCTGGATTATCCAAATGGACACAATGCAATCACAAAGGCTCTTATAAGTGGAAGAAGGAGAGAGAAACAAATAAGAACCAGAGAGATGAGATGCCTTGTGAGAAACATTGGCCTGATGTTGCTGGTTTTGAAGATGGAGAAGTAAAAATAATGAACCAAGAAATACAGGCAGTTTAAAAGCTGGAAAAGGCCGGGTACAATGGCTCATGTCTATAATCCCAGCACTTTGGGAGATCAAGGTTGGAGGATCACTTGAGGCCAGGAGTTGGAGACAAGCCTAGGCAACAAAGCGAGACCTCATTTCTACTAAAAAAAAAAAAAATAGCCAAGCTTGGTGGCTCACACCTGTGAGGTCCCAGCTACTTGGGAGGCTGAGACGGAAAGATCCCTTGAGCCCAGGAGGTCAAGGCTGCAGTGAGTCGCGATTGCGCCACTGCACTCCAGCCTGGTCAACAGAGTGAAACCCTGTCTCAAAAAAAAAAAAATCTGGAAAAGGCAAGGAAATGGATTCTCCTCTAGAGCCTCCAGAGGGAATGCGGTCCTGCTGACACATTCATTTTAGCCCAGTGAGACCCATTTCAAACTTCTGGCCCACAGAACAGTAAAATAACAAATTGTGTTTATTTAAGCCACTGGGTTTGTGATTTGTTACAACAGCAATAAAAGGCATGTAAGATAGAAGGAAACCATTCAACACATGTCTAATAAGAAAAATAGAGGAAGTGAAACATTTATAAATGTCTGAGAATTTTCCAAAATTGAAGAGATGAGTCTTCAGACCAAGGGATCTCACCAAGATCTGCAAGTTGATCACGTATGAACTATCTATAACCATTTACGTTGCAGTGAAATACCTAAGACTAAGATAAAGTCTTAAAAGCAGACTGAACCTTAAGCATAGGCAAGAACAAGACAACCAGAACACTCTTTGAAGGAAGGTTACAAATGTCAGTGGTCAACCAATGCTATTAGTATTCAAAGTCAGACTCTAGGTGTGGCCTGTGCTGCTTTAATCTGGGCATTCCTGGGTCCCAGTACATGTTCAGAGAAGAACTTAGACAAAGAAGATGGAAGGAAGCTGGTTCCACAGGAAAAGATTTTCCTTCTACCTCCTTCTCGGTTTTCTGCTTCAAGGTAAGAAAGGAGCAATGATGGGGGAAGGCGGAAGAAGGAGGACCTCTCTCTAGTAGAACATCTAGGAACTTTTTTCAAATTTCCAACTCCTAGAGATTGTCTAAGATGGATAGAGTTCTTTCATAGCTACATTACTAAGATGCCCACATAGACTTTCCTTTTCTGAAAGACGGAAAATCCCCTTCCAGTTACATGCCAAACAAGAGCACTTTCATTTTCCTTCTCGAAAAATAGAGTTCAACACCAGCAAACTTTATCCTTTCACATATGGATATCCAGTTTTCCCAATACTACTTGAAAAGTCTGTCTTTTCTCCATTGGTACCCTACATGGAAGACAACCATCCACGATCGTCTTCTCTTGTATTTAGCTTCTATATCCATCCATCTTTCTATCCACAGGTGTAATTCTTTCTCTCTACAGGTATGAAACCCAAACCATTGTAGCAAAGTGCCCACCTCCTTTAGCCATAATTTCCCTGTCCATCTGCTGGATCCAAGGGCTCTAGGTTAGGTAAGGTGCCAGAAGGCAGCAGGTCAAGGGTGAAAGTAGAATGTGCTTCTCTTCCAGGGGGTCAGCATGGTAGAGAGACAAGAACATGGGATTTGGAGACAGGTGGACCTGGGTTTGAATCTTGGTGTCTCACGTTGCTAGTTTTATAAACTTGGATGCACTGCTTAACTTATCTGAGCTCTGGTTTCCTCATCTGTAAAACAGAACCTACCTTGCAGGGTTGTGAGGATTCAGTAAGAGAAGGAGGGAAGCACAGTGTCTGGCACTTGGTAAAAGTGCCAATAACTGTCATCTCTCCTCGTTAGATTATTCCATGACTTTGGATAAGGAGGCACAGGAGAGGACTGAACCAGAGGTGACTTTAAAGGCCAGCACAGGGAAGAGACACAAATTGTACACCTGGTCTAGGCAGTGTAAATGGTTATGAAAGCTCCTCTGGGCACTTGCACACAGGGGTTGACAAATGAATATTCACTGTTCTTAGAGTGGTTTAAGAATTTGCTGGAAAGCACTGTGACGTTGGGAATGGATAAGGCTCAATGTCCTTGGCACAGAGGTTATCAACCATCTCTCTCAGTCCAAGTTGTTGCTCCTCCAACACATTTTCATGACTAGAAAATTTAAAAATTTATTAGTTAGAAGAGGGTGGGACGGGTCAGGTGAGGTGGCTCACACCTGTAATCCCAGCACTTGGGACGCTGAGGCAGGCGGATCACCTGAGGTCAAGAGTTCAAGACCAGCCTGGCTAACATGGTGAAACCCCATCTCTACTAAAAATACAAAAACTAGCCTGATGTGGTGGTAGTGCCTGTAATCCCAGTTACTTGGGAGGCTGAGGCAGAAGAATCGGTTGAACCTGGGAGCCAGAGATTGCAGTGAGTCAAGATCGCACCACTGCACTCCAGCCTGGGTGACAGAGTGAGACTCCCTCTAAAAAAAATTTAAAAATTTAAAAAAGAAATTAAAAAAAAATCCCACCCACACTTCTAAAAATAGCTATGTGGCTAGGAATGGTGGCTCACACCTATAATTCCAGAACTTTGGGAGGCCCAGGTGGGAGAATCACTTGAGCCCCGGGGTTTGAGACCAGCCTGGGCAATATAGTGAGATCCCCGTCTCTACAAAAATTTTTTAAAAAAATTAGCCAAGTGTGGTGGGGAACGCCTGTAGTCACAGTTACTTGGGAGGCTGAGGTGGGAAGATCCCCTAAGCCCAGAGGCTGAGGCCAAGTGATTGCGCCACTGCACTCCAGCCTGGGCAGTAGAGTGAGTCGCTGTCTCAAAAAACCCCCAAAAACCCCAAACTAAGAAATATGCACAATTAGGCCGGGCACGGTGGCTCACGCCTGTAATCCCAGCACTTTGGGAGGCCGAGGCGGGTGGATCATGAAGTCAGGAGATTGAGACCATCCTGGCTAACAAGGTGAAACCCCGTCTCTACTAAAAATACAAAAAATTAGCCGGGCGCGGTGGCGGGCGCCTGTAGTCCCAGCTACTCGGGAGGCTGAGGCAGGAGAATGGCGTGAACCCGGGAAGCGGAGCTTGCAGTGAGCCGAGATTGCGCCACTGCAGTCCGCAGTCCGGCCTGGGCGACAGAGCGAGACTCCGTCTCAAAAAAAAAAAAAAAAAAAAGAAAGAAATATGCACAATTATTATATGTCCATTAAAAATAAAATAAAACTTTTTTAAAGCCTCAAACTAGAACGCTGGTGATAGAGTTGGGTAAAGTCAAGTAAGAAGGAAGGTTGGGGCAGTCGGGGTGAAAACAGGTGTGTTCTCTCCGGGGCCCCGGGACTGTAATCCTATCGGATGACTATCAACATTCCAGGCACAGTTTGCATATAGATTTGGGCATGCTTTGCATGGAGACAGAAATATTAGAAAGGAGGCTGGAGCTCTAGCTCAGCTTTGCTACATTAGCTTCCAGAATTTGCATTCCAGCTCACCCCATCCTCCCGGGCCTCGGAAGGAAGAGCCCAGCGTCTGGACCCCTCTCGGTGATCCCCTCCCCATTCTTCATCTCATCCCTGGGGACGTATAGCACAGCAGCAGCAGACAAACCTGGGTTCAGAACAAGTCCGGCTTCTGCCTTTTATTGGCTGTCTGACTGTAGGAAGTTACTTCCTCTTATTGCACCTTAGTTAGCTCGTTTATTACATGAGGGTAAAGCAGTATCTACCTGATAGGGGATTGGGAGGATTAAATGAGGTAATCCATTTTTAAAGGGCTTAGAATATACCTGACACACAGCCAGTGCTCAACAAATGTTAGCTTTCATTTTATCACGGGCGACCCCACGCCCTGCCTTGGGGCCCCTCTCATATAGGGAGCACAGGGTTGCTCTCCTTCATCTCACACATTCGATGTCCACTACAGGAAGGGGCGTTACTTTCACCATCAATTGCTCAGGGTTTGGCCAGCACGGGGCGGATCCCACTGCTCTGAATTCAGTGTTTAATAGAAAGCCCTTCCGTCCGGTCACCAACATCAGCGTCCCCACCCAAGTCAACATCTCCTTCGCGATGTCTGCCATCCTAGATGTGGTGAGTGCTGACCTCTCTAGCCCTCCTTGGTGTCCTTAACCTTTTTCCAGCCCCTGGCAAAGTGGCCCCCCAAAGCCCTTATCCACATTTCTGCTTCCTCCACCACTGCTGGATGGCATTTGCCTGGCATGGGGATCTCAAAGAAGCTCTGTCCAGGGCAGCAGGGTGAGGTATAACAGCACATGGAAGAGAATCTTTTCTTCTCTCTCTGGCTGTATACCAGTGACCAGGTTCTAATCTCAGAGGTTTTGATTGGATGAAACCCAAGCCTCGTTTTTGTTTTGTTTTTGTTTTTGTTTTTGTATTTTTTGAGATGGAGTCTCACTCTGTTGCCCAGGCTGGAGTGCAATGGCACGGTCTTGGCTCACTGCAACCTCCACCTCCTGGGCTCAAGCGATTCTCCTGCCTCAGCCTCCCAAGTAGCTGGGATTTCAGGCATGCGTCACAACACCTGGCTAATTTTTGTACTTTTAGTAGAGACGGAGTTTCACCATGTTGGCCAAGCTGGTCTCAAACTCCTGACCTCAAGTGATCTGCCTGTCTCGGCCTCCCAGGCATTACAGGCATGAGCCACCGCGCCCGGCCACATCGATATTTTTAAGCTTCTCGAGTTATTCTCATATACAGCGAGGGTTGAGAAGGACTACTTTACTCCCGCCCTGCTGTGAACTCTCCTGTCCGTAGCCTAACACATGGGTTTGGATAGAGCTTTTGTTCTGGATCACATATCCCCTTTATATACCTTGGGAGTTGGTAAACAAGCATGGGAAGTGGGGGAGATGGAACAGACTTCTTACTGGCAACATGATGGAAATAGGAAATTCTTTTGGCAGAATGAACAGCTGCACCTCTTGTCATCATTCCTGTGGCTGGAAATGGTATGGACAACACTTTATTCTCTCCCTACAGTTACAGTCAAAAAGGATTTTAAACGAAGATATAATAATTATGAATTTTTATGTCCCTAACATTGGTTTGAAACACATGAAGGAGAAATTGAAAAATCGACCATAATGGTGAGGGGCTTTAATACACTGCTTTCAAAATCAAGGAGAGGCTGGGCACGGGTGGCTCACGCCTGTAATCCCAATACTTTGGGAGGCCGAGGTGGGCAGATCACTTGAGATCAGGGGTTTGAGACCAACCTGGCCAACATGGTGAAACCCCATCTCTACTGAAAATACAAAAATTAGCTGGGCATGGTGGCGGGCGCCTGTAATCCCAGCTACTTGGAAGGCTGAAGCAGGAAAATCACTTGAACCTGGGAAGCAGAGGTTGCAGTGAGCCGAGATTGCGCCACTGCGCTCCAGGCTGAGCAACAGAGTGAGACTCTATCTCAAAAACAAAACAAAACAAAACAAAAATCTAGTAGAAAAGGAGTAAATATATAGTGATTTTCACAGCACAATTAAGAAGCTTAGTCTAATAAACATGTCAAACTTTGTATCAATGACCATACATAATTTTTTGTCACACACATAGAGTATTCTCAAAAACTGACCACATTTTTAACCACAAAAAGGTATGAACGCCAGGCAGAGTGGCGCATGCCTGTAATCCCAGCACTTTGGGAGGCCAAGGTGGGTGGATTGCTTGAGCCCAGGAGTTTGAGGCCAGCCTGGGCAACACGGCAAAACCTCGTCTCTACAAAAAAATACAAAAATTAGCTTGGTATGGTGTTTCACGTCTGTAGTCCCAGCTACTGGGGAGCCTGAGATGGGAGGATCACTTGAGCCTGGGAGGTCAAGGCTGCAGTCAGCCATAATTGTGCCACTGCACTGTAGCCTGGGCAACAGAGTGAGACCCTATCACACACCGGGGCCTGTTGTGGGGTGGGGGGAGGGGGGAGGGATGGCATTAGGAGATATACCTAATGTTAAATGATGAGTTAATGGGTGCAGCACACCAATATGGCACATGTATACATATGTAACTAACCTGCATGTTGTGCACATGTACCCTAAAACTTAAAGTATATAAAAAAAAAAAAAAGCTGGGCACAGTGGCTCACACCTGTAATCCCAGCACTTTGGGAGGCCGAGGCCGGTGGATCGCCTGAACTCAGGAGTTCAAGACCACCCTGGGCAACATGGTGAAACACCGTCTCTACTAAAATACAAAAAATTAGCCAGGCATGGTGACATGTGCCAGTAGTCCCAGCTACTCGGGAGGCTGAGGCACAAGAATCGCTTGAGCCAGGGAGACAGAGGTTGCAGTTGGCCGAGATCACACCACTGCACTCCAGCTTAGGCTACAGAGTGAGACTGCATCTCAAAAAAAAAAAAGAAAAGAAAACCTTGTTTCTTGGGAATTTAAAATTAAACTTCTAAATATTTGAGGCAAAGGAGAAAATAAAGCAATTAAGTAGAAATTACGAAGTAATTAGAAATGAAAATTATACATATGAAAATCTATGGAATGTAGTCAAAGCATAACCCAGTGGAAAATTTATATCTTAATTGCATTGATAAGAAAACAAGGTGTGTGGGAGGATGGGGGGAAATAAAAGCAAATGAATTGAGTTTCCAACTTGAAAAGCCTGCTTGATGGCTGGGCTTGGTGGTTCACACCTATAATCCCAGCTCTTTGGGAGGCCTAGGCAGGTGGATCACTTGAGGTCAGGAGTTCGAGACCAGCCTGGCCAACATGATGAAACTCCATCTCTACCAAAAATATAAAAAAATCAGCCGGGTGGTGGCCGGGCGCGGTGGCTCACGCCTGTAATCCCAGCACTTTGGAAGGCCGAGGCGGGTGGATCATGAGGTCAGGAGATCAAGACCATCCTGGCTAACACGGTGAAACCCCGTCTCTACTAAAAATACAAAAAATTAGCCAGGCGTGGTGGCAGGCGCCTGTAGTCCCAGCTACTCGGGAGGCTGAGGCAGGAGAATGGCCTGAACCCAGGAGGCAGAGGTTGCAGTGAGCCAAGATCGCGCCACTGCACTCCAGCCCAGGCAACAGTGCAAGACTCCATCTCAAAAAAAAAAAAAAAAAAAAATTAGCCAGATGGTGGCACACACCTGTAATCCCAGCTACTCAGGAGGCTGAGGCAGGAGAATCGCTTGAACCCGAGAGGTGGAGGTTGCAGTGAGCCGAGATCACGCCACTGCACTCCAGCCTGGGTGACAGAGCAAGACTCCATCTCAGAAAAAAAAAAGAAAGAAAAAGAAAAGAAAAAAGAAAAAAAGAAAAGCCTGCTTGGAGGAAAGGAAGGAAGGAGCTGGAGAAAGATAATACAATCATCTAACCTCACTCTCAAAGTGTGGTTCCCAGACCACCAGCGCTGGCTGATCAAAATTTATGAAGAATGGTCCCAGGCAGGTTCGATTTTATCTATAATTCTCATTTCTTGAAAAAAAAGCAAGTAAATTTAATAAAATATTAATGCCACAAAGTTGGGTTGTAAATACATAGATGTTTGTCACAGCATTTTATATATTTTTCTATATGCTTGAAGTATTTCATAACTTTTTTTTTTAAAGAAGAAATTAAAAGGCAGGAGACTCACCTCTCCTCCACCTGGGCTCTAGGTTTGGGATAACCCATTTATCAGCTGGAACCCAGAGGAATGTGAGGGCATCACGAAGATGAGTATGGCAGCCAAGAACCTGTGGCTCCCAGACATTTTCATCATTGAACTGTGCGTATCAAGGGCTGGTCAGAGGGAAGTCCCATCTCCTGGTAGCCACAGAGATCACAGTTTACCATTGGGGCCACTGTAAGTGGTCTTTAGATGGCTAAGAAACAACCAGAGAGATAAGAAGAGAAACTGAGCCAGGCGCAGTGGCTAATGCCTGTAATCCCAGCACTTTGGGAGGCCAAGGTGGGTGGATCACTTCAGTTCAGGAGTTTGAGACCAGCCTGGGCAACATGGTGAAACCTCATCTCTTAAAAAAAAAAAAAAAAAAAAAATTAGCCAGGCCTGGTGGTGCGCCTGTAGTCCCAGCTACTTGGGAGGCTGAGGCTGAGACAGGAGGATCATTTGAGCCCAGGACATGGAAGTTGCAGTGAGCTGAGAGCATGCCACTCTACTCCAGCCTGGGTGACAGAGCAAGATCCTGTCTCAAAAAAAAAAAAAAAAAAAAAAGAGAGAGAGAAACTGCAGCACCTGCCTCTTGCGTTATCTCTCCTCCAGCATGGATGTGGATAAGACCCCAAAAGGCCTCACAGCATATGTAAGTAATGAAGGTCGCATCAGGTATAAGAAACCCATGAAGGTGGACAGTATCTGTAACCTGGACATCTTCTACTTCCCCTTCGACCAGCAGAACTGCACACTCACCTTCAGCTCATTCCTCTACACAGGTAAGTTGCAGTGAGGTCTCAGGGATGGGGTGAATGAGAGCAACCAACAAATATAAAGAAACTATGAGTAAATGGTGACCAAGGAGTATGGGTGGGGAGAAGAATAAGGCTCTATGGATGCTAAAATATTTTCCATAAAGGCAGAACCCAAGTCTGTCTTGTTCCTTACCATCCCAAGCTCCTGGCAAGTTTCCTGGCATGTGGGAGGCACTCAAAAATATTTGTTGAAAGAAAGGATGGAAAAAGAGTGCAGTTGAGCCACCAGGAAACTATCTCCTTGAAAAATGATTCAGATGGTTCTCATTTTCAGTGGACAGCATGTTGCTGGACATGGAGAAAGAAGTGTGGGAAATAACAGACGCATCCCGGAACATCCTTCAGACCCATGGAGAATGGGAGCTCCTGGGCCTCAGCAAGGCCACCGCAAAGTTGTCCAGGGGAGGCAACCTGTATGATCAGATCGTGTTCTATGTGAGCTTGGAGGCTCTTACTCTTTCCTTCCTCCCGCACTTTTACCCTTGCCTAGAATGTCCATCAAATATGTATCTCCCAAGTTTCAGGGTCTCCCAATGTTACCCTCTCTCCTGGCTTCCCAGCCTCATTCTTCATCCTAAAGCTCAGGGCTCTGGCCTAACTGTCTCTTTGCAGGTTCTATACCAGATTCTAAAGCTGCATTCCCCACAGCTCCAGATCCCAGGGTGATATCAGGCCAAAGAAAAAGGCAGAGACAGAAATTGTCACTGCTATTCCTGGATTTGAGGGTTCCTCTGACCCCATAACTACTTACCACCCTCTCCTACCCCACCAGGTGGCCATCAGGCGCAGGCCCAGTCTCTATGTCATAAACCTTCTCGTGCCCAGTGGCTTTCTGGTTGCCATCGATGCCCTCAGCTTCTACCTGCCAGTGAAAAGTGGGAATCGTGTCCCATTCAAGATAACGCTCCTGCTGGGCTACAACGTCTTCCTGCTCATGATGAGTGACTTGCTCCCCACCAGTGGCACCCCCCTCATCGGTATGGCTCCTCCCACCTTTTGGAAGAGAAGGGTGGGAACTAACTCAGGAAGGGAGGTATTTTGGAAAAAGGAGGCCGTATGCCTGCCAGGGTGGGATTGGAAGAGAAGAAATTCTAGGTGGTGCCTCTGGCCCTCACTAGGCCCCCCTTCCCTCCAGGTGTCTACTTCGCCCTGTGCCTGTCCCTGATGGTGGGCAGCCTGCTGGAGACCATCTTCATCACCCACCTGCTGCACGTGGCCACCACCCAGCCCCCACCCCTGCCTCGGTGGCTCCACTCCCTGCTGCTCCACTGCAACAGCCCGGGGAGATGCTGTCCCACTGCGCCCCAGAAGGAAAATAAGGGCCCGGGTCTCACCCCCACCCACCTGCCCGGTGAGGGAAGTCACATTCCTCTTCCCCCACCTCCACTTCTCTGCTCCTGCCTCCTTCCCTGTCTCCCTCCCTCCACAGGTGACATTTGCAGCCCATGGCTGAGTCTCTGTCTTTCTGTAGGTGTGAAGGAGCCAGAGGTATCAGCAGGGCAGATGCCGGGCCCTGCGGAGGCAGAGCTGACAGGGGGCTCAGAATGGACAAGGGCCCAGCGGGAACACGAGGCCCAGAAGCAGCACTCAGTGGAGCTGTGGTTGCAGTTCAGCCACGCGATGGACGCCATGCTCTTCCGCCTCTACCTGCTCTTCATGGCCTCCTCTATCATCACCGTCATATGCCTCTGGAACACCTAGGCAGGTGCTCACCTGCCAACTTCAGTCTGGAGCTTCTCTTGCCTCCAGGGACTGGCCAGGTCTCCCCCCTTTCCTGAGTACCAACTATCATATCCCCAAAGATGACTGAGTCTCTGCTGTATTCCATGTATCCCAATCCGGTCCTGCTGATCAATTCCAATCCCAGACATTTCTCCCTGTTCCTGCATTTTGTTGGCTTCCTTCAGTCCTACCATATGGTTCTAGGTCCCTCTTACGTCATCTGCATAGCAGACTATACCTCTTCTGTCCGCTGACTTGCCCAATAAATAATTCTGCAGAGATTTCTGGCTCTTTGTCAGGTCGTAGGGTAGAAACTTAACTAACCACCCGGGTGCAGTGGTTCACGCCTATAATCCCAGCACTTTGGGAGGCCAAGGCAGGTGGATCACCTGAGGTCAGGCATTAGAGACCAGCCTGGCCAACATGGAGAAACCTCATCTCTACAAAAAGTACAAAAAATTAGCCGGGTGTGGTGGTGGGTGCCTGTAATCCCAGCTACTCCAGAGGCTGAAGCAGGAAAATTGCTTGAACCTAGGAGGCGGAGGTTACAGTGAGCCAAGATCGTGCCACTGCACTCCAGCCTAGGCAACAAGAGCAAAACTCCGTCTCAAAATAAATAAATAAATAAATAAATATTAATTAATTATCCAGGTGTGGTGGTGCACACCTGTAATCCCAGCTACTTGGGAGGCTAAGGCAGGAGAATCGCTTGAACCCGGGAAGTGGAGGTTGCAGTGAGTGGAGATCGCGCCACTACACCCCAGCCTGGGTGACAAGAGTGAAACTTAGTCTCAAAAAAAGTAAAAATAAAAATAAATAAATAAATACAAGAAACTTGGCTGGGCAGCAGTGGCGCATGCCTGTAATCTCAGCACTTTGGGAGGCCGAGGCGGGTGGATCACTTGAGGTCAGGAGCTGGGGACCAGCCTGGCCAACATGGTGAAACCTTGTTTCTACCAAAAATACAAAAATTAGTCAGAGATGGTGGCGCATGCCTGTAATCCCAGCTACACAGGAGGCTGAGGCAGGAGAATCACTTGAGCCCGAGAGGCGGAGGTTCCAGTGAGCCAAGATCCTGCCACTACACTTCAGCCTGGGTGACAGAGTGAGACTCTGTGAAAAGAAAGAAAGAGGCTGGGCGTGATATCTCACACCTGTAATCCCAGCACTTTGGGAGGCCAAGGTAGGTGGATCACCTGAGGTCAGGAGTTGGAGACCAGCCTGACCAACATGGAGAAACCACATCTCTACTAAAAATACAAAATTAGCTGGGTGTGGTGGTGTGTGCTTGTAATCCCAGCTACTCAGGAGGCTGAGGCAGGAGAATCCCTTGAACCCGGGAGGCAGAGGTTGCAGTGAGCCGAGATAGTGCCATTGCACTCCAGCCTGGGCAACAAGAATGAAACTCCATTAAAAAAAAAAAAGAAAGAAAAGAAAAAAGAAAGAAAACTAACCAGAACTGATAGTTTTAAAACATAACCTGTACATTTCTTTGACTCTTTGATTGTGATAAAGCTTCCATGTCATCAGGAACGATCCTCTCTCCCAAGACTGAAGTGACAACTGTTGGGTTTGAGAAGTTTTAATTCTCTTAGGTGTTTTCAGAAATATTTTCTTACTAGTAGATTCTTTTATCTTTTCCATTATCTTGTACTGATCTCATTTTAGCACTCTCCTAATTTATTATGTTTCATGTTATTCTTTTTCTGGTTTTCCAAGTTGAATTCTCCATTAAAGTGTTCTCAGTCTTTCTATTGATTTTACTCTGAACAGCTTAAGCTGTATCCCATAGGTTTTAGAATAAGGTGATCTCCTCTTCATTACTTTGTAGACAATTCATAATTTGTTTTAATTCTCTCTGATATAAAGGCTATTTGGGGCCAGATGCAATGGCTTATGCCTATAATCCCAATAGCTTGGGAGGCTGAGGTGGGAGGATTGTGTGAGCTCAGGAGTTCAAGACCAGCCTGGGCAACATAGCGAGACCCCATCTCTACGAAAAAAAAAAAATTAGCCAGGCATGTATGGCACACATCTGCAGTCCCACTGTGCAGGAGGCTGCAGTGGGAGGATTGCTTGAGTCCAGGAGATCAAGGCTACAGTGAGTTCTGATTGTTGCACTGCACTCCAGCCTAAGCGACAAAGCAAGGCCCTGTCTCAAAAAAAATAAAAATAGAAATAAAGGCTATTTGGGAGAATGTGTCTTCATATCTATGGATAAGGGATTTTTGTTATTGTTATCCTTTCATTGTTAATTTCTAGTTTCTTGGTTTATGATCAGAGAGCATGGTGTATAAATTTAAACCTTTTTGGATTTATAAAGCTTTCTTGGCCAGGCGCAGTGGCTCATGCCTGTAATCCCAGCACTTTGGGAGGCCAAGGCGGGTGGATCACGAGATCAGGAGTTCGAGATCAGCCAGGCCAATACGGTGAAACCCCGTCTCTACTAAAAATACAAAAATTAGCTGGGCGTGGTGGCGCATGCCTGTAGTCCCAGCTACTCAGGAGGCTGAGGCAGAAGAATCACTTGAACCCAGGAGGTGGAGGTTGCAGTCAGCCAAGATCACACCACTGTACTCCAGCCTGGAAGACAGAGGGAGACTCTGTCCCAAAAAAAAAAAAAAAAAAGCTTTTTCTCTGGCTGAATGCATGATTGGTTCTGTAACAAGCTTTGTTTCAGGACATTTAAAAAGTATATATTTGTGTTCTTAGGTGTTCTTTTTTTTAAAAAAAGTATATATTCTCTCTATATGCATCTACTAAATAGAGCTTATTTATTACATTATTCAAATCCTCTATATCATAGCTTATTTTTGTCTGTGTGGTCTGTTAAAGTTCAAAAGTATTTTATCCATGTTCTCTGGGTACTTGTAGTTTTCCTTTTATATGCTTGACAGCTATGTGATTTGATGCATAAAAATGTATGGTTATTATATCTTCTTGAATTGTGCCTGATTTTATCCTCATATATTGTCACTATTTGTTCTGTTCAATGTGTTTTGAACATGATTTCCATTTGTAGGATAGTGTTGCAAATCTTGCTTTTGCCTAGTATATTTTCGCACATCTCTTTCATTAATTCTTGATTCATTTTTGGAAGAGTAATATACATACAAGGTACAAATATCAAAAGGTACAGTATGGTCTGGGCACAGCGTTTCATGCCTGTATAAAAATAAAAATAATAGACCAGCCTGGCCAATATGGTGAAACTCCATCTGTACTAAAAATACAAAAGCTAGCGGGGCATGGTGGCACATACCTGTGGTCCCAGCTACTTGGGAGGCTGAGGCAGGAGAATCACTTGAACCCAGGAGGCAGAGGTTGCAGTGAGCCAAGATTGTGCCACTGCACTCCAGCCTGGGCAATAGAGGGAGACTCCGTCTCAAAAATAAATAAATAAACAAAAATTTTAAAAAAATTAAAATTAAAAAATAAATAAAATAAAATAAAATAAAATAAAAACGATAACAGCCCTTTCCCAAAACAAACCTCCTTCTTGCCTGGGGACTAGACTGCCTTTATAGGACTAACGAACTAGCCACAAGATTAGAAATTATGGTTTAGGAGTCATGCAGGTGGAGGCTACAAAATTCTGACCCTCCCTAAACTGCTCCTAAGATCAGTGCTTAAGGTATTTTGCAGACCCTGCACTTAATGAATCAGCTGGCCACCAAGATCGATAAACTGACTCATCTGATCTTGTGGCCCCGACCCAGGAACTGACTCAGCACAAGAGGACAGCTTCAACTTCACATGATTTCATCTCTGATCTGACCAATCGGCACTCCTGGCTCACTGGCTTCCCCCAACCCACCAAGTTGTCCTTAAAAACTCTGATCCCCGAATGCTCAGGGAGGCTGATAAAATTCCAGTGTCCCGCACAGCAGGCTCTGCATGAATTACTCTTCCTCTATTGCAATTTCCCTGTCTTGATGAGTTGGCTCTGTCTAGGCAGCAGGCAAGGTGACCCCATTGGCGATTACAGACGCTTGAATTTCACTAGGTTATGTCAAATGTGTGTTTTCACTAATCCTTTCTGTGTCTCAGTGACCTTTTTCAATGTGAATATTTAAATCTTTCTTCTGTTTGGGGAATTTTTTCTAGGATATAAGTAACACTCTACTTACTCTCTTCCATCTGTTCTTTTTCTGTTCAGGCATTTCTTTTTTTTTTTCTTTTTTTTTTTTTTTTGAGATGGAGTCTCGCTCTGTCACCAGGCTGGAGTACAATGGCGTGATCTCAGCTCACTGCAACCTCCACCTCCTCGGTTCAAGCGATTCTCCTGCCTCAGCCTCCCAAGTAGCTGGGACTACAGGCGCACGCCACCATGCCCGTCTAATTTTTGTATTTTTAGTAGAGATGGGGTTTCACCATGTTGGCCAGGATGGTCTTGATCTCTTGACCTCGTGATCTACCCGCCTCGGCCTCCCAAAGTGCTGGGATTACAGACATGAGCCACCGTACCCAGCGCTGTTCAGGCATTTGTGCTATTCACAAGTTAGGTCCTATGGATCTGTTTTCTAAACTGTCTTTTTCTCTTCCAGCTTCCATTTTTTGTGGCTTGGCTTTGTGTTGTGACCAATCTTTCAGACAACAATTCAGTTTTCAGGAGTGACCATTTCTATTCTCAGCTCATCTACTGAATGTTTTAATTAAAAATAATTTTTAATTTCATAAAGTCTTTTTTTATTTTTTTGAGACGGAATCTTGTTCTGTTGCCCAGGCTGGAGTGCAGTGGCACGATCTTGGCTCACTGCAACCTCCACCTCCCGGGTTCAAATGATTCTCCTGCCTCAGCCTCCCAAGTAGCTGGGATTACAGGTGCATGCCACCGTACCCGGCTAATTTTGTATTTTTAGTAGAGATGGGGTTTCACCATGTTGGCCAAGCTGGTCTTGAACTGCTGACCTCAGGTGATCCACCCACCTCGGTTTCCCAAAGTGCTGGGATTACAGGCATGAGCCACCATGCCCAGCCTCATGAAGTCTTTTAAGTGTTCTAATCACATGTCCTAGAAATTATCTTCTCTCCTTTCTTAATCCTACTTCAGAAGGAGCCCTTGTCCTCAATATTCATATTGGTCATTGACATGGTTTATTTATTTTATTTTATTTTATTTTATTTTATTTTATTTTATTTATTGAGATGCAGTCTTGCTCTGTCTCTCAGGCTGGAGTGTAGTGGCATGATCTCGGCTCACTGCAACCCAGTGAGGTTCAAAAAATTCCAAAGATTCTCCCAGGTTCAAAAGATTCTCCTGCCTCAGCCAACCAAGTAGCTGGGATTACAGGCGCCTGCCAACGTGCTTGGCTAATTTTTGTATTTTTAGTAGAGAAGGGGTTTCACCATGTTAGCCAGGCTGGTCTCGAACTCTTGACCTCTCAGGTGATCCGCCCATCTCAACCTCCCTAAGTGCTGGGATTACAGGTGTGAGCTACTGTGCCCGGCCTGACATGGTTAATTTTAAATGTCAATTTGGCTAGACTGTGGCGCCCAGTCGTCTGGTCAAACACTGGTTTAGATGTTGCTGTGAAGGTATTTTGTATATGTGATTGACAATCAGTAGGCTTTTTTTTTTTTTCCTTTTGAGACAGAGTATCTGTTGCCCAGGCTGGAGTGCAGTGGTGCGATCTCAGTTCACTGCAACCTCCGCCTCCTGGGTTCGAGCGATTCTCGTGCCTCAGCCTCCCAAGTAGCTGGGATTACAGGCATGTGCCACCACACCTGGCTAATTTTGCATTTTTTTAGTAGAGACGGGGATTCACCATGTTGGCCAGGCTGGTCTCGAACTTTAGCCTCCAGTGATCCACCCGCCTCGGGATCCCAAAATGCTGGGATTACAGGTGTGAGCCACTGCGCCTGGCCCCGTTGTTTTCGTTGCCTGCTCGTAATTTTGTGTCCTCTCAGTACCTGTATAGGTCACACTGTAAGGTTCTTTCGAAGAAGAGCAAACCAACTTAACTGTGGCGGCCTGGGCCAGGCTGCTTATATGAACCAGTGATGAAACACTGTCATTCTGCTGAAGCACATGGAGGGCATGCCTCAATTCCCAGGTCAATCCAGGAACAAGTAGCAATCCTCTCCCATGTGCAGAGAATGGAAATAATTGAACGTATTCATTCAATTTCCCCTGCCTTCCAACATGAACCAGTCAGGCTGTCCAATGACCACAGCAGCAAACAGTTAGAGGCAGCTCTTCCCCAAGTTCACAGGTTTCTATTTGAAGTCTATCTGCTGGACTCCTTCGGAGGACTGTAAAGCTCTGATCTTTACACAAGCCTCAAAGAGAGACAAGCTTTTTCCTCAATACTGGTCCATATCATTCAATTGGAACCCAAAGAGAGGAAACAAAGGCACAGACCTGACCATCATTCTTCTTTCCACTCTCTTACCTCTTTTCACTCCTTTATTTTCCCCAAACCCCCTACAATGTCAGGGGTGAGATTTTCCCCTGCATCATATCATCATTCTTCCTGACTCTAGTTTCTTGACTAAATGGTAGACAAAGTTGTCTTCTAGATTATGGGGAAAGCTCATAATTTGACCAACTAGGTCAAATTATGCTTGGTATGCTTAAGAGAGATCTAAAAGTATATAGAAATTCCTTTCACTCTCAAACTATTACCTTGCTGAATAATCACAGTTTTAATATGAGCCATTAAATGTTACCTTTTTCAAAACATGGGTTTTTTCATTTTTCATAAATTACAAGTTTATAGAGAGAGAGAAGGAATCTCTCAATTAAAAAAATTAAGGTGCATAACTTCACACTAGTCATGATAAAATGTTAAATAAACTTAAGTTGATTCTAATAATTTGAAACAGCTTCCCATAGGCATTGACAGCTTCACTGGTAAATTTTATCAAATACTTAAAGAAGAATTAATACCAATTCTACACGGTCTCTTTCAGAAATTAAAAGAAGAGGAAACATTTTGCAACTCATTCTATGAGGCCAGTATTATTATCCAGATACTGAAACCAGACAAAGATGTTATATTTAAAAACAAAAAAACTACAGACCAATATCTCATATGAATATAGACGTAAAAATCCTCAACAAAATACTAGCAAACAGACCGGGCACAGTGGCTCAAGCCTATAATCCCAGCACACTGGGAGACCAGGGCCGGTGGATCACCTGAGGTCAGGAGTTCGAGACCAGCCTGGCCAACATGGCAAAACCCCATTTCTATTAATACAAAAAAAATTAGCCAGGCATGGTGGCGTGCACCTGTAATCCCAGCTACTTGGGAGGCTGAGGCAGGAGAAATACTTGAACCCAGGAGACAGACGTTACAGTGAGCTGAGATTGCACCACTGCACTCCAGCCTGGACAACAGAGTGAGACTGTCTCAAAAAAAAAAAAAAAAATACTAGCAAACTGAATCCAGCAACATATAAAAAGGATTATATGCAATGAACAAGTGGAACTCATCCCAAGAATACAAGATTGGTATAATATCAGAAAATCAATTAATGTAATACACTATATTAAGAGAACAAAACCCACATGATCATTTTAATAGCTGCAGAAAAAGCATTTGACAAAATCCAAAACCTTTTATGATTAAAAAATAACACTCAACAAACTAAAAATAAAAATAACTTCCTCAATCTGTTAAAGGGCATCTATGAAAAATCTACAGCTAACATCATACCAAATGGCAAAAAATTGAATCTTTTCCCCCTAAAAGTGGGAACAACACAAGAATATTTATTCTCTCCACCTCTATACAACATTGTACTTAACATTATTCAGGGCAGGCCGGGTGCGGTGGCTCATGTCTCCCAGAACTTTGGGAGGCCAAGGTGGGTGGATCACTTGAAGTTAGGAAGTGGAGAACAGCCTGGCCAACATGGTGAAACCCCATCTCTACTAAAAATACAAAAATTAGCCAAGCATGGTGATGGGCACCTGTAATCCCAGCTATTTGGGAGACTGAGGCGGAAGAATCGCTTTAACACAGAAAGTGGAGGTTGCGGTGAGCCAAGATCTCACCACTGCACTCCAGCCTGGGCGACAGAGCGAACAGTCTAAAAGAAAAAAAGAAAAATAAATAAAAAGGCATCCAGATTGAAAGGAAAAAGTAAAGCAATCTCTGTTTGCAGATGATATGATCCTGTAAATAGAAAATCCCAAGGAATTCACTAACAATCTACCAGAACTAATAAATGAGTTCAGCAAGGTTACAGGACACAAGATCAACATACCAAAAGTATTGTATTTATATATACTAGCAATAAACATTCTGAAAATAAAATTAAGAATCATTTTTAAAAAAATAAGGCATTTAGGGATAAACTTCACAAAAGAAGTGCAACACTTGTATACTGAAAACTAAAAAACACTGTTGAAAAAAATTAAAGAAGATCTAAATAAATGGAAAGATAAGATATACCATGTTTAAGATTTGGAAAGCTTAAATCCTCTGAAGATGCCATTACTCCCCAAATTGATCTACAGATTCAATGCAATCTGTATCAGAATCTTGGCTGTCTTTTTTTTTTTTTTTTTTTTTTTTGCAGAAATTGACAAGCTGATTCTAAAATTCGTATAGAAATTCAAGAGGCCTGCATGCTTTAGCATCCTGGTGCTGCTATACTGCAGAGCCCTGTGGTCCCTTAGCCAAGCTGCCTGAGGAAACCCAGACCCAAAACCAACCGATGGAGGAAGAAGAGGTTGAGATGTTTGCCTTTCAAGCAGAAACTGTCCAGTTGATGTCACTGATCATCAATACTTTCTACTTGAACAAAGAAACCTTTCTGAGAGAGCTCATTTCAGCATTTTTTTTTTTAGCTTTTTATTTTTATTTTGGACACAGCATCTCACTCTGTCACCCAGTCTGAAATGCAGTGGGGTGATCTCGGCTCACTGCAGCCTCCACCTCCCGGGCTTAAGTGATTCTCATGCGTCAGCCCCTGACAAGCTGGGACCATCGGCATGTCCGTCATGCCTGGCTAACTTTTTGTATTTTGGGTAGCGATGGGGTTTCACCATATTGCCCAGGTGGGTTTCACCATATTACCCAGGCTGCTCTTGAACTCCTGACCTCAAGCGATCCACCCACCTTGGCCTGCCAAAGTGCTGGGATTACAGGAGTGAGCCACAGTGCCTGGCTCAAGAGAGCTCATTTCAAATTCATCAGATGCTTTGGACAAAACCTGATATGAAACCTTGACGGATCCCAGTAAATTAGACGCTGGGAAAGAGCTCCACGTTAATCTTATGCCAAGCACACAAGATCAAACCCTTACTATTATGGATACTGAAACTGGAATGACCAAGGCTGACTTGATCAATAACCTTGGTACTGTCGCCAGTCTGGGACCAAAGCATTCATGGAAGTTTTCCAGGCTGGTGCAGAATCTCTATGATTGGCAAGTTCGGTGCTGGTTTTTATTCTGCTTATTTGGTTGCTGAGAAAGTAACTGTGATCACCAAACATAAACATGAGCAGCATGCTCGGGAGTCCTCCTCAGGGGGATCACTCACAGTTAGGACTGACACAGTGAACCTATGGGGCATGGAGCAAAGGGCACCCTGCACTTGAAAGAAGACCTGAGTATTTGGAGGAAAGAAGAATAAAAGAGATTGTGAAGAAGCATTCTCAGTTTATTGGCTATCCCATTACTCTTTTTGTGGAGAAGAAACGTAATAAACAAGTCAGTGATGCTGAGGCTGAAAAAAAGGAAGATAAGAGGAAGAAAAAGAAAGAGTCCAATGACAAACCTGAAATTGAAGATGTTGGTTCTGATGAAGAAGAAGAAAAGAAGGATGCTGACAAGAAGAAGAAGAAAAGTAAGGAAAAGTACATTGATCAAGAACTCAACAAAACAAAGCCTATCTGGACCAGAAATCCTGACGCTATTACTAACGAGGAGTATGGAGAGTTCCATCAGAGCTTGACCAATAACTGGGAAGATCACTTGGCAGTGAAGCACTTTTCAGTTGAAGGGCAGTTGGAAGAGTTGAAGGACAGTCGAAGAGTTTAGAAGAGCTCTTTTTGTTTCAAGATGTGCTCCTTTTGACCTATTTGAAAACAGAAAGAAAAAGAACAACATTCAGTTGTATGTACACAGAGTTTTCATCATGGGTAACTGTGAGGAGCTAATCCCTGAATACCTGAACTTCATTAGAGGGGTGATGGACTCAGAGGATCTCCCTCTAAATATTTTTTCTGAGATGTTGCAACAAAGCAAAATTTTGAAAGTTATTAGGAAGAATTTGGTCAAAACATACTTAGAACTCTTTGCTGAACTGGCAGAGGATAAAAAGAACTACAAAAAGTTCCACGAGAAGTTATCTGAAAACATAAATCTTTGAATATATAGACTCTCAAAATCAGAAGAAGCTTTCAGAGCTGTTGAAATAGTGCACATCTGCCTCTCGTGATGAGATGGTTTATCTCATTGTGTTTTCCAGAATGAAGGCAAACCAGAAACATATCTATTACATTACAGGTGAGACCAAGGACCAAGTAGCTAACTCAGCCTTTGTGGAATGTCTTCAGAAGCATGGCTTAGAAGTGATCTATATGATCGAGTTGATTGATAAGTACTGTGTCCAGCAGCTGAAGGAACTTGAGAGTAAGACTGTAGTGTCAGTTGCCAAAGAGGGTTTGGAACTTCCAGAAGATGAAGAAGAAAAAAAGAAACAGGAAGAGAAAAAAACAAAGTTTGAGAACCTCTGCAAAATCATGAAAGACATGTTGGAGAAAAAAGTCAAAAAGGTGGTTGTGTCAAACTGGTGACATCCCCATGCTGTATTGTCACAAGCACATATGGCTGGACAGCAAACATGGAAAGAATCATGAAAGCTCAAGCCCGGTAAGACAACTCAACAATGGGCTACGTGGCAGCAAAGAAACACCTGGAGATAAACCCTGACCATTCATGATTGAAACCTTAAGGCAAAAGGCAGAGGCTGATAAGAACAACAAGTCAGTGAAGGATCTGGTCATCTTGCTTTACTAAACTGCACTCCCATCTCCTGGCTTCAGTATGGAAGACCCTCAGAGACATACTAACAAGATCTATAGGATGATCAAACTTGGTCTGGGTGTTGATGAATATGATCCTACTGCTAATGATATCAATGCCGCTATAACTAAAGAAATGCCGCCCCTCAGAGGAGGTGATGACACATCACGCATGGAAGAAGTAGGCGGCTCTGGCTGAGGAATGACTTGTACATGTGTTCAATACTCTATCTTCATTCTCTCTGATAATATATTTTCAGGATTATTTTAGTTATTTTTGTTAACATTTAAAAAGTCTGTATGGGGGCCGGGCGTGGTGGCTCACACCTGTAATCCCAGCACTTTGGGAGGCTGAGGCAGGTGGATCACCTGAGGTCAGGAGTTCGAGACCAGCCTGGCCAACATGGCGAAACCCAATCTCTACTAAAAAAAAACAAAATATTAGCCGGGTGTGGTGGTGTGCACCTGTAATCCCAGCTACTCAGGAGGCTGAGGCAGGAGAATCATGTGAACCCAGGAGGCGGAGGTTGCTGTGAGCTGAGATCACGCCATTGCACTCCAGCCCGGGAGAAAGTGGGAGACTCTGCCTTCAAAAAAAAAAAAAAAAAAGTCTGCATGGCATGACAATAACTATTTCAGGGGGAAGGTAAGGTTTCTTTCTACTTCTAAGTGATTTTGTGATACTTCTAAGTGATTTTGTGATACTTCAGGCACTAAAACAGAGCTAGCAATGCTTTTCTAGTTTCACATTGGCTTATTTTAACAGATTGGGGTAATGTGTGTTGTAAGATGTATGTAGGCTGGGTGCGGTGGCTCACGCCTGTAATCCCAGCACTTTGGGAGGACGAGGCGGGTGGATCACCTGAGGTCAGGAGTTCAAGACCAGCCTGGCCAACATGACAAAACCTCGTCTCTACTAAAAATACAAAAATTAGTTGGGTGCTATGGCAGGTGCCTGTAATCCCAGGTACTCGGGAGGCTGAGGCAGGGGAATTGCTTGAACCCAGGAAGTGGAGGTTGCAGTGAGCCAAGATCACGCCACTGTACTCTAGCCTGGGCAACAGAGAGAGACTCCACCTCAAAAAAAAAAAAAAAGAAAGAAAGAAAGAAAGAAAAGAAAAAAAAAAGATGTATGTAACCTAACATTAACTTTGTGATCTAAACTGTTTAAGCTATCAAGCCAGATTCCTTAGTAGGCCAAATCTTTGTCACTGAAGTTTTCTGAGAAATACCTTGATGTTTAGAGGAAAAGTATTTGTTGCATCTTCTAGGATCTACTTTTTAAACTTTTCATCCTGTAGTTGCCAATTCTGCATGTAATTGTCCTCTGGAAATATGTTAAACTGAAGCAACTTGATGGAAGGAACTCTCCACAGGACTTGTTTTCCAAAGGAAAATATTGTTTGCAGGAGCAAAATTATAAGCCTACCTAGGCATATTGTAAAGCTGTTCAGAAATAACCCAGAGCGAGGCTTGTGAATGGAACTGTAGTACCCAAGTCACATTCTGCTTAAAAAGGTTGTAACAAATACAGATGAGTTTAAAAGAAAAAAAAAAAAAAGGCAGAAATGCAACAGGCCCAGAATAATCAAAACAATCCTGGAGCAGAACACAGTTGGTAGACTCACACTTCCTCATTTCAAAACGTACTGCAGGCCAGGCGCGGTGGTTCATACCTGTAATCCCAGCACTTTGGGAGACCGAGGCGAGGGGATCGCCTGAGGTCAGGAGTTTGAGACCAGCCCGGCCAAAGTAGCAAAACCCCATCTCTACTAAAAATACAAAAATTAGCTGGACATGGTGGCGTGTGCCTGTAATCCCAGCTACTCGGGAGGCTGAGGAAGGAGAATCGCTTGAACCCAGGAGGTGGAGGTTGCAGTGAGCCGAGATCGTGGCACTGTACTTCAGCCTGAGAGACAGAGCAAGACTCCATCTTAAAAAAAAAAACTTACTACAAAGATATTGTAATCAAGATAGTGTGATACTGGCATAAGGAAAGACATATAGGTCAACGAAATTCGAATGGAGAGTTCATAAATAAACCCTAACATTTACGGTCAATTTATTTTCTACAAAGGGAACAAAATAATTCAATGATAAAAAGAATAGTTTTTTTCAGCAAATGGTGCTTAGACAACTGGATATCCACATGCAAAAGAATGTCTTTGGACCCCTACCCCTCACACCATACACAAAAATCAACTCAAAATGGATCACAGTCCTAAACATAGGAGCTAAATGTTTTCTTAGAAGAAAACATAGCAGTTAATCTTCACGATCTTGGGGTGGGCTATGATTTCTTATATATGACTATTATAAGCACAAACGATAAAAAAGAAAGATAGATAAGCCTGGGCGCGGTAGCTCATGCCTATAATCCAAGCACTTTGGGAGGTCTAGGCAGGCGGATCACCTGAGGTCAGGAGTTTGAGGCCAGCCTGACCAACATGGAGAAACCCTGTCTCTACTAAAAATACAAAATTAGCCGGGCGTGGTGGCGCATGCCTGTAATCCCAGCTACTTGGAAGGCTGAGGCAGGAGAATCACTTGAATCCGGGAGGCGGAGGTTGTGGTGAGCTGAGATCACACCATTGCAATCTACCCTGGGCAACAAGAGGGAAACTCTATCCCAAAAAAAGAAGAAGAAGAAAGGAAGGAAGGAAGGAGGGAGGGAGAGAAGGAAGGAGGGAGGGAGGGAGTGAGGGAAGGAAGGAAGGAAGGAAGGAAGGAAGGAAGGAAGGAAGGAAGGAAGGAAAGAAGAGCAAGGAAGGAAGGAAGGAAGGAGAAATTGGACTTTATCAAAATTTAAAACTATCATGCTTTAAATAAACCATCAAGAAAGTGAAAAAAGAACCCACAGGCTGGGAGACAATATTTGAAGGTCATATATCTGATACAGGATATGTACCCTGAATACATAAAGAGCTCTTACACCTGAACAATAAATAAACAAATAATCAACGAAAAAGAGCAAAGAATTTGAATAGTCATTTCTCCAAAGAAGATACACAAATGGCCAGTAAGCACATGAAGGCCGGGTACAGTGGCTCATGCCTGTAATCCAGCTCTTTGAGAGGCTGAGGTGGGCTAATTACATGAGGTCGGGAATTCGAGACCAGCCTGGCCAAAAAACCCCATCCCTATTTAAGAAAAGAAAAGAAAAAAAAAACAGCAGGCCAGGTTGGGTGGCCCACGCTATGGGAGGCCAAGATGGGTGGATCACCTGAGGTCAAGAGTTCGAGATCAGCCTGATCAATATGGTGAAACCTGGTCTCTACTAAAAATACAAAAATTAGCCAGGTGCGGTAGCGTGAGCCTGTAGTCCCAGTTACTCAGGAGGCTGAGACAGAAGAATTGCTTGAACCTGGGAGGCGGAGATTGCAGTGAGCCGAGATCACACCAGTGCACTCCAGCCTGGGCAACAGAATGAGACTCTGTCCAGACAAACAAACAAAAAAGCACATGAAAAGGTGCTTGACATCATCAGTCATTAGGGAAATGCAATACACTTTACCCTCCTGAGGATGGATGTTTTTTGTTGTTTTGGTTTTGGTTTTTGCTTTTGTTTTCAGACAGAGTTTCACTCTTGTTGCCCAGGCTGGAGTGCCATGGCGCGATCTTGGCTCACCGCAACCCTCGCCTCCCGGGTTCAAGTAATTCTCCTGCCTCAGCCTTCCGAGTAGCTGGGATTACAGGGATGCACCACCATGCCAGCTAATTTTGCATTTTTTAGTAGAGATGGGGTTTCTCCATGTTGGTCTTGCTGGTCTCGAACTCCTGACCTCAGGTGATCCGCCCGCCTCGGCCTCCCAAACTGCTGGGATTACAGACGTGAGGCACCGTGCCCAGTCAAGGATGGATATGTCTAAAAAAAAAAAAAAAGATAGATAATAACAAGTGTGGATAATAACAAGTTGGAAATCAAAATGGTGTAGACACTTTAGAAAATAGTTTGGCAGTTTTTCAGAATGTTAGACATAGAATTACCATATGACCAAAAAATCCACCCCAAAGTGTATGTTCAGAATATATGAAAACAAATGCTTATACGAAGACCTTTTTGGCCAGGCGTAGTGTCTCACGCCTGTAATCCCAGAACTTTGGGCGGCTGAGGCAGGTGGATCACAAGGTCAGGAGTTCAAGACCAGCCTGGCTAACGTGGTGAAACCCCGTCTCTATCAAAAATACAAAAATGAGCTGTGCATGGTGGCGCACACCTGTAATCCCAGCTACTCGGGAGGCTGAGGCAGGAGAATTGCTTGAACGGGGACCTGGGAGGCAGAGGGTGCAGTGAGCCAAGATGACGCCACTGCACTCCAGCCTGGGCTACAGAGCCAGACTCTGTCTCAAAAAAACAAACACAAAACTTTTCACAAATGTTCATAGCAGCATTATTTATAACACCCAAAAAATAGAAACAACCCAAATGTTCATCAATTGATGAATAGATAAACAAAATATGGTATCTCCATACAATGAAATATTATTTGGTCATGCAAAGGAATGAAGTACTGATAACATCACAAACGGCTAAACCTTAAAACCATTATGCTAAATGAAAGACAAACATACACAAAAAATTGTACGGCCAGATGCAGTGGCTTATGCCTGTAATCCCAACCATTTGGGAGGTTGAGGCGGGCAGATCACCTGAGGCAGGAATTCAAGACCAGCCTGACCAACATGGTGAAACCCCGTCTCTACTAAAAATACAAAAATTAGCTGGGCGTGGTGGCAGGCACCTGTAATCCCAGCTACTTGGGAGGCTGAGGCATGAGAATCGCTTGAACCCAGGAGGTGGAGGTTGCAGTGAGCTGAGATGGTGCCACTGCACTCAAGCCTGGGCAACAGAGTGAGACTCCGTCTCAAAAAAAAAAAAAAAAAAAAGAGAAAAAGCTGCTTTTTAAAAACCACATTGAGTGACATTCTACAAAATAACTGGTCGCTACTTATCAAAAGTATTAAAGTCAGAGCCTGACGTGGTGGAGCCCACCTATAATCCCAGATAATCAGGAGGTTGAGGCAGGAGAATACCTTAAGCCTAGGAGTTTGAGTCTAGCCTGGGCAACATAGTGAGACCCCCGTCTCTAAAAAAAAAAAAAAAGAAAAGAAAAAGAAAGAGTGTCCAAGTCATAAAAGACAAGGAGAGACTAAGGAATTGTCACAGATTGGAGGAAACTAGGAAGAAGTGAAAACTATATGCAATGTGAGATTTTGATCTAATCCTGGAACAGAAAACTGATACTGAGGGGGGAAATTGTTGAAATTCTGAAAAGGTCTGTAGTTTATTTAATAATTTTATATGGCCGGGTGTGGTGGCTCACGCCTGTAATCCCAGCACTTTGGGAGGCCTAGGCGAGCGGATGACCTGAGGTCAGGAGTTGGGGACCAGCCTGACCAACATGGAGAAACCCCATGTCTACTAAAAATACAAAATTAGCCCGGCATGGTGGCTCATGCCTGTATTCCCAGCTACTCAGTAGGCTGAGGCAGGAGAGTCACTTGAACCCAGGAGGTGGAGGCTGCGGTGAGCCGAGATCACGCCATTTTACTCCAGCCTGGGCAACAAAAGCGACACTCCGTCTCTAAGAATAAGACTAAGAATAATTTTGTACTAACGTTAGCTTCCCGACTTTCATAATTATACTATGGTTACATAAGTTGTTAACTTTAAGCAGAAAATATTAGGAAACTCTCTACACTATTTTGCAACTCTTCTGTAAATCTAAAATTATTTGAAAGTAATTTTTTTTTTTGAGACAGGGTCTCACTATGTCACCCAGGCTGGAGTGTAATGGTCCAATCTTAGCTCACTGAAACCTCTGCCTCCCAGGCTCAAGTGATCCTCCCACCTCAGCCTCCAGAGTAGCTGGGACTACAGGTACCCACCACCATGCCGGGCTAATTTCTGTATTTTTTGTAGAGACAGGGTTTTGCCACATCACCCAGGCAGGTCTCAAGCTCCTGAGTTCAAGTAGCCCACCCACTTAGACCTCCCAAAGTGCTGGGATGACAGGCATGAGCCACCATGCCCCTCCTATGAAAACTTTTAAAGTGAGAAATTTAAGAGACATTTCAATCAATTACAATATATAAACATTATTTTGAGCCTGAATAAAACAATAAACATTTATAAGAAAAAGATACTGATGGGAAAATTGGGGAAATTTGAGCAGAGTAGTTAATGATATTTAAAACTATGTTAATTTTCAGTGGAATAATGACACGATTATTTGTGCTAAATGATCATTTTCTTCTAGAGATAAATGCTAGAATATTTACAGATGAAATGATAAGATGTCTAGGATTTGCCTCAAAATAATCCAAAGGGAGAGAGGAAAGTGTAGGGGCAGGTACTGATGAAACAAGATTGAATTGATCATTGTTCCACATGGTGATGGATACATGTGTATCCATGTGTGCTTTTGTACATGTTTAGACTTTTTCTTTATAGTAATAGAAAGTTTTTTAAATTGTTTGTTTCTTTCTCTTTGCCTCCTTTCTGTTACAAATCCTAATTTCTTTGGCACATTCATGCCTCAGGTCAACCAGAGATAACATCACGTATTTGAAAAGGTAAAAGGTGGGGGGGCACATTAGTGACTCTCAAGACATCACCTACAGTAAACTGGTATTGTTGACAGAAAGTTCGGCCGGGCGCGGTGGCTCACACTTGTAATCCCAGCACTTTGGGAGGCCAAGGCGGGCGGATCACGAGGTCAGGAGATTGAGACCACGGTGAAACCCCGTCTCTACTAAAAATACAAAAAATTAGCCAGGCGTGGTGGCGAGTGCCTGTAGTCCCAGCTACTTGGAGAGGCTGAGGCAGGAGAATGCCGTGAACCCGGGAGGCGGAGCTTGCAGTGAGCCGAGATTGCGCCACTGCACTCCAGCCTGGGCGACAGAGTGAGACTCGTCTCAAAAAAAAAAAAAAAAAAAACAAAAAACAAACAAAAAAAAAAACCAAAGACACAAAGTTCAAGGTGGTACTTCCCAATTTCTGGGTTATGGACCTAGGGAACCAATCCTATGGGGTTGGCAAATACACAAATATATCACGTGATCTGTAAATGAAACAAACAGTATCATAAACACACACATACATAGCTATTTTTTTAAATAGTTTTTTTTGGCAAAGACAGGGTCTCACTATGTTGCCCAGGCAGGTCCTGAACTTCTGGTCTAAAGTGATCCTCCTGCCTCAGCCTCCGGAAGTGCCAAGATTACAGACATGAGCCACCGTACCTGGCCAGTTAGCTATTTTTAGAGGTGTTGTAATTTTTATTCATTTTATTTATTCATTTTATTTATTTTTTAGTTTTTTTGGAGACAGAGTCTCCCTCTGTCACCCAGGTTAGAGTGCAATGGTACGATCTCGGCTCACTGCAACCTCTGCCTCCCGAGTTCAAGGGATTCTCATGGCTCAGCCTCCTGAGTAGCTGGGATCACAGGCACCCACTGCCATGCCCAGCTAATATGTTGTATTTCAGTAGAGACAGGGTTTCACCATGTTACCTAGGCTGGTCTCGAACTCCTGAGCTCAGGCAATCCGCTTGCCTTGGCCTCCCAAAGTGCTAGGATTACAGGTGTGAGCCACCACACACACCTGGCCTAATTTTTAAATATGGAGTTTTCTTAATTATCTTTATGTTACCGATTTTTAACTTAATTATACTGTGGTCAGAAAATATGCTTTGTGTCAAAGCATGTCAAACTTTAATGTACATGTGAATCCCCTGGGGATCTTGCCAAAATGCAGGAGGTCGGGGGTGAGACGTGGGCGTCTGCATTTCTAACAGGCTTTCGTGTGATGCTGCTGCTACTGTTGTATGCACCATACTTTTAGTGGAAAAGGTCCATATGATACATGATACCAATTCCTTGAAATCTGTTGAGATTTGCTTTATGTATAATGTTCACAAACATTCCCCAAACATTTGAAAAGACTGCATATTATCCAATTAACGAATGCAGAGTTCCACATAAATTCATTAGATCAAGATGTTTAATTATGATATTCTAGTCTTCTGTTTCCTTATTCATTTATCTGTTTGATCTACCAAATACTGAGATATATTTAAAATGTTTTACTATAATAATGGATTCGTCGATTGTTTATTTATTTATTTTTTTTGAGATGGATTCTCACTCTGTCGCCCAGGCTGGAGTGCAGTGGCACAATCTCGGCTCACTGCAACCTTCGCCTCCCAGGTTCAAGTGATTCTCCTCCCTCAGCCTCCCAAGTAGCTGGTATTACAGGCACGTGCCACCATGCCCAGCTATTTTGTGTGTTTTTAGTAGAGGATTCACCATGCTGCCCAGGCTGGTCTTGAACTCCTGACCTCAAGCAATCCACATGCCTCGGCCTCCCAAAGTGCTGGGATTACAGGTGGTGAGCCACCGAGCCCATCCTGAATCCTTATGTTTTAAGGGTATTGCTTGTAAACAATATATTGCTGAATTTTATTCCTTGGCCCAGACTTTATGTGAATAATAAAAAAGATCTTAGAATGTTTTTAACTCTAGTCACTTCCTGTCTGACTTAACATGTATAAGTAGTTTAGCATTTTCTTTTTTTAGCCGTCCAACTTAGACATTAATATTATTTTATATCATCAATGTTTGTTTATATTTACTCACATGCTTAGCATTTTATTTACTAGAACTTTCACCTTGCATCTCAGACCTTTGTTCTGGAATTTTTCTCCTTCGGCTTGAGGTACATCTTTGAACAGTGCTGTTAATAGAACTTTCTGAAATAGTGGAAATATTCTACATCTGCATTGTCCAATATAGTAGCCACTAGCCACACATGGTTATTAGGTGCTTGAAATGTGGCAAATGTGACTGTATCACTGAATTTTTAATTTTATATAATTTTTATTCACTTATTTATTATTTATTTATTTATATATTTTTTTGAGACGGAGTCTCGCTCTATCGTCCAGGCTTCCAGGCTGGAGTGCAGTGGCATGACCTTGGCTCTCTGCAGCCTCCACCTCCTAGGTTCAAGCAATTCTCCTGCCTCAGCCTCCCAAGTAGCTGGGATTACCAGCATGTGCCACTGCACCTGGCTAATTTTTTGTATTTTTTAGGTGATCCACCTGCCACAGCCTCCCAAAATGCTGGGATTACAGGCGTGAGCCACTGTGGCCGGCCCTATCTTTCTTTGTGTTGGGAACATTACGACCCTTCTCTTCTAGCTACTGTGAAATATACAATAAATGATTGTTGGCTAGGTGCAGATGCTCACACCTGCAATCCCAGCACTTTTGGAGGCTGAGGCAGAGGATTGCTTAAGGCCAGGAGTTTGAGACCAGCCTGAGCAACATGACGAGACCCCATCTCTACAAAAAAAATTTAAAAATTGGCTGGGCATGGTGGCACATGCTTGTAATCCTAGCTACTCAGGAAGCTGAGGTGGAAAGATTGCTTGAGCCCAGAAATTCAAGGCTACAGTGAGCCATGATCATGCCACTGCACTCCAGCCTGGGTAATGCAGCCAGACTCTGTGTCTAAAAAATAAAAAATAAATAAATAAATTGTAAAATTATTAGCTATAATTTCCCTACTGTACTATCAAATACAAGAACATATTCTTTCTATCTAACTGTATTTTTGTTCCACTTAATCAGCTTCTCCTTAATCATCTTAAGGCCAGGATTGCTGGCCTTAAGCAATCCTCCTGCCTCAGCCTCCAAAAGTGCTGGGATTGCAGGTGTGAACATCTGCACCTAGCCAACAATCATTTATTGTATATTTCACAGGAGCTAGAAGAGAAGGGTTGTAATGTTCCCAACACAAAGAAAGATAGGGCCGGCTACAGTGGCTCACGCCTGTAATCCCAACACTTTGGGAGGCCCATTCAGGAAGCTCAAGCTGTCTTCAAGAGGGCTGGTCTGTGCATATCTGGATCTCAATAAAGGTCTTTCGATGATCAGTTGTCTATTTTTGTTTATCTGAAAATGTATTTATTTTACCCTTGTTCTTGAAATATAATTTTTCAGCTGGTCATGATGGCTCATGCCTGTAATCCCAGCACTTTGGGAAGCCGAGGTGGGAGGATCACTTGACCTAGGAGCTCAACACCAGCCTAGGCAACATAGGGAGACCCTGCCTCTATTAAAAAAGAAATAAATATTTTTTAAAATAAATTTTTTTTTGAGATGGAGTCTTACTTTGTTGCCCAGGCTGGAATGCAGTGGCGCCATCTCGGGTCACTGCAAACTCCGCCTTGCGGGTTCAAGTGATTCCCCTGCCTCAGCCTCCTGAGTAGCAGAGATTACAGGCGCATGCCACCGTACCCATCTAATTTTTATATTTTTAGTAGAGACGGGGTTTCGCCATGTTGCCCAGGCTAGTCTCGAACTCCTGACCTCAGGTGATCCACCTGCCTCAGCCTCCCAAAGTGCTGGGATTACAGGCGTGAGCCACTGTGCCCAGTCTAAAAATAAATTTAAAAAAAGAAAGATAATTTTTCTGGGAAGACAATTCTACGTTGACATTATTTGATCTCAACGCCTTGAAGATGTTATGCCATTTTCTCCTGGCTTCCATTTGTGCTGTAGTGAAGTCAATCTTATTTTTGTTCCCTTTTAGGTAATACTGTGTATATTTTCTCTCTGGCTGTTTCTAATTTTCTGTTGTTGTTGTCTTTGGTGTTTTGCCAACAATAAGTGCCACAGTGTTGCTAACCTGTGACCCACCAAACTAAGGGACTCCTTCCTGCCCAGGCATTGGGGAAACTGGCTATTTCTCTTGGTCAACTGTTTAGAAAGGAGTTTCCACAGCGGAACTCTTGGCACTGGGTGACCCTTATCTATGGTGACCATTCATTTGAGAGGGCCAGGAACTGAGCAGCTTCCTTCAGCCCAGGAGGCAGGATTTTCAATTGCTATTTTTAGTAGAGATGGGGTTTCACCATGTTGGCCAGGCTGGTCTCGAACTCCCGACTTCAGGTGATCCACCTGCCTCGGCCTCCCAAAGTGTTGGGATTACCGGCGTGAGCCACTGTGGCCAGCCCTATCTTTCTTTGTGTTGGGAACATTACAACCCTTCTCTTCTAGCTACTGTGAAATATACAATAAATGATTGTTGGCTAGGTGCAGATGCTCACACCTGCAATCCCAGCACTTTTGGAAGCTGAGGCAGGAGGACTGCTTAAGGCCAGGAGTTTGAGACCAGCCTGAGCAACATAGCGAGACCCCATCCTCCCTCTGGATTCAAGCCCCTGATGTTTCGGCTGATCCATTCAGCCACACCTTTTTCTCCTGGCAATACTCTCAGGAACTTCATTGTCTCTCTCCATTCCAGCCCCAGTCAGGAAGCTCAAGCTCTCTTCAAGAGGGCTGGTCTGTGCATGTCTGGATCTCAGTGTAACCAGGTAAAATTTGTTTCCACAGGGCTCTTCTAGGCTCCATGAACATCATGGATGTGGCTGGCTCCCACTTCACAATCCTGGAATGCTCTGTATCAACAGGGATCTGAAGAGTCTAACAATTGTTGGAGAGGTTGGAGCGCAGCACAGCAATTACCTCTAGGGGGGGCGGTGTTGCCAAACTCCACAAGCCACTCTGGCCTCTCATGAGGCAGGGCCCAGCCAAAGTAGTGTATTTATTGTTAATGACTTTATTTTCATTTTTTCTCCCTTCTCTTCCCTTAGGATTTTGAGTAAAGTCTCTTCTGAAAAATCCCAACCTGTTTCAACTCTACTATGGATAAAACTTAAAGGACATTTTTTCCCTCAAACCTCAGCCTAGAAGACAAAAAGAATTGTTATACCCTGGAGACTAGGTATATCTCTGGACATGCTAAGAAAAACAGGGAAGAACTCAGTTGTTTTTTGTTGTTGTTGTTTTTGATTTTGTTTTTGTTTTTGTTTGAGACAGAGTCTCGCTCTGTCACCCAGGCACAGTGGGTGATATCAGCTCACTGCAACCTCCGCCTCCCAGGTTCAAGTGATTCTCCTGCCTCAGCCTTCCAAGTAGCTGGAATTACAGGTGCACACCACCATGCCCGGCTAATTTTTGTTTTGTTTTGTTTTGTTTTGTTTTTTAGCAGAGATGGGGTTTTGCCATGTTGGCCAGGCTGGTCTCGAACTCCTGACCTCAGGTAATCCACCCACCTCGGCCTCCCAAAGTACTGGGATTACAGGTGTGAGCCACATATCCAGTCCAGAACTGTATTTCTTCTGTCATTTTCTAGCAACCTAGGACACGGACCTCAGCTATCCCATAGTATATTTAGAACTCAACTACTACTGCAGACCCAAAGTAACTAGAAAAATAAATGATACTCACAGCAGTGAACAAGCTTGGTCCACTAAGCAACAAGTGAGCCCAGCTGAGAAGCACAAAAGGCCCCAAGACTTACCCTCAAGGTGCTCCACCAGTTTAATGCTTCCTGTCACCAGAGCCCTGGCTCTTTAGCAGTGCCTAGAAAAAGCCAGCTCTTGTATACGCATCAAGGGTGCCCTGAAGGGGACATATCCTACCATTATTTTAATATATTTATAAGTAGAATTTTGGAATGGGAAAAGTGCCACTTAAAGTTAGAAGAAAACAGGCCAGGTGCAGTGGCTAATGCCTGTAATCTCAGCACTTTGGGGGGCCGAGGCGGGCGGATCACTTGAGGTTAGGAGTTTGAGACCAGCCTGGCCAACACGGTGAAACCCTGCCTCTACTAAAAATAGAAAAATTGGCTGGGTATGGTGGCACATGCCTGTAATCTCAGCTACTCAGGAGGCTGAGGCAGGAGTATTGCTTGAACCTGGGAGGTGGAGGTTGCAGTGAGCCAAGATCACACCACTGCACTCCAGCCTGGGCAACAGAACAAGACTCTATCTCAAAAAAAAAAAAAAGAAAAAAAAATAGAAGTGTTACTAAGGATGTGAAGAAATTGAAACCCTTGTTCACTGCAGGTGGGAATGTAAAATGGGGCATCTGCTGTAAAAATTATATATATGGCAGCTGAGTGTGGTGACTCATGCCTATAATCCCAGCACTATGGGAGGCTGAGGCAGGAGGATTGCTTGAGCCCACGAGTTTGAGGCTACAGCGAGCCATGATTGCGCCACTGCACTCCAGCCTAGGTGACAGAGCAAGACCCTGTCTCAAAAAATGGGGGCCAGGCACGGTGGCTCACGCCTGTAATCCCAGCACTTTGGGAAGCCAAGGCAGGTGGATCACCGGAGGTCAGGAGTTTGAGACCACTGTGGCCAAAACAGTGAAACCCCCGTCTCTACTAACAATACAAAAATTAGCCAGGCGCAGTGGTGTGCACCTGTAATCCTAGCTTCTAGGGAAGCTGAGGCAGGAGAATTGCTTGAACCCGGGAGGCAGAGGTTGTAGTGAGCCGAGATCGTGTCACTGCACTCCAGCCTGGGTGACAGAGTAAGACTCCATCTCAAAACCAAAAAAAAAAAAAAAAAAAGAAAAGAAAAGAAAAATGAAAAAAAGTATGGCAATTTCTCAAAAAATTAAATGTAGAGTTACCATATGATACAGTAGTTCCATTTATTTCAGTGAAAACAGGGACTGGAACAGATATTTGTACGATCACGTTCGTAGTGGCATTATCCACAATAGCAAAAGGGGGAAACAACCGAAGAAGTGTCCATTGACAGATAAATGGATAAATAAAATGTGGTATCTACAGCCAATGGATTATCATTCAGCCTTTAAACGGAAGGAAATTCTGAAACATGCAACAATATGGATGAACCTTGAGGACATTATGCTAAGTGAAATAAGGCAGATACAAAAAAAATACTATGTGATTCCTCTTATATGAGGGACCTAGGGCAGTCAAATTCACAGAGACAGAAAGTGGCATGGTAGTTGCCAGGAGCTGGACTGAGTGGGAAATGAGGATTGTGTTTAATGGGTACAGAGTATCAGTTTTACAAAATGAAGAGTTCTGTGGGTGGATGTTGGTGATGGTAGCACAACAACGTGAACATAAGTAACACTACAGAGTTGTATACTTAAAAATGGCCAACTTCGATCAATTTTCCATGCCAAGGTTAAAAAATTGTTAAGATGATAACTTTTATGTTTTGTTGTATTTTTACCATAATCTTTTAAAAACAGCCTCAGCCTTGGGAGAGTCAGGAATTACTTTTGTTTGTCTACAGTTGATCACATACTCAGTTACTGACTAGCAACAACCAGTCATTCGTTCAACAAATATTTAGTGAGCATCTGCCATGTGCCAGTTACTCTTCTAGGTACCTGGGGTATAGTAGTGAATAAAATAAACAGAAGGCCCACAGAGATTATATTCTAAACTGATTTCATATTCAAGACTCATTTTGAAATCTAAATTCAGAGAAAGAACCAGAACTAGCCTGAGCAACACAGAAAGACCCCATTTCTACAAAAACTACAAAACTTAGGTGTGGTGGCAGGTGCCTGTTGTCCCAGCTACTCTGGAGGCTGAGGAAGGACTGCTTGAGCCCAAGAGTTTGAGGCTGCAGTGAGCTATGATTGTGCTACTGTACTCCAGCCTGGGCAACAGAGCACAACCCTGTTTCTAAACAAAAAGAAAGAAAGAAAAGAAAAGAAAAAGAGGCTGGGTGCGGTGGCTCACACCTGTAATCCCAGCACTTTGAGAGGCCAAGGCAGGTGGATCACCTGAAGTCAGGAGTTTGAGACCAGCCTGGCCAATATGGCAAAACCCCACCTTTATTAAAAATACAAAAATCAGCCAGGTGTAGTGGTGTGAGCCTGTAATCCCAGCTATTCAGGGGGGCCTAGGTAGGAAAATCACTTGAACCTCGGAGGCAGAGGTTGCAGTGAGCCAAGATCGTGCCACTACACTCCAGCCTGGGAGACAGAGTGAGACTCTGTCTCAAAAAGAAAAAAAAAAAGAAAAAGAACCAGAACTGGCAGTTGACCAAATATATGAAAAAATGTTCAACCTCACTGAAATAGAGAAATGCAAATTAAAACTACACTTATTTTCCTTTACAGATTGGCAGAAACTCCAAACTATTGACAAAATACTCTGTTGGTGAGGCTATGGGGAAACAGGCGCTCTCATACATTGCTGGTGTAAGTGCAAAATGACACATTGTCCAGGGAGAGCAATTAAGCAGTATCTCCATGAATTCCACCAGTGCCTCATCAGGCTTGCCAGTGAGTTCAACAATGTACCTTCTGCCATGGGAATTGCATCCAATTTGAACCAGTTACTCTAATTCAATAATAAATTCTAAGAAATAAACGCAAATTTATAAAGACTATATGTAGAAAGATGTTTATTGCAGCATTATTTGTAATCGTAGAAACTGCAAAAAAAATCTGCAATGTTTCTCAAGAGAGAAATGGTTCGATAAACAATGGTATACTCGTGCTATGGAATATTATGGAATCATTGAAAATGGCTATGTTTGTCTACTTTCCCACATATGTTAAATAAAAATCAAGTTGCAGACAAAATGCATAATCATCAAAATAGCTAATACATTACCTTCACAATGTGTCAATGCCTGTTCTAAGGGCTTTTCATATATTATTTCATTTAATTCTCACAATAACTTTATGGGATAAGTATTATTATTATCCCATTTCAAAGATGAAGAAGTCCAGGCATAAAGAGGCTGAGTAGCCCAAAGCTATCCAACTAGGGCCTGGAACCGAAGCCAGGCAGTCTGGCTCTGGCATACCAGCATATAACCATAATTATCTAAACATAATTCTGTGTTTGAATACATGTGGATATACATATATTATGTTTGAATATATATGTATGGGTGTGTGTGTGTGTGTATGTAGGCATACACTCTAGCTCTAGTTCTAGACATATAAATTTAGGGAAGAAATGAATACCCATCAAATTATTAAGAATGGTTATGACTCTACAAATTGGATAGGATGAAAGAAGTAGGGAAAGGAATTTTTACTTCTTTATGTAGTGTGTGTGAGAGATTATGTATATGTGGTTTCCAATATATTTCAAGTAAGTTTTTAAACAACAACAACAAAAAACAGTTTGAGAGAGTCTTCCTGAAACTCGTCTATTAAAATCATATCCATATAGCTACCAGTCTACAGAATTTTAAGACCTGGATTTACCATAAGCACAAATGCCTTTCGGCAGCGGATTCACCACTTCCCAACTTCCCAAGGTTGCGGGAATCATTTAAAATAAATTCTGCAATCGGACCTACTTTCCATACCCAAACACCCCCCCAAGAGTGTGTGTGTGTGTGTGTTTGTGTGTGTGTGTGTGTGTCCTATTTAATTCCTTCTCCCCTCCCCCATTTCTACCTCTGGATTTGTAGGGCAGTTGAACATTCCTTTTCTACAACGTGCATTCATTTAATGGAAAACTTTTACTTAGTTGGCTTCAGCCTTTCCTTTTCTAGGATAAATCAAATGGTTTTCGTTCCGCACCCTAACGAGGCAAGAAATGACAAACTCCTCGGTCCCCCTAGGCGGGCGCCGGAGCACGACGGGTCAAGTCGGAATCGCCACGTGGAAACAGCTCTCAGCATCGCGAACTCCAAATCCCGACGTGCAACGCGGGGCGGGATGGGAACAGTTTGCAGGAACTGCAGAAGCCTGTGGCGTGGAACCTGGACAGGTCCCGTGCAGAAAGGGCGCTATGCCTTACAGAAAAGTTCCTTGCCTCCCAAATGACGCCCAGCCTTCCTGCCCCGTTCCACCGCTTTCCCACGGCCCCGCCCCTCTACAGAGTTGGTTTATTCCCCGCAGCCACCGCTTCTTTCCCCAAAGAGAAAAAGGTGCTGCTGCGCCTTTTCAAGCCTTGGACCTTTACGCCCGCACTTTCCTCTGCCCAGAAAGCTTACTGCTTAACTCCAGTACAACTTACTGGTGCGCCTGGATCCACCCCCGTCTCCACTCTGCTTAAGACACAGGAGGCTGATAGGCTGGAAGAATGAATAGATGACATAAAATAGTCATTGTTATCCCCACATAACTTGGCAGCAAGATTGTGGAACTCTGCAGTCAGACAGATCGGGTTCCAATACCAGTTCTTCCACTTACTAGCTGGGTAAACTTCCTTCATCCTTCTGAGAGTTCAAGAAACGTTTGCTGAACGAATGAATAAGATGTTTTGCAGAGATAATGCTTGTATCGTGCCTGGCCCAAAATCAGCGCTCAATGGAATTACTGGTCTCCCTACTATATGCCTGCCACCTTCTCTATTTATGCAGGTTCTGAGTTCCTCGCAGCGGGGGAACATCTGGCTCGGTTCTATCTCCCCAAGGCGCTGGGTTCCCAGAAGTTTCTAGAATGAATACGGAGGGCTACATATTTCACATGCGCGGGGCGGGGAAACTGCTGGGCGATTACAGATTCCCGATGGAGCTGGCCCCTTCGTGGCGACCACAAGTCCTATCACGCCACAAGAATCTCGGCTTGTTCACCTACAAATGAAGGCCGACGATACTTGCAGACCGAGTCTGACATCTATGGGACCCCACTCCTACCCTGCGCCTCAGGGGCCGGGACAACCGTGACCCGTACCGACTCCTCGCGCCTCCGGGATCAACCTCAGACCCCTGTGGGCTCCCGGGGAAGACGCATGCGCACTGCTCCCTCCTCGTCTCCTTCCCTTCGTTAATTAGTCCATCGCATTTCAAGTGCTGGATCCTTTTTGTCCCCTACTGCGTGCGGTGGCAGCTTCCTTGCGGAAGTGGTGACCGTGAGAGAAGAAGATGGCGGCCCCTGTAGTGGCGCCGCCTGGTGTGGTGGTTAGTCGGGCTAACAAGCGCAGCGGCGCGGGGCCGGGAGGCAGCGGTGGCGGGGGAGCCAGAGGGGCGGAGGAGGAACCGCCGCCGCCCCTACAAGCAGTTCTGGTGGCCGATAGCTTCGATCGCCGCTTCTTCCCCATCTCCAAGGACCAGCCTCGGGTGAGCGCCGCGCACGCGAGCAGCCAGAGGGCAGGAAGGGTGGCAGGGCTGGAGCAAGTTCTCATTTCGGCTAACTACAACAGCATGCCCTTGAAGGACCTGCGTCTATGCTGTTATCCTAAAACCGGATGCAGAGGGACTGTCTAAACCCTGATGACTGCTGACCAAGTTAGTGGCCGGCAGATTTGGGCATTCGTAATGCTGTCCACCTCGGGTTTGAAAGGAATGAAGAGAGCTAAATGTAGAAACAGCGCTTGAGAGAAGCCTTCACGCGGGGATTCAGTGCCCCTAGAAGAGGCTGCGCCGCTTTTAACCTTGCCGATGACGGTTGCTTAGGTGAAAAGAAACGACCTTTTGCCTCTGAAAGGGCGGTAATATGCCTTAAAAAGAGCGGGCTAGATCTCAGGCAGTGTATTTTTTTTTTCCTTCCAGGTTCTAATGATAGCCGGTGCTATCTGTCGAAAGGACAAAATGGGTTTAGTGGTTGATTGCCATCAGCCCCCGAGTTGTCTAGACAATGGGGTATTGGACTCAGCTGGGTCGTTCAGCAGTCAGTTCAGAAAGAGGGAACTGCATTGGATTTAAGGAAAATCCTCTCTAATTCCCTCGAAAAAGCCTAATGGCTGTTCATTTTTGACAAGTGACGGGAGATGGCTAACCTCTGACACTTAGAAAGGGATCAAGGAAGGAAATCTTATGGGGAAGAAGGCCTTAGCAATGCTTAAATTTATGGAAATATGATTGATTTCCAGTATTATCCTTTGCCAGCAGTGAACTGCCATTCTGTCACAGCTCTGTGTCTGATACAAGGCACATAGATTCTGTACTTACCATCCCCAAATTGCAATGTCTCAGACTCAGGCTTAGAGCATGGCATGAACATCAAAGGCAGGAACCTGTTTATCTTTGAATTGGAAAGATACAGCAAAATTACACTGTTTGGAAATACGAATAGAGGAGTGAAAATTGTTGCAGTGGGGTACCCAAAGGGATTCGAGACCTCAAGTTTTTTTTCATCTTGTATCCTTCAGGTCCTCTTGCCCCTGGCCAATGTGGCATTAATTGACTACACTCTGGAATTCCTGACTGCCACAGGTGTACAGGAAACATTTGTCTTTTGTTGCTGGAAAGCTGCTCAAATCAAAGAACATTTACTGTAAGGCCCTGCAACTTTTCTTTCCATGTTTCGCCATCTTTTTCCAGTTTTTTCAGGATGAATGTAACTAAGGGGAAATGTGAGAGGGGAAAAATGTGTCTACTTAGATGTCATTGTAAGTTCTAAGGGTATTTTCTACACTTATCAGGAGGTGAGCAGCTGAAACTTTGTATCTGTCTGTCTTGGGTTTTCTGTGACAAAGATTAAAGAATAAACTTGGGTTTTTTCTGAATCTCATTATAAAGTTTGGTGCCAGTGGACTTTGCTTTTATTTAATGGCTTCAGTATGGAAGTTACAATGATAACATCTTTGTTTTCCCACTGAGTTTCTAAATCTTGTTTGTTCTCACCTTCAAGGATATAAATGAGCTCCTTGTCATCTTTGTATTCCCACTGCCTAGCTCAGTCCCAAGCATATAGTGAGCACTTACATGTTTGTTGAAATCTTGAAAACTAGGGAATCGCATTGCTTATGGAAGTCCAGGATGTAAAGACTAGGACATTAGCATGGTCTCCATCAGACAGTTCCTAAATGTTATATGGATTGCAGAAGGGGAAAGCTGACGTGAAGCGTGTTCCCAGGCTACTTTGTGTACCCTAGGCTTCAGCAGGATTTTGAGTTCAAATTGATGTTTAGGGACAAGGGGTCAAGGTATGGAGAGGAAATAACCATGTTTCCTAACCCATAAAACAAGACTGGTGACACAGGATGCTGAAAGCATTCATTATAGTTCATAATACTCTTTGAAGTTGAAGACGCTGGCAAGAACCCAAAAAAGCCATCGAGAAGGACTGTGAGTGCTGAAAGGGGGTGAAAAATGGGGAAGGCTCAAATGATCTTTATGCTTGATACACTCATTCCCCTCACCCTCCCTTCCTTTAGGAAGTCAAAGTGGTGCCGCCCTACATCTCTCAATGTGGTTCGAATAATTACATCAGAGCTCTATCGATCACTGGGAGATGTCCTCCGTGATGTTGATGCCAAGGCTTTGGTGCGCTCTGACTTTCTTCTGGTGTATGGGGATGTCATCTCAAACATCAATATCACCAGAGCCCTTGAGGAACACAGGTCAGGATGGGAAAATGACAGGAACAAGGGTTAAAGACCAGCAGAGCCCTGAGACTGCTTTTTTGCAGTTCTGTCCCTCCTGTCCTTTATAGGTTGAGACGGAAGCTAGAAAAAAATGTTTCTGTGATGACGATGATCTTCAAGGAGTCATCCCCCAGCCACCCAACTCGTTGCCACGAAGACAATGTGGTAGTGGCTGTGGATAGTACCACAAACAGGGTTCTCCATTTTCAGAAGACCCAGGGTCTCCGGCGTTTTGCATTTCCTCTGGTGTGTGGATATCTGGGGTCCTTTGAGATGGGGAAGTGACAGGCTTCAGTGGGAGAAACAAATTAAAGTCCTTGTAACTTCTCCCCACAGAGCCTGTTTCAGGGCAGTAGTGATGGAGTGGAGGTTCGATATGATTTACTGGATTGTCATATCAGCATCTGTTCTCCTCAGGTGAGCTCTTTAGGGCTGGGGCTGCACACCCAAAGAGTAGAACTCTGTGGGTCTGTTATTGTCCCCTTAGAAGGCCAGGGTATATTTCTTCTCCCTGTTTATTTTCATTATTTTTACTTTTATTTTTTGAGACAGAGTCTCGCTCTGTTGCCCAGGCTGGAGTGCAGTGGTGTGATCCCAGCTCACTGCAGACTCTGCCTCCTAGGTTCAAGTGATTCTCCTGCCTCAGCCTCCTGAGTAGCAGGGATTACAGGCACACCACCATGCCTGGCTAATTTTTGTATTTTTAGTAGAGATGGGGTTTCACCATGTTGGCCAGGCTGGTCTCGAACTCCTGGTCTCAAGTGATCTACCTGTCTCAGCCTCCCAAAGTGCTGGGATTACAGGCATGAGCCACCACACCTGGCCTTATTTTCATTTTTATTTATATATATTTTTTGAGACAGGGTCTCGCTCTGTGGCCCAGGCTGGAGCACAGTGGCACCATGACTGCTCACTGCAGCCTCAGCCTCCCAGGTTCAAGGGAACCTCCTGCCTCAGCCTCCTGAGTAGATGGAACCACAGGCATGCACTACCACTAATTTTTGTATTTTTTTGTAGAGACGGGGTTTTGCCATGTTGTCCGGCCTGGTCACGAACTCCTGAGCTCAAGCAATCTGACCACCTCAGCCTTCCAAAATGCTGGGATTACAGGCATGAGCCACCAGTTTTTTTTGTTGTTGTTGTTGTTATTGTTGTTTTGAGATGGAGCCTCGCTCTGTCGCCCAGGCTGGAGTGCAGTGGCATGATCTCAGCTTACTGCAGCCTCCACCTCCTGGGTTCCAGTGATTCTCCTGCCTCAGCCTCTCAAGTAGCTGGGACTACAGGTACGCACCACCACATCCGGCTATTTTTTGTATTTTTCAGTAGAGATGGGGTTTCACCATATTGGCCAGGCTGGTCTCTAACTCCTGACCTCAGGTGATCCTCCCGCCTTGGCCTCCCAAAGTGCTGCAATCACAGGTGTGAGCCTCTGCACCCAGCATTTTTTTTTTTTTTTTTTTTTTTTTTTTGAGTCGGAGTTTCACTCTTGTTGCCCAGGCTGGATGCAATGGTGCGATCTCAGCTCACTGCAACCTCCACCTCCCAGGTTCAAGCAATTCCCCTGCCTCAGCCTCCCAAATAGCTGGGATTGCAGGCATGTGCCACCACACCCAGCTAATTTTTGTATTTTTAGTAGAGACGAGGTTTTACCATGTTGGTCAGGCTGGTCTCGAACTCCCAACCTCAGGTGATCTGCCTGCCTCGGCCTCCCAAAGTGCTGGCATTACGGGCATGAGCCACTGCACCTGGCCTTTTTTTTTTTTTTAGAATCTATTGTAAAGCAAAGATCTTGTCTCCAGTATCCCACTGGGAGTCTCTTTGGAATTCTGGTCCATGTTCAGCTGTCATAGGGTTTGCTAGGTCTCTGGGGGATTATCTGTGCTCCTAGAGAATAGTACTTAATCCTGGCCAAGCGTGGTGGCTCACGCTTGTAATCCCAGCACTTTGGGAGGCCGAGGTGAGTGGATCATGAGGTCAGGAGTTCAAGACCAGCCTGACCAACACAGTGAAATCCCATCTCTACTAAAAAATAAAAATACAAAAATTAGCTGGGCGTGGTGGCGGACGCTTGTAATCCCAGCTACTTGGGAGGCTGAGGCACAAGAATCACTTTAACCCAGGAGGTGGAGGTTGCAGTGAGCCGAGATCATGCAACTGCACTCCAGCCTGGGCAACAGAGCTAGACTTGTCTCAAAAAAAAAAAAAAAAGAATAGTACTTAATTCTAGCCCACTCCACTTCCCTTCCACAGGTGGCACAACTCTTTACAGACAACTTTGACTACCAAACTCGAGATGACTTTGTGCGAGGTCTCTTAGTGAATGAGGAGGTGAGAAAAGTCTTCCAATGCCTCTTTAGGAGAGAGGAGAAGGCTATGATTGTATCTCATGCTGGTAACTTTTGATCTTTTTTGTATTTTATTGAGGCTTAGGAGGGAGGAAAAGCAGGGGACAGGAGGAACAGTACACAAAGAAGAATCTTTGTGGCAGTGAGAGGCAGAGGGGAACTTAAAAGGATTAGAAAAGTTGTACTTGGGGGCATTCTTCCTGTCTTTCTTGCTTAGGTGACCTCCCTTTCCTTCTCATTCAGATCCTAGGGAACCAGATCCACATGCACGTAACAGCTAAGGAATATGGTGCCCGTGTCTCCAACCTACACATGTACTCAGCTGTCTGTGCTGACGTCATCCGCCGATGGGTCTACCCTCTCACCCCAGAGGCGAACTTCACTGACAGCACCACCCAGAGCTGCACTCATTCCCGGCACAACATCTACCGAGGGCCTGAGGTCAGCCTGGGCCATGGCAGCATCCTAGAGGAAAATGTGCTCCTGGGCTCTGGCACTGTCATTGGCAGCAATTGCTTTATCACCAACAGTGTCATTGGCCCCGGCTGCCACATTGGTGAGCACAGGTGGGGAATCAAGCCAACTATCCTAGGAACAGGAACCTGGGGGGGCCACGTCTCCAGAAACACAAGGGATGGCTACACAAGGGACAGTCCCTGGGAATAAGGAACTATAGAGCGGCTACCTCAGGAAAGGAGGAAACAGGGATTTGAAAACAGCGATACCTTAATTTGTAGCCTGTGGGCCTCTCATTGGATGACTCTTCACATTCCAGGGTACCCTGTAGTCACATTCAGGAGCAAGTAGATAATTAACATGCAGTAACAACATCTATTTAGCACATTACAGTTTACAAAGGGCTTTTATATACATTGTTACATTTAATCTTCATAATTTACAAATAAACAGGCTCAACAAGATTTTCTTGCCCAAGGTCATTGGTAATAATGGTGGGACCTGAATCTGGGTATTCTGAATGTAAGTCCAGTGTTCTTTTGAGTCTACCATAACTGCCTGGTTGGCCTCTTGGTATCTCATTTTGGTTGCAGGAGTGTGATGCGTCTAATAGTACTGCCCCTTTCCAAGAACAACAGTAAGGCTCAGATTCTAGGGGCTGAGCGTGGTGGCTCATGCTTGTAATCCTAGCACACTGGGAAGCCATGGTGGGAGGATCGCTTGAGCCCAGGAGTTCAAGACCAGCCTGGGCAACATAGCGACACCCCTTCTCCACAAATGATACAAAAATTAGCTGGGCATGATGGCGCGTGCCTGTAATCTCAGCTATTCGGGAGGCTGAGGCAGGAGGATTACCTGAGCCCAGAGGTCGAGGGTGCAGTGAGTCATGATCATACTACTGCACTCCAGCCTGGGTGATGGAATGAGACCGTGTCTCAAAAGAAAAAAAAGACTTGGTTTCTAAAATGTACCAGAAGAGGTGGAATTATTTGGTTCTGCTTGTAGGCGTGGATATGATTCTAATAAGGTTTTTTGAGTTCAGAGGGTCCCCAGAAATCCTGAAGGTTCTCGGGTTCTTAAGCTCTGTGTGTAGTCTATAATTGTTGTAAACTTGGTGAAGTATCTTCTCAGGCCTGGGCTTAGGGGGTGAGTGGGTGTTTCTGGTGACTTGCGGGATGGGGAATGAGAGCTAGGTGGGAGCTGTGCTGGTGTCAGTCAGCCCTGTCCTCTATGAAGGGCTCTGCTCTGCGGTTGGAACCCTGAGTTACCCAGAGGTCTTCCCATCCTGAGCCAGGTGATAACGTGGTGCTGGACCAGACCTACCTGTGGCAGGGTGTTCGAGTGGCGGCTGGAGCACAGATCCATCAGTCTCTGCTTTGTGACAATGCTGAGGTCAAGGAACGAGTGACACTGAAACCACGCTCTGTCCTCACTTCCCAGGTGAGACCTGATCTATACTGTGCACAGGCCCTGAATTGCATGGCAGTCACACTGAGCCAGAAGGGGCATTATTTCCACCCATAATCCTGTCTAAAAAAGTTGCTCTCATTATCAGGATGCACTTTTCCTCCACACCCTAATGGTTCTGTGTTTTTTTTCCCCTTAGGTGGTCGTGGGCCCAAATATCACGCTGCCTGAGGGCTCGGTGATCTCTTTGCACCCTCCAGATGCAGAGGAAGATGAAGATGATGGCGAGTTCAGTGATGATTCTGGGGCTGACCAAGAAAAGGACAAAGTGAAGATGAAAGGTGTGAGACTCAACAGGTGTGGGGCATCTGTGTGTCTCGCTGCCTCATAGAAGAACCAGTGTTTCCTCCTGGAGGGATTGGTGCTTCCGCCGGGCCCTCTCTATAGATCATTGCCTTTTCCAGGTTACAATCCAGCAGAAGTAGGAGCTGCTGGCAAGGGCTACCTCTGGAAAGCTGCAGGCATGAACATGGAGGAAGAGGAGGAACTGCAGCAGAATCTGTGGGGTGAGCTAGGCCTGATGCCTGCCCTTCTCCTCCTGAATCGGAATATTTTGAAGGATAATGAATACTTCAGAGTCACATTACTTATTCACTCCTTTATTCAGGCAGACAGGGCAGGTATATTGCTCTCTGTCAATGACTCTTTTTTTCTTTTTCCTCACCCATTATGGCTTCTCAGGACTCAAGATCAACATGGAAGAAGAGAGTGAAAGTGAAAGTGAGCAAAGTATGGATTCTGAGGAGCCGGACAGCCGGGGAGGCTCCCCTCAGATGGATGACATCAAAGGTGAGTGGCAGGGGAGAAATGCGCTGGACCAGTTTATTCTCTGCCTGGATCAACTAGCCAGAGGCTTACGTTCCTCAGAAAGGGTTTGGTATCGAGTCAAGACTAGATGACTTAGAGCATTCTGAATGATGTTGGCCCATGAACTTATCCTTGCTTTGATTTCAGTGTTCCAGAATGAAGTTTTAGGAACACTACAGCGGGGCAAAGAGGAGAACATTTCTTGTGACAATCTCGTCCTGGAAATCAACTCTCTCAAGTAAGAGCAGCCCCTCCCTGTTCTCCTCGGGGTGATCCCGGGAAGGTAGAGGCTTTCTCGTAAGTGTTTTGTCTCCAAATAGGAACCTATTCCTTCGACATCCCAAATGGAAAGACCAGTAGTATTTGGAGCAAGGAGAGCATTATTAAGTTCTAGCCTCAGCATAGACTTTCTCCTTCCTAAACCCTCCCCTTCCATATTGTTCCATCCAGATTCCTCTCCAATGTCTATCAAAGTCATAGTTCTAAGCCTGCTGAAAGGCCAGTGAAGGCCCTGGTGTCACCCCAGTCTCCCCACAGGTATGCCTATAACATAAGTCTAAAGGAGGTGATGCAGGTACTGAGCCACGTGGTCCTGGAGTTCCCCCTGCAACAGATGGATTCCCCGCTTGACTCAAGCCGCTACTGTGCCCTGCTGCTTCCTGTGAGCAAAGATTGGAGCTGAGTACAAGGGATTGGGTACAGGCAAAGGAAATCAGGAGTAGACTGTCTTGTTATATTGGGTGTATGTCACTTCTGGTTCCTTTTTCCTTGCCTCTGGAAGCTGGTTGGGCTCTAGAGCAGCCTTGGCTGGTTCAGAGGGGTCAGATTGAGTTCAATACTGACTGGCCTTTGAGACTCCAGGATTTCATACCATCCTAGGCCCACAAAGGTATATTCAGAATGGACCTGGACATTCAGACTCTATGGCAGCAATTTGACCCAACACAAGATCAGCCTCTGGGGTGGGAATAGGTATTTTGAGGCAGCCTATAGCATCTGATCCCCTTTCACCTTCCCTAAGGAATCTCTTTTTCCCAAACCCTGTCAACAACTCCCAAGTCCCTCTGACATAATTCCACAGAACCTGTATCATCTCCCTTTTGTCCACCCATGTCATCAGTATGGATTTGCTTGGATGTCCAGGTATAGGTGAATGCTTAGGAATATACTGCAGCTCCCTTCTTTCTTCCATAGCTGCTAAAGGCCTGGAGCCCTGTTTTTAGGAACTACATAAAGCGCGCAGCCGACCATTTGGAAGCGTTAGCAGCCATTGAGGACTTCTTCCTAGAGCATGAAGCTCTTGGTATTTCCATGGCCAAGGTGAATATGACCTCAAGCCCCATTCTTCTGCACTTGCTTTCAAACGAGGGTTGGTGACCCCCTTGGGAGACATAAAATAGAAGCTAATGTGAATCCAGTATGGACCATCCACTCCCAATATGCTTATTGCTAGAATAGTACAGCTTGGAGCCGGACTAATAAGGTAGCCATCTGGGGGGTGGTCTGGAAATGTGCAAAGCTCTCCCCAGCAATAGTTCCAGAAGTTAGACCTGCCCCAGGAGCAGAGCGAACAGCTCACTCTTGTCCGTTTTGGAGGAGGCTACTCAGTGCATAGAGGGATCTGAGGGCCTGGTAGAGTATCCTGCTGGACTTTCCAAGGCCCCTGAGGTCCCCTTTATTGGCCTTTTGCAGGTACTGATGGCTTTCTACCAGCTGGAGATCCTGGCTGAGGAAACAATTCTGAGCTGGTTCAGCCAAAGAGATACAACTGACAAGGGCCAGCAGTTGCGCAAGAATCAACAGGTGCGTCAGGCTGTCCTCCTCTCGCCAAGATGGTTATCTCATTCCCAGGTCCTGGCCCCTAGACTCTAGGGTGGTTGGTTTCTGGGGCTCTGGTTGTTAGAGCTGTTTATCTGCCGAGGGGAGCAGGAGAGTTATGTGCACCTCCCCCAGCCGATCTCTCCTCTGCTTCTTTACAGCTGCAGAGGTTCATCCAGTGGCTAAAAGAGGCAGAAGAGGAGTCATCTGAAGATGACTGAAGTCACACTGCCTGCTCCTTTGGGTGTGATTGAGTGCCCTCCTGGCTCCTGGGCTGGGACAAGTGAGGAACTAGCTGCAGAGGGATGAGTGACCACCATCCAGGCTGAGACTGAAAGGAGCAGAGGCTGGAACTACAGTATTCTTTCCCCTGCTAGCAACCATGTGCCTCCCATCCTGACTGTGGAGTTGGGATGTGGAAGTGGGGCTGGAACAAAGCTTCTGCCTAGGGAGGAGCTAAGCAGGCCCGGCAGTTGGAGGAAGGCCAGAGGAACAGCTTTGTGCTCCGGCTTTCCCTCAGGGAACAGCAGAGAGCAGTTGGCTCTTTCTGCTGCTTGTATATGTTAATATTAAAAGAGAGAGTGGTGTATTTGGTTTGTCTCCATCCCTGACTAATCAGCCAGTGAAGTATGTGACCAGAATCACATGATAGCCTTTCCTTAACACCTGGGGGAGAGGGAGGACGGGTGTGCCAGCCACTAGGTGGTACTGTGGTACCTTGCTAATTAACCTTTCCCATGGCTCATGGGTAGTGGAGGGCGGAGGTTCTTTTCCAGCCTCTGTGGACCAACTTGTGATCCTGGGGTGGTGTGCCTAAGCCCGTTTCCATAGAGTCCCATTTTGAACACTTTTCTGCCAGAGGATTATGTTGCCAACCATATGTAAAGCCCATTAGACATGCCAGTTCCTTTCACATGCCTTTTCCAGTTGATCTGGTACTCGTTCTGTCAGGAAGCTGGGCCACGCTTCATCAGAAATAAGGAAATCAGCTCAAGGTCACATGACTCTTGAGGGGTAAAGCTAAGGACTTGACCCTCAGAATCCAGAACTCTGTCCTTCAGCGTATTGTGTTTCAGTGAAGGGAAAATTGGCCCCACAGACAAATATAACCCAGAGCCAGTAATGGAGGTCCCAAGAACACAGGAAGGCCATGTGAAGGGTGCTTTCCCTTGAGAGTGTTTACTATGTGACAGGCAAGCAGTTTTCACATATTGTTTCATTTAATCCTCACATGAGCCCCATGAAGTCTTATCCCCATTTTCAGATAAGGTGCCTGAAGCTCACAGAGCTTCCCTAGCTAGTAACTGACAGAGCCAGGTGTGATATTGGACTCTTGACCTGGAGCTTGTTACTTTGCTGTATTGCTTTAACCTTAACCAAAAGAGACATGCCTTTCTGTCTTTTCTTTTTGAGTTCCTTGTCTTCATATAGAGTGAGTCAACAATTCTGGCCGCGTGCAGTGGCTCACGCCTGTAATCCCAGCACCTTGGGAGGCTGAGGCAGGCGGATCACCTGAGGCGAAGAGTTCGAGACCAACATAGCGAAACCCCATCTCTACAAAAATACAAAAATTAGCTGGGCATTGTGGCAGGCGCCTGAAATCCCAGCTACTCAGGAGGCTGAAGCAGGGAGAATTGCTTGAACCTGGGAGGCGGAGGTTGCAGTGAGCCGAGATTGTGCCACTGCACTCCAGCCTTGGTGATGGAGCGAGACCCTGCCTCAAAACAATATAATAATAATAATTTCCTTTAGTGGTACTTAAACGGTGGCTAATGTGACTGTTGTAACAAGTGATGCTCTACCCCCCCATCCCTACCGTCCCAGATGTTACAGAACAAATGGTTGCCTTTATTCATTTTAGTTGGATAGAAAGACATAAACTGGCCTAGGCGCGGTGGCTTACGCCTGTAATCCCAGCACTTTGGGAGGCTGAGGTGGGCAGATCAGCTGAGGTCAGGAGTCTGAGACAAGCCTGGCCAACATGGTGAAACCCTGTCTCTACTAAAAATACAAAAATTAGCCAGGCGTGGTGGTGGGTGCCTGTAATCTCAGCCGCTCGGGAGGCTGAGGCAGGAGAATCGCTTGAACCCAAGAGACGGAGGTTGCAGTGAGCTGAGATCACACTATTGCATTCCAGCCTGGGCGACAAGTGAAACTCTGTCTCAAAAAAAAGGATATAAACTGAGGATGGGCTGACTGAAGTCAGCTTGTGGGTATGAAGGCATCACTGGAAAAGGAAAAGACAGGCTGGCCAGGGTTTGGCTTAATTTTCTAGTAAATCTCAGTTTCTGTCTTGTTAGGTATAGGATCTAGTGTCTAGTATGAAGATTCTGGCATTATGGCATGGACCTAGTACAGTGAGACATCCCTGTATCTGTACTGAATGTATAGCAGAAATCAGAAGTAGTCTACAGAGCTTTTTCAGAAAGAGAGATTACTTCCAGTTAGGGTGATTAGGGAAGGCTTTACAGAAATTTGATGCTGGAGTGGCCTAAAAAATAGAAGAGGCTGGAAGCATGCATTAAAAGCAAAACAAAAACTTTCCAGTTAAATACGGAAAATTAAACACATGAGCCTTTATGCCCCCTCCAAAAATTCTATTGAAATACCAGTAAAGGAATTATTTTAAAAAGGCACGTGCTGGCTGGGCTCAGTGGCTCACACCTGTAATCCCAGCACTTTGGGAGGCCGAGGCAGGTGAATCACCTGAGGTCAGGAGTTCAAGACCACCCTGGCCAACATAGTGGACCCCCGTCTCTATTAAAAATACAAAAAAGCCAGGCGTGGTAGCTTATGCCTGTAATCCCAGCACTTTGGGAGGTCAAGGTGGGTGGATCCCCTGAGGTCAGGAGTTCGAGACCAGCCTGGCCAACATGATGAAACCCCCATCTCTACTAAAAATAGAAAAATTAGCTGGGCCTGGTGGCAGGTGCCTGTAATCCCAGCTACTCAGGAGGCTGAGGAAGGAGAATCGCTTGAATCTGGGAGGTGGAGGTTGCAGTGAGCCGAGATCGCGCCATTGCACTCCAGCCTGGGGGACAAGAGCGAGACTTCATCTCAAAAAAAAAACCAAAAAACACAAAAGTTTAGCCGGGCATGGTGGGGGGCACCTGTAATCCCAGCTACTCAGGAGGCTGAGGAAGGAGAATTGCTTGAACCCAGGAGGCGGAGGTTGCAGTGAGCCGAGATCATGCCATTGCACTCCAACCTGGGTGACAAGAGCGAAACTCTCAAAAAATATAATAATAAAGCCACATGACCCAGTGATAAGGAAAATAGGAGGTGACAATGAATGAGAGATGCCAACATTTTGGAAGATGAAAAACAGAACAGTCAACAGTCACTTAACAGAGTAGAATGAGTTGGGTTCTACCTGCTGAGGGAGTTAATGGCAAGAAGTAAGCCAATGTGCCCTTCTGAACCCATAAAAGGTTCAGCACCTCAGAGGAGGGTATGGACTGACGCTGAGAACTAGGGGTGGGGTGGAAGGAGATTACACGATGATCTGTATAAGAAAAAGCCCCACCAAGTCCCAACCTCATCTGATCCAGCCAAGTGATTACCCCTACTCCCTTGCATAAAATGGGAGATTCCGTCTCTGGAGAAATGGTAGGGAGGAAGTTAGCAAAGATAGACTTAAGGTTTCCTAAGCCCAAAGGTCACAAGTTTCCAGACCAACTGTCCATGAGTGCCCAGCATAATGAATGAAAAAGCCCATGAAATTTCAGAATGTCCAGGGGAACTTAAACTATCAGAGCCTCTGCATTCAGCAGCAGGCATAGTGGGGATAGAGGTGAGGTATTAGATTGAAAATGAAGAATTAAGTGAAAATATATGAGCGGTGAGACTCAACATCAGCACACACTGACAGAACCTCCAGTATGAAAAGAAACAACTGCAGGGAAAAAAATGCCTATGCATACTGACACTGACATTTTTGGTTTCTTCAACAACAAAATGTCAGCTTTCCCCCCACATGATCACCCTACAGTGAAGCCTATTCATTAATAATAAAGCTTGTAAATAGACTGAGCTTCCAATCCACTTTTTGGTATCTCACTGTTAAATATGAATAGACAGCAAAGGACCATTAAACATCTGAGTAACCTTCCAATATGAAAGACCAAAACAAACAAATAGAAAATTGAAACCAAGGAAACAATAACAAAGTAGGGAGCTTTCTGAAAACTTCATGGGGAAAAAGCTACAATAACTATTCTCAAAACTCAAAGAAAAGATATTGTGTCTATGAAGTACTTTAAAAAGGAAGAATTGGAGAAGAAAGAGTTCTTAGAAATTAAAAATAAGTAAACTAATTCCTTCTCTTGAGAATTGGAGGATTCGAGGACCAAATAGCAGGGTAACGTTTCACTGTATTTCCATTCTTACATACTTCTTGAATCTTGAATCATGAATATATTATCTATCCAAAAAAAAAAAAAAAGTAGTAAAGGATCAATCCATAAGGCCCAAAATCATCTACTGGGCTGCGGAAACAGAATAGGAAAAATCGGCTGGACGTGGTGGCTCATGCCTGTAATCCCAGCCCTTTGGGAGGCCAAGGCAGATGGATTGCTTGATGCCAGGAATTTGGGACCAGCTGGGCAACATAGCAAGATCCCATCTCGACAAAAAATTTTAAATTATCAGCCAAGGGTGGTGGTGTGTGCCTGTAGTCCCAGCTACTCGGGAGACTGAGGTGGGAGGATCACTTGTGCCCAGTTCGAGGCTGCAGTGAGCTATGATCACACCACTGCACTCCAGCCAGGAAGACAGAGCAAGACCTTGCCTCCAAAAAAAAAAAAAAAAGGCTGGGTGTGATGTGACTCACACCTGTAATCCCAGCACTTTGGGAGGCCAAGGTTGGCAGAGGATAACTTAAGCCCAGGAGTTTGATACCAGACTGGCCAATGTGGTGAAACCCTGTGTCTATTAAAAATACAAAATTAGGCCTTTCCTTTCAGTGGAGCGTGGCGGCAAGATGGCTGTGCAAATTTCCAAGAAGAGGATGTTTGTCACTGATGACATCTTCAAAGCTGAACTGAATGAGTTTCTTACTCAGGAGCTGGCTGAAGATGGCTACTCTGGAGTTGAGATGCAAGTTACACCAACCAGGACAGAAATCATTATCTTAGCCACCAGAACACAGAATATTCCTGGTGAGAAGGGCTGACGGATTCGGGAACTGACTGCTATAGTTCAGAAGAGGTTTGGCTTTCCAGAGGGCAGTGTAGAGCTTTATGCTGAAAAGGTTGCCACTAGAGGTCTGTGTGCCATTGCCCAGGCAGAGTCTCTGCGTTACAAACTCCTAGGAGGGCTTGCTGTGTGGAGGGCCTGCTATGGTGTGCTGCGGTTCATCATGGAGAGTGGGGCCAAAGGCTGCAAGGTCATGGCGTCTGGGAAACTCCGAGGACAGAGGGCTAAATCCATGAAGTTTGTGGATGGCCTGACGATCCACAGTGGAGACCCTATTAACTACTACGTTGGCACTGCTGTGTGCCACGTGTTGCTCAGACAGGGTGTGCTGGGCATCAAGGTGAAGATCATGCTGCCCTGGGACCCAACTGGTAAGACTGGCCCTAAGAAGCCCCTGCCTGACCACGTGAGCATCGTGGAACCCAAAGATGAGATACTGCCCACCACCCCCATCTCAGAACAGAAGGGTGGGAAGCCAGAGCCATCTGCCATGCCCCAGCCAGTCCCTACAGCATAACAGGGTCTCCTTAGCAGCTGTATTCTGGAGTCTGGATGTTGCTCTGTAAAGACCTTTAATAAAATCTCATACAAAGACAAAAAAATATATACAAAATTAGGGCTGGGCATGGTGGCTCACACCTGTAATCCCAGCACTTTGGGAGGCTGAGGCGGGCAGATCACCTGAGGTCAGGAGTTTGAGACAATCCTGGCCAACATGGTGGAACCCTGTCTCTACTAAAAATACAAAATATTAGCTGGGCATGGTGGTGCATGCCTGTAATCCCAGCTACTCAGGAGGCTGAGGCAGGAGAATCGCCTGAGCCCAGGAGGCAGAGGTTGCAGTGAGCCGAGATAGCTCCACTGCACTCCAGCCTGGATGATAGGGTGAGACTCCTTCTCAAAAAAAAAAAAAAAGAAAAAAAAAGTTAGCCGCATGTGGTGGTGTGCACCTGTAATCCCAGCTACTCAGGAGGCTGAGGCACGAGAATCACTTGAACCCAGGAGGTGGAGATTGCAGTGAGCTGAGACCACACCACTGCACTCCAGCCTGAGTGACAGAGTGAGACTCTGTCTCAAAAAAAAAGAACATTTTAATTACCATTTTTCCGTTTTTTTTTTTCTTTTAGACTGAGTTTTGTTCTGTTGCCCAGGCTGGAGTGCAGTGATGTGGTCTCAGCTCACTGCAATCTCCACCTCCCGGGTTCACGCGATTCTCGTGCCTCAGTCTCCTGAGTAGCTGGGATTACAGGTGCTTACCACCACACACGGCTACTTTTTTGTTTGTTTGTTTTTTTGAGAAGGAGTGTCGCTGTCACCCAGGCTGGAGTGCAGTGGCGTTGGGATTACAGGCATGGACCTGGTCTTAATTCAAGAATTTATTGTTGGCTGGGTACGGTGGTTCACACCTATAATCCCAGCACTTCGATAGGATCGCTTGAGCCAAGGAGTTTGAGGCTGCAGTGAGCCATGATTACCTCACTATACTCCAACCTGAGCAACAGAGCAAGGCCTTGTCTCAATAAACAGGTAAATAAAACAAAGGAGTAAAGTATCCAGGAAACAGATTCAACACAGAGACAGGTAAAGGGAATTTTGAGGATGCAGAGAAGTCCCAGGATGACAGCTGTGCACAGGCTGAGATAGCCGGCGGTGCAGACCAGAGCAAAAGAATGGAAGGTTCCACCAAGCGTGGTGGCTCACGCCTGTAATCCCAGCACTTTGAGAGGCTAAGGCGAGCGATCACCTGAGGTCAGGAGTTCCAGATCAGCCTGGCTAACATGGTGAGACCCTGTCTCTACTAAAAATACAATATTAGCTGGGCGTGGTGGCAGGCGCCTGTAATCCCAGCTACTTGGGAGGCTGAGGCAGGAGAATCACTTGAACCTGGGAGGCAGAGGTTGCAGTGAGCCGGAATCTCGCCACTGCACTCCAGCCTGGGCGACAGAGTGAGACTCCATCTAAAAAAAAAAAAAAAAAAAGATGGAAGCCTCCAGGGAAAAATTGAACTGATGGATTATCTAATAGCTTTGACTGAATGAACAAAATGTGTATTGAGAAACTATTAGATTACATGGGAAAAACTAATGATAGGTATAATATATTAAAACAAATGAAAACACAAGGCAATGATTAAAGTCAGAGGAAACAAAAAAGTTGTAAAGGAAACGATTATAAAACACACATGAGGCCAGCGCGGTGGCTCATGCCTGTAATCACAGCACTTTGGGAGGCCAAGGCAGGTGGATCACGAGGTCAAGAGATTGAGACCATCCTGGCCAACATGGTAAAACCCTGTCTCTACTAAAAATACAAAAATGAGTTGGGCAGGTATGGTGGCACATGCCTGTAATCCCAGCTACTCGGAGGCTGAGGCAGAATTATCGCTTGAACCCGGGAGGTGGAGGTTGCAATGAGCTGAGATCACATCACTGCACTCCAGCCTGGCGACAGAGTGAGACTCCATCAAAAACAAAAACAAAAACAAAACAAAAAAAACTCCACATGACTTAGCGGTGAACATTTGCTCATAGTCAAAATAAGGTCACTACTAAGTACTATATTGACTTAGCCAAAAAGTGTGCTTTCACTATTTTAAGAGGGAAGGGTAAGGTGGAAGACAGAGAATCATCAATCAAATTTGGAAATCAATAAGCAATGTCTAAAATGTATAAATCAAGAACAAGTATTATGAGCTAAAAAAAAGTACTAAGAGTGGTAGGGAAATAGGACAAAGAATTGCTCGGGTTTTTTGTTTTGTTTTTCTCACCACTATACCAATAAGGAGGACTGCTGTTTTGTTAAAAAGCTTTTTAAGGGCCAGGCACGGTGGCTCACACCTGTAATCCCAGCACTTTGGGAGGCCGAGGCAGGCAGATCACGAGATCAGGAGATCGAGACCATCCTGGCTAACACGGTGAAACCCCATCTCTACTACAAATGTAAAAAATTAGCCAGGTGTGGTGGCAGGCACCTGTAGTCCCAGCTACTCGGGAGGCTGAGGCAGGAGAATGGCATGAACCCGGGAGGCGGAGTTCACAGTGAGCCAAGATCGTGCCACTGCACTCCAGCCTGGGCGACAGAGCAACACTCCATCTCAAAAAAAAAAAAAAAAAAAAAAAAAAAAAAAAAAAGCCGGGCGTGGTGGCTTGCGCCTGTAGTCCCAGCACTTTGGGAGGCCGAGGCAGGTGGATCACGAGTTCAGATCAAGACCATCCTGTTTAACACAGTGAAACCCCGTCTCTACTAAAAAAAACACAAAAAATTTGGCGGGCGCCTGTGGTCCCAGCTGCTCGGGAGGCTGGCGTGAACTCAAGAGGCGGAGCTTGCAGTGAGCCGAGATTGTGCCACTGCACTCCACCCTGGGCGACAGAGTGAGACTCCATCTCAAAAAAAAAAAAAAAAAAAAAAAAAAAAAGCTGTTTAAATACTATTTGACTTCCAAACATATTACTTTGATAAAAAATGTAAAGAAGGTGAAGGAAAGGGTATGAAGTGACGATATACATAAGGTGTGTGCAGGGGCTAGCAAGTGGGTTCATTTTCCTGGAGTCAAAAATTTGGCCAGGATATGAGACAAAAGGCTGTAAAAGTAGGTAGAGGTTAGATTATGGGGGGCCTTGAATAGGGATATTTGGGGGCTTTGGGGAATGTGGAAAGGTTTCTGAGTAGAAGAGGTATCTGAATGATGTTGTTATTCTAGTGTTAATTTGGCAACAGTGTATAAAATGGAGTAGAAGGAGCCCATACTTAAGACCATAGCATCCAAGGCCCTATGTAATCTGGCGGGTCTATGTTTCCAGCCTCACCTAGGACTGTTCCTTTAGTCATGATGGCCTTCTTATTCCTCAAATGTAACATGTTTATTCCTGCCTTGAGCCTGTATATTGGCTGTGCCCTCTGCCTAGAAGGCTGTCACCCCAGATCTTCTCATAGCCACTTCATCCTTGCTATTTCTAGGTCTTTTTTTCTGGAAGAAGTTTTCTCTAACCAATCAGAAACCTCTTTCTCGTTTTGTTTTGGTTGTTTTGTTTTTGTTTTTGTTTGAGGCGGAGTCTCGCTCTGTCGCCCAGGCTGGAGTGCAGTGGTGGGATCTCGGCTCACTGCAAGCTCCACCTCCCGGGTTCAAGCGATTCTCCTGCCTCAGCCTCCCGAGTAGCTGGGACTACAGGCATGCGCCACCATGTCCAGCTAATTTTTGTATTTTTACTAGAGACGGGGTTTCACCATTTTGGCCAGGCTGGTCTCGAACTCCTAACCTCAGGTGATCCACCTGCCTCAGCCTCCCAAAATGTTGGAATTACAGGCATGAGCCATTGCGCCTGGCTTCCCCTGTCACTATCCCATCACTTTGTTTTACCTTCTTCATAGCAGTGGTCACTCTGAAGTTATGTATTTACAAGCCTATGTGCTTCCCTCCAGCTGAGGGAAGGTCCTGAGAGCAGCCTTGTCTGTCTCGCTATCGCTATATCTCATGCGATATGCCTTATACACAGTAGGCCTTCAGTATTTATTAAATGAATTAAAAGTTAAGGGGTGAGGAGATCTGTGAGGAACCGGCTATACCTAGTTCTGGAGTTCTGGTTTGAGACTTACTGTCTTAGGCATGCATGCATCCACTTATCTTTTTTTTTGGGGGGGGGCGAGGGGGGATGGAGTTTCACTTTTGTTGCCCAGGCTGGAGTGCAAAGGCAGGATCTCGACTCACCGATCTCGGCTCACCGCAACCTCCGCCGCCCGTGTTCAAGCGATTCTTCTGCCTCAGCCTCCCGAGTAGCTGAGATTACATGCATGCGCCACCACGCCCGGCTAATTTTTTTGTATTTTTAGTAGAGACAGGGTTTCTCCATGTTGGTCAGGCTGGTCTTGAACTCTCGACCTCGGGCGATCCGCCCGCCTTGGCCTCCCAAAGTGCTGGGATTAGAAGCGTGAGCCACCGCGCCCGGGCCCCACTTATTCCGCATTCAACCCATTTATTAAACCACTACCTTGCAACTGGACGCTAAGGTTATAGGGAGGAATCAGAACTGGATGCTGTCCTTCTCTCGAGATCAGTTTAGTAGACTCAGTGACAGCAGTTGTGCTTCTCAAGAAACACTGAAGGGCCATGTTGAGGTCATTCTCCTCCAGGGATCCAGAGTCAGACCCACCCTCTTTCCCCAGACCATTTCTGGGGACCAAAGCAATCCCTGCATTCCACTCTTCCTGGACTGCAGAGGAGTCGCCGATCCCACTTGGGTCCGGAGTCAGGGCCTTCAGGGGTCCGGGAACGCCGCCATCCCGGTGAATCTCCCCTTCCGTTTCTAGGGACCCGGGACCGGAGCGCCGCGGCCCGGCCAGTGGGCGGGAAACCCTGCCATCTGCCGCGACGCCGGCGCCTCTCCGCGGCGGCCGGGGGCGGGGCGCGCCGGGGCGGGGCCGCGCCGGGCCGGAGGAGGGGAGCGGGCCCGGACGAAGCCCTGGGCCGGGAGGGCCGCGGCCACCGGAAGAGTCGCGGTCGCCAGTCCAGTCGGGAGAGTGGGGAGCGGAAGCGGCGGCCGCGGCGGCGGCGGGCGGCGCTGGGACCCGGTAGCGGCCGGAGAACAAGGGAGCTGGCGCCGCCAGCAGCCGCCGAGCTGGGTTGAGCCGCTGGGCCGCGCCGCGCGCCGCCGCCGTCTGGGAGGCTCGGCCCGGCCGCCCGAGCAGGCCGCGCGCGGGCCGCCGGGCCCGAGGCCAGAGCCATGGGCGAGACCAAGATCATCTACCACTTGGATGGGCAGGAGACGCCGTACCTTGTGAAGCTGCCCCTGCCCGCCGAGCGCGTCACCTTGGCGGACTTTAAGGGCGTTTTGCAGCGACCCAGCTATAAGTTCTTCTTCAAGTCTATGGACGACGATTTCGGGTGAGGATGGCCCCCGCCCCGCCTCCGGGAGCCCCGGCCGCTCTGGCTTCTAAGGGATGACGCGGTCCGTTTCGACTTGCCTCGCTACACCGGCTCCTAGCCCCGCTCTGACTTCTAGGGGCGACTCGGCCCATTTGGGCCCCTTTGGTTCCAGCCCCAGTAGCAACTCCCGTTTACCTCTGAAGAGGGGACGTTGGCCTCCCTTGTTTAAGGGGACGTCCAATTCCCCACTAGCAATCAGAGTTCCTGCCGGTGCGGTCCCCTTACCTCTTCAGAGACCAGTGGCCCACAGAGACAGACACACCCCCCCTCCACCTAGTTTCAGAGCCCGAGTCCCCCATCCTCCTCCTGCCGAGGAGCCAGAGCCACCTTTTTCCGCACAGACTTGGGTCGTGTGGCCCTCGTTCTTCGCCCCCTTCATCTTTTCAGCAGCACAGCTCCCAGCCATATTTGGAGTATGCTGCATCTGAGGGCTCTGCTGGGACTTTGAGCTGGGGGAGGGGTGTCGGGGGTGCTCGGGCGCCTGGCCGCGAGCGGGGTCTGCAGATCTGATGTTTATCTAGCTGCCTGCCCTCTCCTTTGTGGGCTGTTGTGGGTGTTGTCACCGGAACAGAGAGCCTGACCCCTGCGGAGTAGTCCTCACTGACCCAGGTGCTGATCTTTCCTCCAATTCGGGCTTTTTTCCTCCAGTTGGTGGCCAGTGGAGAGACGTTAGGAAGGGCCTGGGGCCTGGGTGGGATAGCCAGGAAGAGTTTCTTGGTGTTCTCTATCTTCCCCTCCCTGGTGGGGTCTTCCCTTCCACCCAGCTGCAGAGATCTGGACAGGCACAGTTTGGAAGCAGTCACTTTCCCTTTAAGAGGGGATGGAATGTTGGAGCCGGAAGGTTCTGAAGCAGCTGGCCTGGGAAGAGGGGGGCCTGGCTGATCCCCCTCGAACCCCCCCAACTCCCAGGAGACTGGGGGAGGGGGAGGCGCCCACACTTGCCTGCCGCCTCACTAACTGGGCGCTGGGCCTGGAGGCGGTGGGGAAGGCCCCTCCAGGCCTGAAGGCTGCCTCTCCAGCCCTAGCCTGAGGCCTGCACTGCTCTTTGGAGCTGAGGCCCCACAGCCAAGAGGAGACATTCTTCTCCCCAGTGTTCATCTGTCTGGCTTCTCTCCCAAGCCCCTGGCCCACCTAGCACTAGGAAGCAAGCACCTTCTGTCTAATGCCTGGCATGTTTTGCTGTCACCTTCTGCCCTGGAACTCAGGGTTGGATGAGCCCCTGAAATCATGTGTGTGAGAGTGCTTTGTACAGTGGGCAGTGCTTTGTAGATTCTAACTATTCTTGTTTCTGTTGTTGTTCCTGCCCTGGGGTGGGGTGCTCCTGGTGTGATAATGATTGTCTGCCTTCAGCCCAGAGACAGACACCTCTAATTGGAAGATTCTGAGGAGGGATGGATCTAGAAGGGGTCTGGGTGAGGGGGTGGATACTTTGGCCTGGCAAGAGAAGAATAGGGTTAGAAGGGATCAAGCTACTGCCTCCACATAAGGAATGGGGGAAGATGAGCCAGAGTCCAGTGCCCTGGGGCCACCTCAGATCCAGATGCCTTGAGGGACTAAGATAGGCTGTCTCTCCACCCTGTACTTATCTCCAGACCCACTGGACCTGGCCCCTGCCTCCTAAGCCTGGACAACTCTGGGCTGCTCTCCCAATCCCAAGGCCTAACTGCAGTTTTAAGAGGGCCCCCATTACATCCAGTCACTGTTACTTAATATTTTTCTTTAAATCCATTGTCAGTCCACTTACTGTTTTTCTTAGCTTGAACCAAGCAATAATATGAAACCATAGGTCTGACTTTTCTGTTTATATTTCTTTCTAAAATATGTTTAACATAAATATTTAATGATTGAACTAAGCAATGTTAATCTGTGTGCCACCTGAAGCCATCTTGCAAACATCAGTGGTACTTGAACCAAAATCAGAGTTGGACCATTTTAGCAGGGTTGAAAACAGTATTAAAAATGAAGTGGAGGAGATGGATTCTGTTTGTATCCCCAGAAGGATAAATGAGCAGGGGAACTGATAGAGCTGTCTTGTCACAGAGGACTAATAGCTGAAGAGCATATATATATGTTTCATTTATTTAACACACGCCTTTTATGCTTAGTGTGCCAGGGACTAATCTAAATGCTTTTCAAATCTTCACTCATTTAATCTTCGAAACAGCCTTATGAAATAGATAGCGTAATAGTATCTCTAGTTTACAAATGAAACTCTGTCAGGCATGGTGGCTCACACCTGTAATCTCAGCAATTTGGGAGGCTGAGGTGGGAGGATTGCTTGAGGCCAGGAATCTGAGACCAGCCTTGGCAACATAGCAAGACCCCATCTCTACAAAAAAATTTTTTAATTAGCCAGGCATGATGCTTTGTGCCTGTAGTCCCAACTTGGGAGGCTGAGACAGGAGGATCACTTGAGCATAGGAGTTTGGGGCTGCAGTGAGCTGTGATGGTGCCACTGTACTCCAGCCTGGAAAATAGAGTGGGACCGTGTTTCAGAAAAAAAAAAAAAAGGAAACTAGAGCACAGAAAGCTTAAGTAACTTGCCTAAGGTCACACAGCTAATAAGAGGCAGAGCAGAGCTTGCTTTGACATCAGGAATCTGGATCCAAAAATCTAAATCCTTAATCGCACAATTTTAGGTGTCATTATTATCACCATTTTACTGATGAATCCTCTCCGAGGGAGGTGGTAAGCCTTGGAAAACTGTAGAGGTGACAAGGCCACCATTTCTCCGAGCCCCACAAGAGGAAGGTCAGGCGGAGGTCAGTGACCCTAGAGGAAGGAAAGTGGGTCAGAGGAGGAAGGCTGCTGTCTCTCCAGTTTCTCCACTCCTGGCTCAGCCTTTGAGGTGCTAGTTGTGAGGCTCCTCAAGTCCCATCTGGTCTACAAAAGTATTTGTCAAGCTCAGGGTAGGCCCAGCCATCTTTTTAAATTTTTTTTCTTTTTTTTTTTTTTTTGAGGAGTTTTGCTCTCGTCACCCAGGCTGGAGTGCAGTGGCGCAATCTCGGCTCACTGCAACCTTCGCCTCCCGGGTTCAGGTGATTCTCCTGCCTCAGCCTCCCAAGTAGCTGGGATTACAGGCATGAGCCACCATGCCTGGCTAATTTTAGTATTTTTGGTAGAGATGGGGTTTCACCACGTTGGCCAGGCTGGTCTGGAACTCCTGACCTCAAGCAATCCACCCACCTCGGCCTCCCCAAGTGCTGGGATTACAGGTGATGAGCCACCGCGCCTGGCCTGCCATCTTAAGTTATTTGAGAAATGGAGGAAGGATAAACATTTTCAGCATTGAGGGCATGGTGGATGGTTCATAGAAGTAAGGTGCCTACTGCTAGTCTGGCCTTGAGCTGTGAGAGAGGGCAGCATGGCGATCAGGTCATTAGCTGTGTGGCTTCCTGCTCCACTGTCCTCCCTCTGGGCCTTCCACCTGCAGACTCTTCTTCCCCTGTCTCCTCCAGGTTCAAATTCTCCTGTCTTCTGGGTTGAGCTTTTCTGTGAGAACTGTCATGGCACTCTCTTATTTTATCCTTTTTTTTTTTTTTTGAGATGGAGCCTGGCTTTGTCACCCAGGCTGGGGTACAGTGGTGCGACCTTGGCTCACTGCAACCTCTGCCTCCCGGGTTCAAACGATTCTCCTGCTTCAGCCTCACAAATAGCTGGGACTACTGGTGTGTGCCACCACACCTGGCTAATTTTTGTATTTTAAATAGAGATGGGGTTTTGCTACGTTAGCCAAGCTAGTCACGAACTCTTGACCTCAAGTGATCCGCCCACCTTGGCCTCCCAAAGTGCTGGGATTACAGGTGTGAGCCACCGTGCCTGGTATATTTTATCTTTATATCCTGACACCTGTGTAACACTCAGCAGATGTCTATCCATTGAACACATGTGCTGCTCCTACGGCTCCAACCACTTCCTGGATTGCAGTATATTTCCATGAACTATCCACTGGACCATAGTCTCTCTGAGAACAAGGCAGGCTCTGGGTCTGATGTTTCATGAGAAAACCTACAATAGCAAGCTCAGGACCTGAAACCCACTGGGCCCTCAGCCAAAGCATTTTATTTTATTTTATTTTTATTTTTTTATTTTTTATTTTTATTTTATTGTATGTTTTTTGAGAGGGAGTCTCGCTGTGTCGCCCAGGCTGGAGTGCAGTGGCACGATCTTGGTTCACTGCAAGCTCCGCCTCCTGGGTTCACGCCATTCTCCTCCCTCAGCCTCCCGAGTAGCTGGGACTACAGGTGCCCGCCACCACGCCCTGCTAATTTTTTTTTTTTTTTTTTGGTATTTTTAGTAGAGACGGGGTTTCACCGTATTAGCCAGGATGGTCTTGATCTCCTGACTCATGATCCGCTCACCTTGGCCTCCCAAAGTGCTGGGATTACAGGCCTGAGCCACCGTGCCCTGCCAGTCAAAGCATTTTAATTGGATGAACAATGAATGATGAACAGGTTTATTTGCTTTGCCCTTAATAATGTATACGTAGTTAGAAATAGTGTATGGATCCTGCTAAAAATGGACAATATAATTAGCTTTTACTGTATGCCTGGATCATGCCAGGCATTTAAGGATCCCTTTTACCAGGATGAGACAAAGGCTTGGAGAAATTAAGAAACTTCTCTAAGATAAGAGGGCCAGTAAGTGGTAGAATTGGAATTTGAGTCATTATTTGTTTGACTCCATTTGGGGTATGAGTGTGTGTGTGTGTGTGTAAGTGCTATGTAAACCCCAGCCATTCAGCTCCATGGTGGGAGAGTAAGACCTGTCTGAGGTTCCCCAAAGCTGCTGAAGATCAGCTGATTGTTTTGAGTCAGCAGAGCCTTGGTGGCCTGTCGATGACCCCCAGAAAGAGAGGAAACGTGTAGTGTGGAGCAGTGTGGTGGGGCCTGCCAGGGGAGCAGGGAGGTAGGGACTCAGCAGCAATTTCCCCCAGACAGGCAGACCCTATCCAAAGCAGGCTGTGCCATGTGGCCCACATATTCCCTTTTCCTTTGAGCCCTGTGGGGCTGCCAACCTGGAGTACCCTGTGGCCAGAGTGGCTGGTGGGTCTGAGCTACCTCTGTGTCCCTTCTTTCTAGCCTGTCCTTTCTACACTTTCTGCCATGGTGGGCCGCAGTAGGATGATTTGGGCTGCTTTCCGAGGGTCGCTGTGGCTCTGGGAATGATAGAGGAGCCAGAGCTGGATGGGAGTGGGGAGGGCAGGCTTGGCCTGTGAACTTGGCTGTGAGTCCAAAAATGTGAGCATCACAAGGGAGCCAAGCACATTCCCAGCTCTGGGCAGAAGCTGCTCTAAGAACAAGGGGGGCCAGGCACGGCGGCTCACGCCTGTAATCCCAGCATTTGGGGAGGCCGAGGTGGGCGGGTCACCTGAGGTCAGGAGTTCAAGACCACCCTGGCCAACACGGTGAAACCCTATCTCTACTAAAAATATAAAAATTAGCCAGGCGTGGTGGCAGGCACCTGTAATCCCAGCTACTCGGCAGGCTGAGGCAGGAGAATCACTTGAACCCGGGAGGCGCAGGTTGCAGTGGGCTGAGATTGCACCACTGGACTCCAGCCTGGGTGACAGAGCGAGACTCCGTCTCAAAAAAAAAAAACCAAAGAACAAGTGGGGACTGAACTTCCCAACCTCCTCCTTGCTGTCTTCCCTCTCTGCTCAGAGCTCCTGGCATGCGTCATCTTACCCTTGGTCATGTCTTCCCATCTCTGTACTCCTGGCATATTTGACAGTCTGAGGGTCCTCAAACTTTTCCACTCCCCTTCCTAGCCCCAAACTGTAGTTACTGCCTGACTTCTTGCCTCACCACATTCCCCCGGCCAAACTACATGCTCCGTGACCACATTCCACACCCTTCATGCCTCACATCATTGTCCTCCAGCACCCACTCTCCACATAGACCCACATTACCTCTGTTATTATATAGGAAAGAATGTGAAATACAGTGGAAAGAGTATGGATTTTGGAGTCAAGCCTGGGGTGAAATTCCAGCTCTGACATCTACCAGTCCTGTGACCTTGGACAAGTTAACTGAATACATCTCAGTTTCCTTATTCATGAAATGAAGATCATAGTCTGCCCACTGAGGCTGATGTGAAGATTATAGGTTCTAACTATAGGAAGATAAGGTGGTGTAATGGTAAGAATGCAGATGTTAGAGTCAGGCTAACCAGGATTCAAATTTCAGCAGTTTAGGAGAATTACTGAACCTATTGAGCCTAGTTTCCCCATTGTACCTGCTGCCTTATAGCATTGTTGTATTAAATGAAATTATATAAGTAAAGTGTTTAGCATAGTGCTTGGCCCATAATACTCATTTATGCTCAATAAATGACAGCAATTTTTTTTTTTTTTTTGAGACAGGGTCTTGCTCTGTCACCCAGGCTGGAGTGCAGTGGCACAATGATAGCTCACTGCAGCCTTGAACTCCTAGGCTCAAGCGATCGTCCCACCTCAGCCTTCCAAGTAGCTGGGACCACAGGCATACGCTACCACGCTCGGCTAATTTTTGTATTTGTTTTGTTTTGTAGAGCCGGCACCTCGCTATGTTGACCAGGCAGGTCTCAAAACTCCTGGCCTCAAGCGATCCTCCTGCCTTGGCCTCCCAAAGTGCTGAGATTACCAGCGTGAGAAAGAGCAATTATTACTGTTAATTATCATAATGGCATGTGGAAAATGTTCAGTAAATGCCTTCTCCCCTTCTCTTTTTCTTTTTCTTTTCTTTTTTTTTTTTTTTTTGACACGGAGTCTCACTCTGTTGCCCAGGCTGGAGCACAGTGGCGTGATCTCAGCTCACTGCAACCTCCACCTGCCCGATTCAAGTGATTCGCCTGCCTTAGCCTCCCAAGTAGCTGGGATCACAGGACTGGTAGATGTCAGAGCTGGAATTTCACCCCAGGCTTGACTCCAAAATCCATACTCTTTCCACTGTATTTCACATTCTTTCCTATATAATAACAGAGGTAACGTGGGTCTATGTGGAGAGTGGGTGCTGGAGGACAATGATGTGAGGCATGAAGGGTGTGGAATGTGGTCACGGGGCATGTAGTTTGGCCGGGGGAATGTGGTGAGGCAAGAAGTCAGGCAGTAACTACAGTTTGGGGCTAGGAAGGGGAGTGGAAAAGTTTGAGGACCCTCAGACTGTCAAATATGCCAGGAGTACAGAGATGGGAAGACACCCAAGTAGATGGGTGCACACCACCACACCCGGCTAATTTTTGTATTTTTAGTAGAGATGGGGTTTTGCCATGTTAGCCAGGCTGGTCTCGTACTCCTGACCTCAGGGTGATCTGCCTGCCTCAGCCTCTCAAAGTTCTGGGATTACAGGTGTGAGCTATCACGCCTGGCCTCCCCTTCTCTTTTCTAATTTTCTTAAATTCTTTGTCCATACCTCCCACAACAATGTTAGGATTCCCACTTAAGAAAGGAAGGACAGTTATAATTGTATGCTTTTTTCCAATTAGGGATCAGAGGGAAAGAGAAAGTCTAGCCCAGGAGAGTCATGTTGGGGATGGGTAGAGCACTTTAGAGATTTTAGGGAGTGGCATGGGGGACAGTGATGTGTCAGTTGTAATTTGCAATCACCTGATGACTGAGAGGATGCCCCGGGAAGGTATCTGGCCTAGGCAGGGCTGGTGTCTTCCTGGTGGTGCCAAAGAGCTGTCTCTGGGTCTCCCCAACCTCTGCTTTCATTTGAACAGTCTTGTGCTGGTGGTTTGATTCCCAGTTTAGGATGGAGGAGCCCCTGAGAGTTGGGATTTGAGGATCCTCCATTTGCACCCTAGAAGGTTCTCTGTGACATCCCCCTTTCTCTGCAGAGTGGTGAAGGAGGAGATCTCGGATGACAATGCCAAGCTACCATGCTTCAATGGCCGGGTGGTGTCCTGGGTAAGGAGCCCTCAGCCTTCCATCCACCTGCATCCCTGTGCTGGGCTGGACGAGGGAAAGGCATCACTGAGATTGTAGCTGGTGGTTTTAAGCTTCAGTATCTGAATCTTTCTTTAGTTTTGCAAATGAACTGCTTCTCACCCCAGATTCTGTAACCTTTGATGAAAAGTGAGAAATTAGTGGGAAGGGGGAAGAGGGAGAGACGGAAACACACAGTGGAGACAGTAACGTTTCCTATGCCGTTCAGACACTTGCCTCAGATTTCCTTCTGCCATCTGCTCATCTCTGCCTTAGACCTCTGAGCCTTGTTCTTTGTCCCCATTCCACTTCACCACCCCATGCCTTCCAACAACCCCGTCAATAGCAGGAAGTGGCAGAGGGGCCACTGTTCATCTCAGCCACCCTCGCACAGCCCTGTCTTTTCTCCCTCGATATTTCCTGCTTCCTTCCTCTTAGGCCTTCATGCCTTGCTGGAAGTGAACTATCCCCTTCTCCTTGATGCTCCTGTAACATACTACTCACTCAGTTTCTCCCTTTCAGCTGGTGTCAGCTGAGGGCTCACACCCAGACCCAGCCCCCTTCTGTGCTGATAACCCATCGGAGCTGCCACCACCTATGGAGCGCACGGGAGGCATCGGGGACTCCCGACCCCCATCCTTCCAGTGAGTGTGACCTGAGGGTGGGGAGGGCCGCATCAGTTCAGCCCAGGGCTGGGGGAGGGAGCCCCCAGCCTGCCCCCTCCCCCATCAAGTCTCTTCCCTGCAGCCCTCATGCTGGTGGGGGCAGCCAGGAGAACCTGGACAATGACACAGAGACGGACTCTTTGGTGTCTGCCCAGCGAGAGCGGCCACGCCGGAGGGATGGCCCAGAGCATGGTATATCTTCCTGAACACGGACACTGTCCGCACCTCACACCCTCCCCTCACTTTCCACCCAGCTACCCACCTTCTTGCCCTACTTCCCGAGCTCAGGATATGCCTGGCCCCAGTGCAGCCCCTGGCTTGCCTCTCTCCCTCCTTCACCCCTGCACTGGGCACTGTGTAAACCCAACTGCTTCCATCCCCTGCAGCAACCCGGCTAAATGGAACTGCGAAGGGGGAACGGCGGCGAGAACCAGGGGGTTATGATAGCTCATCCACCCTTATGAGCAGTGAGCTGGAGACCACCAGCTTCTTTGACTCAGATGAGGATGACTCCACCAGCAGGTGGGGCTTGAGTTTCATGGGTATTGTGGGGCAGGTGACCCTGGAGGAGCCCTAAACCCTGAGGATGCGGGGCCCCTGGGAGGCTTATGGGCTTTGTGTTGGGGACCCAGGCCCTGCAGTGCCTCCCCTCATGGGGGCAGGGCTGGGCCAGCCTGGTGGGGAACGACTGTGGGCCCCACAGGTTCAGCAGCTCCACAGAACAGAGCAGTGCCTCACGCCTGATGAGAAGACACAAGCGGCGGCGGCGGAAGCAGAAGGTTTCTCGGATTGAGCGGGTATGGGGTCTGGGAGGCTAGGGATGGGTGGAGGCAGATTGTGAGCCCTTCCTACGCAGGGCCAAGGCTTGTTCTTCCTTAGATCCCATCCCCCTAGTGCAGTGTTGAGAACCTTGGGGCTGGGGGCTGCACCGGGGACTCACCTTGAGGAGGAGTCAGGTGGGAGTGAATTCCTGCCACCTCCACCTGCTGCTCAGGGCCTCTGTCTATTCCAGTCCTCGTCCTTCAGCAGCATCACGGACTCCACCATGTCACTCAACATCATCACGGTCACTCTCAACATGGGTGAGTCTGAGGAAACAGCACTCTCAAGCACCTGCTATATGCCAGACACTGGGCAGACTTGAGTTCAGAGAGCGTAGAATATGTTCCCTGCCCTCAAGGAGCTCTCTTTCGTAAACATCAGCTGATACATAAACTGATCATTTTAGTATCTCACCATCAGGGCTATGACAGAGATAAGCACAGAGAGCTGTGGAAGCAGAAAATGGTATCAGGGAAGGCTTCCTGGAGGAAGTGATTTCTGAGTGCCCACTCCTTCACATCTCTCAGCCATTGCATCCTTGCTCTCCGATTTCTGCCCTAGGTACTCTCTTTATGAGACAGCTGGATATAGTAAAAGGAGCCCAACTATGGGATTTAAATCTGAGTTTGATTCCTGGCTCTGCCACTTACTGGCTTAGAAAAGTCATCTTCTAAGTTCACTGAACCTCAGTTGCCTGCTCTGTAAAATGGGACTGAGTCCCTACCTTATAGCCAGCAAGGGTTCCATGGAAGCATGTTTGAGCATGCTGAGTGCAGTGCCTGATTCAGGATCAGCAAATGTCAGTTCAGTTCCTGTCCCTTTCCATTTTCTAATGGGCTGGGAATGCGGGTAGGAACCTTGCTCCCCCTTAAGGTCTTAAATTACTCTCTATAGAAAAATATAACTTCTTGGGCATCTCCATTGTGGGCCAAAGCAACGAGCGTGGTGACGGCGGCATCTACATTGGCTCTATCATGAAGGGTGGGGCCGTGGCTGCTGATGGACGCATCGAGCCAGGAGATATGTTGTTACAGGTATCAGTGCCCATCCTAGGCGGTGGTGTGGATAGAGGGCAGGGAGGTGTCCTACCATCTGTACCCTGCTCCTTCAGAGGCCCCTTCTTGGTTGGGGGAAGACTCCCTGACCTACCAAGTTGAGTTCCCTTTTCATCCTCCCCAGCACAGCTGTTTATCCCACTCCTGGTCCTTTCCCAGGTAAACGAGATCAACTTTGAGAACATGAGTAATGACGATGCAGTCCGGGTACTGCGGGAGATTGTGCACAAACCGGGGTATGGATGGAATGGGGCACTGGGCAAGGGGCTTGGTCTGGCCTATACGCATCCTGCCTTCACTAGGACACCCTTGTTTTCAGGCCCATCACCCTGACTGTAGCCAAGTGCTGGGACCCAAGTCCACGTGGTTGCTTCACATTGCCCAGGAGTAAGTGGATGGGAGACTCAGTCCTAAAGCTGGTGCTTACATACATGAGCACTGTCTCTCCTTTCTTCTCTCACCCAGAACCCCCATATCTATCCTGTTGGGCCCAGCAGTGGGTGGGGTGGGTAGCCCATGACTCCTCATCCTCCCTGCAGGCGAGCCCATCCGGCCCATTGACCCTGCGGCCTGGGTCTCCCACACTGCAGCCATGACCGGCACCTTCCCTGCATACGGCATGAGCCCCTCCCTGAGCACCATCACCTCCACCAGCTCCTCCATCACCAGTTCCATCCCTGACACAGAGCGTGAGTGTCCCACCCTGTCTCCTGGGCCCAGCAGACAGGGCCAGGTGGGGGGACTGATGAGGGTCCATGTGGAGACTCTTGCTTGAGCATCAGAGAGGGCTGGAGATGGGGCTCGGCTCATTCCAGCAACCCCACACTGCAACTCCCCCACAGCGGGCACTCCAACCCTCACTAAACAGTGTTTGCTTCTGAACTTGTATGAGCACCCAGGGCGCCTCAGTTTCCTCTTACAAAATGGGACTCACGATATAAACTTTACCAGGTTCCTGTGGGTTTAATGAGAGGATATAAGTGAAGCACCATTGCGATGTGTGGTGTAAAGTAAGCATTCAGTAAACGGCAGCCATTTCGATTATCATCACATGCACATCGTACACTGGCCAAGCACCTGCATTTACATTATTTAATCCTTTATTCAAATAGCCTTGTAAAGTAGATATTAAAATCCCCATTTTTTACAGAAGGGGAAACTGAGTGTCCAAGAAATCAGTAATTTTCCCAGCATTGATCCCATAATTACTAGATGGTAGAGCTAGAATGCAAACTCTTGTTTACCTAACTCCAAAGCCCCTTTCTGCCTCACCATTCTGCCTCCCACCCCCAGGCCTAGACGACTTCCACTTGTCCATCCACAGTGACATGGCTGCCATCGTAAAAGCCATGGCCTCCCCTGAATCAGGGTTGGAGGTCCGTGACCGCATGTGGCTCAAGATTACCATCCCTAATGCTTTCATCGGTGAGAGAGCCCCATGGTGGGATGCAGGGTGGGTGGGGAGTGATGGGGCAGGGCAGGCCGGAGGGCCCAGGACTTGCCTTGGACCCTTCCTTTGATCTGGAGCCAGCCCCAGCCTCATAGCTTCTGTGAGGCCAGATGAGTCCAAGTCAGATGGGCCTCCCCATCAACTGGCAGCCTTGTCCCCAGGCTCAGATGTGGTGGACTGGCTGTACCACAATGTGGAAGGCTTCACGGACCGGAGGGAGGCCCGCAAGTATGCCAGCAACCTGCTGAAAGCTGGCTTCATCCGCCATACCGTCAACAAGATCACCTTCTCCGAGCAGTGCTACTACATCTTCGGTGACCTCTGCGGCAGTATGTGCCTCCCTCATCTTCTTGCCCTGTCTCCTGGCTGGGAGTGGGGAGGTAGCCAGGGAAGTGGCAGCAGACTCTGGGGAACCCAAACTGGGGGACAGCAGAGCCAGGGGCCCAATTCAAGGCCTGAGAGTTCTATGGTGGAAGAAGAGTCCAGTTTAGCCTCTTCACCTGGCCCACATCTCCCTCTTGGGCCTGGCATTTTCTAAGTGCCTGCTCTGCCTGGTACCATGTTGGTTGTTCCTAAAGCATCATCTTACTCAATATTCACAACCTCCCAGAGGCCCAGCTCAGGAGGATACTGCCAGAATAGGCCTTTTCCTTCTCACTCGTCAAGGTCTCAGCTAGGGTGTTGTAGGCTTAAAGGGAAGAACTGGAGGCCTAGGTAGCCCCGAGGAGCACACAGTCATTCCCTCAAAACAAACAGCCTGGAGGCTCACGTCATCACCAGCTCTGGGCAACAGCTGACAGACCACTGCTTTCCTCCACCACCACTCCCCATGCTGGCTGCTGGCCTCTTGACAGGTTGATGGCTTGGCTGCAGGCTCCACAGGCAGCCTCAGAGCCCTGTCTCCTGACTTCTCTCTTGGAAGGCTGGGGCTGGCTCTTCTTAGGGCTGGGAGGAATGTCTCATCTTAATAGGGCCGGTGGCCTCAAGGGCAGTTGTAGCTCTCTTGGAGCTCTGGGACCTGGTACCGATAGTGTGTGAGCAGAGGGTGTCCCAGGCAGGTATTCAGTCCTGGTGGCCCCTTATATTCTCTTCAATGTAGTTCCAACATTGGTGGGAGTAGCCTTGCCATTAAGGAATGTATAATTTCCCCGGGGGCGCCAGGATCGTGAGATGAGTAATGTTGGTGGAGTGAGACAGTGCTATGAAGAGCTAGGCCTGGCTGGGAACGGGGTGGAGAGCAGTGGGGGAGGCACCTAAGTTGTTCTTTCCTTCTGGCCCCTTCCCACCCTACTCACCCTGCCCAGCAGCACTGGGAAAGTATAATCAGGGCCAAGTACCTTCTATATAGGGAATCTCTGGAAGGCCCTGCACTCATTCTAGGCTTTTAGTGGGTATTTAGTTCTAGGTGAAGGGGTGGGTAACACTTTACCTAAATTTCCCAAACTGCTCCTTGTCCTAATTAATGACCTCATCTGAGAAGGTAAGGAGAAAGTAAGCTACTCTTCGCGTCTGTTCTGATTAGTTTAGGCTGAGCTGAAGGTAGTGTTCGCTATTGTGCCTCATGAACTTCAGGTGCGACATACCTGGTGGCTGTCTAGTATTTCAGCCTTCCAAATTCTCCAGTCTTGCACCAGCTGAGTGAACGGAAGAGAAAATGGCCACATAAGAGTTTTGCAGGCCGGGCGCAGTGGCTCGCGCCTGTAATCCCAGCCTTTTGGGAGGCTGAGGCGGGCAGACCACCTGAGGTTAGGAGTTGGAGACCAGCCTGGCTAACGTGGCAAAACCCTGTATCTACTAAACATACAAAAAAAAAAATTAGCCAGGTGTGGTGGTGCAACCCTGTCAGGAGGCTGAGGCAGGAGAATCGCTTAAACCAGGGAGGAAGAGGTTGCAGGGAGCTGAAACTGTACCACTGCACTCCAGCCTTGGCCACAGAGCAAGACTCCGTCTCAAAGAGTTTTGCCGCTTCTAGCCCACTGAGGCCAGCAGAGAAAGTGCAAAAGCTTGGCCAGGGCCTTCAAGGGATTGGGAGGTACAGCTTTGGCTGAGAACCTAGAATGATGACTCAGGGTTGTCCTGAGAAGGGTCTCCCCGGGGCTGGCTCTGGTGGTGGCAAAGGGGGTCTGCAGAAGGGGGGAGCTCTCTGGGCTGTGCCTCCTCTCATTCTAGCCAGAAACTACCACGGTCTCTCTCATCCAGAGCCCACCTGACCTAGGCTAGGGACCTCTCTCCGGAAAGACCTAGCTCCATCCGGCCCTCCCCTTCACAGACATGGCCAACCTGTCTCTCCACGATCACGATGGCTCCAGTGGCGCCTCTGACCAGGACACACTGGCCCCTTTGCCGCACCCGGGGGCCGCCCCTTGGCCCATGGCTTTCCCGTACCAGTACCCGCCACCCCCGCACCCATACAACCCGCACCCGGGCTTCCCGGAGCTGGGCTACAGCTACGGCGGGGGCAGCGCCAGCAGTCAGCACAGCGAAGGTAAGGTAGAGGGGCCGTGGAGGAAGGCTATAGGTGGGCCCCAGGCTTCCCCCGCCCGCTCAGCCTGCCCCACCCCGGCCCTGTTTGCCTCCTACAGGCAGTCGGAGCAGTGGCTCCAACCGTAGCGGCAGCGATCGGAGGAAGGAGAAGGACCCGAAGGCCGGGGACTCCAAGTCCGGGGGCAGCGGCAGCGAATCGGACCACACCACACGCAGCAGCCTGCGGGGGCCGCGGGAGCGGGCGCCCAGCGAGCGCTCAGGGCCGGCGGCCAGCGAGCACAGCCACCGCAGCCACCATTCCCTGGCCAGCAGCCTTCGCAGCCACCACACACACCCGAGCTACGGTCCTCCCGGAGTGCCCCCTCTCTACGGCCCCCCCATGCTGATGATGCCCCCGCCGCCCGCGGCCATGGGGCCCCCAGGAGCCCCTCCGGGCCGCGACCTGGCCTCAGTGCCCCCGGAACTGACCGCCAGCAGACAGTCCTTCCGCATGGCCATGGGAAACCCCAGTGAGTTCTTTGTGGATGTGATGTGAGCAGGGCCCCTCCCCCAGCTCCATTCCGCTCCCACCCCAGCCGGCTGCGTTCCTCTCTCCATCCGTCCGTCTTTTTTACTTTGTCTGGTACCTGAAAGGGAAATAAAAGGAACTAAATCCAGGTGCGCTAACTGCTCGCAGGGTGCTGCGAGGGTGGGGTGCACCTACCGATTGGCTCTGCAGCCCCCTAACCTGCCTCTGGCCCCAGTTCGTTTCCTCTGCCCACTAATCCCTGCGCAGGACTTCCCAGGACCCCTTTTGTCTCTGGGACCAGACTTGTTGGTGCTACCCCTTACTCCCCTCTGCAACCCCCATTTTGGGAGTTGACCCCAGCAATGACCTTGGTGGCACGCTCACTCCCTCATTCTCTCGTTTCCCCTTTAGCTCCCTTTCACCATTTATTCAGCTACATCATCCCTCTATTAACCCCACCCCATCAGGCACGTGTGCAAACCTCTTGACTTTACCCCACATTACTGAAACCAAAATATATTTGCTTCATCTGCCCCTACTAACCATCCCCCTGCCTGCTGCCTCAGTCCTGCAACCTAAAGCTGTAGTCGCCTCCAATAGCCATCCATGCCATCCCTGCCTGTGCCTAGATCAGAGGCCCAGAGGGCCCCCTCAGTTGCCTGAGCAGCTGGTGGCTTCCAGGGAGCATCTCTGCTCTACCCCTGCCCCATGCCTGCCCTGCGTGCTGGTTCCTTCAGACCCCTAACCCTACTAACCAGCAGGCTCATCTCACCTCCAGGCCTGAAACATTTCTTTTCTTTCTTTTTTCCTCCCCCAATTTACCCTGGGCCTGGAGCAGCCAAGAATTTCGGGCTGTTTGACTTTCTGTGAGCCCCCAGCGAGGGGAGGCCCAGCCTCCGAGGAGACCAGGAACCCTGCTTCAGCAGCCCCTCAGGGCTTCCCAAGGATGTCCAGCCCCCACACCCACACGTTAACATAATGAGTCACTAGGCTTCTGGGGAGGGCCCAACTTCACCCATGCATGAGAGACTCTCCTCCTTTCCAGAGAGAATCGGATCGCACCACGTGTGGCAGCCTGCGGCGGGGGGAGGGGGGCCTCTTTAGCTCTCTTTATCTTTCTCTCTCACTCATGTATGCATACATGCACAGAGATGCATACACAGGTGCCTATGCAAGTTCATTTAAGCCTCAGGGCTGGTCCCTGCCCAAAGGGCTGGACCCTCCTAATCCTCTCCTAGGTTGTGGGGCTGGTCCCCTGACACCCTTCTCCCCTTCCTGGTAGACCTTAAACCTCGCACACATGTCCCCAGCATTTTCTCACCTGGATAAAGCCCATAAGCTGGGTCTCAGGCTGGGCTCAGCAAAGGACTCGCCTTGCAACCGACAGGCCATTCCCACCCCCACACACAACCTCCCCTGTTTTCACATTCACCATGGCATCCCAGAGCAAGGACACAGGAGCCCACAGGCCAGTTGAGGTTGGGCAAGGAGACTTCCAGGACTTCCAGACAGAGTACCAGGTTTTATTTTTCACCTTATTCTCTACTTTAAACAAATCATAACTTTCTCTTTAAGCCTCTGCTATAAATTCTCCTGGCTCTCCTGGGCTTCCATATTTTGGGGGCTGGGGTGTCAAAAGTGAGATGAAGTTCTTAGCTCCAGGTTTTGGGGTAAACCAAGGTAGGAACATTTTGGCATTTATTTCAATTAACAATACTTCCTTGGACGGGTGCGGTGGCTCACGTCTGTAATCCCAGCACTTTGGGAGGCTGAGACAGGTGGATCACTTGAGGTCGGGAGTTCGAGACCAGCCTGGCCAACATAGCAAAACCCTGTCTCTACTAAAAATACAAAAATTAGATGGGTGTTTTGGCACCTGCCTGTAATCTCAGCTACTCAGGAGGCTGAGGCACAAGAATCGCTTGAATCCAGGAAGCAAGCGGAGGTTGCAGTGAGTTGAGATCGCACTCCAGCCTGGGTGACAGAGTGAGATTCTGTCTCAAAAGCAAACTAACAAAGAAAAACAATACTTCCTGGGGTTTTGGTGTGCAGAGGGCTTTGTTGGAAGTGTGACTCAATCTTGCCTGCCTTCTGGGAGCTCTAGAATTGTTCCCAACCCAGTCCATGGCTTCTAGCCACCACTACAGGGCTGTTTCATGTACTTCTCTCTCTGACTCTGTCTTGTCCGACTCTCTTGAGAATTTCTCAACGATTGCTCATGCCTGTCAGTATCAGTGCTTCCATCGTTCCATCTTTGATTCACTTCTCTTTCCTTTCTATTTACTCCCAAAATGGAGTCATTCATCCTGATGTCCTCAATTGCTGCTGATATGCTGGTGATTCCCAAATACATAGCTCCAACCCCCAACTTCCCCCAGACTTTAGATCTGTATTGGTATTACCTACTGGACATCTCTATGGACAGTTCCGTATAGACTCAACTCATCTGCCCAACCAAGTATGTTCCTCCTGAATTCCTCTCCTGGTTACTTCATCACAATCTACATAGGCTCACCAGCTAGAAACATTTATGAGCTTACATTCCTTCTTCCCATATCTTATCAGCATATCATATCCATTTCACTCCAACACTCTGTCTTGAATTTGGCCCTCCCTCTCCCCTCTCTACTTTAATTCATTGGAGCATGGGATTTGGAGTTAGGTGGTTTTGGGTTTGAATTCCAGCTCTACTATTTTTGGTTGTGTGATAGAGTTATTTAACCTCTCTGAGCCTCAGTTCCCTCGTATGTAAAATGATGATAATAATACCTACCTCACAGGGTTGTTGTGAGGATTTAAATTAGATATTGTACGAAAAGTGCCTAGCACAGTGCCTGGCACACAGTAGAGTAGGTGCTCAATAAATGGTAGCTATTATTATTATTATTTTATCATTATTATTATTTACTCTAAATTGGTAGCAGTTTAGGGTATTTTTGGAAGATAAAGCTTTTGCAAAGGTAGAAGTGAAGCCTTGAGTGCTGGTTCAAAAATTAGAAGTGCCTGTATTCAGTCACTTAATGACTTCAGGCCGTGACTATGATGTGAGAGAGGTCAGATCTTCATCCTGCCACATCGTGGCTTCTGGCTGGAGGCTGGGAAGGACTGTAACATTTGCAACCAGATCTGTCCTTTCTTGCCCTTCCTTCCTCCCATGACAGGCGTAGTCCTGCCCAAGGAAGGCAGCAGTTTATCTCTGCCTACAGAAAGAGAAGAGCCAACAGATTTTCTTAAGACTCTGCAAGAACCAAGCAGGCCTTTCATGTGTGAGGGTTGGGTCTGTCTCCTCAGCTTGGATGTAAAGATTCTGTTTATCAAAGAGGGGATTTCAAATCCCATGTCAAACTAAATTCAACTCTTCGAACGTCTTCTAAGCAACATATATGCCTGTCACTAGAAGGCATACACAGTCGCATAGGTATAGCTAAGGAGAACATCGGCTCGTTCATGAAAAGCTGTAGCTGACCTCCGGGAAGAGTGTACAGTCATGGACTTATTTGTGAAAAGGTTTAGTTTCTTCCAAGTAGTCGCCTCCTTCCTCCCCGCTCCTCTCCTTGGGTCTTGATCCCTTGGAAAAAGCTCATGTCCGGAACAAATATATGAGAAAAGCTTGAGAGAATCAGAGGTAGTGTTAGAAAGCAGTAAATTCAGCACAAACACTTCTACTGCCCAGTTGTATTTATTTGTGTGTAAAGTGAGGACAGCCAGTCCTGGGACTCTGGAGACAGAAAAGGCCTACAGCAATCCAAGGCTTAACAGATGTGCTTCCACAAATGGCATTAATATCCCAAAGCTCTCCAGAACACAAATAGGAACAGGAGGAAGTGCAGGGACTACAATTCCCAGAGCGCTCAGTGAAAAAAAAAAAAAAAAAAAAAAAAAAAAAAAAAATGAGGCGGGTGGAGCGGTGTATGCTGGAATGTGTATTTCTGGTAGGGCCGACTAAGGCCACGCCTACCCCTTCCTGAGGCGGGGGCGGTTTCTCGAAGGCAGTCGGTAGTTGTAGTTTTGCTAAACCTAGAGCGCTTCAAATTGCAAGCAAGGAGGCCGCGAGGCCTGACGGGATTTGTAGTCGGCGCTAGACGCCGGCGCGCACGCGCAGCCGGGGCCGGGGCGGGGCGGCGGCACTGCGGTGAAAGCCGAGGCAGCGGGCAGACGAGCAGGGGGCGGGCGGACATCTTGGGATCCGGAGAGTGGCCGGGCCGGCAGAGCAGGGGGCCGAGGACACCAGGTGAGCCGGGGATCTGGCCTTATGGCGTGGAGGAGGACGCTGCGGGTCGTCTGCCTCGCCGCGCAGCTTTGTCCTGCCCTGCACTGAGCTGGCGGAAAGCTGCCCACACCCGGGAGTGGCTTCAGCCTTCGGACCCGGGAGCTAGCTGACGGTGGGGCGGGGGCGCCCGGGGCGCGATTGCAGGGCTGGCGGGGAGCGGTGCCCTCCACCTGACCCGCCTGGCGCCTCCCATGAGAGGGATACCGCTTGGAATCCTCCCAGAGCAGGAACGCTGCGCAGCGCCCCCTCCCTAGGATCGTGCCAACCCCCTACCCCTCCGCGCAAGGACAATTTCCCCGTCTCGTAGGACAGTGACACCCCTTTGTGCCGCCGCCTTGCACCGTGACAGGTCTCACGCCATGCGGCACCCCCTCCTCTTAGTTCAGTGGCACCCCGCGGCTCTTCTTCCTTAGACCTGTGACAGCCCCCGCACCCCCATGGCACCATCTTTTCCCACAATGTCCTCCCCAAGGCGAAAAGCCTACCACCCTCTCATTACTCTGCACCTGAACCCCAAGCAGGCTCTGTCTCCCCAGCTTTCCCTTATTCACCACTGTCAGTTCCCCCGGCCGGTTTTTCCTTCTTAAAGCCTTGACCTTTTCCATACTGGAAACCCTTACCTTTACGTTCACTCCACCAGCCCAGTTTGCTGCTGTGGGCTCACCTGAGGACGCTGCCTGGCTTTCACTGAAGGTCTTTCCCCTTAACTAAATGTTCCATTCTTGCCCAAGGCCCCCCTCTGGTTCTCGGGTGCCCTTCGCTACCTACCACTCGATACCTGTGGACTTGGTGCTTTGCCCCAGGCTCTACCTCCATTTTGCATCTCCTCTCCCAGCCTGTTTGGGACTGAGGGATGGGATGAGTCCACCACCTTGAGAGACCGCTCACCCCTCTGGAAGACCTTGACAGCCACAGGAAAAGGCTTTATTTTCCAGTTTAGAAAAGTCCTCTAAAGTACTCCCTGTGAAATTAATACCAGGGCTAATCCAGGAAATCTAAAACCAAATTAATGCCTTTTCTCAAACAGTCTAAATTAATTTGACCCAAATAATTTGGATAATTCAGGCATCCTGACATCCCTGCTTCTTGCTTATAGGCACCCAGGCCAGAAATGAGTTACTTCATGGGCCTGGAATCACGATTTCAGATGGAAGGATTTCTTAATTTTATGAGCCTGCGCCACCCCCACCCCCCAGTCCTTATTTTTATTGCATTCCAGAGCTTTTTGAAAGGGGGGTGGTAATCAGAAATAACTGTAATAAGCAGCTTGGGTGATGGAAGTGTAGTCTGCCAGCCCTAGGACCTTCCTCCTGTGCCCTTTGCCTGCTTATTCCACTGCCTGGAAGAGGTTAAGCCACACTCCCGGGTCCACATTAGGGCCTAAGGGCTCCCTTCTCTTCTCCTTATACCCTTTCCTGGAATGTTTGAATTCTGTGAATTAGAGTGCCGGAAGTTCAGGCCCTGCGACCTTCTCTGAAGGGTAGTGGAGCCCAAGAGACTGGATGCTCTAAAGGTTATGCCTGGGGGCCCCAGGCCTGAACCAACTGGAGTAATGCCTACCGCCATTCCTGCAGCCGCAGGCAGGCAGGCAAGCCTTAGTGAGTCACTGGCGGGAGCCCGAGAGTCTGCACAGGAGGGGGCCGAAAAGGATCATTCCTGAGCTCAGTGCTGGGGAGAGGGGGCGGGGGTTACTGATGCTCAGCCCCAGGAAAGGGAGGGTCAAAATGGCCTTAGAATCCTGGGCCTAATCTCTCTCTGTTTCTTTCTCCCATCTAGTGTGGAATAAACAGGAACTGGAGCCTGGCTGAGGGGAGGGGCATGTCTGGGAGGGCTGCAGGGTCACTTACTAAAGGGTTGAGTCAGGAAAGAAGCTCCAGTGACCTGCACAGCTCCACAGGGGATGTTGGCAGCGATTCTGAGGTCTTCTTTTACCCTGCCCCCGCCTGTCCTAGGTCTGTTCTCAGAGCGATGGGCCGCGGAGACTGATCTGCCGCCATGATTGGAGGCTTATTCATCTATAATCACAAGGGGGAGGTGCTCATCTCCCGAGTCTACCGAGATGACATCGGGTGAGTCCCCTGGCGGAGCCAGCTGTGCCCCACCACTCCAGCCCCCCAGCCCCAGCATACAGGATTAGGTCTTTTCCCACCATTGGCTTGACTTGGGCCACCCTGACCCCTGGCTGCACCCTGGAAGCTCAGCTAGTGTAGCCTGGCTCCCATTAGGTCTGGTGGTATTGGCCCGGCAGCCAGCCTGCCAGCCCCTAGGTGGGACCTGTGGAATGGCATGGTCCCACAGCTTTAGGAACTCCTTCCCTTCCTGCATCCTGTTTCTCTAGTTACAGTGCCTTTGCCCAGGCTGGTGAATTCCTTCTTTGAGGAGGAGGAGGAGAAATGTCTCCAGTGGGTGGGGTTAGTGGCCACGCTGGAGGCACTAATCCATCTAAGCCTTGCTCTCAGAAGCCCTTCCCATATCAAACGCCTTCACTGGATTCTGTTGAAAGCCCCTCCAGGCTGCCCAATCCTCTCCTGCTCCCTTTCTCAGGAGTCGTCAGGCTGCTGACTCAGCTGTCTTCAGTTCCTCTGGCCCATTCCCTGGGGAGTGGCTGGAAGCGTGAGGCACTCTCTGGGTCACTGTGGGAGGGCAGGGAAGCCATGCTACCCTCTCAGTAGACCCAGAGCAGCTCCATATCCTGGGCCTTCACACAGAGCCACAGCCTGCCTTCTCATTCTGCGCCCCCTTGCACGCCCTTGTTCTTTGCGACTGAAGGGACCTATCCTAGCCTCCGAGGCGCTAAAGAGTAGGCTCCTCTGGTTCCTGCTGCCTGTTTTTCTTCCTCAGAGAGCTTGAGATAAAGTCACAGAATGGGCCTGTGGCAGTGCTCTTCATTTGGCTCCCTGGCTGATGGGCTGGCTTGGCCCTTGCGGGCGTTTGTCCATTGGCTGGTGGTGTGGCATGAGCTAGAGCTGCAGCTGTGGCAAGGCCTGGCCTGTCTGAACCTGGCTGGCTACACCCCCCACCCCAGACCCCCTCCTGCCTTGGATGGACTGGGCAAGCCAAGGCCAGGTCACACGCCGCCTTGCCTGTCTTGTCTGCTTCTGCCTCACGGTGTGTGCCGCCCTCCCGGTGTGTTGTGTGTCTAACCCTCTCTCTCGTTGCTATCACTCTCCTCTTCTTGCTGGCGTCATTTCTCTCATCCCATCTCATTGGCTGCCGTAGCAATAGGTAAGCGGCCTCTCAAGCTGCTGCCCAGGTACAGGTGGGTGGGGGCCTGCCCCCATCGTTTTCCTGCATCCTTTTTCATTCCCTCAACTTGCTCTGGAGTTGGATCCTGGGCAAGAATGGGTAGCACAATTCCATGGCCCCTTGGTACTTCTCCCTCCTTTGTGACTTCTGAAGCCATGCTGGCTTTGTCTAACATCTGGAGGAGTCGGCCCTCCCCACTGGTGGGATCACTAGCGGGAGGACTGAAGAAGCAGTGTCTCTTTCTGTCCTGGACCTGGGAGCTTACAGGGAAGCTAGATAAAGCTGGGAAATTAGGGCCAGCCCTGGGAGTAAGGAATATCTGTCTCTAAACCTGATGAACCTCACTTTATTAAGGTTACATCAGCCTTAATAGTTGACTTCCCTATTTCTTGTGGCCTTTAGACACTAGCCCAGCTCAGGCACTCTTCCCATGCCTCCACAGGGAGTCATAAGAAGGGAACCACTCCAGTGGTTTAGGCATTGGCTTTCTTTGGAGTGTGTGTGTCAGACTTCTGCAGAAAGGAGGGTGGGGCTGTTAGCAGCTGTGGTTGATCCTTATGGGGTAAGGTTCACCTGGGTGCTGAGCAGGCCCTATGCACTCTTTTCCCTCAGGAGGAACGCAGTGGATGCCTTTCGGGTCAATGTTATCCATGCCCGGCAGCAGGTGCGCAGCCCCGTCACCAACATTGCTCGCACCAGCTTCTTCCACGTTAAGCGGTCCAACATTTGGCTGGCAGCAGTCACCAAGCAGAATGTCAACGCTGCCATGGTCTTCGAATTCCTCTATAAGATGTGTGACGTGATGGCTGCCTACTTTGGCAAGATCAGCGAGGAAAACATCAAGAACAATTTTGTGCTCATATATGAGCTGCTGGATGGTGAGGCTGGCGGGCTGGCACGGCAGCGGGCGTAGGGTGGGAAAAAACCAGGCTGGGCCTGGCCTGAAGGTGGGTGTAGGTCCGAGGCTCTGGTACACTCTGAACTTTCTTTCCTGAGTATTTGGTCTCTTGGGCTAGGATCTCTATGCCCCTCAGAAGGCCAGTTCACATCCAGACCTGAAGGCTGGTCTGAAGTAGAACACAGAAATAGGCCAGCAGGTGATCTTCCAAGGGGCTAGGAACCTGACTCAGGTTTGGTGGCTGAACCTCCTGTATTCATCCTCTTTCCTTTGTGGCTTGGACCTTAGTTCACTAACTGTCCACCCAGTTTTCCATCTCAGCAGCTGCTTCAGAGCCTGGGGGAGAGTGAGATATTACAAGCCTCTTGGGGTGCACTGTTATCTCTGTTCCTCTGTAGAGTGTGATCTAAGAGAAGGTGAATACTTCCACCTTCCCAATGTCTATTTTCTGGAGAAAACAGCTCAAAGCTTCTTGACTTGCCACCCACTGGCCATGTGACTCTTCTATTGATTTCTTTTCTTTTTTTTTTTTTTTTGAGACAGGGTCTTGCTCTTGTCACCTATGCTGAGTGCAGTGGTGCAATTGCAGCTTACTGAAGCCTCGACCTCCTAGGCTCAAGCAATCCTCCAGCCTTAGCCTCCTGAGTAGCTGGGACCATAGGCACATGCCACCATGCTTGGCTCATTTTTACTACTTTTTGTAGAGCTGGGTCTCGCTATGTTGCCCAGGCTGGTCTTGAACTCCTGGGCTCAAGTGATTCTCCCACCTTGGCCTCCCGAAGTGTTGGGATTACAGGCATGAGCCACTGCACCTGGCCTTGATTTCTCTATTTGAAAAAAATCAAACATTTGAATTGTTTTCCTGTAAAGCACAAATCACAGAATAAATGCTACAAAGCTAGAAGACTTTCTTGCGGATGATCCCACATGGGCTTTGGGAGCTGTGCCGGTCAGATGTGTAGGCCCAAGTAGGGGCTGGAATGAAGAAGCTCTGTCCAGGGGCTGATGGTTCCCTTCTTTTTGCAGAGATTCTAGACTTTGGCTACCCACAGAATTCCGAGACAGGCGCGCTGAAAACCTTCATCACGCAGCAGGGCATCAAGAGTCAGGTACTTGAATTGTGCAGACTATAGTCAGGGTGGAGTCCAATCTCCCTTCATCTCAGCTGGCCCCTGAGCCTTGTCTGAGCTGACTCATGAGCCCTCCCATGACAGGAAGTGCTGGCCTGAGCCTCCTGCCATGATTGCAGGCCGATTTTGCTCTGTGTGGTCCTCCCACTGCAGGAGCAGCCAATTCAGCATCTCTATTACCAGGAATACAGCTCAAGCAGTTTCCTTTTGCACTGAGGGGTGGGGGAGGAGGCCTGGTCTTGAGGCCTGGTATTCCTCAGGAGGAGCGAGCTTGGGCCCTCTCCTCTAGGATCCAAGCCTCATAGCTTTCTCCTCCTTTTCTGCCTCCCTTGCTGCTTCATGTGGGCACCTCGTTGGCCCTGCGGCCTCCAGCATCAGGTAAGCTCTTCCCTCAGCTTCCACCCTTGCAGCTTTGCTTTGTTTCTCCAGGCCCTGCCCTTTGGGGCTTATAGGGGAAAATGGATTACAGGTGGGGACTAGAAGGGATGGGGAATGAGGGTGGAGTGGGGATAGAGACAGGATGATTAAAGGGACAGAGGAGTGAGGCCATTGCTGTTTGTTTCTGCCCTCATGTAGACAAAAGAAGAGCAGTCACAGATCACCAGCCAGGTAACTGGGCAGATTGGCTGGCGGCGAGAGGGTATCAAGTATCGTCGGAATGAGCTCTTCCTGGATGTGCTGGAGAGTGTGAACCTGCTCATGTCCCCACAAGGTGAGGTCCCTCTCACGACAAAGTTGGAGGGGGCCCAGGGCAGGATCCTGGGCCTGCCTGCCTGACTCCGCTGCTCCCCATTTATCTGTTCCATCACCAGGGCAGGTGCTGAGTGCCCATGTGTCGGGCCGGGTGGTGATGAAGAGCTACCTGAGTGGCATGCCTGAATGCAAGTTTGGGATGAATGACAAGATTGTTATTGAAAAGCAGGGCAAAGGCACAGCTGATGAAACAAGCAAGAGGTGCCTGAGGCAGGAGAGCTGGTGGGAGAGGGTGTCCCTTGGAGGGCTCAGTGGGGTCTAGTGAACCACAAGTTTCTTCTGGATTTCATTCCCACTGTAATTGCAAACTCTGTTCCTGACGGTAAGCCTGGCTGTTCGCTCTTGACATTAGTGCTACGAGAGATGAGGGGATCGTCCTCAGAGAGCAAGCCCCTTTGTTTGGTCCCTAGGACCAAGGCCTTTTCTGTACATACTGACAGCCTCTGCCCAGTGTGCCTGAAACACCCAGGTCCCTAGCAGAAGGAGCCCCAAGAGATGAGCTTGCAAGGCTTCCCTCTCATCCCAAGCTCTGGGGCAGACCTCCGAGTCACAAAGCTGCATTCTAGCAGCTTTTCATAGTCTCTGGTGCCAGCCTGGGGTGGAGTGGTCTCCCAGCATGACAGCTGTCATTCTCCTGTACCAATGAGACCTCTTCTGCCCCTGCTTGCAGCGGGAAGCAATCAATTGCCATTGATGACTGCACCTTCCACCAGTGTGTGCGACTCAGCAAGTTTGACTCTGAACGCAGCATCAGCTTTATCCCGCCAGATGGAGAGTTTGAGCTTATGAGGTGCCATTGGGGTGTGAGGAGGCAGCTAGTGCTGCTGGCAGACTGGGGAGAGGAAGTGGGTCAGCTCTTTGGTAACCTTGCTTCCCATCCCTTAAGGTATCGCACAACCAAGGACATCATCCTTCCCTTCCGGGTGATCCCGCTAGTGCGAGAAGTGGGACGCACCAAACTGGAGGTCAAGGTGGTCATCAAGTCCAACTTTAAACCCTCACTGCTGGCTCAGAAGATCGAGGTGAGGACAGGGGGCTCAAGGAGGAGGAAGAACTTGTCCCTAGGAATAAAGGTAGCTGATGTCACAGCTTGACAGAGCTCCCTGACAGGTGTGTCACTTCTAGGTGAGGATCCCAACCCCACTGAACACAAGCGGGGTGCAGGTGATCTGCATGAAGGGGAAGGCCAAGTACAAGGCCAGCGAGAATGCCATCGTGTGGAAGTGAGTCTTTCCTTCATTAGGCCACAGCAGGGCTCAAGATCCCAGTATACCCTCTTGTTTTCAGCTTTGATCCTTCTGAATGAGGGGCAGGGGAGTGTGCCTGTTTGCTTTTCTAGGAGCCTCTGCTTGTACTGTCAGTCTTTATACCTCCATGTGAGTATGTACACGCCTGCATTTGGGTTCATGCACGTGCTTATTTTTTAAGATGCTTTGGCATTTCCCTTTGTAATGTATACATTACAAAGGGAATACATTGCCTTTGTAATGTATCTGTGAAGCAGACAAAGCAAACGATAGCATGTCCAAGTGTCTAGGCAGAAACTGCATCCTGTTGTTCTAAAGAAGTAGACCCAAGTTTCCATAGCAAGTGGTTAGCAGGGTCCTGACCACTTCTCCTTGTTCTGGCACCTCCTGCAAGCTCCTGGGCTCTCTCCTTGCTTGAAATGGGCAACTGCCCTTGAAACTCCTCCAAGCCCCAATGGGCTGCCCATTGTCCCTGTGTTCCCAGGATCAAGCGCATGGCAGGCATGAAGGAATCGCAGATCAGCGCAGAGATTGAGCTTCTGCCTACCAACGACAAGAAGAAATGGGCTCGACCCCCCATTTCCATGAACTTTGAGGTATGGCAGAGGAGGGGCCTAGAGTCATGCCAGGGTATGCTGGAAGACCTCTTAGAGATCATTCCGATAAACTGCTGCACCTTAGAGGTGAGGAAACTGAGGCCTAGAAAGAAGAACTGGCTTTAATTCATAGATCCATTCTTCCCCTTTCAAGCCTCTTAGTAGAAATTACTATTTGTGATGAGGCAAATCTTTTACTTCTCTCGGCTTGTCCTAACACAGTTCTTTCAAAAAACTTAGATTGTTTAAATGCCAGGTAAGACACAAAGTTTACTTACAGACAGGATAATGGGCTGACTTTGCTTTGCGCATGTTAGACATAATTTTCTCCACCTTATTTTTAAGTTCATAATATTGAGCAGGATAAGTATGTTCTAAAGCAGTTCTTTGGTTGCTGTCTCCTGCTGATTAAAGGAACTGATTCAAGGTGTCACAGGTAGGGCTTTCTTCTTTAGTCACCTCTTAGAAGGTCCCACGCCGCCCCAGCTTCTTTCAGGACCCCAGCCATACAAACACCTGTAGTAGCGATGAAGTAGGGCAGGGCAACGGGACTTCCCAGAGGAGAGCGGCTGTAAGAGGAAGGCCACATTTCTAACTAGCTCTCCTTGCCCAGGTGCCATTCGCGCCCTCTGGCCTCAAGGTGCGCTACTTGAAGGTGTTTGAACCGAAGCTGAACTACAGCGACCATGATGTCATCAAATGGGTGCGCTACATTGGCCGCAGTGGCATTTATGAAACTCGCTGCTAGCTGCCACTAGGCAGCTAGCCCACCTCCCCAGCCACCCTCCTCCACAGGTCCAGGTGCCGCTCCCTCCCCCACCACACATCAGTGTCTCCTCCCTCCTGCTTTGCTGCCTTCCCTTTGCACCAGCCCGAGTCTAGGTCTGGGCCAAGCACATTACAAGTGGGACCGGTGGAGCAGCCCCTGGGCTCCCTGGGCAGGGGAGTTCTGAGGCTCCTGCTCTCCCATCCACCTGTCTGTCCTGGCCTAATGCCAGGCTCTGAGTTCTGTGACCAAAGCCAGGTGGGTTCCCTTTCCTTCCCACCCCTGTGGCCACAGCTCTGGAGTGGGAGGGTTGGTTGCCCCTCACCTCAGAGCTCCCCCAAAGGCCAGTAATGGATCCCCGGCCTCAGTCCCTACTCTGCTTTGGGATAGTGTGAGCTTCATTTTGTACACGTGTGACTTCGTCCAGTTACAAACCCAATAAACTCTGTAGAGTGGAGTTGCTGGCTTAGTGTTGATGTGGGAGCTACATGGGGAGGGAACTGGTGTTGCTCTCCGTGCAGTTTTCTGTACTGAATACTCTAAAGGCTCTTTCCTTGTCTTGTCCCAGTTAGGCCCCTCCTGGGCCATCCAAGCCCTTATCCTTGTGGGTTCTGGGCCCAGGTTTCCTGGCTCCTCTTAGAAAGCCTCAAGGGCATGCAGCCGCAGCGGGCCCCAGTACCCTGGGGATAGATTCTTTCCCTAGCTCCTTTTTATTCCCCCTGGTCCTCGGACTCCTAGGCTCAAGAGATCTTACCTGCCCCAGCCTCTGGAGTAGCTGGGATCACAAGCACGCACCACCACAGCACCCAGCTCTTTCTCTAATTCTTAGGCAGATGTTTTCTAATTAGATTAAGCATAAATTAAGTGTGAAGTTTACATTTGGTCTTGTAGCCATCCTAAGAAATTGACCTTTTAATTCCATCATTTACCCAAGCTTCCCAAATCTTGCTGACTGGGTGGTAGGAGGAAAGATTTGCAAGGAGAATAACATAATGGACTGGGCGCGGTGGCTCACACTGTAATCCCAGCACTCTGGGAGGCCGAGACGGGTGGATCACCCGAGGTCCGGAATTCGAGACCAGCCTGACCAACATGGGGAAACCTCGTCTCTACTAAAATTACAAAATTAGCCGGGCGTGGTGGTGCATGCCGGTAATCCCAGCTATTCGGGGGCTGAGGCAGGAGAATCGCTCGAACCCAGGAGGTGGAGGCTGCGGTGAGCCAAGATCACGCCACTGTACTCCAGCCTGGGCAACAAGAGCGAAACTCCTTCTCAAATTAAAAAAAAAAAAAAAAAGAATATAATGAATCTCCATGTCTCATCACCCAGCTTCAACTATGATCAATGCGTGGCCAGTTCCTTAATATCACATCCAGTTTGTGTTCACTTAACCAGGTGTCTTATCAAATTTTTCCAGATAAGGTCCATTGTGGTTGGTTAATGCTCCTCAAATTTTAAAAATTGATGTTTCCCTTCAGGTCTTGCAATTTTGTGGAAGAAACCAGAGTTCTGTAGTTTACCACATCAGAATTTGCCTGTTGTCCCCATGAAGTCACTTAACATATTCCTCTTTACCTGTATTTCCTGTAAAATGGTTCAATATCGGGATTGATGCCTCATGATGGCAATGTTTAATCCAAAGGGATGAATGGGTAATAATGTAATTTTCGGTGCCACTTTTAGAGACCAATTGGAGGAATATTCACGTTAAATATAAAGCAGTAGCATCATTTTGGAGGAAATTCCTAACTTCCCGAGGGAATCGGTGAAAGGAAATAGCCTTTTATTGGCATTTATTGAGTGCAGAGAAGTCTGCTCAGGGTGTAGGTAGGGAATAATTTATACAGGCCACGTTGTCCTGGTTTTCTTGCCCTTTGGCGGTGGATTTGGTCGTGCCCTGGGGTGGTGGAAGAACTGAATGGGCTTAATTCACAAAGGTCGGCTGAATTACACAGTGAAAAGGCGGTCGCGGCGGGGAGGCGGGTGGCGCTGGCCACCAGGCTGAGAAGCCCGTAGGGTCTGGGGACCCGCGAAAGCAAAGCACTGAGCAGGGGGCTTCTGAGAGTCAGGGACCGGGGTGAGTCAGCAAAGCTCTGGGCAGGCTCCAAAATGGGCCTGACTGGGTACGCACCAGCAGCAGACGCGCCTCGAGGGAGCGCATAAAACCTGGCAAAGCCAAAGTGCTTTATCAGCCGCCTGCCTCTTGGGAGGCTCCCACCCGCCAGACCACGGGTGCCTCGCGGCCCCGATAAACCTTGAGCTCCCAGCCTTTGCCCCACCCCTCGCTCCCGGAACTCCACCTCCCAGAAGGCAGCGAGAACCGCACATGTGGCTAATCTTTCAGCGGAAAAGGTGTCGCGCACGCGCAGAGAGCGCGGCTCCGGCGCAGACTCGGCGCCTCTCCTCAAGGCCCCGCTCGCCCCGCCCACCGGGCTCTGCGCACTCCGCTCCTTTCCTGCGTCACCGCTACACATGCGCCTTGCAAGGAAGGGCGAGATTTCGGGGGCAGGGCGGGGGGCGGGCCTAGGCCGGGGTCTCACAGCGACTGCGCGGACGGGTTCCTGAGTGGAACATGGCGACTTGCGCCGAAATCCTGCGGAGCGAGTTCCCCGAAATTGACGGACAAGTCTTCGACTACGTGACCGGTAAGCAGAACTGAATCGGCCGGCTGGGGAGACCGAAGTGGAGGCCGGGGGAAAGTCTAAGCGAGCGTCGTGCCCGGGACTGTTGCCAGGCCTCTCCTCTGCATGACCTCTTGTCCCGGGGGCTGGTTGGGTCTGGAGCCTGGACTGGGGCCTCTGTCTGGGGTCTGAAACTGCTTGTGTGTCCACCCTACCCGATACCTTCCTCGTTCTACCACGCCCTGCCCAGGCGTCTTGCACAGCGGCAGCGCGGACTTCGAGTCTGTGGATGACCTGGTGGAAGCTGTAGGGGAACTATTGCAAGAGGTGTCCGGGGACAGCAAGGATGACGCGGGCATCAGGGCCGTGTGCCAGCGCATGTACAACACTCTGCGTCTGTATGTGCCAGGGAGTAGGGGTTGATGGGGGCGAAGGGACGGCGAACGGTCCGGAGACAAGAGGTGGGGGAGGAAGATCTGATGGCCATAGAGCTTTTCCCTCAACTCCTAACTCTGCGCTTTCTATCCCTACCCACATAGGGCTGAGCCACAAAGCCAGGGAAATAGCCAGGTGCTACTGGACGCCCCTATCCAGTTGTCAAAGATAACGGAGAACTACGGTGAGAGTGAGGGGAGGTTGAACTAACTGCCCCCCTGTGCTTTTCTCCGCCCCCAACCATCTGCTGCCTGCAGCTTAGGGCTCCTACGTCTTTTCCACAGGACAAGGTTGTAGGAGCTAGTTGATGTCTTTACCGAGGGCAGAAGAGCCCATGATGGGGGTGGGGAGGAGGTTGGAGGGTTCTCCCTCCAAGCTCTTGGGTAGGATAGGAAGCATAAGAGCCTGGAGCTGGACAGACTTGCTTTCACCCCCAGTTTTGCAACTTGCTAACCAGCTGCATGATCTTGTAAGAGTTGGTTATCTGTCCCCAGCCTTGTCTATGCCTCTGTATCCTTCTACGTGAGTTTTGTTTTGTTTTGTTTTGTTTTGTTTTTAGTGCAGGGAAGATAATAGCCATCTATCTGCAGTATTATAAGGTTTTGTAGAAAACATCTGTGTCTGTGCCTGGTTCCTATTAGTCACTCAAAATGTTAGTTTCCCTTCCCTCAGGGAGAAGGTGACTGCTTTTCTTATCGCTTACAGACTGTGGAACCAAACTTCCAGGACTGCTAAAGAGGGAACAGTCCTCGGTGAGGAGGAGGAAGCAAGGGAGGGGACTGTCTGTGATGGGGTTGGGAGTTGACTGTCTAATTGGAGTATCTTTTGGGGGGATTTCTGACTATGTCTTTTCCTGAGCCTTTGAGTCTGTTCATCATGGGTAAGTTAAGAGGGTTTACTCGAGATGTTCTCTCTTGGGGTTCCTTTCTGAGCCTACACCCGAGAGTGAAGTCGATGTGTTTGGACCCTTAGACAGTGAATGCAAAGAAGTTAGAGAAGGCCGAGGCTCGACTTAAGGCAAAGCAGGAGAAGCGCTCAGAGAAGGACACGCTCAAGACCAGCAACCCTCTGTGAGTGGGGGAAGCATGGCTCAGAAGAGAGCAGAGCAGCTTTTGCCTGGACAGAAGGTGGTGGGGAGCACTAAGAGCTGTCCATTTCTCCCTTTAAAGAGTCTTAGAAGAGGCATCAGCCAGCCAGGCAGGCAGCAGAAAGGAGAGTCGGTTGGAATCATCTGGCAAGAACAAATCCTATGATGTGCGAATTGAGAACTTTGATGTGTCTTTTGGCGATAGGTGAGGGAATAGTGGTGGCAGGGGTTGGCTTTCTTTTTCTAATTAGAGGACAATTTGGAGAGGTGAAACGGGGCTATAAACAATGTTAGGTTTGTCATTAAACTTGCTGTGCACCTATTTCTAGAGCATCTTTGGTCTCCTTTCTCCACTCCTGCAGAGTACTGCTGGCTGGAGCGGATGTGAACCTGGCATGGGGCCGCCGTTACGGGCTGGTGGGGCGGAATGGGTTGGGGAAGACAACGTTACTGAAGATGCTGGCCACCCGGAGTCTGCGGGTTCCAGCCCACATTTCCCTGCTGCACGTTGAGCAAGAGGTTGCTGGAGATGACACTCCTGCCCTGCAGAGTGTGCTGGAGAGTGACAGTGTGCGAGAGGATTTGCTACGGAGGGAGCGGGAGCTCACTGCCCAGATTGCTGCTGGCAGGTGAGGACTCCCGGCTAGGGAGTAACTAGCAGCCGCTGTCGCTTACAGAGCGCCTGCCGTCCTGGAACAATCCATAATTTGCATGTACATCCTAGTAATCAGCAGAGCTTAGAACTTGGCACTCTGGGACTCAGAAGCCCTTGTTCTTTCCACAGTGCCCATTGCCCTTTCTTGTTCTTTCCACAGTGCCCATTTCCATAGTGCCCAAGGTAATGAGCACTGTGCAAACCCTTCCTGTATTCTCTTCCTCTTCCAGCCACAAGGTAGCCAATGGCCTTTCCAACGGTATAGGGTGCAGGACATCCTCCTAGACTGCCCCTGCTTAGGCCAATTGCTGTTTCTCCTCCCTCCAGGGCGGAGGGCTCTGAAGCTGCAGAGCTGGCAGAAATCTATGCCAAACTGGAGGAGATTGAGGCTGACAAGGCACCTGCCAGGTATTTAAAGCTCCCCCTCCCTCCTTCAGATTTCCTTTCCCTTCTGTGGACTGTTCCAACTGAGTTCTTCGATTTCTTCTCTACTAGGGCATCAGTCATTCTCGCTGGGCTTGGCTTTACCCCTAAAATGCAGCAGCAGCCCACCCGGTGAGTGACCCTTGCCATTCTTGGCTTTGAACCCTGTTGTCTCAGCCCCTTCCTGCCCTGATGAACACCCACCCATAATGTGACTCCATCATTCTTTAGGGAGTTCTCAGGTGGCTGGAGGATGAGGCTGGCCCTGGCCCGGGCCCTCTTTGCTAGGTGAGTCTCCTGGGCCAGTGTATGAAGCCCTATGGAAGATTGGTCTTAGCTCTTGGGAGGTGGCATGAGTTGCTGACCTAAAACCTCAGGCCATGTATTGTTTTTCATAGGCCAGATCTTCTGCTGTTAGATGGTGAGTTTGAAATGGGGCACCCTGACTTTAGGATGGGCAGGGGTGGTAGCATCCAAGTTCCTAGTTCTCCAGCCCTTCAATCCCAAGTGTGTGCTCCCCTGCTTCTCCAGAACCTACAAACATGCTGGATGTCAGGGCCATCCTGTGGCTGGAGAATTACCTGCAGGTGAGTGCCTGTGGGTGCTGGAGTGTGTTGGGGAAAGGCGGCCTCCAAGATACCTGGGGGCCTGAGAACTGACTGCCCTCCCAAACCGGGCCTGCTGTCCTGTGACCCCTCAGACGTGGCCCTCCACCATCCTAGTCGTCTCCCACGACCGCAACTTCTTGAATGCCATCGCCACAGACATCATCCACCTGCACAGCCAGCGGCTAGATGGTTACCGGGGAGACTTTGAGACCTTCATCAAGAGTAAGCAGGAGCGGCTGCTCAACCAGCAGCGTGAATATGAGGCGCAGCAGCAGTATCGCCAGCACATCCAGGTGTGGGGCCTGGCAGGGCTGGGGGTCCCATCCCAGGGGTTCCAGAGTGGGGGATAGTGGGGGAATTTGACCAATGCCTACACTCCTCCACCTGCAGGTTTTCATTGACCGGTTTCGCTACAATGCCAACAGGGCCTCTCAAGTGCAGAGTAAACTCAAGATGCTGGAGAAGCTGTGAGTACAGCATCCTTGGCCAGGGCCTGACTCCTGTTCTCTTCGTCTCCTTCCGCATTTGCACGCCACCCTTGCCCTACCATTCTAGGTCTCCCCTTCGCTAGAAGCCAACTGTGACTTCCTCCTCTGCTGGGAAGCAGAGTATTCCACACTGTTCTTGGAGGGCTAATCTTGACTAGCACATGGCAACCACTAATTTACTTTCTGTTTCTGCTTCTACGTATCTGCTTATTCTGGGCATTTCATATAAATGGAATCATACAATATGACCTTTGTGCCTGGTGTCTTTTACCTGGCGTCATGTGTGAGGCTCATCCATATTGTAGCGTGCGTCAGAGCTTCATTTCTTTTCGTGGCTGGATAATATTCTGTTGTGTGGATATACAGCATTTTGTTTATTGAGTCATGAGGGGCCATTTGGGTTGTTTCCATTTTGGTTATTATGAATAATGTTGCTGTGAACATTGGTGTACAAATTTTTGTGTGGACATATGTTTTCAGCTTGCTTGGGTGTATACCTAGGCGCAGAATTGCTGGGTTACCTGGTAATTCCAAATTAATGTTTTGAGGAACTGTCAAACTGTTTTCTAAAGCAACAACATCATTTTACATTCCTACCAACAAGGGATGAGAGTTCCAATTTCTCCATGTCTTTGGCAGCACTGTTATTGACTTTTTTTTTTTTAGTTTTAGCCATCCTAGTGGCTGTGAAGTGATAGCTCATTGTGGTTTTGATTTGCATTGCCTTAATAACTAATGATAATGTGCATTGGGAGTTTAATTTTGAAGTGCCCTTTCTATAAGTGCTGGCAGGAAGCTTAAAATCATAAAGCTTAGATGTTTGCGACGTGGAAACATATCACAATATAGTAACTGGGGATAAAAAGTCACAAAAAGCCTAATTCTATTTTTTAGCATACAGTAAATGAGAAGAATGGACTCTAAAGTAATGATACCTGAGTGGTAGGAGTACAAGCCCTTTCTAAGTTTTCTCTGAACATATATTACTCGTGTAGGAAGTTATTTTTTTAAGTAATAAATCTAGTCTACCTCATCTCTTCTCCCAGGCCTGAGCTGAAGCCTGTGGACAAGGAATCAGAGGTCGTAATGAAGTAAGTGCTGGGCCAGTGGGGCTGGTGGGGAATTGCTTGCTTCCAGCTGCCCCCACATCCTCACCCCTACCTCCTGCAGGTTCCCTGATGGGTTTGAGAAGTTCTCGCCGCCAATTCTGCAGCTAGATGAGGTGGATTTCTACTACGATCCGAAGCACGTCATCTTCAGTCGCCTCTCTGTGTCTGCTGATCTCGAGTCTCGCATCTGTGTGGTAAGGCTGCTGTTTCTCTGTGCTGCGAGCTGGGACTCTCCTGTCTAAGTGTGTGGTGTGGATTGGCCCAGATCCTCAGGCTGTAAAGGGACGAGGTCTGTGGAACAGGAGTGAGGGCCCGGGCTAAGGATTTTGCAGGACTTACACTAGCCCTGTCCTCTGGCCGCACAGCGCTGCTCTTCAGGGAGGAAGAGCCTAGTGTATAGTGTTTTAAAAATACTTAAAAATACTTAAAGCAGTGCTTTACCTTATTGGTCTCGGTTCTGAGTTTTCTAAACCTGGAGACATTGAGGAGAGAGCATGGGCTTCAGGGTCAGACTTCGGATCTTGACTATGCCATTTCCTAGCTTGGTTACCAAGCAGCTTCCTAACTCTTAAGATGGCGCTGACATCTACCTCACTTGGTTCTTGGGAAAAGTAAGTCCCCAGCACTTAGCAAATACTCAAGTATTGCTCACCTTAGTATATGCATTTTTCTGTAGAGTTAGAGTTCCTTTTTTTTTTTTTTCGGAGACAGAGTCCTGCCCTGTTGCCCCGGCTGGAGTGCAATGGCACAATCTTGGCTCACCGCAGCTTTCGCCTCCCGGGTTCAAACAGTTCTCCCTCAGCCCCACAAGTAGCTGAGATTACAGGCACCCGCCACCATGCCCAGCTAATTTTTTGCATTTTTAGTAGAGATGGGGTTTTACCATATTGGCCAGGCTGGTCTCAAACTCCTGACCTCAAATGATCTGCCTGCCTCAGCCTCCCAAAGTGCTGGGAATACAGGCCTGAGCCACCGTGCCCGGCTAGAGTCCTTAAAAATATTTTTTTGGTTGTTGAAGGAGTCATCGGGACTGGGGACTGCCTGGGACCCCTTCTAATTTCCTTCTCCTCTGTGTTACACACAGCGGTGCTCTTTTTATTGATACATAATTGTACATATTTATGGGGTACAGAGTGATACTTCCATGCATGTATACAATGTGTAATGATCAAATCAGGGTAATTAGCATATTCATCATAAACATTTATCACTTTATGTTGGGAACATTCAGAATCTTCTAGCTTTTTGAAAATGTACAGTCTATCATTGTGAACTGTAGCGTCCCTGCAGTGCTGTAGAACCCTAGAACTTATTCCTCCATTCCTCCTATCTAACTGCAATTTTGTTTCAGTTAACCAACCTCTCCCGAACCCCTCTCTCAATTCCCCTCCTCCCCCCTTATCCTTCCCAGCCTCTAGTAACCACAACTCTGCTCTCTACTTCTATGTGCTCAACACTTTTTAGTGCCCACATATGAATGAGAACATACCGTATTTATTTTTCTGGCACACACTGTATGACATTTTCATGTTTCTTAAGGTTGGAGAGAATGGGGCTGGGAAGTCTACCATGCTGAAGCTGCTTTTGGGGGACCTGGCACCTGTTCGGGGCATCAGACACGCTCACAGGTCAGGCCCACCCGCACCCCTGCCCCCATGAGCACATTTGCAGGCACCCATGCTGCCTGCGCTCCTTCGTGGCCATTGCCTTTGTCTGTTTTTCCACCTCGGCTTCTGCCTGCAGGAATCTGAAGATTGGCTATTTCAGCCAGCACCATGTGGAGCAGCTGGACCTAAACGTCAGTGCTGTGGAACTGCTGGCACGCAAGTTTCCTGGTGAGTTAGGGATTTGAGTCGGGGGAAGAGTTTGAGTAGGGAAGAGGGCTGAGGCTGACCCCGGCAGCTAGGCCTGCCTTGGGGTGCGTGCAGAGCAGCCCCGCCAAGCCTAGATGGAAGGACATGGGGACTTGGAGGTGTGGCTGGAGGGCACAGGGAGGGTGTTGGGCCAAGAAGCCACCTGATCTGGGGAGTCCTTTTCCAGGGCGGCCTGAGGAGGAGTACCGTCACCAGCTGGGTCGGTATGGCATCTCCGGAGAACTGGCCATGCGTCCTCTTGCCAGCCTGTCTGGGGGCCAGAAGAGCCGAGTGGCCTTTGCTCAGATGACTATGCCCTGGTGAGGCCTCATTTTCCAGAGCTCTTCCCCTCCCATTTCCCCTTCTTGCCCAGTAGAAAACTGTATCAGAAGGCTTTATTTTCTCTCACCGCACCCCTTCACTGCCCACCTTCCTGGTTCTGCCTTCCAGCCCCAACTTCTACATTCTGGATGAACCCACAAACCACCTGGACATGGAGACCATTGAGGCTCTGGGCCGTGCCCTCAACAATTTCAGGGTGAGTGTGCCTTCACCCTGACCACTCCTCCCAGGCCTCGGTGCCTCTTGTGTCCCCCTGAGCACCTCCTGCCCTCCTGTCTTTCAGGGTGGTGTGATTCTGGTGTCCCACGATGAGCGCTTTATCAGGCTGGTGTGCCGGGAGTTGTGGGTATGCGAAGGAGGCGGCGTCACCCGTGTGGAAGGAGGATTTGACCAGTACCGCGCCCTCCTCCAGGAACAGTTCCGCCGCGAAGGCTTCCTCTAGGGCCACCAGGCTGAGGACTCGCCCAGGACATGGACTGGTCTCTCAGACCCCTGGGCCACCATGTAGGCCACCACTCCAGGCCGTGGACTTCCCCCAACTTGGGGACAGCCTTATTCCCAAATGTCTCTATCCTTTTGACTGGAGCATCTTCTGCACAACCTTGGGAGCCCATCCAAGGGTTGGTGAGGACTGGTCTCCCGGGGGTGGGGGTCTGGGGGGTACCCTCTGGGGTTATAGATTCCCCCACTGCCCCAGCTCTGACTGGACCCCAAGTGGCTGCTATGTAAATTAAATCTCTCCCCGCGTCTCCTTTGCCTCATGTCTGCTGCTCCCTGGGCAGTGGTTGCCTCCTACTGAGGGCTGTGGACTCTCGGATTGGCGTTTTCCTATGGCACTTGTATCCCTCACGTGTAGGAAGCAATAGCAGCACCAGCCTTGCCTCTAGAAGAGACATTGTCAAGCTACTGGGGCATGGAGGTCATCTGCCTGCCTGACCTTGGGGTGGGCTGAGCCAGTGGAATGAAGGGCAGTGTATTGGCATCATTGCGGTGCTGTTAGCCCTAGCCTGGGCTCAGCCTCAGCTGAAGGGGTCTTGGGTTCTGTCGTCACAGCCCCCACTGATGGGCAGTTGAACTGATTGTGTAACCTGGCCTCACACGTGGCCAGCTGCTTTCTCCAGTCATATCTGGCTCCGGCTTGCCCTGCTTCTCTGCTCTCTAGACTCAGCACTGAAGAGAAACCATCTTTGTCCTCACTTTGCTTGGGTGATTGCATGTTCTTTATATTTCCTCTAACCATATAGGAGGGGCCTGGGAAATAGGGAATTTAGGACAGGGTCTAACAGGAAGGCATAGAACACTTTCTTTTCAAATGAAGCAATCTTTAAGAGGGGAGAGATGTTGAACACAGGTAGTATCATTTATAAATATTATTTCTTGAGGAGTTAGCTGTTATATGTCATTGTTATGCAGAGGACGTTAAAATAGAGACATTTGAGCTGAGCACAGTGGTACGCACCTGTAGTCCCAGCTGTTGGGGAGGCCAAGGTGGGAGGATTGCTTGAGCCCAGGGGTTTGCGGCCAGCCTGGGAAACTTAGCAAGACCACTTCTCTCAAAAGAAAAAAATAAAACAGACATATTGCGTTGCTCTCAGTGACAACAAAGTCAGCAGAAAGAACTTGCCGCCTTCATGCAGATTGTAGTCAAAAAGCTCGACCAGGCCAGGAGCAGTGGCTCACGCCTGTAATCCCAGCACTTTAGGAGGCCAAGGTGGGCAGGTCACCTGAGGTCAGGAGTTCAAGACCAGCCAGGCCAACATAGGGAGGCCCCGTCTCTACTAAAAATACAAAAATTAGCCAGGTGTGGTGGCACATGCCTGTAGTCCCAGCTACTCAAGAGGCTGAGGCAGGAGAATAGCTTGAACCTGGGAGGCGGAAGTTGCAGTAAGCTGAGATCGTGCCATTGCACTCAGCCTGGGCGACAGAGCGAGACTTCTTCTCAAGAAAAAAAAAAAAAAAGCTTGACCAAAGAATCTTAACTCTGAGCTGCTGAGGGTAGCATGGTATGGGTCGCCGGGGAGAGAGCCCTGTTTCGGGGGTTAAAGAAGATAAAGACAGCAAGGCTCTGTGGACTGGTGAAGCTGGCAGAAGGACGACTAATGTGCCTGCCTCCTTGGCATCCTTCCTCCCATGTCTGTGGCCATGGGCACCCTTAGCTCAGCACTCCAGAGAGCTTGCTCACAGCCCTCATAATTCTCTTCCAACTTCAGACCTGCAGGTGGGTGTATCAGGGAGCCATCCGTTATAGGATCATGCCTGCCTACTTGCCAGGCTTCCAGCCTCTGAGCCCCTCACCAATAGTGAACCCTAGAGGAGTTCTCTCAACTCCTTAGAGTCCTTGGGAATGCATCTGGAGGGTTCTGTGATGCCAAATCTGCTTTTGTGCTTCAAGAGCACTGGAGTTGGAGTCGAATATCAGATCTCAGCTCTGTTGCTGGTAGCAGAAATAACCACAGCTGGTAGCAGAAGGTAGCCACAGCAAATTCCTCAACCTTTCTGAGCACCTTCTTGGTTTCTTTATAGGATTGTTATGAGGATTTGCTGACAAGAACAATGTATCAGCACTCAAAAAAGTGACTCTTGTGTGACCATCTGATTTGAAGGACTATCATATGGGAAAAGAAGTGATATTTCAATCAGTGACTCCAGAGATAGATCAGTTTGGGCTCAAAGGAAGGAAAGTGACTAGCTCAGGCTGTCTTCTGAGAGTTCCCAGTCAGTGGGACTGTTCGGCCCTGACAGGCTGTAGAGAAGGGCCCTCCCTGAGGTAGGAGGCAGCACTAGATGGGCCTCCGGGGTGGCTTCCAATTTTATGATTCCATGAAAGTCGTGTGAGCAGCCTGCATGTATGGCAATACGGGCCGGTGCTGCAGGACTTCAGAGAGGCGGGATCAAGGAACTGGAGCCCCTGAGAAAGGCCTAGCTTTTGGAGGTGAGAGGGGAGTCAGCAGAAGATAGTTGGTTTGAAGGATGGAAAACGTGGTGTCAGCCAGCTCCATTTCGGAAAGCACAGGACAGAGAAGGGAGAGAGAGGAACCTGGCGTGGAAGAGTGGGAGGTCACTCCTGCTCACTCTGGACTGCGCATCACGGCAGCCTCCTCTTCACTCCCAAACCCCACTTAGCTGGGGGGCTGTCTTTCCACAGCTGCTGACTCTGGAGCTGCTCTGCTGACATTAGGCCTCAGTCCACAGATTCTTCAGTGAAATCCTGGGCTCCCTGTTTCTCCTGGCCAGACCACACTCACCAACACCTTCGTGGGCAACCTGGCTGGTCCCCAGTAGGGCCTGGACTCCCTCAATTCCAGCCCCTCCAACCAGGCTTCATTGCACTTTGTGCTAACCCCAGCGAGCTGCATGAGATCGCAGTTCCCACTTGGCCTTGACATTCTTGAAGGCCAGACTGTGGCTTAGTCATCTCTGCATCTGCTGTGCCTGTCACAGGTTGGGTTCCTTGGGAAGCGGCTTGGAGAGGCCAACATGCAGGGCATTTATTGTGGTTGCTCCTGGGATCAACACCCAGGAAAGCAGGCCCAGGTGACAGACTGGAGCAGAGGGAGAGGTTGAGCAGCAATGCAAGCCCAGTGTGCGCCTCCGCCAGCTTAGCCCGGCAGAGTTGTTCTAAGTCAGGGCAGGTGGTCAGGCTTCCATTCTGCTCAAGTGCTCAGCCTTTGGGTGCCAGCTGCCACCAGGAGCATGGCCTTGGGAGAGGACTTTTTTTGTTTGTTTTTTGAGACGGAGTCTCACTCTGTCACCCAGAGTGGAGTGCAGTGGCGCGATCTCAGTTCACTGCAACCTCTGTCTCCCAGGTTCAAGAGATTCTCCCACCTCAACCTCCTGAGTAGCTGGGATTACAGGCACCTGCCACCACGCCTGGCTAATTTTTGTATTTTTAGTAGAGACAGAGTTTCACCATGTTGGCCAGGCTGGTCTCAAACTCCTGACCTCAGGTGATCTGCCCGCCTTGGCCTCCCAAAGTGCTGGGATTACAGGTGTCAGCCACCGCGCCCAACCTTAAAAGAGCCTTTTTCTTTTGAGACAGGATCTGACTCTGTGGCTCTGGCTGGAGTGTGGTGGCAAAATTCTAGCTCACTGCAGCCTCAGACTCTCCAGTAGCTGGGACCACAGGCACGCACCATCACGCCCTGCTAATTTTTAAATTTTTTTGTAGAGACAGGTTCTCGCTATGTTGCCTAGGCTGGTCTTGAAATCCTAGCCTCGAGTGATCCGCTTGCCTTGTCCTCCCATGGTGCTGGAAATACCAGTGTGAGCCACCATGCTCGGCCAGGGACTTTTTTTTTGTTTTGTTTTAACTTCCCCTTGTTTCAAGACAATGCTAAGGAACTTTAAAATTGTAGCAGTTCATATTTGCTGGGCTCTTACTGTGTAGTGGCAGGGTTGTAATTGCGTTACCTATATTAACTCAGTCAATCCTTACAACAGCCCTATATGACTGGCATAATTATACCCTTGTTTTGTGCATGAGGAAATACAGGGAATTGACATACTGGATGGCAGGGCTGGGACTCAAGGACAGTCTGACTCTGGAGCACAGCTCTTTTGTTTTTCTTTTTTTCTTTTTTCTTTGTGTTTGTGTGTGTGTGTGTGTGTGTGTGTGTGTGTGTGTGTGTGTGTAGGAGAGAGAGACAGAGTCTCGCTGTTGCCTAGGCTGGAGGTGCAGTAGCTCAATCTTGGCTCACTGCAACCTCCACCTCCCAGGTTCAAGGGATTCTCCTGCCTCACCCTCCCCAGTAGTTGGGATTACAGGCGTGTGCCACCACCCCCAGCTGACTTTTTGTGTGTGTATGTGTATGTTTTTTTTTTTTTTTTTGAGACGGAGTCTCGCTTTGTTGCCCAGGCTGGAGTGCAGTGGCGCGATCTCTGCTCACTGCAAGCTCTGCCTCACGGGTTCATGCCATTCTCCTGCCTCAGCCTCCCAAGTAGCTGGGACTACAGGCGCCCACCACCACGCCTGGCTAATTTTTTGTATTTTTAGTAGAGATGAGGTTTCATCGTGTTAGCCAGGATTGTCTCGATCTCCTGACCTCGTGATCCACCCACCTCGGCCTCCCAAAGTGCTGGGATTACAGGCGTGAACCACTGCGCCCGGCCGACTTTTTTTTTTTTTTTTTTTTTCTCAAGACAGAGTCTCACTGTGTTGCCCAGGCTGGAGTGCAATGGTGAGATCTCGGCTCACTGCAACCTCCACCTCCTGGGTTCAAGCGATTCTCCTTCCTTAGCCCCCCGAGTAGCTGGGACTACAGGCGTGTGCCACCACACCCAGCTAATTTTTGTATTTTTAGTAGAGACAGGGATTCACCATATTGGCTAGGCTGATCTCGAACTCCTGACCTCAGGTGATCCGCTTGCCTTGGCTTCCCAGAGTGCTGGGATTACAGGCATGAGCCACTGCGGCCGGCCGAGGAGCACAGCTCTTAACTGCCACACTGTGCTGCCACCTGCCTTTTAATGTGCAGTAGAGTCGTGGCTTGTTAATTCCATCACTTAAAACTCATCCTTAGTGGCAGGGGCAGGGGCCTTGAACACACTTCTCTCAGGAGAGCAAGCCGGTGAGTAGAAGTTCCTGGGACAGTGGCTGACACATGCTAGGTGGTCAGTGAGTAGTTAGTTGTTCGTGAAATAAATGGGGCTGGGCACGGTGGCTCACACCTGTAATCCCAGCACTTTGGAAGGCCAAGATGAGCAGATCACTTGAGCCCAGGAGTTCAAAACCAGCCTGGGCAACATGGCAAAACCTCGTCTCTAAAAAAAATACAAAAATTAGCCAGATGTGGTGGTGTGTGCATGTAGTCCCAGTTACTTGTGGGGCTGAGGTGGGAGGATCACTTCAGCCCAGGTGGTTGAGGCTGCAGTGAGCTGTGATCATGCCACTGTACTACAGCCTGGGGGACAGAGCAAGACCCTCTCTCAATAAATAAATAATTAACACACAATTCATGGAAGAGTCATGCACTGGGATTAGCCCAGCTCTACAGCTGATGGTCTTAGGCAAGTGCATCTCTCTTGGAGTAAATCATTCTAACCCATAAAATGGGTGTAACAGTTTGTCTTGCCTGCTTCTTTTGGTAATTGGAAGGATTGAATGAGACAAGGTCCTGTGTAAACAGAATAAAAATTTTTGTAAAGTCTTATGGATCTAAGAGGTGTTATTTCATAAGGAGAGAGCTGGCTCTGGGGTCAGCAGCCTGGAGCCTCCTTGAGACACATGCTTACACACATGCACATAAATATTCCAGGCCATCCTCACGATGATCACCCCAAGACAGCCCCCATAGCCTCCATGTCTGCTGAACCAGGCATCAGAAAGCATGCGCGTAGCTGGATGTGGTGGTGCAGAACTGCAGTCCCAGCTATTCAAGAGGCAGGGGCAGGAGGACCACTTGAGCCCAAGGCTGCAGTGAGCTATGATCTCATCACCTCATCCAGCCTGGGCAACAGAGCAAGTCTGTCTCTAAAAAATAAGGCCAGGCTCACGCCTGTAATCTCAGCACTTTGGGAGGCCGAGGCGGGCAGATCACTTGAGGTTAGGAGTTCGAGACCAGCCTGGCCAACATGGTGAAACTATGTCTCTATTAAAAATATAAAAAATTAACTGGGCATGGTGGCGGGCACCTATAATCCCAGCTACTCAGGAGGCTGAGGCAGGAGAATCGCTTGAACCCGGGAGACCGAGGTTGCAGTGAGCCAAGATCGTGCCACTGCTCTCCAGCCTGGGTGACAAGAGCGAAACTCTGTCTCAAAAAATAAAAATAAAAATAGTAAGCATGCACTCTGGCTGCTCAGATGTGAGGGAAAAAAAAAAGCGTGCACATAGAAGTGCCACATGAGGCTCTGCCTGGCACCCACTGATTCCCATGGCGTGAGGCAGAAATCACCATGCAATTGAAGCCTGTTCTAATAATATGTATAGATCATGCCCTGTCAGTAATTCTAGGTTTCTTTTTTCTTTATGTTAAATAAATACGTAGTTTGGAAGTGATTTCTGTTTTACTGTATATAGAGAAACCTGTGAAACCCTAAATTAGAATAAATATTCATCAGCCCATACTACAGCATTTTTAACACTGGGGAATGCTTTCCCAAATTTTTTTTTTTTTTTTAAGACAGTCTCATTATGTTGCTCAGGCTGGCTGGAGTATAGTGGCTCGATCTCAGCTCACTGCAACCTTCATCTCCTGGATTCAAGCGATTCTCATGCCTCAGCCTCCCAGGTAGCTGGGACTATAGGTGTGCACCACCACACCTGGCTTTTTTTAATTTTTAGTGGAGACGGGATTTCGCTATGTTGGCTAGGCTGGTCTCAAACTCCTTTGCTTAAGTGATCCACCTGCCTCAGCTTCCCAAAGTGCTGGGATTACAGGCGTGAGCCACCACGCCCGGCCTCTGAACCTTTTCTTTTGGTCCTCTCAAAAGCCAGGCGTGGCGGCGGGCGCCTGTAATCTCAGCTACTTGGGAGGCTGAGGCATGAGAATCGCTTGAACCTGGGAGGCAGAGGTTTCAGTGAGCCAAGATCGCACCACTGCACTCCAGCTTTGGTGACAGAGCGAGACTCCATCTCAAAATACAACAACAAGAGGAGTTTGGGGCAGAAAGATGTTGTTTTGCTTGGTTTAAATACCTGTGTGCACAGAGATGGGGCAAGAACCCAAGTATCTGGGTCCCAGCCTTTTTACATCCAGGTCAACTGGTCTCAAATTTGTTTTGAGCCCCCTGTGGGGCTATTCATGCAATGGGTGACATTCTCATGTCCCTCATGCCTTTGAGCACACCCAGGGGCATGCCCATCTGTCCTTTTAAGGAAGTATTTTGAACCCAGAATGAGGGATAGTGAATCTGATTTAATTTGTTTTTAACTTGTAAATTAGGGAGCCCACTCTGGAGTCAGGAAGAACTGCATTTGAGTCTGGATTCTATTATGTATTGGTTGTGTGACCTTGGCAAATTAAGCCTCTCTGCACTTCAGTTTCCTGTTCTATAAAATGGGAATGATAATAGACCCTGCACTGAAGAATTACGGTGAATATTAAATAAGACAATACAAGCAGGCCAGGCACAGTGGCTCACGCCTGTAATCCCAGCACTTTGGGAGGCTGAGGCAGGCAGATTGCTTGAGCCCAGGAGTTCAGGACAAGCCTGGGCAACATGGCGAGACCCTGTCGTCTCTATTTGAAAGAAAGAAAAATAATTTTTTTAAAAAAAGATAATGCAAGCAAAATTCTCATTATGGTTTCTAGCAGTTCAATAAGTATTAGCCATTATGATGACTATTAGTATTTGTTGAGCCCCTCACTACTTTGTTGATTTTTAGTGAGATATTGATTGTAATGTTCTGTGGCTGAGAACCACTGTAGGGTCAGACCTCCATATCCATAAATTTCACATCCATGGATTCAACCAACCATGGATAGAAAATATTCCAGAAAAAGTCTGGGCGAGGTGGCTCACACCTGTAATCCCAGCACTTTGGGAGGCCAAGGCAGACAGATCACAAGGTCGAGAGTTCGAGACCAGCCTGGCCAACATGGGGAAACCCTGTCTCTACTAAAAATACAAAAATTAACCAGGCATGGTGGTGTATACCTGTAATCCCAGCGACTCGGGAGGCTGAGACAGGAGAATCGCTTGAACCCAGGAGGCGGAGGTTGCAGTGAGCCGAGATCACACCATTATGCTTCAGCCCGGGTGACAGTGCGAGACTCAGTCTCAAAAAAACAAAACAAAACGAATATATATATATATGTGTGTGTGTGTGTGTGTATATACACATATATATGTTCCAAAAAAAGAGGCATCTGTACTGAACATGTACAGACTTTTTTCTTGTTATTCCCTAAATGATACAGTATAACAACTATTTACTAACATTTACAATTTGAACAATCTAGGTATTACTTAGGTATTATAAGTAATCTAGAGATGATTTAAAGTATACGAGGGGGAGGAAGTGCGTAGGTTATATGCAAATGCTATACCATTTTATATCAGGGACTTGAGCATCCACAAATTTTGATACCTGCAAGAGGTCCTAGAACCAATCCCCCATGGTTACCGAGGCATGGCCATATTTAGTCATAGTGCCTCAGCAAAAATGAAAAGGTATCCTCGCCTCCAACTTTGTTTCCTTGGGCCCAGAAGAAACCCCTCCTTGGTTGCCCCCACTGCACACACATGCACACACACACACATACACGTACTTCTGCTTCTTTCTATCTTGTTCCAGGTTGGTAACTCTCCATCAGTGTAGGGTCCAGGTGTTTCTTGACTGTTAAGGACCCTTGAATGTGGTCATTCTTTTATTTTTATTTTTATTTTTTTGAGACAGAGTCTCGCTCTCTTGCCCAGGCTGGAGTGCAGTGATGCAATCTCAGCTCACTGCAACCTCCACCTCCCAGGTTCAAGCAATTCTCCTGCCTCAGCCTCCCAAATAGCTGGGATTATAGGTGTGCACCACCGCGACTGGCTAATTTTTGTGCTTTTAGTAGAGACGGGTTTCACCATGTTGGCCAGGATGATCTCAAACTCCTGACCTCGGGTGATCCACCCATCTTAGCCTCCCAAAGTGCTGGGATTACAGGCATGAGCCACCGCAACCAGCCCAAGTGTGGTCATTCTGAACCTCCTTCCCACCAAAGATCCAGTACTCTTCTTCCACCATGAACTCTGCAGTGAGAACACAGGTATAGCATACCCAGAACTTGGGAGTAGAGTTATATTAGAGTAAAACTAGTGAGAACCTACAGATAGTGGTTGAGATGTAGAAGTCATTCAAGATATTGTAAACAGTGGTTTGGTGGTGTCAGGTTAGGGGCATATTTAAGAACCATCAGGTTGGCCGGGCGTGGTGGCTCACGCCTGTAATCCCAGCACTTCGGGAGGCCGAGGCGGGTGCATCACGAGGTCAGGAGATCGAGACCATCCTGGCTAACATGGTGAAACGCCGTCTCTACTAAAAAATACAAAAAATTAGCCGGGCATGGTGGTGGGCACCTGTAGTCCCAGCTACTCAGGAGGCTGAGGCAGGAGAATGGTGTGAACCTGGAAGGTGGAGCTTGCAGTGAGCTGAGATCGCACCACTGCACTCCAGCCTGGGCGACAGAGCGAGACTCCATCTCAAAAAAAAAACAAACAAAGAAACATCAGGTTGACTAGGGCACAATAAGCCAAAGAAGAACACAGTGATTGGAAGAACACGTGAGGTATGATCGGATCCTGCAACGGGGAAGGGTGTGACGGAGCGAGCTGTGGTCACGGGATCCCCAGCCCTGCCTTGGAGGAGGCAGACCCTATCTAGTGACTGTCCTGCGAGCAGGACTGGGCAAGGCCCTGGGTGCCTCAGTTCATCAGAGCTTGACACCACCGGCCCCTGAGCTCCTTCTCGTTCCCTAACTGCATTCCACTCTCGCGTAGCTCCTTTGGTGTATGACTCGGCTTCTGGTGTAACTTCTCACCCACAGAGGATGTGCTGACTTAGGAAGACGGACTTTCAGGCCACCTGTCAGCTGCGTTTCTAATGATGAATTAATAAACTGGCATCTAGCTTACATATCAGTCTCTAAGTTTCACCAGTATAAGATAGAACCCCTTAGCTTGATCCAATAATAACACAAGCATTCTGTACAAAGCATTGTTCTAAGCATTTAACATGAATTAACTCATTTAATCCTTACAACAAGCCAATGAGGTATGATTTACACCCCATCCTTTTTTTTTGAGACAAAGTCTCACTTTCTCTACCAGGCTGGAGTGCAGTGGCGCAATCTTGGCTCACTGAATAGCCTTAACCTCTCTGATTCAAGCAATCCTCCCACCTCAGCCTGCCAAGTAGCTGGGACCACAGGCACACACCACCACGCCCGGCTAACTTTTGTATTTTTTGAAAAGACGGGGTTTTGCCATGTTGCCCAGGCTGGTTTCAAACTCCTGATCTCTAGCGATCCTCCTGCCTCGGCCTCCCAAAGTGCTGGGGTTACAGGCATGAGCCACCACACCTGGCCTTATCCCCATTTTATAAATGAGAAAATGGAGACCCAGAAAAGTTACATAAATGAATGTTTGCTCAGGTCTGCCCAGCTAGTAAGACTCTGTGTTGGGCCTTGAACTAAGGTCACCTTGGGCCCAAAGCTTAAGCATGCCGACTTAGCACAGCGAGACACCCCAACCACGGACACTGGGGACATGAGGTAGAGGGACCTGGTGCTCTGTGCTGTGGTGACCGCTGAAGGTCATATCTGAACAGCCTTCCTGGGGCATACCACATTTCAAAAGACTTTATCTATGAAACAAACCTAATTTGTTAAATAACAATTATTTTCCATAAAAATTTCATCAACTAATACTAATCATGGTTTCTGATCAGCCTTAAATAATCACAGTTGTCAACTCAAGTTATCTAATATCAGCTTCAAGAAAATAAATGTGGGCTGGGTGCAGTGGCTCATGCCTGTAGTTCCAGCACTTTGGGAGGCCAAGGCGGGTGGATCACCTGAGGTCAGGAGTTTGAGACCAGCCTGGCCAACGTGGTGAAACCCTATCTCTACTAAAAATACAAAAATTAGCTGGTCATGGTGGTACACACCTGTAACCCCAGCTACTTGGGAGGCTGAGGCAGGAGGATCGCTTGAACCTGGTGGGTGGAGGTTGCAGTGAGCCAAGATTGTGCCACTGCACTCCAGCCTGGGTGATAGAACGAGACTCTGTTAAAAAAAAAAAAAAAAAAAGAAAGAAAGAAAGAAAAGAAAAGAGAAAAGAGAAGGAAAAGAAAAGAAATGTGGCCGGGTGTGGTGGCTCACACCTGTAATCCCAGCACCTTAGGTGACTGGGGTGGGAGAATTGCTTAAGCCCAAGAGTTCAAGACCACCCTAGGCAACACAGTGAGACTCCCATCTCAAAACATTCTCATTCACACTTTTTTTTTTTTTTTTTGAGACAGAGTCTCGCTCTGTCACCTAGGCTGGAATGTAGTGGCATGATCTTGGCTCCTCATTCACACTTCTTAAAAACTGTCTTGAGGCCGAGTATGGTGGCTCACACCTGTAATCCCAGCACTTTGGGAGGTCAAGGTGGGTGGATCATTTGAGGTCAGGAATTCGAGACCAGCCTGGCCAACATGGTAAAATCATGTCTCTAGTAAAAATACAAAATTTAGCTGGGCGTGGTGGCGCACACCTGTAATCCCAGCTACTGGGGAGGCTGAGGCAGGAGAATTGCTTGAACTTGGGAGATGGAGATTGCAGTGAGCCAAGATCCTGCCACTGCACTCTAGCCTGGGCCACAGAGTGGGACTCTGTCTCAAGAAAGGAAACAAATAAAAACCTTCCTGAACTTTTTTGCTCATTATATACAGTAGCTTTATTTTTCTGCAGTATCTTAGAAATCTCGTTTAGGGAAATTATCATGCTAGGAATTGTGAGATCATCTCTCTTTCTCCCCCTTCCCCCTAGTCCATCTTTATCTCTGTCTCTGTCTCTCTCTTTCTCTCTCTCTCTCATGGCGTTGTTTTCCCTGAAGCTTGTTGAGCACCAGAGATCCTATGTTTCTGAGACAGTGAACACATAGACAAGTTTTGTGCAGCAAAATACATTCAGCCCCATAGAAAAGGCGAAATTAGGGTTGGCGTGGTAGCTCACACCTGTAATCCCAGCACTTTGGGAGGCCAAGGTGGGAGAATTGCTTGAGGCCAGGAATTTGAGACCAGCCTGGGCAATACAGAAAGACCCCATCTCTAAAAAAATTAAAACCCGCAAAAAAAGAAACCCCTTCCTCCTGAGTAGTCTCTCCCGCTCCTCCTCTGGCTTCCTATGGCACTTTGGTTCCACCCCTCTTGGTGAACTGGTTACTTGCGGCCTTAAAGGACCATCCTCTGCATACAAGTTGCAAGACAAGAGGCCCTGTCTGATTCATCTTTGAATCCCTTGTGGGGCCAGCATTGAGCCAGGAACACAATGGCAATACTCAAAAGTATGTGGAAAGGAATATTCTTAGGTCTCCATAGCTGCACTTCTCTAGCCTTATGGGTCTATATCCCAGCAAGTCCATGGAAGTATTTGTACAATTAACAGTGCTGTGTATGGTTCCTTGCGTTGGAACAGCTGGTGCAGCTCCTTTGAAAGAAAGACTATGGCAAGCACTTATTTAGCATCCTCCCTCCCTCCCTCCTTCTCTCTCTCTCTCTCAATCTCTCAGATTGCTGTCACCCAGGTTGCCACTGAAGATATTAGTTGTGCATTTCTGCTACTGCCTAATTTCAGGTAAAGCTTTCTACTGATTTTGTTTTTGGTTTGTTTTTTTTTATAAAAGCAATTAGCACACTGGTTGGATTTTTGAAAATTAAAAAAGTCCTGCTTCTTCTTCTTCATTCTTCCCCTTCCCTTCCTGAGTAATTCAGTCCTGATGCCATTAGGTGGAGAAGAATGGGGTTAGGTATCTGCACTAGGGTTGGGGGCTCCCTTGGTATTTCAGAGCAGGATGTCCGACCCTGAGGAGGGCATCTGTGTAGGAAGGTTGCCCAGTGTGAGTGTCAGAGCCTGAGCAAGGTGAGGACATCCATGTATGGCCTGGTACCAGAGCGTCAGAGACTCAACAGCGTGAACCTGCAGCAATGGGGTGGGAGTGAAGCCCGGTGTGGAGAGTCAGAGCCCAGGAAGGGCCCAAGGAGGGCATTGCTGAGGAAGGAAGGGCCAGGGCAGGGTGTCTGGCAAGGCTGGGATGCAGAGGGCATTCATCATTTATCGTAGGTGATGGGGAAAGCAACCCAGTGCAACCCAAGACTGAACAAAGTGAGAAGGGCACTGAGTGTGGAAGCGGGAGCAGTGACAGGAGACTGATCTAGAGGTAAACGTGTGAAGGAAAATGAGAGCCAAGATTCTCACGGGTGGAGAAAAAATTACAAATATAGAAAGAAGAAAACTAGAATGAACTCTGTGGTGCTGGATCAAAAATGTAGATACTGGTGTGAACTCACGATTTTCAATACAAAGAGGCAGATATAGAAATAAATACAGATTTAAGTGTGTATGTAAGCTCTGTCCCAGCTCTGTCCATTGAGAGGGACTTGGAGAAGTGACACCCACGCCCCTCTCAATGAGCACACCCAGCGTCCAGATCTTGGGTTCCTTTTTTTGAGACGAAGTCTCACTCTGTCACCCAGGCTGGAGTGCAGTGGCAAACATCTGTCTCCTGGGTTCAAGCAATTCACCTGCTTCAGCCTCCTGAGTAGCTGAGATTACAGGCGTCTGCCACCACGCCCAGCTAATTTTTTGTATTTTTAGTAGAGACAGGGTTTCACCATTTGTCCGGGCTGGTCTCAAACTCCTGACCTTGTGATCTGCCCGCCTCGACCTCCCAAAGTGTTGGGATTACAGGCGTGAGCCACCACACCCGGCCCCAGATCTTGGCTAAATACCATTCTCTACTATAAGGTACCAGGGCTCCCTGGTGAAAAGCCTGAGACAGAAATTACAGGATGAGTCTAGGACTCTTATACTAGAAAGCAAAGAAGCACTGAAACAATGATGGAGACATCTAAAAAGGATACAGGGCTGGCACAGTGGCTCTTGCCTATAATCCCAGCACCTTGGGAGGCGAAGGTGGGCAGATCTCTTGAGCCCAAGAGTTTGAGACCCCTGTCTCTGCAAAAAATACAAAAATTAGCTGGTGGGCTGGGTGCAGTGGCTCACGCCTGTAATCCCAGCACTTTGGGAGGCTGAGGCAGGTGAATCACCTGAGGTCGGGAGTTCGAGACCAGGCTGAACAACATGAAGAAACCCCGTCTCTACTAAAAACACAAAATTAGCCAGGCATGGTGGTGCATGCCTGTAATCCCAGCTACTCAGGAGGCTGAGGCGGGAGAATAGCTTGAACCTGGGAGGCGGAGGTTGCAGTGAGCCAAGATCGCACCATTGCACTCCAGCCTGGGGAACAAGAGTGAAACTGTCACCAAAAAAAAAAAAAAAAAAAAAAAAAAAAAAATAGCTGCTGTGGTGGTGTGCACCTATAGTCCTGGCTACTCAGGAGACTGAGGTAGGAGGATCAATTGAGCCTGGGAGCTCGAGGCAGCAATGAGCTCTGATTGGGCCACCGCACTCCCTGTCTCAAAAAAAAAAAAAAAGAAAAGAAAAGAAAAGAAAAAAAGACAAAAAAGTCAGCTCGAGGTGCTCCCACTTCAAATTAGGGACTGTTTGAGCATCAGCATAAATAATGATAAGTCTGAGGGTAGTGGCTCATGCCTATAATCCCTGCACTTTGGGAGGACGAGGTGGGCGGATCACTTGAAGTCAGGAGTTTGAGACCAGCCTGGCCGACATGGTGAAACCCCGTCTCTACTAAAAATACAAAAATTAGCCAGGCGTGGTGGTGTGCACCAGTAGTCCCAGCTACTTGAGTGGCTAAGGCAGGAGAACTATTTGACCCTGGGAGGCGGAGTTTGCAGTGAGCCAAGATGGGGCCACTGCACTCCAGCCCAGGCAACAGAGTGAAGCTCTGTCTCAAAAAAAAAAAAAAAAAAAAAAAAAATATATATATATATATATGTATGTATATATATATGTATGTGTATATATATGTATGTATATATATGTGTGTATATATGTATGTGTATATATATGTGTGTATATATATACATATATGTGTATATATGTATGTATATATACAATATATGTATATATGTAAGTATATATACATATATATGTGTATATATGTATATATACGTATATATGTGTATATATGTATATATACACATATATGTATGTGTATATAATGATAGCAATGAATTATAACCCCTGAATAAAGTAGAAAACCACAGGTTCATACTGATATATATAAATACATTAATACAGTAAAAATTTAATGAGAAATGAGATACATATGTTGAACATATCTCCACCCCAAACATTAATTCACTATGGGGGCGGGGAAGAGTCACTTTGCAATGAAGGAGCCTGGCAGACACCGCTTTAATCAAGTAATCGAGTGAACATCATGAATAACGGGATAAATCAGCATCTTGTGCCACCCGATAGGAGGCAGTCAGAAGAACACAGCATTGCTTCTGTGATATTCTTGCCAAAGTTGCATAACCTGAATCTAAGCCCAAACTGAGGGACGGTCTACAAAATAAACATCCTGTACTCTTTCAAAATGTCAAGGTCAAGAAAAGACAGATAAATTGTTCTGGAGTGAAGAAGAGATTAAAGAAATATAACAAAATGTAGCATGTAATCTACACTGGCTTTTTTTGTTTTTTAAGAGACAGGGTCTCACTCTGTTGCCCTGGCTGGAGTTCAGTCATGAAATTATAGCTCACTGCAGCCTCAAACTTTTGGGCTGAAGCAATCCTCCCAGCTCAGCCTCCCAAATAGCTAGGGCTACTGGCACTCACCACTGTGCTGGGCTAATTTTATTTTTGTAGGCATGGTGGGAGGTCATGGTTTGCTGTGCAGGCTGGTCGTGAACTTCTGGCTTCAAGCGATCCTCCCACTTTGGCCTCAGAGCGCTGGGATTACAGGCGAGAGATACAATGCCCAGCCAGGAATTTTTTTTTTTTTTTAAGACAGAGTCTCACTCTGTCACCCAGGCTGAAGTGCAATCGTGAGATCTCAGCTCATTGCAACCTCCACCTCCCAGGTTCAAGCACCACCATGCTCAGCTAATTTTTGCATTTTTAGTAGAGACAGGGTTTCACCATGTTGGCCAGGCTGGTCTTGAACTCCTGACCTCAGGTGATCCGCCAGCCTCCGCCTCTCAAAGTGTAAAGTGTTGGGATTATAGGAGTGTAATCCCAGGCCCAGCCAATTTGTTTTGTTTTGTTTTGTTTTGTTTTGTTTTTTAGTCTCGCTCTGTCGTCAGGCTGAAGTGGAGTGGTGCGATCTCAGCTCACTGCAACCTCCGACTCCCAGGCTCAAGTGATTCTCCTGCCTCAGCCTCCCAAGTAGCTGGGACTACAGGCACCCGCCACCATGCCCAGCTAATTTTTGTATTTTTAGTAGAGATGGGGTTTCATCATGTTGGCCAGGATGGTCTCAATCTCTTGACCTCGTGATCTGCCCACCTCGGCCTCCCAAAGTACTGGAATTACAGGCATGAGCCACTGCGCCCAGCCAATTTTTTTAAATTTAATTTATTGAGACACTAAACAAAACTGGAATGAAGTTTGAGGATTTGATGGTAGAGATATATCTAGGTTAATGTCTTGATTTTGATGGTTGTGCTGTGGTTATGTAGGAGAATGTTTGCATGAAATATACTGAAGTATTCAAGAGTGACAGGGCATCAGATTGGCTACTTACTTGTAAATGGTTCATGGGGTAAAAAAGCTATTGGTTCTGGGACTACAGGCGCCTGCCACCACGCCCAGCTACTTGGGAGGCTGAGGCAGGAGAATGGCATGAACCCAGGAGGCGGAACTTGCAGTGAGCCAAGATCATGCCACTGCACTCCAGCCTGGGTGACAGAAGGAGACTCTGTCTCAAAAAAAAAAAGAAAGAATAAAAAAAGCTATTTGTTCTGTACTTCCATTTTTCTGTATGCTCAAGATTGATTATAGCTCATTGCAGCCTTGAACTTCTGGACTCAAGCAATCCTCCCATCTCAGCCTTTCAAAGTGCTGGGATTATAGGCATGAGCCACTGTATCCAGCCCAATTTTCTTTATAGAAAAATACAAACAGCTGGGCGCGGTGGCTCACGCCTGTAATCCCAGCACTTCAGGAGGCCAAGGCAGGCGGATCACCTGAGATCAGGAGTTTGAGACCAACCTGGCCAACATGATGAAACTCAGTCTCTACTAAAAATACAAAAATTAGCTGGGCGTAGTGGCACACACCTGTATTCCTAGCTACTCGGGAGGCAGAATCACTTGAACTGGGGAGACGGAGATTGCAGTGAGCCCAGATCCCGCCACTGCACTGGGGCCTAGGGGATAGAATGAGCCTGGGGCCTGGTGGATAGAATGAGACTCTTGTCTCAAAACAAACAAACAAACAAAACAAAAAAACAAAAAACAATGTTTTTTTGATTCAGGATCCAATTCAGGATCCCATATTGCATTTAGTCGTTACATCTATTTAGGCGTCCTTTTATTTGGAACAATTCTTTAGTCTTTATCTTTCATGACCTTGACATTTTGGAAGAGTGCAGGGCATTTATTAATTTGGGCTAGTCTGGTGTTTTCTCATGATTAGATTGGGGCTATGCATTTTTGGCAGGAACACCACGGAAATGATGCTGTTCCTTCTCAGTGCATCTTATCAGGAGGCATGTGATGCCAATTTGTCCCATTACTGCTGATGTTAACTTCGATTACTTGGTTAAGGTGGTGTCTGCCAGGTTTCTATGCTGTAAATCACTATTTTTCCCTTTGTAATTAACAAGTTTCCTGTAGAGAAGAAATATGTAATTTTTATCTAATACAAATTATCGATGTTTTGCAAGAATAATTTGTTCTTTTGAAGCTTTGAGTCCTTGAGATTTTCTACACCATTGTTTTCTATTGATAGTATCATTTTATTTTTATTTAGGTCTTTAATCCATCCAGAATTCACCCTGTACGTACTGTTGTATAGGAACATGCTTTTCATTTCTCTCCATAGAATGAGCTAATTTTTCCAACATTACCTATGAAACAGTCTGTCCTCTCTTCAGTGATGGTGATGCCACATTTACGCACATGATGTTCTCATTTATATTACATTGTGGGTCAGGTTCTGTTTTGGTCTCTTTGTTCTTACACCCGTACCATACTGTTTTGATTACTGTAGATTAGAATCTTTTTTTTTTTTTTTTAAGACAGAGTTTCACTCGTCTCCCAGGCTGGAGTGCAGTGACACGATCTCAGCTCACAGCAACCTCTGCCTCCCAGGTTCAAGCAATTCTCCTGCCTCAGCCTCCTGAGTAGCTGGGATACAGGTAAGCGCCACCAAACTCGGCTAAATTTTTTTGCATTTTTTAGTAGAGATGGGGTTTCACTATGTTAGCTAGGCTGGTCTTGAACCCCTGACCTCAAGCAATCCGCCCACCTTGGCATCCCAAAATGCTGGGATTACAGGTCTGAGTCACTGCGCACGGACTGATTACTGTAGTCTTTAGTCTTGTAGTATGTCTTGATATCTGGTAGAGCAAGCCTCATTCTTTTTTTTTTTTTTTTTTTTTTTTTGGAGTTGGAGTCTTACTCTGTTGCCCAGGCTGCAGCGCAGTGGCACAATCTGGGCTCACTGCAACCTCTGCCTCCCAGATTCAAGTGATCCTCCTGCCTCAGCCTTCTGAGTAGCTGGGACTACAGGCACATGCTGCCTGTGCCACCACGCTCGGCTAATTTTTTGTATTTTTAGTATAGATGGGGTTTCACCATGTTGGCCAGGCTGGTCTTGAACTCCTGACCTCAGGTGATCCACCCACCTCGGCCTCCCAAAGTGCTGGGATTACAGGTGTGAGCCACTACACCCTGCCCAAGCCCCACTCTTTACTCTTCTTTTTATATATTGACTTTGCTAATTTTGAAAATGAACTTCTGCAAATAAATACTAAAGTAAGTTTAAGTTTTTCAGAAAATTCCCATGGATTTTAAGTGGAATTGCATTGAATACACACATTAACTGGGGAGAACACTAATATCATTTGTTATTAAGCCATTCTGTCCAAGATAATGAAATATCTCTCTATTTTATTTGGATCATCTTCTGTGCCCTTTGAGTTTTTTTCCCCCATAACACTTCTATTGGACTTTGAGTTTTAATGTTTTCTTCAGAGTTTGCTGTGTTTTGTTTTGCTTGAGATGGAGTCTTGGCTCTGTTGCCCAGGCTGGAGTGCAGCGGTGTGATCTCGGCTCACTGCAGCCTCCGCCTCCCGGGTTCAAGCAATTCTCAGCCTCCCAAGTAGCTGGGATTACAGGCACCACCAGCACACCTGACTAGTTTTTGTAGTTTTCAGTACAGATGGGGTTTCACCATATTGGTCAGGCTGGTTTCGAACTCCTAACCTCAGGTGATCCACCCGCCTTGGCCTCCCGAAGTGCTGGGATTACAGACATGAGCCACCACGCCTGGCTATAGAGGTCTTATATTAATTAAGTTCCTAGATACTTTATAGTTTTTGTCATTATTGTGAATGGCTTCTTTGATTGTCATTTTCTAGTTGGTTACACCTGGTATAGAGATATGCTATTGAGGCCGGGCGCAGTGGCTCACACCTGTAATCCCAGCACTTTGGAAGACCAAGGCGGGTGGATTACTTGAGGCCAGGAGTCCAAGACCAGCCTGACTAACATCGTGAAACTCTGTCTCTACTAAAAATACAAAAATTAGCAAGGTCTGCTGGCAGGCGTCTATAATCCCAGCTATTTGGGAGACTGAGACAGGAGAATTGCTTGAACCCAGGAGGCAGAGGTTGCAGTAAGCCAAGATCAGACCACTGCACTCCAGCCTGGGCAAGAGAGCAAGACTCCATCTCAAAAAAAAAAAAATAGATACGCTATTGATTTTTGTAGATCTTCTATCTGGCTACCTTGGTGAATTCTCTTACTAATTACAACAGCTTCTTGACTCTATTGGTATTTTGAAGTATACCACATAAATAATTATGGTGTTATGTATATGAATACATACCTATAAATATTTTTACATGTGGCTATCTATATCTACAGTAAGCTACACATGGATTCATACTGATGACTCCAACTCCAATCCATTACTGCATGGATCATTCTGACCTTTCCCCCTTGCTCACCTATATGTTCTCATTCTTCTTTTTTTTTTTTTTTTTTTTGAGATGGAGTCTTGCTCTGCCACCCAGGCTGGAGTGCAGTGAGACGATCTTGGCTCACTGCAAGCTCTGCCTTCCGGATTCATGCCATTCTCCTGCCTCAGTCTCCTGAGTAGCTGGGACTACAGGCGCCCGCCACCATGCCTGGCTAATTTTTTGTATTTTTAGTAGAGACGGGGGTTTCACCGTGTTAGCCAGGATGGTCTCGATCTCCTGACCTCGTGATCCGCCCACCTCAGCCTCCGAAAGGCTGGGATTAGAGGCGTGAACCACTGCGCCCAGCCTATGCTCTCATTCTAACAGCAAAAACCTGCCTCTTGGCTAGGCACAGTGGCTCATGCCTGTAATCACAGCACTTTGAGAGGCCAAGGAGAGCAGATCACTTGAGGTCAGGAGATCGAGACCATCCTGGCTAACATGGTGAAACCCCGTCTCTACTAAAAATACAAAAAATTAGCCAGGCATGGTGGCGGGTGCCTGTAGTCCCAGCTATTCGGGAGGCTGAGGCAGGAGAATCACTTGAAACCAGGAGGTGGAGGTTGCAATGAGCTGAGACCTCATCACTGCACTCCAGCCTGGGTGACAGAGCAAGACTCCGTCTCAAAAAAAAAAAAAAAAAAAAAAAAAATCTACCTCCCACCATGCACCACTGGAACTTAATTGTTCAAATCCAGGATACACGTGGAGTGATCTCAACAATTGTTAACCTATTTCCTCAAGGAAACAGCTGTATCCACAAGAGTACAGTACTTGTGTACAGTTCATTTTACCTTTAGTCTTACAGACTCTACACATTTCCAGTCGACTTAGGTCAGCACCATTCTCCCCACTACTCTTCTTCAGTGAAGTTATTTCATATGTTTGTAATACAGGTAGATTCTTTTATTCCATTCTTCACTCCATCCTTGGATCTCTCAATCTCCTAAATGATTTTTTAAAATTTGCATACATGATGTTTTACTCTTTGAGCTGTAAGGGTCTATGGGTTTCCACAAACACATAGTGTCACGTATCTATAATCACAGTATCATACAGAAAAGCTTCAATGCCCCCCTCCGAAATTTCCTGTGTTTCCTCATTTAACCCTCACTGCCCCCTCCCTCCCAAACCCTGGCAACCACTAATTTGTTTGTTATTTCTATAGTTTTTCCTATTCCAGAATGTCATATAAGTTACATTATACACTCGGTAGCCTTTTCAGACTGACTTCTTTCGCTTAGCACCGTGCATTGAAAATTCATCTATGTATTTGTGTGGTTTGATAGCTCATTGCTTTTTATTGCTGAATAGTATTTCATTGTAGAGATGTATCACAGTTTGTTTACCCATTCACCTATTGAAAGATATTTTGGTTGCTTCTACTTTTCAGCAATTTTGAATAAAAATGCCATAAACATTTATGTGCTAGTTCGCTAGTTTTTGTGTGAACACAAGTTTCGCATCAGCTGGGTAAATACCTAAGAGTGTGATTGCTGGATTGTGGGTAAAACTATGTTTGGTAAAACTATGTTTGGCTTTGTAAGAAACTGCCAAACTATCTTCCAAAGTGGCTGCATCGGGCCAGGTGCACTGGCTGACGCCTATAATCCCAGCACTTTGGGAGGCCGAGGCTGGCGGATCACCTGAGGTCAGGAGGTCAAGACCAGCCTGACCAACATGGCGAAACCCTGTCTCTACTAAAAATACAAAAATTAGCCGGGCATGGTGGTGGGCACCTGTAATCCCAACTACTCAGGAGGCTGAGGCAGGAGAATCGCTTGAACCCAGGAGGCAGAGGTTGCAGTGAGCCAAGATAGCGCCATTGCACTCCAGCCTGGGCAACAGAGCGAGACTGTCTCAAAAACAACAACAACAAAAACCGAAGTGGCTGTATCATTTTACATTCCCGCCAGCAATGAATGAGCATTCCTGTGTCTTCACCTCCTTGTCAGCAATTGGTATTGTCAGTTTTCTGATTTTTGCCATTCTAAAAGATGTGTAGCAGTTATTTATGGTATTTTCAAAGTGTTCTTTTTGTTATTTATTTTTAGTTGTACTGCATAATGGTTAGGGAACATAGTCTATGTGACACTGATGTGGATCTAATGGTGGAATGAATTTTGGTCTTTCTTTGTGACCTAATGCATGGCTTATTTTTGTAAATCTTCTGAGTGTACATGAAAAGAGTATTTCCTGTTTGTGCAATCCAGCAGAACACAGGAGTTCAGAGCATAAGCTTTGGAGTCAGCCTGCGTAGTTTCCCACCCTGCTCTAAGGTTAGTAACAATATGAGCTCAGGCAAGCTTTATTCCCTATGCTTCAGATCCTTTAATAAATGGAAATAATAACAATAGTATCTACCTTTTAGAGTTATCGTAAGGATTAAAACAGCTAGTATTTGTAAAGTACCTAGAACGGTGCCTGGCACTGTAGTAAGTATGATATAAATGTTTGTAAAATAAACTAATGTATCTAAACTTATTGTATATTTTAAGTCTTTTACTATTTTATTTCTATTTATTTATTTATTTATTTATTTTTGAGACAGAGTCTCGCTCTGTCACCCAGGCTGGAGTGCAGTGGTGCAATCTCAGCTCACGGCAACTTCCGCCTTCCAGGTTCAAGCGATTCTTTTGCCTCAGCCTCCCGAGTAGCTGGGATTACAGGTGTGTGCCACCACGCCCAGCTAATTTTTGTATTTTTAGTGGAAGTAGGGTTTCACCATGTTGGCCAGCTGGTCTCGAACTCCTGACCTCAAGTGATCCACCCGCCTTGGCCTCCCAAAGTGCTGGGATTACAGGTGTGAGCCACCGCGCCCAGCCTGTTTTTATTTTTTTAGGGAGAGGGTCTCACTCTGTCACCTAGGCTTGAGTTTAGTGGCACGATCATAGCTCACTGCAGCCTCGAACTCCTGGTCCCAAGTCATCCTCCCGTCTCAGCCTCCTTAGTAGCTAAGACTACAGGCGTGCACCACCACATCCAGCAAATTTTTATTTATTTATTTTATTTCTTACAGACAGGGGTCTTGCTATGTTGCCTAAGCTAGTCTCAACCTCTTGGCCTCAAGTGATCCTCCTGTCTCAGCCTCCCAAAGTGCTTGAATTACAGGTGTGAGCCACTTCACCTGGCCTATGTTTTTGATTTTTCCTTTTTTTTTTTTTTTTTTTGAGACAGAGCTTCAATCTTGTCACTCAGGCTGGAGTGCAATGGCACAATCTCGGCTCACCGCAACCTCCACCTCCCAGGTTCAAGCAATTCTCTTGCCTCAGCCTCCCCAGTAGCTGGGATTACAGGCGTGCGCCACCATGCCAGGCTAATTTTTGTATTTTTAGGAGAGACGGGGTTTCACCATGTTGGTCAGGCTGGTCTTGAACTCCTGACCTCAAGTGATCTGCCCACCTTGGCCTCCCAAAGTTCTGGGTTTACAGGCATGGGCAAACATGCCCGGCCTTAACTGCAGTTTTCATATCTAAGAGGTCCACAATCATTTACTGAAAATCCATGGGTCCGGGCCCAGTGGCTCATGCTTGTAATCCCAGCACCTTGGGAGGCCAAGGCGGGTGGATCACCTGAGGTCAGGAGTTCGAGACCAGCCTGGTCAATATGGTGCAACCCCGTCTCTACTAAAAAAAAAATACAAAAATTAGCTGGGCGTGGTGGCATGCGCTTGTAATCCCAGCTACTCGGGAGGCTGAGGCAGGAGAATTGCTTGAGCTTGGGAGGTGAAGGTTGCAGTGAGCTGAGATTGTGCTATTGCACTCCAGCCTGAGTGACAGAGTGAGACTCTGTCTAAAAAAAGAAAGAAGAAAAAAAGAAAAAATCCATAGGAACACATATTTTTCAGAATTCAGAATATTTCAAATTTTAGAAAGTTAATACAATAATACTTTAACACAGGAGTCCTCAACCCCTGGGCTGCACATCAGTACCCTATTAGGGTGGCCTATTAGGAACCGGCCGAACAGCAGGAGGTAAGCCACGGGCCAGGAAGCATTATCACCTGAGCTCAGATCAGCCCCGCATTAGATTCTCATAGGAGCGCAAACCCTATTGTAAATTGTGTGTGCGAGGGATCTAGGTTGCCTGCTCCTCATGAGAATCTAACTAATGCCTAATGATCTGAGGCAGAGCAGTTTCAACCGGAAACAGTCCCCTGCATCCGTGGAAAAACTGTCTTCTAAGAAACTGGTCCCTGGTGCCAAATAGATTGGGGACCATCGTCTAATTCAATACTGCGTGTTAGGTAACATCCCCAGTGGGGTCTGGAATGGTACTCTGTAATCAGACACATTCTTACTTCTGAAGCAAAACATGAATATTCACCCTGAATGGGATAACTACTATTATTATATAAACAGCCCCTTGTTGGTTCAGATTTTGCTACCCAGTGAGTATTGTCCTCAAAATTATTATTATTGTTGTTGTTGTTATTTTGAGACGGAGTCTCACTCTGTTGCCCAGGCTGGAGTGCAATGGTGTGATCTCGGCTCACTGCAACCTCCGCCTCCCGGGTTCGAGCAATTCTCCTGCTTCAGCCTCCCGAGTAGCTGGGGTTACAGGTGTGAGCCACCACATCCGGCTAATTTTTGCATTTTTAGTGGAGACAGTGTTTCACCACGTTGTTCAGGCTGGTCTCAAATTCCTGTCCTCAAGTGATCCGCCCACCTCGGCCTCCCTAAATTCTGGGATTATAGGCATGAGCCACCATGCCCGGCTAATAAAACTTCACTTTAGAATGTACATGTTGTTCAGTTTGTTGTCCTTCACCTGGACTCCCTAAGTGTGTGATGATTTTGGCCTGGGAGCTTATATTCCGCTGGGGGGTCTCAGCCATTCCATCTGGTAGAGGGTGTTGGGAAAGCTCTGAAGGCTATATCACCCAGTCTATGGTAGTCCTGGTGAGTTCCAGGAAAGAACCCTACGGCAGAGAGCAGCACACTACACGACTAATCACTCCCATTTGCTGCCACCCACCAAGACATTTAAGCCCTTTAAACTCATAGGGAGAAGCAGGTGGGGAGGAGGTAATCTCCCAGCCCTGGGGTTTTAGAAAGAGGAAATGGCAGAGTGGTGCCAAGGTGATTCAGTCCCCTTCTGTTCTCATCAGATCCTCTCATGGCAGGACTTCTGCACTCTCCTGATATTAGAGGTAGTGATAATTTTTTTTTTTATAAAACAGGTCATAAAAGTGATAAACGTGATCTAGAAGACATTGACAATTATTTGTTTTTATAAAAATGGAATCATACTATAAAATCATTCTGCACTCAGCTTTTTAAAATTTTATCGATATACATAAATAGAACCCATTCTTTTTTTTTTTTTTTTTTTTTGAGATGGAGTCTCCCTCTGTTGCCCGGGCTGGAGTGCAATGGCATGATCTTGGCTCACTGCAACCTCCGCCTCCCGGGTTCAAGCAATTCTCCTGCCTCAGCCTCCTGATTGGCTGGGATTACAGGTGCCCACCACTACACCCGGCTAATTTTTTGTATTTTTAGTAGAGATGGGGTTTAACTATGTTTGCCAGGCTGGTCTCGAACTCCTGACCTGGTGATCCACCTGTCTCAGCCTTCCAAAGTGCTGGGATTACAGGGGTGGGCAATCACGCCCGGCCAGAACCCATTCTTTTTAACAGCGGCACAAAACTGCACAATATTTTCTGGTATGGATGCACCATCATGTATTCAATGGTTCTCTCTTTGGTGAACATTCAAGTTGTTGCCCTCTTTTTTTGCCCCTTCAGACAGGTTTGTATCTGTGACTATATTCCCTTACCCAATAGTGTGCTCATTTCTGTAAGACAGCTTCCCAGTGTATTATGGAAGGATAATAAGAGATACCGATAGCACTAATTACTTCTAGGAGTGGGACAGAGAAGGGAAAGGGGGGTACTTTTTACTTTCTACTGAATACCCATTAAGACTTTATATCTGGAATGTGAACTAATTTTACAATATTAAAAATAATTAAAGCACAACAATGTGAATGTACTTAGTGCCACAGAGGTGTATTTAAAAATGGTGAGAACAGTACATTTTATGTCATGTATATTTTACCATTTAAAAATATAAATATGGCCAGGTGCAGTGGCTTATGCCTGTAGTCCCAGCACTTTGGGAGGCTGAGGTGGGTGGATCACTTGAACGCAGGAGTTCGAGACCAGCCTAGACAACATGGCAAAACCAAAAAAAAAAAAAAAAAAAAAAAAGAAATACAAGAAAGCTGGGCATGGTGGCGCACACCTGTAGTCCCAGCTACTCAGGAGACTGAGGCAGGAAGATGTCTTGAGCCCTGGAGGTTGAGGCTACAGCAAGCAGAGGTCATGCCACTGCACTCTAGCCTGGGCAATAGAGCAAGACTCTGTCTCAAAAAAAAAAAAAAAATATATATATATATATATATACAAACACACAAACACACACACATATATATACACACACAGGTGCACACCTGTAGTTCCCAGCTACTCAGGAGACTGAGGCAGGAGGATCACTTGAACCCAGGAGTTCGAGGTTGCAGTGTGCTGTGATTGCGCCAGCTTGGGTGACAGAGTGAGGGTCTGTCTAAAAAAACAAAACAAAACAAAACAAAAATAACCCTCCACTAGTTTCCAAACAAGTTTGAAAGTCCTTATCAAGGTTCCAAGGCCCTGAGTAATCCAGCACCTCCTGACTTCTCCAGACTGTCTGGCCTCACTCTCCGCTTGCTTTCACAAGAGCTTCCCTTCATCCCCTGTTAGGCTCCAAGCTTTCTCTCAACTCATGGCTTCTGCACACACAGGTCCTTGTGCCTGAAAACTTATCCTTCATCTTATTTGCTTTACTAATTTTTTTTTTTTTTTTTTTTTTGAGACGGAGTCTCGCTCTGTCGCCCAGGCTGGAGTGCAGTGGCGCAATCTCGGCTCACTGCAAGCTCCGCCTCCCGGGTTCACGCCATTCTCCTGCCTCAGCCTCCCGAGTAGCTGGGACTACAGGCGCCCGCCACCACGCCCGGCTAATTTTTTGTATTTTTGGTAGAGACGGGGTTTCACCGTCTTAGCCAGGATGGTCTCGATCTCCTGACCTCGTGATCCGCCCACCTTAGCCTCCCAAAGTGCTGGGATTACAGACATGAGCCACCGCGCCCGGCCATTTTTTATTTTTTTATTTTTTATTTATTTTTGAGACAGGATCTCACTCTGTTGCCCAAGCTGGAGTGCAGTGGCATGATCATGGCTCACTGAAGCCTCAACTTCCCAGGCTCAAGCAATCCTGCCACTTCAGTGTGCACCACCACACCCAGCTGATTTTTGTATTTTTTGTAGAGATGGGGTTTCACCATGTTGCCCAGGCCGGCCTCAAACTCCTGGCCTCAAGTAATCTGCCCACCTCAGCCTCCCAAAATGCTGGGATTATAGGCATGAGCCACCACACCTGGCCAGCTCACTAATTTTCCTTTTTTAATTATTGTGGGTAAACAGCAGGTGTATATATTTACGGGGCACATGAGATGTTTTTATATACCATGTTGCCCAGGCTGGTCTCAAACTTCTGGTCTCAAGCATTCCTCCTGCCTCGGCCTCTCAAAGTGCTGAAATTACAGGTGTGAGCCACCATGCCTGGCCTTTTGTTTTCTTTTTTTTGAGACAGAATTCCGCTCTTGTTGCCCAGACTGGAGTCCAATAGCGCAATCTCAGCTCACCACAACCTCTGTCTCCTGGGTTCAAGCGATTCTCCCGCCTCAGCCTCCCGAGTAGCTGGGATTACAGGCATGCGCCACCACGCCCAGCTAATTTTGTATTTTTAGTAGAGATGGGGTTTCTCCATGTTGGTCAGGCTGGTCTCGAACTCCCGACCTCAGGTGGTCCGCCCTCCTCGGCCTCCCAAAGTGCTGGGATTACAGGAGTGAGCCACCGTGCCCTTGTCTTTTCAACAAGTGGTGCTGGAGCTATTGGATATCCACAGACAAAACTAACAAACAAAAACTTGACCTAAACCTCATACCTTATACAGAAGTTATTTCAAATGGGTCGAAGATTTAAATGTAAAACTATAAAACTTTTATAAGCTAACTAGAAGAAAATATCTGGGATGCAGGGCTTAGTGAAAAGCTATTAGACATGATACCAAAAGTATGATCTATAAAAGAACAAAACAATAAACCGAGGTTTTGGCCGGGTGCGGTGGCTCACACCTGTAATCCCAGCATTTGGAAAGGCTGAGGCAGGCGGATCACCTGAGGTCGGGAGTTCGAGACCTGTCTGGCCAACGTGGTGAAACCCTGTCTCTACTAAAAATACAAAAGTAGCCAGGCATGGTGACAGGCACCTGTAATCCCGGCTCCTCGGGAGGCTGAGGTGGGAGAGAATCACTTGAACCCGGGAGGCAGAGGCTGAAGTGAGCTGAGATCACGCCATTGCCCTCCAGCGTCGGCAAAAAGAACGAAACTCCATCTCAAAAAATAAATAAATAAATAAATAAACTGAGGTTTGGATTTGTGTTGGTGAGGCTGTGGGGAAATAGAAACCCTTACACATTGCTGATGGAAATGTAAAATTGTCCAACTGGTGTGGAAAACTTCAGCAAGTTAAACACAAAATTATTCTCTGACCTAGCAATTCTATTCCTGGGTGTACACCCAAAATAACTGAAAACAGTTGTTCAAACAAAAACTTACATACCAGTGTTCATAGCAACATTATTCACAATAGCCAAAAGGTGGAAACAACCCAAACTTCTATTTACAGATAGATGGATAGATAAAATGTGGGATATCCATACAATGGACTATTATTTAGCCATAAAAAGGAATGAACTGGCCAGGCGTGGTGACTCATGTCTGTCATTCCAGCAATTTGGGAGGCAAAGGTGGGCGGATCACCTGAGGTCGGGAGTTTGAGACTAGCCTGACCAACATGGAGAAACCCTGTCTCTACTAAAAATACAAAAAAATTAGGTGGGTGTGGTGATGCATGCCTGTAATCCCAGCTACTCGGGAGGCTGAGGTAGGTGAATTGCTTGAACCCGGGAGGCAGAGGTTGCAGTGAGCCGAGATCATGCCACTGCATTCCAACTTGGGCAACAAGAATGAAACTCCGTCTCAAAAAAAAAAAAAAAAAGGAATAAACTGATTAATACTACAATGTGGATGAATGTTGAAAACACTATACTAAATGAAAGAAACCAGACACAAAAAGTCATATATTATAGGATTCCATTTATATGAAATATACAGAATAGGCAAAGCTACAGAGACAGCCATATTGGTGGTTTTTAGAGACTGGGAAGAGGGGAAATAGAGAGTGACTGCTTAATGGATACAAGGCTTCCTTTTGGGGTGAGAAAAATGTTCTGGAGCTAGATAGAGGTGAATGAGTGCACAATATTGTGAATGGAGCCAGGAGGGGTGGCTCACACCTGTAATCCCAGCACTTTGGGAGGCCGAAGCAGGCAGGTTGCCTGAGCTCAGGTGTTTGAGACCAGCCTGGCTAACATGGTGAAACCCCATTTCTAATAAAAATACAAAATTAGCCAGGTGTGGTGGTGGGCGCCTGTAATCCCAGCTACTTGGGAGGCTGAGGCTGGAGAATTGCTTGAACCCAGGAGGCAGAGGTTACAGTGAGCCCGGAAGGCTCCATTGCACTCCAGCCTGGGCCACAGAGACTCCATTTCCAAAAAAAAAAAAAAAAAATCAATCAATCACTATTGCAAATGTGCTAAATATCACTAATGGCAAATTTTATGTTATGTATATTTTACCACAATAAAAAATAGTGCATTTTACTACATGTAAATTATACCTCAATAAAACTGATGTAAAATATTATTTAGGTAATTAATGGATGCTAAAACTGGTGGGTGAAACTTTGATGACGATTGGAATAGTTACATACAATCAAATTGTCTCCCTACAAATGTACTTATTTAATTATGAAAAGAAAAATAGTAGCATTATAGTGGAGAAATCTGGCAAGCAACACCCGTGATGGTTAATTTTATGTGTCAACTTGAAGTGTTTTTGAATGAGATTAACACTGAAATTGGTGAATTTTGAGTAAGCACATTGCCCTCCAGAATATGGGTGGGTGTATGAGTCACAGTTCTCCAGACAGACAGAACCAATAGGGGATAGATGATGGATGAATGGTTGGATGGATGGATGGATGGATGGATGGATGGATGGACAGACAGATAAATAGATAAATGGATGAGAGGGGATTTATTAGGCGAATTAGCTCACATGACTATGGATGCTGAGAAATCCCACAACCAGCCCTCTGCAAGCTGGAGACCCTGGGATGTGGCAGTCCAAGTCCAAGTCCAAATCCAAAGGCCTAGAGCCAGGGAAGCCAATGGCGTAACTCTCAGTTTGAGGCCATCGACAACCTGAGAACCTGGGAGGCCTCTGGTATAAGTCTCAAGGCCAGAGAGCCTAGAGTTCTGATGTCCAAGGGCAGGAAAAGGAGTGTCCCAGCTCCAGGAGAAGGAGACAGAGGAAATTCTTTTCTCTCCTTTTTTGTTCTATGTGGGCCACCAGCAGATTGGATGGTGCCCTCCCACAATGAGGGCAGATCTTCCCTACTCAGTCCACTTACTCACATGCCAATCTCTTCTAGAAACACCCTCACAGATGCACCCGAAGGAATGTTTTACCGCTTCTCTAGTCTTCTTTTTTTTTTCCAGACTATAGTCAGGCTTCTTTTTTTTTTTGAGTTGGAGTTTCATTCTGTCACCCAGGCTGGAGTGCAGTGGCGTGATCTCAGCTCACAGCAACCTCCGCCTCCCAGACTCAAGCAATTCTCCCACCTCAGCTGGGATTACAGTTGTCCACCACCACACCTGGCTAATTTTTGCATTTTTAATAGAGACAGGGTTTTGCCATGTTTGCCAGGCTGGTCTCAAACTCCTGACCTCAGGTGATCTGCCCACCTCGGCCTCCCAAAGTGCTGGGATTATAGACGTGAGCCACCGCGCCTGGCCCCGGCTTCTGAATAGGTCTTCCTTAATTTAGTCAAGCTAAGACCCAGAGTTAACCTTCACAATGTTCCTCATCTAATCACTTGAGGCCTGAACAGAACAAAAAGATGGACCTCCATGAGAAAGAGGAAATTCTCCAGCAGGCTGCCTCCAAATTTCATCTGCACCATCCGGTCTCCAGGGTCTTTAGCCCGCCAGCCCGCACTGGACTTGCCTGTACAAGCACACGAGCCAATTCCTTATTTTATATATACGTATTCTCTCTCTCTCTCTCTCTCTCTCTCTCTCAATCTCTGTTGGTTCTGTTTTCTCTGGAGAACCCTAACACACCACCTTATTGAAAGGATCAAAGTTAAAATCGCCAGTAACTGTAACTGACATGTACATCCTCCCAATGAGATATAGTGAGAAGGGTACAACGTCACTTATGTGGTGTTCCTATGGGAAGTGCATATCCTGAATCTAATTATGAGGAAACAACAGACAAACTCAAACTGACGGACATTCTACAAAACAACTGGCCAGTACTCTTCAAATGTGTCAGTATCACAAAAGACAAAAAGGAGAAACTACTCCCAGTAGAAGACTCTTAAAGGCTGGGAGCAGTGGCTCACACCTATAATCCCAACACTTTGGGAGGCTGAGGCAGGCAGATCACTTGAGGTCAGGAGTTTGAGACCAGCCTGACCAACTTGGTGAAACCCCATCTCTACTAAAAATACAAAAATTAGCTGGGCATGGTGGTGGGTGCCTGTATTCTCAGCTACTCGGGAGGCTGAGGCAGGAGAATCGCTTGAACTGGGAGGTGGAGGTCACAGTGAGCTGAGATTGCACACGCACCACTGCACTCTAGCCTGGACTACGGAGTGAGATTCCATCTCAAAAAATAAAAATAAAAACAAAAACACAAAAATTAGCCAGGCATTCTGGCGTGCACATGTAGTCCCAGCTACTCTGGAGGTTGAGGCATGAGAATCACTTGAACCCGGGAGGCGGAGGTTGCAGTGAGCTGAGATTGAGCCATTGCACTCCAGCCTAGGCAAAACAGTGAGACTGTGTTTCAAAACAAACAAACAAACAAACAAATAAAAAAAACTACCCCCCCCCACACCAACTGGCTGGGCATGGTGGCTCACACCTGTAACCCCAGTACTTTGGGAAGCCAAGGAGGAAGGATCCTTTGAGCTCAAGAGTTCAAGACTGCAGTGAGCTATGATTGTGCCACTCCACTCCAGCCTGGGTGACAGAGTGAGACCCTGTCTCTGAAAAAAAAAAAAAAAAGAAAAGAAAAGACAAACCGAAGTGTTTAGGGGTAAAGAGGTCGGATGTGTAAAACTTAATTTGAAATGGTTCAGAAAAAAATGCTTTATTTGCAACTTTTGTAGAAGTTTTGAAGTTATTTTGAAATACAAAATTTAAAAATTAATTGTTTAATTGACGTCTTTCGTGAGGGGAGGGGCTACCACTGTCTTGTTTTCTGCTGTAGTTCCAGCTCTAGCACACCGCAGGCTTCAACAAGAAATATTTCTTGAGTGAACAAATGAATTAATGAACTAAACCATCTTCCAATTTGGGTTTCAGGCAGGGGCTGGGATTTTGGAAGTCAAGCTTTAGACAGCAAGAGGCAAAATTCCTCTTTTTCTCTAGGTATATCTCTTCTGGAGCTCCAATCTGAGAGGGTAGATCATCTATAGTTTGGGGAAATAAGACCTCTGCCCTCCAAAGGCCGACAGGCAGCCCACAAGCAGGAGATAATTGAGTTGTGCTTTGCAACAAGAAGACCTGGCTGAGTGCCATTTTCTAAGTCAGTTCCCTAAGGTTCACCCTATTCCCCACATCACCACCACCCTTGGTTAAGATTTGTTTTTTAATTTTTAATTGTTATGGAGATAGGGTCTCCCTATGTTGTCCAGGCTGGTCTCAAACTCCTGGCCTCAAGGGATTCTCCTGCCTTAGGCTCCTGAAGTGCTGGCATTACAGGTGTGAGCCACCGCCAGCCAGTTAAAAGCTTTTATAATATCCATTACTATTACTCTTGTAATGCAGCACTTATCTCAAGCTACTGTAACTGTATATTTGTCTGCCCTTTTCACTAAAGTGTGAGACTCTCCTAGGCAGAAGCTAAGTCTTTTCAGCTCAATATCCTCCTATGGGCCAGGCGCAGTGGCTCATGCCTATAATCCTAGCACTTTGGGAGGCTGAGGCAGGCAGATTGCCTGAGCTCAGGAGTTCAAGACCAGCCTGGACAACATGGTGAAACCCTGTCTCTACTAAAAATCCAAAAAATTACCCAGGCATGCTGGTGCTCGCCTGTAATCCCAGCTTCTCAGGAGGCTGAGGCAGGAGAATCACTTGAACCTGGGAGGCAGATGTTGCATGCAGTGAGCCGAGATCGCTCCACTACACTCCAGCCTGGACGACAGGGCGAAACTCTGTCTCAAAAAATATATCTATATATCTATATCTATATGTATATCATCTATATCATCTATTCTCCTATGACTACCACGTAGCCCACCCCATGCTATCCCTCAGCCCGGCCTCAGATCTGGAATCTGGTTCCTGTGCTGTCCCCTTCTGCCCTTGGCTGTCATGCTGCTGCCTCACCACCAGAGGGCCTTCCAGCTGGGCCTCAGAGACCCTTCTTACTGCCCCACCCAAGGTGCCAGGCAGCCAGCACTGGCTCCCCACCCCCTGCCCCTCATCCTGCAGGGTGCCCTATGCTTTTTGTGGAGCCATTCACCTGTCTCTCCCTCCATTTGCCTCAGCTAAGGAGACCTTCCTAGCAAGATCTCAGGGTTGGTCCAGCTTTGCAGCAAAGTTTGACTTCTGCCAGTGTGTGTGTCTGGTCTCTGATAGGGATGCTATCTTCCTGGGAGGCTGTCTTACATCTAAGCTCTCCTCAGGACCAAACAGAAGGACCTCTTTTTCCATTTCCATGTGTCGGAGACCTCCCTAATGACTGCTATTTGCAACCTCATGTTTGTCCAAGGGCTACATGTAGCTCTTGGTTCATTTGTAGAAGGGGCAGAGCACAAGGTGCTTGTGGAAAGGTGGCCACTGCCTGGACCTTTGTGAGGCCCTCAGGGCCAGGGCTGGTCCTACCTGAGGCCCTGGATCACCTGGAGGGACCATCAGCCCATCCACTGTTTCTCCCTAGGCCTGAAAGAGGGACCCTCGTTCAGGATGAAGCTGAGAACAGACTCAGTAGAGAAAGGGGGAGAGAGGTGAATGGAACCATGACCCAGGTAGTATGGAAAGAGGGCTAGGACCCAGCTGGAGCTCCCTGTGTGTTGGGTACGTGTGACTGTGTCTGTGCTCCCTGTATCATTCCTGTGCATTTCCACCCATGAAATTCCCTGGGAAAAGGTCAAGCTCTCTCCACCATGCTAAGTAGGGTGAGCAAAGGAGATGGTTGGGGTTGAGGGCTCAGATACTCAAGGAGGCAGGGATCCCCCGGGGGGATGATCCCTGGTGATAGTGATTGAAATCAGAAGGAGAGAGTTAATGCGGAGGAGTGAGAACCATGGGCCCGACTCGAAAGCTCACTTCCTACTGGCTGTCCTCCATCCCCAGCTCTCCTCAAGCTCTCTCTGCAGAATCTCAGTATGGCATCTGCCAAAAAGCTTACATGGATGATCCCCAAACATGGTCATCTCCTCTCACTTCCCCAGGGCTCTCAGACTCTTCCTTGGGGGACCTGGGAGAGGTTTTCCGGACCTTCCTACTTTTTGACAGCATAACACTGTCAAGCACATGCAAAGTCTGCCAATAACAAGGGGCCCTCCTGACAAGCAGAGATGTTTTCTCTTCAGGGCTGCGGTGATGGGTGGGGGTCACTGCTATGAGGGGACGGTCTGCAGCCATAAGAAGGCTCTTCAGGCTAGAAGGCTTCACTCCCAAGGCCCGCACAGCTGAAGAGACCAAGGGGTTATAGGCTGAGGGCGCTATTGTGCACACCCTCCCACCCCAGCAGAAGTGGTTGGCACTGCAGCGATGCCAAGGCCGGCTGCTTGGGGGTGGGAGGAGGTCGCTGCAGTGATGAGGAATCCCTGCTTGGAGTGAGTGGTCACTGAAGTGGCTGCATGAACTAAAAGTACCTGCAGGGATGGGGGAGGTTTTCTGCAGTGATGAAGAGCACTTTGCAAAGGAAAGGGGCCAGCTTCTTGGGGGAAGAGTCCTGCGGTGACGGTGATGGGGGGCTGGGGGGTTCGCTGCAGTCAGGAGGGAGGGTCTCTGCAGCGATGGGAAGCAACCCAGGGCAGGGGGTGGGGTGGGCTGGGGAATGGGATGCCGTCGTGGTAATGGGATAGCTGGGGTCGCGGCAGTGTCGGTGGCACTTGCAGGACGCCTGATTCCTGAAGAATGGAAAGGGTGGGGTCTCTGAGGCCTCGGTCCTGCAGTGACGGGGATCCGTGCGGCGGCGGGGACGCGGTCCCTGCACTGCGGTGCCCAGTCTGGCTCGGGCTGCCGCGGCTGGCGCGGAGGCGGTACCGCGCCCGAAGGAGGGGGGAGCGCCAGCCCCGCCGCAGCAGCAGCAGGCGTGGCCAGGGCAGGCTGGAGGGGCGGCCTCTCGGAACGGGGGCGGGACCACCGCCGGCAGGGCCCGCGCCCCTGCCGGGACTCAGAGCCGCTGCAGCCACAGTCACGAACTGGCGGCCGGCAGGTGCCGGGACCGAGGGCCACCCGGAGCGCAGAGGCGGCACCACCCACACGGATCCCGTGGGCACCTAGAACTCCGCGGAGGGCGCGACGGTGAGGCTGAGACTGCCACAGGGAGCGGGGCGATCCCCAGAGCCAGCCCGCGGCATCCCCTGCGCGGGCCGCGGCCACTGCAGGTGCCCCCTCCTCCCACATCAGCTCTGCCGGGGTAGGGAGCGGTAACCTGGCGGCTCCCACGGACTCTCCCTGGCCCGACACCTCTCCCGGGCTTGCCTCCCAAAGACCCCCTCTTTTCGCTTTCCCAGCTCGTTCTTCCCACCCTTAACCCCTCCACTCCGGCCAGCACCCCCGTCGGATGAGGCACCAGGGAGAGAAAGACCAAGGCCCTTTCGGCGCCCCATCCACCCTGCCCCCGCGATCCCTCGCAGGGCCGGGGGCCTCCGGGGGGATTCGGGCCCTTTAAACCTCCGCCTTCCCGGAGCATCTTCCATCTCCACCCGCGCCGCTTCCGACAGCTGGCGGCCGCGGGGGGCCCCGGGGGGCCGGCAGGTACGGGGGTGGCTGCGAGGTTGGGAGTGGGCGGTGGAACAGCTGTGACCGCCCCCACCCCCGGGGGAGCCGCGGCGGGACTGCTGGGCGCCGAAGCGCGCGTTAATCATTAACCCTCCGCGGCCCGGCTGCCCAGGTAACGCGTGAGGATGCCCTCCTCGCCACCACGCCTGCCGCCCCCTTATCTCCCCCGCCACCTGTCGCCCTCAGGAGCTCCCGCTCGGCCTCGCGCCCCGGCAGGCCCCGTCCGGGTGCTGGAGTGAGACTCTCGCGCTGGCCTCTGGAGCGCGGGGTGGGCGTCCCGTCACCCTGCGCCCAGCTTCCCCGGCCCGTTCCCGCAGGGCCGGCCTCCCGGCGCCATGCCCGGCCTGTACTGCCCCTCCAGCTGGACGCCGCTGCCGCTCACGGACTCCTGGGTCCGGGCCTGCGCCAACGGCCCCTGCCTCAGCGTGCGGGCCCGGCTCACCTACCGCAACCCGCAGCCGCAGCCGGTGGACGGTGAGGCCCGGGTGGGGCGCGGGCGCGGCGGGGGGTGCGCCGGGCAGGGTCCGACGCCGCCTCCCGCCGCCCTCCCCAGGCGTGTTCGTGTACCCGCTGGCCGAGGCCGAGGTGGTGTCCGGCTTCGAGGCCGAGGCCGCCGGACGGCGCGTCTCCTTCCAGCTGCAGAGCCGGCGCCGCTCGCAGGCCGCCTGCTGCCGCGCTCTGGGCCCGGGGCTGGGGACCCCGACGCCCCGCCGCTGCGCGCAGGGTGAGTTCCGCGCGCCCGCACCCGCGCTCCTGAAAGCCGGGCGCAGCTCAGGCTCCCGCATCCGCTCGGCCTCCGCCCGTCCCCCGCCTTCCTCCGGGCACTGCCTTGTGCATTCATTGGCTCATCCTGGTATTTAGCAGTCGTGGGCTGGGCACCTGACCTGCGCCAGGTGCTGGGAGAACATGGCCCGGAGGTTCACAGCCTGGGAGACAGACACAGCAGGCAGCACAGGGCTTGCGGGGGCGCCAGCAACCCTTACAGCCCAGGAGACCGGTCTCTCTAGGGGGCTGCAAAGGGAGCCTTCTCCCCTGGTGGTCCCCTCCGGCCCCTTACTATTTTAGGCTGCACACCTCAATCCGGCCCCGCGTGGGCCAGTGAATCAAGTGTAGACTCCTGTGCCTAGCAGCCAAGGCCCTCGCTCTCACCCCATTCCATCCCTCTCCCAGCGACCCCATACACCAGGTACCGCTGCCGCTGGCCACACTGACTGACAGGTCCTTTCCCAACTCTCTGCTCTGTCTTTCCATCTTCTATTGAGCAAATTCCTACTTGTCCTTTAAGATCCACTAAACGTCATTCCTAGGGAAACCCTCCCTGACTCTCCCACAAATAGCTGCACTGTTTCCTGGCTCCCCAGCCTTTTGTGCCCCCTCGTTATGGCACTTACAGGGGGAGTCATTGTCACAGATCTGCCTGTCTGTCTCCCCGCTGGAGCATCTCCAAATCCCAGCACCTCACACAGAACCTGGCACTATGAGGCCCAGCGAGTGCCCGGGGAAGGGACAGAAGCCCAGCCCTGTGCTGTGTGCTGTGCTTGCACCTGGTTCTTTCATTGATTCATTCATACATGGCTTTGATTCCTGCCCAGGGGATTTGCAATCCAGGTAAGAAGAAGAGGAACAGAATCCAGTGGTGTTGAGAGCTGGCATAAGCCCAGCACGTTAGGGGCTTGTGGTTAGAGGCTAGAGTGAGCTCTGGGCTGAGGCCCCAGGAATGTTCCAGAAGGAGGTAGAGCCAGCATTTGACTGCAAGAAAGGGTAGGACTCAGTTAAGTGGAAGGTAGGGGCAACAGTATAAGCAAATGCTTATAAGTAGGTTACAGTGGGTAATGACAATAAAATATCTCATGTTTATAGTGATTTACAGTTTACAATCGCTAGTATCACCTCATTTGAATCCCAAGTAGTGGGTAATGCAGGCTTCTTCCTGTTATGGGGGATGGAAGGGGGATAATCCCCCTTCCTCCTGTTATGGGGGATGAAAGTCATAGCAGGGGTCACTGACTTATATGTTGGGTGCTTTGCATACATTGCCTCATTTGTTCCTCACCACAATCACAGAGTTATTATGATCCCCACTTTATGGATGAGGAAACAGGCTCCTCAGAACAAGAGAGCTGCCAAAGGACTCAATTAGAGGTCACCGAGCTGATATTTAAAACTTGATGCTGTGCTGTCTCCACTGTGTCGGTTGGCTGGGATGGAAGCCCCTTTCTTTCTTTCCTTCCATCTTTTTCTTCCCTTCAGTTATTCAGCAAGTATTTATTGAAAGGATGAACAATTGGTCATTGTGAGGAAGTGAGGTACAGTAGGGCTGTGAACGTGGGCTGGGGCCAGACCACGTCGGTGGTGTACACAGCTGCCACTGTACATGGCTGGTCATTATTCCTTTAGCAGCCCCACCAGTCCCCAAACAAACCTAGGAGCTAAATAAAACAGTGTGTGCAGTGTGCAAATGGAGCTTTATGTCCTCCAGCCTGCTTCCTGCTTCTCTATTCCTCCTGCCCGGGAGGAGTAGAGAATTCTGGAGCCACCTTAGTGGGCAATGGGGGAGCTCCTGATGGTTCAGGAGCAGGAAATTTATGAGCAGAGTGGGGTCCCAGGCCACAGGGAGATGTCTATCCACAAGGGATGGTGGCCAAGGGTTGAATGGAAAGAGGCAGGCAGGGGGAGAGGGGCAGAGGGTGTGGGTATTCCCAGGGCCTTGAGAGTGGACATGGCCCCTTCTCCTCAGCCTTCCATTAGCAAGGATGTCACTGCTGCTCTTGCCTGATGACAGCCAGATCTGTTCACAGTTAGTCTGCCTCTCCTGCCATCATTCATCTCATGCCTCCATCCTGCGTCACCAATGCATTAGCCTAGTGCCAACACGCAAAGTCCCCCTTGCCCAGGCTCCCTGACCCAATGCCTGCTTCCACATCTAGCTTCCTCCCTCTCCTCTGCTTCCAGCATGCTCTGACCCCATTTCTCACCCATCATAGGTCATCTTGTCTTGGATCTGGCCCAGGCCCGGTCCACGTTGGTGCTGCCCACAGGCATTATCGCCGCGGCTGGCACCATGACGGTGACCCTGCACAGCAGCCGGGAGCTGCCCTCAAGGCCTGACGGGGTGCTGCATGTGGCCCTGCCCACTGTGCTCACCCCGCTGGCCCCGCCAGGCCCGCCGGGGCCCCCCAGGCCTCCGGGGCTCTGTGACGACAGGTTGGGCCTATGGTGATTCTCTTCGTCCCTCCCTCGGCTTCTCTGGGTCTAGTGCGGGTGAGGGGGCACTGGCAGGGTACCCAGGGATGGGAAGGGTGAGGAAGGGCTGGGGCCAGTCAGCCGGAGGGTTTAGGGGCCTTCACAGTGGCCCAGTGACCCTCCTCATGCTCCCTTCCAGCCCCACCAGCTGCTTCGGGGTGGGCAGCCTTCAGGAGGAAGGGCTGGCCTGGGAGGAGCTGGCTGCCCCTCGGGACGTGTTCTCAGGCCCTGCCCGCTGCCCTGCCCCATATACCTTCTCCTTCGAGATGCTGGTGACTGGGCCATGCCTGCTTGCAGGTGGGTGCATCTGGCTGGCCTGCCCTCTTTTCAGATGCCCACTCCACCCAGTGTAGTGACTGGAAGGGAAATAAGGCTCAGGGATAGGAGGGACACAGGACAAAAAGACAGGGACCCCAGCCTCCGGAACATCTGGGTTAGTGGTGGGAGCATCCCCTGGTCACCTCTACCCAACACACACACCCCAATTTTATCAAGGTAATTTATTTATATCTCATCCCACCCAGCAGTGGGAAGAGAGATACTTACAATGGGACTAGTACCTGTGATGAAGTAGGTTTTCCTTACACAGAAGGTGGGGGGTGAATGCTAAATCAGCACCTGGCTGATGCATGACTCTTCGACCAGCCAGAAACCCTGCTGGAATCTACTTCCCAGCCCATGAAAGCAGGCACATCCTCCCTCGTCCATCTGACCCCATATAGATCAGACTCTGAGAGCTGACTGAATCAGCCATGACCCCTGCCAACATTTGCTGTCCCTGGGAAGGTGTTATGGCTACATCTCCCCTTCCTGCCTCTATGTCCCTCAGGCCTGGAGAGCCCCTCTCATGCTCTGCGGGCAGATGCCCCCCCTCATGCCAGCTCTGCAGCCACCATCTGTGTCACACTGGCAGAGGGCCACCACTGTGACCGGGCCTTGGAGATCCTGCTGCACCCCAGTGGTGAGAGACTGGGACACACCGTGGGCCGGCTCTGACCTGCTTCTACATGAATGGGGGAAGCATTTCTTAAGTGCAGGTTTCTGGGCCCCAGCCAGATGGACTGAGTCATCTGTGAGGGCAGAGCCTGTGGTGCAGGAAGGCTGGACCTGCAGGCTCCTCCTGGACAGTGAAACTGGGCACTTGGGGTCCAGAGGCAGGGCCTTCCTTGACAGAATTGTGTCCTCTCCTCTCAGAGCCCCATCAGCCACACCTGATGCTGGAGGGCGGCAGCCTGAGCTCAGCAGAATATGAGGCCCGGGTGAGGGCCCGCCGAGATTTTCAGAGGCTACAGCGAAGGGACAGTGATGGGGACCGGCAGGTACCGCCATAGGAGCCTGGCCTGGCCCCTGGCCTTGGCTGCATTTGTGCACAAGGAGCAGGCAAGCAGGCTTACATTGGAATGGGTGCGGGGAGGCCTCTTTTCTCGGTAAGATCTCTCCACAGCTGCCACCAACCATCACAGAGGACAGATGAGTATTGTCATTGGAGGGCCGATGTGAATCTCTCTGGGGTGTGTCTCAGAGGATGGAGGCTAGGTCTGATATAAACAGAAGACAGCCACCTGCCTTTGCTCCTGCCTTTATTCGAATTACTACAAAAAGATGTCCCCTCTGGGTGGATCAGACAGAAAAAGGCCCCAGAGCCAGTCCCACTGCCCACCCTCAACAAAGTAGCACTAAGCCTTGCCCAGGCTGACTTGGGACTCCCCCGCTCAGGTGTGGTTCCTGCAGCGACGCTTCCACAAGGACATCCTGCTGAACCCCGTGCTGGCGCTGAGCTTCTGCCCAGACCTGAGCTCCAAGCCCGGACACCTGGGGACAGCTACTCGGGAGCTACTCTTCCTTTTGGATAGCAGCAGCGTGGCACACAAGGCCCGTGGGGGTGTGGTGTGGGCAGGCCTGGGGGTTGGGTGGGGCAGTGGGTCTGAGGAGGGCTGGGGGCAGCCTCTTGAAGCCAGGAGTTACCTTGTTGCTTCAAACACCATCTTCCAAAGAGGAAGCAGATGGCAACTCCTCAGGGGATTCCCTTAGACAGCAGCCCTGCTCCAACCGCCAAACAGACACTGTCACGCTCTCTTGCTCATATTCACGCACACACATCTCTCCAGGATTCCAAGAGCCTCTCACACATAGACTCGCACTCAGTCACAGGGAGTCACTCCAATCACAGGGACACTCAAGTTTCATGTGTACCTCCAGAGTCCCACACACAGCCATGTGTACCTCCAGAGTCCCACACACAGCCATGTGTACCTCCAGAGTCCCACACACAGCCATGTGTACCTCCAGAGTCCCACACACAGCCATGTGTACCTCCAGAGTCCCACACACAGCCATGTACACCTCCAGAGTCCCACACACAGTCATGTGTACTTCCAGAGTCCCACACAGTCAGGTATACCTCCAGAGTCCCACACACAGTCATGTACACCTCCAGAGTCCCACACACAGTCATGTATACCTCCAGAGTCCCACACAGTCATGTATACCTCCAGAGTCCCACACACAGTCATGTGTACCTCCAGAGTCCCACACAGTCTCTCACACACACTTGGGGGCTCACTGGCACACTTTCCCTCACACCCAGGGCCTCTCCCAGGTTACCACAGCCTCTCACTTGAATCACAGCCTGGATAACGCAGTGATCTGGCTTCCCTTGCTCTGTATCAGGGCCCATGGGGCCGGCCTCACGCCGCCCTCCCTGGCCCTCCACAGGATGCCATTGTTTTGGCTGTGAAGTCCCTCCCGCCCCAGACGCTTATCAACCTGGCCGTGTTTGGGACGTTGGTGCAGCCACTCTTCCCAGAGAGCCGGCCTTGCAGTGATGTGAGTGTGGTCCAGGGATCTGGGGGCCTTACAGAGAGGTTTCAGCCCAGTGCGTCCCAGCCTGTGCCTTCTCGCTCCAGGATGCTGTGCAGCTGATCTGCGAGAGCATTGAGACCCTGCAGGTTCCGAGTGGGCCCCCAGACGTGCTGGCTGCTCTGGACTGGGCCGTGGGGCAGCCCCAGCACAGGGCCTACCCTCGGCAGCTGTTCCTGCTCACTGCTGCCTCACCCATGGCCGCCACTACCCACCGAACCCTGGAGCTCATGAGGTGGCACAGGGGGACAGCCAGGTATGGGATGGGCAGAACCAGATGCGTAAGACTGAGCCCCCACAAGGGGCTCCTGAAGATCACAGCTGCTTCCTTTCCTTCATCAGATGCTTCTCCTTTGGGCTGGGGCCCACCTGCCACCAGCTGCTCCAGGGTTTATCTGCCCTCAGCAGAGGCCAGGCCTACTTCCTGAGGCCTGGGCAGAGGCTGCAGCCCATGGTGAGCTTGAGCCTGGGCCCTGTTCCCTACACCTGGAAGTTTTTCTCCCAAGTTACACATCAAGTCTGAAACAGAACTCAGGCAGGCCATGGGGGCTCCTGGCGCCCTCACCAGGCCTTCTCCCCACTCCAATCAGGGGAAGAGCTGTTGGTGCTGTGAAGGCCAAAGGTGTCAGGACACTGTCTCTGACCACCCTCTGAATCCCATTTAGTCCTGGAACGGAGCCTCGTCCTCACAGTCTTGCCCCATCCATGTGGCAAAGCTCAGGCCAGGAGACAGACCAAATCCTGAGGGCTGAGCACTCAGCCCCCTGCTTGCTCCTACCCTCATTCCTTCTCCTGACCCCAGCCTGGCCCTGTGCCCCATCAGCTTAGGGGCTGGGCAGATGGCATCAGGGGAAGGGCAGCCTTCCTGCTCTGTCTGGCCGTATGACACCTCTTTCCTTCCCATGTCTTCCCTGTGGCCACTCCCCACAGCTGGTACAGGCTCTGCGGAAGGCACTGGAGCCTGCTTTGAGTGACATCTCTGTGGACTGGTTTGTGCCCGACACTGTGGAGGCACTGCTGACCCCCCGGGAGATCCCAGCACTCTACCCTGGGGACCAGCTGCTCGGTTACTGCTCACTCTTCAGGGTGGATGGCTTCCGGTCCCGCCCACCAGGGGTAAGCTTGGGCTGGGGTGTGGTAGGGGGGCTAGGGTGAGGTAGGGGGGCCTGGGATGGCTGAAGTCCCCGCATCTCTTCCAAACCCTTTTTCCATTCTCTGTGCCTCTCTCTACCAAGCTTCTCTACTATCCCCTAGGACTCCACAGAGATCACACTGGGCCCCCTAAGATGACCACACCCTGTCCCCTTCATGGAGTCTTCCACTGAGTTGTCCTGCAAAGTGTTACCCCTCAGTTTTTACCCAAGGTCACTAAAGCACACAGCCACAGAAAACAGCACCTGCATTTGCTATGAGGTTTCCGTCAAGGCTTGCTCATGGCTTCACATAGTTCCCTATAGAAAGCACCAGCCAGCGTATTTTCTGGGACACGCAGTGATGGATGAGCATAACCTAGGCACAATCTCTAATCCCAGCTCTGTCACTTACCAGCCATTTGATTTGAGCAAGTCACTTCACCTCACTGACCCATTTCCTCATATGGAAATGAGGTTTTTCACAGGTGGTTGTCATCAGGGGTCATAAAGTGAGTACTCCTGGCAGAACACTTGACACAGTAGGAGCTGGGGACATGGTAGTTATTTTTTAATGAAAAGCTTTATCTCTTTAGAAGAACTCTGCACGCTTCCTCCTTTTTGATCATGAGAGCTGCATAACAGACTTTTTTTTTTGCCTGGCTGCCAGGGAGCTCAGGGCCAAACTTAAAGCTCAGCTTCCCAGCAGCTCTATTAACCCTTACAGTGAACATGTCTGCTTCCTCCTTCTTTAGTACTGGTCTTTTGTTTCTGGTTTATTAGCTTTGTTGCCTCTTGCTGTGAGCCATCTAAAAATGTTTGGAAAGAGGTAGCACATAACTGCAGTTAATTTTTTTCCCAATAATATTCTCTCTAGGGCCAAGAGCCTGGCTGGCAGAGCTCGGGTGGGTCCGTGTTTCCATCCCCAGAAGAGGCCCCGTCTGCTGCCAGCCCTGGCACTGAGCCCACTGGCACCTCAGAGCCACTGGGAACAGGCACTGTCTCAGCAGAACTGTCCAGCCCATGGGCTGCCAGGGACTCGGAGCAGAGTGAGTGCCCAGGTGTATGTGTGTGGCTGTATTGGAGTGGGCGCTGGGAGGGGTCAGGGCTAGGGCCCATTCTACTGCCTCCCAGCAGGTACTGATGCTCTGACAGACCCAGTCACGGATCCTGGACCCAACCCCTCTGACACAGCCATATGGCGCCGCATCTTTCAGTCCTCGTACATTCGGGAGCAGTATGTGCTCACCCACTGCTCTGCCAGCCCCGAGCCAGGCCCAGGCTCCACAGGCAGCAGTGAGTCCCCAGGCTCACAGGGCCCTGGCTCCCCCGAAGGTAGTGCTCCCTTGGAGCCCCCTTCTCAGCAGGGCTGCCGCAGTCTGGCCTGGGGAGAACCTGCAGGCTCCCGCTCCTGTCCCCTGCCTGCACCCACACCAGCTCCATTCAAGGTGAGATCCAACCCACATTCATTCGCCTTGTATCCAGCAAATATTTATTTACCACCTGCTGTGCACCAGATATTATGTAGAGTTTACTATTAAGTCTAGCTAGAGAGAAAGGTGGGTAAATCCCCAACGATACCATGTAACAACCAGTGATGAGCACAAGGACATGTATTAAGGGGGCTTAAAGTCAGGGTGACTAATTCTGCCTGAGAGAGTCAGGAAAGTCAGAGCCATATCTGGAAGAATAAGCACGAGTTAGCCATGCAGAGAGGGAGAAGACATAAACGAAAATACAGAGACAAGCAACAACCACAAGTGGGAAATAGGGAGTGGAGTGGGATGATGCTGGGAAGGGGCCAAGGCCAGAGGTCACTGTAGGCCATAAGGAACTTGGCCTTCCTCCTCAAGCTGGTGAGCGGCCACCCAGGGTTTCAGAAAAGGGGCATGGGCCAGCTGTGCACCCATGTATGATGGTCAAGGGTTCTGCATTCCTTGACCAGTGGCCCCCATATCTCACATGCAGGTGGGGGCCTTGAGTACTGAGGTGCTGGGCCGTCAGCACAGAGCGGCTCTGGCTGGCCGAAGCCTCTCATCCCCTCCAGGCCGGGCAAACCAAGTCCCCGGCCGACCCCGGAAACCCTCTTTGGGTGCAATACTAGATGGCCCAAGTCCTGAGCCAGGCCAACAGTTGGGACAAGGCCTGGATGACTCAGGTAAGTGTTGGATGGGGAGCTGGTTTCCCTGACACCAAAGAGGCCTTGGGGAGGTAAAGCCCAGAGGACCACTCTGCCCATGCCCCTGCTGTCTTGCCTCCCCAGGAAACCTGCTCTCCCCAGCCCCTATGGACTGGGACATGCTGATGGAACCACCCTTCTTATTCACGGCTGTGCCTCCTAGTGGGGAGTTGGCCCCTCCAGCAGTGCCTCCCCAGGCTCCACGCTGCCATGTGGTGATCCGGGGCCTGTGTGGGGAGCAGCCCATGTGCTGGGAGGTGGGTGTTGGGCTGGAGACACTGTGGGGACCTGGAGATGGCTCACAGCCTCCCTCACCTCCTGTAAGAGAAGCTGCTTGGGACCAAGCACTCCATCGGCTGACAGCAGCCTCTGTGGTCCGGGACAATGAGCAGCTGGCCCTCCGAGGAGGGGCAGAGACCACAGCTGACCGGGGTGAGTTGCTCATGGGTCCAGTCAGGACCCAAAGGCATGGGCTAAAAACAGCAAAGGTAGAGGTCTGTGTGTTTGATCACTCTCTATACCTCGCTTTGATCACAAAGGATTTGAGGCTCATCACAGACAAGATAAAAAATTAAGCGGGACAATGGGAAAAAGTAAAAATAAAAGGAAACTGAGAATGAGGTTATATTAAAGGTGCATGCTGTGAGGTTATATACTCTTGCAAGGATCAGATCCAGAACTGACAAGCTTCCTAGCAGCCAGCACAGAGGGCAACGTGATCCTGTCATGATTCACAGCACCCACAACGTAAAAACAAATCTTTGTCATTTAGGAAAATACTTAAAGTTCATTTCCTCAGTTGCACTAACCACAGCTGAAGTACTCAATAGTCAAATGTGACTAGTGGCTACCACATTGGATCATGAAGAGAGAGAACATTTCCAAGTTTTATTAGTGCAGAAGCAGGTGGAGGAAAATGTGCCAGCTAATGCTTCCTCTGGGTGTTGTCCAGAGTGCTGAATTTCTGGGCAGCCAGGGGGCTCTTGCTCTGCTATGGGTTGAAGATTCAGCCTGATCACTTCTTGTCAAAGTTGGGGAGTCTGAGCTGGTTCTGGGCCTAGCAAGGCAATCTACTCTGTTAAAGTCGATAGAGGGAGAAGCTGGGGAGAACACTGCAATTTTTTCTATGAGCCCTCTGTAGAGGGTGGGTGGTGGGGGCTCCACAGACTGCTCCTTGGTTCCACAGGCCATGCCCGGAGGTGCTGGCTTCGAGCCCTTCAGACAAGTAAGGTCAGCTCTGCCCCCTCCTGCTTCACTTGCCCTGTAGCTGTGGATGCTACTACTAGGGAGGTCCTGCCTGGGGCCCTGCAGGTGTGCAGCTCAGGTAGGGGCCTCTTCTGGTGACCTCTCAGGTGCAGCTCTCACCTCACTGGCCACTCTCCTGGACAAACCTGACTCCTGTCCCATGTGCCCCTGCAGAGCCCGCTGAGCCCCCAGGAACCCCTCCTGCCTCTCACAGCCATCTAGATGCAGCTCCTCTGCCCACTGTTGTCTACTCTAAAGGTAACACCCAAAGGTAGGGAAAGGGTAGGGGCACTTGGGCTTAGAGACCGCCCCCTGGCACTGATGATCCCCACTGCAGGACTTCAGAGAGGCTCTCCAGCAGGCGCCTGGGACTCGGACCAAAATGGCAACTCCAAGCGTGCTTTGGGGGACCCTGCCACTCCCACGGAAGGTCCTCGCCGCCCACCTCCCCGTCCTCCCTGTCGGCTCAGCATGGGCCGCCGTCACAAACTCTGTAGCCCTGACCCGGGCCAGGCCAACAACAGTGAAGGCAGCGACCATGACTACCTGCCCTTGGTGAGGACTCGGGAGGTGGAGGGTGGTGCCGCCGGGGCCGGGCGCTGTTTCAGCTCGCTTCTCCCCCCACCTCCTCTCTCCTCAGGTGCGGCTGCAGGAGGCACCAGGCTCCTTCCGCCTGGACGCGCCCTTCTGCGCCGCTGTGCGCATCTCGCAGGAGCGCCTCTGCCGTGCCTCGCCCTTTGCCGTGCACCGCGCCAGCCTCAGCCCCACCTCGGCCTCATTGCCCTGGGCACTTCTGGGCCCTGGTGTTGGCCAGGGTGACAGTGCCACGGCCTCCTGCAGCCCGTCCCCCAGCTCGGGCTCTGAGGGGCCAGGCCAGGTGGACAGTGGGCGGGGCTCAGACACCGAGGCCTCCGAGGGGGCGGAAGGGCTGGGCGGCACCGACCTGCGGGGCCGGACCTGGGCCACTGCCGTAGCACTCGCCTGGCTGGAGCACCGATGCGCCGCTGCCTTCGACGAGTGGGAACTGACAGCGGCCAAGGCTGATTGCTGGCTGCGGGCCCAGCACTTGCCTGACGGCCTTGACCTGGCCGCCCTCAAGGCCGCAGCCCGAGGGCTCTTCCTGCTACTGCGCCACTGGGACCAAAACCTGCAGCTACACCTGCTGTGCTACAGCCCAGCGAACGTGTGAAGGCTGCCCCCTGCTGCTTGGGCTGGCGCCCCACCCAACACACTCAAGTCACTGCCGCCCAGGGCTGGCCTCTTGGTGCTGGGAAAGTGTAGGCTGGTGCCAGCCTGTCCCCCACTGCTTCTTACTCCCTCCCTAGAGCCCTCTTGCCCCCACAAAAAGTGCCTGCCTGTGCTCTCTCCCTCTCCTCCCACCCCACTCACACTCCCCTCCATCCTCTGAGCTCCCTGCAACACAGTGGAAGGGTAGAGAGCCACAGTCCCCAAATCCTATGCAATAAAGTGCCTCTTAGGACTGCTTGAGTGAATTCTTTATCTGCTCCATACGTGTCCCTCACAGCCTGGACCAGGCATCGGCTGCCCCCACCTCCATGTAGGTTGCACAGAGTTGGACTTAGCAAGGTTTATTTGGAAGGGCAGAGTCCAACCAACCCCAGGTCCTGAGGGTAGACTCAGGTCCTGAGGGAAAGGGGTGGACTTCAGTGGGCTTTCTTGCTGTGTTGGGTGCTCTTGGGGAAAGGCTGCGGGCCCAGCCAGAGCTGCAGCAGGATGACGGCATGGCATATGTGCAGGGCAGCAGAGCTGCAGGATGTGGAAGGGTATGTGTTCCAGGAGAGCTCGATGAGCCCCAGCACCAACAACCTGGAGATGAGAAACAGGTTCCACGTTTCATCCAGTTGCAAGGCCTGCAGACCTGCAGCTCCTCATGCCCTAGACATAAACCCCCAACAGGAACTCCCTATCCCTTCCCACTCCCCCAGGTTGTCCCAGCTGGTACCTGAGCAGGTGTGTGAGCCAGCGTGCAGGCATGGCCCACAGGAGGTAGGGCAGTGTGTGGAAATACCAGACGTAGAACTGGTAGTGGAGGGAGCGGCTGAAGCAGATGCCAATGAAGTTGGAGGTGAAGAGGGTAGAAACGATCTGTATGCGGTGGTCAAGGCCAAGGGCAGGAGTGTGTGTGGGGGGGACTATCCCAAAACAGAGGGGCAATAGTTTTTAGGTCACATAGCCCTCTGGCTCTGCCATTCCTTGATGCATGCCTTTGGGCAAGTTTATTAACCTCTCTGGACCTGCTCCTCAACCAAATATGGAATATGGAGAGAGTAATACCTAGGGCCATAAGGTCTTGTGGGTTTGAACCCCTAACTTACTGGCTGTGTGACCTTGGTAAGTTACTTAACCTCATGAAGTCTTAATTTTTCCATCTGTAAAATGAGAATAGTAAATGTAAGTGTACCTCCCTGTCTCGGGGTCTCTTGTGAGCTTTCAATATTAGAACATATGTAAATCTCTTATGATAGTACCAGGGAGAAGTACTCATAAGAGTAGCTCGTATTTAGAATTAAGAATCAAATATCCTTCAATATGTGAAGTGCTCAGCACAGTGGTGCAGAATAGGACTTCTATGATTGGGGTCCCCTTTCCTCGCCCAGGTCACCAGCTGTCAAGGGATACCTGACCAGGACTCTGTCAGCACCTAGAGAGGGCAAGACTTACCTTCCCACAATTTAAAGGATATGGTTGGGTGTAAGGGGCTGGGGTGGAACCTTCCTTTTGGAGGGATCCCTCAGCAGCGACAAGATACTTTCCCCTGTCCTGGAGAAAAGCCATTCAGACAGTTATCAAGCCCCTTTTGTGAGTCAAACTCTAGACTCACCCCATGAGCTTAACTGACACTTCCCCCAAGCAGCCCCTAAGGCTTAGGCCCTTCACTCCTTCCCCCAACTCTGCCCATGGCACTACTGCCTTTTCTCACCTGTGCCACCTGCAGAGGGCAAACAGCAGGAGCAGGGTGAGGTGGGCAGTCAACAGGGCCAGGTGGAAGGCTCGATGCAGGAAGAGCGCCTCTGGGAGGAAGCGCCAGTTCACTGTCCAGTGGAACAGAAACTGGCGGCCAAGGTCAAAGGAGCGGGACAGGTAGCCGCTGGGGTTCTCCAGCAGGAAGGGCAGCCCCAGCACCACCTGAGGATTGGTGTGATGTCAGCAGAGCTGCCAAGGCTCATTCCCAATGACCAGCCTTCATGCTACTCATTGAGGGGTGTGGGACGGGGATGTAGGCCTCAGAGGTTCCCCAATTCCCACTAGAAATAGCAGGAAAACCACGTTCCCCACCCCCCGGCCCAGGCCAGTGCCTGGGGCCAAAGAAGCTCAGGAGGCAGGTCATAACAATGCTTTAAGGTGTGGATTCACCAAGTCATAACTGGGCAGAGCAAGGAAGGCTCTCAGAAGCCAGGCAGGGTGGCTCATGCCCAAAATCCTAGCGCTTTGGGAGGCCAAGGCAGGAGGATTGCTTGAGCCCAGGAGTTTGAGACCAGCCTGGGCAACCCAGCAAGAGCCCATCTCAAAACTTAAAATTAAAAAAAGCAAAAAGGCTCTCAGAGACCATCAAATTTAATACCCTATTTTACAGCTATGGAAACTACAGCCTAGCGATAGTGGCTCCCTAGCTCAGAATCAACTCCAAAACCCTGTCTCTTGGCTTTGAGGGAGTCTCAGGGATAGAGCCCCTCAATCAAGACAAGTGGCTTCTCCTTGATTAGAAAGAGGAAGGGTGAGATGGGGGTACCTGAAGGCCAGCACAGATTCCCAGCTTGGGGAGGGCCCCACGGAAGCCAAACTGTGTGAGGAGAAGAAACAGTAACCCAGGGGCGAAGAGCAGCACATTCATCTTCACAGAGACTGCCAGGCTGGGGTGAGCAGGGGAGAGGAAGGGTGGAGATCAGCTCCAGGGCCATGCACACAACACCCAAAGACATACCCCCCACCATCACCACAGCAACCTCCCCCCCGCCGCCACGCCAACAAACTCCAAGATGGGACCTACACTCACAACTGTTGGAGGGAAGAGCCTGGAGTAGGCAGGAGGCAGATACATAGTCTCTATGCCTACTAGATGCGAATGAGCATATACTGAGTATTTAGAATGTGAAGGACTAATTCCAACAAGGAATGCTGTCTGGGAGGAAGACAGGATGGAAAGAGGGCATGTGTGTATGTTGGGGGATGGCAGGGCAGAAACTTTCTATAGATCCTGGACTCGCTTTGTGGAGCCCTGAGTGACCCATGCTGTCTTGGCTACTCCTTTACTCCCTCTGCTGCAGGAAATTGGGAAGAGATGGAAATGCAGAAAACGAGAGGGGACCAGAAAGGAAGAGGTGTTGACCTGAAAAAGCAGCAACCCCAGCCCCAGCGCTGGGCCAGCAGGAGGTTGATACTGAGGAAGAGCAGCACCATGGCCACTGGGTCATTGAAGAGCCGCAGCACAAAGATGGAGTGGACACGGTAAGAGGCGCAGCACATGAAGAAAAAGACGAAGGGAGGTACCTAAAGGGAAAACACAGTAAGGTACAAGGTCAGCTCAGCAAGCCTGAGCCATCCCCACCACCCAGCCCTCCCAGGCTGGGGCCCTCTAGCCCTGGTAGCATGGACTCACCTTGCAGGTCTGGTGATAGATCAAGAAGACAAGCAGCAAGGTAGCCAGGTAGAGCACAGCAAAGATGTTCTGGGCCATGCGGATGTCAGTGCCTCGGCTGGTGGCATAGTACAACCCCATAAAGATGTACACGAAACCAGCTGGGTACCTGGAAGATGAGAGAAAATGTGAGCCTGGGTCAGGTCACACAGACTAGTACCTAACCAGCCCCTCACATCCTCCCTGAACTTCCTGTCCCCACTCACACAAGTGGTCCGGTGTCACCCTGCAGTTGGGTATAGTCATAGGTACCATTGATGACGCCTTCTACCTCGGCCATGTAGGCCTTCCAGTCAATCTCTGTGTCTGGAAGAAGACAAGATGATCTGGTTACTTCTGAGTCTAGAACTTGTCTGCCACCCTCCCCATGCCTCCAGACCATCAAAACACAGACTTTCAGCCAATTCCCAGGGCTTTACTACCTCTTAATCTAACTCTTTATCTGACATTCTCTGGGTGAGCCCAGGCATCTCAAACTCAACATTTCTATAAGTGAATTTGTGATCTTTCTTCCCATTCCAATCTACTCCTTTTCCTGGGTTCCGCAAATGGCACCACCGACCTCTTAGCTACCAGGTCACGAACCTGAGTAACATCTTTGATACTCCCTCCTCTCTCATTTGCAACCCTTCGTCAACAAGTTCTGCCTGTTCCTCACCGTAAATATCTCTATCTCATCCTTCTCTGCTACTACATACTCAAATTTGAGCCTAAAGTAATCTCTAGCCCCAATGAGTATACAATAGCCTGCTAATTAGGCTCCTGACTTCTACTTTCACCCTGCTACAATATATTTTCCACCTCGTACACCAAAGAGCTCCTCCTAAAATACAAATCATAACAGGCCTCTGCTTAAAACCTCTCAATGATTCCCCAAGACCCTTAAGATAAAGAAAACTCTGTATTATTCCCATTTTTTGAAGGGGAGCCTAAGAATTAATTAGGTTAAGTGACTGGCTTAAGATAATTGAGCTAGGATGGTGGAGTTGGGATTGAAGCTTGCAGGGTCCCAAGTTCTTAATTATCATGCTATCTTCTTAACAAAGCTTTCAAATTCCTTCATGATCTGGCCTCAGTTTCTGCATTCCCATCTCTTACTACTCCCTTCACTTGATTTCTACACTCTAGCTCTAAAAAAATCATTTCAGTTCCTCAAAGGAACCAGGCTGTCTTCTTTTTTTTTTTTTTTTGACAGAGTCTCACTCTGTCACCCAGACTGGAGTGCAGTGGTACGATCTCAGCTCACTGCAACCTCCGCCTCCCGGGTTCAAGTGATTCTCCTGCCTCAGTCTCCCGAGTAGCTGGGACTACAGGTGTGTGCCACCATGCTTGGCTAATTTTTTAAGTTTTGTATTTTTAGTAGAGATGGGGTTTCACCGTGTTGGCCAGGCTGGTTTGTTTGTTTGTTTTTCTTTTGAGACAGGGTCTCGCTCAGCCACCCAGGCTGGAGTGCAGTGGTGCGATCTCAGCTCACTGCAACCACCATCTCCCCGGTTCGAGCCATTTTCCCATCTCAGCCTCCCAAGTAGCTGGGATTACAGGCACTTGCCATCATGCCCAGCTAATTTTTCTATTTTAGTAGAGACAGGGTGTCAACATATTGGCCAGGCTGGTGTTGAACTCCTGACCTCAGGTGATCTGCCCGCCTCGGGCTCCCAAAGTGCTAGAATTACAGGCATAAGCCACCGTGCCCAGCCAGGCTGGTCTTTAACTCCTGCCCCCAAGTGATCCGCCCACCTCAGCCTCCCAAAGTGCTGGGATTACAGGCATGAGCCACCGTGCCCAGTCTAACTGAATTTTTTTTTTTTTTGACACGGAGCTTGCTCTGTCACCCAGGCTGGAGTACAGTGGCGCAATCTCGGCTCACTGCAACCTCCACCTCCCGGGTTCAAGCAATTCTCCTGTCTCAACCTCCCGAGTAGCTGGGATTACAGGCATATGCCACCACGCCCAGCTAATTTTTGTATTTTTAGTAGAGACAGGATTTCATCATGTTGGCCAGGCTGGTCTCAAATTCCTGACCTCAGGAGATCCACCCGCCTAGGCCTACCAAAGTGCTGGGATTACAGGCGTGTGCCGCTGCGCCCAGCCTAGCTGGAGATTTTTAATAGAGGATCCTCTGTCCACAGCACTCCTTCCCCTCACCTTTTTCTTCTTTCCTTAAATAGCTAATTCCTACCTTCCAAGGGTGGCTCTATGAAGCCTTTGCTGACTCCTCCAACCTGGTTTAAGTGACTTCCTATGCCCTTTATGGTATCCTGTGTTACTACTACCATGATTATGATGCATTATAATTGCCTGCTAACTTACTGTCCAGGCCCGAGTTAGAAATGCATCCTTTTTCTTTTTTTTTTTTTGAGACGGAGTCTTGCTCTGTCGCCCAGGCTGGAGTGCAGTGGCGTGATCTCGGCTCACTGAAAGCTCTGCCTCCCGGGTTCACGCCATTCTCCTGCCTCAGCCTCCCGAGTAGCTGGGACTACAGGCGCCCGCCACCATGCCCGGCTAAATTCTTTTTTTTTTTTTTTTTTCAGTAGAGACGGGGTTTCACCGTGTTAGCCAGGATGGCCTCGATCTCCTGACCTCGTGATCCGCCCGCCTCGGCCTCCCAAAGTGCTGGGATTACAGGCGTGAGCCACCGCGCCCGGCAGAAATGCATCTCTTATTCACCACTGTACCTCTCTCTGGTAACCAGCATAATGCTAGGCATATAATAAGCACTAAATAAATATTTGTTGAATTAAGAGTCTTTAGCAAGAAAGCCAAGTGCCTTAAGCCTAGAGTATAGTTTCAGCCTGGAAAGGAGTAGCCAATAATGCCTAATGGACTCAAGTGGTCACAAGATGCCATCATTGAGAAGGGACGTTCAAAGATCACAGAACTGAACACATGGAAAAAGCTGAGATCCAGGAGGAGACCTGAGGTGTCCAAAGCCACAGAGAAAAGCAGCAGCAGCAGCAGTACAACAATTTTGGCTCAAATCTGACTTCTAAGCTGGTTTGCAGGCTGTAAGTTCAGTGCAGAAGGCCAATCTCTAGGGTATCCACCTCTGCCATGCGGGCAGATTAAGATCCGGTTTTCTGTAGAGCAGGCTTGGCGCTCAGGTAAGGGATATGGATGGGTTCGCAATTGACGAGTGAGTGGATACAGAGTCTGGTTTGGAGTTCCAGGTCTGAGATCCAGTTTGGGTCGCGGGTTCAGGTCTCCCTCCCTCCCCTCCCCTCCCCCTCGGCGCACTCACATGCCACCCTGTGAATGACCCAGAAGGTGATGCCCACCTCCGCCAGGCAGAGGCAGGCGGCCACCAGCAGCGTGTAGCGCGGCTCCCGCAGCAGCAGGCGCCGCTCTTGCCAGGCGCGCTGCAGCCATTGCTTGCAGAGTCCCTCTGCCTGGGCCGCGGAACCGGACCGGCCGCGTTTCCGCAGCCCAGCCGCCATCTTAACGGTGCGCCGCTTGTGTGGGCCCACCACCCCCGGAAACCCGAACCTTCGACACTTAGGTTCCGCTTCCCGTGCCTGGCGTCCCACCAGGCTAAGCGCCGATCCGAGTAGCCAGTCTTCATTTACTCCACTAAAATGTAATTTTTCTGCATTTGTCTCCTCTGATGCACTCCACGCTCCATAGGAGCAGGGACAATGTCTTACTCCTCAGTTTATACCCAGCCCTGGGTACACAGGCGCTAATTTAGAACGAATGTCCAGAAAAGCAACATTCCTGCCTACCTCCCCCACAACCGCTGAAGCCAGCATTCTCCTTCGCCTGCGCTGGGAACATCTGTGTTCATGCTGTCTCTCCAGGAGGGCAAAGCCCCTGTTCGCGCCCCTCCTGCCTGCCCTTCGAGCCTTCCGGATGCTGAGAAAAATGAACCTTTCACTAATTTTCAGATTTCCTGATAAAAGTCATTCATATTGAAAATATGAGAGGACGCAGTGATGAGCCCACGTGAGTCTGACACCTTGAGTGCGGCCCTAGGAAATGACTTGGCAGTACAGCCGGAGGATTCAGGGTCTGGACGATAGTTTTCCCAGCCGGAGGATTCTTCGAAGAGCGCTTAGTAAAGGACGGAAGTTCCACGTGTTTGTGTTGAGCAACTGCAGGTGGTGGGCGGAGACACCAGCGCCCCGCCTTCTGCATCCTGCCTTCCGTATTGGCTGAAGGGCCGGCGGCTCTGGCTGCCCGGCGGTTGAGAGCATGGCCTCTCCAGGGGCAGGTAGGGCGCCTCCGGAGTTACCGGAGCGGAACTGCGGGTACCGCGAAGTCGAGTACTGGGATCAGCGCTACCAAGGCGCAGCCGATTCTGCCCCCTACGATTGGTTCGGGGACTTCTCCTCCTTCCGTGCCCTCCTAGAGCCGGAGCTGCGGCCCGAGGACCGTATCCTTGTGCTAGGTGGGTAATCCCGGCGCGGCCCCGCCAGGTAGAGCTGGCAGGACCGGCGCCGCATGGGCTTGGCCTGGTCCGCTTTCCTCCCGCCTGTCTATCCCTCTTGGAGGACGCCTGCGTTGGGACGCGAGATCCAGCTCCTTCAGAGTCCCGGCTGTATTTAGTCAAGGCTAACAGGAGTAAGAGATTGTTGGTCCCGGGGCCCTCTGGAGAAAGACAGTCCCTCAGAGTTTGAGCGTTGGGGGTACCCAAGACCCTGTCCGGACCCTCGGGAGGCAGGCAGCCTTGGGGACCGGATTGCTCAGAGGACCGAGATCAAGTCCTAGCGCTAATTGACTTGTAAAACTTAGGACAAGTCATGAACCCGTTCTGAGCTTTAGATTCAGTTCTAGAAATGGTACTGCGAGTTCACATCGGAGGCGGCACGCGCAGGCACCTCGAGAATAATGCCCAGCGCTTTTCTTTTTGCCCCTGGGCACTGGGAGCCAGAGTCACCTAGAGAGAGTCCTGTCTGAAACTTGGTCCTATGCCTTAGAGAGTGAGAACAGCACCCTCTAGGGGTGGAGGGGAGATTGCCGCCCAGGGTGATACGATTCCCCAAAGGGAGACGTGCTGGAGGAAAGGTAGGGCTCTGGGGTGTTCGGCTGACCTCTTGAGGTTCTCTCCTAGTGTCAGCCTTGGAGGCGCTAGTAAAGTTTGAATGAGCAACAGATTTTCTTCCAATTGTCGTTTTTACTTTGCTCTTTGTAAAAGCCTTTGTATGTTTAAGTGAAGTCTTTAATAAATAAAAAAGGTATATGTAATATATATGTAAGGTATAAATAACAAATCTAATGTGTGTGTCTATTCCACTCAGTTTGAGAAATAGAACATTACTAGGGATAGAAAAAAAAGTATAATTTAGTGGTTAATAACTTGGCTGGGCGCGGTGGCTCACGCCATTAATCCCAGCACTTTGGGAGGCCAAGGCGGGCGGATCACCTGAGGTCGGGAGTTCGAGATCAGCCTGACCAACATGGAGAAACCCCATCTCTACTAAAAATACAAAAAATTAGTCGGGTGTGGTGGCGCATGCCTATAATCCCAACTACTTGGGAGGCTGAGGCAGGAAAATCGCTTGAACCAGGGAGGCGGAGGTTGTGGTGAGCCAAGATCATGCCATTGCACTCCAGCCTGTGCAAGAAGAGCAAAACTCTGTCTCAAAAAAAAAAAAAAAAAAAGAAAAGAACTTGGACTCTGGGCTGGCCTCATGATTCATGCTCATAATCCCAGCACTTTGGGAGGCCAAGGTGGAAGGATCACTTGATCGCAGGAGCTCAAGACCAGCCTGGGCAACATAGTGAGATCCCATCTCTACAAAAAATTTAGGCCAGAGCAGTGGCTTATGCTTGTAATCACAACACTTTGGGAGACCAAGGCGGGTGGATCATTTGAGGTCAGGAGTTCAAGACAAGCCTGGCCAACATGGTGAAACCCCGTCTCTACTAAAAATACAAAAATCAGCCAGGTGTGGTGGCACGTGCCTGTAATCCCAGGTACTTGGGAGGCTGAGGCAGGAGAATCACTTGAGCCCAGGAGGTGGAGGTTGCAGTGAGCTGAGATTGCACCACTCCACTCCAGCCTGGGTGACAGAGTAAGACCCTGTCTCAAAAAAAAAAAAAATTAAAACTTAGCTGGGCATGGTGGCCTGTGCCCATAGTCCGAGTTACTCAAGAGGCTGAGGCAGGAGGATCGTTTGAGCCAGGAGATCCAGGCTGCAGTGAGCTGTGATGGCTCCAATGGGCTCCAGCCTAGGCGACAGAATGAGACCCTGTCTCAAAACAAAGCAAAACAAAAAACAAACAAACAAAAAACCACCTTGGACTCCAGAGGCAGTGAATTATGTTGGAATCTTGGCTCGGCTTATACTGGCTGTGTAATCCTGGACAAAATACTTGAATTTCTGTGCTTCCATTTTCTCAACCTTAAAAACATAAGCATATTTATTAATTGGGCTTTAAGTTGATTAAATGAGCATGAAGGATACCTAGAACAATGCCTGGCAAAATGAAAAGTATATTCAAGGTTCTCTGTGTGGTCCTCCTAAAACCCCTTCTCCCCACAAGTAAACACTTTCTTGAATCTGTGATTTTAAACCATTGCACTTATTTATAGATTTACCTTAGATCTGTTTTCTCAAGCTTTAGTGTGTATCAAAATTACCTGGGGAACTAGACTGCACTGTGAGATTCTAATTCCAGGGATGGTCTAATGTGGGTCTCAGGAATCTGTATGTTCAACAAGCTTCACAGCAGATTCTTATGCTGGTGATTGGCAGAGTAACACTGCCTTAAAATCTGCTTGACTGGTTTTTCACCAAACTGATGCTTTAAAAAAAATCTGCTTAACTGGGAACTATCCTTTTCTGGATAGGAGGGGCAAGAAGTCTAAAAATCAAAAGGGGAATTTCTAGAATCCCCAAGATGTAAGAACAGGACCCACAACTTGGGAAATACTCTACGTTACATTCCACCTCAACAGACTTAAGTTGAGTGCCTGATAAGAGCCAGAGAATGTGCTGGGCCCTTTCTAACTTACTTAATCCTTATGACAACCCCTGAAGACAAGTCAAAAGTACTAAGAGACTTACTCCAGGTTAGGGGTCTGTAAACTTTGTTTGAAAATGGCCAAACAAGTAAATTTTTTAGGCTTTGCAGGCTACACAGTCTCTTTTACAATGACTTGGTTCCGCTATTGTAGTGGAAAAGCAGCTACAGACAATACAAAAGTGAATGATGGCCGGGCAGGGTGGCTCACGCCTGTAATCCCACCACTTTGGGAGGCCGAGGCGGGCGGGTCACCTGAGGTCAGGAGTTCGAGAGCAGCCTGGCCAGCATGGTGAAACCCCGTCTCTACTAAAAACATAAAAATCAGCCAGGTGTGGTGGCAGGCACCTGTAATCCCAGCTACTCCAGAGGCTGAGGCAAGAGAATTAATTGCTTGAACCAGGGAGGCGGAGGTTGCAGTGAGCCAAGATTTCACCACTGCACTCCAGCCTGGGTGACAGGGTGAAACTCCATCTCAAAAAAAAAAAAAAAAAAAAAAAAAGTGAATGAGAATAGCCATGTTTCAATATAACTTTATCTAACAAAATAGGTGGCAAGCTGCATTTGGCAACCCCTGCACTCATTGTCTTAGATTGAGTTCCCCAGAAGCAAATCCTGAGATGAGGATTCATGTCCAAGTTACTTGTCAAGAATGTGCTCCCAGGAGAATTGGTAAGAGCTAGAGGGAACAGAGAAAGGGAAGAAGCAAAGTTTCCCTGAAGGTAGTTTCAGCCTGAAGAGTCACAGATGTACACCATTAGAAGCAAACACACACCAAAACCCAGGGATATAAAAATAAAAATCGGTAAAAAGACTCCCAGGGCATCTGGTCAGAACACTGACAGTGTCCACTACTGTCATGCAGCAAGGAAGTGGTAAAGTAAGGGTGCTTTGTGACACCACACAGATGGGAGTAGGGAGGCATCTGGAACTCTTAAAACTGGTAAAATGACTACATTGTGAATTATAGCCTAATGGTCATATGGATATAGCTAACAATGGAATGTCACGACTGAAGGTGAGTGGGCCTCTTGAAAACTGGGAGGCAGTTGAACACAGTGGTTTAAGAGCTCTGGCTCTGGAGCGATAGAGGCCTGGGTCCAAATTCTGGCTCTTCCACTGACTATGTGACCTTGAGAAAGTTTCTTACCACTTTCCTCAATTTTCCCATGTAGAAAATGGGAATAGTAATAATAGTGTCTTTTTTTTTTTTTTTTTTACATGGAATCTCGTTCTGTTGTCCAGGCTGGAGTGCAGTGGTGCAATCTCAGCTCACTGCAAACTCCACCTCCTGGGTTCAAGCGATTCTCCTGCCTCAGCCTTCCGAGTAGCTGGGATTACAGGCGCCCACCACCACACCTGGCTAATTTTTGTATTTTTAGTAGAGACGGGGTTTCACCATGTTGGCCAGGCTGGTCTCCAATTCCTGACCTCAAGTGATCTGCCCGCCTCGGCCTCCCGAAGTGCTGGGATTACAGACATGAGCCACTGTGCCCAGCCAATAGTATCCTTTATATGGCTCTAACATGAAAGTAAACTGAAATAATTCTTATAAATGCTTAACATAGTACTTGGTGTTCAATGACTGTTAGCTATTATTATTTTTATTGAAAATGGGAATCAGAGAGGCAGTTTATCCAGGACTGTTCAGAGAACAGAGTACCCTGTTGGAAGACTCGTGTGTCTGGTCCCTATGGCTGAGACATCCTCATAGCAAATGAATGTATATGGATGGCTGGCCCCACTTTGCTGTTATTGAGCTTCTCCAATTTGTTATGCTTGCTTGACTTCATGCTCTGTAGGAATCTTCTTGTTTTTTTAGAGACAGGGTATTGCTCTGTCCCCAGGCTGGAGTGCAGTGGTGTGATCTTGGCCCACTGCAGCCTCTTGAACTCCTATGCTTAAGCGATTCTTTGGAATCTTTTGATCATAATCAAAAATTAATTTGGAAGCAGCCGGGTGCGGTGGCTCATGCCTGTAATCCCAGCACTTCGAGAGGCGGAGGCGGGCAGATCACAAGGTCAGGAGATCGAGACCATCCTGGCTAACACGGTGAAACCCCGTCTCTACTAAAAAAAAAAAAAAAAAAAGAAATTAGCCGGGCGTGGTGGCGGGCGCCTGTAGTCCCAGCTACTCGGGAGGCTGAGGCAGGAGAATGGCGTGAACCTGGGAGGCGGAGCTTGCAATGAGCGGAGATCAAGACTCCGTCTCAAAAAAAAAAAAACTTAATTTGGAATCAATTTGACTTCCAATTTAGATTTCCTATAAAGAGAAAAGGGACTGGCCAGAGGATTCAACTCCTGTTCCCATGATGGCTATTTTTCTTGTTATAAATTAGTAAATTGGCATTCTGGCTTATATTTCAATCTCTTGGTGTTGAGTTAGGATCCACTCAGCTCTAGGCCCTCATGTGATGTATTCTTGGATATGGATCAATTCTCCAAGGCTCTACTTCCCTCAGGCTCCACTTTGGAAGGCAGTGGCTTTCCCAAGCCCCTTCTTAGTTGCTGGCCCCAAATCTCTGAGTCAACAGAATCAAAAGTCACTGCTTGTAAAAATGACTGCCCCAGTGACCAGCTTTTGTTTCCCCTTCACCTTTGGTAAAGTTATCTTGGAAGATGCCATCCTGTACTAAGGAGAACAAAGGAAGGAAATCTGGATTTGTCCACAGTTTGGCAGAGCTCTACAGGTATATGAGGTCAGGTGTGGGGGTAATGAAGGGATTGTGGGTCAGCAAACCCAGTGGGATTTCAACCTGGAACTAAGTCAGGTTCTGCCACCCTTACCCCCATCCCATGTGCTGTATCTATCATGGCTTTTTGTGGCTTCAACTTTGGGTAGCACATGTTGGGTTTTCCTAGGCAAGATAGTTTTCCTTGAGCCCCAGGGCTTGAAGAGGAACATGGGAAGGGGCAGCTGGGGAGCAAGCAGCCAGCTGCCTCTGGGTACATTGTCCAGGTGCCAAACCCTGATAGATTAGGGCTATCCCAACTGCTGATCCCATGATCCTCTTAGGGAGGCAAGTGGGGATTAAAGGAAATCTAATCCCAAGAGCTGAAGATCCCCAGTGGGGCTATCAAGAGCTGTCACCCAGCTCCATTGTCAAGCTGGGACTGGCCATAGGAGGGCCTGGAAGAGGCCACTGGATCTTCTAAGGAAGTCATGCCCATTGGACTATAGATCCACATCCACTCCTCTCACCTCTATCCCTTCTCCATCCTGACCCTACCCCCTTTGGGACTGCTTTCCAGGCACTTCCTACCAGAGTGTTGGGAAGTTGTCAAGACTCTGTTCTTCAAGACTTTGCTTGGTTGTCAGCTCCCCGGAAACTCTTGGCTGACTCACCTGAGGTGAGGTCCAGACCTTCCTGTGTGCTCTCACAGCCTGTCTCTATTGAAACACTCATCATGTTTTGCAGCAACTGTCTGATGACACATTTGTTCCTACTGGAGCATGAGCTCCTTGAGGGCAGGGACTTTTATTCATGGGCAGAGCCTAATATGTAGTGCTCAATACATACGTTAAGAATTGCGGCCAGGTGTGGTGGCTCATGCCTATAATTCCAGCACTTTGGGAGGCCAAGGCAGGTGGATCACCTGAGGTCAGGACCAGCCTGACCAACATGATGAAACCCCGTCTCTATTAAAATACAAAATTAGCTGGGCATGGTGGTGCGTGCCTGTAGTCCCAGCTACTTGAGGTTGAGGCAGGAGAATTGTTTGAACCCAGCAGGCAGAGGTTGCAGTGAGCCGAGATCGTGCCTCTGCACTCCAGCCTGGGCAACAAGAGTGAAACTCCATCTCAAAAAAAAAAAAAAAAAAGAAAAGAAAAGAAAAAAAGAATTGCAAGGAATTAGTCAGCTCCACTGTGTGTCCCCACCTAGTTTCCCCTTCACTTGTTAATTCTGTTTTGGAAAACAAAGTAGAATAACCCCTAACATGAGGCCTTCCCAGGGTTGATATCTTCTAAGGTTTTCTAAGAGGTTGGGGATTAGGATAATACTAATTTATATCATTATTATGCTACTGATAATATTATGGTCCTAATGATACCAGTATTATCCCCATTTTGAATTTGAGGAAACTGAGGCTCAAAGAGTTGAATGATTTGCCGTGGCTGTGTGACTAGGAATATCAGACCCAAATCTCTGAACTCCTAACTTTAGAGCTCCTTCAGCTACTCTACAGTTCTTAATTCTTTTTTTTTTTTTCTTTTTTTGAGACGGAGTTTCGCTCTTGTCACCCAGGCTAGAGTGCAATGGCACAATCTTGGCTCACCGCAATCTCCGCCTCCCGGGTTCAAGCAATTCTCCTGCCTCAGCCTCCCAAGTAGCTGGGATTACAGGCATGTGCCACCACGCCTGGCTAATTTTGTATTTTTAGTAGAGATGGGGTTTCTCCATGTTGGTCAGGCTGGTCTTGAACTCCTGACCTCAGGTGACCCGCCCTCCTCGGCCTCCCAAAGTGCTGGGATTACAGGCGTGAACCACCGTGCCTGGCCCCTAGCTCTTAGTTCTTAAGTTTAATGCATCATATCCTGTATATGGCCTACGTATTATTATCTTCATTTTTCTGAATAGGAAATCCAAGTTTTAGCCAGGCGTGGTGGCACGCGCCTGTAATCCCAGCTCCTCAGAAGGCTGAGGCAGGAGAATCACTTAAAGCCGGGAGGCGGAGGTTGCAGTGAGCCGAGATTACACCACTGTACTCCAGCCTGGGCGACCGAGTGAGAATTCATCTCAAAAAAAAAAAAAAAAAAAAATCCATGTTTCTAGTATTTAAACAACTTGTCCCAGCCCACACAGCTAGGAGTGATAGAGCCAGGGTTTGCACCCAGGCCTGTGCGATTCCAAGGCTTGTGCTTTTTCTGCACTCTGCCACCTCCTCTCAGTACTAGAGGGTTTGGATTGAGAGAAAACGGGGCCAAGAGTGGATGGATATTCAGGGGGAGGTGAGAACCAAAACTAACGTAGCTCTTTTGCTACCCATTCCCTCCCACCCCAGGTTGCGGGAACAGTGCCCTGAGCTACGAGCTGTTCCTCGGAGGCTTCCCTAATGTGACCAGTGTGGACTACTCATCAGTCGTGGTGGCTGCCATGCAGGCTCGCCATGCCCATGTGCCGCAGCTGCGCTGGGAGACCATGGATGTGCGGAAGCTGGACTTCCCCAGTGCTTCTTTTGATGTGGTGCTCGAGAAGGGCACGCTGGATGCCCTGCTGGCTGGGGAACGAGATCCCTGGACCGTGTCCTCTGAAGGTGTCCACACTGTGGACCAGGTGTTGAGTGAGGTGAGGGAGCAACAAGAGAGGAAAGCAGATCAATAGGTGGGGCTGCGGGGTTGAGGTTTCAGGGGACTGGAAGAAATCAGAAGCCAGAAGCATGTTTTGGAGCAAGTAGTGGGTCGCCCTCAGGAGTGTGGCTCTCTGAAGGGAGGGAAGGGTTAAGCGGGGTCGAGATTTATAGAGGCGGCTGGAGTAGTCAGGCTCACAAAGGCTGACATGTGGTTACTGGGTTGCCATAGGGATGAGGTAGCAGCCAGGTTCCTGACAGGTGACAGAGACTGCCAAGGTGAGCAGTTATAGGAAAGTGGTGCCCCTATACCTGATATCACTCCTATACCCTTCCCTGAATAGAATATAGCCCTAATCCCAAGGAATGGCCAGGGGCAGAGAAAGTGGCTCACTCTTTGCCATGGAAAGCCTGAGCTACAGATGTGGGGTGGTTCCTGAGGTTTGACTGGGAGAGCATCTGGAGCAGTACTGACCTTTGAGAACCTGAAGATCCACTTCTCACCAATGGCTTCTCTGTCTGCCTTGCAGGTGAGCCGCGTGCTTGTCCCTGGAGGCCGGTTTATCTCAATGACTTCTGCTGCCCCCCACTTTCGGACCAGACACTATGCCCAAGCCTATTATGGCTGGTCCCTGAGGCATGCTACCTATGGCAGCGGTTTCCACTTCCATCTCTACCTCATGCACAAGGGCGGGAAGCTCAGTGTGGCCCAGCTGGCTCTGGGGGCCCAAATCCTCTCACCCCCCAGACCTCCCACCTCACCTTGCTTCCTTCAGGACTCAGATCATGAGGACTTCCTTAGTGCCATTCAGCTCTGAGGCCAGAGCATGGTCCTCCACCCTTCCTGCCATTCTGCCCTGGGCTCCTCAGGTAGTTGGAATTCCTGACTTAGGACTTGGGGTTGGGTCCAAGGTGCTTACATCCCAGGGGCCTCATGCCTAAGATAGAGGGTGGGAGCGAACCCACATGAACCAATACAGCCCAGCTCCAACTAGATCCAGATTCCAGGTTTCTTGCTTCTTTCTTGGGTTCCTCAGTTCTCTCCTGGGTTCCCCAACCTCCTCTGCCACCACACCAAACCACCAGTGATGCATCCCCTGGGGCAAAGCTCATCATAACCCCTCTGCACACCAGCCAGCCTGGAGACCGTTGTTCCTGGGGCCTGTTACTGATCCTCATCTAGCCTTGATTTATCCACAGGAGACTGCAGGCTTTGAACCTAGATTGCTTTATGTTTCTCACCCTAGCTCCATCCCCAACACTGGTGACCAGTCACGCCTGGGTTGTATCTCTACCCAAGGAGGCCACATCATAATGAGGTTCCCAGGCCAGCCTGGCCTGTCTGTCTTACTTGGCAACCGTCCCTCACCAGCAACATGCACCTGAGATTCCCAAGTACCTGCCCCCCCTCCCATTTTGGCCTGGCTCCTGAGACCTAAGCAGCGGCCACACACACACAGAGGGGGTCTGTGTTTATTCACACACTCCTGGTACAGTGAGGATGGAGGAACATTTACGAAGGGCACCCCTGGGTTGAGAACATCTCCGGGGCCACAGATGTCATCCAAAGGTTCAGAGCAGTCCCCATTTGGGTTCCCAGGGGCAAGACGCAGGGGTCCAAGGTAAAATCGGATCTGGGCCCTTGGAAGGTGATGATACCTTGGGGAGAAGGGGTCTGCCAGAAAGCCTCCTGGGGTCAGGCCTGGGCAGACTGGCCATGTGGTTGGTAACCGTGTCGGGGGCTTGTCTCATCCCAGCCTCAACACCCATCCTATCTGCCAGGCGCAGAAGAGCGTGGCCGAGACTGAGGGGAGGGCAGGAACCATGAGCAGAGCCAGTAAACAAAGAGTCGGATATAAAAATACAAATGTGCTGAGGAAGTCCCTTAGAAAGAGGCTGAGGCTGGGGTCACGCCAGACAGGGGTGGGGGCGAGGAACGGCCCGGAGGACTGGGCTCAAGTGGGTGGAAAGCTCATGCAAGTACGCAGCCAAACATCCCTGGCCGCGCGCGGTCCGACACCGGCGGCCGCCCGGTCTGCAGACCAGACTGGCCGGAGGGGGGCGGGGCAGGGGAGCCGTGCGGGAGGGGGCGGGCCGGGGGCTGGGGGCCGCGGGTCTCCGTGTCCGTTCCGGTGTGCGGGGTGGGGCTGCGGCCCGAGGTTTTAAAGTGCATGAGCGCGGCGGCGGGTTCCGGGCGGGTCCGCGCCGCCGCTACCGCGGCCGCCGTGGTGCTGAAGCGGACAGCTCCGGAGTGCCTGGCGGCGGCGGCGGCACGGCCCTGCAGCCCCCGCCCGCGGGCGCCTGGGCCGGGGCGGGGGGGCGCCGGCAGCCGCATCGCCGGCCCGCGCTCCTGGCCGCTGCGAGGCTGGGCCCGGAGCCCGCCGCCCGAGCCGGCGCGTCTACACTCCGGACGGCGGCTTCTCCCCCATCCCCTTCAGCACGTCGTCTATCCGGTCATCCTCGATCACCACTGCGCAGGGAGAAAGCGCGTCAGCCGCGCGGCCTCGGGGGGCGGCGGCGATGAGAATGAGCCCCGCGTCCTAGCTTCCCGCGCAGCTACTGCCCGTGGCCCAGCGACGCCCCTCGGAACCCTGTGCCGCGGTGTCCTCCCCGTCCGAACTCTTCTGGAGACCCAACCCGCCGCCAAGCCTAGACCCCCTCCCCTCCCGATGGCGGAACGCCCCTCTTCCAAAGGCTCCAGCTATTCTCCCTCCCAGTGCGAGCCCTCCTGCCACCTGAGCCTTCCTCCCTCTGAGTTGATCAGAAACCTCTTGCTCACGGAATCCCCCTCTTCAACCCGCACTTCAACAGATCCCCCTGCTCAAATGGGGCTCAAACCGAGTATCCAGCTGGTCCAGCCCTCTCCTCAACCTGAGCCCTCTCGCCGCTGGAACCCCTCTTCCGATCCTGGCACCAACAGAGCTCCCCTCCCCATGCAAACAACCAAGACAAGCGGACCCCCGGCCTCCTGCCCTCTCTTGTTAGACGTCCCTCTCGACCCGAAGGTTCTTCGTATTGTCCACCGACTCAGTATTTGATCCCAAAGAATCAGCCCGTTACCCCGTGCTCCCACTTCCGTGCAGCCCCAAATGCCCCGACCGGCCCCTCCCCCTCGCCCGGGTGCCAGGGCTCTGCTTCCAGAGGTGGCGAGCATCGAATCCGGGGCACCGTGTTCCCGGGAGAAGGGAAGAGGGGGACACACACTGCAGCGGGGACCCCCCCCTCCAGCCCGGGCTGGAGAGCGGCTGGTGCGCTGGTCTGCGGCAAGAGCTGCGGGCACTCGGCGGGGAACGGCAGCCGGGGGGCGCCCGGCGGAGGGTTTCTGGGTCAGGCGGCGACTCCGGGCCCGGGCCGCGTACCTCGCTTGGCTCGGCCGATCTGGCCCAGCTTGGGGGGTCGCTTGGCCTGGTTGCCCGCGAAGAAGGAGTTGGTGTCCTGCAGGCGGCAGCTGAAGGAGAGGTCGGAGCCCTCGGGGTCTGCGCCGAAGCGGCCCATCTTGTCTTCGCTGTAGGGCAGGATCTCGGACATGGCGGGCGCGGGGTGGGCGCGGGGCGGGAGCGGGACTGCGGCGGGGCGCGGGCGGCGGGCTTGCTGCCGGACCGGCCCTACCTCAGCAGGGGAGCCGGCGGAAGGATGAAGTCATGCAGCATCCGGGGCTGAGGAGCCAAGCGGGGCCTCCTCCCCCGCGCCTCCGCCTCCCGGGCCGCTGGGCAGGCGGCGGCGGCGGCGGTGGCGGGGACCGGGCGGGGGCGGGGGCGGGGGGCGGGGGTGGCGGCGGCGGCGGCAAGAGCGGAATGACGATGAGCGCCCGACTGCGGCAGAGCACGGCGGGCGGGGCGCGGTGGAGGCGGGGCGGGCACTGGCCAGGGGAAAGAGGCGGGGCCGGGGGCAGGAGCGCGCCCAGCTACCCCGGGAACAGAGGCAGCTGGAGTGGGAGGTTCCCGCACTGTGGCGGGGAATGGCCAGCACGTGGGTCTTGGGGAATAGTACCAGCCAACCCGGCCGGGACCTCGCGGGGAGGGGCGGGACCGAAGGGGGGTGGGATCGAGCCTGGTACTGGAGGAGCTTGGAGGAGGGTCTGACCCCTAGGCTGGGAGAGGCGTGCAAGGGGGACTGGGAGCAGGAGGGCAAAAGCTGGCCGGGCGCGTTGGGGCGGGAAGGCGGCCGCAGGGCTGGCAATGGAAAGCGGGGAGCGGGAAATGCGCGGGGAGGAGACTCGGGTACAGGGTGACTGGGGAAGGCACGAACCCACAGCGCGGGAAGAGCTCGGGCCAGTGGGATGGTGCCCTTGCCGCTGACGCGCTCTTGTACTAGTTGCTCTGCTGGTCTTAAGTAGATCGTCAGGGTCCGTGCGCCTCTGAGTGCCGGTCTGTGTCTCTGTCTCCGCCTTTGTGTGTGTCAGTCCATCTCTAAGTGTCTGTATCTCTCTGTCTCTGTGCCCCGTATCTCTTTCGCTGTGTTATGGCCTTTGTCTATGCCTGTCCCTTAAGTGTCTGCCTTTCTCTATCTATCTCCATTCTTGACTCCTGTATCTCTGTGCCAGTGTCTCCGTCTCCTGAATCTGGGTATTTCAGTCTCTCCTAGGAGGGGTCTATAGAAACTGGGCCGACGCGCGCGCACCAGGGCAGACACCCCCAGCCCTAGTCCGGTGGCTGTAGCCCCCCGCGGCTCTGGAGTGGTGCGCTCGCAGTGTAGGAGGAATGAATGGCGGCGTCGCGGGGGGCGCCCTGGGCTGCGGGTGACGCGGGGAAGCTCGGAGCACCTGAGGACGCGGAGCGCGCCAGTGTGTGCCCCGAGGGAGTGCGGTAGAGATGGAGGGTGCCCCCCGCCCTCGTTGCTTTGGACCACGGGTGAGTTCTCGCCTCACCGATGGGAACATGCCCTCTTCTCCCCTTGCCTCCCGCCCCCACAACCCCCGCCCTGGCTGGCCGTCACCCGCGGCGTCACCTGCTTGCCAGCGCGCAGGAGCTCTGGCGCAATCACTGGCCTTGGGGAGGAGGGGGTGTCTCACATGCGGCGACAGTGACGGCAGCGCTGAAAACGGTAATGATCACCCTGTACGTTCATTCCACACTCCAGGCGAACGCGCTTTCCTTCCTTAATCTGGCCAAATTACCAAATCACACAGCTGGTGAGGCTGCCTTGTAGTGGGTCTCCTTCCAACACTTTCTCGCCAGGTGTTAATACCGGAGACACAGGGACAAACGCAATGGTGGCTGCCCAGGGAACTGGATGGGGGGGGCGGTATGCCACAGGATACCTTGATGCCAGCCTCACTCAAGGGCCCAGGCCTGGGGGCCCATCACTATGAAGCCCTCCTCTGCTCTGTCCTAGTCTCCGGGATGAGGGCCACAGCTGGAGGTGGAGGCCCAGCCTGGAGTGAGAGGAGCCCTGAAACTGGAAGGACAATAAAGGCGGAAGACTGGGGTCACTGGAAGAGAGTCCAGAAAATTCCACATACACTGGAAGTTGTCCAGTAATGGGTTCCAATCCTGACTCCCACTTTCTCAGTGACCTTGAACTGAAGGACCCATAATCATGGTTTTAAAAAATTAATTCGTTTGTACTTAAAACATTTTAGGAGGCCGGGCTCAGTGGCTCACGCCTGCAATACCAGCACTTTGGGAGGCCGAGGTGGGTGGATCACCTGAGGTCAGGAGTTTGAGACCAGCCTGATCAACATGGCAAAACCCTGTCTCTACTAAAAATACAAAAAAAATTAGCCAGGTGTGGCACACACCTGCAGTCCCAGCTACTTGGGAGGCTGAGGCACAAGAACCGCTTGACCTAGGGTGGCAAAGGTGGCAGTTGGCGGACATTGGGCCATTGCACTCCAGCCTGGGTGACAAAGCGAGGCGAGACTCCGTCTCAATAAAAGAAAGAGAGAGAGAGAGAGAGAGAGAGAGAGAGAGAGAGAGAGAGAGAGAGAAAGGAAGGAAGGAAGGAAAAAAATTTTAGGAAAATTAAGAAAATCACATAACATCTTTTTTTTTTTTTTTTTTTTTGACACGGAGTCTTGCTCCGTTGCCCAGGCTGGAGTGCAATGGCGCGATCTTGGCTCACCATAACCTCTACCTCCCAGGTTCAAGCGATTCTCCTGCCTCAGCCTCCCGAGTAGCTGGGACTACAGGCACACGCCACCATGCCCAGCTTTTTTTTTTTTTTTTTTTTTTTTTTTTTTTTGAGATGGAGTCTCACTCTGTCGCCAGGCTGGAGTGCAATGGCGCCATCTCAGCTCACTGCAACCTCCCCCTCCTGTGTTCAAGTGATTCTCATGCCTCAGCCTCCTGGGTAGCTGGGACTACAAGTGTGTGCCACCACTCCCAGCTAATTTTTGTATTTTTAGTAGAGACAGGGTTTCACCATGTTGGCCAGGATGGTCTCAATCTCTTGACCTCGTGATCCGCCCACTCGGCCTCCCAAAGTATTGAGATTACAGGTGTGAGCCACTGCGCCCTGCCAGTCTTTGTATTTTTTGTAGAGATGAGGTTTCACTATGTTGGCCAGGCTGGTCTTGAACTCCTGACCTCGCGATCCGCCCGCCTTGGCCTCCCAAAGTGCTGGGATTATAGGCATGAGCTACCACACCCGGCCTTATAACTATATATATATATATATATCCTTCTAGTCTTTTCACCATGTGTCTGCATGATATGATACCTCTGTAAGCCCCATGTTCTAGTCTGAAGCATGGGGATGATAAAACCTACTTATTAAGGAACGTTTTGCTGGGCAACATTCATGGCTCACACCTATGAATTCCGCCACTCAGAAGGCTGAAGCAGAAGGATCGCTTGAAGCCAGGAGTTGGAGACCAGGCTGGACAACATAACTAGGCCCCATCTCTAAATAAATAAGTAAATAAATAAGCAAGCCGGGTATGGTGGTACACACCTGTGGTCCCAGCTACTTGCAAGGCTGTGGTAGAAGGATCACCTGGGCACAGGAGTTTGAGGCTGCAGTGAGCCATAATGGTGCCACTGCACTCTGGCCTGGGTGACAGAGCAAGACCCTGACTCAAAAAAGAAAGAAAAGGACAGTTTTGTAGATGAAACTGTCCTGGGGTAAAGTGGGTTGTCTCGGGAGGTAGTGAGCTGCCCCTCACCTAAAATGCCAAAGAAGAGGCATGAGGGTTCTTGCCAAGGATGAGATAAGAGTATTGTGTGAGGAATTGAAACAATTCTCCTTTCTCTCTGCACAATGAGGGAGATTGGAAAAATGACAGTTTAATCCAGAATTCACTTGGTTACCTCCTTCTTAAATAATTATATTCCCGTCCCGGCCGTGCCTGCTGGATCATGGTTAAAGCAAAAGTCCTAAGTACAAACCTGTGGACTATTATGATATATAAGCTTCAGCTATGTTGTAAAAATGTGGGGATTTCTTTAAATTCTGCTCCTCTCTTTAAAATTCTGATATTCTGCTTCCTTCCCATGAGAGGAAAATACATTTTCACTAAAATGAAATAAAGCTTGTATAGAGTTGCGTGACAGTGCATTGAGTCTCTCAATTGGAAGTCCCTCAAACCTAGTATACTTGTCCACGTGCTCTACACAGATAACATGCCTTTTGACAATTGAGTATTAGTGACACTTTTAGTCAAGTGGAAACTGTAGACCCCTGTAGTGGATTGAATAGGGACTCCCACAACAATTCAATGTTCACCTGTAACCTCAAAGTGTGACCCAGGGCCAGGTGCAGTGGCTCATGCCTGTAATCCCAGCACTTTGGGAGGCCAAGGCGGGAGGATGACTTGAGCCTAGGAGTTCAAAACCAGCCTGGGCAATATAGTGAGACGCCATCTCTACTAAAAAAAAAAAAATTAGTTAGGCATGGTGGTGCATGCCTGTAGTCCCAGCTACTTGGGAGGCTGAGGTAGGAGGATAACTTGAGCACAGAAGCTAGTTGACAGTGAGCTATGACTGTACCGCACTGCACTGTAGCCTGGGTGGCAGAGCAAGACCCTGTCTAAAAAAAAAAAAAGTGTGACCTTATTTGGAAATAGGGCTTTTGCAGATACAATTAGTTAAGATAAGGTACAGTCAGGCTAGGTGGCTAATGCCTGTAATCCCAGCACTTTGGGAGGCCCAGGCGGGTGGATCACCTGAGGTCAGGAGTTCAAGACCAGCCTGGCCAAGATGGAGAAACCCCATCTCTACTAAAAATAGCCCAGATTGTGCCACTGCACTCCAGCCTCTGTGACAGAGTGAGATCCTGTCTCAAAAAATAAAATAAAATAAAATAAAAAAATATAGGCCGGGTGTGGTGGCTCATGCCTGTAATCCTAGCACTTTGGGAGGCCAAGGCAGGAAGATCCCATGAGCCCAGGAGTTGAAGACCAGCCTGGGCAACATAGGGAGACCCTGTCTTATATAGAAAGAAAAAAATAAAAAATAAATTAAGATGGGGTTATACTGGATTATGGTGGGCCCTAAATCCCATCACCAATGTGTTTATAAGAAGAGAACAGACACACAGGGAAAAAGGCCACATGAAAGACGCAGAGATAGGAGTGAGGGAACTACAAGGTAAGGAAAACCAAGAATTGTTGGGAGCCACCAGCAGCTGAAAGAGGCAAGGAAGAATTCTTTACTAGAGTCTTCCAAAGGAGCTTAACCCTACCAACACCTTGATTTTGGACTTCTGGCCTCCAAAACTGTGAGAGAATAAGTTTCTGTTGTTTTAAGCCCTCAGTTTGTGGTACCTTGTTACAGCGGCCCTAAGAAACAAATACAAGCTGTTAGAAATATTTTGGGGTAAGCTGGGTGTGGTGGCTCACACTTGTAATCCCAGCACTCTGGGAGGCTGAGGCGGGTGGATCACCTGAGGTCAGGAGTTCAAGACCAGCCTGGCCAACATGGCAAAACCCCATCTCTACTAAAAGTACAAAAATTAGCTGGGCATGGTGGTGGGCGCCTGTAATCCTAGCTACTGGGGAGGCTGAGGCAGGAGGATTGCTTGAACCCGGGAGGCAGAGGTAGCAGTGAGCCAAGATTGGCCACTGCACTCCAGCCTGGGTGGCAAAACAAGACTCCATCTCAAAAAATATAGGCCGGGTGTGGTGGCTTACACCTGTAATCCCAGCACTTTGGGAGGCCGAGGCGGGCGGATCATGAGGTCAGGAGATTGAGACCATCCTGGCTAACACGGTGAAATCCCGTCTCCACTAAAAATACAAAAAATTAGCCGGGCGTGGTGGCGGGCGCCTGTAGTCCCAGCTACTTGGGAGGCTGAGGCAGGAGAATGGTGTGAACTTGGGAGGCAGAGCTTGCAGTGAGCTGAGATTGCGCCACTGCACTCCAGCCTGGGTGACAGAGTGAGATTCCATCTCAAAAAAAAAAAAAAAAATACATATGTATATATTTTTTGGGGGGGTAGTATTTTTACTATCATATCTCATGATCATGTTTCTCCTTCCTTAGACTTTCTCTGGGCCTTTTGATCCTACCCTATCCACCTGATGGAAGCCCACACCATGAGGGTATTTCTAGGGCCCATTCTATTTAAAAGAAACTGATAAATTACTGTATCAGTCTGTTTTCACACTGCTGATAAATACATACCTGAGACTGGATAATCTATACAGGAAAAAGAGTTTAATGGACTTACAGTTCCACATGACTGGGGAGGCCTCACAATCATGGCAGAGGGCAAGGAGGAGCAAGTCATGTCTTACACGGATGGCAGCAGGCAAAGTGAGAGAGCTTGTGCAGGGAAATTTTCTCTTATAGAACCATCAGATCTCATGAGACCCACCCACTATCACAAGAACAGCACAGGAAAGACCTGCCCCCATGATTCAATCACCTCCCACCAGGTCCCTCCCACAACACATGGGAAGTCAAGATGAGATTTGGGTGGGGACACAGCCAAACTATATCAATTACAAAAAAAAGAATGAGAAAGATCTATGTGAACAGACATGGTAAAATCCTCAAGACCTGCCAAAATGTCATCAAATAACAAGTTTAGAGTAGAATTTTACATATGTGGGAAAAGTACACATACACACATATGTATACACACTTACATTCACATATATACATACAGTATATGTAGGAACATAAATGCACATAAAAGAAAGATCTGGGCAGGCTCAGTAGCTCACACCTTTAATCCCAGCACTTTGGGAGGCTGAGGCAGGTAGATTGCTTGGGCTCAGGAGTTTGAGACCAGCCTGGGCAACATGGCAAAACCCCATCTTTATTAAAAATACAAAAATTAGCCAAGCATGGTGGTGAGCACATATATTTTCAGATGCTCAGGAGGCAGGAGGATTGCTTAAGCCCAGGAGGTAGACGTTGCAGTGAGCTGAGATTGTGCCACTGCACTCTAGCCTGGGTGACAGAGTGAGAACATGTCTCAAAAAAAAAAAGAAAGAAAGAAAGAAAGAAAGATTTGGAAAGATACATACCAAAACGCAAATGATAGTTATCTCTGAGGATGGTACCAGGATCCCAACAGAATGAATTTCATCTTTTATTCAATATAATTCTGGAGTATATTACATTTGCAATAAAAACGTTTAAATATATTTTACATTTTATTATTTAATTTTCTTTATTATTATTATTATTTTTGAGACAACGTCTCAGTTCCATCACCCAAGTTGGAGTGCAGTAGCATGATCTTGGTTCACCACAGCCTCAACTTCCATGGCTTAGGTGATCCTCTACCACATCTGGCTAATCTTTGTGTATTTTTAGTAGAGACGGGGTTTCACCATGTTGCCGAGGCTGGTCCTAAACTCCTGGGCTCAAGCAAACCTCCAGTCTTGGCCTCCCAAAATGCTAGGATTACAGGCATGAGCCACTGAGACCAGCCTTAATATATATTTTTTAAGGGCTTAAAACCAGTGATATAGCACATTTATCAAACATTATACTCTAGCCCCAGACAAATTAGTTGCCTTTGAAAGGAAAATAGTGGGCTGGGTGCAGTGGCTCACACCTGTAATCCCAGCACTTTGGAAGGCTGAGGCTGGTGGATCACCTGAGGTCAGGAGTTCAAGACCAGCCTGGCCAACATGGTGAAACCCCATCTCTACTAAAAATACAAAAATTATCCAGGTGTGGTGGTGGGCACTTGTAATCCCAGCTATTCTGGAGGCTGAGGCAGAAGAATCGCTTGAGCCCAAGAGGCAGAGGTTGTAGTAAGCCAAGATTGTGCCATTGCACTCCAGCCTGGGTGACAAGAGTGAAACTCCATCTCAAAAAAAAAAGGAAAATAGTGTAGCAGTTAAGAACATGAAGCTTAGATTCAAATCCAGGCTCTGCCCTCTACCTGCTTGTAACTTTGGACAAGTTATTAAGCTTCTCTGTGTCTTAGGTTCCTCATCTCTAAAATATGGACAATGATATTGGTAGAACCCATCTTATAGGCTATCGCAAGGATTAAATAAGTTAACATATATATAAACTGCTTAGGTAAATGTTGGACTATAGAAATGTTATTATTATACAGAAAAACATAAAGAAAAAATAATGCCATCACTAGATATATTTATAATTAATATTTTGTTGTATGTACTCCTAATCTTTTTTGCTTTTTTTGTTTGGTTGGTTTGTTTTTCTTGTTTTCTTTTTTTTTTTTAAGGCAGAGTCTCGCTCTGTCGCCCAGGCTGGAGTACAGTGGCGTGATCTTGGCTCACTGCAACCTCTGCCTTCCGGGTTCACGCCATTCTCCTGCCTCAGCCTCCCGAGTAGCTAGGATTACAGGTGCCTGGCTAATTTTTTGTATTTTTAGTAGAGACGGGGTTTCACTATGTGGGCCAGGCTGGTCTCGAGCTCCTGACCTCGTGATCTGCCCGCCTCGGCCTCCCAAAGTGCTGGGATTACAGGCATGAGACACCACGCCCGGCCTTGTTTGATTTTTGAGATAGGGTCTCACTCTGCCATCCCTTCTGGAGTGCAGTGGCACAATCATAGCTCACTGCACCCTCAATTTTCCAGGCTAAAGTGATCCTCCCTCCTCAGCCCCCTGAGTAGCTGGGACTACAGGTGCATACCATCATGCCCAGCTAATTTTTTTTAAAAATTTTTAATAGAGATGAGGTCTCACTATGTTGCCCAGGTCTCGAGCTCCTGAGCTCAAGCAATCCTCCTGCCTTGGCCTCCCAAAGTGCTGGTATTACAGGCATGAGCCACTGTGCCTGGCAATTCCAATTTTTTTTTTAACCTATGCTTTTATACCTTCTGCTTAACAAAAATGAGATTTTGTAACCCTTTTTCTCCTCCGCTTAACTGTATGTGGGGAACATTTTCCCACAGCATAAACTCTTCTTGTCTATCATTTGTAAATGTTGCATAGCATCTCATCATATGGATGTTTAATTCAACAAGCCCTCTACTCTTGAACATTGAATTCCCTCCTAATTTTTTGTTTACGATTATAAATAGTGCTGTGATGAACAAATGTCGTAGGAAAAAAATGGCCACATTATTTTGTACCTCCTCCAATCAAGAAGTAGCATCTATTTCTCCAGCCCTGAATGGGCTTGATCATGTGACTTGCTTTGCCCAATGTGGACGTTGGTAAATGTGTTGCAAGCAGAGGCTTGAAAAAAGTGTTTATGGCCAGGCACTTTGGCTCACCCCTGTAATCCCAGCACTTTAGGAGGCCAAGGCGGGTGGATCACCTGAGGTCAGGAGTTCGAGACCAGCCTGGCCAACATGGACAAACTCTGTCTCTACTAAAAATACAAAATTAGGAATGGTAGCACATGCCTGTAATCCCAGCTACTCGGGAGGCTGACACAGGACAATCACCTGAACCCGGAGGCAGAGGTTGCGGTGAGCCAAGATCGCACCATTGCACTCCAGCCTGGGCAACAAGAGCGAAACTCTGTGTCAAAAAAAAAAAAGTGTTTATGGCCGGGCGCAGTGGCTCACGCTTGTAATCCCAGCACTTTGGGAGGCCAAGGCTGGTGGATCACGAGGTCAGAAGATCGAGACCATCCTGGCTAACATGGTGAAACCCCGTCTCTACTAAAAATACAAAAAATTAGCCGGGCGTGGTGGCGGGCGCCTGTAGTCCTAGCTACTCCAGAGGCTGAGGCAGGAGAATGGTGTGAACCCAGGAGGCGGAGCTTGCAGTGAGCCGAGGTCGCGCCACTGCACTCCAGCCTGGGCGACAGAGCAAGACTCCATCTCAAAAAAAAAAAAAAAAGTGTTTATGTACTGGGGCTTGCCCCTTCTTTGTTGCTGAGAATCTTAAGGCCACCATATGAAGAAGCCTGGGCAAGCCTACTGGAAGAGGAGATAATACACAGAGACACTGTTCAGGCATCCCAGCTGAAGCCCAAAAATGTAAATGAAGCCATTCTAGACCATGCTAAACCATCCAGCTCCTGCTGAGCTGGCCAATCCCAAAAAATCACAGAACATGAGAAATAATCAATGTTTGTTATTTTAATCCAGTTTGAGATGATTTGTTACACAACAAAAGCTAATTGATAAAACTATCCCATGGATAATGATTATTTCCTGGAACAATTTCCTAGAAGTAAATTTTCTGGGTCAAAGAGTATGCACACTTTCATACCTTTTGATTCATATTGCCAAAAAGGTTGTATCAACTTCTAAGCTACCAGCAATGTATGAGTGTTCATATCTTCCATCTTTATCTATACTGGACTTTGATGTTTCTTTTGTTTTTGAGATGGAGTCTTGCTCTATCGCCCAGGCTGCTGTGCAGTGGCGCCATCTTAGCTCACTGCAACCTCCATCTCCCAGATTCAAGCAATTCTCCTGCCTCAGCCTCTGGCGTAGCTGGGATTACAGGCACCCGTCACCACGCCCGGCTAATTTTTGTATTTTTAGTAGAGACTAGGTTTCACCATGTTGGCCAGGTTGGTCTCAAACTCCTGACCTCAGGTGATCCGCTCACCTTAGCCTCCCAAAGTGCTGGGATTACAGGCATGAGCACCACACTGGGCCTCATCGATGTTTCTTGTTATCTTCATGACTACATTGTGTTTGTAAATTTAACACACAAGCCATTGTCCATTCCCTCTCAATTCACAATCAATTTAGACCAAAAAAAAAAAAAAAAAAAGATTATCCATGTAGGAAAAAAGACCAAAAAAAAGATTATCTATGTAGGAAAAAAGATCAAAAAAAGATTATCCATGTAGGAAAGGAAGAGTAGAAAAGAGAGAGAGAAAATAGGAGAATAAGAGAGAAACAGAGTCAAAGATGAAAAATACAGAGAAAGAAAATAGAAATATAAAACAGAGCAACCTCCAAGACTCTTATACATAGGGTATTTAACATGTAGTCGGAAATAGTTATGGGGGGCTGGGCGTGGTGGCTCAGGCCTACAGTACTTTGGGAGGCCAATGCAGGAGGATTACTTGAGCTCAGGAGTTTGAGACCAAATTGGGCAACATAGTGAGACCTCATCTGTATAAAAAAAAAAAAAGGCCAGGTGTGATGGAATGCACCTGTAGTCCCAGCTACTTGGGAGGCTGAGGTGGGAGGATCGCTTGAGCATAGGAGGTTGAGGCTGCAGGGAGCTCTGATAATGCCAGCCTGGGTGATAGAGCAAACCCTGTCTCTAAAAATTGGAAGGAAGGAAGGAAGGAAGGAAGAGAGGAAGGAAAGGGGAGGGGAGGGGAGGGGAGGGGGGGATGGTTACGGGTCTAAAAATAATTTGGGTCATGAAAGAGACTTGAAAAGAAAATGCCCATTTAGGCCAAGCCTAGTGCATCTGAGAGCAGTGTAAAAATAGGTAACAGGCTCTATCATATGTGGTTGCATTTAATTCTCACAGCAACTCTCTGAGACAGGGGTGATTATTCCCATTTTATAGATGAGAAAAATTAACAGTCAGAGCTTTCAAGTAACTTGATAAAGATGATACAGCTGATAAAGAATTGAGCCCAAATTTGAGCCCAAGTCTGCCTGTCTTGGAAATTTATGTATTTCCACTTATTCTTCCTAGAAGGGATGTAGCAAAACACTAGCAACTAATGCAGGGAGGAAGTGTAGCCACCTTTTGATTCATATTGCTAAACTGCACTCCAGAAAGGAACCATACTCCCTGGGTTTGAATCCCAGCTCTGCCACTTACAACCTGTATAACTCTGAGTGTTTCTATGTCTCAGTTTCCTCATCTGTAGAATGGCTTCATAAGTGTCATGAGTGCATAAGATGTAAACCACTTGGAGCAGTGGCTGCCACATAGTAAAGTGCTGTCTAAACTTGCTATTTGTAGTATGCTGTTGCAGTGACCCTGGGAATATTTCTAATGATCCTGTTGCCAGGTGGCCCATACGTAGTAGCTTTCATTATGCAATCATGCACCACATAACAACCTTTATGTCAATGATGGACTGCATGTATAATAACAGTGGTTTCATAAGATTATAATGCTGTAAGCCAGGCGCAGTGGCTCACATCTGTAATCCCAGCACTTTGGGAGGCCAAGGTGAGTGGATCACTTGAGGTCAGGCATTGAAGACCAGCCCGGCCAACATGGTGAAATCCCGTCTCTACTAAAAATACAGAAATTAGCTAGGTGTGGTGGTGCGTGCGTGTAGTCCCAGCTACTCAGGAGGCTGAGGCAGGAGAATCGCTTGAACCCAGGAGGCGGAGGTTGCAGTGAGCCAAAATCGTGCCACTGCACTCCAGCCTGGCGACAGAGCGAGACTTCGTCTCAAAACAAACAAACAAACAAACAAACAAACAAAACACATTGCCCATTATGTGTCATGCACTGTCCCATATACTTTACAAGTACTATTTCATTTAATTCTCACAACTAGCCTTTGAAGTAGGTATTAGTCTTTTTTTTTTTTTTTTTTGAGACAGAGTTTTGCTCTTGTTGCCCAGGCTGGAGTGCAGTGGCGCGATCTCGGCTCAATGCAACCTCCACCTCCTGGTTCAAGCAATTCTCCTGTCTCAGCCTCCCGAGTAGCTGGGATTACAGGTGCGTGCCACCACACCCAGCTAAGTTTTTGTATTTTTAGTAGAGACAGGGTTTTATCATGTTGGCCTGGCTGGTCTTGACCTCCTGACCTCAGGTGATCCACCCACCTCGGCCTCCCAAAGTGCTGGGATTACAGGCATGAGCCACCGTGTGTGGCCTGAAGTAGGTACTCTCATTTCCATTTTACAAATGAGGAAACTGAGTCTGGATCCAGAATCTTTTATCCTTACTGTACTGTACTGTCTCCTGTTTAAGAACCATGCAATTTTGGGGTGCAAAATGCCAACAAAAGCAAATGCAACACTTCTCAGCCTGCTTCATTCATCATCTACTCTTTCTCAGCCGCAAGAACATTCTGCATTAGATCCACTGCAGCAAGTTGTCTGAGAACTGAGGTGAGTGTCAATAAATGGATTATGGGCCAGGCATGGTGACTTACGCCATAATCCCAGCACACTGGGATGCTGAGGTGGGAGAATTGCTTAAGGCCTGGAGTTCAAGACCAGCCTGGGCAAGATGGTGAGACCCCGTTTCTATAAAAAAAATTTAAAAATTAGCCAGGCACAGTGGCACGTGTCTGTAGTCCCAGCTACTAGGGAGGCTCAGGTGGGAGGATTGCTTGAGCCTAGGAATTTGAGGCTGCAGTGAGTTATGACCATGCCACTGCACTCCAGCCTGAGCAACAAAGTGAGACACCCTTCTCTTATTTTATTTATTTATTTTTTTTGAGATGAAGTTTTGCTCTTTGTTGCCCAGGCTGGAGTGCAGTGGCATGATCTCAGCTCATTGCAACCTCCACCCCCCTGGGTTCAAGCGATTCTCATCTCAGCCTCCCAAGTAGCTGGGATTATAGGCGCCCGCCACCATGCCTGGTTAATTTTTGTATTTTTGGTAGAGACGGGGTTTCACCATGTTGGCCAGGCTGGTCTCGAACTCCTGACCTCGTGATCCACCCGCCTCGGCCTCCCAAAGTGCTGGAATTACAGGCGTGAGCCACTGCACCCGGCTGACACCCTTCTTGAGAGAAAGATGAAAGAAAGAAAGAAAGAAAGAAAGAAAGAAAGAAAGAAAGAAAGAAAGAAAGAAAGAAAGAAAGAAAGAGAGAAAGGAAAGAAAAGAAAGAAAGAAAGGAAAGAAGAGAGAGAGAGAAAGAAAGAGAGAGAGAGAAAGAAAGAAAGAGAGAAAGAAAGAAATGGATTATGTGTTTGCTACCCACTCAAGCCTTCTCAGGTCAAATTCTTGTACTTTCTCAGTGGGGGTGGAGGATGGGGAGAGGAAGATGAAGCGCACTCTCTTTTCCTTTTTTTTTTTTTTTTGAATTGTAAAACACTAGGCACTTTTCAGTGCAACAGACTGCAATAACACCAGGCCTGATTAAGGAATGACAATATGGAAGGCAGATGGCAGATGCATGGGTGCCACACTATTGCTTTTCAGTTAAATATTGCTTGGTGTTAGTTTTTTTTCTCCTTGTAAATCTCCCAAATAAAACGGTTTGCTTTCCCCAAGTTAGAAGTGTTAGCACGTCTTTTCTTTAAATATCTGTGCATGGCTGTTTTTTTCCCTGCCAATTTGTCACCATCTGTAACCCTCCCTTTATGAGACGATCTGATGACAGCAGTTATCTTGGAGAGTAGAAGTGTGGTCTTGAAGCGCCATGGAAGAGTAGAGTCAGTGTAGGCTGTGTGTGTGTGGAGTGTATGCTCCCCCTGCACTTGGTGTGTGTACATACAGAAACACAGTGTGCGTGTGTGTTGGCTCTGGGTGTGTTGTGCGTGTGTACACTGTGTGTGAGTATGCAGTGTGTGTACATTCTGTGGGCATCTCGTGTGTGTGTGGACTGTGTGCTGGGCGTCGTGCCTGCCCGTGTCCTTGGCGCCTTGGCGTCTATGCGTTCTCTGCACATAGGTAGGTACCACGTGCACACCCTGAATGTGAGTGAACTGCCTGTGTGCTATGTATTTGCCGGCTGAAGAGGGGCTGTGTGGACTACTGGGGGAAGACGTTCCTCAGGAGGGCATAATTTCTCTAAAGTGCTTAAAGGGGATGGAGAGAGCCTGAAATTTGGGGGAAGTAGGCCAAGGAGTATTAGCAACGTCTGGGCCTGGTTGAATTTCATTACTTTTCCTAGGAAAGTAAATTATGGGTGGCTTGAAGGAGGGTGCTGCTGAGATGGGGGGCGGACCATGAAGCGTGGAGGGGTCTCCGGTGTTGCTGGAGGGCAGCTGGAGCCTGCGGAGAGCCTCGGCGCGCTCCTCCCTCTCCCCCACCCTCCCCCCACCCCGGGCGGGGCTCCGCGTGGGGCGGTGGACTCGGGCGGGGGGGGGGGCGGCCGCGGCCGAGCGGGGGTGCTGCGCGGCGGCCGTGATGGCTGGTGACGGCGGGGCCGGGCAGGGGACCGGGGCCGCGGCCCGGGAGCGGGCCAGCTGCCGGGAGCCCTGAATCACCGCCTGGCCCGACTCCACCATGAACGTCGCGCTGCAGGAGCTGGGAGCTGGCAGCAACGTGAGTGGGGGCCCCGGGCTCCACGGGAGGGGACTGGGTGGAGGGGGACGAGGCAGAGGGGTCGGCCGCGGAGGGGCAGGCGGTGCCCGGCTCGCGGAGGTAAGGCTGCCTCCCGGGCCTGGTGGAGGGGTGATAGAGAGACCCCGGGCCCGAGAGCAGGGCAGGTGGGAAGGGAAGGGCCCTCTTAGCAGGGCGGAGGGGTCCGCGAGGCAGGGAGCACTGGGGCAGGGTCGTGGGCAAATAGCCCTCTCTGCCTGACCTCGGTTGGCAACCCCGACTGTCTGGCAGATGGTGGAGTACAAACGGGCCACGCTTCGGGATGAAGACGCACCCGAGACCCCCGTAGAGGGCGGGGCCTCCCCGGACGCCATGGAGGTGGGCAAGGGGGCTTCCCCTTTCTCACCAGGCCCCAGCCCTGGCATGACGCCTGGCACACCCAGGAGCTCTGGGCTGTTCTGGAGGGTCACCTGCCCCCACCTCCGCTCCATCTCTGGCCTCTGCTCTAGGACTATGGTGAGGCGATGCTAAGCCGTGACGTTGCACAAAACAGACTCAAGGCTCAACTCACTGGCTGGCCTCATTGCCCCCGGGCCCAGAGTTAACCCTGTGGCTCTGAAAACTGCCTGTGGCTTCACCCTCTGGTAATCTTGGATCCCTGCCCTGCATCTCAGTCACTCTCTGTCCCCCTGTGTTCCCCAGGTGGGATTCCAGAAGGGGACAAGACAGCTGTTAGGCTCACGCACGCAGCTGGAGCTGGTCTTAGCAGGTGCCTCTCTACTGCTGGCTGCACTGCTTCTGGGCTGCCTTGTGGCCCTAGGGGTCCAGTACCACAGAGGTAGGTGGGCCCACACTCTTCGTCAGTATTCATAACTAGGGGTTCTGGAGGCCTAAGGGCCTCTAAGATTTTCACTTGTGGGAACCAAGCCTTCCCTGCAGAAAAGCCCCCGGCTTTGCTTTCTCTTCCCAACCTTCCTGCTGTCATGGCCCTTGCAGAGTTTGCCTCTTCCAGACAGACAGACTGACAGTCTCCTACCCTCCGGCCATGTTCCCTACCACAGACCCATCCCACAGCACCTGCCTTACAGAGGCCTGCATTCGAGTGGCTGGAAAAATCCTGGAGTCCCTGGACCGAGGGGTGAGCCCCTGTGAGGACTTTTACCAGTTCTCCTGTGGGGGCTGGATTCGGAGGAACCCCCTGCCCGATGGGCGTTCTCGCTGGAACACCTTCAACAGCCTCTGGGACCAAAACCAGGCCATACTGAAGCACCTGCTTGGTGAGTGGGGCTGTTAGGGAGGCCTTGGGCCACCTATGTGCCTTGTGCCCAGCACAGGGCCTGGCACTTAGCAAATAGGCAGTGTCCATGAATGAGGAAGTGGATGGTTCTGTGAACACTCCAGAGGGTGGGGAGGCAGAGAGCAGGGGACTATTGAGAAGTGCAGATGGGTTTGATGGGGGCAGAACTCTGGGTACAATGGAGGGCCGCTTCTCTGCACTCTGTTTGGAGCACTGTCGTGGTGTGGTAGACACCAGGGAGCCTGTACTGCTTAGATATCCTTGGGTCTCCATGGACAGGGAGAGGAAGCCACGGCTTGCTGTTTCAGACACTCTTCCTGGGTCTGCGTTAGCAGGACTGCTCATTGACAAGGCAAGGAGAGAAACCGAGCAAGGGCCAGGGACTCCCCCTCAGCAGTTAACGTAATTGCCACCTGGATCCTGTGTTCTGCCCCACAGAAAACACCACCTTCAACTCCAGCAGTGAAGCTGAGCAGAAGACACAGCGCTTCTACCTATCTTGCCTACAGGTGGAGCGCATTGAGGAGCTGGGAGCCCAGCCACTGAGAGACCTCATTGAGAAGGTAGGGCCACTGAGCCGGTTGAGGGCAGGGGAGCAGGAGAGGCCTTGAGAGAGGAGATGGCCCAGGAACGCTTTGGGAGCTCCTGCACTAATCATTCCACTTATGGTCTCTACATAGATTGGTGGTTGGAACATTACGGGGCCCTGGGACCAGGACAACTTTATGGAGGTGTTGAAGGCAGTAGCAGGGACCTACAGGGCCACCCCATTCTTCACCGTCTACATCAGTGCCGACTCTAAGAGTTCCAACAGCAATGTTATCCAGGTGATGAGCTGGGAAAGGGTGGGGAGAGACTTAGGGACACTTTGCTGAGCCCAGACTTCCCTCTCCTGTGACAGGCAGGCTGGGCTGACCCCCCGGCCCCACCCCTACCCCCGCTCGGGAATTCAGGTTCCCATGGTGGGGAAAGCGAGGGGCTCACCTCCTTTCCTTGACATTGCAGGTGGACCAGTCTGGGCTCTTTCTGCCCTCTCGGGATTACTACTTAAACAGAACTGCCAATGAGAAAGTAAGGAACATCTTCCGAACCCCCATCCCTACCCCTGGCTGAGCTGGGCTGATCCCTGTTGACTTTTCCCTTTGCCAAGGGTCAGAGCAGGGAAGGTGAGCCTATCCTGTCACCTAGTGAACAAACTGCCCCTCCTTTCTTTCTTCTTTTCTTCCTCCCTCCCTCCCTTTCTTCCCCTTTTCCTTCCTTCCTTCCTCTTATTCTTCTAGTAGGTTTCATAGACACCTACTGTGTGCCAGGTCCAGTGGGGGAATTCTGAGATATAAGTTTCCGAGCCATTGCCACAGGAAGCGTTCAGTGTCGATGGGTTCATGGACCTAGATAGCTGAGAACAAAGCTCACAAGAGGGTCCTGAGGATTCAGGAGAGACTTAGGGAGCCAGCAAAGTCTTCCTGAAGAGATTGCATTTGAGCCAGGTCCTGTAGAATACATAGGAGTGGATGAGGGCATGCTGGGTAGAAAGAAGTTTAGGCCAGGTGCGGTGGCTCACGCCTGTAGTCCCAGCACTTTGGGAGGCCGAGGTGGGTGGATCACCTGAGGTCAGGAGTTCGAGACCAGGCTGACCAACAAGGTGAAACCCCATCTCTACTAAATATACAAAAATTAGCCAGTCGTGGTGGCAGGCACCTGTAATCCCAACTACTCGGGAGGCTGAGACAGGAGAATTGCCTGAACCTGGGAGGCGGAGGTTGCAGTGAGCCAAGATTGTGCCACTGCACTCCAGCCTGGGTGACGGAGAGAGACTCCGACTCAAAAAAAAAAAAAAAAAAAGAAAGAAAAAGAAAGAAGGAACAGTTTAAACAAAAGTGTTGATGAGGCTGAGCACAGTGGCTCACACCTGTAATCCCCGCACTTTGGGAGGCTGAGGCCGGCGGATCACTTGAGGTTAGGAGTTCAAGACCAGGCTGGCCTACAAGGTGAAAACCCGTCTCTACTAAAAATACAAAAATTAGCCAGGCATGGTGGTGTGCACCTGTAATCTCAGCTACTTGGGAGGCTGAGGCAAAGAGAATCGCTTGAATCCAGGAGGCAGAGGTTGCAGTGAGCTGAGATGGCACCACTGCACTCCAGCCTGGGCAACAGAACAAGACTTCATCTCAAAAAAAAAAAAAAAAGTGTTGACGAGGGAAAGGCTAGGTGTGTCTGGACCATGGCAAGGGGTCCACTGTGGTAAAATATAGAACTCAAGGCAGATGAGAGGCTGGAGAGGTGGGCAGGAATGGGTTATGGAGGGGACCTTGAATAGCACACTACGGAGTTTATTCTGTAGCTCCCGGAGAGCCATTGCATGCTCCAAAGTAGGGAGGGAGCGCAGTGCTTTGGGAAGTCAGTTTGTTTGGGGTGTGAAGAGTAGATGTGAGAAAGAAAGCCTGGAGATGAATTAAGAGCATCTGCGGTACTCCGTGCTCTGAGTCAGGAAGGTCCCAAATGAAAGAGTGGCAGAAGGAATGGTAGGAAGGGGAGGATGTAAGCGATATCATCAAGTCAGAATCATGAGTTCTTGGTGCCCGGATGTTAGAGGAGGGAAAAGGTGAAGATGGCTGAAGCTGTACACTTTCATGATGGTGGAATGGAGGGGTCCCTTGGGAATTAGGGGTGTCTCTAGGAAGAACCAGCTTAGGGTACATTGAGAAAGAGGAGACAGTGCAACATCACAGGAATAGGAGAGACTTTGGAGTCAGACCTGGATTTCAGTCTCAGCTCTGCTGCTTGGTGCAAGTTGATTAATCTCTCTGAGGCTGTTCCCTCATCCGTAAACAGGGGATCATAGCATCAACCTCATATGGCATTTGGAGTAGGTTAGGGGTACAAACTTATGCTCCTGCATGTGGCAGATGCTCAATCAGAGTGTGGGAGCTGCTCCTTTTAGACATGTGAGTTTGATGGGACCTGGGCACCTTACATACAGAGAGGTCAGCAGGCAGCTGGGAAAGCTGTGTGGAGTCCTGAAGAGAGAATAAGCGTGAAAGGACCCAGAGGCCTGAGGGGCATCTCCTTAGAAACCTAACCAGGCCAGGCAGGGTGTCTGTAATCCAAACACTTTGGGAGGCCAAGGCGACCTGATTACTTGAGGTCAGGAATTTGAGACCAGCTGGCCAACATGGTGAAACCCCATCTCTACTAAAAATACAAAAATTGGGCCGGGTGTGGTGGCTCTCACCTGTAATCCCAGCACTTTGGGAGGCCAAGGCAGGTGGATCACTTGAGGTCAGGAGTTTGAAACCAGCCTGACTAACATGGTGAAACCCCATCTCTACTAAAAATACAAAAATTAGCCCGACGTGGTGGCGGGTGCCTGTAATCCCAGCTACTTGGAAGGCCGAGGCAGGAGAATCGCTTGAACCTGGGAGGTGGAAGTTGCAGTGAGCTGAGATGGCACCACTGCACTCCAGCCTGGGCAACAGAGCAAGACTCTGTCTCAAAAAAAAAAAAAAGAAAGAAAAGGAAAAAGAAACCTAAACAAAGGCTTTGAAGAGGTGAGACAGGAGGAGGACAGAGAAAGGACAGAAGGAGATCCTTGTATTTTAAGGGCAGTGGGAGAGTCAGCAAAAGAGATTGCTGTGGAGTAGGACAACCATTTGTCCTTCTGTCATTCATTCAGAAACATCTGCTGAGCATCCCTTGGCCAGACCCTCCTCTAGGCATATGGTGAACAAGACACTTCTACTACCCTCTGAGTGGAGGAGAAGGCATAAAACAGTTCGCTACACAGTTGTCCTGTTTCCAGTTGTTGGGACTATTATAGAGGAGAAGCATAGGGTTCTGAGAGCAAGTGTGACCAGGAACCTGCCTAGTTCCAGGGTGCGGATAGGCTGCAATGAAGGGAGAGGGCTCTACAAAGGCAACAGGTTATGCAAAGGCTCCAAGGTGGGAAGGCATATGGCCAGCCCACTGGCCATTCTCAATGGATGAGGGAGCAGGAGGGGCATGCGGGCCAAGGCCTTCTGGACAGGCCCATAGCCTCACACTATGCAGGAGCATTGTGGGCCAAATTTAGGATTCATCCCGAAAGAAATGGAAAGGGAAACTCAAAAGTGATGTGAACAGATGTGTGATTTTGACATCATCTGAGTCAGGGGAGGAGATAATTTTTACAATTTGGGAGAGAACCACATCCTTCAACCCTTTGGAAGGGGCAAGAGGAAAGACTTCGGTTTGGCTGTCAGCATGTCACTGGTTGCCTTCAGGAAGCCTCCTGTGCTGGGATCTAGAGAAAGATGCAACACAAAAGGTTAAGATAGGATGAAAACTAAGAGTAGGCTGGGTGCAGTGGCTCACGCCTGTGGCCCCAGCACTTTGGGAGGCTGAGGTGGGCAGATTACCTGAGGTCAGGAGTTCGAGACCAGCTTGGCCAACATGGCGAAACACTGTCTCTACTAAAAATACAAAAATTAGCCATGCGTGGTGGCCCGCGCCTGTAATCCCAGCCACTGGGGAGGCTGAGGCAGGAGAATCGCTTGAACCCGGGAGGCGGAGGTTGCAGTGAGCCGAGATCACACACCTGCACTTCAGCCTGGGCGACAGAGGGAGACGCCATCTCAAACAAACAACAACAAAAAAACTAAGAGTAAAGCAGGGTTCAGGAGAGTCTCAAAAGTAAGCACTAAGCTGAAGGTGAGGAGGTAGGGAGAGAAGGGGTAAGGTGAGATCACTGGTTTAGCTAACCATCCCCCTCAGGAGCTGGGATGACTGGGATTGGTACTCAAACCTCTTCCTCTGATGCCAGCAGCAAGTAAGAGGAGAGGTGAGAGACAGGAGGAATTTGAAATACACAGAATGAATATTAAGGGATCTAAAACTTCTTGGTAAGTAGAAGAAGAGATGGCCTTTGGCGATTAGTGGAGCCCAGGTGGGCCTTCAGGTTGAGTGGGAAGTGGTTTCTGGGAGGAGGGTTAAGGGAATTGGCACAGAGCAGTGTTGAGTGTCTGTTTGCAGGTTTTCGCCCTGTTATTCAACAGATATTTATTGAGCACCTACTCTGTGGCAGACAGCTGCGCTTGGGTCTGAAATTACAGTGGTGAACAAAGCAAACCCAGCCCTGCTTTCATGGAGCCTCAGGGCCAGCAGGGGTGAGGCCACATGAGTTTGTACTGGACCCGAGCAGGGCCAGGGCCGCCATGGCCCTGGGGTCATCAGGCCTGGGCCACATTCTCACTCTGCCATCTGCTAGTTTGTGATGGAAGTCAAGCCGTGTCATCTTCCCAAGCTTCTGCCCTGGGGTGTGAAATGGGACTCATCTTCACTTCATGAAGTTGCTGTGTGGGGAGGAAAAGATACACTGTATGGAAAGCCTCTAATAGAGAGTCTGATGTATGTCTGCAGAAGTGGTCACTAAATATTTCTTCTCCATGCTTTTCTCTCCCTTGGAGACCAGCGGGTAGTGGAGAAAGCAGCTAGCTTGAGGCCTGGCAGGATGGGAGGTAATAGAGGCCTGAGGACACCATGGCCCCGATCCCCTGTGAGGTCCAGTCAGCTGTTCAGAGAAGGCACATGGTCACTGATGGGCTGGGACAACTAGCAGGGATCTAGGAAATGAGAAGGCAAAGCAGTATGGGAAGTAGGCCCATCTGCTGGACAGACATTTGCAGAGCACTTACTCTGTGTTCTAGTCCCTAGAGACAGCAGTGAGTAAGCTGCTGTAACTTGGAACAATGCTCTGCTGGAACTCACCTTCTCCTTGGAGAAATAGATGATAAACAAGTACAGAAGTAAGTAAACATGGCCGGGTGCAGTGGCTCATGCCTGTAATCCCAGCACTTTGAGAGGCCGAGGCGGGCAGATCACCTGAGGTCAGGAGTTCGAGACCAGCCTGGCTAACATGGTGAAACCCCGTCTCTACTAAAAATACAAAAAATTAGCCAGGCGTGGTGGCACACGCCTGTAGTCCCAGCTACTTGGGAGGCTGCAGCAGGAGAATCACTTGAACCCAGGAGGTGGAGGTTGCAGTGAGCCAAGATCGCGCCACTGCACTCCAGCCTGGGCAACAGAGTGAGACTCCATCTCAAAAAAAAAAAAAAAAAAAAAAAAAAAAAAGAAGAAGAAGAAGTAAGTAAACAATACTTAGCCAATGGAGGTAAGCAGTGTGTCAGAAATGAAACAGGTCATCCAGAAAGGCTTCCAGAAGGATCAAGCAGAAGAGATATTGGGCAGAGGTGGTGGTAAGAACAGATCTCAGCCTTGGGCAGGACTTGTTGCTGGGCTCTGAGGATCACCCGGGCCTTGACAGGTGCTCACTGCCTATCTGGATTACATGGAGGAACTGGGGATGCTGCTGGGTGGGCGGCCCACCTCCACGAGGGAGCAGATGCAGCAGGTGCTGGAGTTGGAGATACAGCTGGCCAACATCACAGTGCCCCAGGACCAGCGGCGCGACGAGGAGAAGATCTACCACAAGATGAGCATTTCGGAGCTGCAGGTGGGGCAGGCAGGGGGCTGGAGACAACTGAGAGGGGCCAGCCTTGGCATGGACCACCCAGCTTCCCTCCATGCCATCTCCCCAAGGCAGCCAGTCCTTTCCTCATTCCCTTGCTTTTCTGTGCTCCCCAGCTGCACTGCTGCTGTCCTGGGGAAAAAAATGGTGTCCATTTAGGCCACCTCTCACTGGGTCATCCTTTGGTCCCTTTCTTGCCTGGGGATGCATGGAGGGATTGTGTTAAAAATGTGTAACAGTTTGTATGAGATGTCCACAAAACAATCAGAATAGGCTGGGCATGGTGGCTGACATCTGTAATCCCAGCACTTTGGGAGGCCGAGGCGGGTGGATCGCCTGAGGTTGGGAGTTCAAGACCAGCCTAGCCAACATGGTGAAACCCCATCTCTACTAAAAATAAAAAATTAGCCGGGTGTGGTGGCACATGCCTGTAATCCCAGCTACTCGGGAGGCTGAGGTAGAAGAATCGCTTGAACCTGGGAGGCGGAGGTTGCAGTGAGCTGAGATTGCGCCATTGCACTCCAGCTTGGGTGACAAGAGCGAAACTCCATCTCAAAAAAAAAAAAAAAAAAAATAGAAGTGAAAGTTTCCACTGGGGGACCCGTACTGTGCCAGGCCATTAACACTTTAGATGTTGGATTATGGAAAAGTTGGGATGGAGTGTGGTTCTGGAGGAGAAGCCAGTACGTGCAGGGTGTTGGGAGTGGTATTTTATCAATTGTTAGGAAAATATTTGAATATCTAGGCCCCAGCTGAATGTCACATGTAGTGGTTATCCTTGTATAATAAGTGGTTGGGCTCCCAGATTGGAGGTGTCCAGGCCTGGAAAAGGGTATATTACAGGAAGGATACACCATGAAGCCAGTAGTTGTTGCTATGGCAATGGGAAGGGCTCCCAGGCTACAGCATACAGTGGGGGAGGGTTCTGCTGGAAGCGAGTCGGGCAGGCAAGGCCTGAGATTTTTTTCTTTCAGGCTCTGGCGCCCTCCATGGACTGGCTTGAGTTCCTGTCTTTCTTGCTGTCACCATTGGAGTTGAGTGACTCTGAGCCTGTGGTGGTGTATGGGATGGATTATTTGCAGCAGGTGTCAGAGCTCATCAACCGCACGGAACCAAGGTGTGGGGGTAGCCCAGGGTGAGGGTGGGTTCTGTGGAGGTCTCCAGCAAGGCTGGGCATAATGGACAGGCCCAGCCACACAGAACAACATTTGGTAATGCTATGGGCCTTCCAAACATTGAATCAGAATGTCTATGGGCTTTTCCTCTGCGCTAGGGTTGCAGGGTGCTCCCTGTGATCTCTGTCCCCCCACTGCTCTCCAACCTGACCTCTACAGGCAGGTGTGTGGCCCCGGGACCAAAGAGGAACCCCGGGACAGCTTCCACATATGCCTCTCGGGACTCCTGCAACTTGCATGTTCCTGGGGGCTGGTTTGAGGGGTGTGAAGGGCATCCCACCTGCCCTTTTCTTATTTTCTGGTCTGGTTGTCAGCATCCTGAACAATTACCTGATCTGGAACCTGGTGCAAAAGACAACCTCAAGCCTGGACCGACGCTTTGAGTCTGCACAAGAGAAGCTGCTGGAGACCCTCTATGGCACTAAGAAGGTGGGCTTTCTGATTTTGCCTCCACGTTCTGATCCAGTCTAACCGATGCTGCATACCTTCAGTGTGACAGGCACCATGTGCCTCATGGTGCACAGGTGCATAGTATGGAGCGCAGAATTTGGAAGCAAGCCGACTTGCGTTTCAATCCCAACTCATTCATTTTCTAGCCTGTAGGACCTTGGGCAGATCACCTAGCCTCTCTGACTCTCCATTTCCTGCTCTGTAAAGCAGGAATAACTTGGAGGGTTGTCAGGAAGAGTATTAGCTGAGTTAATGTAAGTGAAGCACCTGCACAGTACATGGTATGTATAGGCACTCGGCTTTGATGAGGAGGATGGAGAGGATATAATAAATAAGTGAGTATTTAGTTTCAAGATGCCCCATTAAGTGGGGGGAGTGGACATGTAAACAAATACATTATATTTTGTGGTGATAACTGCTCACACTGAGTGAAAGACTTTTCTGCTATAGGACAGAGGTGGGACAGCACATTTCACCTGGGGGGATGGTGGGGAAGGGCATCAGAGAAGCCTTCTCTGAGAGGTGCCATGTGATGGAAAAGTTCACCAAGAAAGCCGGGGAGAAGGGCATTCCAGGGACAAGGAACGGCATGTGCAAATTCCTAGAGGCCAAAAGGAGCATGGTGGCTTTACACACGTTCTGGCATGAGCTTGAGAAGAGGGCAACTGAGAGACGGGGTTTGGTAAGGTGGGCATGGGGCACTTGGGAAGGGATCTGAATATTGTATTGGGAAGTCCGGCCTTGATTCTTTCACAGATGGGGCTCCATGGGAGTAGCATGGAGAGGAGAAACACAGTTGGGTTATGTATGAAATGATATTTCTGGTGGCTAAATGGAAGATGGAGGGGAGCAGCAGGGAAGCGGGGATGAGAATGGAGTCAGGGTGTCCAGTTAAGAGGCAATTGCAGGCCAGGCTTGGTGGCTCATGCCTGTAATCCCAGCATTTTGGGAAGCCAAGGCAGGTGGATCACCTGAGGTCAGGAGTTCAAGACCAGCCTTGCCAACACGGTAAAACCCCATCTCTACTAAAAATACAAAAAATTAGCTGGGCGTGGTGGCAAGCAACTGTAATCCCAGCTACTCGGGAGGCTGAAGCAGGAGAATCACTTAAACCTGGAGGTTGCAGTGACCTGAGACTGCGTCATTGCACTCCAGCCTGGGCTACAAGAGCAAAACTCTGTTTAAAAAAAAAAAAAAAAAAAGGCAATTGCAGACTGAGTGTGGTGGCTCGTGCCTGTAATCAGCATTTTGGGAGGCTGAGGTGGGTGGAGTGCTTGAGCTCAGGAGTTCAAGATGATAGTGTTATAGGTCAGGGAAGTGGTAATCATTTTCCCCGTCCACTTGAGTGGATGGGAAAGATGATTAAGAAATCAAAGCAGGCAGGGCGCCGTAGCTCATGCCTGTAATCCCAGCACTTTGGGAGGTCAAGGTGGGCGGATCACTTGAAGTAAGGAGTTCAAGACCATCCTGGCTAACACGGTGAAACCCCGTCTCTACTGAAAAGACAAAAAATTTAGCCGGGCGTGGTGGCGGGCGCCTTTAGTCTCAGCTACTCGGGAGGCTGAGGCAGGAGAATGGCGTGAACCCGGGAGGTGGAGCTTGCAGTGAGCTGAGATCGCACCACTGCACTCCAGTCTGGGTGACAGAGTGAGACTCCATCTCAAAAAAAAAAAAAAAGAAGTCAAAGTAGTAGAAACTGCTGATAGACTGAATGTGGGGGGTTAGGGAGATGGAGGAAGCTGAGTGACTCCCAGGTTTCTTGCATGGGGGACTGACTGGATATAAAATTAGTTGTGGGCCGGGCACGGTGGCTCATGCCTTTAATCCCAGCACTTTGGGAGGCCAAAGCGGGCAGATCACTTGAGCTCAGGAGTTCAAGACCAGCCTGGGAAACATGGTGAGACCCCTTCTGTACTAAAATTACAAAAGAAAATAGCTGGGTGTGGTGGCATGTGCCTGGGGTCCCAGCTATTCGAGAGGCTGAGGTGGGAGGATCGCTTGAGCCCAGGGGACAGAGGTTGCAGTGAGCAGTGATTGCACCACTATACTCCAGCCTGGGTGACAGAGCAAGACCCTGTCTCAAAAAAAGACAGATGTGGCACTGAGCAAACCCAGGACTCTTGTCCAGAGCTGAGAAGGGCTGCTAGCCCCAGTGACAGAGAAAGGCCCTCTGACTGGAGGACACAGCCATCTCTAGGGTCCTGGCTCTTTGTCCTTTAACAGTCCTGTGTGCCGAGGTGGCAGACCTGCATCTCCAACACGGATGACGCCCTTGGCTTTGCTTTGGGGTCCCTCTTCGTGAAGGCCACGTTTGACCGGCAAAGCAAAGAAATTGTGAGTCTACAAGATTCTTTCAACACTATGCCCTCAAAATTGACTGTTCATGTATGTGCAGACATATAGAAAAACAACGGGAGCCAGGCGCGGTGGCTCACGCCGGTAATCCCAGCACTTTGGGAGGCCAAGGCGGGTGAATCATGGGGTCAGGAGTTCGAGACCAGCCTGGCCAACATGGTGAAACCTGGTCTCTACTAAAAATACAAAAAATTAGCCGGGCGTGGTGGCGGGTGTCTGTAATCCCAGCTACTTGGGAGGCTGAGGCAGGAGAATCACTTGAACCCAGGAGGCGGAGGTTGCAGTGAGCCGAGATCGCGCCAGTGCACTCCAGCCTGGGCGACAGAGCAAAACTCTGTCTCAAAAAAAAAAAAAAAAAAAAAAGAAAAGAAAAGAAAAACAACTGGATGTAAATTGATGAACAAATGAAGTAGTGCTGCTTTGGGCAGTGGGATTATAAGAGTCCTTTAAAGTTGTCTATGTGTTTATGTTTAACTATATAACTAGAAGAAATATTTATTTATTAGGATATGATAATGGATGTGCTTAAAGTATTACCTGTAAGGATGTTTATGGTTTTTATGGCAATGTTGTTTATAATAGCAGAAAATGAGAACAGGTTAAATGTCCAACTATAGGGTAAAGGAAAAATAAATTGTGGTTAGGATGGGTTGTGAGGATCCTTAAATGGCTGATATATCTTTCAGCAAAAAAAGTAGGTTACAAAAAATATATACCCTATACAACATAATTCCATATTTTATATGCATATCAGGGGAGGGAAAAACTCTAGAAGTGGGTAATCAAAATGTTAAAAGAACTTATCTATGAATGAGTGCTTTATAACTGGTCTGTTCTTCAATTCTCAATTTTCCAAATTTTCTGTGAATGTCCTCTTTTCATAATCAGATAAAAATCATTGCACTAGGCTGGGCGTGGTGGTTCACGCTTGTAATCCCAGCACTTTGGGAGGCTGAGGCGGGTGGATCACGTGGTCAGGAGTTCAAGACCAACCTGGCCAAGATGGTGAAACCCCAGCTCTACTAAAAATACAAAAATTACCCGGGCATGATGGCGGGAGCCTGTAATCCTAGCTACTTGGGAGGCTGAGGCAGGAGAATCGCTTGAACTCGGGAGGCGGAGGTTGCAGTGAGCCGAGATTGCGCCACTGCACTCCATCCTAGGTAACACAGCCAGACTCTGTCTCAAAAAAAAAAAAAAATCATTGCACTATATTAAATTATAATATAATTTGATGAACTTATTGTCAATTAAAATGTGTACTTAATTAAGAAAAAAGCCAGCCACAATCCCAGTACCTTTACAAATGGTGTTTCCTTCTCATCGTCTCCAGGTGCTCAGCCGTATTTCTTTAGTCTAGACGTTCCCATTTCCCCTGGGTGGACAGGGATGGGGCACCAAGGGTGGATGGGTGGGGCAGGGATGCATTCAGTGCAGGGGAAGGCTGACTTTACCTCCTCCCTCCCAGGCAGAGGGGATGATCAGCGAAATCCGGACCGCATTTGAGGAGGCCCTGGGACAGCTGGTTTGGATGGATGAGAAGACCCGCCAGGCAGCCAAGGAGAAAGTGAGCGGTGGCTAGGGTTGGGGCGCCATCTTGAGGTGGGGTTCAAGGATACAGTTTTGCTAGGAACCTGGGGAAGGAAACAAACCCTTAACCTGGTCTCTTCAGGCAGATGCCATCTATGATATGATTGGTTTCCCAGACTTTATCCTGGAGCCCAAAGAGCTGGATGATGTTTATGACGGGGTGAGTACCTACGCTCATCAGTACTGAACTTCAGCCCTGTAGAGGGCACTGTTCCCTGGGCTTAGAAATTGGGGCTCAAGCACTGGGAAAGAGGTGCTTGTCGGTTTCTTTTAGAGGCAGATGGAGGTAACCAGCATTGTTAAAATGTTGGCTCTGTGACAGGCTGCAGGCCAAACAGCAGTGAAATATAGTGCTAACGAGCCAAGATTTGGAGTCAAGCCTAATCAAATTCTGTTTCTACCTCTAACTTTGTAACCTTAACAAAATCTCTCTAGGCCTTGGTTTCATTTTCTGTAAAATGGGGGTCCTACTAGTGCCTTCCTCATAGGGTTGTTGTGAGATAAATGAATACAGTATGTAAAAAAACAGCACCCATAACATAAATGGCCTTTAAATATTGCCAATTATGGTTTACTAGATATTTTACAGTTGAGGAAACTGAGGTTTGGAGAGATACTAATGAGTAGCCAAACTGGCGCTATTATCTTCTCCAATGGATTCTCTTGCTCTCTTTCTACTTCCCACCTTTCCCACAGTACGAAATTTCTGAAGATTCTTTCTTCCAAAACATGTTGAATTTGTACAACTTCTCTGCCAAGGTTATGGCTGACCAGCTCCGCAAGCCTCCCAGCCGAGACCAGTGAGAATGACGGGGTGGACATAGACACTAGGGGTGGCAGGAGAGGTGGGGGAAGGTTCCTGGGATGGGGGAAAAGGGTGGCAAGACTGGTCCCAGACCGGCGGCCCCATACCCTTGCAGGAGGTAGGGCAGGGCTGTTGGGAGGGGAGCAGTGTCAGGAGAGTCGGGAGCCTCAGCCCCTCACTCTTCCTCCGCCAGGTGGAGCATGACCCCCCAGACAGTGAATGCCTACTACCTTCCAACTAAGAATGAGATCGTCTTCCCCGCTGGCATCCTGCAGGCCCCCTTCTATGCCCGCAACCACCCCAAGTGTGTCTGAAGCAGGAGGGGCTGGGTGCTGGGGCCTGGGCCTGTGGTTGAGCTGGGAGCAGGGCTGGAGGTGGGATTCAGAAGTACCCCCGCCATGTCCTCACTTGCTATTCCTCACCCACCAGGGCCCTGAACTTCGGTGGCATCGGTGTGGTCATGGGCCATGAGTTGACGCATGCCTTTGATGACCAAGGTAGGGGCCCATGGAGTCGTCCCCTCTAGCCTAGAATTCCCAGTGGCTCCTGCAAGGCCTTGGGACATTGATGTAGCCCCAAGGGCCCTGAAGTCTGTGGACCAGGGCTGGTGGGGGCACTGCTGCCCCCAAGAGACGAGCTCTGGTTTTGGTGGGGTGCAAAGGTGAGTTCTCCTCAGGGCGCGAGTATGACAAAGAAGGGAACCTGCGGCCCTGGTGGCAGAATGAGTCCCTGGCAGCCTTCCGGAACCACACGGCCTGCATGGAGGAACAGTACAATCAATACCAGGTCAATGGGGAGAGGCTCAACGGCCGCCAGACGCTGGGGGAGAACATTGCTGACAACGGGGGGCTGAAGGCTGCCTACAATGTGAGTGGCCTGACCAGCCCTCCAGCGGCTGAGGCCTGCTGGCCTGGGGTGAAAGGTGCCGGGTGGGTGGGGGCAGGCCTGGATGGGCTTGTTGCCCACTGTTCTGTCCCCAGGCTTACAAAGCATGGCTGAGAAAGCATGGGGAGGAGCAGCAACTGCCAGCCGTGGGGCTCACCAACCACCAGCTCTTCTTCGTGGGATTTGCCCAGGTATCACCCTCTCGGAAGGCCTGGGGTCTGCCCCTTTGTCCTGCTCCCTCCTGAGTATGTCATTAGGAGAACTCTGGGGCACGTGTCAAACGGGCTGGTGAATGGGGCTGAGGCTGGGGCATGAAAGGTGGGCTGGGAAGGCCCATGCCCAGAGCCTCCGGCCAGCCAGGGCCCACAAAGGCAGCCTGAAGAGGCCTGAGCGGGAGAATGCCTTGGTAGGATTTCGCATAGTTCAAAGGGCAAGGTTGTCGTGCTTGCGGGGCACAGGGTGGCGAAGGGGGCAAACGTTCATCCTCACGCTGTTCCTGTGAGGGAGACATGCAGGAAACGAAAGCTCGGGACGCAGAGTGGCCTGTCCAGGGCTGCCCAGGAATAGAGTAAGTGGCAGAGCAAGGACCCAGGCAGAGCCTCCGCTGGGCAGCCACAGCAGGCAGCTTCTGGGGCTCCGCTTTTTCCCCTCGTCATGTCCATGCTGGGCAACCCGATGTCCAGGGCAGTTTTGGAAGGAACTTGGGAGGGGCTGCAGCGGTGGTGGTTTGTGCCCCTGGGATGGCTGTAGCTGACTCTAAGGCCCGGCTCCACACTAGACACCATATGCCCCCATGTCTGTCCTGGCCCGCAGGTGTGGTGCTCGGTCCGCACACCAGAGAGCTCTCACGAGGGGCTGGTGACCGACCCCCACAGCCCTGCCCGCTTCCGCGTGCTGGGCACTCTCTCCAACTCCCGTGACTTCCTGCGGCACTTCGGCTGCCCTGTCGGCTCCCCCATGAACCCAGGGCAGCTGTGTGAGGTGTGGTAGACCTGGATCAGGGGAGAAATGGCCAGCTGTCACCAGACCTGGGGCAGCTCTCCTGACAAAGCTGTTTGCTCTTGGGTTGGGAGGAAGCAAATGCAAGCTGGGCTGGGTCTAGTCCCTCCCCCCCACAGGTGACATGAGTACAGACCCTCCTCAATCACCACATTGTGCCTCTGCTTTGGGGGTGCCCCTGCCTCCAGCAGAGCCCCCACCATTCACTGTGACATCTTTCCGTGTCACCCTGCCTGGAAGAGGTCTGGGTGGGGAGGCCAGTTCCCATAGGAAGGAGTCTGCCTCTTCTGTCCCCAGGCTCACTCAGCCTGGCGGCCATGGGGCCTGCCGTGCCTGCCCCACTGTGACCCACAGGCCTGGGTGGTGTACCTCCTGGACTTCTCCCCAGGCTCACTCAGTGCGCACTTAGGGGTGGACTCAGCTCTGTCTGGCTCACCCTCACGGGCTACCCCCACCTCACCCTGTGCTCCTTGTGCCACTGCTCCCAGTGCTGCTGCTGACCTTCACTGACAGCTCCTAGTGGAAGCCCAAGGGCCTCTGAAAGCCTCCTGCTGCCCACTGTTTCCCTGGGCTGAGAGGGGAAGTGCATATGTGTAGCGGGTACTGGTTCCTGTGTCTTAGGGCACAAGCCTTAGCAAATGATTGATTCTCCCTGGACAAAGCAGGAAAGCAGATAGAGCAGGGAAAAGGAAGAACAGAGTTTATTTTTACAGAAAAGAGGGTGGGAGGGTGTGGTCTTGGCCCTTATAGGACCCTGTGCCAATAAACAGACATGCATCCGTCAGCCTGTCTCTCTTCCTTCAGTCCTGTTTTCATGTATCCATTCACTCATTCCACCAGCGTCTATAGAGCAACTACTGTATGCCAGCCACTGTCGTCAGTGCTCATTTACTCACTAGTGGATACAGGGGACTGAGATTTGAAGCCCAGAGAAGACAGAGAAAGAGAGGCAGGATGGAGGAATGGAAGGAAGTTGAGTCTGACTGGGCAGAATACATTGTCTGCTAACTGGTGGCCATAGCCTCATCCCCAGCTGTTCTACAGCTGGAAGGATTTGCTGCTTTCCTCCACTGGTGCGTGCAGCCAGGCCTGACACTGAGTGTGGGTAACTACTGGGCCAGGGTCAACTTGGAAGATGGGCGGCCCTTACCCTGCAGTGGTGGGAAGTCCTGGGCATATCACTCCCTGAGCTCCCAGAGCTCAAAGCCCTGGCCTCTGCTTGTAGCTGAAAAGACAAACATTTCCTTCTAGCCTCAAAGGCTCAGAGCTCCCAAGAGTCAGCCATTCCACCTACACACACTCATTAGGCCTACCAAGTGCCAGGCACAGAGACTGCATATATGGCCTCTACCCTCCAGAGTGAGGGAGGGAAAAGGAACGTTGATTGAATACCTCCTGTGTTCCAGGCACCTGTGCTAGGTGGCTCATTTCTTTATTCATTCATCCATTTATTAATTTATACATTCATAGGCTTATTTTCAAAAAAAATTGCTTTATCAACAATGTGTCAGGCACTGGTGATACACAAATGAATAAGATAGGTGAGGTGGTGCGCCTGTAGTCCCAGCTACTCGGGATGCTGAGGTGGGAGGATTGCTTAAGCTCAGGAGTTCAAATCCAGCGTGGGCAACATAGCAAGACCTCATCTCTTAGGAAAAAAACAAAACAAAACTGATGAATGAGAAGTTTCTTCTTCCCTTAGGTGACTCTTCTTCTGTTGGCACTTTCGCCTTCATGAGCTCACCTAATCCTTGCAACAACCGCCCTTTTCAAATACTCTAGTCTCCATTTTACAGATCTATCCCTAACTACTTCACTGCAGTCAAAGAGAGCTGGACTGAAATGGAAGCTCTGATAGTTTTGTGAGCTTCAGCCTGTTCCCTAAACTCCATGAACCTCAGTGTCTTCACCTATGAAATGAGAACTACAGCAAAACAGTGGAAAGAGTCCAATCTCAATTCTCTTTATTTTTTATTCTTGAGATGGAGTCTCACTCTGTCACCCAGGCTGGAGTGCAGTGGTGCAACCTCCACCTCCCAGGTTCAAGTGATTCTCCTGCCTCAGCCTCCTGAGTAGCTGAGATTACAGGCGCGTGCCACTACGCCCAGATAATTTTTGTATTTTTAGTAGAAATGGGGTTTCACCATGTTGGCCAGGCTGGTCTCAAACTCCTGACCTCAAGTGATCCACCTGCCTCAGCCTCCCAAAGTGCTGGGATTACAGGCGTGAGCCACAACACCCAGCCTCAATCTCAATTCTCTTTAAAACTCAGTGCTTTAGGCTGGGCGCGGTGGCTCAAACCTATAATCCCAGAGCTTTGAGAGGCCGAGGCGGGCTGATCACAAGGTCCAGAGTTTGAGACCAGCCTGGCCAATATGGTGAAACCCCATCTCTACTAAAAATACAAAAATTAGCTGGGCGTGGTGGTGTGTGCCTGTAATCCCAGCTACTTGGGAGGCTGAGGCAGAATTACTTGAACCGGGACCTGGGAGGTGGAGGTTGTAGTGAGCTGAGATTGCGCCACTGCACTCCAGCCTGGGCTACAGATCGAGACTCCATCTCAAAAACAAACAAAAAAACACAAAAAAACCTTAGTGCTCTCCAAGGTGCAAGTAGGGATGAGTTTGTTCAGTGTGGAAGGGGAGGAGTGAAGCTCTGGTTATGATTGCTGCTGGTCCTTGGCCCCTTGGTGAATGGCAATAGTATGTGTCCCACAATCTTTCCATAAAGAGCTGTATGTGGATCTCTGTCATGTGACCTCAAAGTGCTGGCTGGCCACAAAAGGAAGAAAGTAGCCAACTGCTCAGAAAGGAGAAAAGTGTCCTGAGGAACTCCATGACCCAGGGAAAGCACAGCCTGAGTCTCTAAGAGCATGACTCCAGGGTAAATGGCTGCGTGTATTGGAAAGAGGAGGCCATCACATCTGCAGGCCTGGTCTACCTCCAGCTCTGCCACCCTTGAGCTGTGTGACATTAGGCCTTCAGGTCTCAGTATCTTCTGCAGTCTGTAAAACAAGTGAATTGGATGAGACGATCTTTGAGGAGCATTTCTGCTTTAATGCTCTAAAAAGTGAATCCATGGGCTTAGCAAATTCCGGAACCCAAAGAGATAGTAAGTGACTCGTGACATTCAGATGAGATTTATAATGTCAGACAGCATAATGACTGAGGAGACAGGCTTGGCAGATAAAGCCTTACCCTTTCCCTGACACCTAATTTCAGAGGCCAGCTTAGGATTCTGACAGGCTGGCCAGTGGGTTATTAAAACCTCATATTGCAAAAAGGTCAAAGTGTCAAATGATGATGATGATGGCTAGCCTTAATTTACTGGGTCACTATTTTGCTTAAGCTTGTGCTAAACACTTTAAACATACCTTCTCATTAAATGCACACAATGATTTGCAAGGAGGTTCTATCATTGTCTCTATTTTACGAATGGAGAAACTAAGGGAAAAGATCACGTAACTTCCAATGTCAGACAAGACAGATTGCATTAAAGTTAGATTTGGAACTCAGATGCCCTTAATCACTATCAGTTAGTCTTCCAACACGACAGAATTTAGACTGAAACACACACATCTGTCTTCTGGGCAATTTCATCATGCTTCTGAGTGGGACCATCACCAGCAGGTGCATTTCCATGCAACCCAGATTCCCTGGGCAAGGCACATGTGACAACCAGACAGCTTCAGGAAACCTAAGCACACATTGAGCTGAAATCAAGCCAGGGAACACCTGTTTGTTGAACACTCTGCAGGTGCTTGGTTCCAGAGGCAAGCCAAGGTGAACATCAGGTAAGAGATGTAACCTTTACCCTTAGTAGCCCTGTCAGGCTGAGTATGCGTATGTGATATGCTCTGGTGTGTCCAGGCAGAAGGGGAAATAAGGGATGGTGCTCCTCGGTGGACACAGGGAAGCAATTATAGGTAAAGTGCTAGGCCATCCCTTATGCAGTCCCATTGGTAAGTCTAACTAATTCCCATCCACAATAAGCTAACATATGCCAAGAAGTATGATTTCACACCCTTGATAGCACTTTGGAAATGTCCGGGTGGAAGAGAGTCCCTCATAAAAATAAGCACAGTTTTCTGCAGGATTGGAGGTCCTATTTTTTTTTTTTAATTAAAAAAAGCAGGCTGGGCGCAGTGGCTCATGCCTGTAATCCCAGCACTTCGGGAGGCTGAGGTGGGTGGATCACTATGTCAGGAGTTCAAGACCAGCAGGAGAATCGCTTGAACCCGGGAGGCGGAGGTTGCAGTGAGCCGAGATCGTGCCACTACACTCCAGGCTGGGCGACAGTGGGAGACTCCATCTCAAAAAAAAAAAAAAAAAAAAAAAAAAAAAAAAAAAAAGCAGTTTTAGTGGGTCTATCATGATTTACAAATGGAGAAACCTCATGATTTTCCAGTGCCTAGTTCTGGCCTCCAAAGACAGCTCCCAGTGGGTTGTTATTATACACAAAGATGGCCTGAAGATGAATGCAAAGCCATTCATTCATTCATTCATTCCGCATGCATGCATTCTGCAAATATTTATCAAGGCTCACTACAAGCCAGGCGCTAGGCTGGAGGCTAGGAGCATAAAGATGAATAAGACACAGTTCCAGGCCGGGCGCAGTGGCTCATGCCTGTAATTCCAGCACTTTGGGAGGCCAAGGCAGGCAGATAACTTGAGGTCAGGAGTTCAAGACCAGCCTGGCCAACATGGTGAATCCCCGTCTCGACTAAAAATACAAACATTAGCGGGGTGTGGTGGTGCATGCCTGTAGTCCCAGTTACTTGGGAGGCTGAAGCAGGAAAATCACCTGAACCCGGGAGGCAGAGGTTGCAGCAAGCTGAGATCATGCCACTGCACTCCAGCCTGGACGACAGAGCGAGACTCCGTCTGGAAAAAAAAAAAAAAAAGAAGAAGGAAGTCATGGATAAAGAGGAGTTTTAGAAAAAAATCCCTCTACAGATGACTGAAGAAAGCATGAAAATGTATGGACACCGTGAAGCCAGAGATAGAATAGGCAGAACAGTTATGGACTGTTGAATTTTTGTCTGCAGACCAGCGCTGGGGGAGTCATTGGCAATGGCAATGGAAGGTCATGCCTAGAATCCAAGCACTGAGTGGAAAAGAGCAACAGGTATTTAAAATGGATTCAGACCTTTACTTCCGTATCTACACAAACATTTACCCAACATTCACTCTGTGATATGTTGTACTAGGTGTCTTTTTCTTCAATGTGTCAGAACCCATAAAATAAGATTGCTAGAAGACTCCTGAGTGTTCCCACTAGGTGAAAGGGAGAAGAGATACTTCCTTTTTTCTCACCTTACACGCACACACACACACACACAGCTGAAGAAGAAACTCTGGGGTTTGCCTAAAACAGTCAAGGGCTTTGAAGACTGAAAGACTGAGCTTTAAATTTTGATTCCGCCGGGCGCGGTGGCTCACGCTTGTAATCCCAGAACTTTGGGAGGCCGAGGCGGGCGGATCACCTGAGGTCGGGAGTTGGAGACCAGCCTGACCAACATGGAGAAACCCCGTCTCTACTAAAAATACAAAAATTAGCCGGGCGTGGTGGCACAAAAATTCAACAGTCCATAACTGTTCTGCCTATTCTATCTCTGGCTTCACGGTGTCCATACATTTTCATGCTTTCTTCAGTCATCTGTAGAGGGATTTTTTTCTAAAACTCCTCTTTATCCAGCTACTCGGGAGGCTGAGGCAGGAGAATCACTTGCACCCGGGAGGCGAAGGTTGTGGTGAGCCGAGATTGCGCCATTGCACTCCAGCCTGGGCAACAGGAGAGAAACACTATCTCAAAACAAATAAATAAAATAAAAAATAAATCCTCATTTTACTACTTGATATGATCTTCTCTGTAAAATGGACCTAACCCTACCAATCTCAAAAGATTGTAAGAAGTGCATGGAATCACTCGAAAGCAGTCCTGACATAAGCGCGTCAGTCACACGCCTCTAAGGCTTCACAGGGAAAGACGAGAAGATAGAGGACGAAGACCTTGTCTTGTTCTGCTTTTAGCTCCAGAACTTGGCGGGGAGCACAGGGCTTTATTGATCGATGTCAACTCCACCTGGCTCCCCAAAGTATTTAAAATGGTAGCCACGGGAATAGCAGAGTACTCTCTTTCAACTGGGGAGGAATATCAAATGAGGTTAATAGGCCGGGCGCGGTGGTTCACACCTGTAATTACAGCTCTTTGGGAGGCTGAGGCGGGCAGATCACTTGAGGTCAGGAGTTCGAGACCAGCCTGGCCAACATAGTGAAACCCCCGTCTCTACTAAAAAATACAAAAATTAGCTGGGCGTGGTGGCGGGCGCCTGTAATCCCAGCTACTCGGGAGGTTGAGGCACGAGAATCACTTGAACCTGGTAGGCGGAGTTTGCAGTGAGCCGAGATCGCGCCACTGCACTCCAGCCTGGGCGAGAGAGCGAGCCTCCTTCTCAAAAGCAACAACAACAACAAAACCAAATGAGGTTAATATTCCACAGTGGTGTGGGGCTAGACACAGTTACACAGACTTTATACAGGCGGCAATCAAGCGTCCTGGACGTCAAGAAATCTAGTTTGTCTGTCGCGCCACGCAGTCAACTGGAGTGTCACTGTGGGTTCTATTTACACCGTTATGAGAAAAACCTGTGGCGGAGTAAAACTCGGTAACTCCGCTCGCAGACCGCCCATCTACAGCAGTGAGCGAACCCAAACCCCACACGGCCAAGTCCCGCGGGTTTCAGGAAACTCCGAAGAGGTCGGGGGCCAGGGGCGACTATGGCGCGGGGGAGGCTGGGAATTGTAGTCTCCACCTGCCTCCGAGGGCGGGGTCCGAGGGCGGGGCTCTCAGGCCGAGGGGGTGGGTGGGTCGCCGAGCGCCCCGGCTCGCCCCGGCGTTTCCGGTCGCAGGCGGGCTCTGGAGGAGGAGGGGCGCCGCGACCGACGCGCGCGAGTTGGTCTGGGAAAAAGGGCGGTGCGAGCGGGTGCGCGCGCAGCGGGCCGGCAGTGGCGGCGGAGATGGAGGAGGGAGGCCGGGACAAGGCGCCGGTGCAGCCCCAGCAGTCTCCAGCGGCGGCCCCCGGCGGCACGGACGAGAAGCCGAGCGGCAAGGAGCGGCGGGATGCCGGGGACAAGGACAAAGAACAGGAGCTGGTGAGGCGCGACCCCGAGAGTCGGCGAAGGAGGCTGCGGGGCTGAGTCACGGCGGCTCCGCAGGCCTCAGGCCCGACACCCAACTACCCCACCGCGCCAGGGAGAGGGCGGTTGGGGCGACCCTCGGGACTCCCGGCACCTTGCCTCTCTGCTCCTCATTCTCCGTTCCGCGCTGTCACCTCCGCCGTCCCCACCAACCCTCACCACCGCCGCGTGAAGTGGACTCGGGCAGGTCATTGTCACCTCCGTTTCCTAGAGTGGCATTCAAGTAGAGCCTGATTCAGAACCCAGGCTGATTTCTCACCAGGGCTTCCCATTCCCACTCGGTTTCCTTGTCCACCTGGCCCCTCCTAAGGAGGCAGGCTTATTCTTCACCTGCCCCGGGTAAGTGGGAGGAGGACGTCTTTGGGATTCCTTCTCTTCATGAGCTGCTTCTCCCAACCCTCCAGTCTGAAGAGGATAAACAGCTTCAAGATGAACTGGAGATGCTCGTGGAACGACTAGGGGTGAGTCACGATGTTAACATGATTCGGTGCATGTTTGGATCTTTCCCACTTGTTTTATTCTTTTTTGAGGCAACTGCTATGTACGGTGGACTGTATTTTAGGGTCAGTGTTATGATGATGTTGGGAGGCAGGAGAGTTACAAAGGGTATTTGTACAGTTTTGCAGCTTTCTCTTGTGGGAGAAGCAGAGTTCTTACCTCTTAACTTGGGTCATTTGTTTTTGTGCCAGGCAGGGTGCAGGGAGTTGAGGAATCACAGATGAATGAATAAGACACAGCATTTCCTTGGAGGAGTTGTTAAGTTAAATATCTCTGTATTATGACTTGAAGGGGTGTGACTCCTTTTTGTCTGAGCCCTGTCGTCTCTTGATCAGGAGAAGGATACATCCCTGTATCGACCAGCGCTGGAGGAATTGCGAAGGCAGATTCGTTCTTCTACAACTTCCATGACTTCAGTGCCCAAGCCTCTCAAATTTCTGCGTCCACACTATGGCAAACTGAAGGAAATCTATGAGAACATGGCCCCTGGGGAGAATAAGGTAAAACTGTTTCAAACCTGGTGGAGGCCTAGTTTAGGAATTCCTTTTTACCCAGATCATGGGGGGACTCATTGTGAGTCACAGGAAGCCTGATAGACCTAAGCCGTGATCTATTTGAGCAGAGTTCATCACAGTCAAAATATCTACAGAAGAGCTGAAAGGAAGGTCAGCTTCTCAGAAGACACTGTTTCTGTCATGTGTATTGGACTTTGGGGTTTCATTAGCATGGTCTACTTTTAACGTATGTTTAACCTTGATTTTTCTCTTTTCTTCTATCCCATATACATTCATTTATCTCTAAAATATGTTCCACATTCAGTCACTTCTCTGCCTGCTGGTACAACCCTAATCCTGGAAATGTTCAGTTTTTGCATGGGTTATTGCAGCACCTCTTAACTGATGTTGTTGCTTTTGTGCTTTGTTCCTACACAGTCTGTCTCTCATGTAGCAGCTATCGTGATCTTTCTCGGTTATAGGTCTTTTCTGCTTAAGACCTTTTAATAGTTTATAATTGCAATTAAAGTAAAATTGAGAGCCTCCATTTTTTTCCACTTTATCCCTCATTTATCACCCTTCAGCTGTGTTAGTTTAAAAGGAAGACAGTGGCTGGGTGTGGTGGCTCACACCTGTAACCCTAGCACTTTGGGAGGCCGAGGGGTGGATCACCTGAGGTCAGGAGTTTTAGACCATCCTGGCCAACATGGTGAAACCCCGTCTCTACTAAAAATTAAAAAAAAAAAAATTAGCTGGGTGTGGTGGTGGGCGCCTGTAATCCCAGCTACTTAGGAAGCTGAGGCAGGAGAATCACTTGAACCCCGGAGGCAGAGGTTGCAGTGAACCGAGAGCACACCATTGCACTCCAGCCTGGGCAGCAAGAGCGAAACTGAGTCTCAAAAAAAAAAAAAAAAGGAGATAGCAACAACACCAACCTTGGTTTTTGTGAGGTTTAGCTTACATAACATGTTAAATTTCTAGTACAGAGATTGGTATGTAGTTAGTTCAGTTTCGGAGACAATGATCTTGATTCCACAATGCATGCTCCCTTTATGCTGGACTGCTGGGTTTGACTTCAAAGAACTCTTTTCTTTATAGCGTTTTGCTGCTGACATCATCTCCGTTTTGGCCATGACCATGAGTGGGGAGCGTGAGTGCCTCAAGTATCGGCTAGTGGGCTCCCAGGAGGAATTGGCATCATGGGGTCATGAGTATGTCAGGTAAGATCTTTCTTCTTGGGAATCCGAAGGGGGCTCTGAGGCTCTGAGATAATTCAGAATTTTCTTGTGGAGTACAATCTGTCTTGGAGCATCAGTGTATTGAATTTCCCAGACGCTGGATTCCTTGACCCACAGAGAAGTGCTTCCCCTGAAGCTGTGCTCTCTTAATCGTCTGGGACTATCTGTAGGCATCTGGCAGGAGAAGTGGCTAAGGAGTGGCAGGAGCTGGATGACGCAGAGAAGGTCCAGCGGGAGCCTCTGCTCACTCTGGTGAAGGAAATCGTCCCCTATAACATGGCCCACAATGCAGAGCATGAGGCTTGCGACCTGCTTATGGAAATTGAGCAGGTGGACATGCTGGAGAAGGACATTGATGAAAATGCATATGCAAAGGTCTGCCTTTATCTCACCAGGTGAGTGAACATGGTAGGGAAGGGTGGCAGGCATGCCCTCCTCAGCACCTCTCTCTCAATTGCGCCTCCTCTATTTTCCCAGAGCATTTGCTCAAGCATAGCATCACGCTGTAGTTAATCTTTTGATGTGTGTGAGTTTCTTGAGGACAGAGACTTTGTGTCTTCTTAGTAGTTCTAACATCTAGCACAGTGCCTGGTGTATATAGTAGATATTTATTATTTATTTTGGGTAAGTGAATTCATGGGGAAAATGAGTGCCTGGGACTTTCTGAATTCTTTGTTACTTTTACTTTTGTAGTTGTGTGAATTACGTGCCTGAGCCTGAGAACTCAGCCCTACTGCGTTGTGCCCTGGGTGTGTTCCGAAAGTTTAGCCGCTTCCCTGAAGCTCTGAGATTGGCATTGATGCTCAATGACATGGAGTTGGTAGAAGACATCTTCACCTCCTGCAAGGATGTGTATGTAGGGAAGAAGCTGGCAAAGAGATAAGCTTACGAATAGGACACTTGCATAAAGAGCTGGGACTTGTAGTTTCTGGTTAGGGCTTGAGGGGTTTTCCTGTGCCCTTAGTGGACAGTGATGAGCAGATGTACGGGCTCTCTCCACAGGGTAGTACAGAAACAGATGGCATTCATGCTAGGCCGGCATGGGGTGTTCCTGGAGCTGAGTGAAGATGTCGAGGAGTATGAGGACCTGACAGAGATCATGTCCAATGTACAGCTCAACAGCAACTTCTTGGCCTTAGCTCGGGAGGTGAGACTGCCCTTTTTTCATCAAGGCCTTTTCGTCATAATTCTACCTGCCATTTCACCTCCCTGACTCTACCTCTGACTAGACTCTCCTTGATTAGAATTGCCATTCAGTGGGATAGCAGAAGGGACAGCTGGGGGAGTTCTAGGGAAGCAATTGTGACCCTCTGACTTCTCTTCAGCTGGACATCATGGAGCCCAAGGTGCCTGATGACATCTACAAAACCCACCTAGAGAACAACAGTGAGTAGCCCTCTCTGTGTATGGGATTTGGGGGATTGTAGGTATGCCCCTTGTATTGGGAGTGATGGCTTGGCCAACATGCTTATCCTATCGAGCTCAGAATCCTCATGAATCTTTTTCAGGTCACTGCTTGGGGGGGTATAGGTAGAGGATACTAAGGGACTAGCTCAGAACCAGAGACCAGTTGCCATGCTGTGTTTCTTTCCTGTCCTACCTGAAACCTTCTTTCCTTACTTTTCCTCTCCCTCCTGTTGCAGGGTTTGGGGGCAGTGGCTCTCAGGTGGACTCTGCCCGCATGAACCTGGCCTCCTCTTTTGTGAATGGCTTTGTGAATGCAGCTTTTGGCCAAGACAAGCTGCTAACAGATGATGGCAACAAATGGCTTTACAAGAACAAGGACCACGGTATAATTCTGTTCCTGCTTTGTCTTTTGTTTTGCTTTGATCACTTCTTTTGTCCTCTTGGAGTCATAAGTTATCTGACAAGGGATCCACCATGCAGTTCTTTGGAGAGCTCTTTATAATAACAGGATCCTCAGGATAGGGCCATTTTAAGACTAATAGATTCTTCCCTGGTATAGGAATGTTGAGTGCAGCTGCATCTCTTGGGATGATTCTGCTGTGGGATGTGGATGGTGGCCTCACCCAGATTGACAAGTACCTGTACTCCTCTGAGGACTACATTAAGGTTGGTCTGCATACAGCCTGCTCATGGGGACTTCCCCGTTCCATATTCTAGTGCCTAGCAGTGCCTCTCTTTCACTGATGAGGTCTGCCCAGTTTTTAACTCTAGTTAATAAGGGTGCTGCAGTGAGGCCCATGTTGCATCCTTTGCGGTGAGGAAGATAGAGTATCCTGAGTGAAGAATCTGTTTGCTCTTTGTAGTCAGGAGCTCTTCTTGCCTGTGGCATAGTGAACTCTGGGGTCCGGAATGAGTGTGACCCTGCTCTGGCACTGCTCTCAGACTATGTTCTCCACAACAGCAACACCATGAGACTTGGTTCCATCTTTGGGTAAGGTTCCTCGCTTGTCTTTCTGGTAGTGCTCAGCCTGTACACTCTGGAGAACAGGAACTGGGCCCTTTTCACCCATATTGCCAAGGGCTACCACTGTGCCTATTGGGTATCTGGCTCTTGGTGAATGTTTGTTGAAATGGTGAATGAATGACCGATTCTCCTTTTGTTCTTTTCTTGCTGCATCGTTGGGTATGTGTTGGGGACCGCCTTTCCATGGCTTTTGCAGGCTAGGCTTGGCTTATGCTGGCTCAAATCGTGAAGATGTCCTAACACTGCTGCTGCCTGTGATGGGAGATTCAAAGTCCAGCATGGAGGTGAGTAGAGGCTATTGAGCATTTAGAGTAAGTAGGGAAGGTGCTTTGAGTCTTACTTTCTGTGATAAATAATGAAAAAGAAGTAAGTGTGTGCATGTGTGCATACATGTACATGCCTGTTGGTGTGTATTGAGGGGCGTCACCTCAGTGAAACCCCTTGATCTGGGATTCTAAGCCTCTGGTGGTTTTAAGGCTAAAGAGTTAACATTTTAGGCCTGGCACGGTGGCTCGTGCCTATAATCCCAGCACTTTGGGAGGCTGCAGTGGGCGGATCACTTGAGCCCAGGAGTTCGAGACCAACCTGGGCAAGATTGTGAAACCCCATTTCTACCAAAAAATAAACAGAAAAATTAGCCGGGTGTGGTGGTGCTCGCCTGTAGTGCCAGCTACTAGGGAAGCTGAGGTGGGAGAATTGCTTGAACCCAGAGGTGGAGGTTGCAGTGAGCTGAGATCGCGCCACTGCACTCCAGTCTGGGTTACAGAGTGAGACCCTGTCTTTAAAAGAAAAAAAAAATTAACATTTTAGTGTTGAGTTCTGTCCCTTGGAATCTCTGAGAAACTACTTGGACTAGAGTGAAGTGTAACTTAACACAGCCTGGGGTTGATGATTCTCCTTAGTATTGTAGTCATTGGTCAGCCTTAAATGTTCATACTTGTGCAGAGTCATTAATGGATAAATACAGCATGGTGGCTAGTGGCATAGATTTAGAGTCAGAAAGACTTGAGTTCAAATCTTGCCACCTCTGCTTATAAGCAGTGTGATCCTGAACAAGTAATTCAATCTCTTTAGGCCGTATTTTTCTCATCCATAAAAGGGGATAACAGCCAGGCACTCATGCCTGTAATCCCAGCACTTTGGGAGGCCGAGGTGGGTGGATCATAAGGTCAAGAGATCAAGACCATCCTGGCCAAGATGGTGAAACCCTGTCTCTATTAAAAATACAAAAATTAGCTGGGCGTGGTGGCGCGCACCTATAGTCCCAGCTACTTGGGAGGCTGAGGCAGGAGAATCGCTCGAACCCAGGAGGTGGAGGTTGCGGTGAGCCAAAATCGCGACACTGCACTCCAGCCTAGCGATAGAGCGAGACTCTGTCTCAAAAAAAAAAAAAAAAAAGCAGTGCAGGGGATAACCTCAGGATCTGTGACCTTGGGGCTGTCACAAGGGTTAAATGTCAATAGTATGTAAAACAGTTGGCCTAGTGGCTGGCATATAGTATATACTCAATGAATAATGACTACTATTGTTATTTTGATATTATGAACTAATGTTATTAGGGAGAATATCTTGCAGTGGACTGTAGGAATAGGCTATCTTGAATCAAGACATAAATATTTTAATAACTTACTCTGTGTAATACTGATTTTCCTACCTCTAGGTGGCAGGTGTCACAGCTTTAGCCTGTGGAATGATAGCAGTAGGGTCCTGCAATGGAGATGTAACTTCCACTATCCTTCAGACCATCATGGAGAAGTCAGAGACTGAGCTCAAGGATACTTATGCTCGTTGGCTTCCTCTTGGACTGGGTCTCAACCACCTGGGTGAGGGGATGTTTCTATTTGGGCAAAGAGCTGACAGTAACTGGATACAACAGGGAGGGTTTATGTGTCAGGCTGTGCTGGATGGAGGCAAGTATCCTCTGACCCCTTGAATCTGTCCTGTAGGGAAGGGTGAGGCCATCGAGGCAATCCTGGCTGCACTGGAGGTTGTGTCAGAGCCATTCCGCAGTTTTGCCAACACACTGGTGGATGTGTGTGCATATGCAGGTCTGTGTCTTTATGAGTCTGTCTTGTGCTTCCCCAGTGACTCCTCACTTCTTTCTTGGTCCTTATTTTCAGGTTGTTTCTCCTTTCTCCTTCATTCTGATCTGCTCTAGATTCTTTAGACTTCTCCTGTTTTCCAAAGCTTTTCCTTGGTAACTTCTCATTTCTGTCCATTCTCCCTCACCACCCTGACGCAGGCTCTGGGAATGTGCTGAAGGTGCAGCAGCTGCTCCACATTTGTAGCGAACACTTTGACTCCAAAGAGAAGGAGGAAGACAAAGACAAGAAGGAAAAGAAAGACAAGGACAAGAAGGAAGCCCCTGCTGACATGGGAGCACATCAGGTTATATGGGCAGCTGGGCACTTGCAGAGAGGCTGTGAGAAGAGATAAGCATATAGGGGAGGCTGGGTTTGGTTTTTGCTTTAGGGCCTCTCTGGGTATTGCCATGTATTGAAATAGCGTGTGACTGGGTTCTGTATGTAAGGGGTAAAGGTGTTCCCCACAGGATGGCTTTTTATTTTCAGATGGGACTTGAGTCAAGGGTGACTGTTTTTTATTCCTTGAGCTTAATGGGTTCTGCTCTCTCTTCAATTGCAGGGAGTGGCTGTTCTGGGGATTGCCCTTATTGCTATGGGGGAGGAGATTGGTGCAGAGATGGCATTACGAACCTTTGGCCACTTGGTGAGTATAGCATGAAGAAAATTGGAATATACTGGTTTTGATGGCCTGGGGTTCCCCAGGGAAGATTTTTCTGATGGGTTTTCTTGGTGGAGAGCTGGTCTTTTTGCTGTGCCTTTTCTTTCTTTTTTCTTTTCTTTTTTGAAGCGGAGTTTTGCTCTAGAGTGCAATGGCACGGTCTTGGCCCACTGCAACCTCTGCCTCCCGGGTTCAGGTGATTCTCCTGCCTCAGCCTCACAAGTAGCTGGGACTACAGGCACATGCCACCATGCCCAGCTAATTTTTGTATTTTTAGTAGAGACAGGGTTTTACCATGTTGGCTAGGATGGTCTCTATCTCTTGACCTCATGATCCACCTGCCTCGGCCTCCCAAAGTGCTGGGATTACAGGCATGAGCCACCATGCCCAGCCTGCTGTGCCTTTTCTACAGAAGTTAAGGCCCCCTTTTACCCATCAGTCCACTCCTGTAATGGAATTTGTTTTTACTGCATTCCGCCTTACTGTTGTATTTTCTTGGATCATCAGCTGAGATATGGGGAGCCTACACTCCGGAGGGCTGTACCTTTAGCACTGGCCCTCATCTCTGTTTCAAATCCACGACTCAACATCCTGGATACCCTAAGCAAATTCTCTCATGATGCTGATCCAGAAGTTTCCTATAACTCCATTTTTGCCATGGGCATGGTGGGCAGTGGTGAGTATCCGGCAGAAGAAGGTCATAAACAGATTGGGGGAAGATTTGAAGCCCCTTTTTTCACTTCTGTAATGCTTAACATTTCCAGGTACCAATAATGCCCGTCTGGCTGCAATGCTGCGCCAGTTAGCTCAATATCATGCCAAGGACCCAAACAACCTCTTCATGGTGCGCTTGGCACAGGTAAAGAATAGAACTCCTCCACAGAGCGTGCCGGGGAAGTATCTGTGGTGATGGAAGGAGGAACATGGAGTGTTGGCCCAGGAGGAAAGATGTGACCAAGTGGGAGATTTCTGTTTGGCTGGGTTAGGCGATGTCTCCTCAGTGGTAACTCCTCACCTCTACTTCCCTCTGTTTTTTTCAGGGCCTGACACATTTAGGGAAGGGCACCCTTACCCTCTGCCCCTACCACAGCGACCGGCAGCTTATGAGCCAGGTGGCCGTGGCTGGACTGCTCACTGTGCTTGTCTCTTTCCTGGATGTTCGAAACAGTGAGTTCCTGTCAGAAATTTTATATCATAGCATGCAGGGCTCTGACTCCACCCTTTCCAGGGCCACTTTGATAATTTAGGTTCAAGACCCCAGTTTAGCTCTGTATCGCTCTAGGTTTCTGAGACAGGCTTTGGGCCTGTGACATGAGACTTTCATCACCCACACTTTTGATCTGGCCCAAAGAGATTTGAGGGTGATGTGCCCAGCGTCTGCTCCTAAGTCACTGGGGAAATGCGATTTTCAAGTCTAAGGGCTGTAAGCAAAGTGAGGTGGGGGCGTCTCTGGTTCGTAGTAGGGTGTATGAGGGGAGGAGTGTGGATTCAGTCGTATGACTGACGGGTTAAAGGGTCAGCGCTGAGGTGGGCTCTCAATGTTTCTGGCCAGGCCTGTCTTTTTGTCTCTTAACTTTTTGTCCTGTCTGCTTCCCTCAGTTATTCTAGGCAAATCACACTATGTATTGTATGGGCTGGTGGCTGCCATGCAGCCCCGAATGCTGGTTACGTTTGATGAGGAGCTGCGGCCATTGCCAGTGTCTGTCCGTGTGGGCCAGGTGAGAGGCTGAGTAGAGGGGAGGGCTCAGGCTGTATTCTCAAACTGGAGAATGTACATATACTTGCTTTGCTGAAACTGGCGTGGGCGGTGGCTTGTCGCTACTTTTCCATCTCTCTTTTCAATTTTCTTACCCTACAGGCAGTGGATGTGGTGGGCCAGGCTGGCAAGCCGAAGACTATCACAGGGTTCCAGACGCATACAACCCCAGTGTTGTTGGCCCACGGGGAACGGGCAGAATTGGCCACTGAGGAGTTTCTTCCTGTTACCCCCATTCTGGAAGGTTTTGTTATCCTTCGGAAGAACCCCAATTATGATCTCTAAGTGACCACCAGGGGCTCTGAACTGCAGCTGATGTTATCAGCAGGCCATGCATCCTGCTGCCAAGGGTGGACACGGCTGCAGACTTCTGGGGGAATTGTCGCCTCCTGCTCTTTTGTTACTGAGTGAGATAAGGTTGTTCAATAAAGACTTTTATCCCCAAGGTCTCTCTGTGTCTGTTTTCTGGGGTGTCATGGCTGGAGTCTAAACTAGAGTAAGGAGTGGAAGTGAGAGGGCATTGTTAGGAGCAACGCTGAGTTTAGGTTAGCAGCACTGCCCTGGATGGAAAGAACTGAGCCCCTTCCCTCCCCTGGGTGGAAAAAACTAAGCCCCTCCTTTCTAATCATCTTCTCTTTGCATTTTCTTAGAACCCTTGAGAAGCCAATAAATGTAATGGATCTTCTTTTTGTTTTGTTTTGTTTTGTTTGAGACAGAGTCTTGCTGTCTCCCCCAGGCTGGAGTGCAGTGAGGCAGTCTCGGCTCACTGCAACGCCTGCCTTCCGGGTTCACGCCATTCTCCTGCCTCAGCCTCCCAAGTAGCTGGGACTACAGGTGCCTGCCACCACGCCCGGCTAATTTTTGTTTTTTGTTTTTGTTTTTTTGAGATGGAGTCTCGCTGTGTCATCCAGGCTGGAGTGCAGTGGTGCGATCTTGGCTCACTGCAAGCTCCACCTCCCGGGTTCACGCCATTCTCCTACCTCAGCCTCCCGAGTAGCTGGGATTACAGGCACCTGCCACCACGCCTGGCTAATTTTTCATATTTTTAGTAGAGACGGGGTTTCACCATGTTAGCCAGGATGGTCTCGATCTCCTGACCTTGTGATCCGCCTGCCTCAACCTCCCAAAGTGCTGGGATTATAGGCGTGAGCCACCGCACCCGGCAAATTTTTGTATTTTTAATAGACGGGGTTTCACCATGTTGGCCAGGATGGTCTCGAACTCCTGACCTCAGATGATCCACCTGCCTCGGCCTCCCAAAGTGCTGGGATTACAGGTGTGAGCCACCGTGCCCAGCCAATGGATATTCTTCCTAGGAGACGCAAATACACAAATTTTTACACAAACTCTTCCAAATAACTTCAGGGGGCTTGTGGATCCTGTAAATAACCCCCCACACTCACCCTCCACCACCAATACACCCTCTTCAAGCCTATCATCTTCTGACCTTGGGCTAAGGATGCCCAAGAGTGGGCAGCCTCATACTTTTCTAACTTGACTTACGTGCTACTGAATGAAAAGGACATCTTTACCTCCCGCAACCATCTGTCCCTCTTGGGAGGCTGCTATGAGGAATTTGATCATGTTAACATCTACTTCTAGGATGTCCTTGTAGAAAGTGGATTCAAGAAGGCTTGACCCTCAGCCTCCCAAGCAGGTAAGGTAGGGCTACAGGTGTGTACCACCACTTCTGGCTTTTTTTTTTTTTTTTTGAAATGGTCTCACTCTTATCACTCAGTCTGGAGTGCAGTGGCACAGTCATAGCTCACTGTAGCCTCAAACTCCTGGACTCAAGTGATCCTCCTGACTCAGCCTCCCAAGTAGTAACTAGGACTATAGGCATGACCCACCACAGCTGGCCTACTTTTATTTTTGTGGAGGTGGGGGTTTTGCTGTGTTGCCCACGCTGGTCTCAATCTCTTGGCCTCAAGGGATCCTTCCACCTCAGCTCCCAAAGTGCTGGGATCACAGGCATGAGCCAGTATGCCTGGCTATTTATTTATTTATTTATTTTGAGACAGAGTCGTGCTCTGTTGCCCAGGCTGGAGTGCAGTGGCGTGATCTCGGCTCACTCTGCGTCTGGGGTTCAAGAGACTGTCTGCCTCAGCCTCCTGAGTAGCTGGGACTACAGGCATGCGCCACCATGCTCTGCTAATTTTTGTATTTTTAGTAGAGACGGGGTTTCACCATGTTGGCCAGGATGGTCTCGATCTGACCTTGTGATCCACCTGCCTCGGCCTCCCAAAGTGCTGGGATTACAGGTGTAAGCCACCACACCTGGCCCAGTTATTTTATTACTAAATTTTTTTAGAGACAAAGTCTCACTTTGTGGCCCAGGCTGGAGTGCAGTGGCATGATCATGGCTCACTGCAGCCTTGAACTTCTAGGCTTAAGTGATTCTCCCACATCAGCCTCTCAGGTAGCTGGGATTACAGGCATGAGACATCAGCAATTTTGGATTGAGTCATCTTGGCAGCCTGTATAAAAAGGTTGAAACAGGATTAAGGAATCCCTGTTGAGCCCCTTTATGGTTCCTGCCATAATCTTCAAGTTAGCATGTGTGATGTGATGAGCCTCTGTTATTATATAATGTGGATATAGTAGTTGCCTTACCTGATTTCCAGTGGTGGTGATGTTAGAATAAAAAGTGATTTGTAAACTAAAAAGAATGATTCTCTCCCAAATTGTGATTTAGGTGATTGTGCTTTAGAATAAGACAGTTTCATAGTGGCTTTTAACCTTTCACCTTTAGTTCTTCATTCATCAGTGAATAGCAGTGGAGCCTTACTCTGCATCAGACATTCGTCTAATTTATGGGGATGCAAATACAGAAAAAAACCCCTATGCTCAAAAAGTTTAATGAAATGATGAAAACAACTGTGATCGATACTTACCAGGGTGTGAACAAGGTACCCTGGTATCACTGAGATGGGGCCTAAGTGCCTGGGGCAATCGGGGGACTTTGAGGAAGCTTATATCCTTAGAGGAAGATAAGTTTGTACAGAGGAAAAGAGGGCAGAATATAGCTAAGGGAGTAGCAAAGGCAAGAAGGAGGAAAAGCTGTTTTCAGAAACTTACAGATAATTTGGTTTGGCTAAATGTATAGGGGCCAGGGAAAAGGGTGGTAGGAGATACAGCTGGAAATTCAGGCTCAGACTAGGTTTACAAGAGCTTTGTTGTGCTAAGAATTTGACAGTATCTTTCAATGGGGCCCACTGAATGAGAGCAGAAAAGTGACATGATCAGCTATCTGGGTGAGAAAGCTAACCCTGGAGGACAGGAGAGCAGGCAAGGAAAATGAATGCTTGAACTAAGGCAGTTGAAATGGGGACATAGGGAAGGGTAGAATAGTTATTTTTTAAAAGATAAGATCAATAGGACTTGATTTTGATCCAAATACCAGTAAGACCTGGTGTCTGATTAGATGTAGTGTGTGGATGGAGAAGGAATATAGGATGAATCCCAGATTTTCAGGTTAGGCACTATCTATTACGTAAGCAACAATATATTTGGGGGACTTGATTGAGTAGGGAAAGTTAACAAATTCTGGCCAGGTAATAAGTATCAGAGTTTGGATGAAAACTCAAGCAATCTGACCTGTGGATTTGGCTGTAGATGATGGTCCCTTCTGGCCTCTGTCAGCTTTTTCTTTTTTTTTTTGAGACGGAGTTTCGCTCATGTTGCCCAGGCTGGAGTGCAATGGCAGGATCTCAGCTCACCGCAAGCTCCACCTCCCGGGTTCAAGCAATTCTCCTGCCTCAGCCTCCTGAGTAGCTGCGATTATAGGCATGCGCAACCATGCCTGGCTAATTTTTGTATATTTTTAGTAGAGACGGGGTTTCTCTATGTTGGTCAGGCTGGTCTCAAACTCCCGATCTCAGGTGATCCGCCTGCCTCAGCCTCCCAAAATACTGGGATTACAGGCGTGAGCCACCGCCCCCGACCGGCTGTCAGTTTTAAGATTACTTCTCTTCTGTCCTTATTCTTCCATCCTTACGCTTTTGCCCCTCCGTGGGAGTGTCTGCTCTTTTTATATTTTATTTCATTTATTTATTTATTTATTTGAAACAGAGTCTCACTCTGTTGCCCAGGCTGGAATGCAGTTGTGATCTCAGGTCACTGCAGCCTCCAACTCCCAGGTTCAAGCGATTCTCCTGCCTTAGCCTCTCCACTAGCTGGGACTACAGGTGCTTGCCACCACATCTGGCTGATTTTTCTATTTATAGTAGAGATGAGGTTTCACCATGTTGGCCAGGGTGCTCTCGAACTCCTGACTTCAGGTGATCTGCCTGCCTTGGCCTCCCAAAGTGCTGGAATTACAGGCGTGAGCCACCGTGCCTGCCTTTATTTTTTATTTTTATTTTTATTTTTTGAGACAGAGTCTCACTGTCATCCAGGCTAGAGTGCAGTGGCGCAATCTTGGCTCACTGCAAGCTCTGCCTCCCGGGTTCAAGCAGTTTTCTGCCTCTGCCTCCTGAGTGGCTGGGACTACAGGCGCACGCCACCAGACCCGTCTAATTTTTTGTATTTTAGTAGAGATGGGGGTTTCACCATGTTGGCCAGGATGGTGACCCCGTGATCCGCCCTGACCCCGTGATCCGCCCGCCTCGGCCTTCCAAAGTGCTGGGATTACAGGCGTGAACCACCGCGCCCGGCCCATGATCCTTTTAAACGACAAATCTCATACTACTTGCCTAGTTAGAATGTTTCTAACTTTTTAAACGACAAATCTCATACTACTTGCCTAGTTAGAATGTTTCTATCCTTTTAATTTCCTTTGTTATAGGCCTTTCAAGGACCTAATCTAAATTCTTTTCAAAGCCTGCATAATTCGTGTTGTATCACGATTTACTTAGGCAGGACTGAGTCTTTAATTTCTTTTTTTCTTTCTTTTTTTTTTTTTTTGAGATGGAGTCTCACCCTGTCGCCAGGCTAGAGTGCAGTGGCGTAATTTCGGCTCACTGCAACCTCCGCCTCCCGGGTTCAAGCAATTCTCTGCCTCTGCCTACCGAGTAGCTAGGACTACAGGCGTGCGCCACCAGGCCCAGCTAATTTTTTGTATTTTAGTAGAGACGGGGTTTCACCATGTTGGCCAGGATGGTCTAGATCTCCTGACCCCGTGATCCGCCCGCCTCGGCCTCCCAAAGTGCTGGGATTACAGGCGTGAGCCACTGCGCCCGGCCCATGATCTTTTTAAACTACAAATCTCATACTACTTGCCTAATTAGAATGTTTCTATCCTTTTAATTTCCTTTGTTATTGGCCTTTCAATGACCTAATCTAAATTATTTTCAAAGCCTGCATAATTCGTATTGTATCACGATTTACTTAGGCAGGACGGAGTCTTTAATTTCTTTCTTTTTTTTTTTTGAGATGGAGTCTCGCCCTGTCGCCAGGCTAGGCTAGAGTGCAGTGGCACAATCTCCGCTCACTGCAACCTCTGCCTCCCGGGCTCAAACAATTCTCCTGCCTCAGCCTCCCAAGTAGCTGGGACTACGGGTGCGCCACCACGCCCGGCTAATTTTTGTATTTTTAGTAAAGACGGGGTTTCACCATGTTGGCCAGGATGGTCTCGATCTCTTGACCTCGTGATCCGCCCACCTCGGCCTCCCAAAGTACTGGGATTAAGGTGTGAGCCACCGCGCCCCGCTTATTTTTTTTTTTTTTTTGCCGAGACTTTGATTTCAGTTTCTCAGCCCTCAACCAGCACTTCGCCTTGTACTTAGCATGCACTCAATAAATGGTTGCTTAAAATATGAATGAACTAAAGAATCGCGGAACAGAGAGAAACACAGAGGGGAATCGGTCTGGGAGTTTCAAAGTTCGGGAGGGGACACGGGGGCGGGCTGTGGCTGTCACGTGACGGGGCGGGGGCAAATCCCATGTGCTCGGCGGCGCAGATCGCCCGGCGCGGCTCCGCCCCCTGCGCCGGTCACGTGGGGGCGCCGGCTGCGCCTGCGGAGAAGCGGTGGCCGCCGAGCGGGATCTGTGCGGGGAGCCGGAAATGGTTGTGGACTACGTCTGTGCGGCTGCGTGGGGCTCGGCCGCGCGGACTGAAGGAGACTGAAGGTAAAGCCGCCATGTCCGGGCCCGACCCGGCCCCCCCACCCCCTCCCCCCGCATCCGCCGCCATCCGGGCCGGGACCGGCCACCCTGCGCCGCCGCCCCGGCGCCCTGGCCCCGCGGCCCGACCCAGGGCCCCGGCCCGCCAGGGTCCCGATCCCCGGCCCACGTGTGCCTGGCCCGGCCGGGCCTGGCTGCTGGGTGGGGGTGGGGAGCGCAGGGCCGGACTATGCGGGCCCCGCGGGCTGGTAGGGCGCCGGGTTCGTCGCCGCGAAATGCCACCTCGGCCTGACCCGAGGAGGCCCGGCAGCCCACGGGCGCAGGCACCACGGCTCCCGGCCCGCCGCCCCCTCCCCCCTTCGCGGCCAGGCCGCCGGGAAGTGACACGTTGTTCTTTGGCACTGGCCCGCGCTGCGCAGGGAGGGCGCAGGGGAGGGAGGCGGTGGCGGCGGGCAGGGAGGAGCCCCCGGCCCCGCCCGCCCTCCGGGCCGACCCTCACTTGCCTGAAACCGGCTCCTCGACGGCCGCCGCCCGCCTGGCCTTTTAGGGCCTGACTCCCGCCCTTCCTGGCCTACACTCCTGGGCGGCGGCAGGCCTAGCTTCTGGCCCAGTGCGGGTTCCCCGGCGGCAGGCGTATCCTGTGTGCCCCTGGGCCAGGCCCGAACCCGGTGTCCCCGGGTGGGGGGTGGGGACGCCACGGCCGAAGCAGCTAGCTCCGTTCGTGATCCGGGAGCCTGGTGCCAGCGAGACCTGGAATTTCCGGTCTGGTTGGTCTGGGGCCCCGCGGAGCCAGGTTGATACCCTCACCTCCCAACCCCAGGCCCTCGGATGCCCAGAACCTGTAGGCCGCACCGTGGACTTGTTCTTAATCGAGGGGGTGAGTGAGGGGTCTGTTTCAGTAGGTCAGGGGTTGGTTGGAAGTGATGCGGGTTTGACAGCATGTTGGTGGGGACAGGCTGTATCTTTTCTGCTTCACCCTCTTGGCATCTCTGGGACTCCGTATGGGACCCAGCCCTTGCATCAACCCTTTCACCGCCCCATTTGCCTTAAGCTTGGGTCCCTTCCTCTTCCTGAGCGCCACTCTTTCCCAACAGGTGCTGGGGGGACCCTGATGTGGCACCAAATGAAATGAACAAAGCTCCACAGTCCACAGGCCCCCCACCCGCCCCATCCCCCGGACTCCCACAGGTAATTAGGGAGGAATTAGCAGGGGTGGGGGTGGGGGAGACCAGGCAGTCTCCAGCCTCTGGATCTTCCTACCCCCATCTGTGTCAGGGCAAAGTGCAGCCGCCTGCTGCCAAATTGAGACAGGGCCCCTGGGCTGTCCCCGGGGGCTGTCACGGGGAGGGGGTATGTGGATTGTTAAGGCTCTTGCCGCAGATCTGCTCCCCTTATTTCACCAGCTTGGGTTTCTGCCCCACCTGGGCTTCCCCTCTTGCTGAACTCTGGTCTCCCCTCTTCAGCCAGCGTTTCCCCCGGGGCAGACAGCGCCGGTGGTGTTCAGTACGCCACAAGCGACACAAATGAACACGCCTTCTCAGCCCCGCCAGGTGAGGGGCTGTGGGGAGGGGAGTAGGGGACCTGGGTGGGAGCAGTGGAAAGCTTTGGCCAGTTTAGGTCTAGGATGGAAACTGGAGGCCCCATACCTGGCCTTAATCCTCTGTGTTCTTTCATGCGGCTCTGCGCCTTGCCCTGTTGATTACTCACGGTGGCTGGTCCCTTGGATAGTATGTTGTCAATGAGGGTGGCATTACTGGGATCCTAGTGCCTCTGAGAATTGGGGGCAGTGCTTTGGGCCCTGCTGCCAGCTCTTGCTTTCCTATTTGCTCCTTTTACCGGAGGCTGCTATTGCTCTATTGCTCTCTCTGCTTTCTCTTTGGACTGTGGTGAGGTAAACACTCCAGCTGGTCCTTGCCTTTCTCTGTTCCCCAGCTTCTTCCTTACTAAGTGGGAGGATTCTTGTCCTGTCTTATTGCCTTCATTCCCTCCCCCCGCCATCACCTTGGGGGTAATTCTCTTCTTTCCTATCCCCATGTGCTCTCAGGGAGGATTCAGGTCTCTGCAGGTAATATCCCTTTCCCAACCCTGGACAGTCTTCTGGTCTCATCCTTACCCTCCACCCTAGTCAGGGGCTAGACACAGGGAATGGGGATCTTCAGGGTAGTGACTTGTTTGGTGTCCAGGTTCTCAGTTGGAGGCCGAGTGATGCATGTTAGGGGCTACATCTTGAAGAACGCGCATCTGGGGACTGGGATGCTGTTGCATGTTATGGTTAGCTCCTCATTACATGCTGGTGGAGCAGTGCATGCTGGGGATATGTTGCCCGAAAGGGCCTTACTTAGGCATGATGCATCTCGGTGTTAGGAAGCCTCTGCAGAGGGGTAGTTTGGTAGAGGTGACGTGTGTATGCATGGCAGTGAGAGAGTAAATCTCTGCAGGATGCAAAGTGTACATCTGAATTTGGAGGTTTGGAGGGCATGTGTGTGTACAAGAAGCCGCTTAGCCATTTGGTCAAGTGGTCTTGGAAGGATTGGTCGCCATGTTCTGAAGCCCACAGTACTTCTTTCCAGGCTATAGAGACATTGTGGAGTGGCAATTTTTTGTCCACTTCCTTCTCTTTACAATGCCAACTGCTTTCCTCCCTCCTGACAGCACTTCTACCCTAGCCGGGCCCAGCCCCCGAGCAGTGCAGCCTCCCGAGTGCAGAGTGCAGCCCCTGCCCGCCCTGGCCCAGCTGCCCATGTCTACCCTGCTGGATCCCAAGTAATGATGATCCCTTCCCAGATCTCCTACCCAGCCTCCCAGGGGGCCTACTACATCCCTGGACAGGTGAGGCTGGGGGCTTGGAGCCTAGAAGCCACAGACCCCTATACCTCTCACTTAACTCACCCTGACCCTCCAGTTCCATTGCTTTTCCAGAGGTGGGACTTCCTTCTGGTCATTGCCCAGAGTTGGCTTGTCTTGTCTTGACCTATGTTCTTTTTGGAGTCTGATATGGAACTCATAGCTCCCTCAACTCCTTCTCTCCCTCTCCCCCTTCCCCACCAGGGGCGTTCCACATACGTTGTCCCGACACAGCAGTACCCTGTGCAGCCAGGAGCCCCAGGCTTCTATCCAGGTGCAAGCCCTACAGAATTTGGGACCTACGGTAAGCAGGGGAGGGAGTCAGAGGTGAGAACAAGCCCAAGGGAGCATCTAAACTCATCTGCTGATTTCTAAAGCAGAAGACCCTTCCCAGGCTTGGCTTCTGGTCTAAAAATGATAAGGTTAATAGGTGGTAGGGATTGGTGCTTAATATTTAACTGGTGTTGATTGTGGGGAGAAAATTTGATTTTATTGCCAGGAGAGTTAAGAGTCTTTCCCACATCAGGGAATGTAGGATCAGGCACCAGCCTGAGAGCCTATTAGTAGGCTTTCCCTGTGACACTTCTTCCATGGTTGGGAGCCCATGTAATGCAAATTTGGGAGGTTTTTGTAGCTATTTTTTATTTATGTTCTAGGGAAGGATTAGTCTGTTCTTTATGGCAGTGGCTTCCAAGTTTTTTGATCACCTATCAGGAAAAGTTTTGAGTATGAATCTCTCATACATGTATGTTTTTGTTTATATGTATGCAAAATTTAAACAAATACACTTGTGCTTGTCAAAAACAAGTGGAATTTAGGGATGAAATTAAAGAATGTGCCCGGATCTTGCTTGTAATCCCAGCACTTTGGGAGTCAGGAGGACTGCTTAAGGCCAGGAGTTTGAGACCAGCCTGGGAAACTTAGTGAGACCCTGTCTCTATTTTAAAATTTGAGGGGGGCTGAGCACGGTGGCTCACGCCTGTAGTCCCAGCACTTTGGGAGGCCAAGACAGGCGGATCACTTGAGGTCAGGTGTTCGAGACCAGCCTGGCCAACATAGTGAAGCTCCGTCTCTACTAAATTTTATTGTTATTATTTTAATTTTCTTTTTGAGACGGAGTCTCGCTCTGTCACCCAGGCTGGAATGTAGTCGCACAGTCTTGGCTCTCTGCAGCCTCCGCCTCTTGGGTTCAAGTGATTCTCCTGCCTCAGCCTCCCGAGTAGCTGGGATTACAGGCGTGTGCCACCACACCCAGCTAATTTTTGTGTTTTTAGTAGAGATGGTGTTTCATCATGTTGACCAGGCTGGTCTCGAACTCCTGGCCTCAAGTGATCCACCTGCCTCAGCCTCCCAAAGTGCTGAGATTATAGGCGTGAGCCACCACGCCTGGCCCTGTCTCAACTAAAAATACAAAAATTAGGCCTGGTGATGCACTCTTGTAATCCCAGCTATTCGGGAGGCTGAGGCAGGAGGATCGCTTGAACCCGGGATGTGGAGATTGCAGTGAACCAAGATTGTGCCACTGTATTCCAGCCTGGGCAATAGAGTGAGACTCCATCTCAAAAAAAAAAAAAAATTAAGGGGAAAAAAGAACTCACCCACTTTGGAGATAGTTTGCTTTAAGGAATTAATTTTTCTTCATCTTGAGCCTAGTTCATAATGTTACTTTGTTTCTTTGCCCCTTTGTAAAGGGCTGGAGACAGGAACTAGACTCAAGTTAAATGGAACAGGGTTGGCAGATCTCTTTCTCTCATTACCAGCCAAAGACCTGGTTCTGTTTCAGGTTCAGAGTATGTGTGTACATGTTGATAGCGGGTGGGGTACACACACGAGAGTAACTTGTACGGTGGAAGGACAGACATAAGTCCTCCTGGTCACTGGTGTGTGGTAGGAAAGAGTGCCTGCCTACGAGGGGTGTGTGTGTGTGTGTGTGTGTGTGTGTGTGTGTGTGTGTTTGTGTGTGTGTGTGTGTTAGGAATTCTTGTAAACGCAGTTCAGACTGGTTCCCCAGCTTTGACAGACACCTAATTCCCTGGGGGAGGAGGGCAGGGCAGGGCAAGGCAAGGGGCCGGCTGTGGGTGGTGAGAGGTTTTGGGGTGGGAGGTGTCAGGCAGGCATTAGTATATGGTTGGGCCCTGACGCTACCACCATTCTTCTCCGTCCCCCCTCCCCCAAGCTGGCGCCTACTATCCAGCCCAAGGGGTGCAGCAGTTTCCCACTGGCGTGGCCCCCACCCCAGTTTTGATGAACCAGCCACCCCAGATTGCTCCCAAGAGGGAGCGTAAGACGGTGAGTAGCAGTGAGGGGCTCCGGGACATCTGGGAAGGGGAGAATCAAGGTCAGGTGCTGCTGGGACATTGTGCCGGAAAGAGCAGTGACTTGAGGAGGAAGGAGCTGAGAGTGGGCAGAGAATGGTGTCTGTGGAGGGCTCAGGTTCTTTGTAAGATGCTAAGATTTCAGCATAGAAGCAGGTCATGGGAAGACTGAAGTGCCTAGCGAGGAAGTTCCTGCGAGACCTGGGTGCTGGGGGGTTGGAAGAACTATGCTTGGTTTTGGGTTTCTAGTGGCTTGCCTTGGAAATGGTTTGTTTTCTGTGGCCCCAGCCCCCATTCCCCCCTGCCCCCCCAGTCCTGGAAGCTCTCAAGGCCTCCGCCTCTGCTCAGTCCTCAAGCCCTGGGCGTGGTGCCCAGAATAGGGTGCCAGAGCTGGGGAAGCCGCTGAGTCACCCTGGCTCCACCTACTGGATCTGGGCCCTGCCCCCAGAGATCAGGCACACTAGCCACAAGTGAGCCGATTGGGTTCTAGATGGGGGTCCTGGGCCCCAGGGTGTGCAGCCACTGACTTGGGGACTGCTGGTGGGGTAGGGATGAGGGAGGGAGGGGCATTGTGATGTACAGGGCTGCTCTGTGAGATCAAGGGTCTCTTAAGGGTGGGAGCTGGGGCAGGGACTACGAGAGCAGCCAGATGGGCTGAAAGTGGAACTCAAGGGGTTTCTGGCACCTACCTACCTGCTTCCCGCTGGGGGGTGGGGAGTTGGCCCAGAGTCTTAAGATTGGGGCAGGGTGGAGAGGTGGGCTCTTCCTGCTTCCCACTCATCTTATAGCTTTCTTTCCCCAGATCCGAATTCGAGATCCAAACCAAGGAGGAAAGGATATCACAGAGGAGATCATGTCTGGGGCCCGCACTGCCTCCACACCCACCCCTCCCCAGGTACTGTCTGCTTTTCGAGTGATACCCTGGCTGGGATGTCTGTTCTGCCCTGGACTCCCAAGTCCCTGGATCTTTTCTTTCAACTAAGGGATTTATTTCCCTGCTTTCCTGGATTTCTAGGCAGAGCTAAAGTAGAAATGGCTCTAGTAAAGAAGGGTTGTGGGACTCTTCAGTGCAAACTTGGTAACCCTTTGTGTCCTGCAGACGGGAGGCGGTCTGGAGCCTCAAGCTAATGGGGAGACGCCCCAGGTTGCTGTCATTGTCCGGCCAGGTAAGTAAGCCGGTGGGACGGAGCTTTTATGGGGAAAGGGAATGTTAACAGTTAAATGCTGAGGTGGTGGAGTGACTTGAACTGGGTACCAGAGAATGATGACTTAGATTTCAGGTTGTGGGATTTTGAGGGTGAATTGGGTTTTGGATGAAAGTGGAAGTATAGCTTAGGTGGGGAGAAGATGATGCGGGGTTATTAAGTTGGGAATGCCTGGGCTGGAGGATGGGGAGGAACAACAGCAGTTAAGCACTTGCCTTTAGTTGCTCATTCTTCCTTCCTATGGTGCAGATGACCGGTCACAGGGAGCAATCATTGCTGACCGGCCAGGGCTGCCTGGCCCAGAGCATAGCCCTTCAGAATCCCAGCCTTCGTCGCCTTCTCCGACCCCATCACCATCCCCAGTCTTGGAACCGGGGTCTGAGCCTAATCTCGCAGTCCTCTCTATTCCTGGGGACACTATGACAACTATACAAATGTCTGTAGAAGAATCAACCCCCATCTCCCGTGAAACTGGGGAGCCATATCGCCTCTCTCCAGAACCCACTCCTCTCGCCGAACCCATACTGGAAGTAGAAGTGACACTTAGCAAACCGGTTCCAGAATCTGAGTTTTCTTCCAGTCCTCTCCAGGCTCCCACCCCTTTGGCATCTCACACAGTGGAAATTCATGAGCCTAATGGCATGGTCCCATCTGAAGATCTGGAACCAGAGGTGGAGTCAAGCCCAGAGCTTGCTCCTCCCCCAGCTTGCCCCTCCGAATCCCCTGTGCCCATTGCTCCAACTGCCCAACCTGAGGAACTGCTCAACGGAGCCCCCTCGCCACCAGCTGTGGACTTAAGCCCAGTCAGTGAGCCAGAGGAGCAGGCCAAGGAGGTGACAGCATCAATGGCGCCCCCCACCATCCCCTCTGCTACTCCAGCTACGGCTCCTTCAGCTACTTCCCCAGCTCAGGAGGAGGAAATGGAAGAAGAAGAAGAAGAGGAAGAAGGAGAAGCAGGAGAAGCAGGAGAAGCTGAGAGTGAGAAAGGAGGAGAGGAACTGCTCCCCCCAGAGAGTACCCCTATTCCAGCCAACTTGTCTCAGAATTTGGAGGCAGCAGCAGCCACTCAAGGTAAGGTGTGGTTGGACGGTAGAGGTAGGGCGGGCTAGGGGATATCGTTCCTTGCCCTCCTTGATGACCGCCCATTTTTGACATGTTTCTGGGTCCCTGCAATGGAATCTAAGAACTAGATTAAGGACTTTTAAGCCTAAAAAGGGTGATGCAAAGGGGAAATACTGTTCTTTGGCTGCTTTCTATTTCCCAGGGATTAAGGGTACTCCTTAAATTATTGGCAAAGATCCATGCTTTTATTTATTTATTTTTAATTAGTGGCAGTATCTGTGCCAAAGAGGAGACGGAAAATTAAGGAGCTAAATAAGAAGGAGGCTGTTGGAGACCTTCTGGATGCCTTCAAGGAGGTAAGGGAGCAGAAAATGGGAGGGGAGAGGGCCAAGTTGAGGTATGGAGCAGTGGTCATTCTGCAACCAAAACTGGATGTTCTGTTGTTCTAGGCGAACCCGGCAGTACCAGAGGTGGAAAATCAGCCTCCTGCAGGCAGCAATCCAGGCCCAGAGTCTGAGGGCAGTGGTGTGCCCCCACGTCCTGAGGAAGCAGATGAGACCTGGGACTCAAAGGAAGACAAAATTCACAATGCTGAGAACATCCAGCCCGGGGAACAGAAGTATGAATATAAGTCAGGTATGCTGAAGAAAGGGTTGAGAATGGCTTGAGTTTTCTTATTAGGGCCAGAGGAGGCAGTATGATTGCTTCATTCTGTTTTCCTTGCAGATCAGTGGAAGCCTCTAAACCTAGAGGAGAAAAAACGTTACGACCGTGAGTTCCTGCTTGGTTTTCAGTTCATCTTTGCCAGTATGCAGAAGCCAGAGGGATTGCCACATATCAGTGACGTGGTGCTGGACAAGGTTAGTGGCTTCAGTTGGGGAGGGGACGATAAGTTTGTGCTGGATGGATTGGGGAGGAGCCTGAGGTCCTGAAAGAGTAGTCAACCGCTCTAGCCTGCTTCTGAGACCTTTTCCTGTCCTCTTTGCAGGCCAATAAAACACCACTGCGGCCACTGGATCCCACTAGACTACAAGGCATAAATTGTGGCCCAGACTTCACTCCATCCTTTGCCAACCTTGGCCGGACAACCCTTAGCACCCGTGGGCCCCCAAGGGGTGGGCCAGGTGGGGAGCTGCCCCGTGGGCCGGTGAGTGGGGCTGGGTAAAGTGGCAGGTGGGCAAGGAGTGGGAGTGGATGATTCCGTGTCTCAGTGCCCGCGGGGAGGGGTTTGCCCTGGAGGCGTGTAGTAGTGGTGTCACATATTGTGCTGACTAGTTCCATGTCCCCTCTTGTCTTCATCCCTTGCTTAGCAGGCTGGCCTGGGACCCCGGCGCTCTCAGCAGGGACCCCGAAAAGAACCACGCAAGATCATTGCCACAGTGTTAATGACCGAAGATATAAAACTGAACAAAGCAGAGAAAGCCTGGAAACCCAGCAGCAAGCGGACGGCGGCTGATAAGGATCGAGGGGAAGAAGATGCTGATGGCAGCAAAACCCAGGTACTGGCAAGTCCTGCTTTTGGTCTCTCTCCATTTCTTCTCCAGGTCTGCCATCTGTGCCCTCTTTGCTTCTTTTTGTCCTTATCACTAGCATCTGTCATGCCTAAGTCCCCACCACCCTCTCCTGTCCCTCCCAACAGCCTGTTCTGAGACCCTCACTGGAACTCTTGTCTCTTCTCCCTCCAGGACCTATTCCGCAGGGTGCGCTCCATCCTGAATAAACTGACACCCCAGATGTTCCAGCAGCTGATGAAGCAAGTGACGCAGCTGGCCATCGACACCGAGGAACGCCTCAAAGGGGTCATTGACCTCATTTTTGAGAAGGCCATTTCAGAGCCCAACTTCTCTGTGGCCTATGCCAACATGTGCCGCTGCCTCATGGCGGTTAGTTTCCAGTGGGTTCTAAATCTAATGGTCTGGTTGCCCATTCCTATTCCCAAGACTCCTTGAGTCCAGCTTCTTGGTTCCCCTCCAACTTGTGCCTCTTCCAGCTGGAAGGAGGCAGAGCTGGGGCCAGAGATCTTCCTGGGTCAGGTAGTTAAAGGCTCTTGGAGGGCCTTCCCTGCCCAGGACTAGTCTTGAGTGTGACATTCTCTCTGACCTACAGCTGAAAGTGCCCACTACGGAAAAGCCAACAGTGACTGTGAACTTCCGAAAGCTGTTGTTGAATCGATGTCAGAAGGAGTTTGAGAAAGACAAAGATGATGATGAGGTTTTTGAGAAGAAGCAAAAAGAGATGGATGAAGCTGCTACGGTGAGAGAAAACCCACTATCGATTCCACTCACCACTTACCTCCTTCCCTTACCCAGATGCTACTCAGCTGTAGAATTTGGAATGGAGGTAGTGGTGTCTTGGGGATTTCTCTGGCTCAGGACGTTTTTTTTCCTTTTTGAGACAGTCTTGCTCTGTCACCCAGGCTGGAGTGCAGTGGTGTGATCTTGGCTAGCCTCCACCTCCTGAGTTCAAGCGATTCTCCTGCCTCAGCCTCCCAAGTAGCTGGGATTACAGGCATGTGCCACCATACCTGGCTAATTTTTTTGTATTTTTAATAGAGACGGGGTTTTACCATGTTGGCCAAGCTGGTCTCAAACTCCTCCTGACCTCAAGTGATCCGCCTGCCTCAGCCTCCCAAATTGATGGGATTACAGGCATGAGCCACTATGCCCAGCCAGCCGGCCTCAGGACTGAGTGCTTATTGCTAGGTTTGGATATCCAGGTAGAAAAGGGTTTTAGCCGAGTGGCTGGTTATCTTTTTGACACAATCCCTGTCCTGTGAATGGCAGGCAGAGGAACGAGGACGCCTGAAGGAAGAGCTGGAAGAGGCTCGGGACATAGCCCGGCGGCGCTCTTTAGGGAATATCAAGTTTATTGGAGAGTTGTTCAAACTGAAGATGTTAACAGAGGCAATAATGCATGACTGTGTGGTCAAACTGCTTAAGAACCATGATGAAGAGTCCCTTGAGTGCCTTTGTCGTCTGCTCACCACCATTGGCAAAGACCTGGACTTTGAAAAAGCCAAGGTAGAGGTCCTTGCATCTGGAGGGGGATGGGCTGAAGCATATGTGGGGCTCACTGAGCCCACAATGATGGGGCGGAAGGCCTGAGGAGGGGTGGGGCCTGCAGTTATAGGTGGGACATGAGAAGTTCCTGGTCTGATGCCTTTCTCCTTCCTAGCCCCGAATGGATCAGTATTTCAACCAGATGGAAAAAATCATTAAAGAAAAGAAGACGTCATCCCGCATCCGCTTTATGCTGCAGGACGTGCTGGATCTGCGAGGGGTGTGTGTCCCCCTCCTCCCCACTGCCAGCCTGCTGCCTCCAGTTTCTGACACTGCCTTGTCTTGCCTTCCCTGACATCATCGTGACTGGCCCTCTGTCTCCACAGAGCAATTGGGTGCCACGCCGAGGGGATCAGGGTCCCAAGACCATTGACCAGATCCATAAGGAGGCTGAGATGGAAGAACATCGAGAGCACATCAAAGTGCAGCAGCTCATGGCCAAGGGCAGTGACAAGCGTCGGGGCGGTCCTCCAGGCCCTCCCATCAGTGAGTTCCAAGCTGGGATTGAGAAGGGAGCAGTGAAGGGACCGGGAGGTTATACTTTCCTCTGATGACTTCCTGTTAGTGCCACGTGTCTGGGCCACTGAGACACCATGATGGAACTGAGGATCTGAGGAAGGGAGGCTGGGGGTGGCCCAAGGGGAAGGGGCTGCTAGGATTTATTCATTATTCCAGTATGCCCCTCTTTTTGTGTCAGGCCGTGGACTTCCCCTTGTGGATGATGGTGGCTGGAACACAGTTCCCATCAGCAAAGGTAGCCGCCCCATTGACACCTCACGACTCACCAAGATCACCAAGGTAGGGGTGTGTGTGGGAGTGGGTGATTCAGCTCAGGTTTAGATCTTAGTCCCTTCACTTTTCTAAAGTTGAGAAGGTGACAGCTGAATGTTTCCTCTTAGACTAACTGGTTGGATTGCTGGAGACAGGACTGCCAGCTGTAGAGGGAGGGTGGTACTCCCATTAGTCTGGACCAGTGTTTGGCAAACACACACACACACACACACACACACACACACGTGCCAGATCCAGCCCATTCATACATCCCAGGACCCAGTAGTGGTTTTTACATTTTAAAGTTGCGAAAAATCAAAAAGTGAATGGTAATTTATGCTGTGGAAATTAAATAAAATGTAAATGTCAGTGTCCATGAAGTTTTATTGGAACACAGTCACAGCATGCCTTTATCATCTACAGCTGGTTTCATGCTACTGTGGCAGAATTGAGTAGTTGCAATAGAGACTGGCCCTTTATTAAAAAAGATTTTCTGACCCCTGGACTGGGCCATTCACTACCTGTTTGGTTGCATATGGTGGTGCTGGCCAAGGGACTCAGCCGGGTTGGACCTATGATTCTACTCCCCTTTTCTTCTTCAGCCTGGCTCCATCGATTCTAACAACCAGCTCTTTGCACCTGGAGGGCGACTGAGCTGGGGCAAGGGCAGCAGCGGAGGCTCAGGAGCCAAGCCCTCAGACGCAGGTATGGAGGCAGTGTCAGGAGCTGGGTGGTTACCCGTCAGAGCTCCCTTGAGGACAGAGCCTTTTCTGTTAGGGAGGCCTTCAGTACAAGGTGGTTAGGCAATGCGGGCAATAGAGGAGGTTTGTGTTGTGGTTCCAGGGATTGAACTGCTTTACTTTTGGGACTGGGACCAAGTGTCCTAAACTGGCAAGTAGGGGATAAAATGCAGGAAAGGAGAAAAAGATTTTAATACGGATTTTCTGCATCCCCAGCATCAGAAGCTGCTCGCCCAGCTACTAGTACTTTGAATCGCTTCTCAGCCCTTCAACAAGCGGTACCCACAGAAAGCACAGATAATAGACGTGTGGTGCAGAGGTGAGGTTTCCTGGACATCTTTGTTATTCACACTGGGGGTACCGTGATTGGGTTCTGGTTGTTGCCATAGGTTGGAAATTTCTTCATACCTGTCCTGGTTGGAGCCCTTGGGTTAGATTGGGGCATACTCATTATGCTAAGAACAAGGCCCAACAGTTGCTCAGCATGTTGTGTAATTACATGAGTGCCTGGGCAGTGCAAGTGAGTGAAAATTTGTCTGTCTGTCTTCCAGGAGTAGCTTGAGCCGAGAACGAGGCGAGAAAGCTGGAGACCGAGGAGACCGCCTAGAGCGGAGTGAACGGGGAGGGGACCGTGGGGACCGGCTTGATCGTGCGCGGACACCTGCTACCAAGCGGAGCTTCAGCAAGGAAGTGGAGGAGCGGAGTAGAGAACGGCCCTCCCAGCCTGAGGGGCTGCGCAAGGCAGCTAGCCTCACGGAGGATCGGGACCGTGGGCGGGATGCCGGTGAGAGTCTGGGAGAGGAATGGAGGGAAAGGCATTGGCTGCCTTGGGACTAGCTGGTCCCCAGCTTTTTGAGAGCTCCAAATCTTGTTTGCTGGGAAGACTGAAAAGTCCCTCTAATCTGTGTTCTCTTCCCACAGTGAAGCGAGAAGCTGCCCTACCCCCAGTGAGCCCCCTGAAGGCGGCTCTCTCTGAGGAGGAGTTAGAGAAGAAATCCAAGGCTATCATTGAGGAATATCTCCATCTCAATGACATGAAAGTAGGCAGTGGGAGCGGCGTGTGATTGAGGAGTGGGCAGGGAGGGATCATGCTGGCAGGCATAGGGGTCCGGGGTCTGGGTCAGACAGTGACTGGTCTCTTCCTGCTGTGCCCTGCACCCCTCAGGAGGCAGTCCAGTGCGTGCAGGAGCTGGCCTCACCCTCCTTGCTCTTCATCTTTGTACGGCATGGTGTCGAGTCTACGCTGGAGCGCAGTGCCATTGCTCGTGAGCATATGGGGCAGCTGCTGCACCAGCTGCTCTGTGCTGGGCATCTGTCTACTGCTCAGTACTACCAAGGGTATGACCAGCTTCTCTGGGCCTCCCACTTATACAGACCCACAATTTTCTATCTCCTTTTTGGGACCCTTGGAACCTTGCATAAGAGTGTAGGTTCCCTGGCCGGGTGTGGTGGCTTATGCCTGTAATCCCTGCACTTTGGGAGGCCAAGGTGGGTTGGATTCCTTAGAGGATCACGTGAGGTTGGGAGTTCTAGACCAGCCTGGCCAACATGGTGAAACCCTGTCTCTACTAATAATACAAAAATTAGCCAGGCGTGGTGGCACAGTAATCCCAGCTACTCGGAGGCTGAGGCAGGAGAACTGCTTGAACCCGGGAGGTGGAGGTTGCAGTGAGCCGAGATCGTGCCATTGCACTCCAGCCTGGGTGACAAAAGCAAAACTGTCTCAAAAAAAAAACCAAAAAACAGTATGGGTTCCTTGACCATCCTGGTCAGCATAACTTTAGGGGGTTAAGCGGGGTGAAAACCATCTAAGGACACAGAGGTGGCCTTAGCTTGAAATAATTGTCCCCATGTCTAGAAAATGTTCCTGGGGGTTCCATAGTTGATGCCCTAGCCATGCCACGTTGCCCCAGAAGGAGAGTGGGGACCTGGCCTAGAATGTCTTGACTTTGAATTCCCTTGGCAGGTTGTATGAAATCTTGGAATTGGCTGAGGACATGGAAATTGACATCCCCCACGTGTGGCTCTACCTAGCGGAACTGGTAACACCCATTCTGCAGGAAGGTGGGGTGCCCATGGGGGAGCTGTTCAGGTAAGTCCCCCTGGGTGGAATTCAGGGGAGGTAAAGACCAGAGGAAAGGTGGTAGGGAAATGGCTGGGTTGGATACCCTGGTTTGGAGGGAGATGGAGTAGTGGTGAGAGAACTGTGGAGGCTGTCAGCATTAGGTTTTTCTCTTCTTGTAGGGAGATTACAAAGCCTCTGAGACCGTTGGGCAAAGCTGCTTCCCTGTTGCTGGAGATCCTGGGCCTCCTGTGCAAAAGCATGGTGAGTGAGGGCCAGGAGTCCAGAGATGCCTCCCACGGTGTGGTTTTGGCTGTTTGCTGTGGCCCTGAAGCTTCATGGTCCATTGGTGGAGTGGAGTGATGGTGATGACAGGATTGTGTTGGTACCTGGGAGAGGAAATACTGAGGTGGGCCATCTCCCGCACACCAGTTCCTATCATGAGTTCTGGCCAAGACTGGAGGAGAATGGCAGTCTAAGACCCTAGGCCTGTGATTGATGCATTTATTTATTCATTCATTGAACTAGGGTTTTGTTGATGATCATTTATCATATACTAAGCACTAGGGACACAGCAATGAATAAAACACAAGAAACAAGTTGGTAGAGAAAAAGGAAGAAATGGGCCGGGCGCAGTGGCTCACGCCTGTAATCCCAGCACTTTGAGAGGCCGACGTGGGTGGATCACGAGGTCAGGAGTTCAAGACCAGCTTGGCCAATATGGTGAAACCCCATCTCTACTAAAAACACAAAAATTAGCCGTGTTGTGGCAGGTGCCTGTAATTCCACCTACTCAGGAGGCTGAGGCAGGAGAATCACTTGACCCGGGAGGCGGAGGTAGCAGTGAGCCGAGATTGTGCCACTGCACTCCAGCCTGGGAAACAGAGCAAGACTCTGTCTCCAAAAAAGAAAAAAGAAATGACAGCTTGATAAAAACAACAGTAAAGCGTGACATAAAACAGTTGAAATAGAGTGGAGTATCTTAAGTACTGTGGGGTTGCAAAGGAATATTTGACAATATTTGTGACAGGAGGCTTTCAGGGTGCTGAAGCGGCTTTGTGAAAGTTAATTGGTAACTAGCGAATATAAAGGTAAAGAGATGGGGAAAGGTAAGTTGAATGTGGTACTTAGTGGAAGTGAGAAGTTGGGGTGAGTGTGTGCAGTTTCAAGGGTTCAGCCATCTGGAACCTGGAGGAATCACACTTGGGATTTAAAGGAATTGTTATGTCAACATCATTTAATTCTTTTAAATAGACGTGTACCAGGACAAGTTGTTTTTTAACAACAAATAAGCATATTGAACTATTTGTGTATTTCATCAACTCCAAGGTGCCATAGATTATAAGACATTCTTTATGCGCTGTTAAGAAAGAAAAGACTGGGCCGGGCGTGGTAATCCCAGCACTTTGGGAGGCAGAGGTGGGTGGATCACGTGAGGTCAGGAGTTGGAAACCAGCCTGGCCAACATGATGAAACCCTGTATCTACTAAAAATACAAAAAAATTAGCTGGACATGGTGGTGCGCACCTGTAGTCCCAGCTACTTGGGAGGCTGAGGCAGGAGAATTGCTTGAACCCAGGAGGGGGAGGTTGCAGTAAGCCAAGATTGTGCCACTGCACTCCAGCCTGGGCGACAGAGCAAGACTCTGTCTCAAAATAAAAAAAGATATATATCGGCTGTAAGACAACTTTTAGTTAAAATGTGAAAAAATGGGCATGTTTTAAAATCTGTGAACTGCAATAATCTTGCTAAGAGCCAGTGCCATTAGTCTGTTATAAAGAAAAGAGTGATGTCTTCATAGTCTATTGCCCCTTACAGAAAATGCACTCAGACTGCTGGTTTTATGAGGATTTTTTATTTGTGTTAGGGATGGGGTATATTTGTGTCTTAAGATTTTCTGGGTTTAGGAAACAAGCATACTTGTTAGAAGTTGTCCCTTCCTAGAGGCCCTTACATCATTTTTCCTACCCTAGTGTCATAGCACTTTGGTGGACAAGTTCTCTTTTATTTTATTTTATTATTATTATTTTTTTGAGACAGAGTCTCGCTGTGTCGCCCAGGCTGGAGTGCAGTGGCGTGATCTCAGCTCATTGCAACCCTCGCCTTGGGTTCAAGCGATTCTCCTGCCTCAGCCTCCCGAGTAGCTGGGATTACAGGCACCCACCACCACGCCTGGCTAATTTTTGTATTTTCTGTAGAGACGGGGTTTCACCATGTTGGTCAGGCTGGTCTCCGACTCCTGACCTCAGGTGATCCGCCCACCTCGACCTTTCAGAGTGCTAGGATTACAGGCGTGAGCCACCGCCCGCTCCTGGGACGAGTTCTTATTTATTTGGGTGGTTATTTGACTGACATCTGTGCCCTGCACCAGACCGTAGGAATGGAAGGGCTTTGCCTATTAGTATTTCTATAGCATCCTTAATGCCTAGCAAGTACCTAGTAGGCTTTCAGTAAATATTTGTTGGATTAATGTGGTAGAGCTGTTGGGTCCTTGGAGAGAGAGAGCTTTGGTAAGCTGGGTTGGTCTTGTGTTTTCCAGGGTCCTAAAAAGGTGGGGACGCTGTGGCGAGAAGCCGGGCTTAGCTGGAAGGAATTTCTACCTGAAGGCCAGGACATTGGTGCATTCGTCGCTGAACAGGTTTGGGGATGGAGTTGGGTTAATTCTAGCATTTGAGGCTGGCCAGTCTTCTTTCTTGTCTCCTGTTGGCAACCTTACCTCTTAACTGCGGGCCTTTTCCATTGCAGAAGGTGGAGTATACCCTGGGAGAGGAGTCGGAAGCCCCTGGCCAGAGGGCACTCCCCTCCGAGGAGCTGAACAGGCAGCTGGAGAAGCTGCTGAAGGAGGGCAGCAGTAACCAGCGGGTGTTCGACTGGATAGAGGTAGGTTTCTCCTGGATATCGATAAAGGAAAGGTAGTTCTTAGGGTGGGGGTGGGGGCAGCAAGAATGAAGACTGAAGGGCCCAATTCAGAATCTGGGGATCATTTGTTTCTCCCATACAGGCCAACCTGAGTGAGCAGCAGATAGTATCCAACACGTTAGTTCGAGCCCTCATGACGGCTGTCTGCTATTCTGCAATTATTTGTAAGAGGAACCAGGGAGATGGAGGGGCAAGGGTGGGCCTGACAGACAAGTGGAGGGAGGTGGGTGTCAGCCTTGGCCTCCCAGTTCTGAACCGGGGTAAGGGTATATTGCTCCACTCATCCCTGTCTTCTTGTAGTTGAGACTCCCCTCCGAGTGGACGTTGCAGTGCTGAAAGCGCGAGCGAAGCTGCTGCAGAAATACCTGTGTGACGAGCAGAAGGAGCTACAGGCGCTCTACGCCCTCCAGGCCCTTGTAGTGACCTTAGAACAGCCTCCCAGTAAGAGCCAGGCCATGGGGACAGGGGTGGGGTGGAGGGACTGCCAGATAGCAGGGCATGAGACCCTTCATGGAAGGGTCTTAATCCAAGAAAGGTAGGTAGTCATTAGAGAGCAAAATGCCCTCTGGGTTTCATTCTTTCCTTTTACGTTTGTGTTGTGTTGTTCCTACAAGTGGAAGGAGTTAGACACAGCCTTGAAGGGTAATTGCCTGTTTTGTGCCTAGCCATGTGTTTGATGCCAACAGTGCAGAGGTGATAAATGATAGGATCTTCCCAGTACCGTGTGCCCCCACGGCGTGGCACAGGGCTGAAATGCTTTGCTTACCTTGCCTCATGTAGTCCTCACAAATGTTGTTTAGGGTGGATGGTATTACCCCTATTTTCCACATGAGGAGACTGAGGTCTCAGTGAACATGTCTCAGGTTATGCATTCAGAACATAGGTATGTGTCAGGGCATTGGCATGCTCACAGAGAGGAAGCCGAGCAATTTCCTGTGCTGGCCTGGAGTTAGTACTGGCGTGAGCAATGAGCCTGGGAAGACGGGTGCTCTCGGAGGGAGGACACCTGGTCTGAGGGGTAATGAGTGGTAATTCACTCCACAACAACTGGGAAGGGGAGGGGGAGAATGTTTGAAGCGAAGGCACTATGTGTGTTCTTTCTACCTATGGTAGGAAGAACTTGACACAGGGAAAAGAACTATTAAAGAAAGGCCAGTGTGGGAGAGCACAGCAACCAGTCCTAAGTGAGGCAAGATGGGGCCGAAGAGAGGGATGTGGGCCTGACCACACAGGGCCGGGTGTAAGCCATGGCCAGAGTCTGGGGCTTTAGCCTGGGGGCAAGAAAACGCCTTTGTGGGATTTTAAGCAAGGAATAAAGGAATTTGATTTTAGTTTTTAGATCATCTTGGCAATAGAGGGAAGAGTGGTTTGGAATGGGGTGAGAGTGGATGTGGCAGTGTTAGCACCAGTGGCTCAGCCTTGCTGGTGATGGTGGAGAGGAGTAGGCAGATCAAGAGATACTTAGGAAATGGAGTTGGCAGCTTTTGGTTACACTGGTCTGGGGAGGGGGCCGTGAGAGATTAGAAGTCATGGATGACTCCCAGGATGGTTTTTAAATCACAGTGGGCTTAGAGGCCATAGTGTGATGTCATTTGCTGGGGTAGGCAACGGTGGATCAAGTTGAGTTGTGGTCCTTGAGTAAGGGAATCGAGATGTCAGCTCAATAGCTGGGGTATCTGGGTCCTTTTGGAAAAGAAGAGATCAGGGCAGGAGGCAGCTTTGTGAAATGCCGGCACAGGGTAACTCATGTGCAAGTCATAAGAGGATACGGGCTTGCCTGAGGGAGAGTGATAAGGGCCTGAGATACAGCCCCAAGGAGGTAGAGCGGACATACTGGTAGGGACCAAAGGAGGACAGGCCCCTCTGAACCAAGGACAGAGAAATTTGAGGAGAGGGATGTGGTTGATAATGCCAGATGCTGCTGTGAGCGTTTGTAGGAGTGGGCCTGAAAATGCAGGATGTTTGGAATATAAAAACATAGAGGCCACCCTGGCAAAAACAGTATTTAGTGGGGCAGGGGACAGATTCTGGATTGGAAAGGACTGAGAAATACTTAAGTGAGACAGAAAGAAGGGAAAACATCAAGTGTAGACAAAATATTTTATTAGCTGTAAGATAGTGGTTGAAAACAGGGCTTTTTGTTTTTAGGTTAGAGAAACTTGGGCTTGAAAATACAGGGCAGAGTGCATAATCGATTGGATGGGGTCCCTGGGTGGGTATGTGTGGGATTTGGAGTGTAGGTACGGGTTAAGTGAAGGTTCTGCCCTGCTATGGCCCATTGCTATGGGGTGGGGGTAGCAGGTGACTGTGCCCCTAGGCAGTTTGTGACTTTGAGGCTGGGCATGCCCTGCAGAACATCCTGGCTGGCAGCATCTCATAGATGGCTTAGAAGTGTAAGGTTTGGTTTGGAAAGACTGGTGGTGCCTTGTGGGCACTGGGGTCGGTTGTGTTTCAGGGGTTATAGGACACGTTGCTTGGGAAGGCTACCCAGCAGCTAGGGGTTGAGGAGAAAGAGGGCCCGAACAGGTGATGCTTGAGTTGAGTCCTGAAGGAACAAGACACGAGGAAGTTTCCGGCAAAGGATATAGCATCCACAAAAGTGTCAAGGCCAGAGAAGGTGTGTATGTACAGGAAATGTGTGGGGAAGGAAGGGAAATTGAGATCAGGAGTTGTCAGGATCTGTTTGGGGGGCAGTGAATGTTCAGGTTACATGTAGGATATATATAGGACTTTATGTATGATATATATAGGACTTTTAGCGATTTCCTGAATTCAGGAGTACCAATTCTGAATATAGTTTTCTCCATTAAATACATCATGGGCAGAGAGGTTTCAGGCTGCCAAGGTGAGGCCAAGCAAGTTTGTAAGGTTTTTCTGATGGCCAAGTGACTCATTGCTGTGCAGCAGTCTCAGATCATGAGATTAGCATCCTGTCAGAGGCCTAGTCACTCTGGAATGGCCACAAATGTCAGGCTGGTGCATCAGGGCCTTGTTTGAACAGTGGAACTTGGGAGGGTTCCCTGGGGTGGGCTGGGGTGGCGGTGGCCAGTCACCTCTAACTGCTGTCCCGCCTGCTTGCAGACCTGCTGCGGATGTTCTTTGACGCACTGTATGACGAGGACGTGGTGAAGGAGGATGCCTTCTACAGTTGGGAGAGTAGCAAGGACCCCGCTGAGCAGCAGGGCAAGGGTGTGGCCCTTAAATCTGTCACAGCCTTCTTCAAGTGGCTCCGTGAAGCAGAGGAGGAGTCTGACCACAACTGAGGGCTGGTGGGGCCGGGGACCTGGAGCCCCATGGACACACAGATGGCCCGGCTAGCCGCCTGGACTGCAGGGGGGCGGCAGCAGCGGCGGTGGCAGTGGGTGCCTGTAGTGTGATGTGTCTGAACTAATAAAGTGGCTGAAGAGGCAGGATGGCTTGGGGCTGCCTGGGCCCCCCTCCAGGATGCCGCCAGGTGTCCCTCTCCTCCCCCTGGGGCACAGAGATATATTATATATAAAGTCTTGAAATTTGGTGTGTCTTGGGGTGGGGAGGGGCACCAACGCCTGCCCCTGGGGTCCTTTTTTTTATTTTCTGAAAATCACTCTCGGGACTGCCGTCCTCGCTGCTGGGGGCATATGCCCCAGCCCCTGTACCACCCCTGCTGTTGCCTGGGCAGGGGGAAGGGGGGGCACGGTGCCTGTAATTATTAAACATGAATTCAATTAAGCTCACTGCCTTTCTGCTTTATGCCCTGCTCCCTCTAGAGAAGGTGTTTATAGGTGGGGATCCTTCCCAGAGCTGGTACTGTAGCGCTGTTCCCTGTAACCTGGCACCCCTCCTGCCTCTTCCCCTGTCCATGATTGCAGGGATCTGAGGTTTCCTGGAAGGTTGGGCCCTCAGATGGGCTTGATAGGTGCCTTCCTGGTCCGGAGAAAAGGGAGATTAGTGATAGGACATCCTTGCTAGGCTCTGCTCTCCTACCAGAATGATTCAAGCCCCTGTGTGGGGAAGGCTTTTGGGTTTCGGGTTGTTTATAGCTGGAGAATCCCTTTATGGCTTGAAGGTGTCATCTGTAAAATGAAGGGGCTGGATGCATGAAGGGAGGTTTTGCGACCCCGTGTAGTGTGACTGGGCTGGCTTAGTGAGTGTTCGCCGCCCCTGCCTTCAGGTGGCAGTCGGCTCTGGGAGGAGAGGACCGGCATTTTCGAACCCGGTCCAGGCCGCCTCTGCGTGGCTGTGACGTCGCTGCGCCCCGCCTACTTTGGGTGGTGACGCGGCGGTCACGCCCCCGCGCTTACGTCACCGGCCCGGTTCCCTCTCCGGGGAGCGGCGGCGGACGCGCGGCTCCCACCCCTCCCCTCTCACGGGCTCTCCCCTCCCCAGTGTGGCCGCGACCCTACCCTCTGCAAGGCGATGGCCCGCGCCCCGAGCGCAGGCTAGCGTGCCTGGGTGCCCGGCCATGGGCTGTATCGGCTCTCGGAGCCCGGCGGGTCAGGGTAAGAGGCGGAGGCCGGGTACGGGTTGGGGAGTCGGGCTGCGGCCGCCGGTGCGCGGGCCGCGGGTGGGTGGGGGCCTTGAGGAGGGGGCCGGTGTCGGGAGAGGGAGGAGCCTGCACCGGGAGGCGGGCCAGGCAACAGGAGGGAGCGGGAATGAGCAGGGAAGGGGCCAGACCGACTCCGGTTCGCTCCCACGGCCTGCCTGCCTTGGGGTTTTGCAGGGCAGACGCATGGTCTCGCCGCTGGCTGCCGTGTGCCCACTGCTCAGGGTGGCCGGAGACGCACAGCCCCGGGAGGGGCTGGGCAGCCCGATGCCCCCACCACTCCAGCCCTCGGCGACTGGCCTTGCGCGCCCACACACACACTCCCCTCCGCCTACACCTCTGCCTTCACAGTCCTGGGAGTGGCCCTGTGCTGGGAACCTGCTTCTCCCAGCCGTGTCCCCATCTTCTTAAAGAGGTAGCCTTTCGGTCCTGGCTAAGCACCCTACCACAGAATTTTTGTCGGACATTGACTCCCCTCTTCAGTCAGTCGGCGAAGGGGGACTGAGGTCCCGTTTGGGGCACCTGTGAACACTGAATCACCTCTCACCTATTACAGTTGTTTTAATGTCCTGCCCCCACTCAGCAAAAACAAATCACTCTACTCTGTGGAGGGAAAGAGGAACCCAGAGGCAGGCCATCAGGGCTTCCTTCCCACAGTGCTGACCCCTGCCTGGGCCTCGGTTTCCGTGGGTGGCCATGCACACCGGGCCTGGCCGTAGTCCTGTGCATCAGAGGTCGGCCAGCTTCCTTTACTCCGGTGTGGTGGATTTCTCCACGCATAAGGCAAGGCAGGACTGGGTTTGGGATGGGTCCTGGACCTTCAGGGCAGGTGGTCAGTCACACAGGCCTTGGTGTGGTTGGTACTTGATGTTCTTTGGAGCTAAGACTGGCTGAGATTTGTACTTCCCTTGAGGAATTCTGGGATTTGTAGTCCTAAGTTAACCTCGTGGCTTTTGAAGCTGAGGAGCAGCTGACTGCTCTGATCTCTCTGGCCCTATCAAGGCTTGGAGTTCAGGAAGTCATCACCTTCTCTTGTCAGGGGTGAGTTTGGCTGACCTCAGGACTGGCCTCGAGAGCCCTGGTTAGGTACCAGTTGGGGGCCAGGGATGGCCTGTAACCTCCTGTTTTCCTTCTGGTTGGTAGCATTTCTGGGGACCAACAGCTGGCCGAGGCTCAGGGATAGAGACGGCTGCTCCAGCTAAAGGTCAGTTGTGATGTACATTGCCTGTTGGCACTGTCTAGGGAATGGGCCTCAGCTCCCCGAGTCCCAGAGAGCTTGGCTGAGCCCTGGTGTTCCCACCTCCTCAGAGCCATGAGGCAGGAATGTTCTCCTTATGTGACTAGGCACAGGTTCCAAATGGGGAGGGGACTGGCTCAGCATCCGGAGCCAAAACAGGAATAGAACTGGGAGCTGAGCCTGGAGCGGTTCTGGGCTTTTGGTTCTCTGCATCAACACAGCCAGCATGCCTATGATTTCTGTGCTGGGCAAAATGTTTCTGTGGCAGCGTGAAGGGCCTGGAGGACGATGGACTTGTCAGACAAGTCGCAGAGGTGAGACCAGGGATCATGGATGTGATCTGGGAGATGATGGGAAGCTGAGCAGTAGGGTGCTTAGGTGGAAAAGGAAAATTACTCTGGCTTAGATATTAAGAACCAGGCTGAAACAGGGAGAACCAGGCTGGGGCCAGACAGGGCATCAGGAAACGGCTTCAGGGGACAGGGGTGAAAATCAGAAAAAATATCATGAGTTCGTCAGAAAAGAAGAGTAAAGAGCTGTGGACCAGCTGAGGCTGGCGAGAGGAAAGAAGGCAGCAGGAAGAGAGAAGGAAGGCAACCCTCCTGCAAAGGGTCCAGGGTGGCGGTGGTGGGGGGGACAGTGATGGCGGAAGAACTCAGTGTGCTTTCCAAGAGGAATGGGTAGGCTGGGAAACGGGAAGGAGAGTCAGAATTTATCATTGTTTGGTTTCACCCTAGGGTTTTGAGGCAAAATTTATCCAGAGCAGGAAGGTGGCAAGTGGGCTGCCACAGAATGGCCCCAGGGGCCCGAGGGTCAGTGATGTGTGGGATGGGGGCTTTTAGAGTTGAGGAGAGCACTCAGTGGGCGCTGGTCTTCTGGAAGGTGGGGGAGGGGCCGAGAAATGATACGGCAATACTGGATGAAAATGGGGATCTCTGCAGAAGTAGGGGCACAGCTCAACAGCCTTTCCCCTTCCTCTCAGTGTCCTCGGACCCCGCTTGGGCTGTGGAGTGGATCGAACTTCCTCGGGGTCTCTCTCTATCCTCTTTGGGATCTGCTCGAACCCTCCGAGGCTGGAGCAGGTCCTCCCGCCCTTCCTCGGTGGACAGTCAGGACTTGCCAGAGGTGCTGGGCCCCTGGTGGTGGGGGGAAGGAGGACGTCATCCATATAAAGGGGATCTGCAGCCCCCACCCACGCCTGGCCAGCCAGCTTCTGGCTCCCTTTTCCGGCGGGCGGAGGCGCTATCCGGCGGCGGGCCGGGAGGCCGCCCCCGTGCCGGTCTGCTCTGCTCGGCGCTGTGCCAGCAGGCGGAGAGCTCGCGCCTTCCGCGCTGACGTCAGCGCATCCCGGGCCGTATCCCGGGAGACCCTGTTGCGTGGTGATGGGTTGCCAGGGAGACATACACCTTTTCTCTGGGCCTGGGCCGCAGCTGCGCGGAGCGCCGGGCACGGATGGCGGCGGCTGAGGGGAGCGAAGCGAGGGAGGGAGAGCAAGCTAAGAAACACCCAGCAGGTGCTCCCCCGCCTAGGCCTGGCTGGAGGCTACTGGCGCCACCCTGGGGGCCCTGTCAGCCAGGTACCCAAGGGGAGGGATCGAGGGTGGGCCTCAGGTCAAGGGGCAGTGTTGGCTGCCCTTGTGAGGGACGGGAACGTGATAGAAGAGAGCTGGGCAATGCCGGGGAGGGATGTGTGCCTCCAACTTCATTAAGTGAGGGAAACATTTGCTGGGGCTTGTCAGGGAGCCCTGAGCCAGGTACAGGGTGGAGTTAGGAACTTACGTGCATCAGACTTAGGCCTTGCCATCCTGAGCTCCCTCGGGAGACAGACAAGGGCAATGATGGGGGCGGGGTGTGTCAGAGAAAAGAAGAGGCTGTCGGCTGAAAGCATTATTTGCAGGTGACACTTGAGATGGGCCTTAAGTGATGGCAAGCATTTTTTCACGTAAGGATGGCATTCTTGGCCCAGAGGAAAGCTGAGTTCCTTTTCCTGGAGGCAGGCGGGCTGCTTGCTGACAGGGATTGGTGGAGAAGGGTTTTTGTTTTTTGTTATTTATTTTTATGTATTTATTTATTTGAGACGGAGTTTCGCTCTTGTTGCCCAGGCTGGAATGCAATGGTGCGATCTCGGCTCACCGCAGCCTCTGCCTCTGGGGTTCAAGCGATTATCCTGCCTCAGCCTCCAGAGTAGCTGGGATTACAGGCATGCGCTGCCACGCCCGGCTGATTTTGTATTTTTAGTAGAGGCGGGGTTTCACCATGTTGGCCAGGCTGGTCTCCAACTCCCGACCTCAGGTGATCCGCCTGCTTCGGCCTCCCAAAATGCTGGGATTACAGGCGTGAGCCACTGCGCCCGGCCTGAGAAGGGGGGTTTTATTGGGCAGAGGAGATCAGCAGTGGATTCAAAGGAGGCTTGGAAGGAGGCAAGGGTGTCACAGAGTGGGATCCTTCAGGGCCTGGGTATGATGCCTGCACTAACCTCACTGGACAGTAGCGTAGGCTAGACAAGATTTTAGAGATGTGTTGTGACCAGCTGCACTCCAGGAAAACTGTTTACATTATATCTTACCTCATTCATCCAGCCTTTGCATTTTTGTTTGCTTGTTTTTGAGACAGAGTCTTTTTCTGTCGCCCAGGCTGGAGTGCAGTGGCACAATCTTGGCTCACTGCAATCTCCGCCTCCTGGGTTCAAGCAATTCTCCTGCCTCAGCCTCCTGAGTAGCTGGGATAACAGGCACCCGCCACCATGCCCTGCCCATTTTTTAAATTATTTTTAGTGGAGATGGGGTTTCACCATGTTGGCCTGGCTGGTCTCAAACTCCTGACCTCAGATGATCTACCCACCTTGGCCCCTTGGCCTCCCAAAGTGCTGGAATTACAGGCGTGAGCCACCACGCCTGGCCCAGCCTATGCATTTTTTTTTTTTTTTTTTTTTTTTGAGATGGAGTCTTGCACCGTAGCCTAAGCTGGAGTGCAGTGGTGCGATCTCGGCTCACCGCAACCTCCGCCTCCCGGGTCCTGGTTCAAGCAATTTTCTTGCCTCAGCCTCCTGAGTAGCTGGGATTACAGGAACGTGCCACCATGCCCAGCTAATTTTTGTATTTTTAGTAGAGACGGGGTTTCACCATGTTGGCCAGGCTGGTCTTGAACTCGTGACCTCATGATCCGCTCACCTCGGCCTCCCAAAGTGCTGGGATTACAGGCATGAGCCACTGACGCCTGGCCAGCCTATGCATTTTTAAGAAATTATTCTGTATTAGGTGCTGTGCTAAACATTGGGCACTACAGTGACCAAAACAGACTGAATTCCCCAAGAGCCAAAGACCAGTGAGGGAGACCAACAAGAAACAGGAAATGCAAAAGAGACCATTATTACTCACTATGACTAAGGGCCACAAATGGGGTACGTTGATGGAGAGTGATTTGTTAAGAGACTACAGAGGGAGGACAGACTACCAAGAGGGGGGCCAGGAAAGCTCCTCTGACGAGGTGGTATTTCAGCCCAAACTGGAAGAATGAGAAAGAGCTAGCCAGCCATCAGAATAGTCCAGAAGAGATGGGGAGCACTACACTCACTACACTTTGGCCTGAGAAAATAGCATGGGATTGGAGGAGGCTGGGGGAACACCACTTCTGCCGACCTGGGCAGGAGGCATTGAGGGCTTGAGAAAGGGCAATGGCAGTAGCAGTAGAAAGGACAGGGTAGGAGCAGGGACTTTGCAGGTGGAATCATTAGGTCTTATCAACAGATATGGGCAAGCAAAGCCAGGGGAGAATTGATGGTAATGCTGAGGTTTGGAGCCAGGCTAGATGGGACAGTGGTGGGTGATGCAAAGGAAAGAGGTCAGGAAGCAGGGCCAGACGTGGGGAGAAGGTGTGGGGGTTTGGTTTCCATCTTGCCGAGTCTGCCGGAATGTGGATGGGAAGACCAAGAGGAGGAGCAAGGGGCAGAGGGGAAGGGAATCTTAAAGAAGTCCTGGATGCCACACTCTTCTTCCTTCCTCCTCTTCCCTCTCCTCAGAGGTCTCACTCGTGGTTCTTCATTTCCTGCCCTGCCTCCATCTCCTCTGGGTGCTGGGAAAGTGGAGGATTAGCTGAAGTTTTGCTTCTCGGGGCCTGTCTGAATCTCCATTGCTTTCTGGGAGGACATAATTCACCTGTCCTAGCTTCTTATCATCTTACATTTCCCTGTAGCCACTGGGACATATGTGGTGTTCCTTCCTAGCTCCTGTCTCCTCCTCATGCCTTTGCTGGGTATGGGCATGTTAGGGGGAAGGTCATTGCTGTCAGAGGGGCACTGACTTTCTAATGGTGTTACCCAAGGTGAATGTTGGAGACACAGTCGCGATGCTGCCCAAGTCCCGGCGAGCCCTAACTATCCAGGAGATCGCTGCGCTGGCCAGGTCCTCCCTGCATGGTATGCAGCCCCTCCCATGTTTCTGGCCACTTTGTCCTTTCTCCTCCCGTTTGCACATCCCTTTGGAACTGTTTCCTGTGAGTACATGCTGGGGTCTCCCCTTTCTTCCCTTGCTCAGGTGAATCTCAGCCCCTTCTCCCACCCAAAGGTTCACATGGATCCTAACTACTGCCACCCTTCCACCTCCCTGCACCTGTGCTCCCTGGCCTGGTCCTTTACCAGGCTTCTCCACCCTCCCCTATCTCCAGGTATTTCCCAGGTGGTGAAGGACCACGTGACCAAGCCTACCGCCATGGCCCAGGGCCGAGTGGCTCACCTCATTGAGTGGAAGGGCTGGAGCAAGCCGAGTGACTCACCTGCTGCCCTGGAATCAGCCTTTTCCTCCTATTCAGACCTCAGCGAGGGCGAACAAGAGGCTCGCTTTGCAGCAGGTGGATGGCAGAAAGGGGATAAGCTACACTCTTGGCACAGGGCTGCTTTCTTTCTTTATTTTATTTAATTTTTTTTTGAGACGGAGTCTCACTCTGTCGCCCAGGCTGGAGTGCAGTGATGCAATCTCAGCTCACTGCAACCTCTGCCACCCCAGTTCAAGCGATTCTCCTGCCTCAGCCTCCCAAGTAGCTGGGATTACAGTTGCCTGCCACCGTGCCTGGCTAATTTTTGTAGTTTTAGTAGAGATGGGGTTTCACCGTCTAGGCCAGGCTGGTCTTGAACTCCTGACCTAGTGATCCACCTGCCTCGGCCTCCCAAAGTGCTGGGATTACAGGCATAAGCCACCACACCCGGCCAGGGCTGCTTTCTTATCTCCTCGGGTCTGACATGGGGGTTGGAGTCTTCCCATACCCTGTTTCTCCTCTCTCCTGTCTTCAAGCTGAGCCCTAGACTTAGCTCACCTTCTCTGCTTATGCATTCTGTCCCTGCGACAGGAGTGGCTGAGCAGTTTGCCATCGCGGAAGCCAAGCTCCGAGCATGGTCTTCGGTGGATGGCGAGGACTCCACTGATGACTCCTATGATGAGGACTTTGCTGGGGGAATGGACACAGGTGAGGGACATCCTGGGCTAGGGCTGTGGTGGACCCACCTGATAGACCTTGGCATTCTTTCAGAGCCACATCCAGAACACTCTCAGCCTTTGCAAGGGGAGGGAGAGGGACAGACTCAGTCCAGGCAGGCCTGGACACTCCAGGGACAGGAAGGCTGTCCACACTCATGGGTGGGAAATGAGCAGACAGAAATGGATTCGTTCCTTTCCCACAGGTGCTGAGGCTTCTCTGCCTGTCTGCACAGTTGTGCCTTGCAGTCCTCAAAAAAAAAAAAAAAAAAAAAGCCGAAAGACCTCAAGGACACCTTCTGTGCAGCCATGTCTCTGGGAGGGTCTGCAGTGCCTTTGCCTCTTCCTCTCCGAGGCAGCCTTCTGGCTGGCTGTGGCAGGGCAGATGAGCTGCAGTGCACAGCCCAGCACCTCGCAGGGCTGCAGCCCAGGTCAACAGGAAGGCATGCTGGGCCTGGAACACCCACGGGGCCATGCTGGCTCCAACTCAGCATCCTTGCATTCCAGCCCGTGGGCCTTTCTCTGGGCCAGTGCTTGCAGAGGGGACCCTGCAGGGCTCTGCAGCTGTGTTCGGCCCTCCTTTCATCTTTCATTCCCTAGACCACATGGCTGACTTTCTCTGTAGCTTCTGGGCTCAAGTCTCACAGGCCACCATTCCCCACAACCTCTTTGCCTTTGAAGATTACCTCTACCATCCCATACCCCTCCAGTGAATTAACAAGTTCTCCAAAGCAGGCAATACATGAGAGCAGGTTGGAGACTGCTGCTGTGGTCTGGAGGGCTGATTTGGTTGTCTGAAGCCAAGATGGAACCTTAAACCACAAGCATTTTTGTTTGATTGAGTTCCAGGCCTACTTTGACCCCTGGGGTAATGATAATAACTAACATTTATCCAAGGCTGCTACTAGCCTGTGTGGAATCTTTGTGCAAATTAGAAAAAGGCACCCCTTTCTCTGGCAGGCACAGCCTTTCTCTGGCAGGCCAGGGCATGCTGCTTGGTGAGCAGAGTATGGGTTAGATTTTGCTATTTCTCACTGCCTTGGACAGGCCCTGTTGTGCGATGAGCAACCTGTATGGCCATAGGCGGTGACCCTGCATTTACTGCTTGTTAACTGTGTGCCAGACTTTTTTTTTGAGACGGAGTTTCACTCTTGTTGCCCAAGCTGGAGTGCAATGGCACGATCTCGGCTCACTGCAACCTCCGCCTCCCAGGTTCAAGTGATTCTCCTGCCTCAGCCTCCCGAGTAGCTGGGATTATAGGGATGTGCCACCACGCCCGGCTAATTTTGTGTTTTTAGTAGAGACAGGGTTTCTCCATGTTGGTCAGGCTGGTCTCGAACTCCTGACCTCAGGTGATCCACCTGCCTCGGCCTCCCAAAGTGCTGGGATTACAGGCGTGAGCCACCGCACCCACCTGTGTGCGAGACTCTTGTTCTTGTATTGTTAGAATCTCCAACTCACCATTAAGGACACTGAGGTCTCAAAAAGTTGTGACTGGTTCAAGGTTACCCAGCACCTATCCACCCCTAGAGCTATGCCAGGGGTGGAGTGGGGTGAATGTGGCTTCCAGGTTGTCCAGTTGAAATGGAGCCAGCAGGACTGTCTTCTTTTCTCTTCTCCTCACAGACATGGCTGGGCAGCTGCCCCTGGGGCCGCACCTCCAGGACCTGTTCACCGGCCACCGGTTCTCCCGGCCTGTGCGCCAGGGCTCCGTGGAGCCTGAGAGCGACTGCTCACAGACCGTGTCCCCAGACACCCTGTGCTCTAGTCTGTGCAGCCTGGAGGATGGGTTGTTGGGCTCCCCGGCCCGGCTGGCCTCCCAGCTGCTGGGCGATGAGCTGCTTCTCGCCAAACTGCCCCCCAGCCGGGAAAGTGCCTTCCGCAGCCTGGGCCCACTGGAGGCCCAGGACTCACTCTACAACTCGCCCCTCACAGAGTCCTGCCTTTCCCCCGCGGAGGAGGAGCCAGCCCCCTGCAAGGACTGCCAGCCACTCTGCCCACCACTAACGGGCAGCTGGGAACGGCAGCGGCAAGCCTCTGACCTGGCCTCTTCTGGGGTGGTGTCCTTAGATGAGGATGAGGCAGAGCCAGAGGAACAGTGACCCACATCATGCCTGGCAGTGGCATGCATCCCCCGGCTGCTGCCAGGGGCAGAGCCTCTGTGCCCAAGTGTGGGCTCAAGGCTCCCAGCAGAGCTCCACAGCCTAGAGGGCTCCTGGGAGCGCTCGCTTCTCCGTTGTGTGTTTTGCATGAAAGTGTTTGGAGAGGAGGCAGGGGCTGGGCTGGGGGCGCATGTCCTGCCCCCACTCCCGGGGCTTGCCGGGGGTTGCCCGGGGCCTCTGGGGCATGGCTACAGCTGTGGCAGACAGTGATGTTCATGTTCTTAAAATGCCACACACACATTTCCTCCTCGGATAATGTGAACCACTAAGGGGGTTGTGACTGGGCTGTGTGAGGGTGGGGTGGGAGGGGGCCCAGCAACCCCCCACCCTCCCCATGCCTCTCTCTTCTCTGCTTTTCTTCTCACTTCCGAGTCCATGTGCAGTGCTTGATAGAATCACCCCCACCTGGAGGGGCTGGCTCCTGCCCTCCCGGAGCCTATGGGTTGAGCCGTCCCTCAAGGGCCCCTGCCCAGCTGGGCTCGTGCTGTGCTTCATTCACCTCTCCATCGTCTCTAAATCTTCCTCTTTTTTCCTAAAGACAGAAGGTTTTTGGTCTGTTTTTTCAGTCGGATCTTCTCTTCTCTGGGAGGCTTTGGAATGATGAAAGCATGTACCCTCCACCCTTTTCCTGGCCCCCTAATGGGGCCTGGGCCCTTTCCCAACCCCTCCTAGGATGTGCGGGCAGTGTGCTGGCGCCTCACAGCCAGCCGGGCTGCCCATTCACGCAGAGCTCTCTGAGCGGGAGGTGGAAGAAAGGATGGCTCTGGTTGCCACAGAGCTGGGACTTCATGTTCTTCTAGAGAGGGCCACAAGAGGGCCACAGGGGTGGCCGGGAGTTGTCAGCTGATGCCTGCTGAGAGGCAGGAATTGTGCCAGTGAGTGACAGTCATGAGGGAGTGTCTCTTCTTGGGGAGGAAAGAAGGTAGAGCCTTTCTGTCTGAATGAAAGGCCAAGGCTACAGTACAGGGCCCCACCCCAGCCAGGGTGTTAATGCCCACGTAGTGGAGGCCTCTGGCAGATCCTGCATTCCAAGGTCACTGGACTGTACGTTTTTATGGTTGTGGGAAGGGTGGGTGGCTTTAGAATTAAGGGCCTTGTAGGCTTTGGCAGGTAAGAGGGCCCAAGGTAAGAACGAGAGCCAACGGGCACAAGCATTCTATATATAAGTGGCTCATTAGGTGTTTATTTTGTTCTATTTAAGAATTTGTTTTATTAAATTAATATAAAAATCTTTGTAAATCTCTATATACATCTGGTCATTGGAGGTTCCAGTTATAAACCCATCTTAGTTCCACCCCTTTCCCCTCAAAGGGGGAGCAGGGGTCAAGTGACCCCAACCCATCCTGCCAGGGCAGGGCCTATCTTCCTGCCTCTGGAAGACTTGTTGCAGGTGGGTAGTGGGTCAGATTCCAGGTAGGATGAACTGGGAGAAGCTGGCACCCCAGGTCTGGAGGGGGCTGGGGTGCAGCCTCCAGCTGTAGCTGCCTCCTGCCTTCCGAAGGCAGAAGGAATGAAAGATGCACATTCTGGGCTGACGGGCATGGCTAGCACCATCCTAGGCCACCCACGAGGGGCTCATTGGCATTTGTCGTCGCTGTCGGAAGGGCTGCCCTCCCGGGGGAGGCCATGACGGGAGTGGGGCCCCCAGAGTGCATGCACCTCAGTGGTCTCCGTGTCACTGCTGCTGGTGGCACTGTCTCGGAAGCTGGCGAGGGGCGGCCGGACTTTCACACCCTGTGCTGTGACAGAGCCCTCGATGGCCTTCCGGAGCTGGAAAGGTGAGAGGGACAGATGTCTGGACCCAGATGTCAGACTCCTCCCCGCCTTCCTCCCCAGGTGAGCTGGACATAAGCCTCCATGACTTTTTGGAAGTGGAGCAGCTTTGGAGGCCACCATCACCTCACCTCCTTTAGAGTAACGATTCCAATGAGTCTGCCAATACTGGTGACATAAGCATGGTCCACTCCCAGCAGTGAGAAGATAGTGTGAGTCTGCAGTGTGGGGAGAAAAGCGATTGGACTTGATGGACGAGGGGCAGCTCTAAATGACAGGCCACAGGGGCCCAGGACAAGGTTGGTGTGGAATAGGAGGGGTGCCCCAGATTGGGAGGGAAGGAGACAGGACTGCTGGAGGGAAAATAATAACAATCGTAATAATAATGAGAATGTTTCTGTGTCCAGGCCTCAGGAACTTGATACTCAAAATCCTTATATTGCTTACACTGACGGAGAAATAGGATGGGGGAGTAATTCTTAGTCCCATGTTAGAAAGGGGGACGTGGGACAGAACAACTGTTCACACGTGAAATCTAGTGATTGGCCAGGCTCCGTGCTAGGTCTTACATTATCATTTAATTCCAGTACTGTCCTGAGAACTAAGCATTAGGAGAAGCAGCATGGGGCTCAACAGTGAAGTGACTTGTTCCAGGCGGGTCCTCAGGAGTGGCTGTGCAGCCCCAGTCACTTTTCATCACACCGGAGAGGGACGCACAACCCCAGTCCTGTTTAGTTGCAGATATACCGAGAAGGGAGAGCCCACACCGACCTTAAGGGCACTTGGGCCCTGAATCCTATGCCTCTCGTTCCACTGCTTCTCAGTTGCCCTCCTACCTGGCTGGCCAGGTTTGGAGTCTCTCTCCCCTGCTCTGGCATTCCAGTCTTGGCCTGAAGCACGCTATGCCTCTCATACAGTCTGCCTTTTCTAGGGTCCAAGCAGCATCCCAAGTTCTGTTGAGATGCAGCTTGCAGTCCAGGAGGACAACGGTCACCCCCATCTTCCCATGTTTTTCTTGCTTTAAGCCCTCCCCTAAGCTTTCACATATAATCACCAGGGGTTCAGAAATTGTCAGCCAGTTCTCCTTATGCTTTAAGTAGATTTTCTTGGGGCCAGATGTCTTGAAAAACGCTCTCCTGACTCAGCAGTTCCTGGAATTTTTGGCCTATCATTTATCTCACTGTTCTGAGTTTACTTGTAAGCCTCTTCGCTTAATGTTTGAATCAAGATGAGCAGTAATAACAGCTTCTTGTGTACCAATTACTCAGAACTCACTTAAATTGCCTTAACACTTTTTAAATGTTCTTACACATTTGAAATTCTTTAGGGAGGGATTTCCAGAACTTTCCTAAATTTCTCCACCCATGGCATGACAGTACTTAGAGGGGCAAGAAGTTCAATTTTAGAATAAGCTCTTCTGGGCGCGATGGCTCATGCCTGTAATCCTAGCACTCTGGGAGGCCAAGGCGGGTAGAATGCTTGAGCCCAGGAGTTTGAGACTAGCCTGCAATATGCGAAACCCTGTCTCCACAAAAAGCCAGACATAGTGGTGCATGCCTGCAGTCCCAGCTACTTGGGGGCGCTGAGTTGTGAGGATCACCTGAGCCCAGGAGGCAGAGGCTATAGTGAGCCATGATCGTGCCACTGCACTCCAGCCTGGGTGACAGAGTGAGACGCTGTCGTCTCAAAAAAAAAAAAAAAAAAAAGTTCTTCTGTGTTTCTTGAATACCTATAACACAGTTGTCATGTGGTTAGCGATTCCTTCTGGCTAACTGGAGTCCTACGTGCTACAAGTTAGCTTTAATTTCCTTGTCTGACTTCAGAGGGAAACGCTTTTATTATAAGGCTTCCTATGTTACTAATCCCTTAGCCTTGTCTTCTTATGGTCAAATAACCCCTCTCATCTTCTCCCAAGGAGCCTATTAAATAGTTCCCTTGAATTTTCTTTTTCTCCACAATCCTAACCAGGTGAGCTTCTGGCGGGCGATATGCCTTTCAGGTTTGCAAACCACTTGCCCCTGACAGTCACCAAGCCTTACCAATTCACTTCCTAAACATCCTGGCCATTACTGACTGTAGCCTCACTATCCTCACTAAGACTGGGGCTGCAACAGCCTGATGGGTTCTTTCTGCCTCCCTTCCCTCCAGTCTGGCCCTGCTTATCCTATGCCCTTTGTCAAACTTGAGTACAGCCCAGACTCCCTAGAAGGCCCATGAGACCCTTCCCAAGCCAACCCCAGCCTGTCTTTATAGCCTCACATTCTACTGTGTACTCCAGCTTCCAGCCTGCAGCTTCACATAATCACTCTTCTTTTTCTGAAAACATTCATTTCTTCCACACTTCAGCTCTTCTCTCATTACAGTATTTTTTTTAAACAATTTTTTTTAGTTAAAAAAATTTTCTGGGCCGGGCGCAGTGGCTCATGCCTGGCCAACATGGTAAAACCCTGTCTCTACTAAAAATATAAAAAATTAGTCAGACGTGGTGGCACGCTCCTGTAATCCCGGCTACTCGGGAGGGCTGAGGCAGGAGAATCACTTGAACCTGGGAGGTGGAGGTTGCAGTGAGCCAAGATCGCACCATTGCACTCCAGCCTGGTGACAGAGTGAGACTCCGTCTAAAAATAAATAAATAAATAAAATTTTTGTGTTAGAAGACAGTCTCACTATGTTGCCCAGGTTGGACTTGAACTCCTGGGCTCGTGCAGTCCTCCCACCTCAGCCTCCTGAGTAGCTTGGACTACAGGTGCCCACCACCATGCCCAGCATATGCTATCTTTTAAAATTCATCTCTCAGTATAAGTAGTAGGAGTAGTAACAGTAATTCCTAACATATATTGAGTATTTACTGTGTGCTAGGCCCTATTGTAAGTGCTTCACATGTTTCAAGTCCTTTAATTCTTAGAAAACCCAGTGAGGTGTGATCCCCATTTTACAGATCGGGAAAGTGAAGCACAGAGAGGCTAAGAAACTTACCAAGGTACACAGCAAGCCAGCATGTGGCAGAGTAAGGATTTGGGTTCAGTTGGTCTGGCCCTAGCTGTGGCCGCCACTCTGGCCTTTACCATTGCTTCTCCGTGGGTGGCCTCTGAATGAATTACTTATTAGCCGGCACAGCGATCTCCAGTTGCACGGGTTCCTAAGTAGTCTCCAGTGTTTTCTCTCTCTTATCTGAATGTTCCCCTCCTGAACTTAATTGGGCGACTACCTATTGATTCCTCAGGCCTGTAAGGACATTTTGAATTCTAATCTTTTATGTTCTTATCACTTCTAGTTCTTTGTACTTTTGTTAGTTGGTTCCTCAAAGACTTCTTCTCTTCTGATTTTTAAGTTTGTAACAAATATCTACTTTGTTCTTTTTCATTTAATTCAATTAGACATCATGGAACCCATTGGAGGGCCCATACTTCTTGGGCCTGGGAACAGTGAACTGACATGGAGAGGGACAACATGGCCTTCTGAAAGAATCCTGGGAGCAGGGCCAGGAAATCTGGGCTCTGGGCCTGACTCTGCTGTGCTGACTCAGGCACGTGACCTCCTCGCTGCATGCCTCAGTTTCCCTGTGTATTAATATGGTTAAGGCCACAGGCTTTTGAGTCAGACCATCCTAGATTCCAGGCCCAGTTCTGCTACTTATTATTATTTTTTTGAGATGGAGTTTCGCTTTTGTCACCCATGCTGGAGTGCAGTGTCATGATCTCGGCTCACTGCAACGTCCACCTCCCATGTTCAAGCAATTCTCCTGCCTCAGCCTCCCATGTAGCTGGGATTACAGGTGCCTGCCACCACGCCTGGCTAATTTTTTGTATTTTTAGTAGAGATGGAGTTTCACCATGTTGGCCAGGCTGGTCTCGAACTGCTGACCTCAAGTGATCCACCTGCTGCAGCCTCCCAAAGTGCTGGGATTACAGGTGTAAGCCACTGCGCCAGTTCTGCTACTTATTAGCTGTGTGTCCTTGTGCAACTTGCTCAACCTCTCTGAATCTCAGTTTTCTTATCTATAAAAACTGGAGGATCGCAATATCTAAGTGCGTGCTTGTGATGATTAAACAGTTGAAGAGCTTAGCACAGTGTCTCGCACATAGCAAGCACTCGAAAAATGTCAGCATGATCATCATCATGGATGTTTGAGGAGTAAGATCATTGTGGAAAGGCCTCAGAGGTTTTGGGAAGAAGGGCTTTAGATAAAAGCCCTCTCAGGCCTATTACCTTTTTTCTTGCAACTGCACTGCAGTTTGCCACTCATCCAAGGACTTCTAAGTTCCTTTATTTTTGCCTTTTTGTTTCTCTTTTGTCCCCTATGCTTCCTGCCTCAGTCTCCGCTTGTCCATGCTATACTGGCTCTTAGGCAGAGCTTGTGTGTAAGCTGAATGCCCAAGCTGCAGGTTTTGGGTACATCTACCTGCTGCTTATCCCCTCCCCCAAACCCCCCAACGCTTCAAGGCTTGTACATTATGCCTGTCAAAAGTTTAGCTAAAACACCCCTTGGCTTCTGCTGGTCCCAGGAGCCATTTTACCAATGCAGGCTGCCCCCCTTAGGAGTCCTGGACGCAGAGAGCTCCTGGCCTCCTCTGGGGTCTGCCTCGCCCACCCCAGGCAGTCTGCTCAGTTCCTCGCCGCATTTCTGCAGGCTGCTTTGCAGTTCTGCTGAGCCATCTTCCCGCGTCCGTACCAGTTTTCCTTCGGCCCACATTAAGGCAGACTTTCTGGGGTCTGGCATTCCAAGCCCCCCACTGGGTGTTTCTCATCTTTGTTTATCTCTACTCTGCAGTCTCCCCACCCCTACTTGGATGTTTGTTGGCTTGTTTATTGCATTTTCTTATCCTGCCTGTTTCTCACCCGTTTTTTTCCGCATGGGCGTATCAACCTTGCTGGGCTGTGGTGGCCTCCCGCCTAGCTCTGACCCTGGCCTGGCCTTCTGGCTTCCACCCAGCTCAATCCCTGTCTTTGTTGCTTCGTTGGTCCAGAGTTCCCTCGAGGGCAAGGCTGAGCAGAGGAAAAACGATGCCTGGCTCCACCACAGAGCAGGAGGAGGCTGCTCCCACCTCCCATCATCCAAGCAGTATGTCTAAAAAACATCTCCGCACTGAGCCAACTCCCTTCTCCTCCCTCCTTCCCCACTGGCCTGAGTCCAAACTTGTAGGGGGACCAAGATCCCCACTGTGTCCTGAGAGCCTAGACCAGCCCTGGGCCAGGCTGCTGGCCCTACCTTGTGCAAAGAGGTCCGCTCCACCAGCTGGAAGGGAGCAGGATCAATTTTGCAGTCACTGAAGTTGACAGGTTCATCTAGTTGCTGCTCCTCCCACTCCAGAATCTGAGGGGAAGAGACTATGAGGTTTAGGGAGAAGGTGCCTGTAGCTGACCTCACCTCCCTGAAAGCTGGCCTGCCCTTTTTCCAACCCCGTGGTCCCTCCCATGGGGACAGCAGCCAACATGATGATTGAACACAACCAGGAAGAAACAGGGTCCAGAGTCCAGTGGCACCTTACCTCTTCAGGGCTCATCTCGCCTTCCAGGTCCGCGTCACTCTAGTAGAGAGGGAGGGAGGCTGGCAGCTAGGGGCTCTGGAGTTTATCCAGCCTAGACCCTGCCCTCCCTGCCCGGTGCCGCCGAGATGCTAGAAGAGCAGGCATACTTACTGCCAGGGAGATTCGGACACGCTTCAGCTTGCGCTTCTCACAGGATTCCAACTTCTTCAGTTTTGTTAGAGCCAAACCAGAAAGATGAGGAGTTGAGGTTATAGGGAGAGGGGAGGTGAGGGGAAGTGGTGGAGCCCAGGGGAAAGGGCACGCCACAGGACCTGAGCTGACAGCAGGGAGGGCCGAAGGGCAGGGAGAATAGAGGCAGGCACTGCAGGGTTAATGACGTGGTCTCAGCATTGGAGAGGGAGCTGGGGAAAAAGCAAGCTAGGAGGACAGGCTCCAGCCACTCACCTCCGAAGCAGCCTCAGGGGGTGGACTGCCACAGAAGAGGCTCCGGAGGGCGATGCCTGCCGACTCTGCGCTCCCTGTGTTCCCAAACATAAGGCCCCAGGGGGCAATGTCATCTTTTGGGGAGAGGACCAGGAAAGGTAAGGAAGACACAGGGAGAGGTATCCCAGTTCCAGCCCTGGCCCATGTGGGCAGCCTCTTCCAGCTGGGATGTACCCCAGCAACAGGGCTGGGCAGGGACTCTAATGGATCTCAGTAGCTTGGCTGAGGCTCTGTGGACACAGGAGACATGGGCTTACCTGTGGGACTCTCTCCGAGGTTCCTGGTGACACTGGGCCCCCTCTTGAGTGCAGGCTTTAGGGGCTTGTGGGTCTCCCCCCGGGCTGCTGGGAAGGCTGAGTCTTCTGTGTTCACCTGCATAGGCAGGAAGGGGCTGGTGAGGCCACGGCCCCAGACCACCCTCCCAATCAGTCTACACAATGACATTTAGGAAGCGTTTGTGGCTTTTCCCCTCACCTGGAAGCAGACAGAAGCCTCAGGGGTAGGGGGACCCTCCTGATCAGATAGTGGAGAGGTCTGGGTGGCTCTGCGCTCCTGCATGTGCTGCCGCCGGCGGGCTGGGCTCAGCTGGGCCCCCAACAATGCCACCACCTGTGAACGCTCGATGGAGCCCAGCAGAATCATGGACTCTGGACAGAACAGGTGGAAGGACTCAGGAGCTGAGAGGGAGCCCTCCAGCCCCGTCCTTCTCTCACACTCAGAGTGGGGGGCCTTGCATGCAGGCCACACACCAGAGGGAAGCCCCCACCTGGCAAGTGCTGGTCCATTCCCTTTGGAACCAAGGAGACTGGTCCTGAGCTCCCTGCCCCTTCCCGAAGCTTCGACCCTGGGCAATGCCCCTAGCACCTGGGACCCCTCCTGGCCTCACCAGGGGACTCCACTAGGGCCAGCATTCGGCCCTTGGTCCTGTGCAGTGCCAAACGCAGGTCCCGGAAGGTGCAGCTGAGGGCCACATGGGGAACATCCCGCACCATGATGTCCTCCACACGCACCCGGTACTGCCTGGGGGCCGAGAGAGGCGCTTGGTTTGTGGTCAGCATGGGGAGAGGTGCCCAGAGCATTGCCATCCCAGGGCCACAAGGAGGGCTCCAGAGCCCATCCATGGGGACGGGAGCTAAGGACCAAGGGGTGCTCCCACCCTTCTTTCTGAACAGCAGGGGCCAGCTACAGCCCCTCCAGAGTGTGGACGAAGGTGGCTCATCTCCCAGCTTCGTAGGCTCCAGGACCTTGCTAGAGGTGGCTGTAGGGGGATCTAGGATGCCCTCTGCCCTTCACCCACAGCCCCCTTGGCACCCAGCCCTCCGTACTGGTGGCGGCCCCAGCCGAGCTCAGGCAGGTAGGGCAGTTTCTTGATTCGGATGATGCTGTCATAGAGGGAGGGCTGCAGACTCTGGGCGACAGCGTTGGCCAGGATGACGGCGATCATGACAGGCAGGATGTGGGCAATCTGGCCTGTGAGCTCGAACACGATCACAGCCGTGGACACTGTGTGTGTCACCGCTCCTGCCAGCGCAGCTGCCCCTGGGGACAGTCACACTCAGTCTCCTCAGGGTGCCCAGGTCCCAGAAGACCCTCCACAACCAGGGCAGGTCCTGAGTGGGTCCCTCAGGGCTGCCCAATACAGTCCTGGGATTGGACCTGTGCATCTGAGGGAAGCCTGGTTTCTGCCAGCAGGGGGCACCAGAGTCTCGGACCCTGTGGCTGGGGCGTGGGTGGGGGGGTCTCCCAAGGCCGATGGGACCTGAGGCACTCACCGACCACAGCGTAGCCCCCAGGCACAATCCGGTAGGTGCTGCTGTCCGTATGAATTCCATCTGGGAACCAGGCAGCCATGCTTTCACCCACCAGACGCCCAAATGCTGCTCCTTCAGGGAGGGGGGTGGGAAGAGAAAGAGGCAGTGGAGGGGGAGGGCAGGGGGCACTAGGAAGAGAGAGGGTCAGAGGGTGAGGGAGGGGCCAACGGGTCATTCAGTGTAGGGCACAGCCCTGTGGGGTCAGGGTTCGGGCTAGGGCTGGACCAAAAACCCGCTCTTGGGCAGAGGGTTGGCTGGGGGGGTGGCCAGAGGCTGAGGAAGGTGCAGGCTGGGTGAGCAGGCAGCTGAGAACTCACCAATGACAAAGACAGGCATGAAGGCCCCACAGGGAACTGGGATGGTGGTGGCCAGTGCAGACATCCAGAACTGCAGGCAGGGGGTGGTTCAAAGGCGAAGAGGCTCCACCTGGCCCCAGGCAGCCCACAGCGCCACCCAGGAGAAGTCTACCTCGCTGATCAGGTGGGCGTAACCCTCCCAGCCACCCCGTAACCCTCCTAGCTACCCTGGGACCCCCAGGCCTCCCAGGTGATGGCAAGGGGAAGGACTCTGGAAGCAGATGGCTTGGGTTCAGATCATCGCTCTGCCCTCTAGCTGTGTGACTTTGGGCCAGCTACTTGTGTTTCGACTCCCCCATCTTTCAAACGGGGGTGATAATAGTGCCTTTCCCATGGCACTGTGGAGAGGCTTCGAGGAGTGAGCACTGCGTGGCAGGTGCTTAGAAGGGCAAGCTATGTAAAGGTTAGCAGTGTACACGTGAGGAGCCCACCTTCATGAGAATGAAGATGACCAGGGTGAGGAAGACGTTGGCACGTGGTGGGTTCCAGGCCTGTGAGGTGCTGGGTGGTTCTAGCTCCTCCACCAGGCCCTGGCGGACCCACGTCCGATTGTCAAACAGGGTGACCAGCGTCTCTTTCTGTGAGAGCTAGAGTGAACAGGGTGCCTCAGGCTGGGAAACCGACAGGATGAAGGGAAGAGGCCATGGGATCCCACGGGGAACAAGGGGTCCCACAGTCACACTGGGGCTGTTGGCTTTGGAGGAATGCCTTCCAAGGGAAAGCACAAAACTCCTGTTCTGCCTGTGGTTACCTGTCCAGCCATGAACTGTCCAAAGCCAGGGGGGAAGGTCAGCGTGGAGATGAGCAGGGTCACCAGAGCCGGGAAGAGCAGGCGTCTAGAGTCGTAGGTTTCACATCAGTCGTGGGTGGCCAAGGGCTGGGTGGCCTCGCATATCTCAGGGCTGAGGTCAGAGCAGAGCCTTGGCTCTTTCATGAAAACACTCAGTCCTGACAGAAGGTCTCCTTTGCTGTTTATGATACGATAGCCCCAAGGCTGATGGTGGACTGGGGTTATTCTAAGAGCAGGGGTCTGACCCAAAGACCTTTCTGTCAGCCCCTGACTCTGTAGGTGGGTAGCAGCAGCAGAAAGTCCATCCTCCAAGCCCTCCCTTGGGGCCCTCCGAGTTGTTATTCCACCCTCCACCCTCAGAAGCCCATCAGGGCATATTGTGTGATGGGGTGGAGAAGTTTCTGCCTCTCTTTGTCTCTCTGCAGTGACTTAGAGTGAAGGTCAATGTTGGGGGAAGCTGGGGTCACTTGTAAAGTTGACCAGAGGTGCGTAGGGAGCAGGTTCAGCTGGCTGCCCTCTCTCTGAAGGATGTCAGTCCCAAGGGAAGTCATGTCTCGCCCTCCCCACTCCCAATCCTCAGGGTCACACTGAGAGAGCTGTGTTCTGGAGATTAAAAAAAAAAAAATCTCGGCCGGGCACAGTGGCTCACGCCTGTAATCCCAGCACTTTGGGAGGCCAAGGTGGGCAGACCTGAGGTCGGGAGTTCGAGACCAGCCTGACCAACGTGGCGAAACTGTCTCTACTAAAAAATACAAAATTAGCCGGGCGTGGTGGTGCATGCCTGTAATCCCAGCTACTTGGGAGGCTGAGGCAGGAGAATCGCTTGAACCCAGGAGGCGGAGGTTGCGGTGAGCCGAGATCGCACCATTGCACTCCAGCCTGGACAACAAGAGTGAAACTCCGTCTCAAAAAAAAAAAAAAAAAAGAGATCTCATCTATCCCCATGGGTCATGGGGGGAACCTGAGGCTCAAACACTCTCCAGGGAGCATTCCTATATGGGCCAGCCCAGAGGACCTGAGGAGGCCTTAGTCTTTGATTCCCAAATGTCCTCTACCGCTGACTATAAACTTAAAAATGCCAATTTTCAGGTAATTCATATGAATATAAAAATGCTCAGTCAGCCTGGAAAACACTGCTGGCTGATTTCTCAGTGAAGTGCCTGTTTTGACTGGGCCATTCTCTCCCCATCACTGTCCCCTGACCTACTGTGGCCCTTATACAACTCAAAGCAGCCTGGAGAGGAGCCGAGAGCCACTCACTTCCTCATGAGGAAGCGATTGATGGTTTTCTGCTTCCGCATCACCTGGACAATCTTCCGGTTCAGGTAGACAAAGAGGGCTCCACCGAAGCCACTAGCAATACTGGAAAGGGAAGAGGCACCTGAGTGAAAAGGAGCCTTCTAGAAACCCCCCTCCTCTCTGATACCCCCAGCCCCCTCAGCTCCTCACCCAATGACAGCAAAGGCTGGCAGCTCCTGCAGGTCAAAGGGGAAGTCGAGCCGGAATCGGGTTTTGAAGAGGGCTGTAATAGTCTCTAAAGGGAAGAACAGCAGAGGGAGGCAGGCCTAGCCTCGTGGGCCCCCTACCTGGCACCATCTCGGGCTGCCCTCATCCCCTGGGTGCCCCCACCTTCATCCCGGTTCCAGACTGCCAAGACCCGGAAGATGAAGGCACTGAAGGTGGCAGCGAAGAAGCCCCGCCAGTAGTTCCGCACTGCAAAGAAGGTGGAGGTGACCTCGATGCTGAAGAGGACGCCTGTGAGGGGGAGGGAGACCAGCACTTGAGGCCTGGGCCTGGCCTAAGGCCTCAGACCCAGATAAGAGGGGCCAAGGAGGAGAGGCCAAGGGCAGGGTTGTGGGGCTGGACTGACCTAGGAGCCCTGCCTACCTCCAATAGGTGCCGCGAAGCAGCAGCCCACCCCCACGGCACAGGCGGCAGCCAGCATCTCTGTGTTCCGGGATTCATTCTGGCGAGAGTGGTGGCAAGAGGGGGTCAGCTGTGGGCTCAGCAGCCTCTGCCCCCTACTTGCCCCAGGGTTCCCCTTACCTCATAGATACCCCCAAAGAGGGAGAGGAACTTGCTGAGAAGGGCAGCACACATGCTTGCGATATGCACAAAAGGGCCCTGCGGGGTGGGGCAGGCGGTGAGTCGGGAGGGGGCCCGCCCTGACCTTGGCCTGGCCTCCTCTTCCACCAGGAGGGACTCCTTCATTCCCCAGCCTGCAGTTACCTCTTTGCCAAGCGGCATCCCGCTGCCTAGGGCGCAGGTCAGCCCAATGACCTTAGCTATAAAGGTCTTGAGTGTGAGGTATTCTTTCAGCACCACTCCCCGCAAGATGGTCTTCATCTCAGGGATGCCAGAGCCTGGAGAGGGAACAGTCTCAGGAGAGGCATTCGATGCACCCATTTCAGGGGTCCCGCCTCTGCCCTCCCCTTCTCTTCTAACATACCGACAGCCTGAGGGGCCAGGATCTGTGTGAATCCGGCTGAGAAAGTGATGAGGACAACAGGGTAGGTGACCCAGGCCAGGTACTGGAGCAAGATGCTGGTGTTCAAGCCCCGGGACATCCACTGCTGGGCTGTGGGAAGAGGACCTGCTGGACCCCCAGTGCACACACCCACTGCCTGCCTGGCCAGTGGACCACGCTGATACGACAGGCTGTCCCAGGGAGTACCACACAGAGTCAGGGCATGGGTGAAGGAAAGGGTCCCTGAGGGTATTCACTGGGACAAAGCGCAATCTAGGCAAGAGGATCACTTGGAGAGGGGATGCAAGAAGCTGTGCCCTGTGGGAGTGGCCGAGATGATGCCTGAATCTGGGCAGTCAGACTGGCTGGGGAAAGTGGTCAGTGGCCAAGAAGCCAAGACGCCTTCCTCCATGTCTAGACGAGTGTGGCATGGACGCAGGAGGTTTATTCCCAGTCCTCCCCCTGCCAGCTGTCACCCTCACCTTGCAGACAGGCAGCAATGGCATAGTCCATGACCCAGCTGACCAATGCCATGAGAAGCCCCAGCAGGACCAGGAAGATCCAATCTTCACCAACCCTGGATACTAGGAACTTGTGGCAGCGGACAGAACAGACTGGGTGCAGGGAAGGGAAGAAGGGGGAGGATGGCACCAAAGTGCTCCTACCCCTTTTACTGCCCCCTCAACTGTCCCCTCTCCCCCATCAGCAGCTCTAATGGCCTCTGCTTCCCTCAGCACAGCACAGCCAGGTCCCCTGCCCCCACCCCAGTTCTCACCGCGGCATCGGGCGCAACGGCTCCGTCCATATTCCAAGAGCTCTGGGGCAGCCCGAGAGGAAGGGGGACCTTTCCAGGGTTCAGGCCCTCCCAGGCGAATCCGAGCAGCTTCCTCTTTGGCAAAGGCCCCAAGGTCCTGAGTGTACCGGCCATACATCTGGAGCAACAGAGGGGATGGGGGCATTCGAGGTCATGGGCTGAGTGGGAACGCAGGGAGAGTTCTTAGAGCCTCCACTCCTCTTCTCCCAGCCCCCACACTGGATATCCCTCTTGAACGCACAGTTCCCACTCTGGCCCGAGGTGTGGGAACAATGCACATTGCAGACTGTGGAGGCTGTCCTGGCCAGAGTGATGGGGACAGCCAAGGTACAGGGACACAGCTCTGGGGGTGGCAGAATAATCGGTCCTCTTCTCACAGGCCTGGGGCTGGGGCACTGAAGAGGAGTGAGAGGGAAGCCCCAGAAGAGGAAAAGGTGGAAAAACCTGTGGCACAGTCTAAAAGTGGGAGGCGGGAAGGCCAGGGAGTAAGGGATGATCAGGGGCACATGGGCAACAATAAGAGCCTCGTGGAGCTCGGGGCAGCTGAGTTGGGCCCAGGAGCAGGCGCAGCCCCAATCCTTATCACGTTCCTGCTGGGCCTCCGGCCTGTGACCAACTCAGCTGCACCTCTCCCACCCACCCTAATCCCCTTGTCCCCATTCTCCACTGCCACCCCCACCAGCCTGCCAGCCCAGCTGGGAGTGGAAAGCCTCTCACTTAGGGTGGGTGGAGAGGGCTTGGTGGCCTCAGCCCCATTCTGGAGCTGCACTGAGCCCAGCGGTGGGTTGGGGGACAGCGGAGGCTGAGGATGGCTGGGCTGTGACTGTGGATGCTGGGGTGATGGGACGGGAGAGTCGCCTGAACCATGGCTAGACCTGCCAAGCTGGGCGTGTGTTGGGGGGCGGGGAGGAGTAGATTCTGGCTGCCACCCGCAGAGCTTCGGGACACAAAGGGCTCCTGTTGGGGCTGGGATGGGGGGGAGGGAGGGAGGGAAAGATAGAGACAGAGAGAGGGTGAGAGATAGGAAAGGGAAAGCAAAGAGAAGAGAGGGAACTAGAGAGGAGAAAGTAGAAGAGAAAAGAGAGGGAAGGCGAAGGGATGGAGAAGAGAAAGAAGGGGATGAGAGAGGAAGAAGTACGGAGGAGGAAGAGAATGGAGAGTATTAAGAGGCAAGCACGGTGTAGGAGGAGGGAGGTGAGAGTGGGAGAGAAAGACAAAGGGATAGGATGGTGAAGGGGGGCGGGAGCAGGCTGGAGCACAGAGTGCCCGGGACAGAGCTCGACCCTGAGAGCTCATTCCAGAGACAGCTGGAAGGGACGGAGATGGAGAGGTGGCTGGTGTTAAGAGGCACCATTTCAGAGGCCAGGTGCCTGGCTTCCTTGACCATGCTCCTATCCTGGTCTGGGCAGATTGGCAAGTGTCTCCTACCCCATCCCAAGGGTTGGCCCCTCTACCCTTGCTCTACTCCCACCTCTCCCTGACATCCTGATTCATCCAGCTACTTTCTCCTAACTGGGCACCTCCCAGACTTATAGCCTCTCCTCTCCAAGACGTTCCCTCCCTGCCACCTTCCTGGGCAAATTCCAGCCCAAGCTGGTAAAAAGGAACCACGGGCCCCTTCCTTTCCCTAGGGCTTGGGTCTTCCACCCCAGTGACATGAGGAGGGTCACGTGGCTTCTCAAACACCAAGTAACAATGGGGGCGATAAGTCAGCTCAGAGCCCAGGACCCCTGCTTCTAATGAGGTCAGGGGACACACCCTGGGGTGGGTGGGGGCTGGATACCCCGCATCAGCATAGACAAAGGTCCCAATTCCCACACCCATTCCTGCTTCACCCACCCTCCCTAAAGCTCCTGTCCCCCAGAGTGGCAAGCCACCTTTTTCCAGAGTCAACTGAGGGGCTCCTGGAGCCAACGCTGGGTGTGGAGCCTCCAGAGGTAGGGTCTGGGGCTGACCATCTTTCTACACACTCGATTCTATGCTTAGCATGGTGCCATGCACATGGCAGGGACACAGAGAATGTCTTGGGTGGTGGAGATAGTGGCGTAGAGAAAGTTCAATGGTGTGAATGGTGCCGCGGAAGGGGCAGTGGGGTGCTGAGACTTGGGCCCAGGTGGTGAAGGGGAGGTGCAAAGAAAACGTGCATGTTGTGGGGTGAGGGGAAGGACACCTGAGACAAGTACCTGGTGTCCTTGTCCTCTGCAGGCCCTCAGCCTCAGCCAGAAACCAGCATGCAGTTTTCCATCCCTTCGGCCCTGCAGCCTCAGACTTCCAAGCCTCAGTTTCCCCAGCTCAAAATGCTAGGACAGGATTAGGGTAGGCCCCTGGTCCTCGCGCTTCCCAGGGTAACCTGGAGCAGGGGTCCCGGAGCGCACTCCTGGGGCTCAGCTCAGCTTCACTTACCAGGGTCTGCTCGTACTGCAGCGCCCGTGGCTCCATCCCTTCCTCCGCCGCCGCGGCCGCCATCTCCGCGCACTGCCCTCTCGCCTCCCTCGGCGGTTCCGGCTCTGTCCTGGACTCGGCTCCCGGCCCGCAAAGTCCGCGCCGGCAGCCGTCCCGTCCCCGCAGCCCGGGAGGCCGAGAGCAGAGTGCGGCGGGCCCCCGGCGGGCGCCGCTGGCGCAGCCTCCCGCTCGCGTCCCCTCCCCGGCGGGCGGGCCGAGGGCGGTGCCCTCTGCGCTGCTCCGCCCGCCGGCCCATCCGGAGGGGACGGCCCAGCCAGGCTGGGGTCCGCGCGGGGCCTCCCGAGAGGCGGCAAGGGGCGCTGGGAAGGCGCAAGCCCGCGCCGGCTCCCTGCGGATGCCCGGGTCGGAGAGGGGCGCCCGGGAGGGGCGGGTCTACTGGCACGTGGAGGGGCCGGCCCGGGTTCGCGGTTCCCCGTGCCCAGGCAGGAGGGGCTGCAGACGCCTGAGCTCCGTAGGGGTTGGGGCTGGGGGCTGCGGAGCTGTCTACATCGGACTCCTCCGGGTCAGCCCGTTAGGAGCCGCCTCCCCTCTGCCCCTCCGAAGAGACGAGCGGCCCAGACAGGCCTGGGAAGGCCCCTCTGCCCCGTCAGGGGTGAAAAGCAAAGCTGGAAGGATTCGGAGAGGGTTGGGGCCGTCTTCCTCATCCTTCCTTTTCTCGGGGCTCCCGTGGGTAGGTGCACTTGGAGCAACCGGGCCTGCGGGGTGTGCGGGGGTGGAGGTTGGGGAGGGCACCGGAAGGGGTAGGCCGGAGGGAAGGGAGCTCCAGGTGCCGGGAAGTCTACTCCTGGGACGCGGGCGTGGGTCGCTTCTCCCTGGCTGGGCCCAAGGAGGAACCCAAGTCGCTGCTTCCATCCCTCCGCTTTGGGGGAACTGCCTGCTGGTGTTCTGGGTTCTCTATCAGGGGCTGGGGAAGGATAGAACAGAGGGCGGAGCGCGCGCAGGGTGGATGGGCAGCGTAGAGATAGTGTGAGAGGAGCGAGGGCAGCGCCCAGGAAACGCACAAGTGTGCGGGAGAGCCAGCACCAGGAGTAAGGGGCATTTGGGAGGCAGAGGCGGGGCTCAGGGGGCGGGAGCAGTGCCCGGGAAGGGGGGGCCTTGTGATAGAAGCCAGCACTCAGGAGGAAGGGCCAGTGTGAGGGAAGAGCTGGTATCCAAGGGACAGGGCAGTGCCAGGCTGAAGGGGCACGGAGGGGATCCGTGTCCAGGAGAAGGCAGTGGAGGGGGAACGCGCAGCACTAAGCTGGAGGGGTAATGCCCGGGGGAGGGGGGTGGCGGGAGCCCGGCTGAAGGGGCGGTGTAGGGGAAGAGAGCAGGGCCTGGGGGGAAGAGGGAGGGCAGTGGTGGGAGGGTGCAGTACGAGAGGAGGGGACAATGCAGGCTTTCCTCTTCTCCATAGCGACGTCATGGCAAATTCCCAAACTGGACGGATCCGGCTCGGGTTACGTCCAGCAGGGCCGAGCCGGCCCAGGCCGGCCCCGGGGTCCTCGGTGCCGGCTGGAGGGGCTGGGCACCTCTGGGGCGGGGTTCTGCTCCACCTGCCCTCGGCGCGGACTGTGCCCTCGGCGGGCACGCGGACCGGCGGGGTAGGGCTAGGGCCCGGCTTCTCTGGGCCAAGGATCAAGGTCCCTGCCTGGGTTAGGCCCCCACGCATTCCAGTCTTCGGAACCCGGCCTCTGAAGAGGGCGCAGTAGGGCCCCAGCGGAGCGCGAGAACCCGCTCTACAGCCTATTGCTTCCCCGCCCTGGGCAGAGCCACCTGGACATGAGACCCGCCCTCAATGCCGAAGCCTCTCGGAAGCAATCTTTCGGGACGGAAGTTAAGTAGCCCCGAGCGGGAGGCTGTGGCGGAAGTGGTCGCGTTACCGCTTGTTTGTGCGCATGCGCCACTCTCGTCTGGCCGCCGCGCTTTCAGGAGGTGCTTTTGGTTCTCTCCGGTCTTGTCCACGCTAGGGGGTGCACGTACTCCCAACTGTGGTCGCGCTCTCACCCCTTCTGCTGCTCTCGTGGCCCCCTCGCGATGGCGGGCATCCTGTTTGAGGATATTTTCGATGTGAAGGATATTGACCCGGAGGGCAAGAAGTTTGACCGAGGTAAGTAAGGTATGTAGGGGCGGTTTGGAGGAAGAGGCTAACCTCGCGGACATGCCCCTGGGCCCCGTGTCCACCCAGCTCTTGTGGCCTGCCCCTACCAGCAGGTCCTGGTGTAGGGACCTCCCTCAGTAAACATTTTATGGATGAGAAAACGGAGACTCCCGAGCTCTCTCTGGCTTCACGCATGCCGTGCCCGGTGCCTGGGTGGCCTTTTGTCATGGTGCTGGCAAACTCCTAGGCATATTTATAATCGCTACCTGCTCTGTGCTAGACACTGTCTTGTGAGACCAGCCTGGCCAACATGGTGAAACCCCGTCTCTACCAAAAATACAAAAATTAGCCTGGCGTGGTGGCGGGCGCCTGTAATCCCAGCTACTTGGGAGGCTAAGGCAGGAGAATTGCCTGAACCTGGGAGGCGGAGGTTGCAGTGAGCCAAGATCGCGCCACTGCACGCCAGCCTGGGCGGCAGAGCGAGACTCCGTCTCAAAAAAATGACAGTCCTCATGAGGTGGGTGGTGCCTTTCCCATTTTTCTCTGAGAGGTTGAGTAAACCACCCAAGGCTTCACAGCGAGTAATCTGACTTCAGAGCCTATATTCTTGTATTGCCCTCAGAATCTTTAGCGCTTTGTGAAGTCTTCTTTGAGTTAGAGTTAGCTGCTTGGTATATACCTTTTTTTTTTTGAGACGCAGCCTTTCTCTGTTGCCCAGGCTGGAGTGTAGTGGCACGATTTTAGCTCACCACAACCTCCGTCTCCCGGGTTCAAGCGATTCTCTGCCTCAACCTCCCAAGTAGCTGGGATTACAGGCATGCGCCACCACGCCTGGCTAATTTTGTATTTTTAGTAGAGACAGGGTTTCACCGTGTTGGCCAGGCTGGTCTCAAACTCCTGATCTCAAATGATCCACCTGCCTCGGCCTCCCAAAATGTCGGGATTACAGGCATGAGCCACTGCACCGGCCTACACCTCTTTATTTTGTCATCTATCAATAATTTTCTCTTTGATGTCTCTTTCTTTGCCTGGAGACTAAGATGTTTTTCAAGACGGATACCAGTTCTTATACATCTTGGTCACTCCCCTCAGCACAGTGCCTAGCATAGAAAGAGAAAACCTTTGGATGATTGAATAACTTGCCCAGAGTCAGGTTCTCAGTCATCCAGGCAGGCTTTGCTGCTGGAGTATCTTTGGTTGTTTTCTGGGGATTACGTTCGCTTGCCACAGTTTTTCTCCCCTTTTCCTTCTTGCATATCTGGTTCTGATTGAGCCTGAATTTCTATGAGAGCAGATGAGAGACCACTGGATGTAGACTGGGTTAGATTGAGTATCCTGTTGCATACAATCCCACACTGTAGGATCTGCCTTGGCAATACCTCTGTCACTCTTTTCCTGCTTCTCCCCAGTGTCTCGACTGCATTGTGAGAGTGAATCTTTCAAGATGGATCTAATCTTAGATGTAAACATTCAAATTTACCCTGTAGACTTGGGTAAGTATTGAATACAGACAATAATAAGAGACTTTTTGCTGCTTCTGCTATTCTTTACTCTCTGATATTGCTGTTATTTTCAGGTGACAAGTTTCGGTTGGTCATAGCTAGTACCTTGTATGAAGATGGTACCCTGGATGATGGTGAATACAACCCCACTGATGATAGGCCTTCCAGGTGAGGGAGTGGAGAAGGTAATACTTGAAATATGCCTTGAGGACTAAGTAGATAAGTGATATAGAAAGACTCTTCTAAAATTCCTGGAATAAATGATGATCAGCAGAATCTGAGTAACCTTAAGGAAATTTCTGCACTTAAGAATTCAAACAGGCCAGGCACCGTGGCTCACACCTGTAACCCAAGCACTTTGGGAGGCCGAGGCAGGAGGATTGCTTGAGTCCAGGAGTTCAAGACCAGCCTGAGCAACATAGCGAAACCTCACTGCTACAAAAAAGAAGAGAGAAAAAAAAAAAAGGCTGGGCATGGTGTCATGTGCCTGTAGTCCCAGCTGCCTGGGAGGCTGAGGTGGGAGGATTGCCTGAGCCAGGGAGGTTGAGGCTGCAGTGAGCCATGATTGCACCACTGCACTCCAGCCTGGGTGACAGAGCAAGACCGTGTCTCAAAAAAAAAGAAAAAAATTCGGGCCGGGCGCGGTGGCTCACGCCTGTAATCCCAGCACTTTGGGAGGCCGAGGCGGGCGGATCACGAGGTCAGGAGATCGAGACCATCCTGGCTAAAACGGTGAAACCCCGTCTCTACTAAAAATACAAAAAAAAATTAGCCGGGCGTAGTGGCGGGCGCCTGTAGTCCCAGCTACTTGGGAGGCTGAGGCAGGAGAATGGCGTGAACCCGGGAGGCGGAGCTTGCAGTGAGCCGAGATCCCGCCACTGCACTCCAGCCTGGGCGACAGAGCGAGACTCCGTCTCAAAAAAAAAAAAAAAAAGAAAAAAATTCAAACAACCAGGTATTTATCTATAACAGTGATTACATGCTTGTGAGTTGCAGCCTTTTGAAGGCTGAGGAGGTAACTGCTGAGTGACCTAGGCCATGTGGGTCTTGTGTCTTGGGAGGGAGCTTGGTGTGATGGAAAGACTTTGGCACCCCACTTGAGTTCATTTCTCAGCTCTACCACTTATTTGTTGAGTAACCTTAATCTCCTTCAGCCTGTTTCCTCATCAATAAAATAGAGATGGTCATGCCTAGCTCATGGGGTTGCCATGAGGACTAAATGACATCATGTTTGTAATGTGCCTGTTGTTATAATGCTGGCATTTAGTTACCAGTAACCATTTTTTTTTTTTTTTTTGAGACGGAGTCTTGCTCTGTGGCCCAGGCTGGAGTGCAGTGGCGCGATCTCAGTTCACTGCAAGCTCCGCCTCCCGGGTTCACGCCATTCTCCTACCTCAGCCTCCTGAGTAGCTGGGACTACAGGAGCCCACTACCACGCCCGGCTAATTTTTTTGTATTTTTAGTAGAGATGGGGTTTCACTGTGTTAGCCAGGATGGTCTCGATCTCCTGACCTCGTGATCTGCCCGCCTTGGCCTCCCAAAGTGCTGGGGTTACAGGCTTGAGCCACCACGCCCGGCTGACCAGTAACCATTTTTAAATGGGATCTTTTATATTGTTAATTACTGTTAAGAATAACTTTGCTGCTATTGCTCCATAGGGCTGACCAGTTTGAGTATGTAATGTATGGAAAAGTGTACAGGATTGAGGGAGATGAAACTTCTACTGAAGCAGCAACACGCCTGTAAGTTACGTAATCTTGTGAGGATTCTTTTCCTCTTCCATGTTCTGAGACTTTGAGCTATGCTCCTGCTTCCTCTGTTGAGTCCCTCTCCTCAGGCACCTCAGACCGAGGTGGGAACTAGAAAGAAATAGTTCTGGGAGCAGTTTCCAGTCTGAAATGTAGACTGCCCTTTGTCAGGCCCTCCTGGCCCAGTGGTCCACATGAGAAACTGATTATCTCACTGTGTAAAGTGCAAAGGAGACTTGCTTCCCCAGGAATAAATGCAGCATTAAGTGATTAGACTGTTAGGCTTTGTGTGTGTGTGTGTGTGTGTGTGTGTGTGTGTTTTGCTACTCTGTAAAAGGCTGTGTGTGTGTGTGTGTGTGTGTGTGGCTACTCTGTAACCCAATCCCTAGTTCCTTGGTTTTCCTGTCCAGCTATTTTTTCTTTTCTTTAAAGTCTTATTAAAACAATATGTGCTTTTTGTAAGTAATTTGAAATGCAGAAGAGTAATGTGAAGAAGGAAAAAAAAGTCACCTGTAATTCCATATCCAGAGAGAACCTTTTACATAGACTTTTTTGCATATCCTGGTGTTCTGTTTTTTTCTTGGAGACTGTGGTGTTTATTATGTTTTCTTCTGCTCTTTTTGCTTAACATTATGTAAAACATGTTTCCCCATGTTAGTGTAAAGCTTTTCTTTTCTTTTCTTTTCTTTTTTTTTTTTGAGATGGAGTCTTGCTGTGTTGCCCAGCCTGGAGTGCAGTGGCGCGATCTCGGCTCACTGCAAGCTCCGCCTCCCGGGTTCACGCCATTCTCCTGCCTCAGCCTCCTGAGTAGCTGGGACTACAGGCACCCACCACCATGCCTGGCTAATTTTTTTTTTGTATTTTTAGTAGAGACAGGGTTTCACCATGTTAGCCAGGATGGTCTTGATCTCCTGACCTCGTGATCCGCCCGCCTCAGCCTCCCAAAGTGCTGGGATTACAGGTGTGAGCCACCGTGCCCGGCCGGTGTAAAGCTTTTCTTAAACGTTTCAATAGTTGCATAACATTTCAGTAAGTGGATATGTCTTGATTCATTTGAACATTCCCCTGATTTGGGGCATCTAGGTGTTTTCCACCCTCGATAATATAAAGAACAGTGCCTTGCACATATCTGTGCATTGATGTTTGTCAGAATTTTGGTTCCTAGTGACAAAACAGTAGGAAGATGCCTCTTCTGTTTCTTAGGCTGAGATGGAACAGTGCCTTGCACATACCTGTGCATTGATCTTTGTCAGAATTTTGGTTCCTAGTGACACAACAGTAGGAAGATGCCTCTTCTCTTTCTTAGGCTGAGATTGAGAGCTGCTGAGTGGCAGTGCTCCAGAATCACGGGATGGGGCCTTCTGTTTCAGCTCTGCGTACGTGTCCTATGGGGGCCTGCTCATGAGGCTGCAGGGGGATGCCAACAACCTGCATGGATTCGAGGTGGACTCCAGAGTTTATCTCCTGATGAAGAAGCTAGCCTTCTGAACCTCGCCTGAAGCCAGCCTCTCTGCCAAGTCACTCAGGTCATGGGCATTGTTCAAGCCTGAGTGGCAGCCGCTCTTGCTCACCTGTTGAGGAAGGGCTGGCTCACTGTCCACCGTGGCGGCATCTTTAACTGGCCTCCACTCAATGGGAAACTGACTCGCCTGTGAAAGACACAGTGGGAGAGCTGAAAATGAATCAGAAGCTTTATGTATATGATTTTTAAATTAAACTTTACTTTTTCAGACTGCCCCTCCCCTTTTTGTAAAAAGTCCATTTACTGTAAAATCGTTTTTTCCAGTTTGTCTGTGGTGTATTGTTTCTGGCCCACAGCCAGCTGATCACTTGTCAATGTAGGATCTATTCCAGCCTTTTGGTATCTGGGTTCAGGGTTATCTCAGTCTCCTGGCTGACTGTTCTCAACATTTATCCTCCAGTGTGGTTTTCAGTCTGGGAGAGAGTTGTGCTTTTGGCTCCTGAGGGTACCCCAGGCCCAGAAGATACCACCCATTTGGCGCAGAATTTTGAATTGGCAAGGAGCCCTGCTCATGTCCTTCCAACACTTTCAGTCTCTTAGGAAGTCAGTTCATGCTGACTTGAATGAGTCACTTGCATAGTCTAGAAATGTTCATTATTTTTATGGAAGCTTTGGGTAGAGGCTTTTAGCTACAGGCATGGGAGATGACTATGAAGAGAGTAGGACGAGAGGACTTGGTGGTTCTGGAAGCAGCTGGAGGAGCTGGCTCTCTGCTCTACATTCCAGTGGTGACCTGGGAGGGAGGGTAAGTGGAAGTGGACAGGGCAGCAATACCAATGAAGTTGGCAGGCCAGAGCCAGGGCCAGTGCCAGGACCATGTAGCGGCCTGACTACAGTCACTAACTTATGAGTAGGGGAAGAAAAAACATTAAGGAAATGGCTATGATAAGGGCTCCAGCATGTGAGCTGGCTCTTCAGCTTGGCATTAGAGGTCTCTAGGAAAGCATATGGGGTTCTGTTTTCCCCTAGGAAGTTTAGGGTAACAATCCAAAAAGATTCTCTGTGCATTAAACAGTTGTCTGTTTGATCTGGTTTTGCCTGGGAGCTGGTCCCCTGCTGGGATACCTGGGGTATTTCCTTCCCCATCATTTTCGGATCTTCATGTGAGGTGTTAGAAATAGTATTTAGGGAAATGGGTTGAAAATGAATGGCCTCAGCAGGGAGGAGGAAGAGGTGTTTCTTTTACCTTACTATGGGTAGAGTAGGGGGAGGGAGTTGGGATGAATTTTTATGAAATCCTAGAACCTTTCCATGGGGTGGGTTTTTTTGTGGGGTTGGAGAACGACAAATGAGAGTGAGACAAACGAATTACAAGTAATAGTGTGTAGGTTATCATAGACTGTCCTGGCGGTCTTGGGGTAGCAGAAGAAAGAGAACTGGTAGAGCATTGAATAGGGATAGGAGTGTTCTGGTTGTAATTGTTTTTTTGTGTTAGTGGGAAGAAGGGATGGGACCAACCAGACTGATTTGGGAATGGGTTAGATTTGTAATAGGGCAGGTAAGTTCACACTGGAGAAGCCCATGAGTTACTCGCATTTGCCCACAAGTGGAGTAAGTCACATACCAATACCAGATGCCTGGAAGTTTCTGGTGACATTTGCAGTTTTGACATTCTATTTCTTTTTTTCTTTTTTTTGAAATGGAGTTTCGCTCTTGTTGTCCAGGCTGGAGTGCAATGGCGCGATCTCGGCTCACCACAACTTCTGCCTCCCGGGTTCAAGCGATTCTCCTGCCCCAGCCTTCCGAGTAGCTGGGATTACAGGCATGTGCCACCATGCTCAGCTAATTTTGTATTTTTAGTAGAGACGAGGTTTCTCCATGTTGGTCAGGCCAGTCTCAAACTCCCAACCTCAGGTGATGCACCACCATGCCCAGCTAATTTTGTATTTTTTAGTAGAGATGGAGTTTCTCCATGTTGGTCAGGCTGGTCTCGAACTCCCGACCTCAGGTGATCCGCCTGCCTCGGCCTCCCAAAGTGCTGGGTGTGAGCCACCATACCTGGCCCTAAAGTTTTGCCATTCTTGTCTCTCATCTGTCTGTGCTGGGAACCCATCATTCTCTGGTTCTATTGGTGTATCGTGTCCTAGGTGCTGGCACTTTCATGTGCTATAAAGTGTTTCATTTGATTATTAAATTTAACCCAGCTCAATATGTCAGTAAGTTAGTTTCCACTTAACATTCCCTTGACTGCATGCTGGAATTTGTAGTATGAATGAACTACTTCTCTTCCATGCAGAAACTGACAGCATTTGAGATTTGGACAACATTTTTGAGCTTTGTGCATTTGTTGATTCCTTCTCTAGGAAAACTATTCTGTCCGTGAAGGGAGAGAGGGACATGGGAAGATGTCTAAATTGGTCACCTCCACTAAGAACTTTGGTTTTCTACTCAGAACTCTTTTTTTTTTTTGAGATGGAGTCTCACTCTGTTGCCCAGGCTGGAGTGCAGTGGCGCGATCTTGGCTCACTGCAACCTCCATCTCCCGGGTTCAAGACTACAGGCGCTTGCCACCACACTCGGCTAATTTTTCATATTTTTAGTAAAGGCAGGGTTTCACCGTGTTGGCCAGGATGGCCTTGATCTCCTGACCTTGTGATCCGCCTGCCTTGGCCTCCCAAAGTGCTGGGATTACAGGCGTGAGCCACCGCGCCCGGCCTCAAAACTCTAACTGTTACTCCTTAAGGACTTGTATGTCTTTCCCAGTAAACAGAATCATTAAATGACATATAGGACAGTGTACCACACTGGAGAGAGTATGGACCCTAGAGTGAGGTCAGACTAGGGTGTTTCTTCTCCTGCCCACAGGGCGTGTAACCACTGATAACTCACCTGGCTTCTCTGAGCCTCAGTTTCCTCATCTCTAAAACAGAAAAGATAATACCTACCTTACAGAGTTGTGTGAATGTTACAAAAGGTAAAGTACACGAGGTTCCTAGCACATTGCCTTTCATTCTGCTGCTTTGGAATGCCTTTGGTGACCCTGGGGTATTTGTGGCAGTGTTTGGGTTTCTGGGTTCCTGGCTCCTCTACCTCCGTGGTAGCCTTTCCTTCCTCAGGGGTCGGGGAGAGGAAGAAGCTTCCACTAGTTTTCCTACAGGAACCTCTGGAGGTAGCAGGTTGATTTTTGCAGTGGAATTTGTGTTTTTGTGCAACACAAACCTTTTCCTGAGCACCAAGGCAGCACTTATTTGCAAAGCCCCATAAGCCTGACTCCTTTTTAGAGATCCCCTAGCAGAGTTTATGGTGGTCACACAGAGCTGCTTTTTAGATGCATTTGCGGGAACTGGGAAATGAGCCTTCAACTTGTACTTGACTTGTACTTGTTCTCCTGCTGTGTGAGCTCAAGGAGCCTGACTCATGCCACTTCCTGCACTTCCTCCTGACCTCCACAGGAGGGAGGCAGGCGTCCATGCCTGGCAAAGCCTCCTGCTGAGCTGCCAAAGCTCTAGCTGTTTGCTCAGCTGTCACATCCAGGTCCTGTCTTTACTGAACTGTCTACACAGCCTTACCTGGGGTGTGAGGCTCTCCAAGGCTTCCTGTTAGCTTTTTTGTTTGGGGTGGCAGGGTGAGGGGGATCTATTGCCACCCTCGAAGAACATCTTTCCCTTGCTTTTTAGGGAGCTTTTCGGCGCTCCCATTTATTCCTTATACAGGCTCAGTTTTGTCTAGTGTATAGGGACAGCATTTCTGAGAGAAAGCTTATTCATTTCTCAAGAGTAAAGATCTGTTAAGAATATGGGATCAGAGTCCCACTGAGAATGATAGTAAAGGGGATGGGGGCGTTGGAAGGCCTTGAATTTGAAGCAAAGGAAATTACCCTTTCTCTGTTTTCTGACTCAAGGTTAGTCTCTCCCTCTGTTCAACTGCCAGGCCAGCCCAGGCCTTTGCAGAGTTATCACAGAAAAAGAGCATGTAGAGAATCAGTGAGTTGCAAATTTCTGCAGAAAATAGACCAAAGAGCTAGCTGCTCTGATGAGTATTGCTGATAGCTTAAAAAAATAGCTTCTGAAGGTTTATAATGTACAGTGAAAAATGATTCCCTTTTCAGTCCTGTGTATCCCTTTTACCAGGGCTTTGGGTTTCAGGAGAAAGTAGGAAATCTTGTCCAGTTGTCTCCCAGGGGCGCCCTGCAGGGAAGGGAGCTGTACACGAGACAATGCTGATGTCGGCAGTGTCTGAGAACCTTACCCTTCCTGAGACAGATTCTGGGAGTGGGTGTAGGATGTGTTTAGAAGAGGGCTGGTAGGGGTGGGCGTTGGAGCAGAAGGGTCAGGAAGCAGGGGGTGGAGCTGGACCACAGGGGTGGGCAAGGTGGGTGGAAGAGGGAAGAGCGTATACTGTCCAGTAGGAGGATGGGTTGGGGAAGGAGAATATCCAGGCTGGAGGTTGGGTGGCAGGGAGCCTGTGTCTGATGTTCCTGAGGAAATGTCCGGGGCTCCTAGGGTCCTGCGTGAGGGTCCAGGAAAGAGTCCACGAGTTCCATTCAAGAGTTCGTGTATCCTGTTCAGGTATCCGGGGATTTGGTCCAGGGACCTGGAGGTTTGGTTCAGCAGACCAGGAATCTTGGCTCTGAATCCCTGCTGCCACTTCAGAAGCCCAGAGCCAGTAGTTCTGGCTGAGGCAGTGAAGTTTGTCTCCAACAATCCAGAAGTCCTGTTTGGGAGCTCGTTCAGTGTGAGGACTAGAGAGGTTCTGCTGGGGACAGCTGTGGTGGGTGGGGCCCGCCTGACGCAGAGGGTGGACCCTCCTACAAGCATCAGGAAACGCACCTTTCCTCGGAGCAGGTGTTGGAAGCTCAGGAAGATGGCATTGGGATCCTTGTGAGCTGTGGTCCTGCCCTGTGGAGGAAGCTGAGGGCAGAGGATGGTCCTGAGGCCAAACACCAGGGCCAGATCTCAGGCCTCCCTTGTCTAAGTAGGAAAGACAGGATGCCAGTACCCAGGCATTGTGGCTGGCAGGGAGCACTCTTAGTAGATCAGCTCTTCTGCCCTTGAGCTCCCTGGAAGAGCCCTTCTTCCCTCAGGTCTTCTAGGGGGACTGAGTCAGAAAAGAACAGTTTCTACAGATCCCTTGACTGGGGACTTACCTGGGTTCCAAGGAGGCTCTGCAGGGCCCCAAGGAGGAGACGGACCTGTCCAGAAAGCTGCCCCAGGAGGGATGAGAGGCAAGTGGGTCCCAGTTGTCCCCGTGCTGCCATCACTCCCTCCAGCAGAAGGGTCACTGCTCCCAGAATGTCCTGTGCCTTGGTCTCCTCCTGAGAAAGAGATGGAAGAGAGAAGCGCACTGCCTCAAAGGGCACACTAAAAGCGGGTGGGGAGCCTTAGGAGTAGCCAGCAGAGTGAATCATACAGGCTGAGAACTGGACAGGACCAAGGTCCCACCCAGGGCAGGAATTCCTTCACAGTCTCCCGACAGCTGGTCATCAGCCTCTGCTTCAAAAACTCCCGTGTCCTCTAGTCCAGCCTGGTCTTACACTTGGTTTCAGTGAGAAGAGCTCCTTTTTTCTTACGTTGCTGAAATCTGCCCTGTTACAGCTTTTACCTCTTGGTTCTAGTGCTGCAAATTTACTCTTTCTGCTGCAAAACCTTAGGATCATTTGATTTTTAAACTGAATGAAGGCTGGGTGCAGTGGCTCACGCCTGTAATCCCAGCACTTTGGGAGGCTGAGGCAGGTGGATCACCTGAGGTCAGGAGTTCAAGATCAGCCTGGCCAACATGGTGAAACCCCATCTCTACCAAAAATACAAAAATTAGCTGGGCATGGTGGTGGGCACCTGTAATCCCAGCTACTTGGGAGACTGAGGCAGGAGAATCGCTTGAATCCGGGAGGCTGAGGTTGCAGTGAGTTGAGATCATGCCACTGCACTCCAGCCTGGGGGATAGAGTGAGACTCCGTCTCAAATAATAATAATAAATAAACTAAATGTAGGTATGAGACTCTACCATAATGATCATAAGGATGAAAAGAAAGGACTAGAAGGGACCCATAGGAACTGCCCTTCTTCCCTGACTCAGTCCTGAAGGAAGAAGGGACGCTAGGGTTCTTGAGGATAGATTTTAGTTTTTTAAACTATTGCCCATAAAACATGCTTCTAGTCTCTTTCTGTTCAGGCTGCTGCTTTCTAGACACATGTTAGTTTAATATGGTCCCTCTTAATAAATTAGCATATGTCTTCAGGGGGATGTCCGGTGTTCAGGCCAGTATATTTAAGTGTAGTCCACTCGGAATAGAGTTCTGTACGAGCATTTCCACAATGGGGATGCTAAACATCAAACAGACAAGAATTACTAGCTTTAAGAATAGCAGCTTCAGTAATGTTACATGGTAAGTTTGGGGGCAATTTAATTCTCTCAGATCCTTTTCGTAGGAAGTGCTAGGGCCAGAGGCTTAAATGATGGAAGCAGGGCATTGTGGCCTGAAAGCTGGAATAGGACTTTACTCATTAATTTACACATGTAGAATTTTTTTTTCTTTTTGAGACGGAGTTTTGCTCTTGTCACCCAGGCTGGAGTGCATTGGCATGATCTCAGCTCACTACAACCTCCACCTCCTGGGTTCAAGGGATTCTCCTGCTTCAGCCTTCCAAGTAGCTGGGATTACAGGCATGCACTACCATGCCCGGCTAATTCTGTATTCTTAGTAGAGACGGGGTTTCGCCATGTTGGCCAGGCTGCTCTCAAACTCCTGCCCTCAGGTGATCTGCCTGCCTCGGCCTCCCAAAGTGCTGGGATTACAGGCGTGAGCCCCCGGCCCACATGTAGAAGTTTATATCTCTGTTGTTTCACCTTGTTTTTGACCTAGTCTTTCAGTGATTTGAATCTTGATTCAGTCTTTTGTTATTTTAGTGGTACTTCCCAGCTTTGTGTCATCTGTGGATGACATATGAGTCTTGCTTCTTCATGCCAATTTAAGAAGACTGAACGGGAATAGGTCAAAGGCATGGCCATGAGCGATTTCTCTCCAGCTTTTCATGGTGTTCAGCTTCAAATCTATTCACATATTGGACCTGCAAGCCATCATCTTATCCACAGGCTATCATCATAGGTGAATGTAGATTGGGTTAGGGTGGCCAAGCTGAAGGTGAGATATTTTTAAAAAGCTCAAGAATGTTGGAGAATCCATGGGAAGCAGTGGGAAACTGAAGACAGGACTTAGGGAAGCCAAGGTTAGGGATGGCTTTCTTACCATCTGGGTTTTCCATTCTCCCAAGCTAAAGTCCACAGCAGGCAGCAGGACAGGTGTAGGCAAAGGGTGAACCTCTGGGCACTGGCTCTGTTGAAAAAGATTGGTGGGGGGAGAAGGGAGCTGAAATAGAGAGAGCTATGGTAGCCTAATAAGCAGGCTAGTCCTCCATGAGTACTATCTCTAGACGAGAGCTTTTAAATGCGGGCTGTATTGTGAAGAATAATCCTTGTCAGAGAGTGTGATCAGTAGGTGGGGACAATATGGGAAGAATAGTCATTGGGTCAAGGAGTTAGAGGAAGTGATGGTGTCTTCCTGGGAGTATGGGTGTCTTACCAGTTACGCGGATAAAGGGGATAATGTTGGGAGTTCTCACCAGTCTGCTGTGAAGGACATGGGAGTCACGAAGCAGTTTACTGAGGACTCGGAGGTCACAAGCAGGAGGAGCCGGGCTGGACAGCGTTAGCCTTGCAGTTAGGAGAAGCATGACCACGAGGAGCAATTCTTAGATGAGGAGAGGTGAGGTTGAAAGATGAGGAGGAAATCATTGTCAGCTGGTATTCCAGGAATTCCCATTCAGGACCCAGACCTGAAACCCAGGGAATCCACCCCTCAGACCCCTTATTTTTGGGAGAATGGGTTCCCCCAGCTTCCTGCCCCCTGCAGCGTGTCTCCTTTCTCTCTCCCCTTCTGTCATGTTTCCATATGGCCCTAGCCCCTCAGGTGTGTTCTCACCAGTCAGCTCCATTCTGGCCGGGGTGTCTGGCTGGCGTGGCTCCCTGTTTGGGGCCTCTCCCCTGAATCCTTCCTGGGGCCATGGAGGCGGCTTAGGCTCTTGCACTTCTGGGCAGAGTAGGGTGGGGCAAAGGCGGGCCAAGGGTGAAGAATCTATCCTGAAAGTAGCAAGAAGAGTGAACATTTAACCAAGTTTCTAGGAAGAGACTGCCTGGCAGGGTGAACAGATGCTGGGGAGGGCTTGAGATGCTGACCAGCCTGGAACTGCCAAAGCCCTGAATTCTCTCACATTTTCTTGTGATGAAAGCATATGGTGTGCCGGGTGCAGTGGCTCATGCCTGTAATCCCAGCACTTTGGGAGTCCAAGGCGGGTGGATCACCTGAGGTCAGGAGTTCGCCACCAGCCTCACTAACATGGTGAAACCCCGGCTCTACGAAATACAAAAAAACTAGCAGGGTGTGGTGGTTCATGCCTGTAATCCAAGCTACTTGGGAGGCTGAGACAGGAGAATCGCTTGTACCTGGGAGGCGGAGGTTGTGGTGAGCCGAGATCGCACCATTGCACTCCAGCCTGGGCAATAAGAGTGAAACTCCGTCTCAAAAAAAAAAAAGAAAGAAAGAAAGAAAGAAAGAAAGCAAGAAAGCATATGGTGTCTCCTTTTTGTCAGGACTCCTCAGTGAATCGGACATGGATTTGGTGCCACCTACCCCTGCTGAGAGCAGCAGGACATGATATGTATACACACATATCTTAATTAGCCTTAAATTCTGAGCAACCTTGGTTGTTAGGTCAGAGAAAATCTGGGATGGGGATAGAGAAGGAAAGTATTGTGGCTTCAGCCTGGAGAAGAGAGTGGAAAATGGGATGCAGGGCCTGGGTGAGGAACTGGCAAACGGGCGCAATATGTTGAGGGGTAACTTCTGCGGTGGGGAGTGGGGCTGGGGAGGGGAACTGCACAAAGCTGTAACTGGGACCACTAGAGGTCAGGATTAAAAGGCGGTATGGGAGAAATTAACCTCTATTCTTTCCCTATCTACCCCCACACATAAAGCCACTGGAGCTTTTCTCTGGACTCCAAGTCCTGAAATACTCCATTATCTGAGGCCAAGAGATGGGCTAACAGTTCTGGGACTTCCTTCCTGAGACCAGCTGCCCAGGAACGGGCACCTGCTGGGTGATGCCCACCTTAGGGGCTTACCTTGTCTTAGGCGCCCACTAACATATCTGTCTCATAGCTCACACCTGCCTCCCTGCCCCCTTGGCAGAACCCCTTCCGGTTCCTTCACAGGACCCCCCACATGGCTTCCTCCTCCTTTCACAAGTTGTGCAAAGAGGCTTGCACCTGATTCAATATTGGGATTTCCTGTAGGTCTGTCAACATGAGTGGGCCCTCCTCCCATTACCCTCTCCTTGCGCCCTGGCTTGCCTGGCCCAGCTTCCCCAGCACCAGATTCAGAACCTTAAGCTAACGAGGAATGACCAGCTAAGAATGGGGATTGGGGCTGTGTCCATCTTACTACTGTGTTTGCTAAGCCCTAAGTGCAGCTCCCTCTCTTATTTTCTCCCTGGGCTCATGTCCCCTTTCCTTAGGGCCAGCCAGGGCTGTGCTGTATTCCACCAAGTAAGTGATCAGTCCCTCAGAAACCAGCACCCCACCCCCTACCCCTGCTCTGCCCTGCTCCTCCCATTCTGGGAAGGCTACACTCTTCTCGACAAAGGTCAGTGCCTGTAGGTTCCAGTTTGCCTGCCCCTCCCCCAGCTGGGAGCCCATTTCTCTTTGCTGTCCTTTCTACCCTCACATAACCCCACACCCTGCTGGCCACTCACCGGGTGGAGAAGGGCTCCAGGACCCAAGTGCACAGCAGGCAGCCCTCTGGGGAGCAGATGGGTAGGAAGACATGTGGCGGTGGGGCACAGCCCCTCCACAGCAGCAGGTCATACGCCTGCCTGGGCCACTTCTGCCCAATCAGAGAAGGGAGCCACCAGACACTGGTGAAGGCCCCCGGAAGTGACGCCTTCTCTTCCCTGGAGCCCCTGCCTGGACCAGGGTCCACTCCTCCACCCACACACACCACGGAGAAGATTTGGATAGGGGGATCCATCTTTTCCTGGACATGGGCAACCTGGGACCTGGAGGGGGACAGGAGCAGAAGTTTTTTTCCAGGAGGAATCTGGCAGGACATTTGTGTTGCTGGGGAAGAAGCACAGAGGTCTTGTTTAAGATTGGTGGGGTTTTCACTCCCTGGCTATCCAAATTTCTTTTCCCTGGACATCATACCTGCTGCTGAAATCCAACAGGATGCTTGCTTTCCTGCTTTTCTTTCTGTAATCCCCTAGGGAGTCCTATCTTGTCATTCCCCCTTTCGAAGTGGGAACACGGATATTGCCCACATGAGAGAAATCTCCTGTTATGGGTTGGTGTTATGGGGAAAGGGTTTGGACGGGTTGAGTGGACTGTCAGGTGCGGGGCACATGTATGTGCGCACACGTGCACTGGGTTAAGCCTGAGCTTAGGTGCTCGTCTGCTGGGGTCCAGTGGCTTAGATGGCTACACACACAGACCTCTGTGCCCAGGGCCCTCCTTTGCTTGTTCTGTCTCCGTCTTCCATCTCCTACCGTTCCACATGTGACAAGAGGAATAACCAGGCCCATGTGTCCCTGTCTTAGGAAAGACAGCTGCTGGACCTCCCCCGCAAATACCTCCCTGCTGGCCCCCCTTTTCCTTTGGCCCTGGCTCTAGCTCCTTTGCTTTCTTCCCAGTCCCAGTCTCCCCACAGTCTCTGTCCTCAGGGGCTTCCTGGCCTGACCTTGATCCCATCATCCCCCTGTCCCCCAGAACTTCCTCAGGCTCTCTCCTGTTCCTCCTCCCCAAGGATGGGCATGTCTGCTGAGAAGTGTGGCCTAGATCCTGGAATTTTCCCGTCCAGCCAGACGAGATGTCTCCCAAGATTAGGAAGGAGGGTGCTGGGATAGCTGGGAGGATAGTGGGTGTGTGTGGGAGGGAGAGACAGGAGACAGGGAGGCAGGCATGACCAGGGAACCAAGAGAAAGGAGGCTGGGAGTGGGCTGGAGAGGCAGAGGGTCCCTTGGGTGAAGGAAGGGGGTGAGAAAGCAAGAGGGGACTGTCGAATGCGCCTGAGGATAAGTTACAATGAGAGGGAGATACTGTCACTCCACAGAAGGGGGAATGCTGCCGGTTTCTGGCTAGGTCCCTGTCCTGGGTAACACAAGAATGAGGAGCGACCTCAGAGAGAAGGTAGGGAGGCAGGCTAGGCAGTGAGAGAGGGTGGTGAGGGTTTGGGGGGCGCTGTGGGCCCAGGCAGGGGGAGATCGGCTGATGGACCTTTCCTGTACGTTGTCATCTTTAAAGACAAGTCTTCATCCTTCGGGCGGAACCGGGTCCTCGCTCACAGAGCGGTCCAGGCCTCAGGCCTAGCCTCTGCCCCTCCCTAGCCTGAGGCTCCCTTCCTGGGCTGGACACCGACCTCCTGGTCCAGCCGCCCTGTGGCCGCCAGCAGCGGGGGGCTCCGGGCCCGCCTCTCCTCCCCCTCTTCGCGCCCCCTGGTCCCTCCCCTCCCCCTCCCCCGCTCCCCCTTCCCCTCCCGCCCCTCCCTCCTCCCCTGCCCGGTCCCAGCCCCTCCCTCCCCTCCCCCACCCGCGATCCGGGCCGCTGCTGCTGGGTCGGACCCCCCGGGCTCAGCCCGGCCCCTCGCCGAGCTGCCGCCGCCGCCCCGTTTGCTGAGGAGGAGGCCCCCGGCCGGGGCGTCGGGCGCGGGGCATAAAACGGGCCGGAGCCGGCGCCCGGGGCAGTAGAGCCGCGTACGGCCCGGGTCAGCGCCCGCCCGCCCGCGCTCCTCCCGGCCGCTCCTCCCGCCCCGCCCGGCCCGGCGCCGACTCTGCGGCCGCCCGACGAGCCCCTCGCGGCACTGCCCCGGCCCCGGCCCCGGCCCCGGCCCCCTCCCGCCGCACCGCCCCCGGCCCGGCCCTCCGCCCTCCGCACTCCCGCCTCCCTCCCTCCGCCCGCTCCCGCGCCCTCCTCCCTCCCTCCTCCCCAGCTGTCCCGTTCGCGTCATGCCGAGCCTCCCGGCCCCGCCGGCCCCGCTGCTGCTCCTCGGGCTGCTGCTGCTCGGCTCCCGGCCGGCCCGCGGCGCCGGCCCAGAGCCCCCCGTGCTGCCCATCCGTTCTGAGAAGGAGCCGCTGCCCGTTCGGGGAGCGGCAGGTAGGTGGGCGCCCGGGGGAGGCGCGGGCGGGGAGTCGGGCTCGGGGCGAGTCAGCGCCAGCCCGGAGGGGGCGCGGGGCGCAGGTGGCTCGGCGCGGCGGGCGGCCCGGAGGGTGGGCGGGGGCAGAAGGGCGCGGTGCCTGGGACCCGGGACCCGCGGGCAGCCCCCGGGGCGGCACACGGCGCGAGCTGGGCAGCGGCCTCCAGCCAAGCCCGTCCCCGCAGGCTGCACCTTCGGCGGGAAGGTCTATGCCTTGGACGAGACGTGGCACCCGGACCTAGGGGAGCCATTCGGGGTGATGCGCTGCGTGCTGTGCGCCTGCGAGGCGGTGAGTGCACCCCGCGGCCGGCCCGGGCCCTGGCGGGTGGGGAGCGCCGGGTCGCGCGGGCGTCGGAGTGGACTCGGAGCTGCTGAGAAGGAGCCCAGTCGGCAGATGTTGGGGATATTTTTCTGGTGGAGGAAGGGGAATCAGCCCCTCCAATTCTTAGGTGCTGTTACTGATCGCCCACTCTGTGTGAGGCTCTGTGCCAACTCCGTTTCGTTCCCTGCTCATCTAACTCTCATGGCAGCCTTGCTAGATAGAGAGTATTATTATCCCCATTTTCCAGACAGGGACCTTGAGGCCCAGAGAGATGAAGTAGCTTGTCTAGGGTCACGCAGCTTGTAAGTGGCAGAGCTGGCTGACTCTGCGGGACATCCTTGCCTGGGGGGGTCTCATCAGTTGGCATCTTGCACTCACTTGGGTTTCCCGCCTTTTCCGGGAGCAGCCTCAGTGGGGTCGCCGTACCAGGGGCCCTGGCAGGGTCAGCTGCAAGAACATCAAACCAGAGTGCCCAACCCCGGCCTGTGGGCAGCCGCGCCAGCTGCCGGGACACTGCTGCCAGACCTGCCCCCAGGGTAAGTCTTGCTCCGCCCTGCGGGGAGGGAGGCAGGGCCACGATACTAGGTCCCGGGCCACTTGGATGGGGCGTCGGACTGGCCTTTCCCATGGCCAGCTGAAGCCCGTGTTCTTACCCCCCCGCCCGCAGAGCGCAGCAGTTCGGAGCGGCAGCCGAGCGGCCTGTCCTTCGAGTATCCGCGGGACCCGGAGCATCGCAGTTATAGCGACCGCGGGGAGCCAGGCGCTGAGGAGCGGGCCCGTGGTGACGGCCACACGGGTAGGGGGCTGGCGAACAGCGGGGTTGTGGTTGAGGCTGGGCCACCAAAGCGGCGTTTGACAGTGCTCAGGCCATCTTCCTCCCGTCCCAGACTTCGTGGCGCTGCTGACAGGGCCGAGGTCGCAGGCGGTGGCACGAGCCCGAGTCTCGCTGCTGCGCTCTAGCCTCCGCTTCTCTATCTCCTACAGGCGGTGAGAAAGGGGAAGGAGCAAGGAGGGGTCAGCTGCCGGGGCCCGGGAGGGAAACTGGGAGAGCTGGGAGGGGCTGCTTTTGGCTCAGTCCGGCCTCACCCGACCTCTCATTCCCAGGCTGGACCGCCCTACCAGGATCCGCTTCTCAGACTCCAATGGCAGTGTCCTGTTTGAGCACCCTGCAGCCCCCACCCAAGATGGCCTGGTGAGATGATGCCATTTATGAGCACTTGCCCAGTCTGGGCACTGTGCCGAGAGCATGCTCTGCATTGCCTCCCGTGGTCCTCACCACAGCCCAGTGGGAGGAAGGCACTGACATTATGATGCCCATTTTACAGAAGGGGGAACTGAGGCTCAGTAGGATAATGTGATTTGTTCAAGGTCACACAGCTAGTAAGTGGTGCAGCCAGGATTGGAACCCAAGCATCTGGCTCCAGCGTTCTTTCTTAAGCTTCCTAGGGCACCCTGGAGGTTCCTTTCCATGTTCCTTTTTCATAAGCCCTGCCTGGGCATCCTAATTGGCCTAGCCTGCACAGTGTCTGAGCGTAGGGCCTTCTTGTCTCTCTGCTCCAGGTCTGTGGGGTGTGGCGGGCAGTGCCTCGGTTGTCTCTGCGGCTCCTTAGGGCAGAACAGCTGCATGTGGCACTTGTGACACTCACTCACCCTTCAGGGGAGGTCTGGGGGCCTCTCATCCGGCACCGGGCCCTGGCTGCAGGTAGGGAGCAAAGAGCCCCGGGCGTGAAGTTCTGAGTCTTCTCTATCACCCAGGAAAGGGGGGGAGGGTTTCTGACGGGCTCTCATCATCGTCCCTTCCCCAGAGACCTTCAGTGCCATCCTGACTCTAGAAGGCCCCCCACAGCAGGGCGTAGGGGGCATCACCCTGCTCACTCTCAGTGACACAGAGGACTCCTTGCATTTTTTGCTGCTCTTCCGAGGGCTGCTGGAACCCAGGAGTGGGGGTAAGTGGGATGGGGGCAAAACACGTGAGAAGGTTAGGGAGAGCACCTGTCTCAGAAAGGCCCACATGTGCGGCCTTGCAGGACTAACCCAGGTTCCCTTGAGGCTCCAGATTCTACACCAGGGGCAGCTACTGCGAGAACTTCAGGCCAATGTCTCAGCCCAGGTGAGTGGGGATCTGGCTCTCGCTGCCACCTGTCTTGGCCTCTTGCTATTGCCCATCACACCCTGCTCTGTCCCCAGGAACCAGGCTTTGCTGAGGTGCTGCCCAACCTGACAGTCCAGGAGATGGACTGGCTGGTGCTGGGGGAGCTGCAGATGGCCCTGGAGTGGGCAGGCAGGCCAGGGCTGCGCATCAGTGGACACATTGCTGCCAGGAAGAGCTGCGACGGTGAGGCGGGGGGGGGGCCTGGTGCGCCGGGCATGCACAACTGAGAGACACAGACAAGTGCCAGGGTGGGTGTGGGAGAGATCCTGTGGACTGGGGGTGTAAGCGGCCATGGGGTAAACCTAGCCTCACCTGTCTTGCCCCTCCGTAGTCCTGCAAAGTGTCCTTTGTGGGGCTGATGCCCTGATCCCAGTCCAGACGGGTGCTGCCGGCTCAGCCAGCCTCACGCTGCTAGGAAATGGCTCCCTGATCTATCAGGTAAGAGCCAGGGGCTGCAGAAGGTGGGGGAGGGGTGGCGTGGGCAGCAGGCCCCAGGCCTTTACTGCCTCTCCACTTTGCCCTCCTCCATCCCTGCCCATCAGGTGCAAGTGGTAGGGACAAGCAGTGAGGTGGTGGCCATGACACTGGAGACCAAGCCTCAGCGGAGGGATCAGCGCACTGTCCTGTGCCACATGGCTGGACTCCAGCCAGGAGGACACACGGTGAGGGCTCCAGGTGGAGCTGGACCCCAGGGCCCAATGCATGGGCTGTGGGAAGCCAGGTTGGATGAGCAGGGATGTTCATTATCATCCACTCACTCATGGGTTCTCCCACTCATTCATTTATTCATTTGACTTTTTTTTTTTTTTTTTTTTGAGATGGAGTCTGGCTCTGTCACCAGGCTGGAGTGCAGTGGTGTGATCTTGGCTTACTGCAACCTCTGCCTCCTGGGTTCAAGCGATTCTCCTGCCTCAGCCTCCCAAGTAGCTGGGACCACAGGTGTGCACCACCACACCCAGCTAATTTCTGTATTTTTAGTAGAGACGGGGTTTCACCGTGTTGGCCAGGATGGTCTTGATCTCTTGACCTCATGGTCCGCCCACTTCGGCCTCCCAAAGTGCTGGGATTACAGGCGAGAGCCACCGTGCCCGGCATGATTTGACATTTTTAGTGAGCCCCAGACTAGGGACTAGAGTACAAAGCAAATCATATGTGGCCCCTGTGCTTAGCAAGCTCACAGTCAAATGGGAGCATTGGACCTGGAGAACAGTGCCACAGGCCACATATTAGTAAATGTAATGGCAATGGTTGCTACTTATAGGGCCTTTCCATGTGCTAGGTGCTGCATTGGTGGCCTTACATAGTTTTTGGCTTTCACAGTATCCATTTGAGAGATGAGGAAGTGAAGACTTGGAGAAGTTAAGTTACTCTTGAAGGTTGTTACATAGCTAGGAAGCAGCAGGGGAGGGCCTTGAAACTGGGCCTGCCAGGTCCTTATCCTGTGTTTCTGGTGTGTGGAAGTGTGTGTGGGTGGAGTGGGGGCACAAAATGGTCCAAGACTTCAGAACCTTGGACTCGTGTGAGAGCTGAGAAGGCCTATCCTCCCCTGCCCCCAGGCCGTGGGTATCTGCCCTGGGCTGGGTGCCCGAGGGGCTCATATGCTGCTGCAGAATGAGCTCTTCCTGAACGTGGGCACCAAGGACTTCCCAGACGGAGAGCTTCGGGGGCACGTGGCTGCCCTGCCCTACTGTGGGCATAGCGCCCGCCATGACAGTGAGTGTCCTTAGGGGTCTGTCTGCCCTTTGGTTTCCTAGAACATTTGAGGGATGGTGGCAGACAGCCGGAGCCTGGTGTGTCTTTCTTTGTGCCTAAGCTCCGGTTGCCATCTGAAGGTGGGGACATATAGGGTGGCCCTGCTGGCGGACTCTTCCTGTTGCTGAGGTTCAAGGGTCTAAAACTTGCTGCTCTCCAGGCCCTGGACCTATGGACAGTGTCTTCCAGCTCGTGGAATGTGTGCTGGGGAGCTGGGAATGCTGGGTTTGAGGGCTTGCCCTAGGCCACCTTCTCACCTGTCATCTCTCCTCTGTCTGGACCCAGCGCTGCCCGTGCCCCTAGCAGGAGCCCTGGTGCTACCCCCTGTGAAGAGCCAAGCAGCAGGGCACGCCTGGCTTTCCTTGGATACCCACTGTCACCTGCACTATGAAGTGCTGCTGGCTGGGCTTGGTGGCTCAGAACAAGGCACTGTCACTGCCCACCTCCTTGGGCCTCCTGGAACGCCAGGGCCTCGGCGGCTGCTGAAGGGATTCTATGGCTCAGAGGTAAGGATGTGATGGTAGGCGGCAGCTTGGAACATTTCTGTTTTTTAGCTTGAAGGGCTGTGTGGGCCTGTGTTGGGGAAAGCAGAGAGCAGGCAGCCTGGTATAGAAGAGCTGGCATAAATAAAATAAATTAAACAGTGATTTGTAGGCTGGGTGCAGTGGCTCAAGCCTGTAATCCCAGCACTTTGGGAGGCCAGGTGGGTGGATCACCTGAGGTAGGAAGCTCAAGACTAGCCTGACCAACATGGAGAAACCCCATCTCTACTAAAAATACAAAATTAGCTGGGCGTGGTGGCACATGCCTATAATCCCAGCTACTCCAGAGGCTGAGGCAGGAGAATCGCTTGAACCTGGGAGGTGGAGGTTGCAGTGAGCCGAGATGGCGCCATTGCACTCCAGCCTGGACAGAAAGAGCAAAAATCCGTCTCAAAAAAAAAAAAAAAAAAAAAAAAAAAAAGAGCTGGCATGGGCTTGGGAGTCAGATAGACCTGGGCATGACTCTGACTGGCTTTTTATTATTCATTCTCCTTTCTAAGTCTTTTTTTGGTGGGGTGTCTTGGATAGTATGTAATATCCTGGACCTCAGGGGGGTAGGTGGGATGGACTAAGCCCTTCAAGTGGGGTGAGTTCTCATGGACTTGGTCAGAGAGACCTGGCTTCCAAGCTCCACACTATTGCCAATGGGCTTTGCTACCATGAAGACTTTATTTAACCTCCCTGGCTCTCAGTTTCTTCATCTGTGAACTGGGGACAGTAGGCTCAGCCCTAAAGTGCCTTATTCCTATCCATTGTCCTGTCTATGTGCAGGCCCAGGGTGTGGTGAAGGACCTGGAGCCGGAACTGCTGCGGCACCTGGCAAAAGGCATGGCCTCCCTGATGATCACCACCAAGGGTAGCCCCAGAGGGGAGCTCCGAGGGCAGGTAGGTGGCGAGTGTGGGCAGTGGGGGCAGTGGGGAGGGTGCAGAGTTGGAGGGGCACTGTGTGCCATTGCACTAGTCACTTGCTGTCTCTGAGTCCTGGGGGTGGTCGTATCACAGCGCCCCCCCGGCTGGTGGGGAGGATGAGCTACATGAGGAGGCTGGCAGCCCGGCACCCTATCCCTGGCAGCTGAGATGATTGTGGAGCGAATGGCATCCTCCTGGGCCACTGCAGCGCTCAGGGGGCCGAGGTGTCTCCTGCTGGCTGGCCAGCTGCCGCTGGTAAAGACGCGAGGGGGAGCCCCAGCGCTGCCTCAGTTGGCCTCTCCTCCCAGGTGCACATAGCCAACCAATGTGAGGTTGGCGGACTGCGCCTGGAGGCGGCCGGGGCCGAGGGGGTGCGGGCGCTGGGGGCTCCGGATACAGCCTCTGCTGCGCCGCCTGTGGTGCCTGGTCTCCCGGCCCTAGCGCCCGCCAAACCTGGTGGTCCTGGGCGGCCCCGAGACCCCAACACATGCTTCTTCGAGGGGCAGCAGCGCCCCCACGGGGCTCGCTGGGCGCCCAACTACGACCCGCTCTGCTCACTCTGCACCTGCCAGGTAGGAGGTCCTGGAAGGGCACACTGGGTCCTGGGATCTGGAGCAAGGGGCCTGGACACTCCCGTCAATGCCTCTGCTCCTCTCTGCAGAGACGAACGGTGATCTGTGACCCGGTGGTGTGCCCACCGCCCAGCTGCCCACACCCGGTGCAGGCTCCCGACCAGTGCTGCCCTGTTTGCCCTGGTGAGTTCCCCGCAGGGGAGTGGAGGGAGGAGTTGGCCCAGTGCGGACAGGTCCTTTGGGGAGGGAATGAGGGTGGTCACTCTCTGCTTTCACCATTTCTTTGGCTCCACAGAGAAACAAGATGTCAGAGACTTGCCAGGGCTGCCAAGGAGCCGGGACCCAGGAGAGGGTGAGCTGGAAGGGTGCGTGCAGGGTGGGAGGCCCCAGAGGAGCCATTAGGTTGAACCAGGAGGGGGACAAGAAGGGGAGAGTATATAGGGGGTGGCCTGAGGGGCACAGATTCCAAGTGATGCCTGACAGGACTCATTAGTGTTACTGGCCCCCAGGTGGGCCCTTGGCTTAGGCTCGTGTGGGGGTGGCCTGAGGCTCAAGCCTTGGTTGTGGGCCCAGCTGATGAGCTCATACTAATGGCTGCTGGGCCCTGTTCCCCACCAGGCTGCTATTTTGATGGTGACCGGAGCTGGCGGGCAGCGGGTACGCGGTGGCACCCCGTTGTGCCCCCCTTTGGCTTAATTAAGTGTGCTGTCTGCACCTGCAAGGTATGGCCACCCAATCTTCTCTGGTGCCATAACCCAGCGGGGTCTGCAGAGATGGGGAGGGGCTGCCAGGTGAGGAAGGCCCGTCCTTGGTGAGGAGGGCTCAAGAATCAAAACGATATGAGAAAAGGCCCTTGCGCTCTGAGAGTCGGCTTCCTGTGGGAAAATGAACAGGGCTGACCTGGGTGTGGATTCTGGCTCTGCCAGCTAACTAGTGCCAGTGACCCTAGGCACCTTCTGTCCCTGAGCCTCACTTTCCTCTCCTGTAAGCAGATATGATGGCACCTACCTTGCAGGGTTCTGATGAGGAGCTGAGTTTAGGTCTATAAAGCCAGTCCGGGCCTCTGAGTAAAAGGCCACAGAGAGACTGCATTTGAGGTGTGGAATAGGAGAGGGAGTGGGCAGGAGGCTTATGTGCCCCCTGCCTGACACTCCTTGCTCAATGGATCCCTACAGGGGGGCACTGGAGAGGTGCACTGTGAGAAGGTGCAGTGTCCCCGGCTGGCCTGTGCCCAGCCTGTGCGTGTCAACCCCACCGACTGCTGCAAACAGTGTCCAGGTGAGAGAGGTGGCTGAGCACTGAGGCCTCACCTTTGGGTTGAGGCAGGCTTTGTCCTGGGTGAGGGGAAGGGTGCTCAGTTAATTGAGCATTATACTGAGCACTGCTCTGTGCCTAGCCTGGAGCCAGGACTCTAAATGCAGTGGAAAGAATGTGATATACTAGTGGGGTATGATGGGTTCTGGTTCCTGCTCCATCCATCCGTCCATCCATCCATCCATCCATCCATCCATCCATCCATCCATCCATCCGTCCATTCATCTATCTATCCACCCATACAACCATCCACCCATTGATGCATCCATCCATGCATCCATCCATCCCTCCATCCATCCACCCATCCACCCATTGATGCATCCATCCATCCATCCATCCATCCATCCATCCATCCATCCATCCGTCCCTTCATCCATCCATTCATCTGCCCACCCACCCATCCAAATTTATCACCTACTAAGTGCCAGAAACTGCAACGTGCTGGGTATTCAAAGAGAATACTCATAAAACCTTGTTGGTCCTCCTGGGCTGATCCTTTCTCTTTCCCTCTCAACAGTGGGGTCGGGGGCCCACCCCCAGCTGGGGGACCCCATGCAGGCTGATGGGCCCCGGGGCTGCCGTTTTGCTGGGCAGTGGTTCCCAGAGAGTCAGAGCTGGCACCCCTCAGTGCCCCCTTTTGGAGAGATGAGCTGTATCACCTGCAGATGTGGGGTAAGTGGGGAGCAGAGGCTTGTGTGAGGTGGGTACTGGGAGCCTGGTCTGGAGTAGGGAGACCTTCCCAGGGAGGTCCCTGAAGAAGCTGAAGGTCACTGTGTCCCAGTGCCTCTGGGGGACACTCAGTGTCTGCTCTGTCTTGTACCAGGCAGGGGTGCCTCACTGTGAGCGGGATGACTGTTCACTGCCACTGTCCTGTGGCTCGGGGAAGGAGAGTCGATGCTGTTCCCGCTGCACGGCCCACCGGCGGCGTAAGTGAGGGAGTCCAGGGTCAGCAGCTGTGAGTGGAGGGCTCACCTGCCTGTGGGACTCCTGATCAGGGAAGGGAGCACTCACTGTGTGCAGGAACAGTGCAGCCTGCCTCACAAGTGCCATTCCAATCCACCCTCACAGCAACCTGGTGGAATTGTTATTTATGACCTTTTCTTTACAAATGAGATTTCTGAAGCTCAGAGAAATTAAGCAACGAGATGAAGGTCACCCAGCTGTGTGCACTGACCTGTTTAGAAAATACTGGCCTTTCTGGGACCAAGGCAGGGATGCTTTGCCCTGCCCTCTATGCCTCTCTGTGCCTCTCCACTCCCTCTCCCCTCCTCCAACATTCCCTCCCTTCTGTCTCCAGCAGCCCCAGAGACCAGAACTGATCCAGAGCTGGAGAAAGAAGCCGAAGGCTCTTAGGGAGCAGCCAGAGGGCCAAGTGACCAAGAGGATGGGGCCTGAGCTGGGGAAGGGGTGGCATCGAGGACCTTCTTGCATTCTCCTGTGGGAAGCCCAGTGCCTTTGCTCCTCTGTCCTGCCTCTACTCCCACCCCCACTACCTCTGGGAACCACAGCTCCACAAGGGGGAGAGGCAGCTGGGCCAGACCGAGGTCACAGCCACTCCAAGTCCTGCCCTGCCACCCTCGGCCTCTGTCCTGGAAGCCCCACCCCTTTCCTCCTGTACATAATGTCACTGGCTTGTTGGGATTTTTAATTTATCTTCACTCAGCACCAAGGGCCCCCGACACTCCACTCCTGCTGCCCCTGAGCTGAGCAGAGTCATTATTGGAGAGTTTTGTATTTATTAAAACATTTCTTTTTCAGTCTTTGGGCATGAGGTTGGCTCTTTGTGGCCAGGAACCTGAGTGGGGCCTGGTGGAGAAGGGGCAGAGAGTAGGAGGTGAGAGAGAGGAGCTCTGACACTTGGGGAGCTGAAAGAGACCTGGAGAGGCAGAGGATAGCGTGGCAGTTGGCTGGCATGCCTGGGTTCCGCAGAGGGGCTGGGGATGGTTCTTGAGATGGTCTAGAGACTCAAGAATTTAGGGAAGTAGAAGCAGGATTTTGACTCAAGTTTAGTTTCCCACATCGCTGGCCTGTTTGCTGACTTCATGTTTGAAGTTGCTCCAGAGAGAGAATCAAAGGTGTCACCAGCCCCTCTCTCCCTCCTTCCCTTCCCTTCCCTTTCTTTCCCTCCCCTCCCCTCCCCTCCCCTCCCCTCCCCTCCCCTCCCCTTCCCTTCACTCTCCCTTCCCTCTCCCTTCCCTTCCCTTCTCCTTCGTTCACAGCAATGGGGTCTTGCTATGTTGCCCAGGCTGGTCTTGAACTCCTGGCCTCAAGTGATCCTCCTGCCTTGGCCTTCCAAAGTGTTGGGATTACAGGCATGAGCCACCACACCCAGCCCAGCCTCTACCTTCTTTGTCTAAAGTGAGGCAAACACTTTTCTGTTTTTTTCCTGGAAACTCGTGTTCTGGACCAGTTCTGGGGCAAACTGGGGTCAGAGTGGATTGGAATCAGCTCTGATCCAGCTTTTGGCTGTGCTTACCTTGAGACCAAATCATGTAGAGAATAAGACAAGACCCTCCTGCCCTGTTACCCTCTTCTCTCTCCCCTCCCTCATTCCTACCATCAAGACCCAGGCATTTTGACAAGCTCTAGGAAATGAGGGTATCAGAACAGAAATCTAACAAATGTATGTAGCTGCAGATCCATCTTTCATATAAACAATGTGGAGTCAAATGAATCTGGGATTTTATGATCTGGTAGGGCAGGGGAAAGGGAAATCATAGCTTGCTTATGGAGTGTTAGGCATGCTGTATGTGGTTAAGAAGTTATTGTCTTAGCCCATTGAAGCATCGAGTTCCAGTTCTGCTGTTAACTAGCTGAGTTATTTAACTTTCACAAACCCCCATTTCCCTTTTATAAAACACATGATATCCCCCTCACAGGATTCAATCAGAACACGTGCATTACACAAGCTCAGGGCCTGGCACGTATTCGCTGCAAAAGGCACTCTCCCCGAGGTGGGATTTGTGGGGCTGGTTTGGAATGAAGGCAGGGAGAATCGCAGGGAGGAGAGTGGCCATGGGCTTCACTTGCGTTTGGCAACTGATATGCTGCTGAATGCTTAGGGGAGAGGAGGGGCTGGACTGAGGATTCAGGGATGATGAGGATGGGGATAACCACTTGGGCCAGAGCCCTGGCTGTTAATAGGAGGATCGTGAGGGCCAGATAGGGATGAAAAAGCAGCAGTATTCAGCACGGGGTTAAGTGTGGGAGTGAGGCACCAGTTGTGGTATGATGGAGATTTGGCCCAGAAATGGTGTGCTGACAGTGTTGTCCTCCTTGGTGTGGAACTTTGGTGGGAAGAAGGGTTGGAAAGGGAAATTTTGATCCTTGGATTTAACCCGAGTTTGTTACTGATGCTCACAAGACTAGGGGAAGGAATAAGGCAGGTGAGTCACTCTAGGATGGCTCAGTGAGCTCCACAGAGCTGGAACCACAGGCACCAGGAGGGATTCAGAGCAGGCCTCAGTGCACGTCAGCTGAGTGAACCAATGAGCAGGTGATGGGTCCAGGCAGAGCCCTGTCCTCTTTAGGCAAAAACCCTTGAAACACCGTTCCCATCCTAGCCTGTGTTCCAACCAAAGCTGGCCAGTCTCCAGGCCCTGCCTGAGCCCCAGGGAAGTGGTATGGTGAAACAGAAGGGCCAGCCCTGTCCAGTGTGTGAGGAACTTCATTTCAGACTTGTTGGAAGCCCTGATGTTCAGAGACCTCAATAATATCATTCATTTTTCCCATCCATTCAATGCCCATTCAATGCCCATCCATTCAATGCCCCATCCATTCCCCTTCAGGCAACTGCACATTGGTCAGAGAGCCCTTTCCCTTTCCAAAAAACCAAACCAAACCAAAAACCCTGCAAAAATGCAGCAAAATCCAAGCAGAGGACCATTTTCCTGGGTTTAGTATTTCTGTGTCTCAAAACAGTTACCTGTAGTATTTAAAATTTGATCTCTCACCCTGGGGTCAGTCAGGCCTTTTACATGGCAGAGGGTTTGACTCAACCACTGAGCTTCTCCAGCAAAACAGACAGAAGGGAATACATACCTGCTTGGCTGAAGAAATGGGGTGGTTTTGATACAACATTTTTTGAAGAGAAAACTCCTTCATGTGCAGTAATCCACTTTGCCAAGTTCTCCTTGTGCGACTACCTCTTAGGCATTCCCTAGTGATACTCTGCCCACTTTTAATATACCAAATCCAGATTGTGCTAAGGTAGGTGATGAACAGCAAACAGTTTGGAGCTATGGCATGGTGGTATGCTGGCAGCTGTCAGTTCACTTTTGTCCATGTCACCAGAGCAGGATCTGTGCAGTGACTTAAGAACAATAGTTTTCAAATCTTGGCCATGGATATGTGAAATTGCCACAGGGCAGAGGGACAGATGGGGGTTCCAGGGACCTCCTGGGAGTGGGAGGGCCGAGGCAGGCAGATCACCTGAGGTCAGGAGTTCAAGACCAGCCTGCCAACATGATGAAACCCCGTCTCTACTAAAAATACAAAAAATCAGCCAGGTGTGGTGGCGGGTGCCTGTAATCCCAGCTACTCGGGAGGCTGAGGCAGGAGAATCGCTGGAACCTGGGAGGCAGAGGTTGCAGTGAGCCGAGATCGCTCCATTGCACTCCAGCCTGGGCAACAAGAGCAAAACTCTATCTCAAAAAAAATAAAAATAAAAAAATAAAGTCAACTCCATCTTAAAACTAGCAGGTAGGCCGGGCATGGTGGCTCACGCCTGTAATCCCAGCACTTTGGGAGGCGGAGACAGATGGATCACCTGAAGTGAGGAGTTCTAGACCAGCCTGGAGCCTGGCCAACATGGTGAAACCCCGTCTCTACTAAAAATACAAAAAATTAGCCAGGCGTGGTGGCAGGCGCCTATAATCCCAGCTACTTGGGAGGCTGAGGCAGGAGAATCGCTTGAACCCAGGAGGCGGATGTTGCAGTGAGCTGAGATCGCGCCATTGCACTCAAGCCTGGGCAACAAGAGCAAGACTCTGTCTCAAAACAAACAAGCAAACAAAGAAACAAACAAAACAACAAAACTAGCAGGTACGTTCCTTGCCAGTCATGACCCATGGTCATAAGATGTCTACAGCTCAGGAAGCAGCTTCACAATGCCTGCAAAGACAAACTCCTATGACAGCAGAATGTCCTGATGTCCCCATATCACATAACAATGTATGCTTTTATGATGGTTATAGTCAAGCTTTGATGTACTTACGCACTAAAATGCCAAGGATAGTTTTCTTTAAATCAGCAACATAATAAATGTCATGCTGTCAGTCCCCCACATGTAGACATAACTTAGCTTTTACATGGATAAGAAACCTATATAAGAAAACCTTAGGCCAGGTGTGGTGGCTCATGCCTGTAATCCCAGCACTTTGGGAGGCCGAGGCGGGTGGATCACTTGAGGTCAGTAGTTTGAGACCAGCCTGGCCGACATGGCGAAACCCCGTCTCTACTAAAAATACAAAAATTAGCCCGGCATGGTGGCACATGCCTGTAATCCCAGCTACTTGGGAGGCTGAGGCAGGAGAATTGCTTGAACTCGAGAGGCGGAGGTTGCAGTGAGCCGAGACTGCGGCCATTGCCCTCCAGCCTGGGCGATGAGAGCGAAACTTCATCAAAAAAACAAAAACAAAACAAAACAAAAAACACCTTAGAAGAGGCGTTCCTCCTCTTGCTTTCTGAAGACACTCTACGCTGAAACAGTAGCTTTCAATAAACCATCTCTTCTCACCGCACTCTGCGACTTGCCTTGAATTCCTTTGTGTGCAAGATCCAATAAGCCTCTCTTGCGGTCTGGATGAGAACCCCTTTTTTTGGCAATACTTCTGACACAACAAAAATGGCAGAAAGGAGAGGTCTCATCATGTAATAAAATTAAGGCAGAGAAAGATTTCTCTGGGCATGCTGAAAGAGACACAGTTTCACTTGTCAAATATTAGGTAGTCACATATGATGTGTGATGAAAAAAGCCTGTGTGTATGGAATGCCTACATAGAGGGTATTATGGAATGCTGGAAATACATTGTTAGGGATGACAAAAGGGGAGGACTTATTAGAGATTGTGGAATGACTGTGCTGCTCTGAGAATGGAGCTTACAACATTGTTTGGCTTTGATACGTTTTCATGTACAAAGGGAGCTGCCAGAATTATTTTTGCTCTTCATAAAACTAAATCATTGTTAACAATTATGGTAATATACAAATATGTGAGAAGGAAAGAAAAATCCACCTGTTATTCCAACTCCTGGATAGCCAACCACTCTTAAAACAAAATTACTGATGGCTGGGTGCGGTGGCTCACGCCTGTAATACTAGCACTTTGCAGGGCTGAGGCAGGTGGATCACCTGAGGTCAGGAGTTCGACACCAGCCTGGCCATCATGGTGAAACCCCATCTCTACTAAAAATACAAAAATTACCCGGGTGTGGTGGTTTGCGCCTGTAATCCCAGCTACTTAGGAGGCTGGGATAGGAGAATCAGTTGAACACTGGAGGCAGAAGTTGCAGTGAGCCGAGATCGCGCCATTGCAGCCTTGGGGACAGAGCGAGACTCCATCTCAAAAAAAAAAAAAAAAATTCACTCAGTATTTTTCTAAGTGTTAGTCAGTGAAAACTTCATTACCCAGCTTTGGCCCCGCTCCCACTCCCACGCCAGGTTCTACCCCTACAGTGCCTTCTGCAGCGCCTTGATCCTCACCTGTGAAGTGGCTGTGATGTCCCAGCATAGGGTATTTGTGCGACAGCTTCAGGAGCAGGAGTGCACTTCTTTCTGCAGAAATAAGGAAAGCTCTGGAGTGCGTTTAAGGGAAATCTGACCTTTGCATTGAAAATGGCCAGGGAGGTACACAAACAAAAAGTTTGAAAAAAATCTTCCCTAGCTTAGAGAATCGGGCAAATTTTCTGCAAACTGGCTAGAGCTCCCCCAGGGGAATCCATGCTTCTCAGCTGATGGGTGTTGAGCAGGCCTGGAGGTTGTCCTCTCCTCACGTGAGCAGCAGAGATTGGCCAGGGCCCCAGCCATTTCTTGGGAGGAGTCATTCACAGTTTTTTCTTGTCCACCTGCCTTGGCTGGGCTGGCTCAGCCTCTTTTGGAGCCTCCATTTTTGGAGTTCGTCATGCTCCACTGAGGTGCCAGGCCTACTGTGGGGACAGAGACTCCTCACTCTCTCATTTGGGCAGTGGGACAAGCAGGGGGCACAGATAGAGGCAGCCGATGCCAGTGCAAGGGTTGCTGCCTGACAGGCATTGAACTGGATACTTCTCCATGCAGGGGCAGAAGGGCTGCTGTTGAGGTCTTGGGAAGACAACTCGGTCAAGTACATGTGCTTCCGGCCCAGCAGCTGGCGGGTCTCATGAGCCTGCCTGGCAAAGAGGCCTGTGAGACTGGAGCAGGTGGCCATGGCTGTGACCTTCCACACTTATGGTAAGAACACCCTGGAGATCACAGGCAAGGCTGGTTGGTGCTGCTGGTCTTCCTGGTGGCCCGGCAGCTTTTAACATGGTGGCCTGGGTCCCTGACCAGCCCCCGACTCTGAGGGAAGGTGGGGAAGAGGGAGGGAAGCCAGGGGCTTTCTCCCCAACACTAATATAAAAAAAGGAAAGGACTTGTCCTTTAGGGAGAAAAAAAGAACGGAAAAAAAAACCCCCAAGAATTTGTCCTTCAAAACCCGAACCTTTTGTGGTCTTTTCTGCCTTCTATAGGGGTAGCAGTGGAGACATATTCTTTTTTTTTTTTTTTTTTGTTTGAGACAGAGTTTCACTCCTGTTGCCCAGGCTGGAGTGCAATGTTACCAATTTCTTGCATATAAGAAAAAAACCTTTTAAGAATGGGGATGTCTAAGATCCAAGTTTAAGTTGTTTGCATTGTTGTGATACAGACCAGTGTTTTTCTTTTTCTTTGTATTATTTTTATTTTTGAAATAGAGATGGGGAGTCTCACTATGTTGCCCAGGCTAGTCTTGAATTCCTAGTGTCAAGTGATCCTCCCAACTCAGCCTCCTAAAAATGCTGGGATTTCAGGCGTGAGCCACTGCACACATGGCCTAGACCAGTGCTTTTCAAGCATTCATGCACATGTGAATCATTTGGGAGTCTTGTTGAAATGCAGATGCTGATCAGAAGGTCTGGGGTGAGGCCTGGGATGCTGCCTTGCCGACAAGCTGCCAGGTAATGCTGCTGCTGTTGGTGCAGGAACACATTACGAGTAACAAGGCTGTGGACGGCCCATCACCTGACATTTTTAGCAAAATCCGCCATACTACAAAGCTTCATGTAAGTGTATTCACTCAACTAATATTTATTGAGCAGCTTCTTTTGTCAGGTACTCTTTTTTTTTTTTTTGAGACGGAGTTTCGCTCTTGTTTCCCAGGCTGGGGTGCAGTGGCGCGATCTCAGCTCACCACAACCTCCGCCTCCCGGGTACAAGTGATTCTCCTGCCTCAGCCTCCCAAGTAGCTGGGATTGCAGGCAATGTGCCACCATGCCTGGCTAATTTTGTATTTTTAGTAGAGATGGGGTTTCTCCATGTTGGTCAGGCTGGTCTTGAACTCCCGACCTCAGGTGATCCAACCGCCTCGGCCTCCCAAAGTGTTGGGATTACAAGTGTTAGCCACTGCACCCGGCTTATCAGGTACTGTCTTAAGTGCTGGGGGTTCGGCAGTGAATTAAACCAACAAAAAGCCCTGCCCATGTGGTTTATAGTCTAGTGGGGGAAAACAGTCAATAAATATAATAAACAAGTCAGTTATATAGTGTGCCAGAAGAAGATAGTACTATGGAAAAAATAGAGCAGAAGGAGAACTGGGAATTCCAGAGGGAGAGGATCTGATTGCAATTTTATTTTATTTGTATTTTGTTTGTTTTATTTTTGTTTTTTAAAATTCTCTTTTCAGTCAGGCTTGGTGGCTCATGCCTGTAATCCCAGCACTTTGGGAGGCCGAGGTGGGCAGATCGCTTGAGGTCAGGAGTTCGAGACCAGCCTGGCCAACATGGTGAAACCCCATCTCTACTAAAAATACAAAAATTAGCAGGGTATGGTGGTGCGCGCCTGTAATCCCAGCTACTTAAGAGGGTGAGGCAGGAGAATTGCTTGAACCTGGGAGGTGGAGGTTGCAGTGAGCAGAGATCACACCACTGAACTCCAGCTTGAGTAGACAGAGTGAGACTCCGTCTCAAAAAAAAAAAAATATATATATATATATATATATATTATTTATTTATTTATTTATTTTTGTCTTTGCTTTTTTCTGGTTGCAATTTTAAAAGGGGTAGTCAGAGAATGCCCCAGTGAGGTGACATGGAAATAAAGCCATGGGGATATATAATACTTTTTAAAAATTCGTGAACGTGACTAAGTTCCTTGTCAGGAGAAATGAAGGGAAGAGACCTGCCATAATGGTGAGATTCATGTGAAATCAATAGGTTGGTAAATATCACAGTAGGAGAGGACCCTAAGAAAATGAGTCCCTTGGGATATTGGGGTGAGAACTGGATCTCTACAAAAATAGAGGATAAAGTCTTGATTCAATTATATTTAAATCTCAAAGGACTTAGTGTTTCATCTAACATTTAAATGATATGCTATGTGAAGATGAAATATGACCAGAGTGAGCATAAAACAATAGCTACTACCTGGTACAATGAGGTCACATCCATTCATGGGTCAGTTATGCTTGCACAAGTTTGCTTACAAGATGCAACCCACCCAGGCATTTGCCAGTCTGGAAAAGGGGAAGAAGGAAGGGGGATCTACTCACGACTAGGAAGGGACCCTATCCTAAAATCTCCACTCAAGAAGAGTTGCAATTTAAGCACATATCTTGTGGTCGGAAACGTGAGAGGCCAAAATGCCACATGAAGCATAAATTGGTTTCCAGGTTGGCAGACAAGGGAGGCTGGAGTGTGAAAATCTCACTGAATGCCTCCTAAAGAAGCACTGGGCCAGAAAACATAAAGAATCTCCTGGAAGCTCTGAGGCAAGGGGTGAATTTGAAAGAAGGGGAACAGCTGGGTGCGGTGGCTCACGCCTGTAACCCCAGCACTTTGGGAGGGCGAGACGCGTGGATCATGAGGTCAGGAGTTCAAGACCAACCTGGCCAATATGGTGAAACCCTGTCTGTACTAAAAATACAAAAATTAGCCGGGCATGGTGGCACGCACCTGTAGTCCCAGCTACTAGGAAGGCTGAGGCAGAAGAATCACTTGAACCTGGGAGGCAGAGGTTGCAGTGAGCCGAGATCACACCACTGCATTCCAGCCTGGGCAACAGAGCAAGACTCCGTCTCAAAAAAGGAAAAGGAGAACAAAGGAAAGGTGGTGGTGAGGGGAGATACCCAGTGGACCGTCTTGAAAGAGGAGGCTCCAGATACTGGAGGACAAAAGATGCCTCATTCTCCCCCAGTAGCTCCAGCAGCTGGAACCAGCCCAGCCTGTTTTTCCTTCCAAAGGAGTAGGGGCTCACCTGGGGAGAGGCCCAGCGCTCTTCCTTCTGACACCCCCCCCCACCCAGGTCCGAGGACATCTAAACCAGATTTACAATACTTTCAGGAACCCACCACCCATCCCTTTGGCAAAAACATTCCTGCACCTGCTGGCTGATGCCTGAAATTCCTTCAGTAGAAGTTTTTTCATCTCAAACTGGAAGATGAGAATTTTAAAATGCTAATGACTGGTTAAGATATTAGGTCACCTGTTTAAGTATAATCTATCAGTCAACAAATGTGAATGATTATTGTCAGATCCCATTGCTTTTTTTCTTTTTTTTGAGACAGAGTCTGGCTCTGTCACCTAGGCTGGAGTGCGGTGGCACGATCTTGGCTCACTGCTACCTCGGCCTCCCGGGTTCAAGCAATTCTCCTGCCTCTGCCTCCCGAGTGGCTGGGATTACAGGCGTGTGCCACCACACCCAGCTAATTTTTGTATTTTTTAAGTAGAGACGGGGTTTTGCCATGTTGGCCAGGCTGGTCTCGAACTCCTGACCTCAGGTAATCAGCCTGCCTTAGCCTCCCAAAGTGCTGGGATCATAGGCGTGAGCCACCGTGCCTGGCCCCCATTGCTTTTTTTTTTTTTTTTTTTGGAGACAGAGTCTCACTCCGTCACCCAGGCTGGAGTGCAGTGGCGTGATCTTGGCTCACTGCAACCTCTGCCTCTGGGGTTCAAGCAATTCTGCCTCAGCCTCCCGAGTAGCTGGGACTACATTACCTGCCACCATGCCTGGCAAATGTTCTCTATTTTAGTAGAGATGAAGTTTCACCATCTTGCCCAGGCTGGTCTCAAACTCCTGAGCTCAGGCAATCCACCCGCCTTGGCCTCCCAAAGTGCTAGGATTACAGTCATGAGCCACCGTGCTGGGGCACGGCGGGGGGTGGGTGGGGGCGGGCATTGGTTTTTGATAAGAGGGAGGGTTAGAGAAAGGGATGGATAACGGAAGGGTAAGGAGGTAGGGGCATGGGGACTTCACAGCCAGCAGGAACATTTACAGCGGTTGGGTTGTTTACCTTCAACAGCTCCGCAGAGGAATAGTCACTGTGTGGGGAGGAATTTCTGTCCTGCGCATCTGTGTGCTCACCCAGCTTAGTGGGAACTCTGCCACTCAGACATATGATTCACATCAACTGTGTTTTTCATGAGTTTTAGAGACTTTTTTTTTTTAAAGCAAGGCTGACATCATTATGAAGGAACTTTTTTTTTCTCATAGGTTCCAGCCGAGGTACCACTGGAAATGGCACCAGGGAAGACCTTCAAAAGAAGGTTTTTTTTTTCCCCTCCCCTCCTCCAGAAATAGGTGAGTGAGGAGACTTCCTGACTTGGCTAAAATAAAAAATTATAGCACTTTATTGTTGACTGATTATAGATGTAACAATTCTCCACTGGAAAAGTTTCAGAAAATAGAAAAGTATAAACTGAAGAAAATTTATTTACTTAATAAAATTAGAACTGCAATTCAGAATGAGCCTCATTTACGTTTGATGTTTTCCCTAGTCTTTTTTATCCTGAACATTATGATGCCATGATTTATTTCAAAATTTCAGATGGTAGTTTTAGTGAATCATGCTTTTTAATTATAAAAATGTTTCCTTGAAGTAAAAAATTTTGGTTAAAAAATCAAACAACAAAACAAACTAGGAAAAATTCTTTGTGGAGAATACAGAGTTTTTTTTGGAGTTTTTCTTCTTTCTGTGTGTTTTGTTGAGTTTGCCTTGTGTTTATAGTTTTATATCTCTTTTCCTTGCTTGGCTCTATTACCGCACATATAAGTTTTGCCATAGATTGTCAGAATTTTAAGAGAAACGATGCTAGGCCAGGCATAGTGGCTCAATCCTATAATCCCAGCACTTTGGGAGGCTGAGGTGGGTGGATCACTTGAGGTCAGGAGTTCGAGACCAGCCTGGCCAACATGGCGAGACCCTGTCTCTACTGAAAATACAAAAATTAGTGGGGCGTGGTGGCAGGTGCCTGTAATCCCAGCTACTTGGGAGGTTGAGGCAGGAGAATAGCTTGAAACCGGGAGGTGGAGGTTGCAGTAAGCTGAGATTGCACCACTGCACTCTGGGGTGACAGGGCAAGACTCCTTCTCAAAAAAAAAAAAAAAAAGAAAGAAAGAAAAAGAAAAAAGAAAAGAGAAACGATGCCAGGTGGCTGTTCTCTTTGCACATCTGGATGAAGACCCAGAGGCTGGGGTGACACTAAAACTCCACAGCCTGAGCCCCATCCAGCTGATGGCAAAGCAGATACTTCACAACTGCGCCTTGGTGAGAAGTGAGTTTGGACACCCCAAATGAACTGCAGTTGGGAGCAGCTCCCAGCTCCAGCTCCAGCTCCCTGTTCATTTTCCAAGAGGTGGCAACAGCCAGAAGGAGTCTGAGATGTGACTCCCAGGGAGGAGGGGTCGCTCCTGAGGATCAGTCCAAAGTTGCTACAAGGCTGGACGCCCTCTCTCCATATAGCTGTGGTTACCTTAACAGTTTGCAATGTGTGTATTCATTTTGGTTGCCAAGAAGACTCAGCTGAGTAGATGTGGGCTCTGTAGACATTGTGAGAAGAAGGGAGGCAGGGAAGTGTGCTTTGCTAGTGACTTGGTTCTTGACCACCATCACCTCAGTTTTGTGACGACTTCCCGGAAATACGGCCAGCCTTGAACTGGCAGCAGTTTAGTAGAGTGGTATGAACCGAGAATGACACTTGTTAGCTGTGTGACTTTGGCAAGGCATTTGCCATGCCTGAGCCTCAGTTTGCTGCAACATGGTCTTAATGATGGTTACCTGCATGATTGTCACAAGGACCATAGAAAACGTATGTACATGCTTGGCGTATAGTTGGCACTGAATGCCGTCACTGTAATTGAATCTGACAATGGGTGTGAGAACCATTAGGGAGGGGTGAAATGCTCCCCATGCCCATGAAAAGGTGGAGGGGACTCAGTGCTCCGGCTTCTATTATGTGATGCGACAATAACTATTACTGTGGGCATGACCACAGCCTTTCTACCTTTGGCAGCCTGTCAAAGGGAATCTTCTGGAGCCAGCCTCTTCCCTCCTTTCCCACCCGAGAGAGGAAACATTCTTGCTGGGAATGAGGCTGTCAATCTACCTGATTAAGAGTGAGAGAAGAGAGGTGGGGTACAGCGGTGAGGGCTGTAGGGCTGGAGGGGGTGGGTAGGTGTGGAGGAGAAGTCTTCAGAGGCATGTGTGGGTGAGGGGGAGTGGAATGAGAGCAAAGAGATTCTAACATTCTGGGCTGTGTTTATAGGTCTTCTTTAATATTTTTCAAGATATGAATTAAGTGAAATTTCTCTTTCTTGGTAAAATATATATAACATAAAATTTACATTTTAAGGCTGGGTGTGGTGGCTCACGCCTGTTATCCCAGCACTTTGGGAGGCCGAGGTGGGTGGATCATGAGGTCAGGAGTTCAAGACTAGCATGGCCAAGATGGTGAAACTCCGTCTCTACTAAAAATACAAAAATTAGCTGGGTGTGGTGGTGGGTGCCTGTAATCCCAGCTACTTGGGAGGCTGAGGCAGAGAATTGCTTGAACCCGGGAGGCGGAGGTTGCAGTGAGCCGAGATCCAAACAGAAACTCTGTACCCATTAAATAATAACTTCTCACCCTACCTCCTCCAGCCCCTGGTAACCTCTATAACCTTGATTCTACTTTCTGTCTCTACACATTTGCTTATTCTCTATCCTAGACATCTTATATAAGTAGAATCATACAATATTTGTCATTTGTGTTGAGTTTATTTCGCTTAGCATAATATTTTCGAGGTTCATTCATGTAGTAATATGCATCAGAATCTCATTCCTTTTTAAGGCTAAATAATATTCCATTATATGTACAGTCATTCCTTAGTATCCATGAGGGATTGGTTCCAGGATCCCCGAAGATGTCAAAATCCAAGGATGTTCAAGTCTCTGATATAAAATGGCACAGTATTTGCATATAACCTACACCTATCCTCCATATACTTTAAATCCTCTCTACTTATAGTACCTAATACATTGTAAAACTATGTAAATTATTATGCTGTATCATTATTTATTTATTGTTATATTGTTACTTTTTCATTTTATTTTGTCTTCAATACATATACTTATTTTTATTTATTTATTTTTTTTTTTGAGATGGAGTCTCACTCTGTCGCCAAGGCTAGAGTGCAACGGCACAATCTCAGCTCACTGCAGCCTCTGCCTCCCAGGTTCAAGCTATTCTCCCGTCCCAGCCTCCTGAGTAGCTGGGATTACAGGCATGTGCCACCATGCCTGGATAATTTTTATAGTTTTAGTAGAGACAGGGTTTCACTATGTTGGCCAGGCTGGTCTTGTACTCCTGACTTCAAGTCATCTGCCCGCTGTGGCCTCCCAAGGTGCTGGGATTACAGGTGTGGGCCACCGCGCCTGGCTGTCTTCAAATATTTTTGATCTGTGGTTGCTTGCATCCCTGGGTGGGAAATCGTGGGTACGGAGAGGGCTGACGGTATAGTCCACGTTTTGTTTCTCGATTCATCTGTCGAGGAACATTTGGGTTGTTTCCACCTTTTGGCTATTGTGAATAATGCTGCTTTGAACACTAGTGTACAAGTATCTATTCGAGTCCCTGCTTTCCATTCTTTGGATAGATATTTAGAAGTGGAATTGCTGGATCATATGGTAATTCTGTGTTTAATTTTGGAATTTTTCTTTAAGTGCCTTTGGCTGTCAAACTGCATCTTTTGTTCTCACGATGGTTCTCAAATCCTTTCATTCTGTTATAGTTTCTCCCCCTCTTTATTTCATGCCATTGATTTGTTGGAGACACTGGCTAATTTGTCTCTAGAGAATGATCTACCGCTTAGATATATTTGTTCCCTACTCACAGTGTCATTTAATTTGTTCCCTCATCCCCCATGTTTCCTGTAAACTGAAAGTTAAATACAGTCTTCATTGGATTCTGGTTCAAGTGTGTGACAGGAATAGCCTATAGAAGTGCTCTGTGTTTTTCACTGGATCCTATCAGGAGCTACCAAAATGTACTTCTTTTTTTTTGGAGCCAGGGTCTCACTCTGTCTTCCAGGCTGGACTGTAGTGGCACCACCACAGCTCACCGCAGCTTCGACCTACTGGGCTCAAGTGATCCTTCCACCTCAGCCTCCCAAGTAGCTGGGACTACAGGTGCACAGGTGTATGCCGCCATGCCTGGCTATTTTTTTAATTTTTTGTAAAGATGGGGGGGGGGTCTCACTATGTTGCCCAGGCTGGTCTTGAACTCTTAGACTCAAGTGATCCTCCTGCCTTGGCCTTCCAAAGTGTTGAAATTACAGGTGTGAGAAACCATGCCTGACAAAATGTACTTCTTAAACATAAACATAAATTTACTCTGAGAATGACCCACCTGGGTATGTGGGGTAAAACCTCTTTATTCTGTGACATGAATTCTTAATTTATGTTTATTATTTGTTTATTTATTTACTTTTAGAGACAGGGTCTTGTTTTGTCACCTAGGCTGGAGTGCAGTGGTGTGATCATGGCTCACTGCAGTCTTGACCTCCCTGGTTCAAGTGATCCTCCTGCCTCAGGCTCCCAAAGTGCTGAGATTACAGGCATGAGCCTGTGATTGTGCAGTGGGATGATCTCAGCTTACCGCAACATCTGCCTCCCGGGTTCAAGTGATTCTCCTGCCCCAGTTTGCATTCTTAATTTCATTCATAATGCTCTGGGGTAGGTACTATCACTCCCACTTTATAGAAGAGGAGACTGAGGCTTAGAGAGATTAGATAAGATGTGCAAAAAAACACTGTTAGTAAGTGGCTGAGCTGGGATTCAAAGGAAGGGACTTGTGGAACATGGATTTGACGGGTCATTTCAGCTTTAAGGGAGAGGTCAGCTGTCCAAGGGTCCGCAGACTCAGTGCCCAGGATCCAGGTCCCCTTGAGGAAGGATTCATGGGGCCTCGTCTAGTCCACAGCGCTCTCTAGCAAGTTGTAGCTGCTTCACTGTAGATTTTCGTGAGATCTGCAAGGTACAGAGGATGTAGAGGAGTGGTTCTGGCCTGGGAGCTTTTACAAGAGAATGATGCTCTGTTCCTAAACCAGAATCTCCAGGAATGGGGTCTGGGCAGCGACAGTTTTAAAAAGCTCCCCGGAGACTGTGATGCAGGTGGAGGATAGGATGCAGGCAGGCCTTAGAGGCCTGGGCAGGGCTGTGACTGGCCCTTCCTTGGTGCAGAACTTTCCCTCAGAGCAACCAGCCAGGGAGGGTGCAGTGACTTTGCTATACCTTGCTTAAAAGCCATGGTCTGCCGGGCGCGGTGGCTCATGCCTGTAATCCCAGCACTTTGGGAGGCCAAGGTGGGTGGATCACTTGAGGTCAGGAGTTTGAGACCATCTGGCCAACATGGTGAAACCCCATCTGTACTAAAAATAAAAAAAAAATTAGTGAGATGTGCTGGCACATCCCTGTAGTCCTAGCTACTCGGGAGGCTGAGGCAGGAGAATTGCTTGAACCTGGGAGGTGGAGGTTGCAGTTAGCCGAGTTCATGCCACTGCACACCAGCCTTGGCGACAGAGCAAGACTCCGTCTAAAAAAGAAAAAAAAAAAAAAAGGAAAAAAAGCCGTGATCATAATCTATTATTTGTGTCCATGAGAAGAAAGATTGTTCTGTGGTGGTACCAGCAGCCTCAGGAATCTCCTGCGGAAGCCTCCTAAGCCCCACACACTTGTGGGTTCTGGGTAAGCTGCTTATCTGTCTCTGCAGTGTGCTGGGGCAATTGCTGTCAACTGCCAGAAGGTAAGGCCAAAGCCTTTCCCCTTGCTGTGCTTCTGCAGGTGCCCTGCAGTCAGGGATGAGAGTGGAAATAGTGATGGGGGTTCGTTTAAATTAGAGCAATGCCCTGGATCAACGGAGGTCCTTCTTCTCAGTTGCTAGTTTCACCATCCTTTGCTCCATCGGCCGCTGTCTCCCAATCCCTGCCTGCACCTCTGTCCCTGCTGTTTGCTGGTCATCTCTGACTACCAGTCTCTGGCCACCTCCTGCACCTCTGACAAGCATCTGTCACTCTGGCCCTCGGTGCCTGCTGCTCATGTGGGGATGACGGCCCACCCTCATCCTTGGTCCTTGGGTTGTGGGGCAATGCTCACTCTTTCACCACTACCTAGAACTCTCCCCAGACTTCTGGGACCCACGGTCTTCCTAGTTCCGTTTAGCTTTTTAAGGGGGAAGTGGGTGTGTGTGTTTCATAGCAGAATTGCTTGAGCTCCTAATGGTGGTCCTCCCCCGCCTCCCACTGGGTTTTACTCTGCAGCCTTTTACAGTGAGGCACGCCTCCTCCTCCTTCATCATCACCATCATGACCATGTGCTGAGTATCCCGAACTGACAGCACTGTGATGAGAGCGTAACATACACGTGGTCCTCAGTAGGAGCGTAGGAGGATTGATCGTAGGAGGTTGTTAGCATTGCCATCCCATCCCTATGTTGCAGATGAGGAAAACAAGGTACACAGAAGTTAAGTAGTATTCCAAGGGAATGTGGCTGAGTGGATTCCTCATGAGATAATTGCTCCCCCCACCTCCTGCCCCTTAAGCTCAGATCTTTGCCTTCCAGGAGGGAGGTGAGTTTGGAGGATTCAGGAGCAGCCTCCCAGAGCACCCTGATTGTTCTGCTGTCCCTGACTGTCACTCCGAGGTGCTGAGTCTGGCCCACTTCCTCATGCGTGGTGATTTCTTTCTTGGGGTACAGTCACCGCACATGTTACAGGCCTCCACTGGGCCTCTATCCCCCACCCCCACCCACACCCACTGGAGCATTATCGCTGCCTGTGCCTGAGTGAACCTCAATGTGATTAGGGTTCAAGCTGTTTTCCGTCGGGCACAAAACACATCTCTTAATGTCTCCAAGCATTTTGTGACAACTTAGTTGGCACAAGGGTGTCTACAGGGTGGTGTCGCTTAACTCCACTGGCCACTGTGTGAGTGGGGTGCGGGGGGTGGGGGGGTGGTAAGGTAAGAAGTCAAAATGTCAGTCATCATGGTCTCCGAGTGCCAGGATTCTTGCTGAAAACTGCTGTTGTTTTTCTTATAGTTTTTGCTATACCAAATACTTAGTACTTGCATAATCAAAGTAAAATAAACGTAATCTGGGAATTTTTTTTTTTTTTTTTGAGACGGAGTTTTGCTCTTGTTGCCGAGGCTGGAGTGCAATGGCACAATATCGGCTCACCACAATCTCTGCCTCCCGGGTTCAAGCAATTCTCCTGCTTCAGCCTCCCGAGTAGCTGGGATTACAGGCATGCCCCACCACGCCCGGCTAATTTTGTATTTTTAGTAGAGACGGGGTTTCTCCATGTTGGTCAGGCTGGTCTTGAACTCCGACCTGAGGTGATCCGCCCTCCTCGGCCTCCCAGAGTGGTGGGATTACAGGCGTTAAGCCACAGCACCAGGCCGGGAAAAACTTTAAAAGCATAGAAGAGGCAGGGCACGGTGGCTCACGCCTGTAATCCCAGCACTTTGGGAGGCTGAGGCGGGCAGATCACCTGAGGTCAGGAGTTCGAGACCAGCCTGGCCAACATGGTGAAATGCCGTCTCGACTGAAAATACAAAAATTAGCTGGGCCTGGTGGCAGGCGCCTGTAATCCCAGCTACTTGGGAGGCTGAGGCAGGCGAATCACTTGAACCCGGGAGGCAGAGGTTGAAGTGAGCTAAGATTGTGCCGTTGCACTCCAGCCTGGGGGACAAGAGCGAGACTTCTCTCAAAAAATAAATAAATGAATAAAATAAAATTAAAAAATAAATAAAAATTTTTAAAAAGTACAAAGAAGAAAATGAAAATCTAAAATCTTAATACCCAGGAATAACTACTGTTGATTTTGGTATAACTACCTAGACTCTTCCTCTGCTGTTATAGATATGCATGATTGGGGTTATCATGCTCTTTTGGTCACAAATAACAGAAATCATCCCTAATAAGATTAACCAAAAAGGAAAATGTACTCAGATGATGGAGGGGGTTTGAAGAACGTGGGGCGCTTGGCCTTCTGAGGCTGGAACCAGGAGTCAGGAAGCTGTCTCTGAACAGGACTGAGGACAATGGATTTGTTGACCGCTCCTCATGTTTTCCCCACTCTGTCCCGCTTTGGGGATTCCTCTCCCAGTCCACGTGGCCCTGGGGACTGTCAATCACAGAGTTTCCACCCCCCCCAACCTGCAGATTCTCACAGACATCGGGGTGTTCTTTGGCCCACTTATTAACTCAGGGCTGAAGCGTGCTCCGAGCGTCCGAGTCTTCCTTGGGATAGGCCCATGGACAGCATGGAAGGAGTTCTCATTTCCCTAGCTGGTGATAGAGTCTGGCCCTTCTGAAGGCTTTTATAATTACAATGGGGCAATAACTAAATCCAAGTAGGGTAAGGAAGTGGAGAGAGGAACAAGGCAATACCACACCTACTTAGCAGCTGGTAAGCTCAAGTCATTCTTTTTTGCTCAAGCTGATTGGATCTGGGTTTCTACCACTTGTTTCTGAATAAGGCCTGAACAATACCATTTATCTTGGCTCATCTGCTACAGTCCCTTCTTTTTATTTGTTTGTTTGTTTGAGATGAACTCTCACTCTGTCGCCCAGGCTGGAGTGCAGTGGCGCAATCTCAGTTGACCACAACCTCTGCTTCCCGGTTCAAGCGATTCTCTTGTCTCAGCCTCTTGAGTAGCTGGGATTACAGGCGTGCACCATCACGCCTGGCTAATTTTTGTATTTTTAGTAGCGATGGTGTTTCAACATGTTGGCAAGGCTGTTCTCGAACTCCTGACCTCAAGTGATCCACCTGCCTCAGCCTCCCAAAGTGCTGGGATTACAGGTGTGAGCCACCATGCCTGGCCAGTCCCTTGTTTTTGAATGCAGGTCTTTGCTGCTTTTCCAAGTCCAGAAGGGTGTGTCCACTGCCTGGCAGTTTCTAGATACCCAGTCCCACCCATGCTCAGAGACTTGCTGGTTGTGTTTGAGTCCCAAATTCCCAGAGAAGGAATTTGCTTAGAGAATGGAATCACACAGGAATATGATGGCTGCCAGGGGCCCACCTTTGTGGAGGTGTGGAAGTGTAGGTCGGGAGGGATCACAGAGAGAGAAAGAGGACTGTTCTGAGCCAGACAGGCCTCCTGGAGGGATTTCTTAAGCGTCACTTTGCATATTTTTGCGTGGGCGGCCGTGATACAGTGCCACTGATTCCTTAGTTTCTCTTGCCCTGAAGATGTCAGGATCTGCCTTTTGCTCTGGGCCCCCTGCCTCCTGTCTCCTACTCTGGGCCTTTCTGCTCCTTCCCTGGGCTCCCCCTATCCACCCTTTGCTCTAATCAAGGCTCTGCTCTGGACAGACTTTGCATTCTTTTTTTTTGAGGCGGAGTCTCGCTCTGTTGCCCAGGCTGGATGGAGTGCAGTGGCGCGATCTCGGCTCACTGCAAGCTCCGCCTCCCGGGTTCAAGCCATTCTCCTGCCTCAGCCTCCCGATTAGCTGGGACTACAGGCGCTCACCACACCCGGCAAATTTTTTGTATTTTTAGTAGAGACGGGGTTTCACCGTGTTAATCAGGATGGTCTCGATCTCCTGACCTCGTGATCCGCCCGCCTTGGCCTCCCAAAGTGCTGGGATTACAGGCATGAGCCACCGCGCCTGGCCTGCATTATCATTTAGTCAGAGAGACTTGAAGTATGCAGAAAACTCCGATGACGCGGAGCGATGTGAGGAGCAGTGGGGCCCCTGGAGATCACGGAGGGAGACATGCTCCCAGCTAGGGGAATTAGGGCAGATCTCATAGAGGAAGTGGGTCTTGAGCTGAGCCTTGGAGGACCCCTACACGCAGACACTGCAAGTGGACGGAAGGACCCAGGGCCCTGAGGAGAGTGTGGATTCAGTGGGGCTGGAGGAGGAATATGGAGTGGGAGGATAAAACTGGACAGGCAGGCCCGGGGCGGCTTGTGGAGGGCCCTGAATATCATACATATCTGCGCTAGAATAACCAGGGGCCTCCAAAGCTCAGGGCTGAGAGGATGGCTGGGAGTTACCTGTCTCTGTGGGCTGATACCACACTCAGATGTGGGAGAGCAGGTCCGTGCCCAGGGCTGGGCCTCAGAGGGCCCAGTACTTTGGAGTGCCTTCCTTGCAATGTTCTAAACCCTTCTTGGATGTCTGGGCTGGGCCGACAGTGCTAGCTGGGCTGGGTGCCCAGTGCCTGGACGGTCTGTGTGGGTCATGGTTTCTAGAAGCCTGTTCCTCAAACATTTCTCTGATGACAGAGGCCAGCCAGAGCTGCCCTCCTGGCAGACATGAGTCTGCCCAGGCCCTGTTTCTCTCCTTTGTGGTGTTCTCTGCCCCCTACTCAGGGTGTGAGGTCAATCTGATGCCCTGAGGAGCTCCAGCACGTATGCCTATTCCAGGAGGGAAGCCTGGTGATTGAATTGCTCCCGTTGGCACGCACAGTATTTCTTTTGTGGGATCATGTGAGTTTGGTCCACCTTAATTTGTCAGACACAGGATGAGTTCAAGGTTCTGGGCTGCAGATGGTCCACTACCAACTCTTGGCTTGATTGTGAGTGTGCCTAGGCATCAGCCCTCCCACTGCACTCCAGCCACAGTGCTGCCTCAGGTCGACAGTACTCGAGTGTACCCGTGAGCCCTCCTCACTTTGTCAATGGCACTAGGGCGGCCAGCCCAGCCCTTCTGTGGTCTCCACACCACGTCAGGCAGTCCTCTGAGGGTGGCCCACCTATCTCCTCCGAGGGCCCTCAGCACTGGCTCACAACACCAAGGGGCCTTCCCATGGATGTCCTGCTTGCCTTGACAGTTATGTGAGAACCAAGGAGACTGTTCTCTCTGTCCATGGGCCCCCTGGCCGATCCTTCCTGCTGGTGGTGTGTGGAGCTGTAGGGGGTCAGCGGGGAGAAAGATCACATTCTAGGGATTCGGCAATTATGGCCTGAAGAGTTCTAGAGCAGTCATGTTTGGGTGATGTGCTGTTTTATGTTTATGCTCTACAATTCTAAATGATACATTTAATATAATCAGAACACAAAGAATTGCTCTTTTTTTTTTTTTTTGCATACTCTGGGTGAGACTTGCCTTGGTAATCATTATCGAGGAATCACCATCACCACCTTTGAGAGAGCCACTGGAAGCCAGTCCTCAGGGGCTGCACTGCGGATGATGCAGTGTGGAATTATGATGCAACCAGCCTTAAATACATGGTGTTAAGGAATTGCAGAGGCAAAAAGGTCTATATTGTTTCAATATAAACAGGTTTTCTAAAGCAATGACATTGTGGATAATTACTGTCTTGCTACCTGAGATTTATGAAGTTAGTCAGGAATGACAAATTTGATCATAACAAATGTGAAGAGACGGGGCCGGGCGTGGTGGCTCACGCCTGTAATCCCAGCACTTTGGGAGGCCAAGGCGGCGGATCACCTGAGGTCGGGAGTTCGAGACCAGCCTGGCCAACATGGTGAAACCCCATTTCCACTAAAAATACAAAAATTAGCTGGGCGTGGTGATGTGCGTCTATAATCCCAGCTACTTGGGAGGCTGAGGCACGAGAATCTCTTGAACCCGGGAGGCGGAGGTTGCAGTGAGCTGAGATCACGCCATTGCACTCCAGCCTGGGCAACAGAGCGAGACTCCATCTCAAAAAAATAAATAAATAAATTAATTAATTAATTAAATAACAAATGTGAAGAGATGGTTCCTGGACTCAACAGGAAAAGATGGGTCCTGTACATTCTGAGGAATCTTCATGTTCATTGACTGGACAATAAACAAATACAAAAGGACCTCTTCAATCAATCTGTATCACTCCTGTGGACTCATGACTTTTTGTAATACATTATAAAATGAAATTGTTCATGTTGACAGGAGCCCACGAAATGTATTTGCCCAGGGCCTGCAGATCCTAGGAGTGCTTTTGCCCTGGGCAGTACTGGAGAGACCATAGGCCCCTACCCGCCACCCCTGTGGCAGTTCCATCCATTCTGGCCTTGAGGGAATGGTCACTTCCCGCCCTTGGGACCCAAGGCTCTGCATCCTGTGCCTGCATGCTGGCCTGGCCCCATGCACCAGGTAGACACGGGGGACAAGAAGTGTGTCATGGCATAAGAGACCTGGCGTGGGGAAGGAAAAGTCACAAGTCAGGAGGAAGAGATTGGTGGGAAGAGACATACGGGTCAGTCTCTTTTGAAACCAGGTGAACAGCCCTAGCCAGGTGTCCAGGCTGTAAGCCAGGGACTCGTCCTTGAGTCCCCCCGTCCTTCACCCCCACAGTCAGTTAGTCACTATGTCCAGCCAGTTCTGCCTCATATATATGGAGCTTGCATTTGCCAAGGTTCTCCGGAGAAATAGGACCAATAGGAGGTACATATGTACATCCTATTATTATTATTATTAATTATTTGAGATGGAGTCTTGCTCTGTCACCCAGGCTGGAGTGTGGTGGTATGATCTTGGCTCACTGCGACCTCCATCTTTCAGGTTCAAGCGATTCTCCTGCCTCAGCCTCCTGAGTAGCTGGGACTACAGGTGCGTGCCATCACTCCCGGCTAATTTTTGTATTTTTAGTAGAGATGGGGTTTCACCATATTGGCCAGGCTGGTCTCGAACTCCTGACCTTGTGATCTGCCCGCCTCAGCCTCCCAAAGTGCTGGGATTACAGGCGTGAGCCACTGTGCCCGGCCGTACAAGCTATTATTAGATATACTACGTATTACGGGACTTGGATCATGTGATTAGGGAGGTGGGAGGTCAAGAAGTCCCACCGTCTGCTCTCTGCAAGCTGGAGACCCAGAAATGCTGGAGATGTAATTAGGTCTGAGTTCAGCTATCTGAGAACCAAGAGCTCTGATGTCTGAGGGTGGGGGAAGATGTCCCAGCTCAAGAGGAGAGAGGAAGAAAATGTGTTCTTCTTCCACCTTTTTGTTCTATTTGGGCCCTGGGGATGACACCCACCCACCTTAGTGAGGGTGGTCTTCCGTGCTTAGTCTACTAATTCCAGTGCTAATCTCTTTTAGAAACACCCTCACAGGCACACCCAGCAGTAATGTTTTCTTAGCTATCTGGGCACCTCTTAGCTCAGTCAAGCTCAAGCATAACCTTCACCATCACAGAGCTATTCTGACTTCCACCTCCTCTTCCTCCTATTGCCCCTGCCTCAGTTGAGGCCTTGCGGTCTCTGTCCTGGACCACTGCAATAGGTTCCTCATTCCTCTTGCTCTGATGGTGCTCCCTCTCCCCATCTCTTCTAGACATTTTTCTCTTTCCATTTGGTATCTATTTTTTTTTATGACAGCTTTAAATGCATCTAGTTTTTTGTTTTGTTTTGCTTTTTTGAGACAGGGTCTCACTCTGTTACCCAGGCTGGAGTGCAATGGCACAATCTTGGCTCACTGCAACCTCCACCGCCCAGGTTCAAGTGATTCTCCTGCCTCAGCCTCCCTAGTAGCTGGGATTACAGGCGTCCACCACCGCGCCCAGCTAATTTTTGTATTTTTAGTAGAGATGGGGTTTCACCATCTTGGCCAGGCTGGTCTCGAACTCCTGACCTCAGGTGATCCCCCTGCTTTGGTCTCCCAAAGTGCTGGGATTACAGTGTGAGCCACCACGCCCAGTCAGTTCTAGTTTAAAGAGTCAAGTAACTCAAGATGACTTTTTACCAAAAACAGTAGCCTCTTCCCATCCTTCCTCTTCAACCCCTCCCCCACTCACCCCAATTTACTGCTTCCTATAGGCAACCACTTTCCACTCACAGAGCTGATTGCTTTCCTGCTTACCTGAGTGTGTATGTGAGGATGAAGGGAGGATGCTTCGTTGCAAGCTTTGCTGCAGAATGGTCTGGGCTGGGCCAGGCTTCTTAATGAGGAGTGTGGATGTCAGAGTCTTTAGGGCTTTCTTTGTGGGCTAGTCAGGTTCCTGCAGATGGCTCTTCCAGTCCTGGCAGGGATTAGGGACCTGGCTGCCAGTGTTGGGGAGAAGACAGGGAAGAGGCTGGGGACAGGGCATATTTCTGTCTTCGACTTGTAACTCCTGTTTGATCCCATTTTTGGTGTGGTGGCCCTGCCCTCACTCTGCTTGATGTGCTAGTTCAGAGACCCCCGATTTTACTTTTTTAGAAGAAAAACACCCAAGTCTGTGAAGGAGCAGGAGAAGATGAGGTGGGGGGAGGAGCCAATCCCCAGTTGTCCTGTTTTTGGCTCCATCTTTACCGGCCTCCTCTTCCCTGCTTTCAGAGGACCTGGTGCCACCAATACCTGAACCATTTGTGGGTCTGGGGTCTAAAGAAAATTGGCTGTTTACTTCCCTCATGGTTCAGGATTGAGCTTTCTTGGTTCTAATACGTTGGTTGCCATTTTTCTAGCTGCTTTCCAGTTTCAAAATGTTGCTATCGATGTCTCTTCAGTTCTCTTTTTCCTTATGGATTTTTTTGTCTTAAAAAAAAAAAAAAGAATTTCAGAAAGGAGTGAGGATAAATGTACGTGCCCAGTCCACCACTGTTAAGCTACTGGAGAGATCCTTCTAGCATTTCAATCTGATTATGTCTTCCTCCCGTTCAAAATACTTCCATGGTGCCCCATTGGCAGTAGGATAAAATATAGAAGCCTTGTGAATGGCGTTTTTGGGCTATGCCCTAAATCAGGGCTCACTCCTCTCCTGGACTAGACTGTACTTGATTCTATTAATTTTAATGAAACAAATTTCAGGACACCTAGAAACGGACAGACTCAAAACGTTTACTTTTTTCCCCTATTAAATGGCAACGCTAGAACAATGCTTAGCTATCACCTTGCATGACCTTTAGTTCTTTCTCGCTGGGAAACTGTAATTGCTGAGCAGTTAGGAACCCTGAGATGACTGGGTTTGGTTTGGGTTAAAGCTCAATGCCGGTGTGGGGTGTGTGTGTGTGTGTGTGTGTGTGTGTGTGGCATGTGTGTGTATATGTGTGTGTGTGGCGTGTATGTGTGTGTGGGGTGTGTGTGGTGAGTGTGTGTTTGTGGCACGCGCGTGTATGTGTGGCATGTGTGTGGTGTGTGTGGCATGAGTGTGTGTGTGGCTTGTGGTATATGTGTGTGTGTGTGGCGTGTGTGTGTATGTGTGTGACGTGTGTATGTGTGTGGTGTGTGTGGCATGTGTGTTTGTGGCGCACATGTGTGTATGTGTGTGTGGCGTGTGTGTGGTGTGTGGGTATATGTATGTGTGTGTGTGGTGTGTGGGTATATGTATGTGTGTGTGGTGTGTGTGTATATGTGTGTGTGTGGCGTGTGTGTGGTGTGTGGGTATATGTATGTGTGTGTGTGGTGTGTGGGTATATGTATGTGCGTGTGGTGTATGTGTATATGTGTGTGTGTGTGTGTGTGTCTTCCTTCACACCTGCAGCCTTGAGCCTCTGCAGGGAATTTCCAGTTTATGTTGCCAGCAACTAGAAGGCAGACTCTTTTTTGTATTCTTTCCGGGGCATAAATTGCAGCTGGTGATGAAATGTATTCAATCTCTCTCACTACTAAATCACATCGGACCACACAGATACTTGGCCTAGGTAATCCTATTAGACCTAAACCAAAGGGGCAGGCTTTCCCCTAGATGGATCATGAAGACGCAAAACCGTGGGGTGGGCTGGCAGGGTCACCCGAAAGTGAGGAGCACTGCCATCTGTTTTCTCTTCCCTCTTAGTGATAACATGAAGGAATTGTCCCGAACAAGTGCATTTCCCTTCGGTAGGCCTCACTACCGAGGCTATTGATCAGCTTACTCTATTACCACATCAAAGGAAAATGCCATCATGGGTGGCTCCGGCAGAGCATTTGGGTTCTTGGTGATTTTGCTAAGAATCTCTGAGGAGAGGCAATGAAGGCTCTTAATTGCATATTTCCTGTGTACTCATCCTTCTTCTCCAAAACAAATGACATTAGCTTTCTTTTTTTTTTTTCTTTTTTTTTTTTGAGATGGGAGTCTCTCTCTGTCACCCAGGCTGGAGTGCTGTGGCACTATCTTGGCTCACTGCAACCTCCGCCCCCTGGGTTCAAGCAATTCTCCTGTCTCAGCCTCCCGAGTAGCTGGGACTACAGGCGCCTGCCACCATGCCCAGCTAATTTTTGTGTTTTTAGTAGAGACGGGGTTTTACCATATAGGTCAGGCTGCTCTCGAGTTCCTGACCTCAGGTGATCTGCCTGCCTTGGCCTCCCAAAGTGCTGGGATTATATGCGTGAGCCACCGAGCCTGGCCTAACTTTCTATTTCAACTGCACAGAACTACCCATACGTGTCAGCAGGGGCCTACTTTCCTTCACATTAGGTTTTCACAGTCTTTTCCCTCTGCCTGGAATACCTGCTCTGCCTTTTCTGCTCCAGCTAGGTTGGCATATTTGCAGGTTTCAAATCTGCCTGTCATATTCCATCCTCAGAGCCTTTACGATGACTGTTCCGTCTGCCTGGAATGTTCCGCCCTGACGTTTCCGCATGGCTTGCCCTTCATTTCATTCAATCTCCACATTTCCACTCAAATCCTACCTCTCAGCCATCACTGTCAATTGCCCTCCACCCGAAGACCACCAGGATCCCACCTATAGTGGAGCACTTGGGGTTTATGGCTGGTTGCAGTGAAGGGGAACGCACGCCATGGGGCACTGTGGGCGTATCAGTGAGGGGGTGTCAGAAAGAACTTGTAGGGTTTGGGCTTGTTTCTGTCTAGTTCCATCACAGCCACAGAGTGGCCTTGTCTGATGTTGATGTTCTGTGAAACTGTTTATGTTCAACAGGAGAGCACCATGGGCCTGCAGTGAGTGCCAGGCCAAGGTCTGGACAGCAAGAACTGCTTTACTCTTCTTCACCACTGAATCCTTAGTGCATAGAACAGCAGCTGCAGGGAGGGTGGCAGGTGTCGAATGAAAACGTATCGAATGAATCGATCAAGTCTGTCTGCCTGGCAAATTCTTACTCCACATTCAAGTGCCCAGCCAGAAGCCCCTCTTCTGGGTGCCGTCCCTGACTCTCCTGGGCGGACCCTGATCTGGGCCCGGGCTGTGCCTGCAGAGTCTCACTAGAGCGGCTCCTGTGAGTCATGTCAGGGGGCTCTGCAGCCAGTCTCCCCACTGTGCTGCGAATGCCTTGAAGGCAGAGACACATCCCTTCCCTTAGAAGCCCCAGTGCTAAATACAGAGCAGGTGCGCCATAACTTTAGTGTGACTGACAGACCAGCTGCAGGCCCAGCTCTGCTGTGTTTGAACTGTGCCTCTGGCAGGGGCTCCAGAATTCTGTGTGTGTTCCCTGAGAGTATAGGACCTGTGGGCCACTGGGTGGGAAATCATTAAACAGGAGAAGCCCAGGCCCCAGCAGCCAGAGGGTATGTTTGTGAGTTTGTGATTCTCTGGGACACCTTCAGGGCCTGAGGACTTTGGCCCCCATGTGAGGCCTCTGCAGTGTGACTCCATCTGGGCCTGGCTCCTCCTCAAAAAATGCCCCCAACCAGGAGCGGTGGCTCACGCATGTAATCCCAGCACTTTGGGAGGCCAAGGCGGGCGGATCACCTGAGGTCAGGAGTTTGAGACCAGCTTGGCCAACATGGTGAAATCCCACCTTTACTAAAAATACAAAAATTAGCCAGGCATAGTGGCACACGCCTGTAGTCCCAGCCACTCTGGAGGCTGAGACGGGAGAATCACTTGAACCCAGGAGGCAGAGATTGCAGCAAGCCAAGATCGCACCACCACATTCCAGCTTGGGTGACAGACTGACTCTGTCTCAAAAAAAAAAAAAAAAAAAAAAAAAGACCCCCATCCCTGTCGCCCAAGGCCCAGAGGAGGCTGATGGAAGCCCGCAGTTTCCAGGAAGGGCAGAGGAAGAGGCAGTAAGAGCCCAGGCACCTCCAAAACAGGGGCCATGGGCGGGGGGCGGAGAGGGAGGAGGGACCTGGTTATCTGGCTCTATTCTCACAGCAACCCCTTAAGGTATATACAACTATTATCTTTATTTTACAGATGAAGAAACAGAGGCACAAAGAGGTTAAGTAACTTGCCTAGAGATACACAGCTAACAAGTGGCAAGTGGGATTTGGACTCAGGTCTATCTAATCCTCAAACCCATGTCCTGGACCCCTACACAGACTGCCCTCCCTCAGTCCTCTGTGTGGCCTCAAGAAGGGTCTGGACATTCAAGTTTAAAAATCCATCCAAAGAATCTATGGACCCAGTGGTCTCTGGAGTCAATGTTCTGAGGCTCAGAAGGGCCAGGCAGGAGGGAGCCGCCTCTACACAGTCCTGAGCAGAGTGGGCTGTGTCCCGGCACAGCAGGGGAGATCATAGACAGAATTCTGCCCTGGGCCCTATTTAAGTAGGACCTTTAGGCTGCCGGTGTCATGACCACAGGTCCCAGGTCTGCACGATTGGCTGTGTGTGGAAAATCTTCACTCCTTGCGGCCTTGTCCTTGGCAGAGAGCACCGCTGCTTCCTCTGATGGCCACCAGGGGGAGGCGCTCCCCTGGGAACGGTTTGAAGGGGAGCCTCACCCCACACGTGCCTTCCGTGGTACCCAGCACCAGCTGCTACCCATGGTTACCCACAGGCCCAGCTCTGCTCTGAGGAGGGAGGAGTGGTGGCGATCAGGCCTTGTCTGCATCCCGTGGCTGCCCCTTTCTTTTCTTTCTTTCTTTCTTTTTCTTTTTTTTTTTTTTTTTGAGATGGAGTCTCACTCTGTTGCCCAGGCTAGAGTGCAATGGCACAGTCTCGGCTCACTGCAACCTCTGCCTCCCAGGTTCAAGCGATTCTCCTGCCTCAGCCTCCCAAGTAGCTGGGATTACAGGCATGCGCCACCACGCCCAGCTAATTTTTGTATTTTTAGTAGAGACGGGGTTTCACCATGTTGGCCAGGCTGGTCTTGAACTGCTGACCTCAGGTGATCCACCCACCTCGGCCTCCCGAAGTGCTGAGATTACAGGCGTGAGCCACCGCCCCCAGACGTGGCCTCCCCTTTCAAAGAATAACCCTCAGCGTGTGTGTGTGTGTGTGTGTGTGTGTGTGTGTGTGTGTGACTGGGGAACACACGGGCTCAGTCTGTTATCCTGAGAGGAAATTCATAGTGAAGCATAAAAGCCCCTGAGTGGGCTGGGGACAGTGGCTCACACCTGTAATCTCAGCACTTTGGGAGGCCAAGGTGGGCAAATCATTTGAGGTCAGGAATTCAAGACCAGCGTGGCCAACATGGTGAGACCCTGTCTCTACTAAAAATACAAAACTTAGCCAGGTGTAGTGGCGCATGCCTGTCGTCACAGCTACTTGGGAGGCTGAGGCAGGAGAATCGCTTGAACCTGGGAGATGGAGGCTGCAGTGAGCCAAGATCCCACCACTGCACTCCAGCATGGGCAACAGAGTGAGACTCCATCTTTAAAAAAAAAAAATGCCTATTGGATTTTAATGAAACCATCTCTCCTCTTTTACCTGAATGAAAGCAGACATGGGACTTTCTACAGGTACGGCAGCCTCACAATTCAGTGCTGGACTTCCAGCCAAGACGGCAGAGTGGGCTCACGCTGTGGCCTCCTCTCTCTGTTCCAAACACACAGCAATCAGGAATAAAATAGAAAAAATGATAAACAAAAGGACATAGTTGGGCCCCAACCAAAATGGCTATCTCTGTGTACCACAAGCAGATCAGAAATGCAAATTGGTGACTGGGGCCAGGGGCCTGCTGGCCTCGGGGTCTGGAAACAGCAGTAGCTGCCAGACACAGAGCTCCTGGTAAGGGAGTTAAAGTGCTCCATGCTACAAAGGGGCCAACAGCCAGGTGTCTGGAAGCCAGGGCTCGGGGAAGGTTCCCTCTGCTTGTGAAAAGAATCGGGGGTGGCGGGGATGGAGTGAGGAAGCCAGCTGTCCACAAATAGCTTGGGGCTTGAGTTGTGGGAAGATGAGGACAGACTCTTGACTAGATGCTGAGCCAAGCCACCCTCTGGCTACGTGCTTGTAGCTGTGGTGTCCTCATGCCACAACAGAGTAGAGCCCTGCAATGCTATTGTAAGACCTCAACTGGGCCTGAGGTCCTAGCTCAGGATAGTTAGAGACAGAGTGAAAAACAGATGTAAAAACAAGGTGGAAAACCCTCCAACTCACTGTAAAGTTGTAAGCCAAAATAGATGAGAAACAATGGTAAGAAAAACAGTCAACAAGGCCGGGCGTGGTGGCTCGTGCCTGTAATCCCAGCACTTTGGGAGGTGAAGGTGGGAGGATCACCTGGGGTCAGGAGTTCAAGACCAGCCTGGCCAACATAGTGAAATCCCATCTTTAGAAAAAAAAAAAAGCAAGAAAGAAAAGCAGTCAACAGAATCACCATGTGGAATATGAGTTCACTGCAGATTAAATTAATTTTGTGAAAGTCTTACAAAGAATTAAAAATGTTTAGGATGCCAAAAATGGCAAATGAAGGCTTAATATCCATTGGAAATTAACAAGACATAAATGAAGGCAGATCAAAATGAAACTAGAACAAGTAGATGTGAAAAGAATCAATTAGAAATCTTAGAAATAGAAAGTTTGTTCATTAAAAGAAAGCTCAGTAGACAGAATAAATGATGCAAAAAGAGAATTATTGAGTTAGAAGACATTACTTAGGAATTAACATGAATACAATACACAAAGATTAAAAAATATAAAAGCAGTTATGAGATATGAAGGACAGCTTGCATGAAGGGCTATGTATGTCTAATAGGAGTTTCAGAGGAAGAGAATAAAGGGAATGGCAGTGAAAAATACATGAGGAAATAGTAGCTGAGAAATTTCCTTGGGGAAATTGCAGAACATCAAGGGCAAAGAGAATAAAACCTTACCATGGACCTGAGAAAAAGACAGATTACTTAAAAAGTAATTTCTGGACCTCAGCAAAGACTGAGGCTGGGGATGAGGGGGTAGTATCTTCAAAGTGCCAATTGGATTTTTATGCCCAGCTAACTTACAGTGGAAATTTAAGACAAAAGGGGCGTTTCGATACATGTAAAGTGCAGCCCCTCATTTAAAGAATTATTATAGGTTATACACTTCAGGAAGAAAAATGAACCAGAAAAAAAGGGGAGAGCACATGAAACACTGTTAAGCATAGAAATAGATAAAACATGTTGATAAATTTAAATGAGTGTTGACTACAACAGAAACTCCTTTATTTTTTATTTATTTATTTTTGAGACCGAGTCTCTGTCACCCAGGCTGGTGTGCAGTTTTGTGATCTCGGCTCACTGCAACCTCTGCCTCCCGAGTTCAAGCAATTCTCATGCCTTGGCCTCCTGAGTGGCTGGGACAGGCCTGGCTAATTTTTGCTTTTTTTTTTTTTGTTTTTTTGAGACGATGTCTTGCTCTGTCTCCAGGCAGGAGTGCAGTGGTGCTATCTCGGCTCACTGCAACCTCCGCCTCCTGGGTTCAAGGAATTCTCCTGTCTCAGCCTCCCGAGTAGCTGGGACTATAGGCACGCACCACCATGCCCAGCTAATTTTTGTATTTTTAGTATAGACGGGGTTTCACCATGTTGGCCAGGATGGTCTCAAACTCCTGACCTCGTGATCCGCCCGCCTTGGCCTCCCAAAGTGCTGGCATTACAGGCGTGAGCCACAGTGCCTGGCCTAATTTTTGCATTTTTAGTAGAGATGGGGTTTCACCATGTTTGTCAGGCTGTTCTTGAACTTCTGACCTCAGGTGATCCACCCTCCTCGGCCTCCCAAAGTGCTGGGATTTACAGGCATGAGCCACCATGACTGGCCAAAAACTCATTTAAACTTCTCATTTTTATTAAAGATATACATATTCATGTTTTTTTAGAACTCAAATAACTCTGCAGGGCTTATGTGGGAGCCAGCTTCTGGTCTGGCCCCAGTGATCCTCACCTCCTGGTGCTCATGCCCTTGTGTCACACCTTTCCACAATGAATAGGGCTGATCTGTGTAACCGGTAGGGTGGTGCAGAAAATAATGGTGTGTGACATCTCAGCTTAAGTGATGACAGACATTGCAGCTTCCACCTGTTTATTATTGTTATTATTGTTATTATTTTTGAGATAGGATCTCACTCTGTCGCCCAGGCTGGAGTGCAGTGGCACAATCGTGGCTCACTGCAGCCTTGACCTCCTGGGTGCAAGCGATCCTCCTGCCTCAGCCACCTGAGTAGCTGGGACTAGAGGTATGTGTCACCACTCCCAGCATATTTTATTGTTGTTTCAATCAGTTATTGTTATTTCAATAGTAATAGAGAACTGATACACTCACTTATGAACATAAATACAAAAGTCATAAATAAAATATGAGCAAAATGAATTAACTAGCCTATTTTTAGAGTTTAATACTAGAATGTAAGAATGTTTAACTTAATTTATGAATACTACTCACCATATTAAAAAATTAAAGGAGAAAATATTGATCATCTTAATAGATGCAGAAAATTCATGTGATAAAAAATTATATCCATTCATGGTAAAACTTAACCAAATTTGGAATAAAAGGAAGCTTTTTGAACATGATAAGGGTTATCTACCAAAAATCACCAGCAAACAAACTCAAATGGCACAAATCTTTTTTTTTTTTTTTTTTTTGAGATGTAGTCTTGCTCTGTCGCCCAGGCTGGAGTGCAGTGGTGCCATCTCAGCTCACTGTAACTTTTGCCTCCTGGGTTCAAGTGATTCTCCTGCCTCAGCCTCCTGAGTAGCTGAGACCACAGGCACCCACCACCAAACCTGGCTAGTTTTTGTATTTTTAGTAGAGATGGGGTTTCACCACATTGGCCAGGCTGGTCTTGAACTCCTGACCTCAGGTGATCTGCCTGCCTTGGCCTTCTGAAGTGCTGGGATTACAGGTGTGAGCCACCACGCCCAGCCCAGAAGCATTCTTTTAAACTCAGGAGTAAAACAAGGATGGCTGTTCTCATCACGTCTTTTCCACATTGGAGAACCTAGCCTATGCAATAATATAAGAAAAATGGTATAAGAATTGGAAAGGAAGAAATCCAAATGTGGCTAACCTCAAAAACATAAAGTTGAGCAAAAAATCACTTTGTATCACTTTGTAAAATGACATACAGAATGTGATACATTTTATATATAGTTTGAAAACGTAATGGGTATGTAGTTACATATATTTTATATAGTATAAACATACAGGAGAAAGATAAATGTCAGAATTCCATAGAGCTGGGTGTTGGGTGCTTGGGTGTCAGATATGTTAGTGTCTTTACTTTTTTGTTTGAAATATTGTAAAAGGAATAACAATCCAGATTTATGTAACTTAGTTAAGAAAGAATGGCCTCTGAGCTCCTTGTGTGTGCAAATTTCATGATTCTAGGGTTCTTGACATCCCTGTCCTGCTATATTGTGAACTCCCTGACCTTAGGGGCATTGTCTTTTTTTGCTCTTTATATTTCTAGGGCCTAGCATGGTATAGATGTTCAACCTGTGTTTGTTGACTGACTGAGTGAATGGAGAAAGAGGGAAATGCAAAAGAAAGAAGGAAAGGAGGAGGATGGATATGAACTCTGAGACAATTCTTTGACTGCCTGCATCTGACATGGACTTGTATGGAAAGAAGCAGATGGGTTTAAGCAAAGGTAGGGAAATTAGCTCAGCTGGACTTCAGGCATGATTAGAGGAAGAAGTCCAGGATGTTTTGTGAGCCTCCCAGTAGAAGGATGGCGTTGATGGCATCACCATCTAGGTAGGGAGCCCAGAAGGACATGCACGTTTAGGAGGATAAGTGCAGTCTAATTTTAGACAGGGCTGTGAGACCTCCAGGTGTAAACATCCAGCTTGTACTAGGATATGTGGGTCTAGTGCTTGCGAGAGAAGCTGGGGCTAGAAATGGAAACTCTATTGTTATAGGAGAAAGGTGATAAGTAGCATGGTAATCCATAAGCTTCTCCAGGGAGAGTGGGGAGGATGAGGAGAGGAGGAGGCTGCTGACAGAGTCGTGGGGAGCATCAACATGTAAGGACTGGGCAGAGGGAAATAACTCAGGTGAGGAGGCTGAGATGAGAATCCAAAGAAGTAGGAGAAGAACAGGAGAGGCAAGGAAAGAAAGCTTCAGGAGAGAGTGAGTTCAGTGGGGTCAGATAAGGAAAAAAGATCAAGAAATATAAAAACTGAAGTGTCCTTTGAATTTGGCAAATGGCGGTCACTTGTGGCCTTTGCTGGAAGAGTTTCATTAGAGAAGTGGGAGGAGAAACAGGTTGTGCTGTGTCATCAGTGGTGGTGAGCTAAATCCAAGTAAATGTGCTAGACTGAATCTCGAAACCCACTTTTTTTCAGATGCCTAGCCTTGAGGGGTGGAGACAGGTTGGCCGATGAGATCATGGGGTGGATTTGGGGGATAGGAAATAGTTGACTCAATAAACTAAGAGAAGGAATCTGAAGACAGATTTAATTGTGGGAGAGGCCAGGTATGGTGGCTCATGCCTGTAATCCCAGCACTTTGTGAGGCCAAACCAGGAGAATCACTTGAGGCCAGGAGTTTGGGACCAACCTGGGCAACACAGTGAGACCCCTATCTCTAAAAAAAAAAAAAATTGTGGGAGAAAGGGGAGATAATGGATGAATAAGGTTTTGGAGGAAATGGAAGAATGTACAAATACCAGCAATACTGATTAGTCCTGCTAATACTGGTGCTAGCAAACACTTACAGAGCCCCTTCTATGTGCTGAGAGCTTTTCTAAGTACTTAACATACATTTGGCTCATTTAATCTTTTTTTTTTTTGAGACAGAATCTTGCTCTGTTGCCCAGACTGGAGTGCAGTGGTTCAATCTCAGCTCACTGCAACCTCTGCCTCCAAGGTCAAGGGATTCTTGTGCCTCAGCCTCCTGAGTAGCTGGGATTACAGGTGCCTGCCACCATGCCTGGCTAATTTTTGTATTATTATTAATTTTTTTTTGAGACAGAGGCTTCACTCTTGTTGCCCAGACTGGAGTGCAATGGTGCCATCTCAGCTCACCACAACCTCTGCCTCCTGGGTTCAAGTGATTCTCCCGCTTCAGCTTCCCAAGTAGCTGAGATTACAGGCATGTGCCACCACGCCCAACTGATATTGTATTTTTAGTAGAGACAGGGTTTCTCCATGTTGGTCAGGCTGGTCTCGAACTCCCGACCTCAGGTGATCTGCCCACCTTGGCCTCCGAAAGTGCTGGGATTACAGGCGTGAGCCACCGCGCCCGGCTTAATTTTTGTATGTTTAGTAGAGACAGGGTTTCACTATGTTGGCCAGGCTGGTCTCAAACTCCTGACCTCAAGCAATCTACCTGCCTCAGCCTCCCAAAGTGCTGGAATTACAGGCGTGAGCCACAGCACCCAGCCTCATTTATTCTTTCTAACAATCCTATGAGGTAGGTGCTGTAATCACCTAATTTTACAGTTGAGGAAACAGAGGCACTGAGAAGTGAAGTAATTACCATCATTACCATGTATTGAGCTCTTTCTCTTTTCTTTTTCTTTTTTTTTTTTGAGATGAAGTCTCACCCTGTCACCCAGGCTGGAGTGCAGTGGTGTGATCTTGGCTCACTGCAGCCTCTGCCTCCCGGGTTCAAGCGATTCTCCTGCCTCAGCTTCCCAAGTAGCTGGGACTACAGGTGCACACCACCATGCCCGGCTAATTTTTGTATTTTTTTTTAGTAGAGATGGGGTTTCACCATGTTGGCCAGGCTGGTCTTGAACTCCTGACCTCAGGTGATCTGCCCACCTCGGCCTCCCAAAGTGCTGGGATTACAGGCATGAGCCACTGTGCCCAGCCGAGCTCTTTGTATTGATAAGGTACTACATGAAGAATTCACAAGTCTTACTCCTGACAACTCTGCGATGTATTCGGAGATGAGTTTTACATAGCAGGTAGAGCAAGGACACGGTGAGAGGCAGTGAGAACACAGATGGAGAGTTTGCCTCAGGCTCTGATTCTAGAGGGAGGGATGGATGTGGGTTCAGAGACGGTTGTGGACTTCAGGGAGGGAGGGGGAGAAAGCAGTAGGAATTTGAGGCAGTTCAGGGCAATGGGTTTGATTTCTTTGGTAACGTAGAGAAGGAACACATTTATTGTAGAAAACACAGGTAGTGATAAAAGAAAACAAGAGTATTTTAATATCAATCCCTTGTCACAACCACTCTTAACATTTTGCTGTGTTTCTTTCCAGAACTTTTTTTTTTCCGAGATAGAGTCTTGCTCTGTCTTACCCACGCTGGAGTGCAGTGGCAAGATCCTGGCTCACTGAAGCCTCCACCTCCCCAGTTCAAGCGATTCTCCTGTCTCAGACTCCCGAGTAGCTGGGATTACAGGCACGTGCCACCACACGGGCTAATTTTGTATTTTTAGTAGAGATGGGGTTTCACAATGTTGGACAGGCTGGTCTCGAACTGCTGACCTCAGGTGATCCACCCGCCTTGGCTTCCCAAAGTTCTGGGATTACAGGCACGAGCCACCATGCCAGGCCTCTTTCCAGAACTTTCTTTAAGAATCCATATGCAAGTGTATATGCATAACAGAGAGAGGTCAGTCCTTCCTTCTGATGGAGAGGTTAAGAGTCAAAATAAACAGACCCAGAAGCTGGGGGTGGGGTGGGAGTAGGGCCTCCTGGCATCACTGAGGGGAGCATGTAGCAGATGGGTGCCCAGTGAGTGGCCCAGTTGTCTGAGGAAAATGGTGTGGGGTATGAAGACTCCCTTTGTGTTTAGAGCATGTAGAAGACCAGCCCGCAGGTCCCTGAGAGAGGATATAGGAGAGATGGAGGTGAGTGGCTATGACTGCAAGAAGGGGAAGGGGCTGGACTTTGTCCTGCCCCCATACCTGTGGGTCAGCCTTGGGACCCTCTTTGACCCTTCGAAGAACCCACAGGAATCGATGGAGCCAAGCACCCAGGCTGCGCCTTTACCTTTCAGGCCTGTTCTCCAGAAGCAAGATCACTGCTTTGATGAAGATGGGCTCCTGCTGTCCAGGCCCTTCACTTAATAATGTATTGTAAATCTTAATAATGTATTGTAAATCTTAATAATGTATTGTAAATCTTGTAAATCTTTTTCCATTTCATTCAGTGTTTGCTGCGCATCAGGATGTTTGGTGGACATTCCATTGTGGATGGACCCTGGCTTCTTGCCCAACCGCTTATGTTGGAAATGCCCACCAGACTGGACCTCCCTGGAGACCAAACGCAGCCCATCTTGGGAGCTGGCCAGTGCCACATCCTCCCCCTCTTGCAGGGACCAGCTGAGTCAGTTGCTCCATCTCGCACCTCTCAACACCTTCCTGTGTGGCACTGGACCACCTGTGGAAGCCCTGGCATGCCTTGCTACCATAGCTCGCAGAAGTTATGGAGAAAAGGAGGCCCACACAGACTGAGAAAACACCAAGGCGAGGGCATGGCTGGGATCCCAGCGCAGGATCCCCGTTCTTCTGCAGTCACAGTCTTGGCTGAACTGAGCCCTTTCCTCCCAGTGTTTGGCTTGGATGCTAGACCAGGTGAGTCAGCCGTCCTGGCGCACTCTTTTGAGCTGAAAGTCACATCCAGATGGGGCTCTTGCCAGAAGGGCAGAATTATCGATCTCGTCTTCCCAGCCCGCTCTCTGAAACTAGGTCCCAGAACGTGTCCTGTGGGGAAGTGGGCAATGACAAGCCATAGGAGCTGACATAGATCAGCTCTAAGTAGCACGGAGCCTCTCATAGTCACCCAGGGTCTGGGCCCTCAAGCGAGAGACACACTTCTCTATGTGTCCTCAGATTCTTGGGCTTGAGCATGCACCTCCCAGAGGATGCCAGATAGACCTGGTTGGAATCCCAGCTTCATCACTGGCCAGTTGGGTGACCTTGGCCTTACCTCTCTGGGCCCTCAGAGATGAATTATTCTCATCTTAAAAATGGAAAATGTTGTCTGAGCTTATGAAGATAAAAAGGTCAATGCATATAAATAGAATAATAGGGCCTTAAAATTTCCACTAGACACTAATATGCACCATAGATGTGAAGATCCAAAGTGAGAGCCCGAGTCACCTTATGGAAGATTTTCTATGGAAATGCCAAAAAATCTGATCCAAGACTTTGAAACCCCTTTCCCACTTTGAGACACTGAAAATGTAGACAGACAGGTGATGGGAGGATGTTGTATGGCGGACGTCCTTGAAGAAAGCTGTGCTGTGAGTCCCATCCTGGGGACAGGTGAGCTCCTGCTCCCTTACCTCACACTTGGTAAGGGTGAGTGTCTGTGGGGCAGCTTCTTTAAGAGTCTAACATGAGGCCAGGTGTGGTGGCTCACACCTGTAATCCTAGCACTTTGGGAGGCCAAGCCGGGCAGATCATGAGGTCAGGAGTTCGAGACCAGCCTGGCCAACATGGTGAAACCCCATCGGTACTAAAAATACAAAAATTAGCTAGGTGCGGTGGCACACGCCTGTAATCCCAGCACTTTGGGAGGCCAAGCCAGGCGGATCATGAGGTCAGGAATTCTAGACCAGCCTGGCCAACATGGTGAAACCCCATCTCTACTAAAAATAAAAAAATCAGCTGGGCATGGTGGCAGGCACCTGTAATCCCAGCTACTCGGGAGGCTGAGGCAGGAGAATCACTTGAACCCAGGAGGCGGAGGTTGCAGTGAGCTGAGATTGCGCCACTGCACTCCAGCCCGGATGACAGAGTGAGACTCCGTCTCAAAAAAGAAAAAGAAAAAACAGAGCCTAACATGAGACCCCTACAACTGGGGAGCGGGGTGGCCTGGGGTCTAGTTTCACCTGGGAAATCTGGAAGGTGACAGGAGGGCTCACCAGCTGCTCTGGTGGGGCTGCTGCCACCTCACTGGGACCAGCCTGCACCCTCAGAGTTTTTTCTGGGGTAGGGAGGCAGGAGAGTTTCTTCTGAACAGACGTAGGTCCTGTGGCAGAGAGAGCCTGCAAGGACTCCCTGTCTTGAGTCTATGTAGAGGGATCCTAGCGGGAGAAGGTTGGAACTGAATGCCCATGGGCTGAGGATGGGGTCTCAGATGACCACCCGAAATGAGATTGGACTTGAGACACATCCATAGATAAAAGAGGATTTTGGGAGAAAGGCTGAGGCGGCACTCAGCCGGTAACTTGAGTGGAGGGGGTGTAAAATCACTCCATGAAAAAGAGGCAAAATTTAACATCTGCCTGCCAAGACAGTCTGAAGCCAATTCTATGGTAACTGGCTCGGGGAGGCCAAGTGGAACGAGAGAGAAGACAAAGCCCTCTCCATTGTGTCCACTGGAGGTTCCCAGCTGGCCAGGCACAAGCTGGGGGAAGAGAGAAGGATGTAAGGTAAAAATAAGCTCAGAGTTTTGATGAATACCTCACATTAAAGTTCCAATTTCTGGCTTGAGACTGCGTTTGCAACTAAAAGCAACCACAGACTATTCTAAGCATGAGCAGAAAAATCTCAGGCCTGCTGAAATTGGCATCCAGGCTGGGGAGGGTGTCCTATTCTGAATAATTATGGTGCAAAGAAATAGCACACTGGTTACTTAAGGCTCAGCAGCTTGGCAGCTGGGACACGCACAGCAATAGCTCTTTGTTTCACTGCCCCAGTCACCTGATGGTCTTTGGTTCACAGACTACTCTTTCTCTAGCTCATAGATTATTCCTTGAAGGATGTTTGTCTGAATATCAAGGTCAAGTTCTCTTAGCAAACGCCACTTCTTACCACTGATTATCTTGAGCCTAATTTCCCTAGAAGTCAGATGGGCCGGGTGTGGTGGCTCACACCTGTAATCCCAGCACTTTGGGAGGCTGAGGCGGGCAGATCACCTGAGGTCAGGAGCTCAAGACCAGCCTGGCCAACATGGTGAAACCCTGTCCCTACTAAAAATACAAAAATTAGCCATGGCAGTGGGAGCCTGTAATCCTAGCTACTCAGGAGGCTGAGGCAGGAGAATCACTTGAACCCGGGAGGCGGAGGTTGTTGTGAGCCAAGATCGCGCCATTGCACTCCAGCCTGGGCAACAGAGCAAAACTCCGTCTCAAAAACAAAAACAAAGAAGTCAGATAACCTCCCTGATGGATACTATCCTGAGAGAGAGAAGAACATGCCATGTTTTTTTCTCTGTTCCAGACAGCGGCAGTGCTACCCAAGAATCAGGCCAGGAGATGGAACCAGGCAGGCTGGCTTCTGCCTCTTAGAAGTCATGTGGCCCCATGGACAGACTTAAGCTCTCTGCCCTACTAGCTGGTCATCTGTAAAACAGTTGATAGTAATAATGTGTATCTCATAGGGTTAAGAGTATGTAATAAAATTATCTATTAGGTTCAACCCTAGAAATCCCTAACATTCAACCATTTTTTACTCTACAAAAATAGCAGTTTCTAATGATTCATCCAAATATGTAAACAATGCTTTGCAACCTCTCCATTGCTAGTTATTGTGTTAGACAAAACAAAACAGCAGTAACAACAAAATGTTTCCATCCGTGCTCCGAATAATGAGTCTCCAGAATTCTGTTTCCAGGAATGTCTCAAGGAGCCTGGTGAGTTGTAAAGCAGCCACGATCGACAGCTCAAGACCTGTGAATGCTCAAGACCTTCCTGGTTTCCTTGCTAGATTTTCCCAGTGCCCAGAGAGCTCACTGTCTCTCTTCTGGGCCTCACTGCAAAAACAAGCACAACCTGTGCCTCAAACACAAAAAACTCTCAATCATATTCTGAAATTTCACTACACTGCATCTCAATGGATGTTTATTGCATTCATCCTGCTTAACATCAAGTGCACCCTCTCAATTCTAAAGACTCGCATTTTTCTTTGGGTTTGAGAAATATTCATTTATTCTTTTTGTTTTTTGAGAATGGGTCTCACTCTGTCACCCAGGCTGGAGTGCAGTGGCGCCATCATGGGTCACTGCAGCCTCAACCTCCCAGGCTCAAGCAATCCTCCCACCTCAGCCTCCCAAGTAGCTGGGATTACAGGCACAAGCCACCACACCCAGCGTTTTGTTTTTTTTTTGTAGAAATGAGGTCTTGCTGTGTTGCCCAGGCTTGTCTTGAACTTCTGGCCTCAAGGGATTCTCCTTTCTTGGCTTCCCAAAGTGTTGGGATCACAGCCTTGAGCCAGCACGCCTGGCCTATTCATCTATTCTTTAAAAACTATATCACTCGGGCCAGGCGTGGTGGCTCACGCCTGTAATCCCAGCACTTTGGGAGGCTGAGGCGGATGGATCATGAGGTCAGGAGATCGAGACTAACACGGTGAAACCCCATCTTTACTAAAAATACAAAAAATTAGCTGGACGTGGTGGTGGGCGCCTGTAGTCTCAGCTACTCGGGAGGCTGAAGCAAGAGAATGGCGTGAACCTGGGAGGCGGAGCTTGTGGTGATCTGAGATGGGGCCACTGCACTCCAGCCTGGGTGACAGAGCAAGACTCTGTCTCAAAAAAAAAAAAAAAATGTGTGTGTATATATATATACACATTATATATATATACATTATATATATATACATTATATATATATATACACATTATATATATATATGGCTTGTCAGGTTGATAAATTTGACTATATAAAAATTAAAAACTTGTGTATGAGAAAAGACTATATAAATGCAATAGAAAAAAGAGTTAAAGAGGAAGTTCACAGAAAAAGTGTCCCAAATGTCTAATAGACCGTGAAGGATAATCAGCCTTAGCAGAAATCAGGGTCATGCAAATTAAAATTATAGTGAGGTATAATTTCTCACCTATGAAATTGGAAAAGCTAAAAAGTCTGAAAATAATAAGTATTGGTGAGGATAAGGAAAATAGGAAGAGCTGTATACTGCTCGTGGAAGTATAAATAGAAGAGTAATTTGGCAGAATCTAGTAAAATAGGAAATGTGCAAATCCTATCATTTTGTAATTTTTCTAGATATACACTTGGAGAAACCTTCATCTATGTGCAGAAGGCAATATGTACTATTATTATATTGTTTCATTGTTTCGTGATGGTAAAAATTTGGAACTACTGCATAAGTCCATCTATAAATAAAGCACTATATAAAAATGTGGTATAGTTAGTTGTACAGTGAAATGTTCTATAGCAGTGTGCAGAAATTAACTGGCTGTTTATAAATGTGGAGAAAGCCAAAACTTATAGTGCTGAGTGAAAATAGCTAGTTGCAGAACCCTACATACAGTATGTTATTACTTAAAGCCACATACAAAGGCATCATATATATTATATACATTCTTATACTGTGTATTGTATTGGAAAAGTATATACAAATTTATGATGGTGGTTGCTGCCCTAAGGGAAAGGGAGGAGATTGGGGTCAGTAAGACCATTAGCCTTGTTTGTAATGTTTTATTTCTTTTAAAACATTAATTGAGCTGGGCACAGTGGTTCATGCCTGTAATCCCAGCACTTTGGGAGGCCAAGGCAGGAGGATCACCTGAGGTCTGGAGTTCGAGACCAGCCTGGCCAACATGGTGAAGCCCTGTCTCTACTAAAAACTCAAAAATTAGCTGGGCATGGTGGTGTGCATCTGTAACCCCAGCTATATGGGAGGCTGAGGCACGAGAATCGCTTGATCCCAGGAGGTGGAGGTTTCAGTGAGCCGAGATCATGCTACCGCACTCCAGCCTGGGTGACAGAGTGAGACTCGGTCTCATGAAAAAAAAAAATTAATTGAAGCACATGTAGTAAAACAATAAATTGTCAGTATTGATTGGTGGTAACATAGTATTATATTATTTGCTGTTCTATTTTGTAACTTTAACATTTAAAAAATTCTATTCTGTTTTCTTCTTCTGGAACATCCATTAGAGGGATGTTGGAACTTCAGAATGTATTTTTCATATCTCTTAAATATATTAATTTATATTTTTCTTTTCTCATGCTGCATTCCAGAAGGGTCTCTCAGCTCAATTTTCCAGCTCAGTAATTCTTTTTATCTAACCTCTTTTTTGTTTTCCTTTTATAATACTGTTTTTATCATATTGTTAAAATAGTCACTGGTCAGTGTTTGTGTTTACAAAACCATTTTTGTTAAGACTTTGTCCCCTCTTTTGTCTGTCTATGTGAAGATGTTAGGAAGAAATGAAGCCGGCCAGGCGCAGTGGCTCACGCCTGTAATCCCAGCACTTTGTGAGGCCGAGGGGGGCAGATCACAAGGTCAGGAGTTTGAGACCATCCTGACCGATATGGTGAAACCCTGTCTCTACTAAAAATACAAAAATTAGCCAGGTGTTGTGGCTCATGCCTGTAATCCCAGCTACTGAGGAGGCTGAGGCAGGAGAATCACTTGAACCTGGGAGGCAGAGGTTGTAGAAAGCCGAGATTGCACCACTGCACTCCAGCCTGGGTGACAGAGTGAGACTCCATCTCAAAAAAAAGAAAGAAATGGTCTACCTCATATATACACACACACACATACACACACACACACACACACACACATAGCTATATGCTTATTAGAATGTCCAAGATAATAATTTAAAAAATGAACAATACAAAGAAATGGTCACAGGAACTCTGAAATACTGCTCAAGGGTATGCAAAATGATATGGTCATTTTTTTTTTAAATTTTACTTTAAGTTCTGGGATACATGTGCAGAACATGCAGGTTTGTTACATAGGTATACATGTGCCATGGTGGTTTGCTGCACCTATCAACCCATCATCTAGGTTTTAAGCCCCACATGCATTAGATATTTGTCCTAATGCTCTCCCTCCCCTTTCCCCCCACCCACCAACAGGCCGTGGTGTGTGATGTTCCCCTCCCTGTGTCCATGTGTTCTCATTGTTCAACTCCCACTTATGAGTGAGAAAATGTGGTGTTTGGTTTTCTGTTCCTGCGTTAGTTTGCTGAAGATGATGGTTTACAGCTTCATCCAGGTCCCTGCAAAGGACATGAGCTCATTCTTTTTTATGGCTGCATAGTATTCCATGGTGTATATGTACCACATTTTCTTTATCCAGTCTATCATTGATGGGCATTTGGGTTGGTTCCAAGTCTTTGCTATTGTAAATAATGCTGCAAAAAAGTATGTGTGCATGTGTCTTTATAGTAGAATGATTCATATTCCTTTGGGTATATACCCAGTAATGGGATTGCTGGGTCAAATGGTATTTCTGGTTCTAGATCCTTGAGGTATTTCCACACTGTCTTCCACAGTGATTGAACTAATTTACACTCCCACCAACAGTGTAAAAGCCTTCCTATTACTTCACATCCTCACCAGCATCTGTTGCTTCCAGACTTTTTAATGATCGCCATTCTAACTGGCATGAGAAGGTATCTCATTGTGGTTTTGATTTGCATTTCTCTAATGACCAGTGATGATGAGCTTTTTTTCATATGTTTGTTGGCCGCATAAATGTCTTCTTTTGAGACGTGTCTGTTCATATCCTTCACCTACATTTTTTTTTTTTGAGATGGAGTTTTTGCTCTTGTCATCCAGGCTGGAGTGCGATGGCATGATCTCGGCTCACTGCAACCTCCGCCTCCCCAGTTCAAGCGATTCTCCTGCCTCAGCCTCCCGAGTAGCTGGGATTACAGGCACCCACCATCATGCCCAGCTAATTTTGTATATTTAGTAGAGACGGGGTTTCTCCATATTGGTCAGGCTGGTCTTGAACTCCCAACCTCAGGTGATCCACCCGCTTCAGCCTCCCAAAGTGTTGGGATTACAGACGTGAGCCACCACGCTGGCCGTCTAACCTCCACCTCCATTTGTTTAAAAAAAATTTGTTTTCTAACCTCCTTCTTTTTAAAAAAAGAAAAAATTTGTCATAGAAGACTTAATATTAGATCTCTCCCCTTAACTAATTTCTAAGTGTGCAGTACCTAACTGTTGACTAGAGATTCGATGTTGCACAGCAGATCTCTAGAGCTTATTCATCTCGCTTGACTGAACCCTGATGCCTACTGGTTAGTAAGTCCCCAGTCCCTGGTAACTGCCATTCCACTCTTAGATTCCATAAATTTCACCATTTTAGACATCTCATATAAGTGGAATCATGCAGTTTGTCCTGTGACAGGATTTTTTTTCACTTAGCCTAATGTCCTCAAGCTTTATCCATTTTGTCACATATTGAAGAATGTCCTTTTTTTTTTTTTTTTTTTTTTTTTTGAGATGGAGTCTCACTCTGTCACCCAGGCTGGAGTGCAGTGGTGTGATCTCGGCTCACTGCAACCTCCGCCTCCAGGTTCAAGTGATTCTTCTGCCTCAGCCTCCTGAGTAGCTTGGACTACAGGCATGCGCCACCACGCCTGGCTAATTTTTGTATTTTTAGTAGAGATGGGGTTTCACCATATTGTCCAGGCTGGTCTCGAACTCCTGACCTCATGATCCACCTGCCTCGGCCTCCCAAAGTGTTGGGATTACAGGCGTGAGCCACTGTGCCCGGCCAGAATGTCCTTCTTTTTAAAGGTTTAATAGTATTTCACTATATGTATATACCACATTCTCCTCATATATTCATCTGTCAATAGACATTAAGGTTGTTTCTACATCTTGCCTATTGTGAATAGTGCTGCAGTGAACGTAAGAGTGCTAATATCTCTTTAAGATCCCGATCTCAATTCCTCTGGGTAAATATCCAGAAGTAGGATGCTGGATTATATGGCGGTTCTAGTTCTAATATTTTGAGAAACCTCCATACTGTTTTTCATAGTGGCTGCACCTGCAACATTTTGCATTACCATCAACTGTGTGCAAGAGTTCTGATTTTTCTACAACCTTACTAACACTTGTCTTTTTATTTTATTTTATTTTATTTTGAGACAGAGTCTCGCTCTGTCACCCAGGCTGGAGTGCAGTAGCATGATCTCGGCTCACTGCAAGCTCCGCCTCCCAGGTTCACACCATTCTCCTGCCTCAGCCTCCCGAGCTGGGACTACAAGCGCCCGCCACCATGCCCAGCTAATTTTTTGTATTTTTAGTAGAGACGGGGTTTCACTGTGTTCGTCAGGATGGTTTCGATCTCCTGACCTCATGATCCGCCCACCTTGGCCTCCCAAAGTGCTGGGATTACAGGCATGAGCCATCACACCCGGCCAACACTTGTCTTTTATGTTTTTGGTAATAGCCATCCTCATAGGTGTGAGGTGATAGCTTATTGCTGTTTTGATTTGCCTTTCCCAGATGATTAGTGATGATTAGTGCTCAATTAGGGATTGAACATTTTTTCATATACTTGTTGGCCATTTATATGTCTTCTTCGTAGAAATGTCTATTCAAATCATTAGCCCATTTTAAAATCAGGTTATTAGTTTTTTCTAAACTATTGAGTTGTAGAAGTTCCCTATATTTTTTATTTTATTATATTTTATTTTTGAGACAGAGTTTCGCTCTTGTCACCCAGGCTGGAATCTCAGCTCACTACAACCTCTGTCTCCTGGGTTCATATGATTCTCCTGCCTCAGACTCCCTGGTAGCTGGGATTACAGGTATGCACCATCACACCTGGCTAATGTTGTATTTTTGGTAGAGATGAGGTTTCACCATGTTAGCCAGGCTGGTCTGGAACTCCTGACCTCAGGTGATCCTCCTGCCTCGGCCTCCCAAAGTGTTGGGATTACAGGCGTGAGCCACCGTGCCTGGCTCCTTATACTTTTTAGAGATTAACCCCTCACCAGTCATATGGTTTGAAAATATTTCCTCTCATTTCATAGGTTGCCTTTCATTCTTGATTCTTTTCTTTGCCATGCAGAAGCTTTTTAGTTTGATGTAGTCCCACTTTTTATATTTGCTTTTGTTGTCTGTGATTTTGGTGTCATATCTGTGAAATCATTGCAAAGATCCATGTCACAAAGATTTTCCTCAGTGTTTTCTTCTAGGAATTTTACAGTTTCCTCTTTCTTTTCTGATCTCACTTAACTGTTTTACCTTTTTTTCTGAGTTAGTCTAGCCAAAGATTTGTCAATTTTCTTTATCTTTTCAAAAAGCTAATTCTTAGTTTTGTTCATTTTTTTCTTTTCTTTCCTTTTTTTTTTTTTTTTTTTTTTTTTGAGACGGAGTCTTGCTTTGTTGCCCAGGCTGGGGTGCAATGGCACGATCTCGGCTCGCTGCAACATTTGCCTCCCAGGTTCAAGTGATTCTCCTGCCTCAGCCTCCGAAGTAGCTGGGATTACAGGCATGCGCCACCACACCCGGCTAATTTTGTATTTTTAGTAGAGATAGGATTTCGCCATGTTGGTCAGGCTGATCTTGAACCGCTGACCACAGGTGATCAGCCCACCTCAGCCTCCTAAAGTGCTGGGATTACAGGTGTGAGCCACCGTGCCCGGCCGATTTTTTTCTATTGTTTTTCTTTTTTCAATCTTATCTGTGCCCTAATCTTTGGTATTTCTTTCTTTCTGCTAACTTTGGGCTTAGGTTGTCATTTTTTTCCCAGTCAGTTGAGTTGTGAAACTTATGAGATGCAACAAAAGCAGTCCTAAGAGGGTATAGTGATACATACCGACATTTACAGTTAAAGTAATTATTGATAGAAAAGGATTTACTATTGCCATTTTGTTAGTTGTTTTCTGATAGCCTCGTGGGGTTTTTTTCTGTCTTTTCCCCCTTGCTGTCTTCCCTTGTGTTTTATTTTTTTGTATTGCTATGCTTTGATTCCTTTTGTGTGTGTGTATGTGTGTGTGTGTGTAACTTCTTCTTTTTTTTTTTGAAGACGGAGTCTCGCTGTGTCACCCAGGCTGGAGTGAAGTGGGGCAATCTCGGCTCACTGCAACCTCTGCCCTCTGGGTTCAAGTGATTCTCCTGCCTCAGCCTTCTAAGTAGCTGGGATTACAGGCATGCGCCACCATGCCCAGCTAATTTTTGTATTTTTAGTAGAGGTGGGGGTTTACCATGTTGGCCAGGCTGGTCTCAAACTCCTGACCTCAGGTGATCCACCTGCCTCGGCCTCCCAAAGTGCTAGGATTACAGGGGTGAGCCACTATGCCTGGCCCTTGTGTAACTTCTATAGGTATTTATTTTGTAGTTACCTTGGGGCTTAGGTAAAATATTTTATAGTTATGACAGTTTATTTTAAGCTGATAATTTAAGTTTAATCATGTACAAAAGCTTTACACTTTAACTTCTACCCCCATCACACTTTATATTATTGTCATAATTTATATCTCTTAATTCTGTGCATATGCCAAGACTTGAATATTTGTGCCATCAGAAACTCATGTTGAAACCTAATCCCCAGTGTGGCAGTATTGAGAGGTGGGGCCTTTAAGAGGTGATTGGATCATGAAGGCCCTACCCTCATGAGTGGATTAATCCATTATTGGATTAATGGATTAATGGGTAAATAGATTATCACAGAAGTGGAACTGGTGGCTTTATAAGCAGAGGAAGAGAGACCTGAGCTAGCGCTCTCAGCCCCCTCACCATGTGATGTCCTGTACTGTCTTGGGATTATGCAGGGTGTCCCCACCAGCAAGAAGGCCTCCACCAGATGTGGTCCCTTGACCTTGGACTTCCCCAACTCTAGAACTTTAAACAATAAACTTCTTTCATTTATAGATTACCCTGTCTCAGGTATTCAGTTATAGCAACAGTAAATGGATTAAGAGTATATTTTAATATATTTTTGGTTATAGTTCTTTTCTTTTCTTTCTTCTTCTTCTTTTTTTTTTTTTTTTTTTTTGACAGAGTCTTGCTCTGTGGTCCAGGCTGGAGTACAGTGGTGTGATCTCAGCTCACTGCAACCTCTGTCTCTGGGGTTCAAGCGATTCTCCTGCCTTGGCCTTCCCAGTAGCTGGGATTACAGGCATGTGCCACCATGCTTGGCTAATTTTTTATCCTTTTAGTGGAGGTGGGGTTTCAACATGTTGGCCAGGCTGGTTTCGAACTTCTGACCTCAAGTGATCTGCCCGCCTTGGCCTCCCAAAGTGTTGGGATTGTAGGCATGAGCCACCATGCCTGGCCAGTTATAGTTATTTTCCATCTTTTTTCTTTTAACTTGTATAGGAGAATTAAAAGTGATTTCTCCATCACCATTACAGTATTACAGTATTCTATATTTGTCTATACATTTACCTTTACTAGTGAGTTTCACACTTTCTTTTAATATTGTGTGGCTATTTAGCATACTTTCATTTCAACTTGAAGAACTTCCTTTAGTATTTCTTGTAAGGCAGGTCTAGTGATGAACTCTCTCAGCTTTTATTTGTCTGGTAGTCTTTATTTCTCTTTCATTTTTGTAGGACAGTTTTGTCAGGTATAGTAGTCTTGGTTGGCAGTTTTTTCTTTCAGTGCTTTGAATATATCATCCTACTCACTTCCTAGCTCAGTAATTCTTACAAATTGTGATTATTTTGTTGTCAGCTCATCTGCTTAATTTTTTATTTCCATTACAAAATTTTTGAGATGCCTTATTGACTTTTTTTTTTAAATCACAGCTTGCCTAAATTTGTTTTTATGTCTTGGCTATTAGACCTTCCCTTATTCTTCCAAGTAGTCCTAGCTACTCGGGAGGCTGAGGCAGGAGAATTGCTTGAATCCAGGAGGCAGAGTTTGCAGTGAGCTGAGATCATGCCACTGCACTCCAGCCTGGGCAACAGAGCAAGACTCCATCTCAAAAAGAAGAAGAAGAAGAAGAAGGAGAAGGAGAAGGAGAAGGAGAAGGAGAAAGGGGGAGGGGGAGAAGAAGGATTACATGAATTAAGTGTGCCTATAATTTTATAGTCATTTGCAGAGTGCTTGGCACACAGTTGGGTGATATAAATGCTGGTTAAGGGGCATTTTTCTACTTAAACCCTCCTATGGAATCTCCTAGGTCCTGGGAGAAACCTCACTCCTGGGAAGCTCCTGCGTGCTACCCCTGTCAGCTGGGAGACAGCTCTGCCGCATTTTTTTCAGCTCCTCCATTGCTCTGCTGATTCACAGCCTCCAGCTTCCAGAACCTTTCCCCTGTCGGGACAGTAGTCCAACTCCGTTTTCACATGCTTGTCCTATTTGCTCGTTGGGTTCCAGGAGGCTCTCTCCGTCCCCTGGCTCTGTGTATGGCCCATCGTCCTTACCACACTGTCCTGCAAGTGCTCGTTAACTCACCTGGCTTCTCCACTGCCCTCTCTGTTCCCTCAATGAAGGAACCCTGGGATCTTGCTCGCCCCTAGTATCTGGCACATAGTATACCCCCAGGAAGTATTTATTGTGAAAATCAATAAATTACTTGAATTGATATTTGTTGAGCATCTGTGTGCGCCAGGCTGGTGGTAAGCCTTTTGCACAATCATTCCATGCAGATTGCAAAGCCCCTCTCTGAGGTAGCATCGTAACCCCTGCTTTCCCTTCGAAGCTTGTGCTCCCCAGTCTCCTACCTTCCGGTCCTCCCGTATCTGTCGCTGGGTCACCTCGCTTGCCCACTAAAGATTTTGGCATGAATTCCATGGTTTTCCCTGGCAGCTCAGGGCACTTCCCATGTCCTTGTTGAGAAAGCCCCATGCTGGCTTCCCTGTTCTTGAGGCCCCTCATCTCTGGGGGATTGACTCACTTCAGTCACCCACTCCTGAGGCCACACACAAGATACAAACTCCAAAGCCCACCCCCATTTTGTGCCCCACACCCCTGTCCTCCCCTCATGCAGACCCCCACTACTCTCCATGTAAACATCATTTTATAACGAGTCATCTTTCAGCACACCAACCTGCCATTCCCTGCAAAGCTCTACACATTGGTTTTGTCTGCATCTGTTTTTTAGCAAAAGGACTTACTGCCACATTTTAAAAGATCCAGTCATTTTACACACAAAAAAAATCCAGATTTATGGCTTTCCTTAGAGGAGAAAAATCAGAAGATCTGAACTCGAGCCTTGCATTCCTGCCAGAGATCAAGCAGCCTGGGCTCCTCTCCAGTTTGCCTAATTTCTACCACACCCTCTTCTCTTATTTATCTTACCTGACCGGCCTGAAGGCATCTGAGTACGTGACCTTTGTCTTGGGTGGAAAAGTTTTCAAGGCAGGCAAAAAAATCTTATGTTGGCCAACCCAGAAGTTTCTTGGTCATAAGACAGTATGGATGACAATGTCCCCTGTTTGTTGAGCACTGACTATATGCTGGCACTTCACAGGCAGTGCGCCTCTTGATCCTTACACAACCCTAAGAGGTGCAAATTATTATTCCCCCACCTTTTTTTTTTCAGGTAAGAAAACCAGGTGCTCAGAAAGGGCAAGTAATTTGCTTACTGACACACAGCTAGAAAGTAGCAAGACTTTGTAGGTGCATGAACAAAGATTGCTCCAAGTACCAGACCATTTGGATCTTGGTGAAACGTGCAAGATATGAGTGCAGATTGTGAGGAAGCCCCTGACACCTTTGGCCAACAGGATCTGGCTTTCATAGAGAACCAAACCCTTCATAGGGTTTGGTATAGTCTTAAATACAGTAGACATGCTGGAAGATTTTTGAAGAGAAATATTTTGCTTGTAAAACTCTTGGCTGGCTCATGCCTGTAATCCCAGCACTTTGGGAGGCCGAGGCGGGTGGATCATCTGAGGTCAGGGGTTCGAGACCAGCCTGACCAATATGGTGAAACCCTGTCTCTACTAAAAATACAAAAATTAGCCAAGCATAGTGGTGTGTGCCTGTAATCCCAGCTACTCAGGAGGCGGAGGCAAGAGAATTGCTTGAACCCGGGAGGCAGAGGTTGCAGTGAGTTGAGATCGCACCATTGCACTCCAGCCTGGGCAACGAGAGTGAAACTCCATCTCAAAAAATAAAATAAAATAAAACAAACTCTCTAATGACCTGATTGGTAGGGTTGGGAGTGAGTGTACGTGGTTATAGGTCCAGAATGATGCTCCAATAAGGATAGGAAGCAAAAAGGAGGAGGCCCAGACCCAGGGGGAAATGGCTGAGGGCAGAGAGGCTGCAGGTGAGGGTGGAAAGGACACCAGTTTGCTTTTGCTTCCGGAGACAGGAAGCAGGGCCCTTGCAGGCTCCCGGAGACAATGGCATCTCTGCTGTAGGAGTTTGAGGGGGAAGTCTGGGGCTGCCTCAGACTCTGAGATAGAGGGGCTGTCAACTCTGACTCTCGAAACATGCATTCCTGCTACCTATTTCTTCTTCCTCTTTGGTTCTTACCTGACTCTCCTGGGGGTGTGTACCCTCCCTCGCCTCTACTTCTGAAACAAATACTCCATTGGCTCTGCTGCAACCTCATCTCCCTTTGGGTCTGACACAAAGTGGTCCCTCTGCCTGGGGTTTCACTTCTGGGGATCTGGGACTTATCACTTGTCTGAAGCTCTCTCAATGACAGGTTGAATGAAGGCCCAGGGTCTTCCCAGACAGGGCGGCACCCAGGCAGCCAGACAGGGGAGCATGGTGCCTGGGCTTCTGTGAAGGCCTTTTCCCACGCGGAAGGGAAACAGTGGCCTCTTGTACTTTGTCTTTCAAAACTCTGACAAACATGGGGTAATGCTTATGATAGGGGTTAAGAAAAGCAGGATTCAGTCGTGTAAATACCGTGTGAGTTTAGCAATCGAGAAAGGTACGAGGAGGGAGATGTACCAACACATCTGGAGGGATTATCCTATGCTGGTGCCATTGTGGGAGATTTATCTTCTCTCTCCCTTTCCCTTCCAGATTTTCTACCACTTCCAGGTCTTCTACAATGAACAAGTATTACTTTTCTTTATTTTTCTTTTTTTTTTTTTTTGAGACAGAGTCTTGCTTTTGTTGTCTAGTGCAGTGGTGCCCATAGCTCATTGCAGCCTCAACCTCCCAGGCTCAAGCGATCCTCCCACCTCAGCCTCCCGAGTAGCTGGAACTACAGGTATGTGCCATCATGCCTGGCTAAAGGTGTTGCTTTTCTAAGAAAGACTTTTTTTTTAAAGTAGTTTCATCTAAAAATTTGTGACTGATAATAAGAACGTTAATATTTAATTGAAAGCTTGGAAGGAAAAACATCCAAAATTTCACTCTGCTTCTTTCTGGAATCTCACCTGACCCTCCAAATAGGGAACGCCCAGCTCAAGTAGTGTGTCTGTCCCTCTTGCCCTGTGTATTCTTCTTCATGGCGTTGTGACGACCTGACATACTTTATGCCCATGGAATCGCCTCTTGTCTGCTTCCCCCACTGGCATGTCAGCAGCACAGGAACAAAGGCCTTTCTGGTTGTGTTCACCAGAGTAGAGTTCACCGCCATAGCCCAGAGTAGACCTGCCAGTGAGAAGGAGCTCTCTACACATTTGAATGAAGGAATAGCCAGCTTGTGAGCAATTTCAGTGTTCTTCTTATTTATTTATTTTGAGACAGGGTCTCACTCTGTTGCCCAGGCTAGAGTGCAGTGACACGATCTTGGCTCACTGCAACTTCCACCTCCCACGTTCAAGCAATTCTCGTGCCTCAGCCTCCCAAGTAACTAGAACCACAGGCACCCACCACCACGCCCAGCTAATTTTTGTATTTTTGGTAGAGACGGTGCTTCATCATGTTGGCCAGGCTGGTCTCGAACTCCTGGCCTCAAGTGATCCATCCACCTTGGCCTCCCAAAGAGCTGGGATTACAGGCATGAGCCACTGCGCCCGTCCTTTAGTGTTATTGTTACTATATTTCTGAGTTTCCAGCTGTTTATCCAATAAACTTTCATTGCTTTCATGATCAGAAAAAAATGAATAAATATTATTTTTTTCCTCCATGAAAATAGCACAATGAAGCAAACTCTCAATTCTAACATTTGAGAATGAAGTTCTTTTCTATTGAAGTTAGCATTTATTTTTATTTATTTATTTTTTTTGAGATGCAGTCTCACTCTGTCACCCAGGCTGGAGTGCAGTGGCGCGATCTTGGCTCACTGCAACCTCCACCTCCTGGTTCAAGCCTTTGCTTCCTGGGTAGTTGTGATTACAGGCCTGTGCCACCACGCCCAGCTAATTTTTGTATTTTTAGTAGAGACGGAGTTTCACCATGTTGGCCAGGCTGGTCTCAAACTCCGGACGTCAGACGATCCACCCACCTCGGCCTCTCAAAGTGCTGGGATTAAAAGCGCGAGCCACCACGCCTGGTCTGAAGTTAGCATTATTTTAAGTCTCAAAAATACATGAGAAACCTGCTGGTGTGAGTCACATGTCTGTGTGGGCACATTCCTGCTGAGCTGGTTGAAAGCATAGATGTGTGGAAAAAAGATTCCTCTCTATGCACCACTCTTTGCCCACAGGGCCATCGATGGTCAACAGGATAGACCTGTGTAAATCTGCCTTTCCAGAAGACTGGCTGGGAAACCCATGTGCTGTCTCTCCCTCTTGCCCTGTCTGTTCACCTTTTGGTCTTTGGTCAGCAGGTGCAGGGATGTGTTTGCCAATAGGGTTCCTGAAAGCTTGTCTGATTTAGACCTCCAGAGCCACCTGGGGGACATGTCAGAAGGAGAGGGGCTGGGCCTGTCCCCAGATGGACCCCTGCTCTTCTGGGAGGACAAACTGGAACTGGTCTGGATCCAGCTGCGACGCTGCTAGAGGAGAACGAGGCATCTTTTGCCCTCCAACATCTGGAGCCTGCCTCTCCAGGATGGGTACACCAGGCCTCTGCCTGCTCCCCGTTCCTTTCCACATTCCCCTTCTCTTACCTGCTTGCTACCCAGCTTGAAGGGCCTGTTTTTCCTGCTCAGGAACATTACTTATTTAGGTGATATTCAGAGCTATCTTCAAATTACAGATCACCTTGTCTACCATCCTGGAAAACATCTCTCTCTTTTTTTTTTTTTTTTTTTTTTTTCTGAGACAGAGTCTCACTCTGTTGCCAGGCTGGAGTGCAGTGGCGAGATCTCAGCTCACTGCAACCTCTGCCTCCTGGGTTCAAGTGATTCTCCTGTCTCAGCCTCCCAAGTAGCTGGAACTATAGGTGCATGCCACCACGCCGAGCTAATTTTTTTTTTTTTTTTTTTTTGAGATGGAGTCTTGCTCTGTCACCCAGGCTGGAGTGCAGTGGCGCAATCTAGGCTCACTGCAACCTCCGCCTCCCAGGTTCACGCCATTCTCCTGCCTCAGCCTTCCTAGTAGCTGGGACCACAGGTGCCCACCACCACGCCCGGCTAATTTTTTGTATTTTTAGTAGAGATGGGGTTTCACTATGTTAGCCAGGATGGTCTTGATCTCCTGACCTCATGATCCACCCGCCTCAGCCTCCCAAAGTGCTGGGATTACAGGCATGAGCCACCGCGCCCAACCAATTTTTGTATTTTTAGTGGAGACGGGGTTTCACCATGTTGGCCAGGCTGGTCTTGATCTCTTGATCTTGTGATCCGCCCCCCTCGGCCTCCTAAAGTGCTGGGATTACAGGCATGAGCCACCGCGCCCAGCTGGAAAACCTCTCTACGCATTATGAAGCTTTCTGATCTCTGATAACAGCACTTCGTTCATTTATTTATTTTTGTTTGTTTGATAACAGCATTTCTGACCACAGACTCTTTCATGGAATTGTAGCAGCTTCACTAGTGGGAATTTTACTTTGTGATACTTTCCCTACATCGATGGCCAGCATCTCCTCCCTTCTCTTTCCTTCTCCAGACTTCTAAACGTTGTGCTTTTCCATCTCACACAAGCAGGTTCAAGCCAGTGGAAGAGGTGGCCTGCCTCCCAATTGCACCAAGGGATGCATATTTCTACGTAGTTTGCTGTAGCTCTATTTCATTTTATACATCAGCTACCATCATCGTTTATGGACACTTTTCTCTCCTCATTCTGGGAGAAGCCCAGAGGCTTTCTGAAAATATCCATGAACTCTGGGGTGGATGTTCTCAGGAGCCGTCTGATGAGTTCCTGCATCTTCAGCACTGCTGAGGTCATTTACCTCCCACATTTCATGGTGATTCTTTCCCTTTGCTCCCACCAACCCAGATACGAGCCTTTTCTATGTGTTCTTCCAGAATCGCTCATGCAACACGGCTGGTTTAGAAGCAGACTTTATTTTTTTAATTTTTTGAGATAAGGTCTTCCTCTGTTGCCCAGGCTGAAATGCAGTGAAGATTTTATTGATAAGGTTGGATTTTTTTGGTCACCCAAGGCAAGCCATTTTAGCGTTAGACAGTCCTGCTTTTGAGAGTGCTCTGCAGCCCTGCTGCTGGCGACTCCTTGCTGGTGCCCTGTCTGCTCAGGCTCAGGCCTCTGCTAAGGGCCTTGGCTCCTCCCCTTGCCTAGAATCTGCTGCTGGACTGTAGAAAAGCCATATGCCACCCTCTCCCAATTTTCCCTCAGGGGTGAAGTGACAAAGTTAGTTTTGTTTGTTTTTAATTTTTAATTTTAATTTAATTTTATTATTTTATTTTATTTTTTTGATACGGAGTCTCACTCTGTCACCAGGCTGTAGTGCAGTGGCACAATCTCAGCTCACTGCAACCTCCTCCCCTCGGGTTCAAGCAATTCTCCTGCCTCAGCCTCCCGAGTAGCTGGGACTACAGGTGCCCGCCACCACGCCCGGCTAATTTTTTTTTTTTTTTTTTTGTATTTTTAGTAGAGATGGGGTTTCACCATGTTGGCCAGGATGGTCTCGATCTCTTGACCTCGTGATCCGCCCACCTTGGCCTCCCAAAGTGCTGGGATTACAGGCGTGAGTCACCGTGCCAGGCCATTGTTTTACTTTATTTTATTTTATTTTATTTTATTTATTTTATTTTGAGACGGAGTCTCATCTGTCACCCAGGCTGGAGTGCAATGGCACAATCTCGGCTCACTGCAACCTCCGCCTCCTGAGTTTAAGCAATTCTCCTGCCTCAGCCTCCCGAGTAGCTGGGATTACTGGCGTCCGCCAGCACACCCGGCTAATTTTTGTATTTTTAGTAGCGACAAGGTTTTGCCATGTTAGCCAGGCTGATCTTGAACTCCTGACCTCAAGTGATCCATCTGCCTTGGCCTCCCAAAGTGCTGGGATTACAGGCGTGAGCCACCGTGCCCAGCCTTGTTTTGTTTTTAAGAGACAGTCTTTCTCTGCCACCCAAGCTACAGTGCAGTGGCATGATTGTGGCTCACCGCAGCCCTGACCTCCTGGTCTCAAGCAATCCTCCTGCCCCAGCCTCCCGAGTAGCTAGAACTACAGGTGCATGCCACCATGCTCAGCTAATATTTTTTATTTTTGTAGAGACAGGGTCTCACTATGTTGTCCAGGCTGGTCTCAAGCTCCTGGACTCAAGCAACCCTCCCACCTTAGCTTCCCAAAGTGCAGGGATTACAGGTGTGAGGCACCATGCCCACCAGTTTATTTTTTAAACAAGGTGTTAATTTGCCTACAATTAACATAAAAAATAAAAGCAAAAATGAAATGGACAGAGTAAAATGAGGAAGGCTGAGATCCTGATGATCATACAAGGGTGGATGCGAACCATTATTATGGATTCCAGCTCTCTCATGTTAAACATCCTTAGGCACAAGCGCATGCAGCCTTTCCCACCCCAGCGACCCAACCCTGTGCCTACTCACAGCTCACATGGTTTGAAATGGGTGTACCTTCGGTGTGCTAGAATAATGACGACCTTGGTTCACGACACGCTCCCTTCGTTGGTCCTTGCTTATTCTTTTTTTTTTTCTTTTTCTTTTTGAGTCGGAGTCTCGCTCTGTCACCCACGCTGGAGTGCAGTGGCGTGATCTCGGCTCACTGCAACCTCCGCCTCCTTGGTTCAAGCAATTCTCCTGTCTCAGCCTCCCATGTAGCTGGGACTACAGGCACCTGCCACCATGCCCAGCTAATTTTTGTATTTTTGTAATTTTAGTAGAGATGGGGTTTTGCCATGTTGCCCAGGCTGGTCTTGAACTCCTGACCTCAGGTGATGCACCCACCTTGGCTTCCCAAAGTGCTGGGATTACAGGTGTGAGCCACCATGCCCGGCCAGTGCTTATTCTTTTATTTTAGTGACCTATTTATATACCCATAAACCTACCCCTCATTTTAAGAACTAAGCCATTATTGAGAACCTCCTCTTCCTCTGAGTTCCCACCATGTTCTATTCTGCTGCCTCCCTTCCTCCCCTCTCCTGAGGGGTGTGTCTTTCTAAATTTTGTGTCTATAATTGCCTTACTTTAAAAAAGTAGCTTTATCCTCAATTTTGGGAATAGCCAATCTGCTTTTCAAGAACAACAAGGAAGAGGAACCTTTCCTAGCAGATATCAGTGTGGAATAGAGCTGGGAAACTTGACTAGCCACCCAATCTATGCTCACACCCTCCCAGTTCTCCATGCTGGTACCCCTCCTGGATTTCAGAGGTGCCAGAGAAGGCACCTGGCTGCCCTCAGAGAGTCCTGGAAACCACAGCCACAGAATAAACCAGGCAGACACAAAGTCTGATAGAGGGACAGTGTAAAAAACCATCCTAGGAGCTGGCAGGTTTATTTGGGGACAAGGAACATGGCTGCAGAGATGGGGATCCACACTGTGGATCCCAGAACATGACAGGATCACTCACCCAGTGGCAACCTCCCAAAGCTTCTTACAGGGGTAGCACAGCACAGCTGGGGACAGAATGACAGTCTTTTTTTTTTTTTTTTTTTTTTTTTGAGACGGAGTCTCCCTCTGTCGCCCAGGCTGGAGTGCAGTGGCGTGATCTCGGCTCACTGTAAGCTCTGCCTCCCAGGTTCATGCCATTCTCCTGCCTCAGCCTCCTGAGTAGCTGAGACTACAGGCACCCACCACCACCCCTGGCTAATTTTTTGTATTTTTTAGTGGAGACGGGGTTTCACTGTGTTAGCCAGGATGGTCTCAATCTCCTGACCTTGTGATCCGCCTGCCTTGGCCTCCCAAAGTAACGGGATTACAGGTGTTAGCCACTACGCCCAGCCAGAATGACAGTCTTTAAATGAGATGTTTTCATCCTGCAGCATGGCCTCTGCCCTGAGTTTCTTGAGTTCTCTTCCACTGGGGTGTGCGAGGCACGGCTGGTACCTGGTCCCTGGGAATGCTGTCCAGGAGGAGCAGTGACAGTGCCAGAGGCTGCAGAGGCCATAGACAGCAGCCAGCATGGCAATCCCCAAGCCCAGGTGCCAGCAGAAGAAGATGATGAGGAAGGCCAGGTTCTTGTAGCTGACTGCTCACCAGGGCTGTCCGGTGGGGCGTACATCACTGAGGCTCCCTGAAGCAACCAGGAGCCAAGCAACAGGAGCACCCAGGCCTTGAGAACCCAGAGCTGGGGCTGGTCAGGGACCCAGACCTGGGGGAAGTCGGGGGAAGAGGATCTGCTGGCCCCACAGGAGGGCTCTGGACGCCATCACCACATAGTAAAGCCCCAAGTAATAGATGGTCAGTGCTGGAATCAGGTGTCCCAGGAAAGTGCCCATGCAGCAGCCGGCAGTCTGCTTAGGGGTGGAGGAGTGGGGATTATGAGTGACTGTCCCTACTAAGAGTTTGCCACCTCTGAACTGTCAGGGTAGTCCCTGCTGACCTGCCTCTGCGGCCCACACATGGGGCGGGCCCAGGTGCTGTGTAGGCCCAGGTCTATTTTCAGGTAGCTGAGAACTGGCTGGGCTCCTTCCTGCCCTGCAAAATATTGCCAACTATTCAGTGCTGAAACTGAGTCATCAAGAACTTGATAGAAACTGTTCTATCAAGCCAGCTCCTTCAGGATGATGGGGAACATGATAAGACCAGTGAATTACATGATCATGAGTCATTGCCACACTTCTTTTGTTGTAAAGTGTTTGGAAACAATGCTGTATGGAATTTCACTGGATAAGGCATACTTTAAGTTCACGGATGGTGGTTTTGGCAGAAGATTTGTGAGCAGGGTATGTAAATCTGTGTCCAGAGTAAGTGTCTATCCTAGCAAGAACAAAATGCTGCCTCTTCCATGATGGAAGTGGTCCAATGTAATCAACCTGCGACCAGATAGTAGGCTGGTCACCGTGGAGAATGGTGCCATATCATAGACTCAGTGTTGGTCTCTGCTGCTGGCAAACTGGGCACTCAGTGATGGCTGTAGCCAGGTCAGCCTTGGTGAGTGTTAGTCTACACTGCTGAGCCCATGCATCCTCCATCCCTGCCACAACAGTCACTTTCTTTTTTTTTGAGACGGTGTCTTGCTCTGTCGCCCAGGCTGGAGTGCAGTGGCCCAATCTCGGCTCACTGGAAGCTCCGCCTCCTGGGTTCAGGCCATTCTCTGGTTTCAGCCTCCCAAGTAGCTGGGACTACAGGCGCCCACCACCATGCCCGGCTAATTTTTTTTTTTTTGTATTTTTAGTAGAAATGGGTTTTCACCATGTCAGCCAGGATGGTCTCGATCTCCTGACCTCGTGATCCGCCTGCCTTGGCTTCCCAAAGTGCTGGGATTACAGGCGTGAGCCACCGCGCCCAGCCACAGACACTTTCGTTATGAGCCCATTAGGCAATGACAATGATAATGAGCCCATTAGGTCATCAGATGCTGATTGGTATCCATAGAACAAGTCATCCTATTTACTTGATTATTAATATCCTTCTCTGTTGAGGTTGCCTTTTGGTGGGCATTGACATGGGACACAAATGTCTTCAGGTTTTTTATCCATTCAGAGAGGTCTACCCATATATCTCTTTCTCAGATTTCCTTATCACCAATTTTTCCATTCATATTCTTTCTGAGTCCCTGACCATCCAGCCAAACCACTGGCCATAGTCTATAAATGGGTATATAATTGCATGTCTGACCATTTCTCCTTTGAAGCAAAGTGAACAGCCAGATGCACTGCTCAAATTTCTACCTGCTGGGAGGATTCCTCTTCATCACTGTCCTTCGGAGGTGTCCCAGAAAGGAACTGTAGTGCTGCAATTGTCCACCATCAGGTGGTGCCTGCATATTCTGCAGCACCGTCTGGGAACCAGCCCCAAGTCTTCTCTTCCTCTGTCAACTGATGATAGGGAACTCCCCATGAGGCCATAGACATAGGCTGGGAGAGAGAAGGCAGGGTAGCAGGAGTGGAGGACCGTGGGCTTTTGGGCCAATTCTTCATGTAATTTACCAATGCCTACAGAGCTTTCTCAGGCCCAATCATGTATATACCACTTCCGTTTCATGATGGAGTATTGCTGTGCACACCCAAATTTATGGCTTGATGGGTCAGATAACATCCAGGTCATGATGGGAAGCTCAGGTAACTTGATGGCCCATGGTTAGGCACACAGTATCTATCTAAGGCCCAGTAACAGGCCAGGAGCCGTTTCTCAAAAGGAGAGTAATCTGTGAAGGATGGCAGAGTTTTGCTCCCAAATCCTAAGGAAATTCACTTGTAGGGGCCTGCCAAAGGCTCCAGAGAGCATCCCTATCTGCCACTGACATTTCACGCACCACTGGATCTGCTGGATCATATGGCCCAAGCAGCAGAGCAGCCTGCACAGCAGCCTGGACCTGTTGCATGAGCTACTGTGCCAGGCCTGGCTCTGTTTTTATGATTCAGATTAGACTTTTGTTAACTTGGCTTAGAACTTTTCTGCTTATACGGATCAAGTAATCAGTAGGCTTCCCATCTATTTCACTTCTAGGAACGCCATGCTTAACAGCCTGTGCCATTGGTCTGCAGGAGTTGGCAATTCAGCTGCTGTGACTCTGCTGTCCATCACCGTAACCATGTTCACCTCGCCTGTGGCAGTGGAGTGCTGCCACTTGGTCCCTGCGCCCTGAGATCCATGACTCCCATTACATTTAAGTTTCCAAATTCAGTGACTGCTGTAAGTTCTGCCTACGGAGACGAGGGATTACAAAGCTCTTTCAAGGTGCTGAGGCTCCATCACAAATTTATTTCTCACAGTATTGGTAAAAAGCAGGACTTCTGGCCTTTCCCAGTAGGTCTAGAAGATGTACTTTTATGTCTTAGTTGGTGAGTAGGTCTTAAATGACAAATCCCCGCGAACATCCCATCTTCCTACGCCTTTGAATCCATTCTACATTAAACCAAGTCATGTCCATCCACCATTTCCAGTTTGTTCATGGTGGGTCACCCTTTTTGTTTTCTTTTTGAGACGGAGTTTCACTCTTGTTGCCCAGGCTGTAGTGCAGTAGCATGATCTTGGCTCACTTCACCTCTGCCTTCTGGGTTCAAGTGATTCTCCTGCCTCAGGCTCCTGAGTAGCTGGGATTACAGGTGCCCACCAACACGCCCAGCTAATTTTTTGTATTTTTAGTACAGATGGGGTTTCACCATATTGGCCAGGCTGGTCTCAAACTCCTGACCTCAGGTGATCTGCCCACCTCAGCCTCCCAAAGTGTTGGGATTACAGGTGTGAGCCACAGTGCCTGGCCAACAGTGGGCCATCTTTGATCCACTCATCAGCCAACCAACCAAAAACTGTTAGAGCCTTTTCTTATTTTCTGAGCTGCAACATTAAAATGCAGGATCTCTGCTTAGTGAGCCCATGTCAATAAATTCACTCTGATACAACTTTATGTTTTTTCTTTTTCTTTTTTTAGTTTCTTTCTTTTCTTTTCTTTTTTTTTTTTTTTTTTTTTTTTTTTTTTTGAGACAGAGTTTTGCTCTTGTTGCCCAGGCTGGAGTGCAGTGGCGTGATCTCAGCTCACTGCAGCCTTCACCTCCTGGGTTCAAGCGATTCTCCCGCTCAGCCTCCAGAGTAGCTGGGATTACAGGTGTGCACCACCATGCCAGGCTAATTTTGTATTTTTAGTAGAGATGGCAGTCTCACCATGTTGGCCAGGCTGGTCTTGAACTCCTGACTTCAGGTGATCCACCCGCCTCAGCCTCCCAAACTGCTGGGATTACAGGCGTGAACCACTGCACCCTGCTTGTTTTTTTTCACTATTATCTCACATCCTCAATATCCATTCCCATACATGTTCCCCAGATTTCTGTCTATAGAAATTAGAAAACTTAAGAAGTTCTTTTGAAGTATAGCACACCTCCTCACGGGTAACCTTTGTACCTCATCTGAGGGGCTTGCTGGGACTTGAGTCTAGACTTGAAGTCTAGAAGCAAAAAGGGGTGGTGGGGGTGGATCCTGAAGAGAATCAGCATTGTTTTGCAAAGGCAACTGACTCAAGGGAGGCCATCACAGTTTCCTCTGGCAATGCAGAGTCAGTTCGCCAGGTGGAGGTGGGGAGGCTACTTCCATGGCAAAGAAGACTCATAAGAATTTCGGGGCTCTGGCTGGGCGCAATGGCTCACCACACCTGCAATCACAGCACTTTGGGAGGCTGAAGCAGAAGGATTGCTTGAGGCCAGGAGTTCCAGACTAGACTGGGCAACATAGTGAGACCCCCATCTCCACACACACACACACACACACACACACACACACACACAATTAGTGGGCATAGTGTTGTGTGCCTGTAGTCCTAGTTACTTGGGAGGTTGAGGCAGGATTGTCACTTGAGCCCAGGAGTTCAAGGCTGCAGTGAGCTATAATTGCACCACTGCACCCCAGCCTGTGTGACAGAGCAAGACCTGCTCTCTCTCTCTCTCTTTTTTTTTTTTTTTTTTTTTTGGATTTTTAATAGAGATTGGGTTTCACCATATTGGCCAGGCTGGTCTCAAACTCCTGACCTCAGGTGATCTGCCCACAGTAGCCTCCCAAAGTGCTGGGATTGTAGGCATGAACCACTGTGCCTGGCCAAGACCTGGTCTCTTACAAAACAAAACAAAACAAAACAAAACAAAAAACCCCGAAAACTTAGATGTTCACTGTTCCCAGCTTCATCGTGTCTTCCTACACATCCCCACCCCATTCTTCCCCAGTCAACACCCTCACTTTCACAGCGACACCTGTTAAAGACACCTGCGAGGCTGGAAGTTCAGTCCATGTTGTAATCCAGCCAGTCACAGGATTCTCTGCCTGATTTTCAGTAATCTCAGCGCTTTGGTGACAGGAGATAAGGGTCTCCTTCAGGGCACATGTAGTAGCTTTTAGGTTATTTACACCGCGTTTGAACTAGGAATTTGAATCCCTGAACTCATTCTTTTCTTTCACCTCTTTGTCCAGTGACTCTAGGAGCAAGTAGCCAACCTTGTTATATTCATTAGTTTTTCAAAAAGGTTAGAAAGTATCTTATATATAGTCACCCAGCTCCTGGCTTCTTATAAGTGGTTGATTAGGTGTATCCAGTGGGAATATTTTGCATATTTCCATTGTCAGATCATGCCATGGACGACTAGTGCTCTCTTTCTTACTGGAAACAGAGTTGTTAGTCTCTTTAAATTTAATCAGACTAGAGAGACAATGCCAGAAATCTTAGAACCAATTCAGAAAGCTCATTCTTAAAATTGTTTCTCACGGGAGGCTGAGGCAGGAGAATCGCTTGAACCCAGGAGGCGGAGGTTGCAGTGAGCCGAGATCATGCCACTGCACTCCAGCCTGGCGACAGAGCGAGACTCCATCTCAAAAAAATAAATATATATATATATTTAAATATATACATATAATATATATTTAAATATATACATATAATATATATACACATATTTTATACACACACACACACACACACACACATATATTTTTTTGAGCGGAGTCTTGCTCTGTCGCCCAGGCTGGAGTGCAGTGGTGCTATCTCAGCTCACTGCAAGCTCTGCCTCCTGGGTTCAGGCCATTCTCCTGCCTCAGCCTCCCAAGTAGCTGGGACTACAGGCACCCGCCACTGCGCCTGGCTAATTTTTTGTATTTTTAATAGAGACAGGGTTTCACCATGTTAGCCAGGATGGTCTCGATCTCCTGACCTTGTGATCTGCCCTCCTCGGCCTTCCAAAGTGCTGGGATTACAGGCGTGAGCCACCGTGCCCAGCCATATATATATATATATTTGAGACAGGGTCTCCCTCTGTCAGCCAGGCTGGAGTGGAGTGCTGTGATCATAGCTCATTTCAACTGTGAACTGTGCACAGGTGATCCTCCTGCCTCAGCTTCTTGAGTAGCCAGGACTAGAGGCATGCACCACCGTGTCTGGCTAATTTTTAAAATTATTTGTAGAGATGGAAGTATACAGCTATGTTGCCCAAGCTGATCTCAAACTCTTGGCCTCAAGTGATTCTCCTACCTTGGCCTCCCAAAGTGCTGGGATTACGGATGTGAGCCACCATGTTTGGCCCTAAAATCTTTATGAGTCAGAGTTCTCCAGAGGAACAGAACCAATGGGAGACAGATAATAGATATATACATATGGAGGCTGAGAAGATCCACCATCTATCATTGCAAGCTAGAGATGTGGAAAAACTGGTGGTGTAGTTCCAGTCTCAGTCTGGAAGCCTGAGAAGCAGGAGAGCCAGCGGTGTGGGCTCCAGCACAAGTCTGAAAGCCTGAGAACAAGAGGGCTGATGGTGTACGTTCCAAACTGAGTCTGAAAGCCTGCGAACCAGGAGCACTGATGTGAGACCCAGTCTGAGGGCAGGGGAAGACCATTGTCCCAGCTCAAACAGTCAGGTTGAGAGTGAATTCTCCCTTCCTCCACCTTTTTGTTTTATTCAGGTCCTTGGCAGAGTGGATACTGTCCACTCACATTGGGAAGGGCCATCTGTGTACTCAGTCCATTGATTCAAACACTAATCTCCTCCTTAAGCCCCCTCATAGACACACCCAGAGATAATGTTTAACCAAATACCTGGGCACTCTGTGACCCAGTCAAATTGCTGTATAAAATTTACCATCATGGCGCGGTGGTTCACGCCTGTAATCCCAGCACTTTGGGAGGCCAAGGCAGGGCAGATCACGAGGTCAGGAGATCGAGACCATCCTGGCTAACATGGTGAAACCCCCTCTCTACTAAAAACACAAAAAATTAGCCAGGCATGGTGGCACGCACCTGTAGTCCCAGCTACTTGGGAGGCTGAGGCAGGAGAATAGCTTGAACTGGGGAGGCAGAGGTTGCAGTGAGCCAAGATTGTGCCACTGCACTCTGGCCTGGGAGACAGAGCGAGACTCCATCTCAAAAAAAAAAAAAAAAAAAAAAAAATTAACCATCACAACAAGTCTCAGCAGCCTTCATGTTAAATAGATCCTTCTGTGGGAGAGATGTCAGATGGCTCTAGATATATCTGAGTTTTCGCTCTAGAGAAGTCAGAAACTATACTGTATCTTACAGATATAGATATAGGGGATTTAAGGTTATGTAGTTGGGTTGATACCAGACATGATTTTTAAAATCCTTTTTCTTTCTTATTTAATTTATTTCTCACAACTCATGACCTAATCAAATATAGTTTCCATTTAAATTACAAATGACTTTTCATTAAAATTACAAAGCATATAATTTTTGCGCTAAATATAAAAACCTATCATTTTGAGCAGATTGCAAGGAACGCAAACATCCAGGGTCCTCAATGACCTTTCCTGCTGACCCTCTCAATTACTGCTGAATTGTTCATGGTTTGCACCAAGCTGGAGTTAATGTAACTATCTTACCCTTTCCATCCGACAGTGAAAGTGCTTAAAACCTTTCTGGGCCTTTAATTAGATTTGTCAACATACACACATGTTGCTGCAATTCTAATTATCCTAGAAAAACTAATACAAATCATGATAGCACTCCTATGTGCCAAGGCACTGTGCTAAGCACTTTACATATCTACTAACTCATTTAATTCTTCACAACACTCCCTTTGATCCCTCTTTTATAGATGAGCAAGTGAAGCACAAACCTGCCCAAATCATTGGTTAGCGGGGACCTCACCTGGGCTATTCTCTGCTAATTCTGGGGAAAGGTTTCCCATGCCTACCCTTCATGAGTTTCTGTATCCTTCCCCATCTGCAAGAAGAACATAGCTCCAAATATGCTACATCAGCTGGTGACTGTGTTTCAGTCACAATCTGGTTTTTTTTTTTCTGCCAACCTTTTCTTCTGAAAAATTCCTGATCCCATTTTAGAAGTGACCTGCCATGATGCCAACCACCTGGTGTCCTCTAGTGTGGGGACATCTGGCGCCTGGCTCACACCCAGAGGGAGTGAACCAAACCTTGGTGGGCTGCTAGGGGTGACACCCAGGCACATCCTTGGGGATCCTTGTCCCAGAAAAGGGCTCAGTCCAGGTTGGGCACCGTCAGGGGTCGTCAGGAAACAGCTGGGAGGATTTCATCAGATCCCCTCTTAGCACATGGTTGCAGCAGTTAATAATGAGAGGGAGAATTGGCTGGCCTGGAGGCCAGCAGAGTCTTCTGGAACTCTGGAGAGCCTCACCCCAAGGAACAGCCCAGTTTGGTCCATATGAAGGTCCTAGAAACCATAAGGTCTGCATTTGGAGCAGCAGTAGTAGAGGCAACGTTTTCTCTGAGCTCCTCCTGTCCTGAGAGGCAAGACCTGTCTTCCTACACCATGCCCCAGTCCCCGGCCCACTCACTGGGTCTTGGCTCTACCTTCTTGCTCCTTCTCTGTGCACTCCCTCACCCCCACTCCGTGCAGGGACCTGCCTGGAACAGACACTGGCTTTGAGTTCTTGACATCTAGTAAAGACAACCCATGAGCACGTAAAAGCCTCACAATACAGAGCAGGATTAATAAGAACAAAATGCAAAGCAAGTGGAGATCAAGGAGGAAGATATTCCCAGCTGGGGAGTCACAGCAGACCTCATAGAGGAGGGGGCGTTTGAATTGAACTGTGAAGGTCCAGACATTGCAAGAGGAGGGCCTGGTGTGGGAAATCACAAGAGGAGAATATGGTTCAGTGAGGCTGAAGCAAGGTGCACGATGAGTGGATGGCGCTGGACTGGCAGGTCTGGGCAACTTGGATAGGGCCTTAACTGTTGGACTACCCATCTCTATGGGGTTGCGAGCTCAAGCTCAGGGGTGAGAGATGGCCTGGACTGTTATCTCGTCTAATTTCTGTTACGTATAACAGAATACTTGAAACTGGGTAATTTATTTTAAAAAGGAATTTATTTCTTACAGTTATGAAGACTGAGAAGTCCAAGATCAAGGAGCCGGATCTGGCGAGAGCCTTCTTGTTGGTGGGGACTCTTTGCAGAGTCCTGAGGTGGCACAGGGCATCACATGGTGAGGGGCTGAGTGTGCTAGCTCAGGTGTCTCTTCCTCTTCTTATAAGGCCACCAGCCCCACTCCCATGATAACCCATGAATCCATTCATCCACAAATGGATTAATCCAGTCATAAGGGCAGAGCCTCATGACCCAGTCACTTCTTAAAGGCCCCACCTCTCAACACTGTCATTTGGAGATTAAGTTTCAACATGAGTTTAGGAGGGGATTAACATTCAAACCATAGCAGCAGGGACTGTAACAAGTGAGCTGTCTCCAGGGCCATGCCTGGCAGCCTCTATTGGGAGCCTATTTCTGTGCCCTCCCTTGCCGTGTGCATCAGGTGAATAGGGGTGAGGGATGTCTAATGTTGAAAGGGACCTGGGGTGGAGGAATAGATCACAGGTCAAGGGGAAGGGGAAATTGGAGGGGAGAAAGCATGTGTGTAGGTCTCTTCTGGGACCAGGTGAACAGCCAGCCAGATGCTCAAGTCAGAAACTAGGGCATCATCCTGGGCTCCTCCCTTCCTTCACTCCTGTATTAGTTTGTTTTCATGCTGCTAATAAAGACATACCTGAGACTGGGTAATTTATACAGAAAAGAGGTTTAATGGACTCACAGTTCCACATGGCTGGGGAGGCCTCACAATCATGGCGGAAGGCAAGGAGGAGCAAGTCACATCTTACATGGATGGCAGCAGGCAAAGAGAGAGCTTGTGCAGGGAAACTCCCCCTTATAAAACCATCGGATTTCATGAGACTTATTCACTATCACAAGAACAGCATGGGAAAGACCTGTCCCCATGATTCAATTACCTCCTACCGGGTCCCTCCCACAACATTCAAGAATTGTGGAAGCTACAATTCAAGATGAGATTTGGGGCCAGCGCAGTGGCTCACAGCCTGTAATCCCAGCACTTTGGGAGGCTGAGGCAGGTGGATCACCTGAGGTCAGGAGTTCGAGACCGGCCTGGCCAATGCTATCTCTACTAAAAATACAAAAATTAGCTAGGCATGGTGGTGCGTGCCTGTAATCCCAGCTACTCAGGAGGCTGAGGCATGAGAATCATTTGAACCTGGGAGGCAGATGTTGCAGTGAGCCAAGATTGTGCCACTCACTCCAGCCTGGGTGATGGAGCAAGACTCCATCTCAAAAAAAAAAATAAAAAGAAGATGAGATTTGGGTGGGGACACAGCCAAACCATATCAACCCCTCATGGTCAATTGCTCACTGTGTTCACCCAGTTCTACCTGCTATGGGGTTATTTGGACTTTCCTCTCCATTCCACCACCCCAACTTGGTTCTCTCCTGGACCATTGCAGCATCATCTTGACTCTTCCTCACTTCATCTCCTGGCTTTTCTCTTCCATAGAGAGGTCTTGTTAATATTCACATCTCATCATGTCATTTCCCTGATGAACATTCTTCAAGTTCCCTGTGTCAGCTGCAGGTGGAATCTGAACTTCTTTTTTTTTGAGACAGAATCTTGCTCTTGTTGCCCAGGCTGGAGTGCAATGGTGCAATCTTGGCTCACCGCAACCTCTGCCTCCCAGGTTCCAGCGATTCTCCTGCCTCAGCCTCCTGAGTACCTGGGATTATAGGCGTGCACCACCACACCTGGCTAATTTTTGTATTTTTTTAGTAGAGATGGGGTTTCTCCATATTGGTCAGGCTGGTCTCGAACTGCTGACCTCAGGTGATCCACCTGCCTCAGCCTCCCAAAGTGCTGGGATTACAGGCATGAGCCACCGTGCCCGGCCCAGAATCTGAACTTCTGTGGCCAGGCAGAAAAGGTCCTGTGTTACTCGTCTCCTTTATCATTCATGTCCATATTCTCCCATTTGCTAACATTTATGTTTCTGCTCCACTGGATTCTTTGGATTTTTCTAGAACATACCCATGCTTTGCATTGCCTTGGTCTTTGAATATTTGGTCCACTTTTCCTGCAAAGTCCCCTCTCACCTTATCTTCCTGGTAAACTTCCAGCCAACACCTCTTTACTAACCAGAGAAACATGGTTCAACTGTGCACAGGCTTGCACAGAAACTGTTCTCATATTGTCTTGTCATTGTCAATGTGGCAGAGATGCACCTTAGATACCTCTTTGAGAAAGGACTCACTGCCCAGCTGCCTGGCACGTGATGAGCTGATAGCTCCAGCTATAGACTCCTTTAGGGTCAACCTCTGCTTTCCAGTTGAGATCATATCCTTTGCAGGGTGGCCTCCCCAGTGATGACTAAGGCAGTGTTACAATGGCCTAGTCATTTCCTCCCAATGCTGGACTCCCAATGAACCATCTGCTCCGGAGCTTCCCACTGGGCAGTCAGAGACCTTAGCTAGTCTGCCTCCGAATCAGAGGGCTCTCTCTGCCCACTCTGGCTTCCGCCTCTTTCTTTTCACAAGTCCTACTCCCCAGTGAAAGTTTTGAATTCCTAACTCCATCTCAGCATCCATTTTGTTTTTTGTTTGTTTGTTTTTTTCCTTTTTTTTGTTGAGACGGAGTTTCACTTTTGTTGCCCAGACTGGAGTGCGGTGGTGCGATCTCCGCTTACTGCAACCTCTGCCTCCCAGGTTCAAGCGATTCTCCTGCCTCAGCCTCCTGAGTAGCTGGAATTACAAGCATGCACCACCATGCCTGGCTAATTTTTGTATTTTTAGTAGAGACGGGGTTTCACCACGTTGGCCAGGCTGATCTCGAACTCTGACCTCAGGTGATCCATCTGCCTCAGCCTCCCAAAGTGCTGGGATTACAGGTGTGAACCACTGCGCCTGGCTCTTTTTTTTTTTTTAGGATGGAGTTTCACTCTATTGCCCAGGCTGGAGTTCAATCTCGGCTCACCACAACCTCCACCTCCAGGGTTCAAGCAATTCTCCTGCCTCAGCCTCCCGAGTAGCTGGGATTACAGGTGCATGCCACCATGCCCAGCTAATTTTTGTATTTTTAGTAGAGATGGGGTTTCACCATGCTGGCCAGGCTGGTCCCGAACTCCTGACCTCGTGATCCACCCGCCTTGGCCTCTCATAGTGCTGGGATTACAGGTGTGACCCACCGTGCCGGGCCTATGGGTTTTCAATAGTGGTCCAAGAAAGTAGTTGGTAAGACGGGGTTTGGGGGCTGGATCACTCCACCACCAACTGGCAATGAGGCCACGCCCCAGGAGTTAAGTGAGCATGGAAAGTCCCCAGCACATGTTGGTGGCCCTATTGTTAAACATTTCACTGATGCTGACGTGGGAGAATGTACCAGTGAAGGGGAATGAACTGGCTTATGTGATAAGTCAGGCATTTGAAAGGTACACAGGGGAGAAAAACATTCTATACAATATGGATATTATATGATGTATAATATATATGAATATAGAATATATGAATTATAGATAGATACATGGAAATGAACAATTGCATTGGTGATCTACAGACACATAATGAAAAGCTGAGGGCAATTAACAAACAATTGAAAACTAAGTGTGAAAGCCAGAGGATTTCTTTGGCAGCTGATGAAGAATCCTTCATGTCCTCTGCTCGGTGAAGAAAAGGAACTGAAGATGAAGCCATGAGTTAATAGAGTGGCTGCACTCCAAAGATGGCTGAATGCTCTAGCGATTCAGATCTCTGGGACCCCGACACATGGGATGGGACCTCGAGGTGGGTGCCCCTGAACATTCTGAAGCCCTGAGCTTCTCTGGCTCTCAGAACCTGCAGAGGTGGCTCATCCCCTACACTTGAGAGTACTCCCTCCTCCTCTGTGTTGGGGGACAATGCAGAGGTCTTTTTTTTTTTTTTTTTTTTTTTGAGATGGAGTCTCACTCTGTCGCCTGGCTGGAGTGCAGTGGTGTGATCTCGGCTCACTGCAACCTCCGCCTCCTGGGTTCAAGCGATTCTCCTGCCTCAGTCTTCCTCAGTAGCTGGGACTACAGGCACGTGCCACCACGTCCAGCTAATTTTTGTATTTTTAATACAGGGTTTCACCATGTTGGTCAGGATGGTCTTGATCTCTTGAGCTTGTGATCCGCCCTCCTTGGCCTCCCAAAGCACTGGGATTACAGGCCTGAGCCATGGCACCCGGCCTGACAAGGCAGAGGTCTTTCCCCTACAAGGCAACAGGTGTCCCTAGGCAGCTGCCTTCACCTCATCCTCTGGCTGCTAGACTTAACTCCTGGGGTGTGGCCCTCATTGCCAGTGGGTAGCTAGACTTTACTACTGGGTTAAATCGTTGCGTAGTTTGCCTGGGGATATGCTAGTTGGATACAGGAGGAAAGGTGCTATATTCCAAAGGAGCTGTAAGATCTAGTCAACAGGTGCCAGCAGAGGCTGTGGGAGTACTTGTGGGCCTGGATTCTGAGAGCTTCATGGGACTGGAGAAGGGAGCTATAAGGCACAGGATTTAACCCCCTGGTAAGGACCCCAGGGAGGGTGCAAGATAACTGCTAGGGTGGTTCATTGAAGCCTGGACAAAGTGGCAGGTCAAGCTGAGTGAGGTTGAAATATCTGAATTGCCGGGGAAGAGGGCAGAGAAAGGGATCAAAAGCCTTGGGAAAGTGGGTGGGCATTTGGAATGGAGGCAGTATGTTAGGCAAAAGAGAATAGGATTCTATGGGGAGACAGGGGAACACACCATTTGCCACGGTCATGACTAGGTTGTTCAGTGTTGGCCCTCCCCTGCAGGCCAGGACTGATGCTGGGAGAGGCAGGCACAGAACTTGGTTTGCTGATTGTACTGGAGAGGATAGGGCTGGGGCAATAGAGAGCAGGGCGCAGCACTTAGCGGTCAGAAGACAGGGGTCAGAACAACTGTAGCAGCAGAGAAGGTCAGAGTGATAATTACAGAGGTTTGATGTTCAGACAGTTATGGAGATGGCTAAGAGAACACAGTGTCTCCAGTGGAAAAGTAGACAAGCAGCCCAAAGGGAACTGTTATGTATAGAAGTACAGTTGGCCCTCTGTATCCATAGATTCTGCATCTGTGGATTCAACCAATTGTGGGTGGAAAATATATATATATTTTAAATTTTGTGTGGCTGAGTGCAGTAGCTCACACCTGTAATCCCAGCACTTTGGGAGGCCGAGGCAGGAGGATTGCTGGAGACCAGGCATTCAAGATCAGCCTGGGCAACATGGTGAGACCCTGTTGCCACAAAAGATTGAAAACAAAAATTCATCTGCACCGAACATGTACAGACATTTTTTGTTCTTGTCATTATTCCCTTAAAAATACAGTATAACTACTATTTACATAGCATTTACATTATATTAGGTATTATAAGTACTCGGGATTATTTATTCAGGAGGATGTGTGTAGGTGTGTGCAAATACCGTGCCTTTTTTTTTTTCTTTTTTTGAAACAGAGTCTCACTCTGTCGCCCAGGCTAGAGTGTAGTGGCGTGATGTCAGCTCACTGCAACCTCCGCCTCCCAGGTTCCAGTGATTCTCCCGCCTCAGCCTCCCAAGTAACTGGGATTACAGGCGCCCACCACCACGCCCAGCTAATTTTTGTATTTTTAGTAGAGACGGGGTTTCACCATGTTGGCCAGGCTGGTCTCTAACTCCTGACCTCGAGATCCACCCACCTCGACCTCCCAAAGTGCTGGGATTACAGGCATGAGCCACCATGCCTGGCCAATACTGTGCCATTTTATTATCAGGGACTTGAGCATCCATGGATTTTGGCATCCATAGGGGTCCTGTAACCAATACTGCACAAATACCAAGGGACAACTGTATTCAAAAAAGACCAAAAATTAATAAGCAGGAGGCTGAGGGTAGTTGCCCCAATAAAGTCATGATCCCTTGCCCAGTGTCTGAACCTCAGCCAGTTTTCAGACTCAGGACCTATTGGCTGCAGAGGTGGTTGGAACCATAGGAGAATCCTGCAATATCATGGCAAGTATGCACTTTAATGATATCTGCAGTCCTTCCCCAAAAGGACCTTACATTTACCATAGTGCTATGTCCTGGGTAAGAGGGTAATACTCAGATTTTTTTTTTTTTTTTTTTTAGACAACGTCTTACTGTGTTGCCCAGGCTGGAGTGCAGTGGCGCGATCTTGGCTTACTGCAACCTCCATCTCCTGGGTTCAAGTGATTCTCCCACCTCAGCCTCTGGAGTAGCTGGGATTACAGGTGAGCACCACCACACCTGGCTAATTTTTGTATTTTTATTAGAGATGGGGTTTCACCATGTTGGCCAGGGTGGTCTTGAACTCCTGACCTCAAGTGATCCACCTACCTCTGCCTACCTAAGTCCTGGGATTACAGGCATGTGTCACCACGCCCAGCCAAGATAATATTCAGATATTTCAAGGACAGTTGGACACAGAGTCTGAGTTGATGTTGCTGTCCAGAGGCCTGAAGTGTTATCATGGTGCCTCTGTTAGTTTAGAGCATATGGAGTCCTGGCCAAAAACTCTGCTTACAGGGGGGTTATGATGTTCATAGACTCATCTGATGGCCTGTGGAACAGAGATTGACAAACTTGGTAGTTGGGGTAACCTCCACATTGGAACCTTTGCCTATAGGTTAAGTGCCATGAGAGCGGTAAAGCCCAGACACAATCCTCTGAAACTGCCACTGACCAGCCAGAATAAAAACACAAAACAGTAAAAAAACAGTATATCAAAAACAGTATCTATCACATTCTGAGGGGAAAGGTGGAAATGAATGCCATACTTAAGAATCTGAAGGCTGCAGAGATGCTGGTCCTCATCTTATCTTCACATAATCAACAGTCTGGCCCCTGTTCGTCGTAGTGATAAGTGAGCCCCATTTGGGTACCAAGACCTCTGACTTTGTGGAGCCCAGAGGTGCAGGGATGGGAAGCACGAGTTCACCCAGGGGGTCATTGGGAGTGATGGCAAATGAGCCACTCTTACTTTTTTTCTTAAGAAACTCACAGTCTACACTCCTGCTTTTTAACTCCTTTGTTCCTAGGTCCATCTGTTCTTCCTACTGAGGTTGTAGCAACATATAAAGGTTTCTGATCCAGTTAGCATTCTGTGCCCTGGAGGATGGTGCCTCCAAGCCAGCACTCCAACTGTGCCACCAACAAGTCATTCCAAAGAGCTAGCATGCCGGCAGCTTCTGATGGTGTGGCAGGTGAGACCACCAGTGATCTCATGATCATGGCCTTACTTTGCTGTAAAGGGAATTCCCTGGTCAGATGCTGCATTAACTACACGTCCTCATCTTTTGTATTCTTGGTGTTCTGGCATTTGGGATCTTGATCCTGCCTCTCTCAGGGCTAGCTAACTCCTAGAAATAGCAAACAACCTCCCTGCAAGCACGTCCTTGATAGGAAAACCAACCAATCCAAGTCCACATCCCCAACCGTGTCCTTTATCAAATTCTCATATATCAAGCCAATATTCCCCCGCCCTAAATCACCCCAGGGCCGTGTACCAAACAATTGGGGATCACTCTTTTTTTTTTTTTTTTTTTCAGACAGCGTCTTCCTCTTTTGCCCAGGCTGGAGTGCAGTGATGCGATCTCAGCTCACTGCAAGCTCCGCCTCCCGGGTTCACGTCATTCTCCTGCCTCAGCCTCCCGAGTAGCTGGGACTACAGGCGTCCGCCACCACGCCCAGCTAATTTTTTGTATTTTTAGTAGAGACAGGGTTTCACCGTGTTAGCCAGGATGGTTTCGATCTCCTGACCTCGTGATCCGCCCGCCTCGGCCTCCCAAAGTGCTGGGATTACAGGCGTGAGCCACCGCGCCCGGCAGGGATCACTCTTTATAGCCCAGGGCCTGCCAAAACGATTTCATCTCTCCAATCCTGGACTCAGCATACCTACCCTGCCTTGTCTGCTACTCTCCATGAGAACCCCCATAGAGGCTCCGGGCTGCGCTCTGCCCTCACCTCTCTTTTGCCTCCTGATCAATCCCAGTCCTTCTTCACGTGGCCGTGCATGGTGTGCTGTGCCTCCTGTTTCCAGGATCTGTGAGGATAGACTTCCTTCTTCATTACAGTCATTTCCACGTCTGCATATTTGGCCATATCTGGTTAATACGAATCCTGGGTACATTTGCATAACAGATGCTCTGTTGTGTGGGATGACATGCCTGTGAATCAGGCATTCCATAAGCCTTTGGATAGCAGTGCTGGTTGAGACCTTATGGGAAAGAAAGGCAAACTTATACCCAGAATAGATGTCTATTCTCGTGAGAAAAAACTGCTGACCTTCTAGGATAGAAGGGTTCCAGTGAAGACAACTTGCCACCATGTGGCTGGTTGGTCTCTTTAAGAAGTAGTGCCATACCACAGGCTTAGCATGGATCTCTGTGCTGGCAGATTGGACATGCAGAGGCAGCAAGAGCTGGACTGACCTTGTTAAGTGGGAATTCATGGTGTTGGGCCCATACATAGCCTCGGTCATTGCCCATTGTGCTGGGACCGGGGTAGGCACTGACAAAGGCTGGCTACTGTCAACTGGCTGAGTCATTTTGTCCACTGAAGGCCTGGCCACTTCCATGGTGGATGCTTTCTTGGACCACTCCCAGTTCCAAATGTTTGGTTGAGCTCTTTAGAAAGCAGGTGTGAGACAGAGTTAGGCAGCAGACATTTGATTGAGGAGTAACACCTGTGAAGAAAAGGAGTAAAGCAAGATTGGGCGAGGGGAGGCTCAGATGGCCATGCAAATAAGACAAAATCTCTGCCAGCCCAGTGGGGCGGCTCCAGGCAAAGACTGGTAAAGGCTAGGCCCTTGGACTGCCACTGTGCTCAGTTATGGGCTGGGGCTTGCTCCCAAAATAGGGTGACCTTGGCTCCAACACTGAGGCAGATCCTGACAAAGCCAACAGCTGGAGGCTGCCTGCCAACCACACTCCTTGCAGCTGGGCAGCACATCTTTCCTCAAAGGAGGGTCTGGACAGGACATTTTCCTTGTTACCAGGGGCTCAGACTCATCAAGAATGAGGGCTAGGGTCACCCCACAGCTAGACCATGAGGGCCGACAGAGGTGGGAGCTGAGGGCAGGGCAATTTAGAAGGAATAGCGGAGGGAGCCAAGCACCAGTGGTGGCCCTGAGGCCAGTAGCAGTGAATGAGGTCTCTATTTCATGCTCGTAACTTCCCTCTTGTACAGAGGCCCCCCAGATCCCTGGGGGAGCTGCTCCCCACATGTGTCCACATTACCGTGACATGTGGACTGTGGCAGACATGGGGCTGCTCTGCTCCATTCTCCTTTGAGAAAGTATTGCTGCCCAGCCGCGAGGAGTGTGATGAGTTGACAGCCTCAGCGTCTGGGCTGGTGTTCAAGGTCAGCTGCAGCTTTTGAGCTGAGATCATGCTCTTCGAGGGGTGGCCCCAGCCAGAGACTGAGCTTGATGATAAGGGCCTGGCTGCTTCTGCCCTGTGAACGACTCTTCTAACAGAAAGTCTTGGACACCTTTGTTCCAGGGCTCCCCTGGGGCCGGCCAAGCTTTGTCACATCTGCACTGTGGTCTGGCAGCTCCCTGCCCCACCCACCTTTCCTTCCCTTTCCTCTCAGAGGCGTTGCTTACCAATGAGGCGTGGGTATTCCTGACTCTGTCTCAGCCTCTGCTTCTCAGAGAACTCCGCTGACACAGTCTGCATGGCACAGTCCTCTCTGATCTCGGAGGACACCTGTCTTTTTTTTTTTTTGAGACTGAGTCTCGCTCTGTCTCCCAGGCTAGAGTGCAGGGGCGTGATCTCGGCTCACTGCAACCTCCACCTCCCGGTTTCAAGCGATTCTCCTGCCTCAGCTTCCTGAGTAGCTAGGATTACAGGCACGCACCACCATGCCCGGCTACTTTTTGTATTTTTAGTAGAGACGGGGTTTCACCATGTTGGTCAGATTGGTCTTGAACTCCTGACCTTGTGATCCACCTGCCTCAGCTTCCCAAAGTGCTGGGATTACAGGCGTGAGCTACCGCACCCAGCCAGACACCTGTCTTAACAGCACGTGTTTCCTACATGTTTGTGGTCTGACCTACTGACCAGCTGAACGCCCAGCTCAGCTGGGTGTGAGTATGTTCTCTAGAGTATGGGACCAGAATTCCGAGTACGTTCTCTAGAGTATGGGACCTGCGGGCCACTGGGTGGGAAATAAACAGGAGACGCCCAGGCCCCAGCAGCCAGAGGGTTTTCTTGTGAGTTTGTGATTCTCAGGGACAGCTTTTTGGCTGGAGGACTTTGGCTGTCAGGTGTGGACTCTGCCGTGTGGACTCCATGTGGGCCTGGTTGTCTCCACACCACATCCTCCCCTGCTTCCCTAAGGGTCAGATGAAGAAAGAGAGACTTCTAGACTAGGTTCCAGGGACTGAGACAGCAAGTGGTCACAGAGCCCAGCACCTCCAAAACAGGAGCTGCACTCGGAGAGCAGCTGGTGCCCCCAGAGACCAACAGCAAGGGGCAGTGTTTCAAGGAGTGTTGGGGGCCGAAGAGCCCTTCCTGGGTCACTCTTCCATTAAGACTGAAAGTAGGGGACTGGGCGCAGTGGCTGATGCCTGTAATCCCAGCACTTTGGGAGGTCAAGGCGGGTGGATCACCTGAGGTCAGGAGTTCGAGACCAGCCTGGCCAACATGATGAAACCCCATCTCTATGAAAAATATGAAAATTAGCTAGGCACGGTGGCACGTGCCTGTAATCCCAGCTACTCAGGAGGCTGAGACAGTAGAATCACTTGAACCCGGGGGGCAGAGGTTGCAGTGAGCTGAGATCACCCCATTGCACTCCAGCCTGGAGAACAAGCGTGAAACTCCTTCTCAAAAAAAAAAAAAAAAAAAGACTGAAAGTAGGGAGGGCAGGGATGGGCCCTTTTATCAGTGGCCTTTATGGTTACAGAGGGGGCTCCAGGGAGAAGACTAAACAACCTTCCTCAGCCTCCGCAGCCTCCGCAGGCAAAGCATAGACACCCTTTCCCAGCAAGAGGAGTGAGGCTCACTCCCAGTGACCTGCATCCTACTTGGCCGTTGATTTTGTGTGTGTGTGGAGTCGGGGGGGGTCTCATTATGTTGCCCAGGCTGGTCTCGAACCCCTGGCATCAAACAATCCTCCCACCTCAGCCTCTTGAAGTGTTGGGATTACAGCAGGAGCCACCATGCCCAGTAATTTTTGTCACTTGTTCTATTAGGGGAAATCATGTGAAACCGCTATTTTTATAAGTTGAAAAAACAGTGAAATACTGCCAATTTTGTATATGCTTAATATATAGAGCTGAATTTAAGTTAGGAATAGGTATTCCCAGTTTAGGGTATCTATTTATGAACCTTTCCCGTAGCCGCCATTCCTGGAGCGCCTCCTACAGGTCAGCCACCAAACAGAGCACTTACCATGTGTGTCTGATTGTATTCTCACAGCAGCCCGGAGTATGCACAATTATTATCCCCATTTTACAGGTGAAGAAAGAGAGGCACAGAGAGACCAGGAACACACAGCTAGTGAGTGACAGAGGTGGGACGTAGACCTACATCTCTCTGAACTGTGAACCTGTGTCTCTGACCCTGGTGCACGCTGCTCTCCCAGGGTCCTCTGTGTAGCCTCCCGGGGACGGAGCGGGGAGTGAGCACTGGAATTTGGGTTAAAGAACCTATTCAGGGCTGGGTGCGGTGGCTCACGCCTGTAATCCCAGCACTTTGGGAGGCCGAGGCAGGTGGATCACCCGAGGTCAGGAGTTCAAGACCAGCCTGGCCAACATTGTGAAACCCCATCTCTACTAAAAATACAAAAATTAGCTGGGCGTGTTGGCAGGCACCTGTAATCCCAGCTACTTGGGAGGCTGAGACAAGAGAATCGCCTGAACCCAGGAGGCAGAGGTTGTAGTGAGCCGAGAGCTGAGATCACACCACTGCACTCCAGCCTGGGAGACAGAGCGAGACTCTGTCTCAAAAAAAAAAAGAAAGAAAGAAAGAAAGAAAACCTATTCAGAGAGCTCTGGACCAAGTGGCCCCTATGTGACAATCAGGGTCAAAGATAGACTTTTTGGCGTCTAAAGCGGATATAATTTGTGGGACCCTCTTTAGGAAAGATGATATGAAAAATCTTAGTTTTGCAAATTTTGCACAAAATATATGTCCATAATGAGCATTTTGCTACGACTGCTCCCTGGCTTTAGAAGGGACTTGTGTAAGGGAGGGATCCTGAAGCTTAAGCTACATTATCCAGGTTCTGACATGCAGAGGGTCCGGGGTCCGCTGGTCTGTGTGTATAAAACCTTAACTCCTTGTTGGCCATGTCCTTGGCAAAGGGAACCGCTGCTTCCTGTCGTGGCCACCAGGTGGAGGCGCTCCCTTGGGAACTGTTTGCAGAGGTGCCTCACCCTCCCAGTTCCCTTCCTTGGCATTCTCTGCACCAGTGTGGCTCCCCGCTGTTACCCTCAGGGCCACCTCTGATCTGAGGGAGGAGTGGTCGCTGATGAGGCCTTGTCTGCATCCTGTGGCCTCCCCTTGCAAAGAATAACTCGCAGGGAAAGGAAAGTACAGCAGCTGGAGGCAGCATGTGGATTCTACCTGCATTATACCAAGGAGGAAACTTTTGTTCCCCCAGGCATCCCTGACCTTATAGAAAATTCCACAAGTTAAAAGTAGGTAGGCCGGGTATGGTGGCTTATGCTTGTAATCCTAGCACTTTGGGAGGCTGAAGTAGGCAGATTGCTTGAGCCCAGGAGTTCAAGACCAGCCTGGGTAACATGAAGAAACCCCATCTCTACAAAAAATACAAAAACAAAAAAATTAGCAGGGTGTAGTGGTGCGTACCTGTAGTCCCAGCTACTAGGGAGGCCGAGGTGGGAGAATCACCTGAGCCTGAGGAGGTTGAGGCTGCAGCGAGCCACGATTGTGCCACTGTGCTCCAGCTTGGGCAACAGAGTGAGACTTCGTCTCAAAAAAAAAAAAAGGTAGCTAAATGTTTGGACTAGAAACATATAAGCCCAGGCATGGTAGCTCACACCTGTTATCCCAGCACTTTGGGAGGCTGAGGCGGGCAGATCAACTGAGGTTGGGAGTTCGAGACCAGCCTTATCAACATGGAGAAACCCCGTCTCTACTAAAAATACAAAATTAGCCAGGCGTGGTGGTGCGTACCTGTAATCCCAGCTACTTGGGAGGTTGAGGCAGGAGAATCACTTGAACCTGGGAGGTGGAGGTTGTGGTGAGTTGAGATCGTGCCATTGTACTCCAGCCTGGGCAACAGGAGCAAAATTCCATCTCAAAAACAAAATAAAATAAAATAAAACTTATCTTTAATTCAGATTTAAGAATAGAGGGCATGAAACTCTCGTGTAGGTAGGTGCATCTGGGTTCTGTGCTGTAGGTTTGGAGAGGAAGCTCCCGGGAGGGCCATGGCCCTGTACGTGGTCTCTCTCCTCGCAGCTGTGAGCTCCTGGAACTCAGGACTGATCTTCGTCTATTTGATACCCCTTTATCTAGCATACTGAGGTTCTCGGTGTTTCCAGAATGCATAAGAGAACAGAGTAAGAGGGGGATGGAAAATGAGAGGGAAGGAAGTGGTGAGATATGAAAGGAAAGACTGACACTGATACAACTTCTTCAAAAGAATTCTGGGCTGGGTGCGGTGGCTCATGCCTGCAATTCCAGCACTTTGGGAGGCCAAGGTGGGCAGATCATGAGGTCAGGAGTTCAAGACCATCCTGGCCAACATGGTGAAACCCCATCTCTACTAAAAATACAAAAAAATAAAATAAAATTAGCCAGTCGTGGTGGCAGATGCCTGTAATTCCAGCTACTCAGGAGGCTGAGGCAGGAGGATCACCTGAACCCAGGAGGTGGAGGTTGCAGTGAGCCGAGATCACGCCACTGCACTCCAGCCTGAACGACACAGCAAGACTCCATCTCGAAAAATTACAAACAAACAAAAAAGAATTCTGAGTGTCTACTCTTTTTAGGACTTTAGAAATAAAGAGAAGAGGATATAAAGATAAACAAACAGATGTTCCCACAGTCAGTTAATTCACTCTTTTGTGAAAAAGAAAGATATACAAGTCACCAGGGTACTGGTTTAAAAAACTAACAAAACAGAAAATGTGAAAGAAAATATAAGATCTATAGAGGATCATCAATCCTAGGACTCCAACGTCTATAGTAATTGTAGAAACTAGGAACAGAAACATATAGGGGAGGGAGGAATTTTCCAAATATAAAACAAGAAAACTTGCTAGAACTAAAGAACATTTGACTTCCATCAAAGAATAATGAATGAAAAATAATTTCATCGATTGGGGTATTGGGGTATTGGGCCAAGCATATGACACAGGACTTCCTGGAGGGAAGCCCAGCCTCCTCGCCACCTGGAGATTTTCTGGTGCTCCTAGAATCAAGCATGACTAGTAAAAATATTGAGAATCCTACATGACTCTTGTTCCTTTGTAGGTGACATGTTAGTGTGTTTGTTTATATCTCTGGAATCTTGAAAAGTCTCTGAAACCCCAGCATGTTAAACTTCCATGCTGATGATGTGGGCGTGCCTGGGCAGAGTTATTTGTCATTCATTATTCTTTGATGGAAGTCAAATGTTCTTTGGTTCTAGGAAGTTTTCTTGTTTTATATTTTGAAAATTCTTGCCCCTGCCCCATATGTTTCTGTTCCTAGTTTCTGGGGTTACTATTAGTCAGGCGTTGGAGTTATGAATTGATCCTCTGTAGATCTTATCTTTTCTTTCACATTTTCTGTTTTGTTAGTTTTTAAAATCTATTTTCTCATCTACCAACCCTTCTATTTAAGTTATTTTTCAGTGATTATATTTTTCACTTCCGAGAGCTCTAGGTTGCTTACTAAATTTTCTTATTTTAGAGCTTTCTGTTCTTTTTTGTGCTCGTAATAGTTTCTCAAATTTCTCTGAAAATACAATATGTAAAAAAGTATGTAAAAATGAAGTTTTCTCTTGTTCCCAAGCTATCCTTGTTTTCTTTAGGGTCATTCTTCCTGTTTCATTTTTTTTCTCTCAGCTTTTTGTTTTAAAAATGTTCAAACACACATATAAGTTGAAAGAAGAGTGCAATGGATACTTATATATCCTTTTCTTAATCGTTATTAATTAATATTTTGCCACATTTGCTTTCTTTCTCTCTTTTTGGTTTTTTGGCTGAATTGTTTGAAAACAACTGCAGACATCACAACATTTTACTCCTAAATATTTGTGCATTTCCTTTAAGAATAAGGACATTCTCCTTCAGGACCACAAGATTGTTATCACACCCCAAACACTTAGTATGAATTGAAGAATATTTTCTGTTGTTCTTTCTTTCTTTCTTCCTTTTTGTTTTTTTTTTTTTTTTTTTTTTGAGATGGAGTTTTGCTCTTGTTGCCCAGGCTGGAGTGCAGTGGCATGATCTGGGCTCACCACAACCTCCACCTCCCGGGTTCAAGCAATACTCCTGCCTCAGCCTCCTAAGTAGCTGGGATTTCGGGCATGCGCCACCATACCTAGCTAATTTTGTATTTTTAGTAGAGATGGAGTTTCTCCATATTGGTCAGGCTGGTCTCAAACTCCTGACCTCAGGTGATCCACCCGCCTCGGCCTCCCAAGGTGCTAGGATTACAGGCGTGAGCCTCCGTGCCCGGCTGAAGAATATTTTCTAATATACAATTCATATTTAAGTTCCTCATTTGTGCCCACTGTTACTTTAATAGCATTTGTTTCAGATCCTGGAACCAATCAAGAGTACATATTATAGTTCGCGATTATGTTTCCTTACTCTTTTTTAACCTAGAACAGTCCCCTTCCCCTGCCCCTTACCAATATTTTGGTGGTTTTTTATGTCATTACATTTCTGAAGAGCTCAGGCTAGCTCTCTTGTGGAAATTTCTACACTCTGGATTTATCTAATTGTATAAAGCAGGTTCGGCATTTTTCTAAAGAACACTTCCTAGTTAATTTTAAGATGGCGTGACATCAGGAAGCAGGTGCTTCCTCGTGATTAGATCCCGCCTGTGCACTGTCAGCAGCAACATCACATGCATAAAGCTGCATCCTTTTCAGGGCAGCACACTCAGGGACCCACATGTCCGCCTGCTTTTCATGGCTGATGTTGATTTTGACTACCCAGTCAAGGTGCTGCCTGCTTTATCCACTTATTTTTCCCTTGCAACTAATAAGCCATTTGGGGGGAGAAATGTTAAGACTATGTAGATATTCTGCTCTTCGTCAAACTTTGTACTGTTGATTTATCACCCATTTTCCTGACCTAGGCCATATCCTGCTGGTTGTAAAATGATGGTTTTCAAATTTAACCACTCCCTCTACATTGATCAGCACTTTCTGGCTCTACAAGATGTTCTAGACTCATCTTGTACTTTCCATATCCTAGTCCTAGAATCAGCCACTTCTCCAAGAATCCCTGGTTCTTTGAAGTGGTTGCCTTTATTATTGGAGGATACTTTCACTGGATATTAAATAGGTTATAGGTTGGCAGTCTCCACTCAGCCTTTGGTACTTTGAAGATGTTCCATTGTTTCTTGGCATTATTTATGATGAGGTCAGTGTTTTGTCGTGGTTTCATTAAACTTTTTTTTTTTTTTTTTTGAGACAGAGTCTCACTCCAGCCCAGACTGGAGTGCAGGGGCACGATTTTGGCTCACTGAAACCTCCACCTCCAGGGCTCAAGGAATCCTCCCACCCTAATTAGCCTCCTGAGTAGCTGGGACTACAGGCATGTGCCACCAGGCCCAGCTAATTTTTGTATCTTTTGTAGAGACAGGGTTTCGCCATGTTGCCTAGGCTGGACTGAAACTCCTGGACTCAAGTGATCCACCTGCCTCAGCCTCCCAAAATGCTGGAATTATAGATGTGAGCCACAGCACCCCGTCCTAAACATTTTTTTCGTTCGATGTTTCATTTTTCTCTGACCGCTTTTACAATTGTTTTACTTATCTTCGGTTTTTAGTATTTGAGCTTCTTGGATCTGTGTGGTGATATTTTTTCATTATATTTCTTCAAATACACTTTTTTCCTGCCACAGTGTCTCACCTCCCCTACTGGGACTTCAGTTACACGCATGTTAGACTGCTTAATGTCCCACAGGTCACGAAGGCTCTGTTCACTTCTTTGCAATCTTTTTGTTTCTCTCCGTGATTCACTTTGGATAGCTCTGTTGCCTTCCCTTCAAATTTATGGACTTTTTTTCCTGCAGTGTCTGATCTGCGCTTAAACTCATTCAGTAAATGTTTCACTTCTGATACTGTATTTTCTAATTCTAGAGTATCCATTTTGTCCTTTTCCATAGTTTCCATTTATCTAATCAGTTTCCCCATTTGTTTACTATATTCAGCTTTTCCCTTTAAGTCCTTAACCATATTTGAACATATTTATAATGGATGTTTTAAGATCTGTGTCTGTTAATTCCAGCATCTCTAACATTTCTTGGTTTGTTTTTCTCAACTTTTTTTTCTCCTGATTATGTGTTACATTTTACTGCTAGTTCACCTCTTCAGTGATTTTTTTTTAATTGTATGTGTTACATTATAGACGCTGTGTTGTTGGGATTATGTGGTTTTCCTTTAAAATGTGTTGGGGTTTGTTTTAGCAAGCAATCAATTTACTGGTAGATCAGCATTTTTTTTTTTTTGAGGCTTGTTTTAAGCTATGTTAGGGCTGATTGAGATTACTCCTTTCTTTTACTAGGAATAACCTTAGGAGAGAATAGCTCTATTCCCAAGATGTGGACTTTCTGAAGGTTTGACCAAATTCTGTACTGCCCAGCTACTCTGGCTAGTTGGAACTTCCGTGTCTCTCAGTACTGTGAGAACTCTGTGTAGCTCCCGACTCCCTAACATCTGTCCTCTACCGTGCCTTGCACACGAACGCAGAAATGAGTCTGCATTCTCAGTTGAGTATTTAGCTCAAGACTTAAGGGGAATCCTATGTCGATTTCCGCAGCTCCTTCTCTGTGCAACTCTCTCTTTTCGGTATCCTGCCCCACAACTTTCAGCTGCCTCAGAAGGCTTAAAATCAAATGTCTGCCTTCTCAGCTCAATGAGCTCACTGTGCTGTACTTGGGCTCTGCCTTTCTGTACTGTGGTCTAGAACATGGATCTCACATGGATTTCTCTTTTCACAGGGATCCCGGTTTTGTACTACCTGTTGCCCAATATCTGAAAAAAATTTTATTTATATATGTCATCTAGTTTTTATTGTTTCCAATGGCAAGAAGGCTAGTCCAGTACTAGTCTCTCATGTCTAGAACTGTTAAGAAATTTTAAATGCCAACTACTGTACAACTTTTGAAAAAGCACACTTTTTGAATTCTTATTTCTTCTGTTAGCTTTGGTAAATTTTTTTAGAAAGTTGACTAATTTATCCAAAGTGCAAACTATACTGGTGTAAAGTTGTTTATAATATCCTCTTATTATCTCTTAATGTTTGTAGGATCTGTAGTGATTTCCCGTTTTTTATTCCTGACATTGCTTTTATGTGTATATGTATTTTTTTTTCCTTTTTTCTTGGTCAGTGTTACCAAGAGCTTACTAATCTTTTCATTGAACACTTGGCTTTGTTGGTCTTCTTCTTCCTCCTCCTCCTCCTCCTCTGCCTCCTCCTCCTCTTCTTCTTCCTCCTCCTTCTCTTCCTCCTCCTCCTCCCCCTCTTATTCTTATTCTTCTTCCTCTTATTTTTATTCCATGGATTTCTGCTCTTATATGTATTTTCTATTTTCTCTCTTGTACAGCTATTCTGTTACTAGTTTTTGAGTTGGAAACTTAGATGACTGGTTTTTAGCCTTTCTTCTTTCCTAACATATGCATTCCAGGCTCTACATTCCCCTCGAAATGCTGCTTGAGCTGAATTATGTAAGTTTTGGTATGTTATATTTTCATTACCATTCAGTCTGAAATATTTTACAATTTTTGATGTATTTCTTCTTTGATCCACAGATTATTTAAAAGTATATTGCTTAATTTCCAGGCAATTGGAAATATTTGAATTATCTTTTTGTTATGGATTTTTAAAGCTTAATCCACTATAGTTAGAAAATATGCTCTGAATGGTTTAAGTCTTTTGAAATATATTGGAGAATCTGTTATGGCCTAGCACGCGGTCAATGTTAATACATTTTACATGTTCACTTGAAAAACTACGATAAGTATTTTGTCATTATTGAGTGTAAAGCTCTATATGTATCAACTGGGTCAAGTTTGTTTGTTTGTTTGTTTCCCTTCTTTTCCTCTATGAAGAAGAGTATATAAGCATGAAGACTTTATTGGGTTATTGGGTAATAATTCTGCAATTCCCCTCTCATGAGTGTTAAATAATTTTTATGCCTTTTTCTTTTTTTAATCTGTGTATTGTCAGTTACACAGCAACTGACAAACCTTCAGAGAATAAGGGGAAGCTTTCCTTTCTCTCCTACAAGTAGCACTGAAGAACCAGTTTGTAAAGTTCACATAATTTTTATTGTTACCTTTTAAATAGTTTACAGATTATTCTAAGAAAATCTTTTAATGTATCTCCATGACATTTTATAACACAAAAAAGAAAAATGCTAATTGTATGTATATTATAAAGTTTTACCATCATTTCTAAATTAAAAAGTATTAAATTGAGATCGAAACCACCTTTGCAAAATTATGACACTGAAGCAGTTTCATTGTCTGGGGTGAATACCTGGGGTTCGTCATCTTTTGTTAAGAAAATTTAGGACACAAGGAGTTTAGGAGCGGAGGTTTAATAGGCAGAAGAAAGAGAAAGGAGAACAGCTCTCTCTCTAGTGAGAGAGAGGGGCTCTGGGAAGGGAAAGATGACTGGGTCAAGTTTTTAAGTGTGTTGTTCATACTTTTATATCCTTATCAGTTTTTTTGGTGTGTATACCTTTTCTATCAAGATGTTGAGCGAGAAGTATTAAAATTTTCCTCTATGACTGTGAATTTGTCTTTTTCTCCTTTAGTTCTGCCTAGTTTTCTTTATATATTTTAAAGCTATGTTATCGGCTACATATAGATTTACGACTGTGATGTCTTCCTATTCAATTGGCCACTTTATCATTATGAAATGAACTTATTTCTACTAGAGCTTCATGGCTTAATGTCTACATTGCTTAACATTAGTATCACTATCTTTGGGTAAGCTTTTATGTGGAATATAATATTTCCATCCTTTTGCTTTCAACCATCTGTGTCCTTCTATTTAGTGTGTGTCTTTTGTAAGCAATACTTAATTTTTTTTTTTTTTGACGGAGTCTTGCACTGTCTCCTGGGCTGGAGTACAGTGACGCAATCTCGGCTCACTGCAACGTCCGCCTCCCGGGTTCAATTGACTCTCCTGCTCAGCCTCCCAAGTAGCTGGGATTACAGGCCCTTGCCACCACACCCAGCTAATTTTTTTTGTATTTTTGGTAGAAACGGGGTTTCACTATGTTGGCCAAGCCAGTCTCAAACTCCTGACCTCGTGATCTGCCCGCCTCTGCCTCCCAAAGTGCTGGGATTATAGGTGTGAGCCACCATGGCCGGCCACAAACATTTTTTTTAATTGAAAGGCAGTGACATTGGCTAATAAGCAGTTTTTTGTTTTGTTTTTTTGTTTTTTTTGGATGGAGTCTTACTCTGTCATCCAGCTTGGAGTGCTGGGGCATGATCTTGGCTCACTGCAACCGCCGTCTCCCAGGTTCAAGCGATTCTCCTGCCTCAGCCTCCCAAGTAGCTGGGACTACAGGTGCCTGCCACCATGCCAGGCTAATTTTTTTGTGTGTTTTTTAGTAGAGATGGGGTTTCACCAAGTTGACCAGGCTGATTTTGAACTCCTGACCTCAGGTGATCCACCTCCCTTGGCCTCTCAAAGTGCTGGGATTACAGGCATGAGCCACTGTGCCCAGCCATAAGCCATAGGCAGTATTTTTAAAACCCAGTTTGACAACATTAGCCTTTTACTTGCAATATTTAGTCCATTTGCATTTACTGTTATTCCAGATAAGGTTTGGTTTACAATTACTCTCTGTTTGCATGTTATTTGACACATCTGTTTTATGTCTCTTCTTTTCTTCCTTTCTTGGCTTCTTTTAGATTAATAAAATATTTTTTATAATTATTTTTTCTCGTATTAACTTACAGTTATGCATTCTTTTACTATTCTTTGAGTTTTGCACTAGAGATTATCACATAGGATGACCACTTGATTTTCTTTACTTTGTATGTGATTTGGAATTTTTGCTAACAGAATGTTTTCTTTCTGTTTATAATAGCTTTACTCAGATATGTCTCAGAGGTGGCCATTCTGGTCAATTTTCTTGTGTATATAAATACATTCAACATCTAGATTTAGTCCTTTTTTAATTCCAGAAAGTTTTCTTAGATTATAATTTTCATGGTTAAACACTTTATATTTTATTTTATTTATTTATTTATTTTGAGACACAGTTTCGCTCTTATTATCCAGGCTGGAGTGCAATGGCGCAATCTCGGCTCACTGGAACCTTTGGCTCCCAGGTTCAAGCGATTCTCCTGCCTCAGCCTCCTGAGTAGCTGGGACTACAGGCACCCCAAACCACGCCCGGCTAATTTTTGTATTTTTAGTAGAGACTGGGTTTCCCCTTGCTGACCAGGCTAGTCTCAAACTCCTGACCTCAGGTGATCTCCCCACCTTGGCCTCCCAAAGTGCTGGGATTACAGACGTGAGCCACCACGTCCAGCCAACCTTAACTACTCACGTCCAGCCAACCTTAACTACTTTTAAGTGTACAATTTGATGGGTTTTGACAAATAATTTATAGTTGTGTGATCATTGCCACAATCATTATTGGATTATAGTTTTAAATATTATTTCTGTCCCATCGTTTTGTTTTGCTTTTTAGGCAATTCTAATTATATGTACAGTATATAATTTTTTGTTTATTTTCTATAGCTATCACTTTTTTCTCTGATTGTATTTTACCTGTTTATTTGTTTTTGTTTTCCTGCCTATATCCCTTATTATATTTTCAGTTGAAGGTGAATCTATTTGCCTTTAGGCATCTTGTGATTTAATCTTTATTTCTGAAAAGGTTTAGTTTTTTCTTTTACTTTTTTCCTGAGTTTTATTAACTCACTTCATGAGTTATTTTTGTCCATTTCTGTCCTGATTTTTTGAATTTTGGTGTTCTTTTATATCTGTAAATACCTGTCTAATAATATTTAATTCATATTAGACACTGTGTCATAATTTTCCTGTCTCTTAGTTGTTTTGGCAGGTAAGAAATTCATTAGTTGAAGATAGTAGCCTCTGACTTTCTGTTTTCTTCTCATAGTGGCTTTGTGTAAGTGCTGCATGTCATTTTTGTTTACTCAAAAGTATATTGAATTTTTCTGGCCTATCAATAACAAGTGTTTCTTTGTGAGATGGGGATGAAGGACTTGAGTGGCTTACTAAGATTCTTCGTTCAAGAATGCCCTCTTCTATTGGTACCGTGAAGTTCAATTTTCATGAATAGATGGTGCTTTTGTGAGAGAGAGGTTGGTATGTCTTTTGATTCTGATTCTCTTTTGTTTCTGTGCGACTCTGGCTTTCCACCAGTTTGTTCCTTTCTTTTCTTTACCTCTCAGTTTCTTTACCTTCTACGTTGATTTCCTCTCCCCAGACGTGGTGACTTTCCAAGACTGTACTTCCAGTCCTGTGCACTTCCAAAGCCTCTTCCTCGGGGCTCCTCAGCAGCTAGTGCTGACTCACCAGATCTATTCTCAGTACTTCTCCACTCAAGATGAGTGGATCGCAGACCTAGTAGTTTCCTCCACTCATTGTAGCATCCTACATGGAGTGATTTGAGGAACTGCTAGAAGATTTCGAGCAGAGAGAAGTGATTTTATTTGACTTGTGTTTTGAAGGGATGACTCTGGCTGATGGGTGAAGAACAGATTGGGGAGGGGCAAGGATGGAAGCAGAAAGTGTAGCTCGGGTGGCTATTACAATAATCTACATGAGAAATAACAGTGGCTTTGATTGGGATAGTACTAGTAGACGTCATGAGATTTTGGATTTTTTTTTTTTTTGGAGACAGAGTCTCCTTCTGTCGCCCATGCTGGGGTGCAGTGGCGCTATCTCAGCTCATTGCAACCTCCACCTCCCGGGTTCAAGTGATTCTCCTGCCTCAGCCTCCTGAGTAGCTGAGATTACAGGCATGCATCACCATGCCTGGCTAATTTTTGTATTTTCAGTAGAGATGGGGTTTCACCATGGTGGCCAGGCTGGTCTCGAACTCCTGACCTCTAGTGATACACCTACCTCAATTTATTCTTTAAGTGTAGGAGTGTGTGACTTCACTCTTGCTGGGCATCGCCTTAGGTGCTGTTTATAATGTGGTATCTTATCGCTACAAAGAGCCCGTTTTGTCAATCTTATGATCTGTATTTTAACATTAATGCTGGTTAGTTGTATCTAAACTGCAAAAGGGAGGGGATATAATAGAGCTTGTCCAACCTCACATTCCATCATGGCCAGGAACTCGGTTTTAAGGTTTTTCTGGGGTCCTCTTGGCCAAGAGGGTGTCTATTCAGTCAATGGTGGGAGGGAGGAGAAGGCCTAGAATTTTATTTTTAGTTTGCAACGGAGGAACTTCTGAACTATTCAACAGGCAGGCAGGGCAGGCCTTGGACCATCTATTTCACTGCTGAGTCTGGAATTGGTAGAGTGTGTATGGAAAGGAGGACCTCAGGGAGCAGATCCAGCCACTCAGTGGACAGGGTTTAGCTTGAGCAAAGCGGGCTATGGTCCACAGTGGAGCTAGTCCTGTAAAGACACTAGGCAGAGTCTTGGGGCCAACTGCAGGGGCCATGAAGCAGAGCTCACACCCAGGTAAGGCCCTGGGGGTAGGTGATTGTGACTTGTGGGTGACCAGGTGGCAGGCCCTGGGGCAGTTCCCTTCAGAGCCAAGGCCCACCAGGTCGGGAGACTGCAGGCTGTCACTTGTGGGCTGGTCCTTTTGGGATCTAGAGCTGCAGTGGGCTCAGCAGGGGATGCAGGGAGCTTTGGCTGCAGGAAAGGAATTATCATATAAGGATACTGGCAGATTGCATGGAACCTAAGGATAGGAAGAGACGGGCCCTCGGGAGGATTAGGGAACTGGAAGGCAGGCACCAAGTTCCTTTCTCTCATTGTGGTGCCTATGCATCCTCTGTCTCCCTGGCTCTGCCAGATCTCTCCAGTACTCTTCTGTCTGCCTGGGTCGCTACCCTTTCCTTTCTCTTAGCTTTCTCTACTTTGCCTCAGGCCCAATAAAATCTGCCTCATTCTCTGAGATCTACAGGTGAAGGGCCCATGGAGTTTATCTCAGTCTCATGAGAGGGAACCAGTTGGTAACATCCACACCCCATGCATTTTGCATCCTCATATTGGGGACCAGGCAATCAGTTTGAGAGGTGACCTTGTCCAGTCATGGCCCCCAGGGTTGTGGGAGAAGGAATCTCTAAGAAGAGGGCATGGTCAGGAGAAACGATGAGTGGTTTTAGTTTTTGATCCACTTCGGGCAGTTTGCAGAGTAAGAATCTCTGCCCAGGCCCCACTGGGTTCACCAGCTTAGAATCCCTTTTACTGTCTTATTAAATTAACTTTTATTTTGTCGTAGCTTTTTGTAGACATATCAATTACATCAATAAGATGCATCCATTTTAAGTGCATAATTCAAAAAGGAAAATCACCCAGGAAAAGCAGAGCTCGTGTGTTCATCTGTTTCCTGTTGGTTATAGCAAAACACCTGAAACAGGAAATTTATAAAGAAAAGAAATTTATTTCTTACAGTTCTGGAGGCTAAGTTCAAGACTGAAGGGCCACATCTGGTGAGGGCCTTCTTGCTGGTGGTGACTCTCCATAGAGTCCCAAGGTGGCACAGGGCATCTCATAGTGAGGGGGCTGAGCATGCCAGCTCAGATCTCACTTCCTCTTCTTATAAAGCCACCAGTCCCACTCCCATGATAACCCATTAAGCTATGAATAGATTAATCCACCCATGAGGGCAGAGTCCTCATGATCTAATCACCTCTTAAGAGCCCCACCTCTCGATGCTGCCACATTGGGGATTAAGTTTCAACATGAGTTTTGCAGGGGATGTTACTACCATAGCAGCTGGTAAGACCAGGCACTGAGAAAATCGTCCTGTTTCCTCTGGAGTTCCCATCGAGAGCAGCTCCCCGAAGTTGTCTGTGCTATAATGAAAGTCTGAGATCTTAATCTGGCTCTGGAATAGGATAACAGCAGCTGAAGGGGAAAAACCAGTACCTGCCGTCTCCTGCCGGATAGGAGCTGGATGGCAGGACAAGTGGAAACCTGCTGAGGTTCCTTCACTGGGAAGGGAGTGTCATGCAAGAGACACAGAAGCCCCAAAGGGCCCACACGGAGCCACTAATAGCAGGATGGGGGCAGAAGCTTTGGAGACATAAAGACCAGGACTGGATTTTCAACTCCCCCTTTCCCTAGGCATGAAACACTGGAAAATTCACTCAGTCATCTGACACCGGGTACCTCACATAAAAATTAAGATAACAACATCTTACAGAGTGGGCGCTAAAATTAGAGATAATGTTTGCATGAATCACGGTGCTCTAAAAGCTGGCCATCGTCATCATTTTGGTCCGCGCACACACACACACGCACGCACATACACACGCACACATTAAAAAATAGACAGAGAGATAAAGTGAGTGCCTCCGTGGGTCTCCCCGAGGCATGAAGGTGCTGGATTGAATGTGCGTGGAGAATCTCAGGCAATGCTCTTACAGGTAATGGTACTGGGGGCCACGGGCCTTTCAAGGGCCTTAAGATAATGTTTCACACCTCAAATTAAATGATTGACTCAAAATACAAAATAAAAACTCTACAATTAAAATTGATGAAGGCGAAGTCATCTCCAATGCGACAAACTCATAAATGATACTTTATCCTTAGATGTAAACTCTACAAGAGTTATATAGGCTGTAGTATGTTGGTGTCAGAGTTCTAAGCTTTATATTTTGGCTCCACCACTGTGTGGTTCTGGGCAAGTCACTGAACCTCTCTGTGCCTTTTTCCTTATCTGTAAAATGGGAATAATAATAGTGCGTACTTCAAATAGTTATTGTAAAGTACTTAAAATGGTGTCTGGCACATAACAAGCCTGGCTATTATTATATTTATTAGGATGAAGGTGCATTTTAATATGCTTGATATAATTGGGGTAGGGCTTCCAGAAGTAAAAGGGTCTGAGCCTCATAAAGGCCTTAAAACAACTCTGATCACTTCTATGTGACTGTATTTTTATGTAAATCAGGTATAACTCAGATTGTAAACTACAGAGTGTGATTGCATCTTTATAAAAATTAATGGTTCTCTGCAGGATGGTACTGCTCCCAGAGGTATTTTGGAGATTTGCATGGCTTTTTCTTTTGTCATCATGAACAGGGGTTACTGCTGGCATTTAGTTGGGTCAGACTAGTACAACAAAGATTTCTCGTGTGTCCCTCAGGACTTTTATTTATATTTTATTTATTTATTTATTTTGAGACGGAATCTCGCTCTGTCACCCAGGCTGGAGTGCAATGGCGCGATCTCAGCTCACTGCAAACTCCGCCTCCCGGGTTCAAGTGATTCTCTCACCTCAGCCTTCTGAGTAGCTGAGATTACAGGTAGGCGCCACGATGCCCTGCTAATTTTCATATTTTTAGTAGAGACGGGGTTTCGCCCTGTTGGTCAGTCTGGCCTCAAACTCCAGACCTCAAGAGATCTGCCCGCCTCTGCTTTCCAAAGTGCTGGGATTATAGGTGTGAGCCACCGCTCCTGGTTCCTCAGGACTTTTAATACAACAAACCTGACCGGACATGGTGGCTCACGCTGGTAATTTCAGCACTTTGAGAGGCTGAGGTGGGTAGATCACTGGAGGTCAGGAGTTTGAGACCAGCCTAGGCAAAACCCCGTCTCTACTAAACATACAAAAATTAGTTGAGAATGGTGGTGTGTGCCTATAGCCCTAGCTACTCGGGAGGCTGAGGCAGGAGAATCGCTTGAACCTGGGGGGTGGAGGTTGCAGTGACTGAGATCTTGCCACTGCACTCTAGCCTGGGTGACAGAGCAAGACTCTGTCTCAAAAAATAATAAATAAATAAATAAATAAATAAATACAACAAACCTATTTATGACAATCCAATTTAAAATCTAACTGAACCTAGAATTATATAGGTGAAAAACCTGCTTCTAATTATTTGAGCCTAGAACGAATTCCATTTTATAAGTGAATACAAAGTGGGTTTTTTTTGTCAAGGTTTAGTAAGTACTAAATTTCCTAGGAAGCATCAAATGCATACATCAAGGAAATACGGCGCAGTGCTTTATTTGAAAATTTGTCAAGAGTTCACCATTTTGAAAAGTCACGGATGGCGATCCTGCTTATATTATTGGCATCATCTAATTAGTGTCCATTGTAACTGTCCTCTTCATGGCTACTACCTCTACACAGGAATATACTGATTTAGCCTCTATGGCAAAATGTCAAATATGGAGGAAAAGGGTGAGTATTATTCAGCTGAATGTTAAAAACTTGGTTTTTATATCTTCCCACATGTGGAGAGTTGTCAATATGCCTACTCTACACTTCTTTTAAAATAAACAGTGACCACAAGAAGACAGAAAATAAAGATTGTATAAAGAAATACATTTATAAAGTTGGCAGCATATCATACTTCTGAGATTTAAAGAAGTTTGAAACTAGAATAGCCACGGAATGTTAAAGAAAAATCTCTGAGTAGAAGGTAAAGTTGTTGCTAATTCTTTCAGCATAATATAAATGATTGCAGAATATGGTAAGCAGTATAATATTATAGAAAAAACTCAAATTACCAGTGGTTTATAGGTTATTAGAATGATAGGAAAAAATCCAACTGAAATTTTTTTCTTCACTGAATTCTGATGATACTGTTGTAAGAAAAATCAATGAGATGGTGAAACTGGTGAATATCAGCTGTGTAATGAGACCAGTGGAGCACATTTTCGTTACTAGTGGATAAGATCTCCCAGTGGAACGAGGAAGCTCTCCTGTTCACATGGATAAGGTTAAGAAATGAAAAAAGCCACAGTGAAAATTTATTTTCAAAATTACTGGCAATGTATACAAAGGCACTGACAGCATCCAAAACCCTTGGAATGTATTTCACAGAAAAAAGTAATTCCCTTTCCCATTGTCATTATATTGTACGTGCCACAGATTGAGCCTCAACTAGAATTTCTTGGCAACATGGGTTTGTAGGCCATTAAAAAAATTAGCACCAGATGTTTAGCACGTTGAGAAGACAAACATTTTGTGAAAATTGTATGTTATTTTATTTATTTTGAATTCCTTGTTGTTTTTCAAGATTTTCAGTGTTGCAATGATCTGCCTTTGAAGGCTTAACCTCTCTGAGACCTCTTGTAGTCTCTTATTTTACAGTTTCTTCTTCCAACTTAGCCTTTATTCTCCACCACCTGATGAAATAAAATAACCCTAGACCACAATGAAATAAACAGGGTCCAAAACTTCATCACGTAAAATGTACAGTTGCATTCTTTCAATGTTGATTTAAAAAAATGTCTTTCAGGAGGCTTGTACTATCAAAAAAAGGCACAAAGGTAAAAATATTGAAGCATATTATATACAATTATCCATATATCCAACTGAGCAAGTCCCAATTACGTTATTTTATTTCATTTTTATTCATTACTTTTCAACTTTTATTTTCGATTCAGTGGGTACATGTGCAGGTCTGTTACCAGGGTATATTGTACAATGCTGAGGTCTGGGGTAACAATGATCCCGACACGCAGCTACTGAGCATAGTACCCAACAGTTTTTCAACCTTGCCCCACTCTCTCCCTCCCCACTCAGTGGTCCCCAGTGTCTATTATTACCATCTTTATCTCCATGATTACCCAATGTTTAACTCTCACTTATAAGTGAGAACATATGGTACTTGTTTTTCTGTTCCTGCATTCATTTGCTTAGGATAATGACCTCCAGCTGCATCAATGTTGCTGCAAAGAACATGATTTTGTTCTTTTTTATGGCTGCATAGTATTCCTGGGGAGAGAGATATAGTATTTTCCTTTATATTATATATAACATATACATATAGAATATAATATTATGTGTATATAATAATATATAATATCATATATAATTATATTATGTATTATAGAATACATAATATTATATAATATAATTATAATATAATATATTATAATTATAATATAATTCATTTATATATTTTATACACACACACACACACACACACACACACACACACACACACACGTATTTTCTTTATCCAGTCCACTATTGATTGGCATCTAGGTTGATTCCATGTCTTTGCTGTTGTGACAGTGCTGTGATGAACACGTGAGTGCCTGTGTCTTTTTGGTAGAACGATTTTTCTTTTTAATATATACCCAATAATGAGATTGCTGGGTTGAATGGTAACTCTAAGTTCTCTGAGAAACCTCCACACTGCTTTCCACAGTGGCTGAACTAATTTACATTCCCACCAGCAGAGTATAAGCATTCCCTGTTCTCTGCAGCTTTGCTGGCATCTGTTGTTTTTTGATTTTTTAACAAGCCATTTAATAATTGCCATCTGGTGTGAGATGGTATCTCATTGTGGTTTTGACTTGCATTTCTCTGATGATCAGGGATGCAGAGCATTATTTCACATGCTTGTTGGCTGCTTGTATGTCCTCTTTTGAGAAGGGTCTGTTCATGTCTTTTGCCCACTTTTTAATGGGGTTTATTTTTTATTTGTTGAACCATTTAAGTTCCTTATAGATTCCCTCCCTCCCTCCCTTCCCCTGCTTTCTTTTTTAGTTCCTTACTTTTTTTTTTTTTGAGACGGAGTCTAGTTCTTTCCCTCAGGCTGGAGTGCAGTGGCGTGATCTCGGCTCACTGCAAGCTCCACCTCCCGGGTTCACGCCATTCTCCTGCCTCAGCATCCCGAGTAGCTGGGACTACAGGCGCCCACCACCACGCCTGGCTATTTTTGGTAGAGACTGGGTTGCACTGTGTTAGCCAGGATGGTCTCGATCTCCTGACCTGATTATCCGCCCATCTAGGCCTCCCAAAGTGCTGAGATTACAGGTGTGAGCCACCACACCCAGCCTCTTTCTTTCTTCTTTCTTTTTTTCTTCAGGATTTCATTCCTGTTGCCCAGATTGGAGTGCAGTGGCACGATCTCAGCTCACTGCAACATCTGCCTCCTGAGCTCGAGCAATTCTCCTGCCTTAGCCTCCCAAGAGGCTGGTACTACAGGCACGCACCACTGCGCCCAGCTAAGTTTTGTAATTTTTCTAGAGGTGGGGTTTTGCCATGTTGCCCAGGCTGGTCTTGAACTCCTGAGCTCAAGCGATCTGCCTACCAGACCTCCCAAAGCGCTAGGATTACAGGTGTGAGCCACCTGGCCCGGCCAGATTCTGTATATTAGACCTTTGCTGGGTGCATAGCTTGGAAACATTTTCTCCCATTCTGTAGGTTGTCTGTTTACTCTTTAGTTTAATTAGGTTTACTCTTTAGCTAAATTAGAAGCTCTAGTTTAATTAGGTGTCACTTGTCAATTTTTGTTTTTGTTGCAACTGCTTTTGAGGACTTAGTCATAAATTCTTCCCCAAGGCCAATGTCCAAAATGGTGTTTCCTAGGTTTTCTTCTAGGATTCTTATATTTTGAGGTATTACATTTAAATCTTTAATCCAGCTTGAGTTAATTTTTGTATGTAGTGAAAAGTAGGGGTCCAATTTCATTCTTTTGCATATGGCTAACCGGCCATCCAAGCACCATTTATTCAATAGGAAGTCCTTTCCCCATTGCTTATTTTTGTTAACTTTGTTGAAGATCTGATGGTTATAGGTGTGTGGCTTTATTTCTGGATTCTCTATTCTGTTCCATTGGTCTATATGTCTGTTTTTGTACCAGTACCATGATGTTTTGGTTACCGTAGCCTTATAGTTAGTTTGAAGTCAGGTAATATGATGCCTCTGGCTTTGTTCTTTTTGCTTAACGTTGCTTTGGCTATTTGGGCTTTTCATATTATTATTATCACTATTACTAGAGGTAGAGTCTTTCTCTGTTACCCAGGCTGGAGTGCAGTGACACCACCATAGCTCACAGCAGCCTTGAACTTCTGGGCTCAAGCATCATCCCACCTCAGCCTCCTGAGTAGCTGGAACTATAGGTGTGTGCCACCATGCCTGGCTACTTTTTAAAATTTTTTTTTGTGTCAGACTCAGGGAAAAAAGAAAAAATTTTAAAACTAAATATAAGACCAAAATAAAAAAAAGAGAAAACAAATTTTTGTAGAGATGGGGTCTCACTGTGTTTCCCAGGCTGGTCTCGAACTCCTGGCCTCAGGTGATCTTCCCATCTCAACTTCCCAAAGTGCTGGGATTACAGCCATGAACCACTGTGCCTGGCCTCAATTCAGTTACTTCAGAACATGTCCCCTGTGTCCCCTGTTTCCCCCTAGTACTGAGCCTGCACTATTACCTGCAATAGCTGTGCCTGCGATTCTCCTGCCAACATGATCACACACATTCAATCCAGTACCTTCAATGCAACCAGGCAGACCGACGCAGGCACTCACCCTCTCTTTCTGTGTGCGTGCAGACCAAATTGATGGCAATGGCCAGCTTTCAGAGCCCCATAAGCTGTGCATATCCCAAACATTACCTCTAATCGAAGCACCCACCCTGTAGGGTAAGTGTTATTATCCCTTTAGTTTGCTTCAGTTTGAGACTCACGTTTGAGAACTGAGGCAAGGCAAGAACCCGGAGTGCACCTCATCACATGAAAATATGCATTATCTTGTAGGTTACTGAATATGGCCTTCCAGGTCTTTTGAAGTAGCAGGATGCATATCTTGAATGAGTATTGGAATTTCAAAAAGGGAGATAAGATTGCTGAGGTATTTAATCGTTACCTGTTCCACATCATAGAGGGACGTTTTCAACATTACTCTTATAAATGAGGCCAGTGTTATTCTGAGAATATTATTCTTTCTTACTTTTCCTCTTTGACAGACTGTTATTTGCTTGGCATGTTATTCCTGTTTCTATTAAGGTTATTCCCTCTTTGGTTTATAGACTAATGAGCCTGGTATGTTTTTATGTATCTGAACACTAATTTTAATTCTGATGTTAACTGGAACCTCTTGTCTTTCATTCTTCAGTATTTGTGTAAAGAAATGCTTTCAATATTCTTACTTCTAAATCCAAACTGACTCATGCAACCATATGATCTATTATGTATTCTAGTAAAACTGTTCTGGATCATTTACATATGAAGATGCATATTATTTTGTTATGATCATTTCATTTCTCCTTTTATGACAGAGTGTGAGAAAAAGCAGTCCCTGACACCCAAGTTGGCTTGGCACTCACTTGTGGGGTTTTTCTGTTACATGTAAACAATTCCACAGAACACCGGTATTGGATAAGGCCACCCAGATGGGGATGGCTCTAGATAAAAACAAGAACATTCCCTAATCACGTCTGAACATAGACAAAACATGAACATTCTCCAAACCACAGAGATGACCAAACCTCCCCGTATCCTGGCTAATAGGAGTGACTGCTGCTTTTTCACATTGATAGCTTTAGCCTGGCTCTAGTCTTCCCTCCTTCTAGATGAAGTTAATTAAAATACCCAACCATAGAACTGCTCCCACTTCTTGACAGCATCCAATCCAAAGCAAAGCACCGCTTTCACAAATCTTTCCAAAAGCTGCCCCCCAAACCCTAAATCCGATAGTAAGTCCTTTCTAATACCCTCTTACCAAGACATCCTGCATTTCCCCGTGGCGTGCATTCTCCCTCCTTGCAATGTGCAATAAACTGAACTTGTTCAACTGCAAGTGTGTTCCCAAGGGTCTTTGGCTGGGAGGCGTTGATAGATATAATGATGTTTTTGGAATTATGTATACAGATAGATTATATTATCTATGAATTCCATTTCAAGATAGTAAATGGGCTTTGCAAAGCATTTGCTACAAAAAGTGGGTATTGAATTTGGTAGGATCATTGATAACAATTTTCTGATCATGACCCTGCCTAGGGCTAAATCCTAAATCCTGGTAGATTGCTACATTTGCATAGAAATCCTGCTTGTGAAGGTAAGGTTTGCTTGAGGATGCCACTTAAATGATTGGTTAGTATTAAATCACCCCACCCTTCCCATGCCCAAATTGTCCTCAAACTAAATACAGAACAAGCTATTCTGCTTTACAGCTTAAGAAAAATGAGTAGGGAGGGACTGCTCCAGGTCAGTCTTGTCTTCCGGACTCTGGCTTTGATCCCCTTTGTCATATAGGATACTATTGTCTGGGCATTATTAGGTCTTGTTATGCTCATTTAGGACACTCATGTATCCCTATCATTTGTTCTTCAGATGTGTGCTTTTTCTTCTGCCAGCACTTCTGGCATCTCAATCGTGTTGCAGGAACTGTTAAAGTAAATGAGTGGATAAAAGTGTTTTTATGACCTTGCAGAATGAAACTAACATCCTTTCTTACTTTTCAAAAACTAGCTGCTTTAAAAGGGAGGAATAGGCACTTAGGAAATTCTGAGACGCCCCAATGATTAAGATAAATGCTGCTTCATAAATAAAAAAAAAATTAGCTACATATGTAAGCATTGTTTCCCAACGACATACCCTCTCCATCTCGGCATACTTTTGCCACTTGCTGTGCCTGGGTGCATGATGAAGACCAACTTGTCAAAGAAGTGTTGCTTTTAAGAATGTGGGAGGAGGTAGTTTAGATTACTTAGGGCTAATCATTAATATATGATTTAGTAAGTTCATTGTTTATTTTTTATCCAACCATACCTCCACCCCAGGTCCATGAGGGCGGGGACTTTTGATTGGTTTGCTGTTGCCTGTCAAGAGCTTTAAAAATGCGAAATAAATATTTACTCCGTGCACAAATGACTGAATCAGTCCAGCCCTCAGTGATTCATCTGTTTTCCCTCTTCCTTTTCCCATATCGGGTGTGCGAACCTCTGCTCACCAAGTACCAGTCGGGTCCTTCTCCTGCCCACGTGAAGGAAGAAGGCGCAGTGGGGCTGAGGCCTCACTAGGGCACCCACACGGAGCGCTGCGCTCAGCCTTCTGGACCCGGTACCTCCCCAGGCTCTGAGGACAGCAGCAGCCCCAGGACGGACGGGTACGCCAAGTCCTGGGGACCCTCTCCCAAGCTCTGTCAGGGCGGCGGGGTGGCGCGCGCTCCTCCCTCGGGCGCTAGCTCTGGAAATCGCGCTAGGCAGAGGTGGGCTTGTGTCCGCACCCGCAGCCTCCGCGTCAACACCCTAGGGGAGAGGGACGCGGGCAGGGGTGCCGGGCCCAGGCTCCCCAGCCATTCTCAGGCCAGAACCCCCTTTTTAACAAGACATGGCCTTGGTGTGTCGCGGACTCTGCCGGGGACAGTCTGGCAGAACTGGGCTCCTTGCGCTCCCCAGTATACCGGCTAATTCCGTGCCCTTTGCAAACTTCATATTTTGATTTCAAATTTAAAAATAATCAATAGGCCGGGTGCGGTAGCTAGCTCCTGTAATCCCAGCACTTTGGGAGGCCGAGGCGGACAGATCGCCTGAGGTCAGGAGTTCGAGAGCAGCCTGGCCAACACGGTGAAACACCCTCTACTAAAACTACAAAAAAATTGCCGGGCATGGTGGCAGGCGCCTGTAATCCCAGCTACTCGGGAGGCTAAGGCAGGAGAATCGCTTGAACCTGGAGGCGGAGGTTGCAGTGAGCCGAGATCGGGCCACTGCACTCCAGTCTGGGCAACAAAAGCGAAACTCTGTCTCAAATAATAATAATAATAATAATAATAATAATAATAATAATAATAATAATAAACAAATATAAAAATAATCAATAGCATTACCCATATCCTTTCTTTTGTCCGTGGTAAAACAATCAAAAGTATTTTTTAAAAAGTGAAAATGAAGTCTCCCTCCCAGTCCCCACGCCCCCAGGTTCAGTCCGGGGCGCCTGGACAGGTTGGCATTGGAAAGCGTGAGGAAGCAGCCACACCCAGAGCGCACTGCGGCTATCAGAGATGGGGTCTCCGGATCTGCGACTTCCACGAGGCGCTCGCGAGGGGGAAGTTAGGAACTGGTTTCGCAAGGAAGGATGCGGTTGGCACACAGTGCGAGGAGAAAGGGGTTCTTCGGGCTGAGCGCGGGCTCGCTCAGCTCAGCGTCATCAAAGAATTGCAAAGTAGAGAAGAAAGCGGCTGATTACCAAGGACGCCTTGGGCAGTGAGGAAGGGGGAGGGTGAAGGGGAGCCAATATATGTGGGCTCCCAGGGTAGCCAGAAGGCGGCCCTCAGCAGTATCTAGGGAGCGGGAGAGAGGGACAGGGGGTCGGGGGAGAGAGAGGAGGAGAGAAGAGAGAGGGGAGGACGGAGAGAGAGAAACCTGTGAGGATTCAGACCGATGCCTGGGTGAGACTTTGAGGGCTGGGGACCGTGAATATGGCTCGCTAGCCTTCCTGTGGTCCCTTTTGCACTCACAGGCTAGTGAGCAGAGAGGGAACTGGATTTTCTTTTCTTTTCTTTTCTTTTTTTTTTTTTTTTTTGATACGGAGTCTAACTGTGTAGCCCAGGCTGGAGTGCAGTGGCGCGATCTCGGCTCACTGCAAGCTCCGCCTCCCGGGTTCACGCCATTCTCCTGCCTCAGCCTCCCGAGTAGCTGGGACTACAGGCGCCCGCCACCACCCCTGGCTAATTTTTTGTATTTTTAGTAGAGACGGGGTTTCACCATGTTAGCCAGGATGGTCTCGATCTCCTGACCTCGTGATCCACCCGCCTCAGCCTCCCAAAGTGCTGGGATTACAGGCGTGAGCCACCGCGCCCGGCCGGAATTGGATTTTCGATTTCCATCTAGTGTATGATAAGCCCTCAATAACCATGGCGAATGAACTAAATAACTACCTCACATACTCTCATTAGACAGAATAATGCTCAACGTGGTCCCGGGATTAACCTCAGTCCCACCTTAAGATATTGGCAAAATCCTTAGTTGGGTAAGACTCAGGGAAAGTCCTTGTCTTCAGAACATTCATCTCTTCTTTTCATTCATTTTTCCCTTCTTCTTTCTTTCAGCCTGGGTGACAGTCTCACTCTGTCACCCAGGCTGGAGTGCAGTGGCGTCCAGTCCAGTGTATTCTGCAGACAGTGCCAAGGCCAGCACTTGGTTAATGAAGCTTGGGCAACACCATGGGGCAAAGCAGGACCAGTTTCATTAGACTTGAGCAAATCTGCGTTTCCTTCACAGGGTAGGAAAGGAAGGAGGAAGGGAGAAATAAGGAAGGAGCCTTTGCTGTCTACTCCCGGTCCTGAAACAGGGCCAATCTTTAGTATCTGCGTTAAAACATGTTCCTGGCTTTCCTTCTACACCTGGCTGCTTTTTCTTGGTCTGCTCCCAAGTGCCTCTCTTTCCTTTCCCAACTATATGTGGGTGCCTCCCAGAGTTCTAAGCCCTCCTCCTTGCACCCTGTCTCTCGTGGCCTCAACCCATCTCCATGGATTTAATGGCCATTCACTCATGCATGATGCCCGGATTTCCCTCTCTACCCATCCCTTTCTCTGGAGCTCCAGACTCATACATCTAGTTGCTTCCAGAACACCTCAAACTGCATCTCTCCATCCAGAATTCATCTCTTGCTCTCCACCTCCCTGCCCTGGTTTTCATGATCTCAGCGATTGTGTCCACTTTCCTCCCAGCTGCCCAGCCTGTGGCTCCTTCCCCCTCTTGTTCAGCCCACCAGTCTCAAGCCCCGACATCCCGTCAGGAGCCATTTAAATCAGCTCTCCAATGCATGCAATTTCCTCTTTCCCCTTATCTGGCCACCATCACCTGTTAGATTCCACACTGGTTCCTAAGTTTCCAGGTTTGCTCTGCTTCTGGCCTCATTCCACATGAAGCCATATTCCAAAATGGGTATTTGATAATTACTTCAGGATAAGTGCAAAGTTACTTCATGTGGCCCAGAAGGACACTGACCCTTGTCTGCTTTTCCGTGGCACCACTCCCAGCTCAAACACCAAGTTCAGCCATCTCGCTTTTGTTCACATCCTTGAATGTTCATGCTCTCTGTGGTCTGGCAACCTGCTTGTGGCCCTTTCTTTCCCTCTCCCCCAGTTTTTCTCCACTTGGTCTGGCCATACTCATGCTTCAGGCCCCTGTGGAAACATCACTTTTCTCAGATATGTTCCCTGACTTCCAAGTCTGGTTAGCTGGCCCTCGTCACAGCCCTTTTCATACTGCGCTCGGCTTACTGTTTATTTGCCTTTCTCCTCCCACTGGACTATAATCAGCCTAAAGTCAGGGACCCTAGCATCTGGGTCACTTCATTATTCTCAGGGCCTAGCATGGAGTCTGGCATATAATAGATGCTTAATAAATATTGAATACCTACTTAGATGAATAAAGGGAAGAATTGAATTGCTGGAAATAAATGAAGATCAACCAAATGAGAACAAGCAAAGACGATTGATTCAGAGCTTGCTATAGCAAGGGAGTTGGCCACCATCACTTGTGTTTTGACAGAGAATCCAAAGCAGGTAGAGGAGTGGGAAAGCTTTATAGTGGAAAAAAGGGAAAGGCTTCATGTATGCCCTGGTTGAGGCTGTTGGCCTCTAAATATTATTTTTTAATCTTTAAAAATAAGTGTCACTGGCCGGGCGTGGTGGCTCACGCCTGTAATTACAGCATGCTGGGAGGCTGAGGCTGGCAGATCACCTGAGGTCAAGACGTCGGGACCAGTCTGGCCAATATGGAGAAACCCCATTTCTACTAAAAATATAAAATTAGCCAGGCATGGTGGTGCATGCCTGTAATCCCAGCTACTCAGGAGGCTGAGGCAGAAGAATCGCTTGAACCCAGGAGGCAGAGGTTACGGTGAGCCAAGATCGCACCATTGCACTCCAGCCTGGGCAACATGAGTGAAACTCCATCTCAAAAATAAATAAATAAGTAAGTAAGTGTCACTTACCTGCACACCCAGCACTCTCTCTCGCACTAGGGAGAATATGTAAGGGAAGAGGTCCATATAGTATTATACAGTCAGAACTGCAGTTAGAACTTATAGTGATTAAATTCCCTTTTTTTTTTTTTTTTTTTGAGACAGAGTCTCGCTCTGTTGCCCAGGCTGGAGTGCAGCAATCTCGGCTTACTGCAACCTCCGCCTCCAGGGTTCTGCCTCAGCCTCCCGAGTAGCTGGGATTACAGGCACCTGCCACCACACTGGGCCTTTTTTTTTTTTTTTTTTTTGTATTTTTAGTAGAGATGGGATTTTACCTTCTTGGCCAGGCTGATCTTGAACTCCTGACCTCTTGATCTACAAGCCTCTGCCTCCCATAGTGCTGGAATTACAAGCATGAGCCACCATGCCTGGCCTTAAGTTCCTTTAAAGTGAAGTTATTGGCCGGGCACGGTGGTTCACACATGTAATCCCAGCACTTTGGGAGGCTGACGTGGGTGGATCACCTGAGGTCAGGAGTTTGAGACCAGCCTGGCCAACATGGTGAAACCCCATCTCTACTAAAAATACAAAAATTAGCCAGGTGTGGTGGTGGGTGCCTATAATTCCAGCTACTCAGGAGGCTGAGGCAGGAGAATCGCTTGAACGCGGGAAGCAGAGGTTGTGGTGAGCCCAGATCTTGCCACTGCACTCCAGCCTGGGTGATGGAGTGAGACTCCATCTCAAAAATAAATAAATAAGTAAAAATGAATTATTATTATTATTATGGAAGGGCTCCAAAAATCACGACAAATACAATTGATGGAAATCATGCCGGAGTGGTCATACTCCAATATGCAGGATATGAAGGATAATTTTATGTGTCAACTTGTCTAGGCTCTGGCACCCAATTGTTTGGTGAAACATCAGTCTAGATGTTGCCATAAAGGTATTTTTGGGTTATAATTAATGTTTAAATCAGTAGACTTTGAGTAAGCCTATTACCCTCTATAATGTGCATGGGTCTCATGCAGTCAGTTGAAGGCCTTAGAGAAAAGATAAGGTCTCCTAAGGAAGAAGGGATTCTGCCTCCAGACTGCCTTCAGACTCAAGACTGCAACATCACCCTTCACTGTTCTCCCATCCGCTGGCCTGCCCTGCAGATTTTGGACTTGCCAGCCCCAACAATCGCATGAGATGGTTCCTTAAGATCCCTATTAACTACCAGCAATTGCATGAGCCTGCCCCTTAAAATCCCTGTTGTCTATCTACTCATCCATTCATCTATCTACACATCCTGTTGGTTTTGTTTCTCTGAAAAACCCTAATACACTGGGCAAGGGCCAGATGTGCAGACAAAAATTCTCCCCACAACAGCACAAGTGAGTGTATGCAGGACTAACCTCTTTACCTCACTCCCACCTTTCCCTCTAGTCTTCTGCAACTCTAATTCCTCTTTATCAATTCAGACCTAGGATCATATAACACTTATTCACATTTTTTGTCAGAGGGATTATACTATAGCCGTTGATTTTCAGCCAGTGTTTGAGGTCATTAACGTTATAAGTATCTTGTTTTCAAGTTGAAGAAGGAAGGATTCTCTAACAAAGAATGTTCCATGAACAGGTGAAGGGATGTGTTTATCATAAAGCATCCTGAAGTATATCTGTGGTAAGCCTCCAGGGTGAGGGCAGAGCCAGGCTTTGTGAGGCCGAATGCTTACACAATTTAAAGGACCCTCTTTAGGAAAAAAGAATACACAAAAATAGTACATTTGCAAATTCTCAGTGATATGCGGATCATGCGAACACCTTGCTAAAGCCTCTCCCAGGGCCTTGGACAGGATGAGTAAGGTGAAGGGCCTTGAAGCTTAAACTTAATTAGTTCCGGTATATCTGGCTCTGCTTCAGGGCTTTTTGGGGTGGGGAGAGAAAGACAGGTGCTGGCCTCTCCCTGGGTTGGTTCTTCCTCCTCTGGGGAGGAAAGTTGGGGCTGGCCTGGTTCCAGCTGCTTGAGAGACACATTTGTTTTCCTCTAAGATCCAGAGTCTTCCCTCCCATCCAAGCCCTGCCAGTGTGAGTGGCCAGATTTTTGGCTCCTTCTTTATCCCTTTCCCTTCTCCCCTTCTCTAATATCAACCCCTTGTCCCAGAGTCTCCACGGCCTGTTTTCTGTGCTCTTGTGTACTGCTTCTTTAGAGTGCACCCAATTGTCTTGTCCCTTCTTTTCTTTTCTTTCTTCCTCCCTCCCTCCCTCCCCCCCTTCTTTCCTTCCTCTCTCTCTCTCTCTCATTTATTTATTTATTTATTTATTTATTTATTTATTTATTTATTTTTGAGTCAGGGTCTCACTCTTTCACCCAGGCTGGAGTGTACTGGCATGATTACGACTCACTGCAGCCTCTACCTCCCAAGCTCAAGTGATCCTCCCACCTCAGCCTCCTGAGTAGCTGGGACCACAGGTCTGTGCCACCACACCTGGCTATTTTTTTTTTTGTATGTTTTTAGAGACAGGGTTTTGCCATATTGTCCAGGCTGGTCTCAAACTCCTGACCTCAAGAGATCTGCCCACCTCTGCCTCCCAAAGTGCTGGGATTATAGGTGTGAGCCACTGCGCCTGGTCTACACCGATTCTTTAGAGTGCATCCAATGATATTTTCAAATAACAGTGTGCAGTCTGTCTTGTCTGCCATCCTGCAAACCTCTCTGTGCTTCTTGAAGCTTCTCATGGTCTGAGGAGAGCATTCCAGGCTGCACACGGGGTGTTGTAATTGCAGCAGCTTCATCATGGGGACTTTTCTCTATGGTTCTTTCTCCACATCTATGGCCAGCATCTCTTTTCTTTTTGCCTCTTCAGATTTCTAAATGCTGGGTGTGTCCATCTCACTTAAGCTGACTCATACTATTAGAAGCAATGGCTTCCTAACTGTACCCAGAGATATGTAATTTTATATAATTTGCTTTCATATATTTCACCAAATATGTGAATTTATTAGCATCCCATTCTGAGAGAAGACCAAAGATCTGAAAATATTCCTGCACATTCCAGGGGACTGACACCCTCAGATTCTCTCTCAGCTCTGAGTTCCTGTGTCTTCAGAAGCACTGAGATCACTTGCACCCCATTTCATGGCAATTCTTTCCCCCTCCTCCGTGTTCTTTTCCTGTCAATTGAGATATGGGCTCTTTCTCTGGCTTCCCTCAGAATCACTCACATGAGACGTGTACACATGTAATAGACTTTACTGAATGAGTTGGAACAATGGAGTTGTTTTGTATCACAGAAAAACACAAACAATTTAAAATCATATTTAAATCACCTTCATTTCTGACAAGCAGCTTTGGAATTCCTCCGTGGCCTCCTTTCTCCCTCTTCTTGATCCCCTGCTAAATTGATTGGAACCACACCCCCCTGCAACTGCCCAAGCTTCTCATTCCTTCCTCTCTCATAAGGCAGAAGTGGCCTCATTTAGTTTAGGTTTAAAACACAAAAAATGGCCGGGTGCGGTGGCTCATGCCTGTAATCCCAGCACTTTGGCAGGCTGAGGTGGGAGGATCGCCTGAGGTCAGGAGTTTGAGACCAGCCTGGCCAACGTGTTGAAACCCCGTCTCTACTAAAAATGCAAAAATTAGCTGGGCATGGTGGTGGGTGCCTGTAGTCCCAGCTACTCAGGAGGCTGAGGCAGGAGAATTGCTTGAACCTAGGAGACGGAGGTTGCAGTGAGCCGAGACCAAGTCACTGCACTCCAGCCTGGGTGACAGAGTGAGACTCCATCTCGAAAACAAACAAAAAACAAACATGAAAATTCCTCATACTGCCATACTGAGAGTGAATAAAAAACAGAGAAATTGAGAAAACAGAAGACTTCACCATTATGGAAAAACGGACCCCCTGTCTTTCACACATTGAGAGACTTCATTTGCAGGCATACCCGTGCATACCGTAGTCCTGCCCCATCTAAGAAATATGGTGTCTACGGGCGCTCTTTCCTCTCTGTCTACTTCCTCAATTCATTTCCTCCTCTTGGATCCTGAAAACTGCCAGAAAAAAGCAGCACTCCTGTTCTCATTTCATGTATGTGCTTGGCCAGAATAATGAGAGAGAAAAGAGACAGACCTGGAGAGAAGAGAATGATGGATGAGAAGTTACCCCAGGGGCTGGCAGGTTTATTTGGGAACGAGAAAGATGGCTCCCGAGATAGAAGCTAGCCTGTGAATTCTAAGGCATTTCCATGCTATGCGTGCTGTGGGCACCCTTGAAACTCTCATTACAAAAGGCATAGAACAAAGACAGTTTCTGTACCTAGACGCCTCCATCCAGCAGCACAGCCTCTGCCCTGAGCTTCTCAAGCTCTTCACCACTGGAATTGGTGAGGCACGGCTAGTACCTGGCCCCTGGTAACGCTGTCCAGGAGGAGCAGTGACGGTGCCAGAGGCTGCAGAGGCCATAGACAGCAGCCAGCACGGCAGCCCCCAAGCCCAGGTGCCAGGAGAAGAAGCGAGTGAGGAAGGCAAGGTCCATGGGGTTCTCCACCTGCAGGGCTGTCCGGAGGGAGGCGCAAACATCAGCACACACAGCTGCAGCATCCAGTTGCTGAGCCCCAGCCCCACCCAGGTCTTGAGCACCCAGAGCTGGGGCTGGTCAGGGACCCAGACCTTGATGGTGAGCACCAGGGAGACCAGGAAGGGGGGCACGCTGAAGAGCTCACGCACACGGATCTCCAGGGTGCCCTTGTTCTCAATGTGGGCTGCCATCAGTAGTGCCAGCACATAGGAGCCCAAGGCCTTGACTGCTTGCTCTAGCTTCATATTCTACCATTCCTGACACGACTGGCTTACAATGTCCACCACGCCAGTGAGCATAAAGAACTCGTACATGGTGATGTGCTGCCAGCTGTCCTTGAACACGAATGGCCACCGCGGATCCTCCCAGTCTACCACCATCAGCCGATTTACTCCAGACGGGTAGAATAACTTGGGTAAGATGCCAGCCAGGGTGATGACCACCTTCACCACACCTTCTAGTGGCACCAGCTACCACCACCTGTGTCCTCACTTCTCCCTGGAGGGCAGAGGGAGTTTGAGGAGCCTCTGTTCCTGTAGCAGGGCCAGAGACACCAGCACCATATAGTAGAGTGAGTAGAGAAGGAAGAACATTGCTGGCAGCAGGTGTCCCTCGAGGGTGCCCATGGCTTTAGTGTGTGTGTTGGGGCCAACGGGGCGAGAGCTGGTAGATGAGCAGCAACCTCACACACACATGACCGGCATCCTCACAGGCAGGAGTGGCTGCCTCTGAACCACGGAGAGATCATGCTGACGAGCCCCACCCCTGCCTCCCACACACAGAAAGGAATAGGTCTTGTTGCAGAAACCTGAGCCACACCCCAGGGTGGGACGCCTTTAAGAGGGTCCTCCAGGGTGGGACCGCTGCAGCCACCTTGCTCTGCTCCTTACTTAAATCGGCTAGGCCCAGCATTTCAATCTGTGCACCTCACTGCAGATGTCAGTTTCACAGATGCTGATTCAGCGTTTCTTTCACCAGCCCCTCTGCCACAGCGCCCTACCCCTGCAGAGAGGAAACAAAGAGAGTGAAGGAGCTCCAGCAAAGAGGAGTAGGGCTGACTCTCAGGCTGACTTTTCTCTCAGTGCTTGGCACAGTACATACTTTTCTCTCATTTAACAACTCTATGAGGGAGGTGTTATTAGGTGAAATTTTACAAGTGAAATGAAGGTCCAGAGCGGTGCAGAGACATGCACAAAGTGGTCCATCTGCCAGCTGGCACAGCAGAGCCAGGACGTGGACCCGGGTCTGCTCATCCAACAAAGCCTGAAGTTTATGCACAGCAAAACTACTGACATTCACTTCCAACCCCGTAATCATGACTGTGGGGAATTTACTTGGTCTTCTTGAGTCTCAGCTTCCTGATGTGTAGAATGGGAATAATAATTACTTCATAGATTTGTTATGAGAATTAAATGGGATTATATATAAAGTGTCTGATACATAGTGAATAATGATGGTGATTATGAATAATTTAGCTTTTTTTTTTTTTTTTTGAGATGGAGTCTGGCTCTGTCACCCAGGCTGGAGTGCAGTGGCACGATCTTGGCTCACTGCAAGCTCCGCTTCTTGGGTTCACACCATTCTCCTGCCTCAGCCTCCTGAGTAGCTGGGACTACAGACGCCCGCCACCGTGCCCAGCTAATTTTTGTATTTTTAGTAGAGACGGGGTTTCACCGTGTTAGCCAGGATGGTCTCGACCTCCTGACCTCTTGATCCCCCCACCTCGGCCTCCCAAAGTGTTGGGATTACAGGCGTGAGCCACTGCGCCCGGCCCTCCTATTGTTATTACTAGCAGTCCTTGCTAAATTTCTATGATCCTGAAGTTTTTAAAGTATTTCTTTGAATGATACCAAAGCAAGAGTCATAAAGAAAAACAGTAACATATTTAATTATATTAAAAATTGTAAGTTATTTATTAATAAAAATTAAACATGTACTGATTAAAATTACAGTTTAAAATTTTCAAAAGAAAAACAAAATAAAATTGTGCCCCATATGTAAGAAAGTGTTAGTCTCCTTACAACATAGAAAGCACTTACAAAGAAAAAAGTTAAAAATATGGCCAGGTGCCGTGGCTCACACCTGTAACACCAGCACTTTGGGAGGCCAAGGAGGGCAGACCGCTAGGTCAGGTATTCGAGACTAGCATGGCCAACATGGTCAAATCTTGTCTCTACTAAAAATACAAAAATTAGCCAGGCATGGTGGTGCGTGCCTATTATCTCAGCTACTTGGGAGGCTGAGGCAGGAGAATTGCTTGAACCCAGGAGGCAGAAGTTGCAGTGAGCTGAGATCATGCCACTGCACTACAGCCTAGGTGACAGAGCAAGACTCCATTTAAAAAATAATAAAAAATAAAAAATAAATAAACACCTCAGGAGAAAAATGGACAAAGGACAGAAAGTGGCTATTCGTGCCAAGGGAACTATAGATGCCTCATAAACATGAAAGGCAAAAAAATTGGGGGCTGTAGCATTCTTGGTTGACAGGCTTTCCTTTTTCTTTTAGCACTTTGAATATATCAGCCCCCTGCCTTCCGGTCTCCAAACTTTCTGATGAGAAATCTGCTAGTAATCTTATTGAGGATCCCTTGTATATGACAAGTGGCTTCCCTCTTGCTGCTTTCAAGAGTCGCTCTTTGTCTTTGTCTTTTGATGGTTTAATGATGATGTACCTTAATGTAGATCTCTAAGTTCATCCTACTTGTTGAACTTCTTAGATATTTATGTTCATGTCTTTCATCAAATTTGGAATGTTTTCAGCTATTTCCTTAAATACTCTCTCTGCCCTTCTCTCTCTCTTCTCCACTGGCTGCGGCAAGGACTTTTCATTAACACAGAGACATAGAATTGCTGCTACAGAGGAGGTAGAGAGGTGTGGCTGAAATCCAGAGGAGGTAGATAGGTGTGGCTGAAATCCAGAGGAGACAGAGGGGTGTGGCTGAAATCCAGAGGAGGTAGAGAGGCGTGGATGAAATCCAGAGGAGGTAGAGAGGTGTGGCTGAAATCCAGAGGAGACAGAGGGGTGTGGCTGAAATCCAGAGGAGGTAGAGAGGCGTGGATGAAATCCAGAGGAGGTAGATAGGTGTGGCCAAAATCCAGAGGAGACAGAGGGGTGTGGCTGAAATCCAGAGGAGGTAGAGAGGCGTGGATGAAATCCAGAGGAGGTAGAGAGGTGTGGCTGAAATCCAGAGGAGGTAGAGAGGCGTGACTGAAATCCAGAGGAGGTAGAGAGGCGTGGATGAAATCCAGAGGAGGTAGAGAGGTGTGGCTGAAATCCAGAGGACGTAGAGAGGTGTGGCTGAAATCCAGAGGAGGTAGAGAGGTGTGGCCAAAATCCAGAGGAGGTAGAGAGGTGTGGCTGAAATCCAGAGGAGGTAGAGAGGTGTGGCCGAAATCCAGAGGAGGCAGAGGGGTGTGGCCGAAATCCAGGTGCTTCACCAGGTTGTTTTCTTAGGCTTGGGTCCAGTGGTAGTTAAAGAAAGACACTTCCATAATCCTAAGTAGGCATGATCACTAAAGGATATTTGATTTATTTATTTATTCAATAATAAAACTTCCAAATTCCAGACATTTTTCTAGGCCCCGAGGATACAATAATGAAAAAGACAGGGAAGAAACAAATAAATGCACAATTAAAAAAGAAAAAATGATAGAGAATGATAAATAATAATGGCAAACTCCCTCCTCCCTGCCAAAAAATACTTAAATTAAGGCTATTGAAATAGCGAGTAGCTCTTTCAGATTGAACCATCAGAGACGATGTCTAAGAAAGTAACATTTAATCCAAGATTAAATTAGCATTAGAGGCCAGCCATACCATATCCGACTGCATGTGTGAGTCACTCCATCACATAAAAAACAAAGGAGGAGCTCAATAAAAGCCAAGACCCTGATAACCTCTGTTGATGGAATATGTTATTTTTAATATTTTCAGTGTTTTGGTCTGTTTTGTGCTGCTATAACAGAATGCCTGAGACTGGGTAATTTATAAAGAACAGAAATTTATTTCTTAGAGTTCTTCGGGCTGGGAAGTCCAAGATCAAGGCACTACCATGTGATGCAGGCAGAAGGTGGAAGGACAAAAGGGAAGAAACCTCATGTCCCCACATGGTGGAAAAGCAGAAGTGCAAGAGAGAACCAGGTTTTTCTGTCAAGCACCTTTATAAGGATTCTTAATCCCATTCATGAGGAGTATCACGGACTAGTCACCTCTTAAAGGCCCCATCTCTTAATACTATCACACTGGCAAAAGCTGAATTTTGGAGGGGACACATTCAAATCATAACATTCAGTAATTGTCTTCCTAGCCAGAATCTGATTTTGTTTTTTGCCATGATGAACCATAGTGGGGCACTCCAGGTAATAAGGCAATGGGGTAATGTATCTTTCCTTATCCATCTTTTTCTGCATTTTGCAATGAATAAGTATTACCTTTGTAATTAGGGACTATGTGAAAACTTGAAATCAATGACACAATTATTTAATGCATGGAGAAGTAAGTAGGATATGAAGACACCAAAATGTGGCAATTTCTGTCTACGCTTTTTTGTATTTTTCAAATGTTCTGAAACTTTATTAATTTTATTTTTATGGTAAAATTATTAATATGAAACTCTTTATAAGAGCTCTTCTCAGTCATCAAAGTATTTCTTTTCTTTTTACTTTTTTTTTTTTTTTTTTTTGAGACAGGATCTTACTTTGTCACCCAGGCTGGAATGCAGTGGCCCAATCATGGCTTACTGCAGCCTCGACCTCCTGCACTCAAGCGATCCTCCCACCTCAGCGTCTGGAGTAGCTGGGACCACAGGCGTGTGCCATCACACCTTACAAATTTTTGTGTATTTTGTACAGATGGGGCTTCACCATGTTGCTCAGGCTGGTCTCAAACTCCTGGGCTAAAACAATCTGTCTGCCTCAGCCTTCCAAAGTGCTGAGATTACAGGCATGAGCCACAGTGCCTGGCCAAAGTATTTCTTTATACATGTGTCTTTATGTGTATGATTATTTATATACCTATATATATAATACTGACAACTGTTAAAGATACCAAAAAGCACAAAGACGAGTAAAAAGAGTGAATATAACACAACAAATGCCAACTCAGAGAGAACAAGTGTTAACATTTTGTCCTGCTTGTTTCCAGGGTTTTAAAAAACTAAGTAAATAAAACATTCAAATTCTTCTGATCCCATTCCCATACCTCCCTTCCTCCACTGGGAGAACCAATATCATGATTTGGTGTGGATCTTTCTTATCATTTTGTCACTTTGTATACATTTGCCTGTCTCTTTATCTGTTTATCTACCTACCTATCTATCTGCCTATCATCTATCTATCTGATCATTCTCTGTATATTTCTAATTCTGCAGAAAGAAGGAACAGAAGGAGCTCTTGCTTGAGTAAGGCACTGGTCATGCCTCAATTAGAACCCATGTAAGTGAAGTTCCTTTGTAATGAAGTCAGTGCAGTTAAATGAAAAAAAGTTGGGGGGGGGGCGAAATTCAAGAATCATGCAAAAATACAGTTGATGGGAACCATATGTCCGAGTGGCCGCATTCCAATGAACAAGGCAAATCCACAGATGTGCTGGTCGTAAATTCCTCCCAAATCCTATTGTGTCCACAAGGTAACTAAAGGTAAATAGGACTAACCTTTATCACTGCTCCCTAAAAAGCGGCCATGGGTCCCAGTGTGTCTGTCTCTCCCCATCTCCCAAATCAGCAGTCACTTACCATCTGCTACTCTGAGCCCTCCCAGTTTCCAGAAGGAGACAGTGTCTCATAATAATCACTTACCCCTCTTGACTGGTAGATTAATCTTTAGCACATGAGTTTCAGTCGCTGTGATACCCGAATACGTCATTTTAAGCCTCTCATCTCCAGTTGAAGAAGGAGAACCCTTAGCTTTACCCACAGCTAAAGGAATCTGGGGAATCAGCCAGCAGGTGCTGAGGTGTGTTTGTCATGGGGGAGGGGTTCTTGAGTGCAAATCTGATTTAGATCTTCTGACCCATGGGTGCCCATTAGAATCACCGGTGAGCTTTTAAAAATAACAGCAATTACTTGGGCTTTCCCCCCAGAAATTCTGATTTAATTAGCTTGGGGTTGGGCTTGGGCATTCATGCTTTTAAAACTTCCCCTGCAGACACTAAAGGAAAAATACTGTATGATTCCATTTATATAGGGTACCCAGAGTAGTCAAATTCATAGAGGAAGAAAATAGATTGGTGGTTGCCAGGGGGCTGAGTAGAAGGGAGTGAATTGTGGCCTAATGTACAGAGTTTCAGTCTGGGAAGATGGAAGAGTTCTGAAGACGGACGATGATGATGATTGCACAGCAATGGTGATGTATTTAATGCCAATGAACTGTATACCTAATAGTGGTAAAAGTGGTCAGTTTTATGTCACATATATTTCACCACACTAAACAAAGTGAAGTATGTAAGCTCCTGTGGTGATTCTACTGTGAAATCCTGTCCAGAGCTGCCTTATACTACCTGTGATGACTGTTGAAAGGGAGGGTCCTCTTGATGAGTTGGGTCCTCCTTCTTCCCACCCTGCTGCCCCGGGAGGCTCAGCTGAGTGCCCTTCTGGTTTCAGCTTTTGCTGCTATTGGAGGGCAAAGGAGTTCACTTTTCTTTTAAGATTTGGCCTGTCAGCTGCCCAAGACTGGTTCTGGAAACCCTCTCGATGCCCCCTGTAAGCGTCTCTGCATCCAGTAGCAACTTTTCACAATAGAGAGTAGAATGGCAATCTCATACCAGAAGGGGTTTTATTTATTCTCTGGTCTCTTCTGATATCTATGGCTGGAGCCTCCTCCCCTTCCTCTCTTTTTCCAGACTTACGCATGCTTCGTTTGATTCAATCACATAATCTGACTCATGAAGGTATAAATCATGCAAGAATAACCAGCCAGTTAATGTCAAATAGGGACGACCATATGTCCATGGGGATGACTAGTTCTTTGTATCTTTTCCAGTGAAATGTGCTTATCTAGTTTATAATTCCATTGTTAGTGGAAAGTATATGAATTTGACTCAGCCCCTGTCCTACCTTCTGAGGGGAAGTCCAATGCTCTGCCCAATGTTCCCCCTCCCGTCTGGCTTGGAGTGTCTGAATCTGCTCAAGCGGTGCCTTACTTGCAAACACATTCTGCAGAAGCTCCCTTTGCTCCGTTTCTGCACTGACCCAGATGGGAGACTCGGCTCCTTTCCACGGATTGTCACCTCTAATATCTGGAAAACAAAACAAAACAAAGCAAAACAAAAACACATGCAAAAGACATTTGTTCGCTCAGCAGGCTTTATTATGTGTATGAGGATGATGATATCATCCCAAAGCAAAGTTCTCAATATTGGGTATTCAATATTTCTGTTCTTAAAAGTCCTTCAGTAATATCAGATGATTCTATTCCTATAAAGTCCCCAACTGGTGAAAGGAAGCTAAGGTATTAGAAGTCAGGTGAGTGGTTAGCATGGTGGGGGAGTGACTGAGTGGAAGCATTAGGGGGCTTCTGGTGTTCTAGTAGAGTTCAATTTCTTGATTAGATGCTAGTTACACATGTGATTTTGGAAAAGCCACTGAACTCGTGATTTGTGCTCTTCTCTGTATTTATGTTATGCTTCAATAATAAAGTTTATGTTAAAAACTAAAGAAAAGATAAGAAGTCTCCAACCACCTCATGTGCAGGCAGGTTACTCAACTCTGCAGAGAGGGACAGAAGGGTCTTCTACCAACCCAGCATCTGCACCCCTGAAGTCAGACATGGCTGTGGTCGCTTTTGGGTTTTGACCTGTTAGCAATGTTTTCAAAAAGGACCAAGAGAATGCAGGCATACAAGCACTTTGTGGATGGTGGGCCCTGTGCAGATTTGGCCTGTCACAAACCCTGCTTCATACACATCCTCATAGCAATCACAGCAGTGAAAACTGGGAAGACTCGCCCAGGTGCCCGCTCCCCACTGGCCCGCCCTTACTCCCTCCACCTCTCCACAGCAACTCATCCTTTGGACCACCCAAACCTGTCAGAAGAGTGTCTCCGTCTCCATTTTTGACTTTCCAGAGAGGTCTGAAGCCACCTCCACACAGTGAGGTGGCAGACTTGTGGACAGGTCCTGAAGCCATACCAGGAGCTGACCAGCCCCAGAAAATGAGGACATGGCTGCAGGGATAGAAAGCCAAACTGTGGGTCAAGGGGACTTCAGCCTGTCCATCTGGGGGCACGCTTAAAGGTCTATGATGGGGCCAAAAAGAAAGGTGCAGGCTAAGGACAGAAGGACAGCTCAGCCTGAACAGCCCCATCCTGCAGCCCACCCCAGCCCTGAGCCTCTGGAACTCTATCACTGCATCCTGGGGCACCTGCCCCCCAAGCCCCCACCCCAGGAAGAGTATCTATGCTGTCAGAGGCTGCAGACGGTGCCAGCAGAAGGTGGAGAGGAAGCTTGGGGCCTTTGGTGGGTGGGACGCATCAACACACACAGCCGCAGCAGCTGCACATAGATCAACAGGCCATCCGTGCCTCGAACACCTACATCAACGGCCAAGGCCTTGGCCACCCTGCCCAGCTCCGTGCACCGCTAGTTGCCTTGGTGGATCACAGCCGCTCCACGCTCCACAGGAAGAATCCCAAACCCGGTGACCGGCTGCCCCAGCATTCCAAGTAAGACCAGTTCCTCAAGGTCCTCCCTGTTCTTCCTCACCATCTGTTTTGTCCTTGGAGGATGAAAGAACTTAGCAAGGATGATATTAAGGAGACAACCGCTTTCTCTGTCTCTTCCACAGGTACCTGCTGCTGATACCTCTACCCTTGGTTAGACACAATTCCAGCAGGGCAGGACCACTTGCCCTGAGGAGAAGAGCCCAGGGACTCGTCACAGGCAGGGAACCACTGCCTCTTCTATCCTGCCTGGAGCATAACGGCGGTCCAATGAGTAGACAGGTGGACTCACCACTCAGGTAAGTGCTTCCCGGGGCAGCAGGAGGTGCCTCAATAATGGCATTTTGCCCTTGTGCCTTCAGTCACACCCGTCTGCTCTGCCCAGGCATAAAGCTGATACATGGGAATGGTGTGTGCCATGGCAATGAAGATCATCATTATGACCATGGTGCCCGCATGCCAGGACTCTGCGGCCTGGAACTACAAGTCCAGTCTGATTCACAGGAGCATCCACATTCTGACGCCTCTTAGCCCCCACCTGATCACAGAGGCTCTTAGGGTCTTGCAGAGTTTCCCTTCAGCACCTGCGCTGAGGGAGACTCTGGAATCTCACCGGCCCAAGAATCAGTCCTTGTGGCTGCTCTGGCAGTGGGTTGCTGGTCAGGTGCAAAGGTATTGCCCGTGCTGACGGCTGGGCACTGATCCCACACTCGCCACCCTCCACAGCTCCCAGGGAAGCTGCAGCTGGCTGGGTGGAGCCCTCTTGACCTCAGGTGGCCTGGAGTGCTGCCATCGCCATGGGGGACGCTCTTACTACCGGCTGGGCTGGGTCTCTGAGCCTGGGTCTCCACTGACAGCAGCCTCCACAGCTGTCCCTGCATGGTTTCAGATCTCTGCCAGTCTCTGTAGGGAATGATGCTTATGCCAAGAGGGAGGGAAGCAGCTCTTTTATCCCTGGAGGGTGGTGGGGGGTACACAGGAACGTTCTTTGAGTTCTGCAGGATTCTACCTTTCTCCTCCACCCTCCACCCAGACGATCATCTTCCCAAAGCACGTTCGTGCTGCTGTGGTAGGCTGGGTTGGGGTCGGGTTGAGGATCAGCCTCCCAGAGTTTCTGAAACCCCAAAGTCACTTAGGCCCTAAGAGTGGGGAGACGAATGTGGATTGTAACAGGAGATACCTTTGTCCGGTAAAGTAAGTGTTCTCTTTGGTTCCATGCTGTTTCTTCTTACAATGGCTTGTATCAGGGATGCCCAGGGTATCAGTTGTCTCTGAACTGTGACTATTAACAAAGTTCAAATTCTTTGAACAGCCCCCACACAGTTCAGCAGGTACAGACCTTATGGGAGAGGAGGGGCCTTGTGGACATAGTTATTCTGTTTGGCTGTTCAGCATCTGAGCCTTGTTCCTCTATCTAAGGAATTCCCCATCTCATAAGCAGGTAGGAGGCAGAGCTCAGTTCTGCATAATACCCCACCATGGGCACCTTGTTACATTTTACCACTCCATTCTCCCCGCAATGGGCACTCAGGTGATCTTCAACTCCCTGCCACCATAAAAAACAAGCAGTGATAACATCTTCATATGTGCTCCCTATGGGTCCGCATGAGAACTTCCCTGGGGTATTATGCAGAGACTAGACGCCTTGAATTAGATGTCACACTGCAACGTGGTTGGGTGTTAAAAATATAAAAAGGAGGAAACAGAATAAGACCTATCATGTGGTAGCTTTCAAACAGGTTTTTTAAATGTATGCAAATAAATCAACAGTACACATTTGCAAGAACACATTCAAATAAAGTTGCCCATTAACATGGTAAAATAGCTACCTGTGGAGGAAGGGGAATGAGAATAGGGACTAGAGATAAAAGAGAAGTCAGTCAATACAATAATGAAATGGCTTTGTGCAACCCAAGAATAATTATACATCGTGGGTATAGAAACTGGAATAATTCAAACCCCTTCCACCCAGGCGAACAAATGAAACAAACAAAAACAACAGGTACATGATATGTACATAACATCTCGATTCTATAAGATGGAGTGTGAGAAATGGCCACATGAGACAAGGCAGGGAGAGACCCTGCCTGTGTTAGGAGAATCAGAGCAGGCTTAACAAAGAGGCATCATGTTTGAGTTAATGTAATGATCTAAGAACAGGCCTTTTCCAGGTGGCTCACATCGGAGAGGTCTACTCAAAGAGGAATTTGTCCACCCACTTATAGAGACCTTGGGACCAAATCCATATCTGATTACCACTGGGAAGCCCAGTCATCAGAGATGCCTTCATACATGGGTGGATGGTCATGGAGACAGGAAGATGGCCTCGAAGCTGGGCCCAGTGGCATGGGCTAGGTCATAGGCCATAGGGAGTGGCTGGTTATAAATTGCTCTCTGTATTATAATGCATTATTTAGTCCCCTTATAAAACTCAACTGTGGGTGAATAAAAGGAAGGATCTAAGTTCAGCCAGGAAAGAAGTGGTACCAAGGGGCATTAGAGATTCCCTGCCAACTGTTTCCAGTAATGGTAGACTAAGGGATAAATCACCATTACTTCTAAAGACAGCTACAAAAGTTAGAGGAGATATCAAACTATCTTCTTAATAGCACTGCAGGCCTCATTAATAGAGCCGAACAGGGAGGGGTAAGAGCCTAAACTGGTTACTTGGGATGTGTTCACTTCCTGGGAGAAGGCAGCTGACATGCCAAGGTCCTTGGGTGAGTGTGAGGGGTCATATTGCATTACATAGTGTCCTGGAGATGTGCAAGTCACTTGTACCCCACTGATATGTTTACCCTGGGCTGTCTGCCAATCCTCAGAACCATGTGAGGTGAGCAGGGTGAACAGTACTTTTGGGGGGCTCCCTAGAGCTGGAGGAACAGTTGGTGTCTACTGTTAGTAAAGAAGGAAACTTAGTATGAGCCCACTATGTGCTCTGAGTAGTGGCCCCAAAGGGCTGCATCTGGAAAAGGGGGTGGGTACTGGCCCTGTGGACATACAGAACAGCCTCAAGCCTTATTCCCGGACTGCTAGTTCCCTCAGGTGTTGGAAAAAAGGAAAAAAAAAATCCTCTTTGGAAGAGGATCCTAGATTTCAAATTAACTCTCAAAAGAGCCATTTCAAATAAATTGTCCAGAAAGCACAGAGGCACAAGAGCTACATGAGACAAAACACCACAAGTCAGAATCAACAGAAACTGTGGACCATAGAAATAGACCCACCGGATCCCAGATATTAGAATAACTCGATACAACCTGTAATGAAACCGTGCTTACTGTGTTCATGGAGATAAAAATTGAATTTAAAATTTTATGTAAGGATATAAAAATTTTGAAAGCAACGGTGAAGATTTTAAAAAGAACCATTTGATATTATAGAACTGAAAAGTATGATAACTCAATAAAGAACTCTATAGAAGAGTTAAGAGCTAATAATTGGTGGAAAGGAAGATAAGTCAGAAGAAACTATCCAGAATGAAGTCCAGAGAGGCATAAAGATGGAAAATACAGATAAGAAGATAAATAAAATAGAAGACACAGGGAGATAATCCAATATACGTTTAATTGGAGTTCTAGAAGAGAGGAGAGAGAGAATGGAGCAGAGGCAATATTTGAAGAGATAATGGCTGAGAATTTTCCAAAATTGATGAAATAACACAATCCACTGATTCAGGAAACCAAAGGAGAGATTCCTACAAGAACTAGGAAGCTTCAGGAACCAGGCATTTGTTAAAGCATAAATGTCTCCTGTGGAAGTTCCCTTTTCATGACAAGGGAAGAAAGCACTTGAGGGAGCCGGTGGGTTTCTTTGCAGAAGAGTTTTTGGTTTTGTTGTTTGCTTGTTTTTGAAGATAGGAGAGATTTGATTATGTTGAAAAGCTGAGAGAATAAACCAATTGAGAGGGAGAGGCTGAAGCCACAGGAGAGAGGAGGAGTAATTCATGAAGCATGAAGAAGTTTTTAGAGGGCACAGGGACCGAAACTATGAAAATAATAACAGCTATCCTTTACTGAGCATTACATGTCAGAGCTCTCTCAGGAAATTGGTCACACATTGATACTAATTCTTATAATCGTTAACGATGAGTATTTCTATTCAAATATCCTTATGTTAATTGATGTTCTAAAGAGAGAGAGAGAAAAAATCTTGGTCATATAGCTAGTAAGTGGTGGCAGTGGGATCAAAATCTGGTCTGACTTACTCCAAAGCCTGTGCCCTTTCCACTCTACCAGCTGCTTCCAGAGCTCCAGCTGGCCTCCTCTTTGTCTGAGATAGGATGCAAGGAAGAGAGGATGAGTGTGGAAGTGAAGATGTTTGGAGATATTGTAGAATACAGGAAGTTGAAGTAATTCAGGCTGGAGGCTAGGTCATTCCCAGGAAAATGTAAGGGATTCTACCTGCAGAGTTCGAAGGATGTGGGAATTCAACAGAGGAGCTACCAAGGAAGGGCCGACCAGGGGAGAGGGAGAGGAAAGTAGCCAAGGTGAGGCGAGCCAAGTGCCCAAACCATCAATGGCAGCATGTAGCGGTGCTCCAGAGGCAGAGAGAGGAGATCAAGAAACGTGGGGCGGAGAGGAGAGGGGAAGAGTTTGAGAAGAAACAGAATACGTCACAGTCTCAAAGCATCTCCCCCCAAATATTTATTAATTACAAAGGGAAAACTAGTCATTTTACAGTGGGGAAACCAGCAGACATCACTATAACAAAGTGATCTCAAAATATTGTTTATTAAAAGAGACAATGAGACGAAGCTCCTGGCAAGGAATAAGTGACTAAACCATGGCTGTTCTGTGGTCTTTGCAGTAATAACAATATCCTAAATGACCTGCGGCCAAAAGATCTCCCCACCTCATCCCACCTCAGTGCCAGGTTCATCTGTGCTAATGTATCACCGAGTCCTAAAGGATGACTGAGTCGTCCTTGGGTAACACGTGGTTAACGCGTGTGCATTTGACAGGGGTCTTCTGTAATAATGGGGTGATTCTCACGCGTGGGCGGGATTCAGGCACGGCAGCAGCATTGGGAGAAGTGCTTTGGGGCTGGGGTGAGAGGAGTTTGGGATCTCCACGGGTACTAGGTGCCCCCGCTGTCCTCTATGGTTGGGCTCTTGCGTGCGGCGGCAGATCCCGGGCGGCGCTTCGGCAGATCCTGGATGGCGCTTCGGCAGATCCTGGATGGCGCTTCGGCAGATCCCGGACGGCGCTTCGGCAGATCCTGGACGGCGCTTCGGCGGGGCTGGCCTCCCGCACACACTCGGGTCTCCAGAGTCGGGTGTGCGCGTTGGGGACGCTTCGTCCTGCAGTTGAACGCCCTGAAGCGGGAGAATCAGCGGCCTCCCCGACCCTGACTGCGCTGTAGGGTCTATGAGCTCCTCTGCAGCGCCCGACCTCCTTCGCCAGCAGCCCCAGCCCCCTGCGCAGAACCAGTCTACGCGGACGCCGGAGTCCCCCTGGGCTGCTGGAGAGCCCGAAAGCTCCCGGGGCCGTGTCTTCTGGGAAACGCGCCAATGCCCTCTAGTGGGCGAGCTTTGAACTTCCCTGAGGCCCTACACTGACCTGAGCAGGGGAATTAAATCTCCGGAGCGTCACCCGTGTCTTGCCGAGAGCGGGGCGCAGTGCAGCCCTGGAAGGGCGGAGAGAGTGAGGATGGTGCACACCCGAACCAGCTGGGTCGAGTCAGCCCCCTCCCAGGAGGGCGGCGTGGTCTCCTCCTGCCTCATCGTCCCCCTCCCCGTCCTTCACTCCTCCCAGCTAGAATTGGCACCATCCACTCTTCACTCTCCTTGAGCGAAAAGAAGGGAGACTTGAACACATCTATGCGCCAGGCAGCTTCACTTCTTCATCTGGAAGCTATTTCTAAAAAGGATTTGAAGTGATCACAAAGGCTTACAAGGGAACTAAAGAAAGATGGGGAAACAAAGACGCACGGGCTAGCACTGAAAATGTCTTAAGACCCTGAACGGTCACTAGACCCGGAGTAGAGATAGGACGTTAAACTTCCAAACCCTTAGAGCGTTAAGAAAGACGAGACCGGGAAAACTCCAACAGTCCTTCAGGAATCAGGAACAAAAGACCAAGGCAAGGGGAAGCAAAAGAGGAAGGGGCAGGGAAGCCATGGTAACTAAAAATAGAAAGGAAGGACAAAAGGAGAAACCACAGAACAGAGCAAAATTACTGCAGACGGATTAAACTCCCCTATTAAAAAAAAAAAAGTAAAAAGCCTAAAACGGCCTATCTACCTAGCTTCTAAGATACATAGCTGTAACAAAGTGACATTTAGAGTTTCAAAATAAAGAGGTCAGTGAGGATATACCAGGAAAGGGCTAACATCTGTACATCCCTCCAGTTGGGGGCCTAACTCTAAAATACAGCTCACTTCCACCCGTGTGTCTTCTTCGCCCCGGTGCCACTTCCTAAGGCACACCACAGTGACTTCCCACCTGTCCCATAGCTATAGCTTTCTAATTGGCGTCCTTAGCCCCCCTTGCCTTCCTCCCTACAAAGCACATATAATATTCTTTCAAAAACATAAATAAGAAGCTGGGCGTGGTGGCTCACGCCTGTAATCCTAGCACTTTGGGAGGCCAAGGTGGGTGGATCACCGGAGGTCAAGGGTTCGAGACTATCCTGGCGAACACGGTGAAACCCCATCTCCACCAAAAAATACAAAAAATTAGGTAAGTGTGGTGGCAGGCACCTGTAATCGCAGCTACTCGGGAGGCTGAGGCAGGAGAACCGCTTGAACCTGGGAGGTAGAGGTTGCAGTAAGCCAAGATCCTGCCACTGCACTCCAGCCTCGGCGACAGAGCCAGACTCCATCTCAAAAAAAAAAAAAAAAAAAAAAAAAAAAAGCATAAATCTGGCTAAAGTCCTTCAATGTCTTCTTATGGCATTTAGAGTCAAGTTCAACCTTTTTACTCTGGCCTACAGCCCCCACACCACCCCACTTTCTCTCACAACACCCTCTTCCCTTCTAGCTGCTGTCCCAGTGGCCTTCTTGCTGTTCTTCAAACCCACCCTGGCACACACTGTTCCCTCTGGCTGGAATGCCGTTCTTGGAGCTCTTCCTCTCCTTGCCTGGGTCCTAGCTTCAGGATCTCCCCTGGAGGAAATCCTTTCCTGGCCACTGTGTCTGGAGTGAGGCCCTTTGCCTAGCTACTCTTCATCACTGCTCTGTTTATTTCCTGCAGAGTACTTTTTACAGTCTGTGAATATCTTGTTTATTTATTTGCTTATTTATGTCTTCTCTAGTAGAATGTTTACTGCAGTCTTTTGGGTTCTTCTCCATGTATAATCATAGTATCTGCAGGTAAATATAACTTTTTCTGCTGTTAGAATTCGTTCTTATACTTTCTTTTTTCCCCAATAATGCAATTGAGCCTTTAAAACATGTTGAATAATAATGATCATGGTAAGCATCCCTTCTTTGTACTTTCCTAATTTAATGGAAATAGCTTGAGGGTTTCATGGTTTTAGTAAGAAAGATATTTGCTATTGACTTCTGGTAAATATTTTTCATCATATTTAAGAAATGTCTTTCTATTCCTACATTACTTTTACTTTTCCAATTTCTTCCTGGGTAACTGACCTATTTAAATTTTCAATCTCTTTTGATATCAGTTTATGTTTTTCTAGGAATTCAACAATTCCTAGATTTGTTGAAACAAATCTCTAGATTTTCAAGTTGGGTGCCCTAGGGTTGTATGTAATATTGTCTTATAATTATTTTTCTCTCTTTTTGTATCTGGCATTATATCACCCTCTTAATTTCTAATATTGCTTGCATTTGATTTCTTTCATTTGTTCCTAATGGTCGGCAGGGGATATCTATTTATCTTACAAAAATTAGATTTGGCATAAAACTACTGTATGATCCAGAAATTCTGCTCCTATGTATATATGCAAGAGAATTGAAAGCAGGAACTTCAACAGATATTTGTACACTCATGTTCATAGCAGCATTATTCACAGTAGTCAAAAGGTGAAAGCAATCTAAGAGTTCATCAGCAGATGAATAGATAAACAAAATGTGGTATAAACAGAGATAGAACATTATTCAGCCATAAAAAGAAATGAAATTTTGATATATGCTGTAACATGAGTATGTCTTTTTTTTTTTTTGAGACAGAGTCTTGCTCTGTCGCCAGGCTGGAGTGCAGTGGCGCAGGCTGGAGTGCAGTGGTGCGATCTCGGCTCACTGCAACCTCCACCTCCCGGGTTCAAGCGATTCTCCTGCCTCAGCCTCCTGAGTAGCTGGGACTACAGGCGCGTGCCACCACGCCCAGCTAATTTTTGAATTTTTAGTAGAGACGGGGTTTCACCATGTTGGCCAAGATGGTGTAACATGAATATATCTTAAACATTATGCTATGCGCAATTAACCAGACACAGAAGAACAACTATTGTATCACTGTAGAAAGTAAAATAGAGGTTACCACTGGTGGGCAGAGGGAGGAAGGGTGAGTTATTGTTTTAATGCATACAGAGTTTTTACTGGGAATCATAAAAAAGTTTTGGGTATAGATAATGGTGATGGTTATACAACATTGTGAATGTATTTAATGCCACTTAATTGTACATCTATGAAAGGTTAAAATGACAAATATGTATATTTTACCACCATAAAAAGTTAGATTTCGGATTTTTTTAAAAAATTCTTTCCATTTATTTTTGACACTTTCACTAGTTTTGGCATTTACTTTTGCTAATTACCATGACTGAAGTATTTGTTCCATTTTTAATTTTCTAAAATGAGTTCCATATTCCTTTAATTTCAGTTTTCTTTAACAATGAAGGCATTTAAGACTGTGATTTTTCCTTCGAATATGAGTTTAGCATACCAAAAAATAGGATTCATTGCTTTCTAGATAGTTTTTATTCCAATTTTGATTTATGTATTGATCCAGGGTTTTTTTATTCTAAGCAGTTAATAGTTTAGTGGTCATCTTTTTATTATTATTCTCTTATATTCTAAAATATTTATCAGAAAATACCCTGCAAAAATCTTCACTTTTTTGAATTTTTCAAGCTTTGTTTGTGGCCAAGTACATGACTGATGTCTATCTATCTGTCTATCCATCTATCTATCTATCTATCATATCTATCCATCTATATCTATCATCTACCAATGTGTTATTTACATAAGAAAAAAGCATCTTCTATATTTGCATGTTTCACAGTTCTATACACATCTATTAAATTGAGCTGGTTGATTGTAATACTCAGACCTTCTATGTCCTGGCTAATTTTTATCTTCTAGATCTGTCAGATTTTGAAAGATGTAGATTAGAATCTTCCACCGCAGTTTACGTGTGCATGTTTTTAAATAACATTCTCCACGTTTCTAACAGTTTTTGCCTTATAGATTTGACTGCCATGATGTTTAGTGTTTAGAGATTTACGTTTAACATCTTCTTAAAGTGTGCCTTTTATCATTACATATTATCTCTGTCTCATTTAATACTTTTAACCTTCAATTTCATGTTGTCATTTTAGCTTTTTCTTTGTATTTGCCTGGTATTTCTTTTTTTCTTTCAGAAAACATTTGCTTTATTCATTTGTTAAATTCTTATGGGTTGTCATTCATAAGGCACATAGATGTAGGTATTGTGGACACCAGCATATGTTGATTTTACAATATTCTGGGAAACAAATAAATAAATCAATAATTACAATATCCTGAGACGTGGATATGACAATTTGGTAAAAATGCTAGACCACATAGAAAGGGCATCTTAAGCAGGCAGAGGGGCTCAAAGAAATCTCCCCAGACGAGGGCAACTTTGAGCTGAGACAAGATTAATGTGAAAAAGGACTTTCTTCCTAAGTGGTTCTGTTTTATGATGGAAAACTTTCTTTAAAAAAATTTTGAAGATTCATAAATGACTGCAGAGCATTTCCTTATGGAACTACTATGGATAATACAGATATTGTAGCATAGTATCTATATTAATCTATATCATCTATGGCAGTTCCACAGGGAAATGCCCTGAGGTCATTTATCAGATATCACAATATATGTATGCCTGGTATTTCTTTAACCATCACTTTGTTTTAGATGTGCTTCCTACAAAAATTATACATTTTAATTTGGTTTTTCAATCCAACCTGAGAGTCTTTATCTTTCATATGAATATTCAGCTCTTTCACACTTAGTGTAACAGCCGATATATTTGATTTTATTCTTTCCATCTTTTTTTATTTTTACTATTTGTCTTAATTTTTATCTTTTTCCTCTTTTCTAATGTATTTTCATTACTATTCATTTCTTTCTCCCCCTTTGTTAAATTAGAAGCACTCATGGGCTTTCCTAATCAAAACTAGATTTATTTACTGTTGTATCAAAACATGGCAACAACCTGCTGCCACACCCCCAGGTGCTCACTGCTTGGGCGCCCTCCTCCCAGTGAGATAAATCCTTTAAAACACCTTTGCTTCCTCACTGTTCCCAAATATTCTCAACTCCTTGTTTTTTTCAAAGACGGTTCAGTGTTCCTGACTTATAACTAATATTAAGTTTGTCCCTTATGATAAAACCGTTCTTACTTCACACTCATATTACAAATTTTCGCACTATTCTCATCCATTTAAATCTAACAATATATAATGCAAACATCATTTCTCAGTAACTGTCTCCCTTTCTTTCTCATATTTCCTTTTGTTGAAGTCTCTAGATTCATTTCTTATTTGGTTATTCTTGGCATCTTTCTTTTACTTGACAGGTAAGTGGTCTTTTACCTGTGTATAAGATTCATAGGTCCCTGTCCTTTCTCTTAATATCTGTAGTTATTAGTCTATCATCCCTTAGACCCTAGGGCTGTGGCAAAACAAAACAAAACAAAAACAAACAAACAAACAAAAACCTCCTATCAAGCTAGTAATATAAGGAAACTTCCTTAATACAGTAAGGTTACCTACAAAAAAAACTTATCACAAACATCATAATTAATGGTACAATGCTGAAACTTTTCACCTTTAGGTCAGGAATGAGGCAAGGATGCTCAATTTCACTATTTCCACTTAACATATTATTGTATATCGAAGCCGGTGAGAGAAGGCAAAACAAAGACATAAAAAATTATATTATTTAGGCCGGGCACGGTGGCTCACATCTGTAATCCCAGCACTTTGGGAGGCTGAGGCGGGTGGATCACGAGGTCAGGAGATTGAGACCATCCTGGCCAACACGGTGAAACCCTGTCTCCACTAAAAATATAAAAAAGTAGCCAGGCATGGTGGCAGGCGCCTGTAGTCCCAGCTACTCCACAGGCTGAGGCAGAAGAATGGCGTGAACCCTGGAGGCGGAGCTTGCAGTAAGCTGAGATTGCACCACTGCACTCCAGCCTGGGGGACAGAGAGAGACTCCATCTCAAAAAATATATATATAAAATAAAATAAAAATTGTATTATTTAAAAGAAGGAAATAAAACTATCATTAGCTGTAGGCAGTGTGACTGTGTATGTAAACATTCTAGAACAATCTAAAGATAATATGTTTAATTTAATGAATGGATTTAACAAGAATGCTGGCTCCAAGGTTGATATACCAAATATAGCACTGATTTGTAGCTCACTATTATTGCCACGTGTAACAACAGGAAATAATCCCACAAACATAATACAGAGAGAAAGGAGCAAAGGATTAAAACAAATACAGCATCATCTCATTCTTTTTTTTTTTTTTTTTTTTGAGACGGATCTCGTTCTGTTGCCCAGGCTGGAGTGCAGTGGTGCGATCTTAGCTCACTGAAGTCTCTGCCTCCTGGGTTCAAGCTATTCTCGGGCCTCAGCCTCCCAAGCAGCTGGGACTACAAGTGTGCACCACCATGCCTGGCTAATTTTTGTATTTTTAGTAGAGACGGGGTTTCACCATGTTGGCCAGGCTGGTCTCTAACTCCTGACCTCAGGTGATCTGCCGGCCTCGGCCTCCCAAAGTGCTGGGATTACAGACGTGAGCCACCACACCCAGCCTCATTCTATTTGAATAATATATTTTTTTAAACTAAGATATATTGTTTAGAGATATACATATACTGTTTATTACAGAAATCAGGCATTTCAGAAATTAGAAATCCCTCCCTGGTGGGGAGGGAGATTATTGTCTATAAGGGGCACAATGGAGCAGGAGGAGCAGTTCTAAGGTGTTGACAATGGTTTTTTTTTTTTTTTGAGACGGAGTCTCGCTCTGTCGCCCAGGCTGGAGTTCAGTGGCGCGATCTCGGCTCACCACAACCTCCACCTCCTGGGTTCACGCCATTCTCCTGCCTCAGCCTCCTGAGTAGCTGAGACTACAGGCGCCCGCCACCATGCCCGGCTAATTTTTTTTGTATTTTTAGTAGAGACGGGGTTTCACCGTGTTAGCCAGGATGGTCTCGATCTCCTGACCTCGCAATCCGCCTGCCTTGGCCTCCCAAAATGCTGGGATTACAGGCGTGAGCCACCGCGCCCGGCCCGACAATATTTTATTTCTCTACCTGGGTTGTAGTTACACAACTGTTCACTTTATATTTATCATAAGCCATATATATGTGTGTATATATATATGCGTATGTATAAAATCCTAGTTTTCTATATAGAGATATATACCATGTTTATCAATAGGAAGACTCAATATCATAAAGTTGTCTACTTCCCCAAATTAGTCTATGAAGTTACTGGTTTTTTGGTTTGTTTGTTTTTGAGATAGCATCTCACCCTGTCACCCAGACTAGAGTGCAGTGGCGTGAGCATGGCTCACTGCAGCCTTAAACTCCTGGGCTCAAGCCACCCTCCCACCTCAGCCTCTGGAGCAGCTGGGACTACAGGTGAACGCCACCAAGCCAGGCTAAGTTTTTTTTTTTTTTTAATTTTTGTAGAGATGGGGCCTTGCTATGTTGCACAGACTGGCCTTGAACTCCTGGCCTCAAATGATCCTTCTGCCTCGGCCTCCCAAAGTGCTGGGATTATAGGTGTGAGCTACCGTGCCTGGCCCTGAAGTTACTGGGTTTTTTTTTTCTTTTTCTTTTTTATTATTATTATTTTTTTACCGCTTATCCTCAAGTTCTATGAAGTTACTGTTTTAATCAAAATTCCCAACAAAGATTTTTATAGAACTGGTATGCTAACTTTAAAAAAATGTACATTTCACAATAAAAATGCATGTAAAGTACTATAATAAAAGATGAAACAATTTTAAAAATAGAACTCTTGGAGTGGGGAAAGCCTTTCTAAGTAAAGGACAAAACTCAGAAGACAAAAAAGGAAAAATAGAACATGTGCAAATACATTAAAGCAAAATTCTGTATGGAAAAAACAAAAAAAGTAAAAAAAAATGAAAAGTTAGAAAAAATACGGCAACTCATATGTTATATAAATAGCTAATTTCCTCAATATATAGTTAGCTCTTACTATCAACATAGGAATAAATACAGCCCAAAAGAAAATCAGCATACAGCAAGAAAAGATGTATAAATGGCTTAAAGACATACAAAAAGATGGGTTCTATTTCAACCATAATTAAGAAAATGCATATTAAAGAAAAAATAAGTTCTTCATTTTAAAATTTGATAATATAAAGTGTTAGCGTGAATGAGGGCAATGCAGATAGGCAATTCTCATGCGTTTGTTGGAATTGTAAATTGTTGCAATCTTTTTAGAGAGCGATTTGGCAGTCTATCAAAATTACACATGCATTTATTCTCTGCCCATTCCTATAGGGATGCTCCCATTGTTGTAAAGCTGTATGTATAAGAATGATGATTGCAGTGTTGTTTGTTATTGCAAAAGACTGGACACAAGTTAACAGGGAACTGGAAAATGAACTGTGTAGTTATTTTTAAAATGAGCTAAACTTTATGCACTAACATGGGAAGATTACAAAGGGAAAAGCAAAGTGCTGAACTGTATTTTATACTTTAATTGGTGTCAAAAAAATGGATGGGATAGATTTGGAGAGAATATAATCATATGCATAATTGTAGGAGACTACAATATTTCTGGAAGGCTACACAAGAACCTGTAAGCAGCGGAAGCCTGCTGGTGGGGGAGCCGATAACCTGAGGTGGGCAGGTGGGCAGCTGAGTTCCATTTGTACGCTTTGTACTTTTTTTTTAAGAGATGGGGATCTTGCTGTGTTACCCAGGCTGAAGTGCAGTGGCTATTCACAGGCGCCATCATGGTGCACTACAGCCTCAAACTCCTAGGCTTAAGTGATCCTCCTGCCTCAGCTTTCTAACGTGACTACACTGTGCTCATGTCATTTTCCATTTTTTATAAATCTATTGCCCTATATTCTCGCTCTGTCTCTCTGTCTCCGTTTCTATTTGCCTCTCTATTACACACACATAAACTTTGTAAATTCTTAAGTGCATAAAAATTCTCCTGCTTTCTTCCTTTCTCCAAAGGTTCTAATACTTTTTGTCAAACTGGAGAAAACTCACTGTAGAGGCCATCTTCCCATGACCCCAATCTGCATGTTGATACAAATCATTAAATACTTTTAAGGATTATAACTGAAAAGGTTTACAATTAAAACCATACGTAAAGGTGTTGTTTTCCAATTATGAAAGTAAATCCTGGAGACTGCTGAAATTTTATAGAAATCAAGTATCTAGGAATAAATGTAACAAAAGATGTTAGATATATATGAAAAACTTTATTGAAGGATTTTGAAGAAGACCTAAATAAATGAGACATATTCCATGGTTATCAATAGGAAGACTCAATATCATGAAGATGTCAGTTTCCCTAAATTAACCTAGGAAGTCATTGTTTAAATCAAAATCCCAACAAAATGTTTATAGAACTGACAAGCTAATTCTAAAATATGTATGAAAATGCAGAGAACTCCAAATAGTTGAGATAGTCTTGAAAAAAAAATGTATGAATACATGCTCATCCAGAAATCAAGACTTATTATCAAGTTATAGTATGTGAGAGTGCAGTATTGCTAGAGGACAGAACAATGTAACAAAATAGAGAACCCAGAAACAGACCACCACTTACTGGGAAATTTGATTTATGGCAAAGCCAGCATTGCAGATGACTGGAAAAGGATGAGCTGTCCAATAAATGCTTTGACAATTATTATCCAAGGAGAAAGATGATCTCTCCACCACACCTTTACAAAGAATCAAATCCAGATAGATGTAAGACCAAATATAAAACGACAAAATTTAAAAACTTTTAGAAGAAAGTGTAGGGAAACTTATATCTTGGAAGAGGAAAAGGTACTTTAACCATGTCAACCAAAGTACAAACTTTAAAGAAAGAGGTAAATTAGAATATGTGCAGATGTAAATTTTCTGTGTCTTGAAAGACATCACAAATAGTTATAAGATAAGCCATGGAGTGAATGACAATATTTGCAACTCATCCATCTGATGAAAGATTAAGATACAAAATTTATAAAGAATTCTTAAAAACCAACAAGAAAATGTCAACAACCAATAGAAAAATAGGAAAAAGTTATGATCAAGACTTTACAGTATAAAAAATACCAATAAACATAGGAACAAATGCCTGACCTCTAACCCCATGGTAATTAGGGAAATGCAAATTTAAACCATGAGAAGTAACCACACCCATTACACTGGAAAAGAACTGACGTGATGAGAGGCAGTGTTGAGGGCTGGGAGTGTTACTACAATGACTCATCTGCTGCTGGCAAGATCGCTTTGGAGAACGACTGGGCAGTAATTTGTAGCACTGAAGTTAGGCATCCCTTGCAATGTCTGTGGCCAATGCTAGGTGCACTCCATAGAAACTCACATGTGCACAAGAAGACACAGACCAGAATGTTCATCGCGGCACTGTTTGTAATAAGAACAAAATGGAAACATTCTAAATTTTCACAGCAGGAGAATGGATCAATACATTTAGTATGATATTAACAAGTCTACTATACTGCAGTGAAAATGATTTTTTATTTCTTAAAAAACAACAAACATATGTAGTGCCATGTGCCAGGCTCTGCTCTACGTTTTTGAGAAATATTAAGTCATATTTACTGAATGAACCAGAGCCAGATTCATCAACATGAGTCGACATGGATGAATCCCCAGAGCACCAAGTTGACTTAAAAAAGCAAGTCAAAGGAGTGTGCATAATACTTTGTCATATATGTCAAGTTTGAAATACTTATATAATGTTTAGGAATCCACTCATATGTAATAAAGATAGTGAGAAGTCACCTCAGGGATGAGGGTGAGGAAGGTGGTGAAGAGGGTCCCTAAGGGGCTTCAGCAGTGAGGTTGCTCCATTCCCCATGATTATTGATGGGTAAGTTCTTCTCTATACCTTGATATGTATCTGAAATAGTTCATAAAAAAGTTTTTTCAAAAGAAAAAAAAAGCACCCATTCCTATTTAAAATGTATTTCTTCCAGTCTTTCCACTATGCTTAGTTTATATACTTGTGATTATCTTGTGTATACAAACTCACCTTGTGCCTTTTACAGAATGAGAAAATTTCCTTATACTATCGAAAACTTTTCAGAAATGTTATCAATGACAGAATGATATCACAACTGTGGATACACCATAATGTATTTATCAGTGCCCAACTAGTTGATTCCAATTTTAGATAATTTTTTTTCTCATTTTTCAGTGCAAAGAATGTCTGTGTCCATAAAAGCTTTGGGGGAATATTTGGGATTATTTCTTCTGATGCATGACCACTACTAGAACCACAATATCAAACAGTGTGAGCATTCAAAGACTCTAACTCTGTATTATTACATTTTGCCAAAACAGCTAGACCAGTTCCGCCCCCCTCCCCCGTCCCTGACTGTGCCCGGATCACTCCACTTCCTCTGTAGCTCTGTCAGCCCTAAACAGTTTCCTTTTAAAAAGCCCTTACTATTTTGATCGGTGACAATGGAAGCTTATTTGTATTGTTTTGAGAACACCCCCCACAAACGCACGTAAAACCTCTATAAAGGGAGAACCGCCTTGCTGCTGAGGGCGCGGTGGGACCCGTCGCAGGGCCAGCTGCTCCGGCAGGTGCCCCCAAAGGGTCCCGCAGGTGATCCTCGGGGACTGAGCGCCCATCGCCCTTCCTACGCACTCAGATCCGCCGAGCCCAGCGCCCGCCAGAGCCCAGAGAGTCCTCGGGGTCAGAGTGGTCACGTCACCGTCATTCTTTTCCTGCCCGACTAGTCGCTCTGGGCTCCCCGGGGCCGGGGGCCGGGGGCCGAGCCGCCGCCCCGATTCCGGCTTCACCCGCCCGCAGCGCGCGGCGCCCCGCGCTCCATTCGCGCTACCTGGCGGCTGGCAGGCTGCCCCACCCCACCGCGGGCCACACACAGCCAGGGTGGGACCCCGGCCGCTTTCTCTTTCCCAGGGAGAGGACTGGAATTTGGGGGGGAGGTGGGAATTGAGGAAGTCGGGAAGGGAGGAGTAGAGAGGTGGGTGAGAAGGGGGAGGATGCTTCTAGAAGGCGGGTGAGGGAGCTGGGGAGGCCAGGAAGGGGAGGAAGGGGTAAGAGGTGCGGGAGGGCCTAACGGGGAGACTCCGGGGGCAATCAGTGGGTATTCACAGGGAGCTGGGCGCGAGCATCAGCGGGATGAAAGGCAGGTCAGGGCTTGCCCGTCAGGTCCGGACTGCGCCCTGGAGGGGCTCCCAGTAGAGCCTGCGCAGGAGCGCGGGGAGCGCGCAGCCCAGGCCTCTGGCCAGGTGGAGCAAGAGGAGGGCGGAGGTGGACAGCGCATCTCGCCCGTGGAGGACGGGCAAGGACGCCGCCTGCCCAGCTGTTGGAGTCTCCTGGGCACGGACTGAGGGGGAGGGTCTGAAGAGCCCAGAGATCCCAGAGGGACCAGCTTCTTGTTACAGGGAAAATCCTCACCACCGAGAGATGCAATGAGTGAATCACGGTCTAGCCCTGTTTGGGAGACTCTGTGGCCATTAAAAATGGCGATGCTCCCCAGAGTGTGTGGGGCACAGGAATCCTCTAGGGGGCTTACGAAAATGCAGATTCCGGTTCGGGCCTGACATTCTGCTCTTCTCACAAGCCCCCTGGCTCCTGCTATTGATGTAGAGCTAGCTTTAGATTGTACGGTAAAGGGAAAACCAGTAGGTGTGGGATGAGCCCATTTTGGTTCTTTGAAAAATGTGTTTCTTACACAAACACACAAACACATATACATATGCAGGAAATAAGATGCAAAAAACAAGAAAACACCAACTATGTTTTTCCCTAAGAGATGGGATTCTAGTCGATCTAAATTTTCTACTTTTTGCTTATCTCTATTTCCTGAATTTTCTTCAGTAAACATACATTCCTATTGTAAGAAAAAAGATTCTCGCAAAACCGTAGAAGTTACTTATTTCAAGGAGAGTGTAGGAGTCAAGGGAAAGCCTCCTTTGAAGGTTTACTAAAAATCACTGACAAAAGGCAGATTAACGGGAAAAAATGCATACAAATTTATTTGATCACAGTTTATGTGACATGGGAGCCTTTAGAATGACAACCCAAAGATACAAGAGAAGCTGTTTTTTGTTTTTGTTTTTGAGACGGAGTCTCTCTGTCGCCAGGCTGGAGTGCAGTGGTGCGATCTCGGCGCACTGCAACCTCTGCCTCCCAGGTTCAAGCGATTCTCCTGCCTCAGCCTCCTTAGTAGCTGGGACTACAGGTGCGCGCCACCACGCCCAGCTAATTTATTTCTGTATTTTTTAGTAGAGACGGGGTTTCACCATATTGGTCAGGCTGGTCTCAAACTCCTGACCTTTCCTTCTGGGGATGGGGCAGGGCCCCTCTTTGGAATGGGGTCCTATGAACTACAATCAAACAAAGTAGTCCAGGCACGGTGGCTCACACCTGTAATCCCACACCAGCACTTTGGAAGGCTGAGGAGGGTGGATCACTTGAGGTCAGGAGTTCAAGACCATTCTGACCAATATAGTGAAACCCTGTCTCTACTAAAATACAACATTAGCCGGGTGTGGTGGCACATGCCTGTAATTTCAGCTACTCAGGAGGCTGAGGCAAGATAATTACTTGAACTCAGGAGGCAGAGATTACAGTGAGCCGAGATTGCGCCATTGCACTCCAGCCTGGGCAACAAGAGCGAAACTCATGTCTCAACAAAACAAAACAAACAAACAAGAAAAAAACAGTAGGTTAGATCATTTCTTTTTGTTTTATCTTTTGAGACGGAGTCTCTCTCCGTTGCCCAGCCTGGAGTGCAGTGTTGCCATCTCAGCTCATTGCAACCTCCACCTCCCAGGTTCAAGTGATTCTCCTGCCTCAGCCTCCCGAGTAGCTGGGATTATAGGCACCCAACACCATGCCTGGCTCATTTTTCATATCTTTAGTAGAGATGGGGTTTCACCATGTTGGCCAGGCTGGTCTCAAACTCCTGAACTCAGGTGATCCACATGCCTCGGCCTCTCAAAGTGCTGGGATTACAGGCGTGAACCACTGGGCCCGGCCACATCTCTGGTTTCTATGATCTGTCTTGGGGAAGAAAGATTCTAGTTTCTAGGGCTAGCTGCAGGGGAGAATGAGGGGCCAGAGACAGGAGGACAGGAGAAGATCAGAGAAAAACTTTTGCATCTGAGGCCTTCATTTAGGCTCATTTTGTTTTCTGATCCCCAATGAGAGAAATCAGGCAGACGTTTCCAGATTTCCCTCAATTGGAATTAATTGCTCCTCCTGTGCCCTATACTCCTCTGCCTCCCAGGTTCAAGCGATTCTCCTGCCTCAGCCTCCGGAGTAGCTGGGATTACAGGCGCACGCCACCACGCCCAGCTAATTTTTGTATATTTGGTAGAGACAGGGCTTCACCACATTGGCCAGGCTGGTCTCGAACTCCTGACCTCAGGTGATCCGCTTGCCTCGGCCTCCCAAAGTGCTGGGATTATATGCATGAGCCACTGCGCCGAGCCTCTAGCACCTAATTTCTTAATTTAGAAACTTAACTTTCTTATTATCAATAAAACACTAGCTTCAAATTCAGAAGCCCACTCTTCCAGTTCCACATCACTGAAACTCTGTTTTCTCATGTATGAGCTTGGGGTGGTGGAATCTCTCTTGTACAGCTCAAGCTCCAGTGAGGGGAGAGATGGGTTCTCTATGAGTGAAGCCAGGTGCATGGGGTGGGTGATGGTGAGGATGGTGGTGGGGATGTGATGATGGTGATGTTGACTGTATTTGTTTAAATGAAGGGCTGATAATGTGAATAAGAAATCTAGAACCTGATTCCTGGGAATTAACTGGTTATCCCTGAAATGGTCTTTTTCTTCTCTGGACATCTCTATACAATACAAAACACTTTTGGCCGGGTGTGGTGGCTCATGCCTGTAATCCCAGCACTTTGGGAGGCTGAGGTGGGTAGATCGCTTGAGCCCAGGAGCTTGAGACCATCCTGGAAAAAATGGCAAAACCCTGTCTCTACAAAAAATACAAAATTAGCCGGGCATGGTGGCACGTGCCTATAGTCCCAGCTATTCAGGAGGCTGAGGCAGGAGGATCGCTTGAGCCTGGGAGGTGAAGACTGCAGTGAGCAGTGTGCAGTGATCACACCACCACACTCCAGCCTGGGTGACAGAGCAAGACCCTGTCTGGAAAAGAAAGAAAGAAAGAAAGAAAACAGTTTTATTAAGTTCCCCCTCGGTCTTCGGAAAGTTTTAGTCTATCAGACAAGTGGCATTTTTTAACTCATAATTTTTCATATTTTTATTAATCAAAGTCATTTGTAACTACCAGAGCTTTTAGTCAACCTGAAATGCAATATAACCACACTGAGCAGGTGCAATTCTATGCAAAAGAAAATTGACATTTTAGTTGACCTGTGCAGCTTTGTAAGAGGTAATTCTTTCATTGTTGTAAAGGCTTTTAAAATGGTGAAAAAGGCCCATGGATTCCCTAAGAATCTATCCTTAAAGAAACTGTGCATTGCAGAAGATAAAATGTATTTACAGAGATGTTTGCTGCATTATTTATTATGACTTAAACAGTAGAAACACACTAAATATTCATCTGTAAATAAATTAGGGCTTATTTGCATATTTGCACAATGGCATGCTTTGCAGCCATTAAAAGTTATGTTCGGTCTTAGGGTGGAGAAAGATTTCCAATGCGGGGCACCAAACCCAGAAGCCATTAGGGAAAAGCTGACAGATTTGACACCATAAATATTAAAAAGCTTGTCCTTGAAAGACATCATAAACAAAGTAAAAATACAAGTGCCAAACTGAGATAAAATATGCAAGAGGAAAAATATTAAATCCACATATTTTTATTTTCCCTGTAAATCACACTCTTTCAGCTTCTCCTCCCCAAGGCTGAGCCATGAAGCTCATTGCCCAGGGAAAGAAGGGCAGGTACTGCCTGGGACAGAGGCACCCTTGAGAGACTTTCTTAACTTTCCTTAACCCATTTAGCAAGACCAGAGGCTCAAATGCAAGCCTTTATGGAAAAAAGAAAAGGAATGATTTTGATTTTATCCTGAAGCTCGTCCTCTAATAGATCAAGGCTCAACCTTGGTGGACTTTTTTTTTGAGACAGAGTCTCACTCTGTCGCCCAGGCTGGAGTGCAATGGAGTGATCCCGGCTCACTGCAACTTCTTTTTTTTTTTTTAATTATACTTTAAGTTCTAGGGTACATGTGCACAACGTGCAGGTTTGTTACATATGTATACATGTGCCATGTTGGTGTGCTGCACCCATTAATTCACTGCAACTTCTGCCACCCACGTTCAAGCAATTCTCCTGCCTCAGCCTCCCGAGTAGCTGGGATTACAGGCATGCGCCACCATGCCTGGCTAATTTTTATTTTAGTAGAGATGCGGTTTCGCTATGTGGGTCAGGCTGGTCTGGAACTCCTGACTTCAGGTGATCTGCCCGCCTCAGCCTCCCAAAGTGCTGGGATTACAGGCGTGAGCCGCCGCACCTGGCCAACCTTGGTAGATTTAATCATGAAAGTCCACATGGGAGATGCGCTATCAAGAGGAAGTGGAAAAATGCCCCCCCTTCCCTGGGAGGGTTGTAGGGGGAGGAGGAAGATGGAGGGGGGAGGAGGAAGATGGAGGGGGGAGGAGGAAGATGGAAGGGGGAAGAGGAAGATGGAGCAGGGAGAAGCAGTTGTGAGAGATGTGTCCTGACAGCCCCAGTTCTAGACACAGGCAGATTGAAAGAAACACCGAAAGCAGAAGAGAAGCCTCTGACTCTGTTTCAATTTGGGCTTCTGGGAAGAGAAGCCTCACCAGGTACCTGCCCTGTATCAATCTGTCTGCCTATTAGGCAGAGACAAGACCAACAATTAGCTGCCCATTCATTGGCATGAAAAGTGTCGAGAATTTCCTGGATACTCTTGCAGGGGAAGAGCTTCTGTGAGGAGAGGTGACCCTATAGTTGACGGCTGGGTGGTCACTCAGGCTGGGAGCCTAATGGAAGTTCCCTGAGGGGGATCAAGCACAGTAGTAGGACCAAAGTGGAGAAGAATCAATTGAAAGGACCCCTGGACTCGGAGGAGCTAGAGTTTCTCAGCTATCAACGTAAGCAACAGATGTCAGCGAGATTCATGCCCTGTGATGGGGTCAACATGAAACTGGCTACAGAAATCAGAGGAGGTATAGGGCAGCACATGAATCTGTGCTCAGGAACTGAGGCCTGTTCTTCACCTTCACCACTAGACCAGCTAAGACCCACCTCCCACACCCCAAATGCCATCTCAGAGAATAAGCAGCAGGAGGAGGATGAGCTGAGATCATGGGTCGGGTAGCCGCAACAAAAAGATCTTGAAGATGGTGGCTTAAAAAATAGGAGCTGGTTTCTCTCTCAGATAAAAGTGCAGGTGGGCTGGGCGCAGTAGCTCACACTTGTAATCCCAGAACTTTGGGAGGCCGGGGCAGGCAGATCACTTGAGGTCAGGGGTTCGAGACCAGCCTGGCCAACATGGCAAAACCCCCTCTCTACTAAAAATACAAAAATTAGCCAGGCATGGTGGCGCATGCCTGTAATCCCACCAGCTACTCTGGAGGCTGAGGCACGAGAATCGCTTGAACCCAGGAGATGGAGGTTGCAGTGAGCCGAGATCGCAGCACTGCACTCCAGCCTGGATGACAGAGTGAGACTGTGTCTCAAAAACAAAAAAACAAAAAAACAAAAAACAGGCCAGGTGGTGGGCAATGCAGACTAGGCATGGCAGCTGGATGGGGTCAGGGACTGAAGCTCTATGTGCTTTTCGCAACGTGGGACTTCTAGCTCGTGCTCTAAGATACCTGCTGTAGCTCCTATCATTATGTTTGGATTCTAGCTGGTGGGAAGAGGGAAAACAATAAATCAAGACAAACTCCTCCCGATTCCCTTTAAGAGCATGACCCGGAAGTAGCACACATCACATATGCTCCCATTCCATTGTCTAGAACTAGGTAACTTTGCTACATCCAGCTGGAAAGGAGCCTGGGCAGCCACCCAAATGTCCGTCTGTCTCACTCACAGAACACACTTGCTCCTCCCCAAGGAAGACAGGTCTACAGTGATGGCATCTGTGCAAAGTGCAGACTCTCTGGATCCTCTCCCAAAGGTCCAGATGTGACTCTCTCTCTGCTGACCTATAAACCAAAAGAAAAGTTACTTCTCTTGCTTCTTATGACATATAAACCCAGTATGCGCTGGGGGAGAAGGAACAGGATAACTAATAAAAACTTTCAGAAAAGGGAAGAACGGAAAACATGCATTAGTCACTGGTTCATAGCGATAATGAGATCCTACAAAGACTCCCTTCCCTTGCATGGAGTCACCACTGGCATCGCTGTCTGGGAGCAAGTCCCTTGTCCACTGGCCCCAGAGAGGACGGGCTTGTTTTCTGGGAGGTTATTCTCTGTCAGTTGTTTTTTCTGGCCACATCTCAAGTGGGCACTGGAGACTATATCCTTTGAGGAAGGGGGAGCTCATAGGTTCCACAACCTCTTTCAGCCTGTGCTGTCTGGGGACCCTAGAGTTACTTTAGGAGTCAAAACCATCCCAGGCTTTTGTAGACCATATCTGTGGTTTCTTTTTTTCTTTTTCTTTTTCTTTTTTTTTTTTTTGAGACGGAGTTTTGCTCTTGTTGTCCAGGCTGCAGTGCAATGGTGTGGTCTCCGCTCACTGCAAACTCTTTCTCGCAGGTTCAAGCCATCCTCCTGCCTCGGCCTCCCAAATAGCTGGGATTACAGGCACCCGCCACCATGCCCTGCTAATTTTTGTATTTTTAGTAGAGACAGGGTTTCATCATGTTGGCAGGCTGGTCTCGAACTCCCGACCTCAGGGGATCCACCCACCTCAGCCTCCCAAAGTGCTGGGATTACAGGCATGAGCCACCATGCCCAGCCATATCCATGGTTTCTTTGGCAATAAAATTTCTTCCAAAAGTTAGTAGGTTCTGTGTTGCTACCACGTGCAAGTAACCACAGTTGCAGCTCTTCGTTAGGCACAGCTTTTGCACTGGAAAAGTCTGTTCTTTAATTTACTGACTTTGACTCTGCCCCTTTTATTCTGGTAGGTGGTTAAATTACCAGTGGATCTTATTGATCCCGCAGGCTTGGTCTGTTTTGGTTTTGTCCTTAGTCTTAGGAATTGGTCCTTACTCTAGACAGAACATGGTCCTTACTCCTAACTATGGATTGGCCGGAACTCCCAACACTGTGCCACCTCTGGCATTCCCATCCAGCTCTGAGCCCTATCCAGCTCTTAGCAGCCTTCTTCTAGACTTCACGGTGTCTTGCTGGCATGTGCTCAGCCAAGCCCTCAGCCAAAGGTCATTGGAGAAACCCAAAGTAGACTGGAAGCACCCTCACCCCCATGCAGATCCTCCTTTCTGTTGTATTGCCCTGCAAATTCCAGCCAATTCGGCAGCACCAAACTCCAATTTCTGCCTCTTGAGCTCAGCAAGAATGTGTTGCTCTGTGTAAGCTTCATCTCCCCATACTGTGACTCAGAAACGCCCCCAGAAAGAAAGCCAGGGCCAATATAGAATTCACCTCGTACGTTTCGTTTCCTTTCTCTCAAGGGTCACAGTCTGGTATCGCCTGTTGCCCAGTGCCTGAAAACAGTTGTCTCAAATATTTTGTCTGATTTTATAGTTGTTTATGGTGGTGATGGTGGGAACCTGGTATCAGTTACTCCCTCAGAGCTATAATTGGAAGTCTTTTCCCCTTCCTTCTGTAACTAGGGAATTTATTCAGTTCCCAGCTGTCCAGGGTGCTGGCCAATAGAATATGAGCAGTAGCAAAGGAGTGTGTCTCTGCTTCCCTTTGTTTTCTTTTTCTACTGGTGGGAATGTTATGGCTGTGATTGCTAGTTTTCTATGAAAATCTCTTCTGCATAATTAACAGATTTAAAGCAGAGATCTCAAAAAGAAAAGAGACAAAGAGGATGGGATAGAATAAAAAGCATACAAAGGAATAATGACCAAATTTTCCCAACATTTAGTGAAAACATCAACCTACAGATGCAAGAAGTTCAGTGAACTCCCAGGATTAAAAAAGAAAAAAAAGAAAGAAAAAGAAAAAAAAAACTATACTTGGGCTCATTACAGTCAAACTGCTGAAAATCAAATATAAAGAAAAAACCTTGACTCAGCGCAGTGGCTCACAGCTATAATCCCAGCACTTTGGGAGGCCAAAGCGGGCAGATCACGAGGTCAGGAGTTTGAGACCAGCCTGGCCAACATGATGAAACCCCATCTCTACTGAAAATATAAAAATTAGCCAGATGTGGTGGCGGGCGCCTGTAGTCCCAGCTATTTGGGAGGCTGAGGCAGGAGAATCACTTAAACCTGGGAGGTGGAGGTTGTAGTGAGCCGAGATCTCACCATTGTACTCCAGCCTGGGTGACAGAGCAAGACTCCATCTCAAAAAATAAATAAATAAAAATAAAAATAAAGAAGAAGAGAAAGTCTTAAAATTAGCCAGATAAAAGACACGTTATATATAAGGGATGACATGAATGAAGGCTGACTTCTCTTGAAGAGCAAGGGAGAGGCTGGGAGCGGTGGCTCATGCCTCTAATCCCAGCACTTTGGGAGGCCAAGGCGGGATCACAAGGTCAGGAGATCGAGACCATCCTGGCTAACACGGTGAAACCCCATCTCTACAAAAAATACAAAAAATTAGCCAGGCGTAGTGGTGGGTGCCTGTAGTCCCAGCTACTTGGGAGGCTGAGGCAGGAGAATGGCGTGAACCCGGGAGGCGGAGCTTGCAGTGAGCTAAGATGGCGCCACTGCACTCCAGCCTGGGGGACAGAGCGAGACTCCGTCTCAAAAAAAAAAGAAAAAGAAAAAGAAAAGAAAAGCAAGGGAGGCCACAAGACAATAGGAGAACAGCTTCACATTGCTGACCGAAAAAACTAACAACCCATGGTTTTATATTCTGTGAAAAGATCCCTCAAACATATGGGTAAAAGAAAGACATTTTGGCTAAGTGCAGTGGCTCCTGCCTATAACTCCAGCACTTTGGGAGGCCAAGGTGGGAAGATGGCTTGAGGTCAGGAGTTTGAGACCAGCCTGGGCAACATAGGAAGACAAAACTGAAGGGAGAAATAGACAAATCCACAATTATAGTTGGAAATTTTAACATCTTTCTGTCAGTAATTGATAAAATAACTAGACAAAAAAAATCAGTAAGAATATAGATCTGAATGATACTAGCAACAGGACCTAACTGACATATATAGGACAATATGCCCAACAACTGCACTTTCTTCTCAAGTGCATACAGATTATTCCCAGGATAGGCCATATGCTGGAGGATAATATGTCTCAATATATTTCAGAAGACTGAAATTTCACAGTGTATGTTTTCTGACTACAATACAATTAAATTAGAAATCAGGCCGGGAGCGATGGCTCATGCCTGTAATCCCAGCACTTTGGGAGGCCGAGGTGGATCACCTGAGGTCAGACCAGCCTGGCCAACATGATGAAACCCCGTCTCTACTAAAAATACAAAAATTAGCCAGGTGTAGTGGTGCATGCCTGTAATCCCAGCTACTTGGGAGGCTGAGGCAGGAGAATCGCTTGAACCCAGGAGGTAGAGTTTGCTGTGAGCTGAGGTCACACCACTGCACTCCAGCCTAGGCGACAGAGTGAGACTCTGTCTCAAAAAAAAAAAAAAAAAAAAAAAAAAAGAATAGTTGTACATGAATGAATATTTGTAATACCTTCTTCACAATAGTTAAAACTAGAAATAACCCAAATGTCTATCAATAGGAGAATGGACGAATTGTGGCATATTTAAGCAATGGAATACAATTTAACAATTAAAATGAATAAACGACTGATAGGTGTGACGTGTGAATCTCAAAGATATTATGCTGAGTGACACAAATGAGTACACAATGTATTATCCCATTCATATGATGTTCAAGAAGGGGCGAAACTAATTTGTAGTGATAGAAATTGGAATGATGGTTGCCTGTAAGCGTTGGGCATAAGGGAATTTTCTAGGGTAATGAAAATACATTTTGACTTGTGTGTTGGTTACATAGGTGTAATTCATCAAAACCTTTTGTGTCATACACTAAGATCTTTGCGTTTCACTCACAGTACATAAGTATTCCTCAATGAAAAGAAGGGAAGAACAAATATTGAGGGGCTAACTCAGTTTCTGGTCTATCATTAAATATCCTTTATTTTTTCACTTAATATTAAAAAATTCCTTTGTGCAGTACTCAATGTTTGCTGCTGTAATTGATAAATCCCTAAATCCCACTGCCTTAGCACAAAAATGTTTCTCATTCACATGAGGCCCCTAATGGGTGCTCATGATCCATAGGGAGTTCTCCAAGTGTTGACTTAACTCACGCCTGTAATCTCAGCAATTTGGGAGGCCGAGGGGATGGATCACCTGAGGCTAGGAGTTCGAGACTAGCCTGGTCAACATGGGGAGACCCTGTCTTTACTAAAAATACAAAAATTAGCTAAGCGTGGTGGCAGGCACCTGTAATCCCAGCTACTTGGGAGGCTGAGATGGGAGAATCGCTTGAATCTGGGAGGAGGAGGTTGCAGTGAGCCAAGATCGCACCATTGCACTCCAGCCTGGGTGACAAGAGTGAAACTCCATCTCAAAAAAGAAAAAAAAAAAAGAATCTATCATGGCCTCCACCATCTCCATAACATGGCTTCCAAATTCATTGCCTTTGTCTACATTAAGCAAGAAGGGAGGTTGAAGCTTAGAGCTTGTGCATAGAATGTTTTCATGGGCCAGGCCTGATGGGCTCACATCACTTCCACTCTCATCCTGTGGCGTTGAGTTTAGTCAAGTGGTTACACCTCACTGAAAGAGAGGCTGGGAACCGTAGTCTAGCTAGGAGCTCTAGAAGAAGAGAACATGATTTGATATTGTTAGCAGTCTCTGCCACACTGTTATTAAAATATCACGAAAGCTAACTTGTATTAAACACTACTCACTAGCAACTGTTCTAAAAACTTTACATGTCGTCTTCAACAACTCTTTGAGGTACATACTAGTTTAATCTCTGTTTTACAAGCGAGGAAACTGAGGCATAGAGAAATCAAGGAGTTGTCCAAGGCACAGTGCTGGTAAGATGAAGCCTGGGTTTGAACTCAGGCAGCCTAACTCCAGAGCAGGTGTTTGTAACCACTACTCCATGCTGCAGCCATGTAAGGATTGCATAATCTTCCAAATTTTTGGATGAGCCAAATTTTATTTAACCTTTTTCATATCGCTAGAGATGTAGATTACATCTTGACTGGGGCTCTGCAAATAATGCATTGCTAACATCTTTGTTTGTTTGTTTGTTTGTTTGAGACAGAGTCTTACTCTCTCTCCAGGCTGAAGTACAGTGGCACGATCTCGGCTCACTTGCAACCTCTGCCTCCTGGGTTCAAGCAATTATCCTGCCTCACAGCCTCCTAAGTAGCTGGGATTGCAGGGATGCACCACCATGCCCAGCTAATTTTTGTATTTTTAGTAGAGACGGGGTTTCACCGTGTTGGCCAGGCTGGTCTCAAACTCCTGACCTCGAATGATCTGCCTGCCTTCGCCTCCCAAAGTGCTGGGATTATGGGTGTGAGCCACCGCACCCAGGCCATAGCTAACATCTTAAAGTTTTTTTCTCCCTATGTTATGAATTGATTCCTTAGGATTAATTTTTTAGTTCTTAAAGTTCACAAAATTAGGCTGAAAAAGTCTATTTCCTCTCCGAATTATGTACTGCATGGAAATGATCTCGTTATTGACAAGACATTCATCATTAGATATTAAATATTTTGGTTCATCTATCTCAGCTTGCAAATGATTCTGTATAAAATATTAATCTCTTTTTGTTGATGTTTGAACCCTCATGATATTTGAGTAGATAGACATGAGTTTCTCATCCTAGGCAAGAGAGAAACAGAATTTTTCACTGGAAAAGGATCTCACAGCTTATCTGGTCCAATTCCTTAGCCACTGGAGAAAGATAGTTCTAAAAACAGCTGAACGAAAATAGAAATTTTATAAATTGAATCACATTTATTTTTACTTATGCAGCACACTTGCTCTCAAAGAGAGCCTACGACAAATGCTTCAGTAAGTGAAAATTTAGCTTGTGAACAATTAGCAGCCATTAAAGCTGAGATGCAGAAAAGGATGAAAACTGCAAGCTGACAAATTGGGCCTCAGCTTCTGAAGTGATTTGGCTGTTTCCAAATCATAGTTAACATTTACTGAGTGCTTAACTGCGCATCAGACACCGTGCTCAGCACTTTACAGACTTCCTGTCATTGAATCCTTGCAGCCCATCTAGGGGGTGCATACTGCTAATATCTCTATTGTACAAAGGAGGAAACGAGCTTAGGGAGGTTAAATAAGGATGACTTTTAAAAGCAGAAAACACCCCGACGAAATAGTTCATGCAATCCATTAACATCATTTGTATCTTAGATTCTTTGACAAGGTTGGAGATGGCGTGGGGATTCCACTCAGGTAAATAATTCCCAAATTCTAAAATTAATAGTTTCTCAGGTTAAAAAAAAGGATAATATAGAAGGCTAACAAGTATGGTGAAAACCTAGATTTTCTTGAAAGCTGAGGTTGGAAAGGACATTTGATTGATTGATTGATTGATTGATTGATGAGCCTTCGAGAAGAGGCCCCCAGGAAGTCTATTGTAGAGTTTCATTCTCTGTCACTTGCTTGTTCTCTATTTCAAAGCCCTCCCACCAAGTGTCGGGATCCCTCCCTCCTTCCTTTTCTTTCTCCCCTCTTCCCACATGCTCTCCCAGAGCCTCTTCCCAGGCCCAGCCTTCCCTACCTACCTCAGTCCTTCCCTGCCATTCAAGCCACAAACCTGTGGAACCTTCTTGAACTCAGAAAGGAGAGGCTGACTTCCAAAGGGTTCCAACTATTTAAATGAGCAGTTCCTCCCCAGACGCCAACCCTTATCCCAGGAGCACAGCACTCGTGCCTTGCGTGGAGGAGAAGTGTGCCCCATGGGCGGTTGATTGGCCTGATGACTGTCCTTCAGCTCAGGCACCACTGGAGGCTGAGCTCTCACTGGGAGGCAGTCACAGGTGCAGGCAGGCTCCGGGGATAAGGAGCTGTGGTGTCTTTCCAGTGCTCCTGTGTGTACTTGGTGGAGCTGAGAACAGCCAGACACTGGATGAGAGCTTGGCTTTAGGATAACGCCCTACATTTGGGGCCCCATGTTCTCTGGTGTCCCCACCTGGATTGTGGCAGCCTACTCTGGGGCAGGGGAGGAGATTCCAGGAAAAACAGGGCCAGAGTGTGCCGTGAGGTGGAGGTGCTGTGGAAGGGGGCCTTGGTTCCAGCCACACGAGCCTCCCTCCACTTGTCACTGAGGAGTCATTGGCACCTTAGCTCTTGGCGCAGGGAGGTTGGCAGCAGGCATCACAGGCTGCCTCCCTCAGGGAGCTCACAGTCTCCATAGAAAGACGTGCAGGTGCACGCTGGCTCACACACACACACAGCACATGCACACACGCAGCACATAACGAGAACTAACAACTGGCAAACTCAAGAGCTGTGGTGGCTCCAGCAGTGCCGCTGCTGCTTGTGGGTGGGAGATGTGGGGGCATGCATAGGCTGATTTTGCAGGTGGCTTTGGAGCAGTGGTTCAGGCAAAGGCGTTACAGGACCTAGAGCTGGGCCCAGGTGGAATCATTGTCTTATTGGGTGACTTTAGCCAAACTAGGAGTCTTAATGCTACCTTACAGGTTTTGTGTTTTTGTTTAGAATTAAAAGAGGCAGGGCCAGGCGAGGTGGCTCACGCCTGTAATCCCGGCACTTTGGGAGGCCGAGGTGGGTGGATCACCTGAGGTCGGGAGTTCGAAACCAGCCTGACCAACATGGAGAAACCCCGTCTCTACTAAAAATACAAAATTAGCTGGGTGTGGTGGCGCATGCCTGTAATCCCAGCTACTCAGGAGGCTGAGGCAGGAGAATCGCTCGAACCTGGGAGGCGGAGTTTGCGGTGAGCCAAGATTGTGCCATTGCACTCCAGCCTGGGCAACAAGAGCGAATCTCTGTCTCAAAAGAGAAAAAAAAAAATAGTGGCAATATCGGTGTAAGAGCCTACCATAGAGAAGTGCTTCATGGCAGCTGAACCTGAACCTGGCACATCCTGGGACGCCTGTGGCCGCAGGGGAACCGCCTGGCCCAGCAGAGCTCGCTGTTTGATATGAACACGGATCACACAAGACAACTGGTAACAGCAGTGGCCTCCTGGGAGGGGAAAGGCTTACCACGGGCAAGACAGGGAGGGACATTTGTTTTTTTAAATTTTGTACACGATACATCTATTTCTTGGTTCAAAAGTATGTCAACCATTTTCCACCTTGGCCTGCACGCAGTGGGGTGCTGTGAACGTTCAACAAGGGGCTCTGGGGCAGCCTGGTACCAGCAGGCTCCAGCGCCCCCACCGGTTGCACAGGTGTGGTAAGGCCAAAGCTTAAGGACTGATGACTAAGGTTGCTGTTCTCCCTCAGTGGGAGGGAAACCAAGGTCCAGAGAAAGCCGAGGCTCTCTCTTAGGACCAAAAATCCAGCGGTGGCAAAATTGAGTCTGAATCCAAGTCATTTGACTTGGAAGGGCCCGGGTTCAGGTCCAGCCTCTCTGTCCAGCTGTGACCTGAAACAAGTTGGCTAACGTGTCTGAGCCTGTATTTTCTTGAGGATGATAATATCCACTTCTCAAGATTGTTTTGCAGCTTCACTACAAAAAAAAAAAAAAAACAAAAAAACAAAAAAACTACCTGAGGGTGCTTTGAAAACCTTGAAACCCTGGCCAGGCGCGGTGACTCACACCTGTAATCCCAGCACTTTGGGAGGCCGAGGCAGGTGGATCACCTGAGGTCAGGAGTTCGAGACCAGCCTGGCCAACATGGTGAAACCCTGTCTCACTAAAACTACAAAATTAGCTGGGCATGGTGGCAGGCGCCGGTAATCTCAGCTACTTGGGAGGCTGAGGCAGGAGAATTGCTTGAACCAGGGAGGTAGAGGTTGCAGTGAGCCGAGATTGCGCCATTGCACTCCAGCCTGGGCAAAAAGAGCAAAACTCCGTCTAAAAGGAAAGAAAGAAAAAGAAAGAAAGAAAGAAGAAAGAAAGAGAAAGAGAGAGAGAAAGAAAGAAAGAAAGAAGAAAGAGAAAGAAAGAAAGACCTTAAAACTCTAATACAATATAATGGGTTTTTAAATAAAAAAGAAAATAGAAATCACCTTTTCCTCTAGCCCCTCAGTTCAGCATTAGTCAAGCTTTTTAACCTACTCTTGAACGTATCAAGAGCCTTCTTTACTTGGCCCACCCTGGGTAGAACTGGGATTCTCCCCAGTTCCTGAAGTTTCCATGGCTCTACTCTGTAACAAGGAAAAGGGAAACATGCGTCCTCCCTCCGCTGGAGTTTCTCCACAGGTGAGTCCTTTGCTGCCAAAGGTTGTACCTGTTCTGCCACCGCCCCCTGCTGGTGACTCTTACAAGGCGCCCTGTCTTCACTGGCATCCGAGCAGGTTGGAATTTAAGGGAAGTATCTAGATCCACCTAGATGGGGCTTGGTGAGGAGGAATCAAGCTGCTGGGTCTCGAGTAGCCTCCATCTCTGCACCGTGGCCACTGTGCCCATCATGCCGGCAATGGGCTGTCCAATGGCAAAGGAAGGCTGATGGAGGTTGACCAGGTCATTTTGTCTAGTTGGTTGTTCAGTGCCTGTCCGCAGTGGATGCTCTCTGGCAGCTGTGAACATGCGCTACAAAGACCTTCACACTTGGGCCCACTCCCAAATGTCCAGACACATCCTCCAGCCCAGACCTGCTGCTCCTCATCTTCCAGCCTTTTTCCTTCAGGTCCCAGCCTCCAACCACTCAGCTGAGCCATCAGCCACTACCCATGAGTTGTACATATCTTAACTTTGGGACCCTTCTCTTTCCACACAAAGGGGATGATTAGCTGCACCATCTGAAACTCCGCCTATTTATTGGAGGATTTTCTCCAATAATTTTGGAGAAATAGTTTCCAAAATTATTGGAAAATTATTCCAAAATAATTCCAAAACTATTGGAAAATTCCAAAATGATTTCCAATAATTTTTTCCAATCCACCCCTGAGTGAGGCTGCCATCATTTTTAGTTTGCACATACATGTGGAGCTGACCCATCTGTACCCCAAGTTCAGGCTTTTCCTCCCCGCTTTGGCTGGTTGGACAGGAACCCATAGAATCATGGGCATGAGCTGGGGTGGGGGCCCTGCGGCTTGCTGTCCACTCACTTCAATCCTGGAGGACGCACCTCCATCTTACAACGGGCTGCTGCTGAGCCTGCTTGGCCTTACAGCTTGGGAGGACGACGAGACCCAGCTCACAATGGGACCGACGAGACCCAGCTCACAATGGGCAGTTCTGGTTGCACAGTCACTTGGTCCTCCGTGGCAGTTTCTTATTTTATTTAATTTATTTTTTGGCATGTAGTCCTCGCTGCAGCTGGCATGGCCTTGCTAGAGATCTCAGAGGGCTCGCTGTGAGTCTCCCACCCGAGCCTGCACAATCGCCACAGGCGTCTTTCCCCGCCATTGATCTTTCAGCACCATAATATCTGCTGGGCCAGAGGTTTCAGGCGACAGGCTGCATCTGTAGATGACACAAGGCTACCTGGAGTCATTAGGGTAGGGCAGCCTGAGCAGGGGCTGCCACTTCCTTCTCAGGGGAAGCTCTTGTGAATGCAAATGGGGCATGTTAAGTCCTGGAAGGAGAGAAAGAGAGAGAGAGGGAGAGAGACAGAGGTGGGGGGGGGGGGGGCGGGGAGAGAGAGAGAGACAGACGAGAGAGACAGACAGACAGGGCAAGGGGAGAGAGAGAGAGGTAGAAAGAGAGAGAAACAGATGGGAGAAGGGGGGAGGGGGGAGAGAGAGAGACAGAGAGGGGAGAGAGAGAAGGGAAGGAAGGAAGGAAAGAAGGAAGGAAGGAAGGGAAGGAGGGAGGGAGGGAAAGAAAGGGAGAAGAGAAAGAAAGGGGAGGAAGAAAGAAAATGAAGTTGCTCTTTGTTAGATGCTCTTGTGTCGTTTAGGGTCTTTTTCTGTATACATTGCCCCAACTAACTGTGAGTTCCTTCGGGGCAGAGTTAGAATCCCAGCTCCTCCACCTACTAGCTATGTGATCCTGGGCAAGCCACTTCACTTCTCTGAGCCTTGGTGTCCTCCTCTGTAAAATGGGGATAATTTTTTTTTTTTTTTTTTTTTTTTTGGAGATGGAGTCTCACTCTGTCACCCAGGCTGGAGTGTAGTGATGTGATCTCAGCTCACTGTAACCTCCGCCTCCCAGGTTCAAGCGATTCTCCTGCCTCAGCCTCCCAAGAAACTGCAATTACAGGCGCGCACCACCACACCTGGCTAATTTTTGTATTTTTGGTAGAAACGGGGTTTCACCACGTTGGTCAGGCTGGTCTTGAACTCCTGACCTCGTGATCTGCCCACCTTGGCCTCCCAAAGTGCTGGTATTACAGGCATGAGCCACCATGCCCAGCCCCAAATGGGGATAATATTTTAGCCCACAGCACAGTGGTCTGTGAGCATTAAGAGAAGGAAAGCACCCCTCCCCACCAGCACAGTGTCTGCACCCAATCAGCACTCCTTAAACGCTGGCTAGCATTCTCCTCCCCTGTGACCCTCTGGCAAAAGATTCCCCACCCCAACCTCAGCGCCCAGCAAATCTGTGCTAATGTGCGAGTGGGTATCGATGAGTTCATATAACCCTTGGGTAGCATGTGGTTAACATGTGTGCGTTTTAATAGGGCTATTTTACAGCAACTCTAATGATGTGTGGATTGTCTGGGGGCCATGGGGGTTGTTTTCTCAAGCTATAAACTCACCGATGCTCTGCTCCACATTCTCCTCAGAGTCTCTACCCTACCTCCTCTGTGGCCCAGGGTCTGCCCACAGCTGGCCCCTCACAGGTGCCCAGGGCTGCAGGGTGTGTGTATGTGGCTTGTGTGGTGTGTGTATGTGTGTGTGTGTGTGTTGTTTGTGTGGTGTGAGTGTGGGTGTTGCTCATATGTGTGTTGTCTACTTGGTGTATGTATGTGTTGTGTGGTTGTACGTATGCGTGTGTCCTATAATTAAAGTCCCCAGAAGCAGGGCACCCTGCCTGGGTGCCACCTTCTCACCCCTCTCCAGGGGCTCTGAGCACCCCCCCACCCCCGCGACGTGGCAGTGGGCAGCACCTGTGCCCTGATCTTTGCATCTCAGCCTCTCGCCCAGGGCTTTGTGCTAACGGGTGCTCAATACGGTAGTGCTTTGCTAATTGGGAAAAAGCGGTCGCGGGATGTTCTTTCCAGGGCAGTGCTGCAGTGCCCTCTGGTGGATTTTCTCTGAACTTCTCTAGGTTTGAGGTTCCGCTTGTCCTTGACAGGTAAGCCGGCCCTGAGAATCCAACCGCCTGGCCTTCTTCGCTTTTGGTCAGCCCTCCGCCTTGCAGAGAGTGGGGCTCAGTGGGAGCTGAGGCTGTGTGAGGGTGAGGCTGGGGTCAGGCTGGGGAGGAGACTGATGTTGGGAGTCCGGAGGTACAGTTATTCCTGTACCTCTAGCAATAAGAACTGTGAGGTGGAAATGCCCATTTCAGTGATGGTGGAGAGAAACCAATGGAACCTGAATATAGGCAGCGACCCCTTAGGAAGCATCTCCTCCTCCTCTTCCTCCTCCCCCTCCTCCTCCTCCTCCCCCTCCTCCTCCTCCCCCTCCTCCCCCTCCTCCTCCTCCTTCTCCCCCTCCTACTCCTCCCCCTCCTACTCCTCCTCCTCCCCCTCCTACTCCTCCTCCCCTCCTCCTCCTTCTCCCCCTCCTCCTCCTCCCCCTCCTACTCCTCCTCCTCCCCCTCCTCCTCCTTCTCCTCCTCCTTCTCCCCCTCCTGCTCCTCCCCCTCCTACTCCTCTTCCTCCTACTCCTCCTGTTCCCCCCTCCTCCCTCTCCTCCTCCTCCCCCCTCCTCCTCCTCTCCCCTTCCTCCTCCTCCTCTGCTTCTCTTCCTCCTCCCCCTCCTCCTCCTCTCCCCTTCCTCCTCCTCCTCTGCTTTCTCTTCTTTTCAGGCAGAAATGCCTCCACAGATTCCCTTATTATCCATGTAGAAAGGGAAGAAAGACATGAATGCTTGTATGTCAGATATGTTACAAGTAACTTGTTTAAAAGGGGAAAAGAAAATAGGGGAAGAGATAAGAAACAAGACAATAAATCTAGAAAATCAGGAATGAGAATAAAGATAACAACCAGAAAAGCAACAACAACGCAGAGATAGAAATCAAAACAAAAGCGATCTCAGTAATCATGAATAGATTAAATTATCCATCCTCTGCATACGAAAATACGAATATTTTAAATTTAGCTATTTCTTGTTAATAAAGATGACACATAAGGCCAAGATTCTCTTATACTAGGCAAATACTAGCATATGCACATCCAATCCATCAGCAAGTCTTGCTGGCTCTGTACCCAAAACACATCCCAAATCCATCTTCCCTGCTAGCACCACTGCCCAAGCTACCATCATCTCTTGTTTGAATGATTCCAGGAGCTTCCCAACCCATCGGCTGGGTTCTCCTGTTACTCCCCTGTAATCCAGATTCCACACAGTAACACAGTGGGTTTCTTTTCTTTTCTTTTTCCTTTTTTGAGACAGAGTCTTGCTCTTGTTGCCCAGGCTGAAGTGCAATGGTGCAATCTCAGCTCACTGCAACCCCCGCCTCCTGGGTTCAAGCGATTCTCCTGCCTCAGCCTCCCAAGTAGCTGGGATTACAGGTGCCCGCCACCACACCCAGATAATTTTTTGTATTTAGTAGAGACGGTGTTTCACCATGTTGGCCAAGCTGGTCTCGAACACCTGACCTCAGGTGATCCACCCGCCTCAGCCTCTCAAAGTGCTGGGATTACAGGTAGGAGCCACCGCACCTGGCCCACAGTGTTCTTTTGAAATCAGAAATCAAATCACGTTGCCATCCCTGCCCCCTGGTTTAATGATACTTCATGTGGCCCCCATTTCACTTGACATAAAATCCAAAGTCCTTTCTGCAGCCTATGCAACCCTATGAGTGGGATGAAGGAATGATGCCACTCCAGAGGGCAGAACCAGGGCCAAATGACAGGAGTTGCAGAGCATGAACCTTGACCCAAGAAAGGAGGAATTTTCTAGTCATCAGAGCTGTCCAAGCTGACTTCGCGATGTGGAATAAGGTCCCCACTACAGAGAGGATGGAGCTGCAGCTGAGGGGATTTCTGCACAGGGTTGGCTGGAGGCTGAAGTAGATTTCCCTGTTGCTTTCCTGTAGGAGACTCTGTGCCTCTAGGAATAAGAACTGTGAGGTGGAAATGCTCACTTTGGTGATGGTGGAGAGAAACAAATAGAATCTGAACATAGGCAGTAGTCCCTTAGGAAGCATCAGCTTCTGCTTCTTCTTGATTACTTCTTCCAGTGGGGAGCTCAATACATGGTGGGCAGCCCTTCCTTTCGGTCAACACTTCATGTATTGGGCAGGCCAAGTCTGTCTGCCTCCCCGAAACTTCCTCATCTCAGTCTCAGTTCCTCTCTCTTGCAGAGTTCTAAGCACTCTTCCAAAAGTGTGCCAGAGATTGTGCTGCATGTTGGGGACATAAAGATGAAAAACGTGAACTCTGCTGTCAGGAAGTTCACAGACTAGAGGGAGCTGGCTCATTCATAGCAGGAGCGCCACGAGGACAACGGGGTATTGCAAAGGGCAGAGCATGCAGGAACTGGAGTGTAGGAGAGCTCAGCCCTGGCTGGGCATCAGCATTACCCAGGGAGGTCTGAAAACTCCCACACCCACGGGGTCAGAGTATCCAGAGATTGTGAGGGCAGGGCCCAGGCTTTGGGGTTTCTTTTTTCTTTGTTTTTTGTTGTTGTTGTTGTTTGTTTGTTTGTTTTTTGTTTTGAGACAGAGTCTCGCTCTGTTCCCCAGGCTGGAGTGCAGTGGCACAATCTCGGCTCACAGCAAGCTCCGTCCGCCTCCTGGGTTCACGCCATTCTCCTGCCTCAGCCTCCTGAGTAGCTGAGACTACAGGCGCCCGCCACCACGCCTGGCTAATTTTTTGTATTTTTAGTAGAGACGGGTTTCACCGTGTTAGCCAGCATGGTCTCGATCTCCTGACCTCGTGATCTGCCTGCCTTGGCCTCCCAAAGTGCTGGGATTACAGGCGTGAGCCACCGCGCCCGGCGGCTTTGGTGTTTCTTAAAGATTCCCAGGTAGTTAGGTGACTACAGTCATGGGCCCCTGGCTTAGTTGGGAAGTGCTTCATCTCTGAGACACCAGGATTCGAATCCCCAGTTTTGCCGCTTAACAGCTTGGTGGCCATGGATCTGCCTCTCTAGTCCTGTGAATGAGCAGGAGAAAAAAGAAGGAGGGAGTGAGAGAAAGGGAAACAAGGAGAAATAGTTTGAGCAGTGCACCTGGCCATAAAACACCAGGGCGGGGCTGGGGGTGTCTTTGCAAATGGTCACGTCACACCAGGCCTAGCTGCACCCCAGTACACCAGGCCACCAGTACAGCTGTGGCACCCGCTCAGTCGTCTTCCTTTGCGGAGCACCTGCTGTCAGGGTTTATTGCAGAAGGAGCCAAGATCACACCTTTATGTAGGCAACAAAATAAATCCTTACAAAACATGAAAGGATTTTTACAGCCACCCTATGAAATGGGAACTGAGTACCCCCATTACAGAGAAGGAAACGGTTACATAGTCTATCTAAGGCCATGTGAAATGAAGGACTGGACTGGAACTAGAATGCAGACCTAGCTCATACAAAAGCCTGGAATGAGTCTTGCATATCCACTGCCCAAGTGAAAAAGGAAACTATTGGCCGGGCACTGTGGCTCATGCCTGTAATCCCAGCACTCTGGGAGGCCAAGGTGGGCGGATCACCTGAGGTCAGGAGTTCAAGACCAGCCGGCCATGATGAAACCCTGTCTCTACTAAAAATACAAAAAATTAGCTAGGCGTGGTGGTGCATGCCTGTAATCCCAGCTACTGGGGAGGCTGAGGCAAGAGAATCGCTTGAACCTGGGAGGTGAAGGTTGCAGTGAGCCGAGATTGCGCCATTGCACTCCAGCCTGGGCAACAAGAACAAAACTCCATCTCAAAAAAAAAAAAAAAGAAAAAAGGAAAAGGAAATTATTAGAGTATAGCTGTCTGTATTCCCCCCTGATCCTCTTCACCTCTCTCCCCTCCAACCACTGTCCTGAATTTGTGTTGATCATTTTCATCTATGTCTATATACCTTTGCCATACATGCAAGATTCCATACCCAGTACGTTGCATCTGATGGCATGTTTTTCAGCCTTGTAGAGACAGCATCATGGGAAAGAAATCCTCCTCCTGCATCTTGTTTTTGTCTCTTAAAATTGTCTGTGACGTTTATCCATGTGAATACATATATCTCTAATTTGTGTATTGTTACTGCTTTTCAAAATCCATGACTCTGCTGATGAAGTTTCAGGTTGTTTCCCGTTTTTTTTTTTTGAGACAGAGTCTTGCTCTCTCCCAGGCTGGGGTGCAGTGGTGCAATCTCGGCTCACTGCAAGCTCCGCCTCTGGGGTTCACGCCATTCTCCTGCCTCAGCCTCCCAAGTAGCTGGGACTACAGGCGCCCGCCACCGCGTCCGGCTAATTTTTTGTATTTTCAGTAGAGACGGGGTTTCACCGTGTTGGCCAGGATGGTCTCGATCTCCTGACCTCGTGATCCGCCCGCCTCGGCCTCCCAAAGTGCTGGGATTACAGGCATGAGCCACCGCGTCCGGCCTTGCTTCCCGTTTTTTACTGTTATAGATAATGCTGCTACAACGATTTTTGTTCTGATATCCTGCACATGTGTGAGACTTTCCCAAGGGTGTACACCCGGGGTGGTTACTGGGCTGAGGGTATGGTGCTTTTCCCGTCTGTCATGCAGGTTACCCTCATGCCAGCGTGTGCCAGTTTCTGTTGCTCTGTGCCCTCACTCACACTTAGTATAGCCACATTTCACATGTACAAGCCTACATTCTTTTTTTTTTTTTTTTTTGAGACAGAGTCTTGCTCTGTCTCCCAGGCTGGAGTGCAGTGGTACGGTCTCGGCTCACTGCAACCTCTGTCTCCTGGGTTCAAACAATTCTCCTGCCTCAGCCTCCAGAGTAGCTGGGATTACAGGTGCCCGCCACCATGCCCTGCTAATTTTTGTATTTTTTTTTTTTTAGTAGAGATGGGATTTCACCATGTTGGCCAGGCCGGTCTCAAACTCCTGATCTCAGGTGATCCGTCTGCCTCGGCCTCCCAAAGTGCTGGGATTACAGGCATGAGCCACTGCACCCAGCCACAAGCCTATATTCTTTATACAGTCCCTAACAACCTTTTGGGAGAATAGTTGCACAGAGAACTACAGCTAGACCATGTTCTTGGCTGTGACATCCTCGGCAAAGCCTGGATGGAGGTCACTGAGGCAAAGCTGAGCCAATATTGATTCAGAACATCCTGTTGCAAAACATGGAGTGAAAGACATGAAGCAAAAGAGGCCTTTGGAAAGGTTTCTTGGCCATCTCCACCAACAATCTGCCTCAAGGCATCATCCTTTCGTCTTGACCTTTTGTTTAAAGGACTAAGTAGGGAGCCCAAACTCCTAGATTTGCCCAAGGTGGTCCCAATTCAGGCCAGTTGTCCCAGTGTAATTATTAATAGCACCACCTTTGACTCTTCAAGGTGTTCAGGCTTGAAAGATAATTTATATGGCCACCTACTGTAGGAGGGTGGGAATTCACATCAATTTCCTATCCACAGATACTCTGCTGTGGCCAACGTGGGGAAGACTGAATGATGGAGAGCCTGTTATACAAACCACAGGGGAACACTTGCCATTGTTTCTGCTATTGTCCCACAGTTGTTTAAGATGGAAGCAGGAGCCCCTGGAAGCTTTCAGAGAAGAAGCTAGCCAGAAACTCACAAGCCCTTTCCTTGAGAAGCTCTGGCCCCATCACTGCGGAGTGCTGGCCATGCTCCCTGGTCACTGCCCATGGGACGGCCAGCTCCCGGGCAGGTGGTGCTAAGCAGGTTGGCGGGTGTTACCCCTCCCAGTCTCCTCAAGATTAGAATCTGTTCCAGGCCACCAGACAGAGCTCCCTGCCAACGCTCTCACTAGAACTGTTCCTGGATGTGCTTCGAGAGCTGTGGCCAAGCTCTTGTGACAACACCTCCTGGAATAACAAAGGGATCCTTTGTGGGCAATCGGCTCCAGCTAACAGCTTGCGGATGGCTGGACTCCCTCTGGCATTTTCTTTTCAAGACAGCCGCCCCCCCATTCCCATCCATTCAGCTCAAGACAATCTGAGATCGTACACAGATAATTGGGCCATTTGTTCAACCTGAAGAGGTAGGTCAGGTCGGCCTTCCAACATTGAAACTTCCGGAGGAAATGATGGGACACAATGGGAATCTGTGGGGGTGACAGCTCAGGGCATCCGCATTCGATGGTTCCCTTCCAGTATTGTGCCACCTCTGAGAGAAGGCCTTCAGCTCAGCAGTGTGCTCATGTGACAAGGGCTTATTCTTAGCAACAGGTCCACAAAGGATTTCCAACTAAGCAGCTTTGGAAACCTAGGCTCTTACTTGGAAGGGCAGGCCCATTGAGGATTGCTCTTGCCAATGGAGCTTCAAGACTCCTCTGGGGCCACCAACTCCATGAAGTCTTTGTGGAGCCACCGCCTCCCAGATGTTTGCCCAGATGAGAGTTGCACACTTTTGCTTTTGTGCCCCATGTGTTACCCCCATGAGTGTGTGCATATGTGTATCTGCATCCATGCACATGTACATATGTCTGTCACAGCACAATCACTCCCCCAAGGACAGTGACACTACCTTACTCTTCTGCATTCTCCTTCCTGCACTGGGAGCTCAGTAAAAGCTTGTGAAATAAAGAACGGAGTCAGTCTTTCACCTGGAGGTGGTTGGGCCCAGAAGCAGACTGGATGGAGGAATTCAGATGATATTGTCTCATCTCTTTTTGTCCCTGAATTCTTCTCTGTTTCTTTTCTTTTCTGTTACTGTAGATGAATGTTCTCCATGTTAGGGAAGATGGTCACCAGCAATCCAACTGGCAACATTGCAGCTCTGGAAATGAAGGCAGCTCCACGGTCTCTTCCCCCATCCCTTGATTACCCGTGTGGCCACAGGGTGGGGTACAGTGACTAGAGAGTCCACTAGAATGCCATGATTGGAGTGAGGGTACAGCAGTTCCCCAAAGTGGGGCAATTGAGGTGGCCCTGAAGAGGAAAAAACAACAGACATCCAGGAGAAAATCACTGGAGCTTGAGGGGCCTCTAGGAGGACACATTCTGACCTGGAGACCTGGAGGGCTCCCGTGAGAGGAACAACTGAAATCTCCAACAACCACAGGCTGAGGAGCTTGGGCTGGGCAGGTTTACAAAGACCACTGCCTCAGAAAGGACCGCGAGCGGTTGATCTGCAGGCTCTGAGCATGAGGCAGCAGCAAATGGACCCTCACTGGGGACACCCAGAGGCCAGGTCCCGTGCAGGACCAGGAGTCAGCAGCCAACCCCTGCTCATCTGCTGGGGGTCCGTGGTCCGCTAAGCGGCCCCACAGAGGGCCCTCTCCCATCAGGCTGGCTCTGGGATGACTGGGTGGTGGCCCTCACAGCAGTAGCTAACATTCTGGGAACCAGACTCCCTGGGCACTGCCCCACTGCCTCCTGCCAACAGTGCTGTTATGTGGATTTTAGGCTTTAGAATCAGAAACAGGCCCTAAATTAAGCACAGAAAGAGAGAAAGGGTGGGAGGGAAAGAGAAGAGGAGAGACTGAGGAGATAAAGGGAGGCAGAGAGAGAAAGTGTTGGAAGGACACGGGACAGTTGAAGGAAAAGACGAACAGCCGCTTTCGGGATAGACTGGGGCAGGACCAAAGCCTGCTGCTCTGCCGACCCAGGACCAACCCCCTTCAGTCCCTGTGACTGCCCCGGAAGTCCAGTTCCCAGGACTAACGCGGGCCGGTACCTGCCCCTGGGATCAGGGATCAGGTTCTGTGATTGACCACCCCACCATGCGGAGCTGAGGAGGGGCCACTAACTCAAAGGAAGGGTGAGAAGGAGGGAAGTATATTTTGGACAGACAAAACCAGCAGCTCTCAGGCACCACTAGCTCCATTTTCCAGGTGAGGAGACAGGCTTAGGGAGGGGGCAGGACTTGTCAACATCACAGTGACAGTGAGTGACAGGACTTCAGCCCAACTAGCTTGACTGCAGTACCACATCTTAATCACTGTGTTTGCTCCCCACCCAATCACGATGGGTGCCTGGTGGGGACACCTCATTTGATCACAAATCGTAATTTAACAAAATAACACAGTGGTTAAGAGTTTGGGGACCTGTTAGAAGGTCACTACAGTCAAACAGGCAAGAGAGGAAAGGACTAGCCTGTCCCAAGACAGTAGATACGATGACAGGAGGACATGAATCAGTAGATGCCAGAGAGTGTGAGAAGAAATCTGTCACGATTGAGAACTCACAGGACTGGGAAGGGAGGAAGGAGTGGGGTCTACATTGGCCTCAGGCTTCTGGTTTGGGCAGTGGGTGGATGGAACTGTCCTTCACTGAGGTGCAAAGCCCAGGAGGAGGAAGCGGTGGCAGTGGAGGTGGGAGAGAGAGGAGTTTCATTTTGGAAATGTTGGATTTGAGGTGCCTGCAGGACACCCAAGTGGAAACGCCCAGTGTTCAGTGGGTCCGTGGGGTGTGGAGCATGGGAGAGAGCCATAGGTGGAGCTGGTATTCCCCCAATGGCGTGGTATAGTATGAGGCTGGCAAAGGCCTGAGGACGGAGCCTGGGCATCATGGCATTTAGGGGCAGGGAAGCCTTCTCAAGTGAGAAAGCATCAGTAGCTCATTCTTTCCTTGCATGAGTCTGATTCTGTCTGCCTCTTCCTTCCCTGTCTACTCCCCCAACTTTGCCTTACCCAGGTAAGTCATTGTTTTTTTTTTTTTTTAGATGAGTTTCACTATTGTCACTCAGGCTGGAGTACAATGGCTCAATCTCAGCTCACTGTAACCTTCGCCTGCCTAGTTCAAGCGATTCTTCTGCCTCAGCCTCCCAAGCATCTGGGATTACAGGTGCCCACCACCAAGCCCAGCTAATTTTTTATTTTTAGTAGAGACGGGGTTTCACCATATTGGCCAGGCTGGTCTCGACCTCAGGTGATCCGTCCGCCTCAGCCTCCCAAAGGGCTGGGATTACAGGCATGAGCCACCACGCCCGGCCAGGGTAAGTCATTCTTAACATTTTAGCATCCACAGCCGTTCCTCGGCACAGCCTTGCCTGGCCTCCCAAGAATGTTTTCATAGGCTCCCACACTTTTCCAGGACAGGACTTCTTACCTTGCAATAACAAAATCATGTCCGTGACGATCGCCCCTGCTGGACTGTAAGCTCCCTGAAAACAGGGACCATGCCCACCATGCTCACTGTTGTATCCCTGTAGGAGGTGTAGAAACTCCCCCTCTCACTCTCTTCCTGTGCCCCACCTTTTCCAGGGATGTGGATTGACTGTGAGTTTCCAAGGCGTAGACAGGGACAGAATCACAATCAGTGTATGAAACTGACCCACATTTCTGTGGTCCTTCTTCAGCTTCCTTCATCAGGCCCACTGGGTTAGGAAGACAGACTGGGCTCTCTTGCAAGCTGGCATCTTCTCTCTCTTGTCTTCCCACAGAGTGCCTGGGCACTTGGCAGGGATCCTCATTTGGGCTGCAGTCCTTGGTAAGACCCAATCTGGGCTGTGAGGCTGAAGCACATGGCCCACCCTGTGCCAAAAGCAGCCTGCCTTGGGGAATCACACAGTCACTCAAACTTGTAACAAAGGGGCGCTTTGGTTTCTCGTTTATTTTTACCCTCACAGCCTTGGGAAGTTTACGGAAAGAGGGATCACTGGAGGCCAAGATTTGGCCATTCCCAGGTCCTCTGGTGAAATCCCACTGAATAGATGCTTTCCCTTGTTTAACCCCTGCTCAGTGAATGAAGGAAAGGAGGAAAGAGATGCACAGAGCAGAGCTTCGACTCTAGAGTCATGATCACTTACGAGCGTCTGTCCCTGGGGAGATCTAGTCCTAGACCATTCAGATACTATATGGATCTAGGGCTTTGCTCCTATGGCGCTGCATGGCAGACGATGGGGCCTGTTACAGCAGTTCCCAGGCTTCACCCTCATGCATTTAGAAGACTTCTTTGTCAATCTGCCAGTCAGGCAGTGGTGTAAACCTCTGCAACCAAAGCACAGGTTGGGCTGGGTCAGCAGCTCAGACCTGTAATCACAGCACTTTGAGGGGCTGAGGCGGAGGATCACTTGAGGTCAGGAGTTGGAGACCAGCCTGGCCAACATGGTGAAACCCCCTCTCTACTGAAAATACAAAAATGATCTGGGCCTGGTGCCGGGTGCCTGTAATCCCAGCTACCTGGGAGGCTGAGGCACAAGAATCGCTTGAAACTGAGGTTGCAGTGATCTGAGATCACACCACTGCACTCCAGCCTGGGTGACAGAGCAAGACTCAGTCTCAAAAAATAAAAATAAAAACTAAGCGCAGGTCGGAACGGCTGCTGGGTCTGTTGGATATTCAGCATTTTCTTGGCCCATAAGTAGCCTCCAGATCTAATAAAATGTCTTTAAAAGTCTCTGAAACTGCCTACGTGCTGGAATTCACATCAGCCCTACAAGCTGGTTGGCCCATCGTATTTTACAAAAGGGAACATAAGCTCAAAGAAATCCTATCATTGGCAAAGCACCCAGCACGAGTAACAATAATTAACAGTAATGAATGATAGTAAATTGTGCTACCATTGCCTGAAGACCTACTATGTGCTAGGTACTCCATTCAGGCTTCTACATGTTTCTCTCACTCATTCTTCGCAGTTGTCCAGTGAGGTTGGTGCCATTATTTTACAAATGAGGAAACTGAGAATGAGAGAGATAGGTGACTTGCTGGAGTTCACAAAGCTAATGGGAAATGGGGTCAAGGACTCGAACCCAAATCCCTCTCTAAGGCCTTCTTCCTTTCACTGTGCTGTTCTCCTTCCAGCTGGTGGCAGGAGGTGCAGCGAAGATTCTGTGTGTAGCAGGAGGGACCCAGACAGGCCCGACAAAAGGCATTCTGAAGGAAGAGGCTGTTAGGCCTGGCCCAGGAGGGGCAGCTTCAGAAACCAGGGTAAAGGAATTGCCTCATTTGTACTGCGCGCTGGGCCAGGTCATGTGCCAGCCACTTCTGGCTGTTCTGGGAAAGAAACCCAGGGGGCGGCCAGGTGTGGTTGTTCAAGCCTGTAATCCCAGCACTTTGCGGGGCCGAGGCGGGGGGATCACTTGAGGTCAGGAGTTTGAGACCAGCCTGGCCAACATAGTGAAGACCCATTTCTACTAAAAATACAAAAATTAGCCAGGCGTGGTGGTGGGTGCCACTGTAGTCCCAGCTACTCAGGAGGCAGAAGCAGGAGAATCACTTGAATCCAGGAGGCAGAGGTTGCAGTGAGCCAAGATTGCGCCACTGCACTCCAGCCTGGGCGACAAGAGCAAAACTCCATCTCAAAAAAGAAAAAAAAAAGAAACCCAGGGGGAACCTGGCCAGACCTAGGACCTGGGCAGAGGGGGGACAAAAGGGGAGAAGGGGCCCAACATTCAGATGGCCATTCCCCACTGGAAGCAGGTGCAAAGGACCCGTGCTGCCCAGAGACACAGGGCAGGGCCTGGCAAAGGCCTTAGCTCTGCAGAGGAAAGGAGAAGCCCCGAGGAGGCCTCCTTTGGGAAGGAGATGAACCAGGAGACCTTGAAGGTCCAGTTGGCCCTGGTGGCCCTGAGTGAACCTCTCTCCAGGGATCTTCTGCATCAGTAGTGGGAGAGGGAGGGAGAAGAAAGAGGTAACTGAGATTTTCCTAAAAGGTTTTGTTTTATAAAGCATTGTGACTGACTGAGGCCTCTGCTTGAAATCTTAAAACCCATCGAGGAGTTCGTGTCTCTCTTGGGCTGAACTGGAAACTCCTAACACAGCTAATAAAGCCCTGTGCGCTGTGGCCGCTGCTAAGCCCACCTGACTGTCCCTGTCTCCAACACGTACCTCATGATGCAGTGGTTCTCGAGACTTCCCTTCCCCTTCCCCCCAGAGTCAGAACCACCTTGGGGGCTTTGGAAACGCACCCCTGCCCAGGGCCTACTGCAGACCAGTATCTCTGCGGGTGGCGTCCTTCTTCCTAAAAACCTCCCCAGGTGATTCCGTGCGTGTTTAGGGCTGAGACCCCTGCCGCTCGGCCTTCTCCGTCATCCTCTCCTGCCCAAGTCCTCCTATTCTCCAGGCCTCAGCCAGGTCTCTGTGCGGGGTCTATTCCAGAGGAAACCCTCCCTGACCCCTCTCCCAGAGTTGTATTTGGCACAATGGGTTGGGTAGCCCATCTGTGCCTGTGTTCCCATGGCACCCTGTGATTGTCCGGAAATGCCTGACACTCACCTTTCTCCCTGTGACTGTGATCTCCCTGAGGACAGGGGCCTTATCTAGCGGTTCACAGTTGCATTCCTGCACCTGACATATGATGACCGTTCAATAAATGGGCTGAAATATTAAGTATCAAGTTAAAATCTGTCTTCCTAAAAATTTCCCTTAGTTCCCGATGTTCCCATCTTCCTAATTAAACATGAAAGCCCACGTCTTTTCCATTTTTAAACTTTCCCCAAATGTCCATGGATATTGGCCCTTAATTAGCGCTTTTTGAATCCCTCTGGATCCTCCCTGTCCTCCTGAGCAGGGAGCTGGCTTTCTGTTCCTGCAGACATTAGTGTTTCCCCAAATAGCTCCTAGAAAAGGAAGCACGGCTTCTCCACAAGAAAAGACAGTTTGCAAACAAGGGCTCTGCGCAGGCAGGCTCAAAGGCAACTGAAGCGGTTCCCTCTCTGGGAGATGTTTAAAGCACCTTCATTTAAGATCACAGAGAAGTTTAGTCAATACTCACCCATTTCCTCCTCCACCCTTCCTTAAGGGAAGCCAGAACTGAGCTCTTGTCAGAGAGGGTACCGACCGCAGAACGGCTTCAATAGAGTAGAGGGGATGATACATACTGGAGTGGAAGAAGATGAAGGTGAGAAGCTGCCAACAGGGCATTAATTGGCTTTGGAACAGCTAAGAGCCTCACCCTGGCCCAAAAACCCTGAGGCAATTTCCGAAAGCAACGGTGGAGGAAGAGGCCTGCCCCTTTTCTCACCTCCTTGGAATGGGCAGCTCGGAAGTGGGAAAGAGGGCCAGGAATCCATAGGGCATCATTCTCCCGCCAGCTGCCTGGGGCCTGGAGGGGGGCCAGGCGGCTCACCTCCTGGGGTTTGGGAATGTGCCCGGGTGTAAGGAGCTGCAGCCCCCATCTCCCCATTACTGAGAGGAGGTGTTGAGAGGTGCCCCGGCAGAGCTGGGGGACAGCGATGGCTGCTGCTGAAGTGTTGGGTGTGGACAAGTGGTCTCTGCTGAGTTTCTGGCTCCATTGACGTTTCTTCTTAGCTCAGTTTCCTTATCTGAAAATGAGAGTTTTTTTGGACCACATATCAAAGGTCTCTTCAGCACTGCCTTCTGGGGCTGGTGAGAAAACAGGGAAGCAGGAGAGGAAAGCCCAGGAGTGGTTGTAACTCAAAGACGGGCACCGAGCCCCTGTGTGGGGGATAGGGCATGTCCTCACAGTGGTATCCAGGCTCTAGACTGGGGGCCCAGATATAAAAGGGGTGGCAGGTCTACCCCTACATCTTGTATGATTCATCACATGAGGGAATCGAGGCCCAACGAGCTTTAAAAGACTCACACAAGGTCACACAGGTAGTGAGCATGGAAGCTTTCTCTACCACAGCGATGGCAGGTAGATTTAACTTCATGCCCAACTCTGATAGATTGGCAAGGGCTGTCGGGAGCATCACGTGGAGGAAAGAGTCTTTGATCTATTAGCAATGTCTGGCACACACTTGGGAAGAGGAAATGGCAGCAAGACCACCACATATTTACTGTAACTACTAATTATTTATTAAATTGTTATTGAGAGGCTCCTTCATGTAGGGCACTGGTCCTTATACTGGAGATTCAGTGATAAACAAGAGCAGCTCCTGCTCTCAGGAAGTTTCCATTCTAGAAGGAGAGACAAACAATATATATGTGAACAAATGACTAAATAATATAATCCCAGCTAGTCCTAAGAAGTATAAGGAAAATAAAATAGTGCAATGGGATAGGCAGTGATGGTGTGGGAGAGGAGGGAGGAGATCAAGGCAGCCAGCAGGCAACATTTAGGCTGAGACCTAGATACTGAGAAGGAGGCCTCCTTGTGAGGATGGAGGAAGAGCGTCCCAGCAGAGGGAACAGCCAATGCAAAGACTCTCCAAGAGACAGAGAGACCAGAGTTGAGGCTGTTTAGAGGGCAAGCAAGGGGGCCAGTGGAGAGGGTGGGAGCAGCGAGAAAGCCAGCTGCCTGCTCAGTGTGAGCATTTGGATGTCTGACAGGCCTCCCCAACTTAGCCAGTCCAGCACGACACTCTCAGTCCCCCCTCCCAATCACCCCTGCTTCACGCACAACAAAACCTGCTCCTCCCCAAGTCTTTCCCTTCCCTTCCCAGCAAATGACATCTTTGCCCACCCTATTGCTTGGTCCACTGTGCTACAACCCTGGCCACGTCACCATCAACTCTCTCCTGCAGCCTCCCCCTAATCCTCTACAGAAGCCCCCAAAGCACTCATCAAACCAATCCCCTCATTGCTTATTGCCCAAGGCTCTCTTCCTCCCAGTTTTGTCTTTTTTGCAGCTGTCCCTAACCCATGAACCCACGAACCCAGGGATAGATACTTTATCATCTTTTTAAAAAGAGAATCTGAAGTTGGTTATAGCCATGAGAGCGCTAAGCACCAATTCAATCCACACACATTCCTCTAGTTGCCCCCAAACAGACAGTGTTTCCAGAGTGGATATGAGGACTGGGTATTAATGATCACAGGACCATTTATCAGGCTCCTGCAGTGCTCCTGGCTCCCTGGCCAGAGCATCACAATAGCCCTGCAGGGACGGCATGATTACCATCCCACTTTCATTCATGCGGAGATTTAGACTCAGAAAGGTTCAGCTTCTTATCAGAAGTCCCAGAGCTGGTAAATGGCTGAGCCAGGATTTGGACTTAGGTCTCTCTGACGCCAAAGCCCAAGCTCTTACTTCTGCATCAAGTTTCCTCCTAGACTCAGATGGGCAAAGAATGATGGGCTCAGAAAAAGACACGTCAACCTCGGTCCGGATGTTCCCCTTTTATGCCAAAATCAAAGGTCAGAGCCTGCTCCCTGGGTTCCTTGGGACCTCAGCCTCAGCCTGGAAACAGGAAGGGTAGGACCTTCTGCCCACCTATCCCCAAAGAAATGAGGCATCCCAGCTCTCCTTATCTTGCCTAGCTTTCAGTCTTCATCCTTCCTTCTGCCCCCTCCCAAGTCCTTCTTTTGCCAGGTGGTCACCTTCTTGCCCTGGGCTGTTATAGCCAGTACCCCAGTCTTCTCCAGGAAGCATTCCCGTGGGAACCACAGTGCCAACATCCGGTGAGGACAGGCCCTCCGTTACCTGCTGGCCCTGCTGCCTCTGCTATCAGACCCAAGAACAAAGGAGCTTGGTGCCTGCCGCCTGGCTGGCTGTGTTTGTCCAGGGTGAGGCCTCGCCTGGCACAGATGCTGAGCAAACAGAAGTGCGGCTTCACAGATCCGCCTTACAACGAGCGGGGCTTTAGGGGATGTGTTGCTGCCAGGACACCTGCTGAAATATCTCTGTGTCCAACCCCAGCCAGCACTCCGGGGCATGGGGGACTGCAGGGCAAGGGGACACATCTCTGAGCCTTAGGCTTTTCGGCTCTACAATGGGAGAGTTGTATAAGATGATCTCCAAGAGCCCTTCTGTGGTCTGGAGCCCTGAGTGATGTTTCTGAAAGCCCCTAGGGCTTGAGAACAGATCTTGGTGGCAGAAATGCTGAGGGTGGTGTGGGGTTGGAAGCCAGGCCTCTAACTCATGGTAGTCCTGGACCCCAGCCCCATGTACCCACACATGCCTCTGTCTCTGACCAGCAGGACTGACCTCTTTCAGAGAAATGTCCTTGACCACTGGATTTCTGACCTCATTCACTTTCATGGAACTTCCAGGACTAGAGCTAGGGCACTTCATGGTGAGAGGACTAAGTGTGCCTGTCTTGCTTCTGAGGTCATTCAGAATCTAACTTCTCACTCTCTGCCTGCAGAAATCAAGATAGCTGGGGAAGGCTCTGAGGGACCATGGAGAGAGGTTTCTCCAGTTAGGATGGGAGAACTGCACGATGATGGTGATTCTCAGAATGTAGGTGCATCAGAACCACCTGCTTGTTAAAAATGCAGAACCCTGGGCCCCAACCCCCAGAGATTCTGAGTTCCAAGATTTGAGGTAGGAAAGGGTGGCTTAGAATTCTGAGTTTTAAACGAGTACCTAGGTCCTCTGTAGGTTTCTGATGAAATGTATTTAAAAGCTATGAAGTCCTGGGTTCAAATCCCATCTCTGCCACTTTTTAGCTATGTGACTTGAGAAAGTCACTAAGCCTTTCTGGATGTCAGTTTTGTCTGTAAAATGAGGCTGTATAAAATAACTTTCAATAAGTTCGAGTTACTGTTGCAGAGTGTTGATTGCACTTTGTAAATGTTTGTGGAATAAATGGGGCAGAAGTCCATTTGCCCAAACCAGAAACCTACTGTTCTCCTTGACGTCCTCACCTACCACATCTCTCCACCAACCAATCACAAATTCCTGTGAACTCTACCTCCTACATACACTTCACACCTGCCAGCTTCTCTCCCTCCTCAGGGCCACCACGCTAGCCCAAGCCACCATCTTCCCTTGCCTGCGCACTGCACAGCACCCTCACTGGTCTCCTGCTGCCACCATGGCCTCTGCCCATGCATGCTCCCCAGAGCAGCCATGATCATCCAAGGTCATGCCCCTACTTCAAACCCTAGCTCTCAGGAAGGCCTTATCATGAGTCCAAAAAAAATTCCTTCTTCCCCCAACACCTACTTCTAAGAACTCCTTTCAGTCCCTCTTACACTCAAGCTATTCTGAACTTCTTTCGGATTCCTCCAGTGAATCAGTTTCTTTTGCCCCTAGGTCTTCACACAAAGAGTATTTGCTCCCCTCCTCACTCCCCCGGAACACACAATCCGCCACTCACTACTCATCCTTCCTATTTCAGCTTGAATGCCAGTTCTTCAGGGCCGGACACTGGCCGTCGCCCTCACGTACGCTCGAGGAACTCTTCCTCCTCTGCAATAAAGCTCCTTACACTCTACAGCGATGACTTAATCCCACGTCCTCCACTGCTAAGCTAGTAACACAAGCCTCTGTCTTGTCCATTGCGGTAGCACCCGCAGGTACTACAGTCTGACACATTGTGGGCGCTCACAAAGATGTGCTGAATGAATGACTAAATACGCAGCCCAGTGAAAGAATGAAGAAACGATGAAGTCCCTTGTCACAGGATACATCGCGGTGGGGGTCCCCCCAAGTAGCACTAAGCTACAGCCACATGAGGGCGTCGCAGGGCAGACGCGGGCCACATGGGGGCGCCCCCGGTCCGTCTTAGCTGGTTGGCACCTCCTCGGACTCAGTTTAGGTTACTAATCGCCAATGGGCGCCAGGAGGCGGGGTTCTCCCTCTGATGGACAGCATCGCTCCGCCCAATCTAATTCATCTTTTCCTTAGCCCCGCCCACTCCGGCCCCTGAGACCCCGAGGGTGGGCCTGGCGGAGACACCGCCAACTGAACTCCAGCTGAGTGCTCTCGAGGCCGAACCAGCGGGCCTGGCGGTCTGTGAGTGGGTGGCCAGCCGCTAGGGGCGGGGCCTCAGCGTTGACGGGCAGGCAGGCCGTCCCACCCCTCTCGCCCAGAGCGGCCGCGCCAGCGCTGGGGACAGCAGAAGTGAGTACGTGAGCGGCGCAGCAAGATCCCAGCTCGGACCCCGGACGGCGCGCGCCCCCGAAGCCCCGGATCCCAGTCGGGCCCGCAGCTGACCGCCAGATTACTGTGCATCCCGAATCACGACCACCTGCACCCTCCTGCCCCGGCCCGCCCCCCAAGTCCTCAGGCACCCAGCTCCCCGGCGCCCCGGATCCTCCTGGACCGGTCCGTCCAGATTCCCGCGGGACCGACCTGTCCGCATCCCCAGGACCGCCGGGCTCGGTGCACCGCCTCGGTCCCGGAGCCGCCCGCCTGGATTGCATTCCCTCCTCTCCTGGATCTCCTGGGACCCGACGCGAGCCTGCCCCGGAGCCCGCCGAGCGCACCCTCTCTCGGGTGCCTGCAGCCCCGCCGGCGCGGCCCGGCCCGGCGCGGCCCGGCTCGGCTCCTAGAGCTGCCACGGCCATGGCCAGAGCCCGCCCGCCGCCGCCGCCGTCGCCGCCGCCGGGGCTTCTGCCGCTGCTCCCTCCGCTGCTGCTGCTGCCGCTGCTGCTGCTGCCCGCCGGCTGCCGGGCGCTGGAAGGTGAGCGGCGTCGGGGGGCGCGCCCGGGAACAAGGTGCCTGGGGTCGCGGGGCTGCGGGCTAGCAGCGTGGGTCCGACCCGGATTGAGCGCACGTCGGAGGAGGCCCCGCCACCGGCGCCCGCTCCGGGGCCCAGGGATGGGGTGGGGAGGCCGCCCCTGGAGCCGCCTCGGAGGCTGGAGCTGGCTCGGAGGCAGGCAGCCCGCGGGTTGGGGGGTCGCGGGGAGCTAGACTCGGGACGAACGTCCCCCAGAGTCCTGGCCCTGCTGTGAGCTTTCGCGGGAGTCCCCCACACTCACGGCAGAGAAGTGGGGCTCCCGGCACCCCCCGAAGTCGAGGACGTGTGGGCGACCCCCCAGGCAAGGCGAGGGCCGCGGGGCTGTGGCGGGTGGGGGCGAAGCGGGACTCCCCGGGTTGGGGGGCGCTAATGAGGAGCCCGTTGGAGTTAACTGTGAGAGTGTGAGTGCGAGCACCCCGATTTGTCAGGGGACCGCTGCGGGGGCGGACAGGCGGGGGCCTGTTATTGTTTATGGTTTACCGGGCGCCAATTACACCCGAGGTGCTGTATGGGCGGGCCCCCGCACCCTTTGTGGAGGCTCCCTCTCCGCCTGCTAGAGCAGGGCTTGGGTCTCCATTTGAACCCCTGAAGTTGCGGGATTTGCCCCAGGTAGCAGCAGAGCCCGGCGCCTTCCTCAGTAGCTGGTGGGAAAAGGCCAGGCTTCTCAATAGGTTCTGTGAAACCTGCCAAGACTGCTGTGGGGGGCAGCTCCAACTTCCAAATGATTGTACTTGGATGAACAGCCCGGCGTTGTTGGCGCTGGCAGGAGAGCTCACACGCATGCCACTTGACACAAGCTTGCCGCGGACAGAGGCCCCAACACCAGCCACAAACAATAGGGAGGCCCACACACACTCACGCCCCGTTTCCAAGAATTTCGGAGCCATTAAATGAGAGAGGGTCAGAACCTTCCCTAAAGTGGAGGGAGGGACGCCACAGAAATTCGAGGGCAATTGGAATAAAGGCAGTACTTATTTGGGGTATCTTTAACAGATCTAGTTACTTTCTTAGTTTAGGAACGAAAACACGAACTCTGTGGAACTTGGCTTGTTCTTATGTTCACAGTCGGTAAACTTAAAGGTTGGAAGGAAAAAAGAACACAGTTCAGAGAGAAAGGCATCCTCTGGTGCGTTCTAATGTTCTCCAGAGGAAAGACCTCCTATGATCCCCCACCCTCCTCATCTCTGAGCCTGCTGTGCTGACAGATCGAGTCCCACGGGTGGACACATGCAAATTCAGACTGACACACCGAGGTCTCGCCCACACTCGCACACACTCACCCACATGTGTGTGATAGGATCGCAGGCGTGAGAACCCAGTGTGGGGCTTTGTTGTTGATTGCCTTGAGGGTGTGAGCCAGGGAGCCTGTTCTAGTTGCCAGATCTGTGTCTGGGTCTCTGTGTCGTAGTCCAGGAGAGGCGACACTGGTACACACACACTCATACACTTACGGGGCTATGTGTCACCTGTGTGTGTCGGGCCACAAGGCCCTTGTTGTGGGTGTGGTGGGTGCTGGTGCTGAGTGTGGAGTGGGAGTGTGGTTTGGGTCAGGTGCACAGGGGCTACCTGAGGAGGCTCACTTCTCCCTCCCCCCTTCCCTTCCTTTCTGTCTTTCAACCCTCATCACCTACTGGACCCTCAGGAGTCCAGGCCCTAGCAGGAGCCCAAGCTTCCAAGCCTCCAGGCCAAGCAGCTGGGGGGCTGTCCAGAAGGCCGAGTCCTGATGTGCTGGGGCGGCCCGGGAAGAGGGGGCAGCAGGACCTTTCGTTCCCCATTCCCGGCCTGCCCACCTCCCCTCCACTGTGAAGTGGGAGCTAGGGCTACTCCCTGGCTGTGAGGCCAGGCCAGCATGGGATGCCTCTGGGAAGCAGCGGTGCCTACAAGGGTGGTTTCACCAATTCCTTCACTTTTGCAATACCTCAGACTCTCTGGTCTCCAGTTCGTGCGTGGGAGAATGTGAGGGAACAAATGCAAGGTGCTGACCCCAGCGCAGACATTGCACCTACCCACCCTCTGGCTCTCCCTCACTGGGAGACAGGATAGGAACCGCACCGACCTCGCAGAGTTCTTCTGAGTACTGAATTCTTAATGTGTGCAAAGTGCTTAGCATAGGCATTGTTATTCAAGGATTAGCTGTTATTATTATTGTTACCCTAGGGTCTGCTCCTTGGGGAGCTTCAGGAGTGAAACGAGTGTGTGCCCTTATCCTGCTGGAGGGAGGTTAGAGGGAGGAAAGATGAAAGGGAAGGTTGGTGCAGGGGGCTGGGGGTGGGGCTGTCTGCCCCACATCTCCCTGCAGCTCCAGAGAGGGAAGGAATGGGGAGAGAGCTGGCCCAGTGGGCAGCTGTTTTCTGCCTGTCCTCCCTCCTGTATTCTGGGGCTTGGCATGTGGATGGGTGGACTTCGAGGTCCTGGGCTGTGACCAGGATATGTGGGTTCCATAGCACTGAAGATCTCTTCAGCCCCTCCAGCTTGACAGGTGGGGGGTCTAGCTTTCTCCATCCAACCTACCATTTGGTTTCGTCAGGATTTGGTCTGCCCTTGGCCTTGTGGCTCTTTGTGTCTGGGGCATGACATTTATTTTGGCCCAGGGTCCCTGAGCCCTGGCTGCTACCTCTCATGTACCCCCTAGTTAGATGCTGTCTAGCACCTGGTTCCTCTTCCCTTCCTGCACACTTGGGGGTCACCAAGACTCTGCATCCAAGGCTGTCATCAGTTTTCCATGTGGATGGAGCCTGGGTCCTTGCTTGTCCTCGTGGTTGAAAACATGCCCTCCCCTTGCCCTCTGATTGATTGTCCCCTTCCCCCATGCAAATTGCCCTGGGCTTTACGCACAGCCACAGGGAAACAGGGCCACCTTGTCACCCACTGGTCTTTTGAGTAATGTTCCCCAGTTCCCCAAAGCCAAGATTATTCTCCCCTCAGGACCATCAACGGGTCAGGGGGTGGGGTCCAATGGGGAACAGACTAGGAATGGGGCCTGAGATGAGGAATGGTGTCTGAACCCCAGCACCCCTATACTTGGGATAGGATGGAGAGATCCCCGCTGGGAAGATATCCTTTTGAGAAAAGAGAAACAGTTACCAGATCGCAGGAGGTGGGGCCAGCACGTCCCCCTCCAGCCAAGCCTTGGTAGCTGAGTTGTCACTGCAGTGGAACCTGTCTCTGAAGGAACAAGACAGCATAGAGCCCACCTCCTTCACAGGGGCAGCAGGAGTGACCCCTGAGAACACGGGAACTGAGAGGGGACAGCGGGCCAGGATTTGGAGGGCTTGCTCACTTGTTTGAGTTGCCTCTGGCACCCCCAAACCCCATCCCTGTCTGTCAGGAGCTGGCCTTCTGAGCAGCTGCTGGGGGCCGGCAGGTATTTGGAAGAACCAGTTTGCTCAGCACTGCCCTGTCTTTAGCCACAGCTGCTGCTGCTGCCACTGCAGCTTCAGCGGCTGCTGCGAGCTGAAGCCGAAGCTGCCGAAGCTGCCGTGGGCAAGGCCTCTGCCGCACGGCCTTCCACTAATTAAACAGCATGAAGAGGCTGAATCACCAGGCCTGCATAGTTTGAAAATTGTAGCCCTGCCTGTTGTGCTGAGTCAAACTGGTTTGTCGGGATTGGGCAGCTGGGGGGGGTGAAGGGTGGAGGGAGACTGGATACAGCTGGGCACCTGATGGGGTGGGAGAGGCCCCCTGCCCAAGGGCTAGCCCTGGTGCCAGGTCTCCTATTCCCTTCTGCCCCCAGCCTCCTGGCCAGACCCAGTGTGGCCAGCATCACAAGGAAGGGCTGAAGGGCTCAGGTTAAGGGCTAGCTGTCCACCCGTCCTTCTGGCTGCTGGCAGGGCCACAGTGGGGTGGGGGCATGGATGAGCACCGAGGCGTTTGGGCTCCCCGCCCTGGGCTTCTTTCCCCTTCTTCTCCCTCTCAGGTTTATTTAATTAGAAACCCCCATGATCTGAGGGGAAGAATGAAAAACAAAATGTGTTCTCTGTTCTGAGATGTTCCCCCCACCCCATCCCAGACATGGGGGCCAAGGGGCTGTGGCAGGAAAGGAGGAGGTGGCCCTGGGTGAGTTAGGCTCCCCACAACATGCATCTTCTCCAGTCCCATGGCAGGCTCCCCCCAAGACGCCTTGATCCTCACGCTGACCTCCCTGTGTGTACAGGCTGGCACACGTGTGTACACATCCTGACCCATGGGAGGGGAGCCAGCTTGGTGGCTGAGGAAGGGACTCCGTGAAGAGGAGGAGGGTGTCCAACTCGGGTGGCATAGCACTGCTCCAGGCTGCTCCTCCTTGCGCAGACCCTGGCCCCCTGCCCTCCTGCCCCGCTGCACACTCTGCGGGCCCAGCCCTGGTGCTGACCTTTCCTTCCACCTCTAAGTCCCTAGTCTGGAATTTGGGCTGAAGCCTTGCTGCTTCTGTCTTTAGTTGTTTTGTGTTTCTGTTTTTTGTTTTGGCTTGTTTTTTTCTGTTGTTTGTTTGTTTTCTGGGTCTCAATGACACTTTTGCTCCCAGGGTGCTATGGGGCCTGGCCCTCCACCAGGGCAGGTGGTAGGCCCTCAGCTGGTGCCCCTCCCACAGGCCAGGGTGCCCATGATGTCCTCCTCATGCCCTGCTCAAGGTCCTCGACCTGCAAGCGGAAGAGCCTTGCCCAGAGCTTCTGAAGCCAAATCTCTTCAGGGAGCTACCCTCTACCAAGGGCTCAGGGGCCCTGGAGACAGTGCCATTGTGCTGGCAGGGAAGTGGCTTGTTACTTGGGCAGCGGCTATACCTGGGGAGGCCGCACCCAGCCACACCCAGAATCATCTTCATGCCCCTGCTCCACCCCAGCCTCGTGACCTGACTGACAGCTCCTGCCCAAGCCAGGACAACAGGAAGCAGGGCTGGGGCTGTTTCCCTACACCTCTGGCTAAGGCTGCCCCAGCACCTCTGCTTCCCTTGCAAGAGTGGCCCATGTGGCTGCCCTGCCTGAGCGAGAGGCACCAGAGTGTTGGGGGCAGGATGAGGGGTACCACCCTCTCCCAGTAACTCTTCCTCTACCCCACTGGAAGACATCCCATAAACAGAACCATGCTTGCAGGGTGTGTGTGTGTGTGTGTGTGTGTGTGTGTGTGTTGCGGGTGCATGGAGGATGCACCTCTGAGGCTTTACACAAATCTAGGTATTGATACTTACACCATGTCAGGGTGCTCCTTTGCAGGGGCTGTGGCATATTTCAGTGTCATTGGACATCTGTGACTTTGCAGCTGATTGTAGTTTGTGTGACTAAAAGCATGTCGCCAAGTCTATACAGGGAAACTGGTGTTTGTGTTTGCACTTTACACCGAAGACTGTGTGACTTGCAGCTGGTGATAGCATGTGCAATTGGGTGTGTAAGGAGAACATACTGCAGGGTTGGGGGTGAGTGCCCTCTGTGTGCGCATATGTTTCAGGAAATCTGCACATAGGTAGGCTGGAAGCGTGGGTCCGCCTAAGGCAAGCCAGATCTCTGTGTAGGAAAGATTCACTGTATATGAATGTCTAAGGAAGACTAATCTGTTTGTACCATATGCATCCGTGTGTCTGAGAAAGACAGACCATGGCTCTGTGTGAAGCTGGGTGTGTGTTTGTGGGCGGCTGTGGCTTTGTGTGTTTTTGTCCACCATATGTGTTGACTTGTCACTCTTTAGCCCCAGTGGCGGGGAGTGAGCCCAGCCCCCAGGACTGGATGCTGCGCGTGCATCTGTGTGTTTGTGCATGGGTGAGGGCCACACAGCTGCTGCCACGTGGCTGCTCTCCATGGCCCTGTGGAAACCTGAAAGAGGTATTGCTTAGCTCCTGAGCATCAAAGCTCCAGTCCCCGAAAGACCCCAGGCCTGGTGACTACCTCCCTGGTGACTTTGCTGGGCAGTTGTGGTTTCCTGCCTGACACAGCCCAGTGTCTAGGGTGGCCAGCCTCTTCTCCCCTCTGCCTCCTGCAGATACATGGCAGGACGGCGAGGGATGGGGTGCAGCAGGCAGCTGGGGGAGTTGAGAACTTGCTCACTCACTCCTCTTTTGTCTTTACCCGCTGCCCCTCATACCCCCGTCCCAACGTGTGTATGTACAACACACGTACACACACGTGCACACACATGCACACGCCGCACACACAGCACAGAAAAGGTGGGCTGGGTCTCTTTCTCCCAATACCACGGACAGATGGGTTCTATGACCCCCCCCCCACATCCCCCTCACCTCCTGCCGAAGGCAGGGACCAGGCACCCCAGGGCTGAGGAGGGCCTTGCCCCGTCCTCTGTGCCTGGGCAGGCTGAAGGGAGCAGGCTCCTCCTCTCCCCCTGAGAAACGGGGAAACCGAGAGCACGCGGCCCCCTCCCCACCGGAGTGACCGAGCCCTTCCTCGGGCACACATGACTCGAAACCCAAGTCCTCTCTTCATTAATGGGAAAAATGTGGCGAGATTGAGCGATGGCCAAGGCTGAGCGATGGCCAAGGGCCGATCCCCTCCCTCCCTCCCTCTCTCGCTCCCCAGAAATTAAACAGAAATGAAGAGCCTCCCTGCCTCCCTCGCTCCCTCCCTCCTTCCCGCCGCCGCCTCTCCGCCGTCCCCTCCCTCCGCTCCCTCCTCCCGGAGCCAGCGCAGGGCTTGTTTTAAACTGTGGAGGAATCTGGCTGGAGGGGGAGGGGGCTGAATATTTGGGTTTAAACAGTTCCAGATGGGTTTGGCACAGGCTGAGCAGAAGGAAGTGAGGGAGAGGGAGGAGGGAGGCGGCGCGAGGGAGCGGCTGGAGCCCCGGCCTGCTCCGGCGGGCGGACCGGCGGGCGGACCGGCGGGAGGACTGGCTGCGGGGGCAGGGCGCGCTTGCTCTGCCGGCTCCCGGGACTGACACTCGCGCTGCCGGCTGGGGACGAGGCCGCCTGGCAACCTCCCTCTGTCCCTGTCTCCTCGGGCCTCCGCGTCTCTCGGTCTCCCTGTCTTTGTAGTCAGCCGCCGGCCATCCCGGCTGTCGGATCCCCGCCAGCCGGCTCCGCACATCCCTCCGGCTCCGTGCCGCCCACCGCCCGCCAGCTCCAGTCGCTGCCCCGCCCGCCTCCCTCCCCGCCTGTCTCTGTGGGCCCCGGCTTCTGAGCATCTCGGCTTCCCTCGAGTACCCCCCAGGCCGAATGTCTGTGTCTGTCTGTCTGTCTGTCTGTCTGCCAGAGGCCAGGATCGCTCCCCTTACAGCCGGGCCCTCAGGGGACCAGGGGCTGCGGCAGCGGGAGGAGCCTCCCTCCCTGCAGTGAATGGCTGCTGCCTGCAGCCCCTTTGCCTGACATGGCGGGGGGCTGGGGTCACAGCTGCCTTGTCCACCCACGGGGTCCTCCGCCGTCCTCGGCTCAGACCCAGCCTCCGGGAAACCACTGAAGGCTGCAAGCCTGTGGCCGCGGGGTTTGGGCTTTTCCCCACTTGGGCACCCAGAGGGGATGATGTAGAGGCCTCCAGAGGTCCTGGGGCAACCCTGCCCCATTCCAGCTTCAGAGCTGGCTGCACTGTCTTCCAGGCCACGGGAAAGGAGTTGGCACCTCTTTCCTTCCTTTCCTGACCCAGGTCTAATCTGGGGGTCACACTGTCTTTCAGAGAGTAGGGACATCCAGCCAGAGCGCAGAACCAGGTTCCTAAGGGAGCAAGTGTATGTCAGAAACATTAACGGGCCCCTCCTATGACCAAACAAGGTGAAACAGACAAGAAACCAGCTCAGAACACAGGCCGGGTACTGTGACAAAGCCCCTGGCCCTAGATGCACAAAGGAGGGCATCTTACCCTGACTTGGAGGTTCACGGAAGGCTTCCTGGAGGAGGCAACAGCTCTGTTGGGACTTAAATGATAGGCAGTTTTCTAGGCTTTCTTTCATCCCTCCTTTACAGAGGGGCATATTGCAGTCAGAGTGCAAGGGATTAATTATAGAGTCAGATACACCTGAACCTGATCCACCCTTGTCCCCTCACCCCAAGTCCTAGCAACTTCACCTTAGGCAGTGTATTTTCTTTGTCTGGGCATCAGTGTTCTCTTCTGTAAAAGGGATACACCAACAGTACCTTCTTCCAAGGATTGCAGGAAGAATTGAACTAAGAGCTGGTTTGGGGCTTTGGTGGTCCCCTCTCCACCCTCAAAGCGCATCCCTGCCCCATCACCTGTAGGTGCTGCGTGGGAGCTGGCTCTGGCCTGTCACTGCCCTCCCCTTCCCCTGGGCCTTGTGTGGGGCTGGGCCTTTGTGCTGGGAACGGAGTCAGGGGAGGCCAGGGCCAGGGTCTGGAGCACACAGCCCTTTGTTCCAGGATAAAGGCCCTGCCGGCCCCTTTGTGTGGAGATTAGCAGAGCCTGTAGGTGTGTGGACCAGCCTCTGCTCCTGCCTCATTAACCCAGGCCTGGGGTCAGGGCACTCACCCCTAGCCTGCCCGACCTGACATCTTTGGGGCTGTGACATCTCTGGGGATGGCCGCAGGGTCTCCTGTAGGCTAGGGAAACTGGGGGCTTTCAGGACTTGTGGAAAGTGGAGCCTGGGGGGAATCCTTTCCTGAGCCATCTCTTCTTTCTTTCTTTTTTTTTTTTTTTTAGACAGAGTTTCTCTCTCTGTTGCCCAGGGTGGAGTGCAGTAGTGCAATCTCGGCTCACTGCAACCTCCGTCTCCCAGGTTCAAGCGATTCTCCTGCCTCAGCCTCCCGAGTAGCTGGGATTACAGGCGTGCGCCACCAGCCTGGCTAATTTTGTATTTTTAGTAGAGATGGGGTTTCAACATGTTGGTCAGACTGATCTCAAACTCCTGACCTCAAGTGATCCACCTGCCTCAGACTCCCAAAGTGCTGGGATTACAGGTGTGAGCCACTTCGCTCATCTGTGATCTCTTCTGTCTCCTCAACCTGAGATTAGTCCCTGACCTTTTTCTCCGTTGTTCCTCCAGAGACCCTCATGGACACAAAATGGGTAACATCTGAGTTGGCGTGGACATCTCATCCAGAAAGTGGGGTGAGGCTTTCCCATCATTCTCCTGAGTGTTGTTTGCCATTAGGCCTCCCCCCACTTCCAGCCTCCGTGCCCCCTCATCTCACCAGGGCCTGGAGGAGGGCTGCCTCTGCCCTCTGCCTGTCACCCTCACTTCCTGTGCCATCCCCATCATCCTCACTTGTGACCCTCTGAAGCACCTCATGGTCCTTCTCTGTGGGCATTTCTATCTCTCACCCCTCTGCCTGCCTGTGCCCCCCAGCTCCCGCTCCCTCTCCCTCTCTTCCTAACAGCCCTCTGCATGTCCATCCCCACCATCTCCCTCCTCCCTGGGTCCCTGGAGAAAACACTGGCTTGGAAACCTTAGTTCCAGATCTTTAACTTGCTGTGTGACCTTGGGCAAGGCCGTTTACCCCTCTGGGTGGCCACTTCTTGACTGTTAAATTCCCGCAGTCCGGACCTCTCTCACATATTCTAATTAATCTCCCTAGATGGCCTTCATGGCTGCTCTAAGCCCTAGAACCCTGGAGTACGATGGCACTACAGGCCCTGCAGTCACCAGGCCTGACTGTGTGACCTTGGGCAAAACTCCCTTCTGCGAGCCTTGGCTTCCTCATCTCTAAACGTCGGGACAACAGATGCGGCTCCTCATGGAGCTGTTGTGAAGATTGAATGCGATGTTGATAGTGACAGCCAGTAGCCCGGAAGTGCTTGCACTGCTACAAGCCCATTACATTTATTAGCCTGATTTAATTCCTCACAGCCTCGTTTAGTTCCAAGCAGCCCCATTTTACAGATGACAAAACTGAGGTATAAAGATAACAAATATAGCTGATGTTCCTGCAGTACTTACCAAGTTCCTAGTCCTGTCCTAAATGCTTTATTCAGTTAAAGTCATTATTCCTTACACATCTTTATTATCCCCATGTTACAGATGGGGAAACTGAGGCACATGGCGGTTAAGTGACTTACCCATAATCACACAGCAGGCAGAGAGCTGGAATTTGAGCCCATATAGCCTGTATGCTCAGCCACTGCACACCATAGAAGCATCCCTGTGAAGTAAATAGAGCAGATCTGGGCACGAGGGAAGCACTTGGCAAATGCAGGCATTCACTCTGTCTTTTTCATTGGTCCATGCACAGTGGGAAGAGGTGAGTGGCTACGATGAGGCCATGAATCCCATCCGCACATACCAGGTGTGTAATGTGCGCGAGTCAAGCCAGAACAACTGGCTTCGCACGGGGTTCATCTGGCGGCGGGATGTGCAGCGGGTCTACGTGGAGCTCAAGTTCACTGTGCGTGACTGCAACAGCATCCCCAACATCCCCGGCTCCTGCAAGGAGACCTTCAACCTCTTCTACTACGAGGCTGACAGCGATGTGGCCTCAGCCTCCTCCCCCTTCTGGATGGAGAACCCCTACGTGAAAGTGGACACCATTGCACCCGATGAGAGCTTCTCGCGGCTGGATGCCGGCCGTGTCAACACCAAGGTGCGCAGCTTTGGGCCACTTTCCAAGGCTGGCTTCTACCTGGCCTTCCAGGACCAGGGCGCCTGCATGTCGCTCATCTCCGTGCGCGCCTTCTACAAGAAGTGTGCATCCACCACCGCAGGCTTCGCACTCTTCCCCGAGACCCTCACTGGGGCGGAGCCCACCTCGCTGGTCATTGCTCCTGGCACCTGCATCCCTAACGCCGTGGAGGTGTCGGTGCCACTCAAGCTCTACTGCAACGGCGATGGGGAGTGGATGGTGCCTGTGGGTGCCTGCACCTGTGCCACCGGCCATGAGCCAGCTGCCAAGGAGTCCCAGTGCCGCCGTGAGTGGGGACTGTCCTGGGGAAAGGGTTGTCGGGAGGGCCTGGGCCACAGCTACCTACCGCCCCGCCCCCCACCCCTGCTTGCTATCTGACTAGGAGGTCTGGGAGCAGGTCCACAGTGGAGGCAGGAGAGGGAAGAGTGGGGATCAGATGCAGAGAATGTTGTGTAAGGAGGGAGAAGAGAGAGAAAATGAGGAGAGACACAAGGATAGTAAGAGAAAAAATGACATTAAAGAGAGAGGAAGAGAAGCATGCAGAATCCTTGGCAAGCAGGCACCTGGAGAACGCAGTCAGAAGCTTAGGAGGCTGGCAGAGATGCTCGCTTTGTCCCGGCCTGAGTGTATGCTTCACCCTGAAAGTGGTAGGTTGGCCCCAGGGCCAAGGGCACGGGGGCTGTGGGTACCTTGTGCATGGCTTTTTACCCTGGGCTCTCTGCCCCTTGGGAGGCAGTATATAAATGGCACAGTGGTTAGGGGCCCAGTCCCTGAAGTTGAGTCCTGACTCTGTCACTTACCACTTACGTGACCTTGGGCAAGTTACTTTTTTTTTTTTTTTTTTGAGATGGAGTTTCACAATTGTTGCCTAGGCTGGAGTGCAATGGCGCGATCTTGGCTTGCTGCAACCTCCACCTCCCAGGTTCAAACAATTCTCCTGCCTCAGCCTCCTGAGTAGTTGGGATTACAGGCATGTGCCACCACACCCAGCTAATTTTGTATTTTTAGTAGACCGGGTTTCACCATGTTGGTCAGGCTGGTCTCGAACTCCTGACCTCAAGTGATCCACCCGCCTCGGCCTCCCAAAGCGTTGGGATTACAGGTGTAAGCCACCACTCCTGGCCCTGGGCAAGTTACTTAACTGTTTGAACCTTGGTTTCCTTATGTGCAAGATGAGGAAAATAATAGAGGTTCCTTCATAGGGCTGTAGCGAGGCTTCTTATGTGAGCAATGCTTTGCCCGTAGAACAGTGTCTGGCACATGGGAGCACAGCCACCAGCTAAGTGTTGGCCATGAGTCTCCAGAGCCCTGGCATCCACGAGAGCTGGGCTGTTCTGCCCTTATTGTATACATGAGGAGTTCAGGAAGCCTGCCTCGGATGGCTTGCCAAGACTTATGTACTAGGCTTCGGAGTTATCAAAATTGTCCACCTAGGGGGTCTCTCACTGAGCCTCACCAGTCCTTGTGAGGTAGATTCCTGCCATCTCCCTATTTCGCCAATAAGGAAACTGAGTCTTGGAGAAGCTCTGTGCACAGGCCTTGTAGCTAGGGAATGTGGAAGCTGGCACGGAAGCCTCCTCCTGTGCTCTGCCATGCAGGATGGCATGCTGAGGGCCCTGTCTTTCGCTCCCTCTGCCCGATTCTCTTCCTTGGGGCTTGCAGCCTACAGCTCTGAGGGGTAGGTGATGACTCTTATGGCAGCCCTAGGCGTGAGAGGGGCTTGGCAGCATGAAGCTGGCTGCGAGGCCATGTTGTCATGAGAAGGTGAACAGTGCCTTTCCCGGGCCCTCTCCACTTCTCGATGGGAATCTGTCCTGAGATTTCCTCTTCCTAAGTGGAGAAAGGGGGTGGGGTGATGAGCCTGACAGCCTGAAGAGGGGCTAACACTCTGCAGGTCCCCGGCAGGAAATGCATGCTGGTTCCCATAGCAACCAGGCTGGCCTGGCCTCTGCCCCCTCCCCCACTGGCTCAAAAGAGCTAGGGTGGAATATCACCTTCGTGAGGGCAGATGAAACCCCAGAAAAGGGCAAGCCCTAGCGCTGGGCGTTCTCCCCTATGGGTGTCCCCCTCCACAGGCAGTCATATGGAGAGGCAGTGACCCACTTTAGTGTCTAGGAGGGTCTTGGTTTATGCCCATTATCCTAACACAGTTATTACTAGTGCCTCCTTTGACTTGCAAATGTTCCAGTGTGAAGAATACACGATAAGGCTACCATCAATCCACAGAGCCTGTGTCCAGGGGCCCAAGGGTAGATGGCAGGAGGGAAGACTGGGGAGAAGGGATGCTCAGGCCCTGGGCTTGCTCTGGGGTGAGTCCCCTTGTGGACACTTGAGGCCTCTGAACTCCAGGTGACCCCAGCCTTCCTGCCTGCTTTCTTTCTCTCCTCCTCTCACCCGTCCTCAGCCCCCATCCCTGCCCAAGGGCAGACAGGAGCTGCTGCCTGCGCCTGGTGGGTGGGGCGAGAGCTTCACTGTGAAGGTCCCGTCTCCTGGCTGTTCTAGGGTGTCCTTCAGGGTCCTCAGGAATGATTTTTCTGGAGCCTCGGGGAGAGGTGGGGCATCTCCACAGTGCCGGGTGCTGCTAGCCCACCGGTGGTCTCTTCTTCACCCCACCTCTTCCTCTGTCTTTCTCTGTCTTCCCTGCCTCAACAAGCCCAGGCTGTCCAGGTGATGGGGCTGACGTCTTCGTCCATGAGGCCCCGGGGTAGGGGTGAGGGGGGCAGGGGCGGGGAGGAATCTGCTGACGTGGGGTTTCCATGGGGCAATAGGGCCTTTTGTAGCTGCAGCTGGAGTTAGGCAATCCCAGCATTGCCCCCACAGTCTAGGAGGTGGAGGGGCCAGACCTAGGCTGGGGAGAAGCCAGGTTCTCATGGAGCTGCGGAGGTCTGGTGTCTGCAGGGAAGGGAGGTGAGCCCCATTCATCCTCTTCTCTCCCACAGCCTGTCCCCCTGGGAGCTACAAGGCGAAGCAGGGAGAGGGGCCCTGCCTCCCATGTCCCCCCAACAGCCGTACCACCTCCCCAGCCGCCAGCATCTGCACCTGCCACAATAACTTCTACCGTGCAGACTCGGACTCTGCGGACAGTGCCTGTACCAGTGAGTGAACGCGTGACCTCTCTTTCCCTCTGCAGGCCTTCCCTCTGGGGGGCCAGCCTGGGAAGCCTAAGCAGTCACTATGAATAGCCCCATTTTCCAGGGAAGGAGCTGAGGCTCAGGGAAGTTAGATGTTGCGCTCAACATGGCACAACTGGGAGGTGACTGCCCCTGAGCCAGAATCCAGGTCAGCCGGCTCGTCCCTTCCACCAACGCTTGCTAAGCACCTACCTGTTCCTAGCCATGCTCAGGAACTTGCTCCTAGCCATGCTCAGGAACTGGCTCCTAGCCATGCTCAGGAACTGGCTAGGAGCTTAGCAGTTGGCCTTCTAGTCCGTTGCCCCTCCGTCTGTATAGAAGTGCCTCTCTCCAGCCCCACTCTAACCATGGAGGGGGCCTCACATCCTGAGGGTGGCCTGGTGCTCCACTTCCTCTCTGCCCTGGCCTTCGGTGTGCCGGGCATTGTGCTGGGTATCGAGGGTGAGGAGGTGAATAAGATACAGTCATTGTCCTAAAGGAGCTCACAACCTGGTGGGAGAAATAGGTGTAAAAACAGATAATGACCGTAATGTACTAAGAGCTGGGCTAGAAGGCTGTCTAGGAATTGTTTTATGTACATGTAGAGTATAGGGCAAGGACGAATCAAGGAAGGCTTCCAAAAGGAAGTGATATCACAAGCTGGGTATTGAAGGATAAATAGGAGTCTGCCTGGTGAAGAAATGTAGGAACGTTATTCTGCTTATCAAAGCAGAGGCAAGGCAAGGAGGTAGAAAGCAGATTGGAGTGTGCTGGAACTCCGGGCAGAGGGATGGTCCTAGAGCCCCCAGCTCACTACCTTCTCCCTCCATATTCCTCACAGCCGTGCCATCTCCACCCCGAGGTGTGATCTCCAATGTGAATGAAACCTCACTGATCCTCGAGTGGAGTGAGCCCCGGGACCTGGGTGGCCGGGATGACCTCCTGTACAATGTCATCTGCAAGAAGTGCCATGGGGCTGGAGGGGCCTCAGCCTGCTCACGCTGTGATGACAACGTGGAGTTTGTGCCTCGGCAGCTGGGCCTGACGGAGCGCCGGGTCCACATCAGCCATCTGCTGGCCCACACGCGCTACACCTTTGAGGTGCAGGCGGTCAACGGTGTCTCGGGCAAGAGCCCTCTGCCGCCTCGTTATGCGGCCGTGAATATCACCACAAACCAGGCTGGTGAGGAGGGGACACTGGAGGGTAGGGCCTGGGTCACTTTCTCCTGGATGAGGTGTCCCAGGACCTGCTAAGGGACCACTGGGGGTCCCATGGGAAGTGGGTCTTTGGGAAGGATGCCAGGGTCCAGGGAGCCCCTGGTGAGCCCTCTGCTCTTCCCAGCCCCGTCTGAAGTGCCCACACTACGCCTGCACAGCAGCTCAGGCAGCAGCCTCACCCTATCCTGGGCACCCCCAGAGCGGCCCAACGGAGTCATCCTGGACTACGAGATGAAGTACTTTGAGAAGGTCAGAACCTCAAGGGGCAGGAGGAGGCCTTGGGCTGAGCTGGGCTGAGAAAATTACCCCCGGATCATGATGGGGCCCTTGGGAGCAAGGCCTTGGGTATGGAGGGGGCATGTGGCAGGCCTGGGTGTGAATAGGGGCTGGTTGGCCTCAGGACCCACCTGAGGGTGCCCCCTCTCTCCTGGCATTGCAGAGCGAGGGCATCGCCTCCACAGTGACCAGCCAGATGAACTCCGTGCAGCTGGACGGGCTTCGGCCTGACGCCCGCTATGTGGTCCAGGTCCGTGCCCGCACAGTAGCTGGCTATGGGCAGTACAGCCGCCCTGCCGAGTTTGAGACCACAAGTGAGAGAGGTTAGTAGCCCCCTGCGCCTGTCCCCATCGCGGCCCTCACTCTCTGTCCCTCCACTCAGCAGCCCCTTCTCTATCTCCAGGCTCTGGGGCCCAGCAGCTCCAGGAGCAGCTTCCCCTCATCGTGGGCTCCGCTACAGCTGGGCTTGTCTTCGTGGTGGCTGTCGTGGTCATCGCTATCGTCTGCCTCAGGTACTCCCAGGCCCACTGTTGCTCCATGGGCCGCCTCGAACTGCCCTTTAGCATCCTAGAGCCCTCATGCCACAGAGATGAGCCGCCACCACTTCCCTCAGACCCAGGGCCTTAGCCCTCCTGGGGCCAGCCGTTGCTGGAGAAGCCCTCTCCCATCCCTGCCTGTGTCTTCATCCCGCCCTTTCTCCATACCCCATTCCCTGAATCTCCGGGCAGGTTCCCTAGGGACTGAGTCCACTGAACCCCTTGCTCAGACACCCAGAGACTGCTGTGACCACCAATTGTGGGACTAGGCCCCAGGCCATCCCCTGTATCCTCTCCGCCCCTTCTGTGAGCCCAAGGGTGCCCTGAACAAAGGGAGGCAGATGACTTGTCTCAGGCCTGCCCTCCACCCTGCCACCCTACAGGAAGCAGCGACACGGCTCTGATTCGGAGTACACGGAGAAGCTGCAGCAGTACAGTGAGTTTGTCCCCGCCGCCCTCCCCAAGCTCTCCCAGCCCCCTGCAGGGCTCTCAGACACCCTTCTCCCTGCCTGGGACTTCATTCCTTAGAGATAAACCCTGAATGCCCCCTCCCACTTCCAGTCAAGTGGCATTTCCTGACCCCTATCTCACTCCGGGTACCCTGGGCCCCTACTCACTCCTGCTAGCCCCAGAAATGACTGAGACGTGACCTCTCCCCCTAAAGGCAGTTAGTCCTGTGGGAAAGACAAGATGCAAACACACAGGAAACAATTTGAGAACAATTAAGGGTTGAGCTGGGTGCTCCTGTTGTAAAGGGCACTAAGAGTTTAGAGAAGAGGAAGGCTTCCTCGAGGAGGTGGACTTGAGCTGAGCCAGGCGGGATGAGCAGGGTGTTGGGAGGTGAGGGAGAGCATTCCTGGCCAGAGGAGCCTCTGGAAGGTAGTGGGCGGGGTGGGGAAGGAGCCCAACTGTGGGGGCAGCGAGAAGACTGGTTTGACAGCTGCTGGGAAGCCAGGCTGGGTAGCTGTGGCCAGCCCTCGGAGGGTCCTGAAAGGCAGGCAGAGGAGTCTGGACTTGACTCCACCATAGGTAATTGGAAAGGCTCTCAAGCTGGGGAGTAATACAATGAAAGGATTGTTTTAGGAAGACAGCGGTATGCAGGATAGCTCGGTGGGAAAAGTCCAGAGGCAGAGAGCCCAGCTGGGAGGCTATTGGAATAGTGTGAGTGTTGAAGGCCTGGACAAGGTCGGGGCAGTGGGAACCAGGGGAGGCATGAATCTGAGAGAGGTCTGGATGTGATGAGAGATGAGAGAGAAAAACTAGGAGTAGAATCCTAGGTGTCTAGCCTTTATGGTCACCAGGAGTTCTCATGGGAGCTGGAGGATTAGGGCAGCAACACAGAGGAATATGGGGCTGGGCTCAGCAGGGAGCCTGCTGGAGCTGTGCCCATCGCAGGGAGAGGCTGGCTTGACGTTACCCTCTCACGCCCACCTCTTCTCCCTCCAGTTGCTCCTGGAATGAAGGTTTATATTGACCCTTTTACCTACGAGGACCCTAATGAGGCTGTTCGGGAGTTTGCCAAGGAGATCGACGTGTCCTGCGTCAAGATCGAGGAGGTGATCGGAGCTGGTGAGTCTCCCGGGGCACAGTAGAGATGAGAAGCTGAGGCGGGCTGGGTACAGGAGTGAGTCATAGCTTGTGCCCTGTGCCCTGCAGGGGAATTTGGGGAAGTGTGCCGTGGTCGACTGAAACAGCCTGGCCGCCGAGAGGTGTTTGTGGCCATCAAGACGCTGAAGGTGGGCTACACCGAGAGGCAGCGGCGGGACTTCCTAAGCGAGGCCTCCATCATGGGTCAGTTTGATCACCCCAATATAATCCGGCTCGAGGGCGTGGTCACCAAAAGTCGGCCAGTTATGATCCTCACTGAGTTCATGGAAAACTGCGCCCTGGACTCCTTCCTCCGGGTAAGAGCCAGCCCCCAGGCCCTCTCCCTCCCCCAGAGAGTTGGATTGGGCTCACCATCCCCTCCCACAAGTCAGACAGCCCCTATTCAAGTCCATAAGCATTTACTGAGGTGGCTTGGTGCAGGGAAATGGCAGGGCCTTCATAGCCATAAGTATGGGAGTTCACATCTTGACTGTTCCTTACTGCCTGTGTGACCTCAGGCAAGTGACTTAACCTCTTTGAGTCTCAGCTGCCTGGTTGTAGAATGGCAGTGGTAAGAGCTAGTGGGTCCTCATGGGGATTAACTGGGATGTTGTCTATAAGATACTTGACACATAGTAGGGCAGCTCACTTACCCTCAGGGCACTCTGGACATGGTTGCAGGAGAGACGAGGTAGAGTCTGAGTACTCGGAGAGGGAAGGCAGGTGGGCAGGCCATGGGCTGATGGGAGCAATGGGCTCACCTGAGCCTGCTTGTTGCCTGCAGCTCAACGATGGGCAGTTCACGGTCATCCAGCTGGTGGGCATGTTGCGGGGCATTGCTGCCGGCATGAAGTACCTGTCCGAGATGAACTATGTGCACCGCGACCTGGCTGCTCGCAACATCCTTGTCAACAGCAACCTGGTCTGCAAAGTCTCAGACTTTGGCCTCTCCCGCTTCCTGGAGGATGACCCCTCCGATCCTACCTACACCAGTTCCCTGGTACAGGAAGCCGCTGGGAGGGAGACTGGGGGCGGGGCCTATCAGCCAGGGGCTCGGGCCTGGGGGGCAGCCCGGAGTCACAGGGTGAAGGGCCTGTGCCCCCCTCACCAGGGCGGGAAGATCCCCATCCGCTGGACTGCCCCAGAGGCCATAGCCTATCGGAAGTTCACTTCTGCTAGTGATGTCTGGAGCTACGGAATTGTCATGTGGGAGGTCATGAGCTATGGAGAGCGACCCTACTGGGACATGAGCAACCAGGATGTGAGTGAGGCTACGCCAGAGTGGTTGGGTAGGTGGGTGCTGGCTGGGGATCATGGCAGTGGCTCACTCAGGGTTTCCCTGCCTTCGGCCCAGGTCATCAATGCCGTGGAGCAGGATTACCGGCTGCCACCACCCATGGACTGTCCCACAGCACTGCACCAGCTCATGCTGGACTGCTGGGTGCGGGACCGGAACCTCAGGCCCAAATTCTCCCAGATTGTCAATACCCTGGACAAGCTCATCCGCAATGCTGCCAGCCTCAAGGTCATTGCCAGCGCTCAGTCTGGGTTAGTACCTCTGCCTCTGCTCCCGCCAAGCCAGTAGCCCTATCTCCCACCTTCAAGACTCACCAGGTCCTTCTCTTCTTCCCACAGCATGTCACAGCCCCTCCTGGACCGCACGGTCCCAGATTACACAACCTTCACGACAGTTGGTGATTGGCTGGATGCCATCAAGATGGGGCGGTACAAGGAGAGCTTCGTCAGTGCGGGGTTTGCATCTTTTGACCTGGTGGCCCAGATGACGGCAGAGTAAGTGTGCCTCAGATTTGGAGGAGCAGGGCAGGGGGCCCTAGGCTGGGCCCAGAGTTGAGGGCACGAGGAAAGGGACTGATCCTAATTTGGCTCCACCTGCAGAGACCTGCTCCGTATTGGGGTCACCCTGGCCGGCCACCAGAAGAAGATCCTGAGCAGTATCCAGGACATGCGGCTGCAGATGAACCAGACGCTGCCTGTGCAGGTCTGACACCGGCTCCCACGGGGACCCTGAGGACCGTGCAGGGATGCCAAGCAGCCGGCTGGACTTTCGGACTCTTGGACTTTTGGATGCCTGGCCTTAGGCTGTGGCCCAGAAGCTGGAAGTTTGGGAAAGGCCCAAGCTGGGACTTCTCCAGGCCTGTGTTCCCTCCCCAGGAAGTGCGCCCCAAACCTCTTCATATTGAAGATGGATTAGGAGAGGGGGTGATGACCCCTCCCCAAGCCCCTCAGGGCCCAGACCTTCCTGCTCTCCAGCAGGGGATCCCCACAACCTCACACTTGTCTGTTCTTCAGTGCTGGAGGTCCTGGCAGGGTCAGGCTGGGGTAAGCCGGGGTTCCACAGGGCCCAGCCCTGGCAGGGGTCTGGCCCCCCAGGTAGGCGGAGAGCAGTCCCTCCCTCAGGAACTGGAGGAGGGGACTCCAGGAATGGGGAAATGTGACACCACCATCCTGAAGCCAGCTTGCACCTCCAGTTTGCACAGGGATTTGTTCTGGGGGCTGAGGGCCCTGTCCCCACCCCCGCCCTTGGTGCTGTCATAAAAGGGCAGGCAGGGGCAGGCTGAGGAGTTGCCCTTTGCCCCCCAGAGACTGACTCTCAGAGCCAGAGATGGGATGTGTGAGTGTGTGTGTGTGTGTGTGTGTGTGCGCGCGCGCGCGCGTGTGTGTGTGCACGCACTGGCCTGCACAGAGAGCATGGGTGAGCGTGTAAAAGCTTGGCCCTGTGCCCTACAATGGGGCCAGCTGGGCCGACAGCAGAATAAAGGCAATAAGATGATTCTCTTGCCCCTTCTTATTCCTCCTCCCAAAGCAAGATTCCCTGATTCAGAGTTCACAGTCCCTGGCTGCCAACCCTTCGCAACTCCCTGGAGGCATTGGGAAACCAGATCTGGGCCCATCCAGGCTCAGTTTCCCCTTTGTGCTTGGCCCTCACTGCTTTGAACACCTAACGCACTTCTTGGAAGTGGGTCAGTGGCAACGGAGAGCTAACTACCCCAGAGCTCCTTCCTTCTAAGGCAGAGACCTTCCTGGGGTGGGGGCAGGCTCTTGTGTCTGGATGGTGTTTTACTGAGTCGGTTCCCAGCCTTTGTCTTTAAGGGAGCTGAGGGTAGAGGGGGTTGATCAGTTCCCAGGGTCACATGACCAAGGACAAAGGGAAGGAGAGCCACTGGTGTTCAGAGGCTGAGGCCCGGAAGTTCGGCTGCTCCTCACTGAGGCTTCCTATGCCCAGGCGCTGGGCTAAATGCTCCATTTATACACGGATCTTATTTAATCTCACAACAACCCAGCCAGGCAAGGAAGTATTTTTAACTGCTTTTTACAGAAGAGGAAAAGGAGAGGTTAAGTAACTTGCCCAAAGTCGCTGAGCCAGTAAGTGAGGCCCGCGGCTGTGATTCCCACCCAGAGACTGCCTGCATACTTGAAAGGTTCAGAGGATAAATAACAAGAACCGGGGAGAGGGTTAGGAAAACAGCTTCTGGAAATGTCAAAGGAGAAAGCGTGGTGGGGGGCCCTCAGAGGCCCTTCGGACGCAGGAACAGGCGGGGGAGGGGGGAAGTGCAGTCATGTTCCCAGTATCGGGAGGCATCCTTGGGCAGCAAAGCTTTGTGCTTTCCGAGAGACCTGCATACCCTGGGTAGGGTCCCTGGGTAGGCACAGAGGCATGGACAGACACCACGCCATGTAGATGAGAGGTTCACGTGTCGCGGCCCCACACCTCTCCCTGGACGCGTCCAGGCAGCGCAGAGCTTCCCAGGGGAAATCTAAGCGAGAGGCTGCACCTAGGGGTCTGCGGAGCCGCAGGCCTGGAAGCATGCGACCGTGATTTCAGGCTCTGGGGTGAAGGCCCAGGGAGGCCGCGCGGAGGAGGCCGCGGGCGAAGGTTGCAGGGTCTGCTGCGTGGCGCACTCCCGGCCGCGGAAGCCGACGGCGATCGGAGGAGCCTGGGAGCGGCCCTGGCAGCGGCCCTGGCACAGCTGGCGGCGGCGCGGGCTCCTCAGGCCGCCCCCGTCCTTCACCGCGCGCTCCCGCGCTGGGGCTGCTCGGCGGCGCCCGCTCCTTAGTATTCCCCCCACGGAGCCCAGCCGCGCCGCCGCAGCCGGCCCGGGGGAGGGGCGCCCCGCACGGCTAAGCTCTCTGCGTCCCCGGGGCGGACGCGGGGAGGGGAGGGGAAGGGACGCAGCCTCTCCGCCGAGGCCTCCTTCCTCCCCTAGTGGGGGGGAGGGGCTGTGCGGGGGCAGGGGCGGGCGATGCGGGGGCCCAAGGTGGCCCTTGGACTAGGCGCCGGAGCTGTCAACGGGGCGAGGTGTGGCGGGCGGCCGGGGGAGGGGACGCGGTGCCGAGTGGCCTCCTGCACAGCCGCTCAGCATTCCCCGGCTGCAGGCGCAAATAAAGCGGAGGGGGCGCGCGGAGCTCCTGCTCAAGGGTCCACTTCCTACTCTCGAAGCTAGGGAATGGGGAGGGATCCGTGGCCCGGGAGTCCTGCGAAGCCTTCCTCGCCATCCTGTGCCATCGCCCTGACCTTTATAGCGGGAGTCTGGGTGGAGGGCGCGGAGATGCTGGGGTGGGGGCTCCACTCGCATAGGTGTGACATCGCCCTCTACTGGGTCCGCAGGGAGGGCAAGATCGTGGTCGTTTAGCGCCAAGGCGGGAGGGGCCCTGGAAACCACACGATCAGGGGAACTCTTGGACTGTGCGCCCCAGGTCGAGGATCTCGAGGGATGTCTTGAGCCCAGAGGTCCGGGGGAAGTAAGGTACTCTGTCGGCTGTGCCTTGTGCAGCCACCACGCATACCTCGCTCCTCCTGTATCCAGGTATCCTCGCCTGCATGCGTGCCCTCTCCTGCCACTTGCCCACGGAAACAGCTGACAGGCACACTTCACTGACCCAAGCTACAGCACAGCACAGCCCTTACTCCCTCACTCACGGTCATTCGTCCTCAGTCACTTGACCCTCTAGGCCCCACCTTCCAAGCCCACACGCCCTAAGAGTCTCCCATGGCAGAACGGGTAGGGGAAGGGATGCAGAGAGGGAAGAAAAGCCATCCCCTTCCTGGAAGGCGCCTCCCGCCCCCAGCGCACTTCCTACCGGAACCGCTTCACCTAACTAACCTGTGTCTCACTGGAAAGGGCTGGGAGGAGTCCTCAGAACCCCCAGCAGGATTGCAAGGAGGGAGGGCTATGATTAAAGCAGAGGAAGAGACAGAAGAGAGAGGGCGCCTCAGGAGTTGTCTGGCTCTTCTGGGGACAGATAAGGAGTGAGAGGGAATGAGATTTTAGTAGGCCTAGTGTTGGTTACTTTCACACTTCCTGGGGGCAGAAAATTAGATCTCCCAAGTTAGGGCTAAAAGGAAGTCGGTGGGAGTGAGGGGTTGTTGAGGCTTAGGAAGGGGCTGCTCCCCCTTGATTCCCTCATTCCACTTGCCCCATGGGGGCAGTTATAGCCCCAAAGGAACCACTTCTTGCCCTCACTATGCCTGAGCTCAGAGAGTAGGAACAGCTAGGGAGCAAAGGTGCTTTAGTCTGTGCTCAGCCCCTGAGCACAGGGAGAGGTGCCCAGGACAGCAGGTGAGGGAGAGGGACCTGGATAGCAGTCCTTAGACCTAAGCCTGAGTGGCCAGACCTTGGATTATAACCCAGAAAATGTGGGTAGTGCCATGGGAAGGGCTGCCTATTTATGTACGGGCAGACCGGGGTTCAAAGCCCATCTCTTTTGTTTCTATACCTCTCTGCCTCAATGCCCTCGGTTATAAAAAGGTCTAGTTATCATTTCTATATCATGAGATTGTTAAATCAGTAAATACATGTAAAGTATGTGCCAGGATTGTAGTAAGTGCTCAAAAATGTTAGCTATTTTTTATTTGTATGAAGTTTGAAGAAAATATAGAAGCAAATAGGAAAATGCTGAACAGTGCTTGGCACATAGCAGGGATGGAATAAACCAAGGCACTAGGAGAAATCCACCAACTCCATTCAGGTCTCTCTGGAAGGGAAGAGGGTGAGGAAGCTAAAGGGGCAGAGAAAGAGGTCCCACCCACGGGGCTCCTGGACGTTTTGCTGCAGGCCTAGCCCGGGCCCTGGATCAGTTCTTGGGGTAGGGCTGCTGGGGCCTGGATGGTTTCAAGGCCACGGGAATGTGGCACATTGCTGAGAGGGCAAGTGTGGCTCAAGCCTTCTGGCTTTTTCTCAGCACACTGATCCTGGGCCCGCTTGGGGAAATGGAACTGTTTCCCTCCAATAGTCATTCTTCAAGTGTGTACTAGAGAACTCTTGTGTGCCAGGCACTGTGCTGGGCACTGGGGATACTGCGATGAGCAAGAACATAGAAGATCAATGCTTCAAAGAGCTTCAAGTCTAATAGGGAACAGGGATGTGATTCAAATATACATGCAGATAATTGTATCTAATTACAGGTCGAGGTAAATGTTACAGAAACCAAGTTGAGTGTTGTGGAACTAAATCACAGTTCTAGGGACCTCAGCTAGTCTTGGGCAGGGCTGGGGGCTCTCTGACCCTTTATTTGATGCCCAGCAGAGGGAGCTGGGACCTCCCCCCCCATTACCCTCCAGGTCCTTTTAACCTTTTAGTCTCTGACCCTGAGCATATCTTCATTCACTCCCCAACTCATTCATTCATTTATTCAACATACTTTCACTGGGGAGTTCTATAGACCAGGTCCAGTGTAAGGAGCTGGGGATAATGGGGATAAACCAGCTTACAGCCCCCACTCCCTGGAGGTGTGCACAGCTGAGAGGGTCCCTGATATATAAACCAATGAATGCAATGTGGTAAGTGCCACAGGGTAAGTTCTATACCTGGGTAAGCATTCCAAGTGCTGTAAGGAAGGGACCTAGGCCAAAATACTGTCAAAAAGGGCTCCGAGAAGTTGATTCTTTTTTTTTTTTTTTTCACTCTTTGAGATGAAGTCTTGCTCTGTCACCCAGGCTGGAGTGCAATGGCGCAATCGCAGCTCACTGCAACCTCTGCCTCCCGGGTTCAAGCAATTCTCCTCCCTCAGCCTCCCAAGTGGCCTGGATTACAGGGGCCTGCCACTGCGCCTGGCTAATTTTTTTGTATTTTTAGTAGAGACAGAGTTTCGCCATGTTGGCCAAGCTGGTCTCGAACTCCTGACCTCAAGTGATCCGCCTGCCTTGGCCTCCCAAAGTGCCGGGATTACAGGCGTGAGCCACTGAACCCAATTCTTGAATTCAATCTTGGTGGCTCTGTTGCAGTTAGCAAGAAGAGAGAAGGGAGTGGTATATGCAAAGGTCCTAGGGCCCATGAGAGCAGGGCAGGCTAGGGGCCCTCATTCCAACTCAGAGGATGAGGAAGGAACACGGTCATGAACATATGATATTGCCCAAGCCTTCCCTTTTCCGTAAGTCATCCCCAGGCGGGGGCCACCTGCTTCTCACAGATCAGAGGAGTAGTCTTGGGCTTCTGGCCTCAGCAGTTCTTGGTTCCACAGAGTTCCTCGGGCACCCTCTATGTTGCTACTTCCTCAGCCCTTTGTTCTACGTCTTCTCTGCTGCAAGGCACATCTGTCCACAAGGGTTTCTGAATACGCGATGCACTCTGTGCCTCCAAGGAAAGGCTCAGAGAGGTTAAATGACTTGCCGAAGATCACAGAGCCAGTCCCTGACAGAGACAAAATCCAGATCCCATCTACCCTGTCCCCAGTTCTGTGTTCTTCCCCTACAACAGGATACCTAGGAAGGGGGTCCAGGGAAACCCAGAAGTGCTCCACTTGGATGACACACTCCGGCCCTTCCTGCCCACTTCGGAGTGACCCCTCCTGCCCCTTAGTTGCACATATTTTAAGGGCTGCTTCAGCTTTCATTTTTTCAGAGAGGGGAGGAGAGAGATTGGAGGGAAGCTGGGCACCCAGGCACTGAAGGCACTTGTCAGGAGCACAGCCCAGGTTCTAGCTTGGGGGTGGGGCAGACGGGCAAGGGGCTCTCTCCCTCCACCGTCTCTCCCTGCCCCTCTCTGTTTCTCATTCATTATTCCCATCTCATAAAGCAGGAATGAAAACAGACTCAGGATCTGGCTGGAGGCCTTCGGTGACATCAGTCCAGAGGTGGCTGCCCTGACCCTGACTACTGGGGGCTGAAGAGACCTCCTTCCCTACTTTGTCCTGGCTTGGCAGAGAGAAGGAGAAAGGCAAGAGTCAACTCTCCCTGAATCCCTCTCCCTTCTGGGGCACCGAACTTGGGACAGGTAAGAAAGGTGGCACTTGCCTGAAGGGACCAGAAAGGGTGTGTCTGCAGGAATGTGAGGGGTACTGGAGTTGGCTTTGGCCAGACACCACTGCCTCCCACACACCCTGCCACTCCTTCCCCACTGCCACCCCAGCACCACTCCCGGCCATTGTTCTCCAAACATCCCCTACACTTCCTTTCGAAGCCCCCTCTGTTACAGAGGTCTTCCTTTATACTCCCTGCTCCTGCCTTCTTCCCAGCCTCACCTCCCATGGCCTTTCCAAGCCCAGGTCAGCTCACACTCTGGCTTCTGAAACTTGGTATCTGGCTGACCAGATTCTTCTTGGCTCCGGCCTCTTGGCTCTCCTACCCAGATGCTGACCTCTCACCTGCCATGACTTCCACCATTCCTAGTTGGCCTCTTGACAGCACATTAGGCTACCCTTTGAGCCTGGTCATCATGTAGCCATCTCCTCCAAGATTGCAAGTCAGATATTGCAGGCTCTCATCCATTCTTCCTCTCTGCCTAGTTTCAAAATGTGGCCCCCAAACCCCTTCTTCTCCCCACCTGTGGACCTTCTGAGATGCTCTTCTCTCCTAGCCCAACCTGGATTACTCCCACTCCCAAACATCCCCACCACCATCTCTCTGAATAATCCTTTTCTTGTTTTGCTAATTTCCAGGAACATTCCCCCACAACAGCTGGTACAGGCTTTTCTACACTACTCAAGGCCCCAGTTGTACCTTCTTCCATTCTCAGCAGAGTTTCTCACCTTCAAATGTACTAAAATAATGCAGCCTCTCAACAAACACTCACTGAGACTTCTTTGCCAGGCAATGGAGATAAGTGAGCCCCCTCAAGGAGTCCACAGGCCAGTGGAGGAGAAGGAAATGCAACAGGGTGATATAGGAATATTCTTGGTGTCACTGATGGATTTTGAGGATAGTGCCATCATGAGGACAGTGTTTAGGGAAGAGGAGTGAGGCAGGTGTGGGAGGGACTGGAGGATGTAGAGATAGTGGCAGGAAGGCAGAGAAAGATGCCACAGTCTAGGTGAAGGGTAAGAAGGTCCTGGTTGGAGATGGGGTGAGGAGGAGGTGCTGCCGAGGTGACGGGTGTGAATGATCTTGCAAAGGTAAGTAGCAACGTGCTTGGTGACTGATGGGATGTGGGAGGGGAGAGATAATAGATGTCTGAGCGTGGGTGATTTTGGGGACTGGCAGTAGGGCATACTTTGGTACCACTTGTGGATCCAGAAAGTACAGGAGAAGGAATAGTAAGTGTGAAGGAGAATAATGAGTTCAGTTTGAGGCTTGCCAGGAGAGATGCCCCATAAGCCATTGAATATCTGATCTGGAGCCACTAGGCACAGCATGGAAGCCCGGGATGAAGTACGGATAGTGGGCAGGATTGCCTGGGAGAGTTGTGGAGAGAAGAGTAGAAGCTGAGGTGGGTATGAGGGAATGCCTCCTGGCTGCTCATGCAGGCATTGTTCATGCCTCTCCAAGAGCTTTCACCACACTGCATTGTAAATGTTCCTGTTTGTCTACTCCCACACCATCAGCTTCTCAAATGAAATCTTAGAATAAGAACAACTACAATTACCATTACTGAATGCTTACTGTGTCAGGCACTGTGCTAAGAACCTTATTAGGTTATTCCATTTAACATAAATGAATTAATAGATGAATGAAATAATGGATGTGAGGATATAGTACCTGGATGGATGTATGAGTAAAATATGTATATGTTGATGTACATATGGACAAGTAGGTAAGTTGATGGGTGAATGAATGGGCAGATCAGAAGATGAATGGAAGGATGAATAGAGGAGTAGATAGACAAACTATGTATGAATGATGAATAGTTGGCTGAATGGATGATGGGTAGGTGAGTGGACAGAGAAGTGGACATGTGAATGGATGGAGGGTTGAATGAATGGTAGGGTGGATGAAAGAATAGACAGGCAGGTGTGTGGATGAGAGAATGCATGGATGAATGGGTGGATGGATGGAGGGGTAGGTAGAAAAATACATGAATAGATAGAAGAATGGAAGAGTAGAAAGAATGATGAAAAAAGAAAGAAGAAATGAAAACTAAATCAATACACAAGCAGAAATGAGAAGATAGATAAGTAGATGAATGGGTGAATGAATAGATGGATAGATAAATAGATGGGTGGATGGAAAGATGAATGGTAGGATGGATGAATGGATAGACAATGGGAATATGGATGAAAAGATGAATGAATGGATGGATAATTGAAGGACTAGATAGCAGGATCGCTAGATGAATGAATGGTTCGATCAATGAGTGGATGAGTAAATGGATGGATTAATGGATGTGTGGATGGCTTCTCCCTCTCTCCCCTGTTATAATCGCTTTAACAGTCCTAATCCAGAAACCCCAGGACCAAAGCAGATGCCAGGTTTGGAGGGTTGTGATTAGAGTGGGAAACTTATTGGCATCACAGGAAGTGTCAGGGGAAGGAGGAGTGTTTTGTGGGGCTGCCAGGACAGCCATATCTATTCCCAGGTAAAAAAGTGGTTTTTAGGAAGTAGCATTCAGGCAGGCAGGAAGCAATGAGGACTTGCTGAGTTAAAAAATAGGACCTACCTCCAAAGGCATCTGGGGAAGTGGTGGCAATCCCCAGTTCATAGTCTGATAGGCCCAGTTGCAGGCCTTCAGTTCAGTTCTACTATCTAGGAGCTGTGTGACCTTGGACAAGTTCACTTAACCTTTCTGACTTTCCTCATTTGTAAAATGAACCAGCAACATCTACCTCACACGGTCACTGAGAGAATAAAACAAGATGTTGCAAAGAAAGCACAAATGCCTTCAAGAAATAATAAAATATGTAGATTTCATTTTTGGTAGGGGAAGATAAACTAAGGAAGCTTCACTTTGTGTCTGTTTAGGAAGAAGTGTGAGTTTGGTGTGCGGGGATGATGGCATCATGGTCTAGGGTCCCCATGGCCTCTGGGCATTAGCACAGCCTCATAGGGTTCTCCTCGAGAAGCCCCCTCCTGCTTCCTGCTCCCGCAGGCTCGGGTCCTTGGAGATTTCCCAAGGCCAGAGCTGGAGGAAGTAGCATCAGGGTGCGGGTGGGGGCAGGAGCTAGCCTTGGAGCCCCTCCCTCTAGCCCGACCCTCCCTCTCTGGGCCAGGTGCCAGCAGACAGGGCACCCAGCTCTGTATGAAACAAAGAAGAGCTGCTTGTTGTGGAGGATGAGTCATGGAGACCCCAGAATGGCCCTGGGAGGAAGTGGGGAGAGGGCTCCTCCCCCAGCCCATCCCCAGGAACAGGACTTCTCCCACAGCTGGACCTCGCTGTGGAGGATGTGGATTAAAGGGAGCCAGGAACTGGGATTTGTACCTTTTTCCTCCCCACGACTTTCTTTTACCTCCCTTGTTTCATTTTCTCTCCATCACATTGACATGTTTTCAGATGGAAGAACAGAGGCTGGGAAGCTTGCCTTGGGTCTTGCAGGTATTGACAATATTCAACACCTGGACTTTTGGCTCTGCTGGAGGCATTTCCTCCTCCTAAACTGGCTTGTACTGACCTTGAACATAGGATAGGTGGAGAAAGACTGTGTCTTACACTAGACTTTTTATGTAATTTCATCTTCACAGCAATCCTGCAAGGATGACTTTATTACTCCATTTTACTTTTTTTTCTGTTTTTGTTTTTTGGTTTTTGGTTTTTTTTGTATTTTTAGTAGAGATGGGGTTTCACCATGTTGCCCAGGCTGGTCTCGAACTCCTGAGCTCAAGCGATCAACCTGCTTCAGCCTCCCAAAGTGCTGGGATTACAGGCGTGAACCACCGCGCCTGGCCACTCCGTTTTACAGACAAGAAAACTGAGGCTCAGGGAAGTAACTTACCCAAGGTCACATGTCTGGTAAGGGTTAAAGCCTGGATAGAACCCAGGGTGTCTGACTCTTGACTAGAGTGGTACCTTAGAGAGAGGGCCTTGAGGACAGGGACCCCCTGGGGTCTGAGAGAGGAGGTGAGAGGCTCTGGAGGCATGAGGACCCGGGTACTGTTCGGTTTGACTCAGCGGCAGGACTCCTGGCTCCGCATGCAGCTCTGCGCCAGGAGCCCCAGGTCTCTGTGTGCAAAATGAAGATGCTGAAGCAGTGCCAACAGGGCCATACCCAGCCCCAGCCCCCACCAGAGGGCTCAGGAAATGACACACCTGAATGTAGAACAGATTGTTGGACCCATCTCCAGCATCACCTCCCAGGGGAAGGGTTTGCAGATGGTGGCTCAGCAGCCCCTAGCGGGGAGGAGGCCCAGGCCTCCTGGGTGGAGGAGTGCCCTCCACAGCCCAGACCCTGCCATGTAGTGTGGTGGGCACATGGGCCTGTGGGTCAGGTCCTGCTGTGTGACCTTAGACAATTTGCTAAATATCTCTGGGCCTCATACTCCTCTTTTGTAAACAAAAGGAGAAAATGTGTTCTGTCTACCTTCTGGGCAAAGGGCCTGGAGAAAGAGACCTCCTACCCCATGGGGATCTAACTGTGGATCACAACCCAGTCTCTGGAAAGAGGTGGGGGAACGGGAGCTCTGCACGATCCTCCCATTGGTAAGGAGTGTTAGGCAGCACGAAACAGCACCCTGGGGGCTGCCTGGAATTTTTTTTCACAGCTCTGCCTGCGCATAAGGAGCTGCTTCCTCTTCGTACCCTTGCTATGGGATCTGAAACAGAGCCTTTTCTGCTCCTGCGGGAATAGAGAGTGTGTTAAGGGGCAGGCAGGGATGGCTCCTGGGATAGTGATCGGCTCTGCTGTGGCAGCTAAACTCTCCTATGGTCAAGGCCGGACACTGGGCTCAGCTCTAGATCATCTGCTCCTGGCACAGGCAGGGTGACTGAGGTACTCAAAGGGGCGGCCGGCAGAGCCTGAGCTCCCACGTTCTCAAGGCTGAGGCAGACAGCGCGAGCGGCCAGCCCACAGGGGCCTCTCTTTGGGGGCTGTAAGTTGTGTAGAGGCTGAAGTGCCCAGGAAGGAGTGGTGGGGACAGTGGTGTCATTTCAAGTGTGTGTGTGGGTCATCCCTTCTCCTTCCACACCCGCCTTGGCTGAGGCGGCAGCTCAGGCAGAAGGGAGTCTGGGGGGAGGTGAGGGCAGAGCTTTGCAAAGGAGGAGGCAGGAATTCTGGTTGGAAATCATTCAAATGAGGCTATGAAACCAGAACCCTGTCTCAGAACAAATTGGCCAGATTTGGCCTGGGGCCGGGAGTACAGGGGGAGTGGAGGAGGTTGGGCCCTGGCTGAGCAGGGGAGGGGTTGGACAGGACTCTGATGTGTGGCCCCAGGAGGAGCCCAGCCTTGGGCTGTGATGGGAAAAAGGGGGCAGTCATCCCTGTTCCTCCTGCCACTCTGTGGTCTGCCTGCCATGACCTAGGAGGGAGCTGCCAGGCACCCCAGCCACCCTCTGGCCTGTCCTGGAGTGAAGGGATCCAGTCCATTGCTGACACCTTCCAGGGCCACCCAGCTGTGACCCTGCCACAGTCCTGTCCCTGCCTTTTTATGGAGCAGAGGAGGCCCTGTGGCTCCCCAGCTCAGCAAGTATTCATTCTCACTTTTCTGTTTCCCTTCTAAGTCCCATGCCAACAGCTCCAGGGATGAACTGGGCTGGGGGCTAGGGAGGGAGGGGTGAATCTCTGAGGCTTTGGGGTATGCCTTAACAAATGGGTTCTCACTCCTTGTCCTAACTAGGGGGGTGTCTGGGGGCCTCTCGCAGGGTTGCTAGGGGAATGCCTCTCCTCCCTAGTCAGAGCTGAGGATAGGCCTGGGTCACACACTGGGGAGGGTGGACACAGGGGTTCACTGCGGGGCCAGGCAAGAGCATGCATGGAGGAAAACGAGGCCTTCAGAGACCTATCAAAGGAGCTGCTGTGTGAGACAGGCAACCTTGGAGGGTCAGCCAGGTTCACGCCGCTGAGAGGGATGGAGGCCTGGGCTGATGGAGGAGTGGTGGAGGCAGCTGGGGATGGACTGACTAAGTGGGGAGTGGCCAGGCGCAGGACAGTAGGCTTCTCCTGTCCAGCTGGCAGGCTGCAGGCAGAGCCCCAGGGAGCGCTTTCTAGGGAGAAGCTCTGTCTGTCTGCCTATAGTGGTCTGAGTGTCTGGGCCCCTTCTCAGGGAGAAAAACAGGGTTCCTTAGCCACCCAGTCCCCACACCTCCTCTTCTAGACTGAAGGGCCAAAATCAAGCCTCAGAGCCAGACAGAAGCCGAACTCAGACACAAGCCGTGACCTCCCGCTTCCTGCCCGACCCTTCCCTCTTGCGACCCCAATCCTGGGGTCTGTCTGGCATCCCGTTCCTTAAACACTGCCCTCATCGTGCAGGCTTCTGCCCTTGTTTCCACGACAGGCGCTCCCACTTTCTGTCCCCATAGCCTTTCCTTTGACTCAAGTCTCGCCCCATGGAGAGGGAACCAGAGACTGGTTGGGACCCCCCTTCTTATTCTTCTCTGTGCCCACTAAGCATCCAGAGGGGACCTTACTTCCTACCCACCTCCAGTGTGGGGTCTCAGAGGCCTCTGACCTTCCCCCTCCCAGCCCCAGTGGAGGCTTCCAGAATCCTCTCTGCTCCCCACCACGTGGATTCCCAGGATCTCCTACCTGCCCCTCCGAGTGTGGGTCTGTCTCGTTCACTACTCTCAACACCCCCTATTCCACCCCAGCGAGCCCTCAGGATTCTCTCTGTTGTCTCCACACCCCAGCGTGGACTTCCAGGGGAGCCCTGGAAGAAAGGCGCTTCTCAGGCCATGGAGGGGGTGGCCAGCCCTGGCGCCTGCTGGGAGGGGACTCCCTTCTGGCCCTTCCTTAAGGATCAGGCTGGACCTGGACCTCCACTCTCAACCCCTCCTCTCAACGAAGGGGGACCTGCTCTTTCGGGGGAGTGAGCTGGAGGGGGATGGGAGGGGCAGGAGAGGTGGGGGAACCGGTCTTCTGTTGTTCTTGGCTTGGAGCCCCCAGCCCCAGGGAAATCCTGACTCTGTGGAAAACTGAGCAGGCAGTCAGGCGGAGGAGGAGGAGTGGGAAGAGGAAGAGGAGGAGAAGGGGGAGGAGGACCAAGGGCTCAGGGTGAGTGGGGGTAGGGGCTCCTCTCATAAATCAATCCCACCAACGTCTCAGGCCTGACAAAAACCAGAGACCCAGGGTCCCTTGGGGGCCAATGTGGGGGTGGGGCACAGACCATCAGATGGACTTTAGGAGAGGAAAGGCTGATTCGAGGGGCAGCATCCTGCCCAGAGGGTTCTGCCTCCAGCCCCCGAGAACAACAGGTGTGTGTGTGGTGGGGGAAGGGTCTGAGAATTAGGCCTCACAACTACGGGAGCCCAGCCCTCATGGCTGTGACAGATCATTGGGGAAGGGGGGGGCCCACTTGTCTACAATTCAGAACACTTTTATTGCCATGGATTGAAGCCTGGTTCAACTCCTGGGGAACCCTGTGACTTCAGACAAGTTATTTCACCTCTCCGGGCCTTGGTCTCTGTCCCCCAGGGTGCAGGTTGCGGGGGCCGTGAGGTTGAAGTGGATGTTTACAGAGGTCCCACCTCACTTTGGCTTCCTCTGACACTACACCACAGCCCCTCTCAATGCTTGGCAGAGGAAAGAATATTGTTCTGGAGCTGGTAGGACAACAGTGAGAAGTCTAGGCTCCACCTTTTAGTAACTGTGGCCATGGGCAGATCATAGAACTTCTCGGATCCTCAGCTTCTGCATCTGTGAAATGGGCAAATATTGGCTCCCTGGCAGCGCTCCTATGCCAGTGAGTGAAATGCCAGTATGTAAAGTGCCTGGCCCCGCAGATTCTCAGTGGAAGGCCATTGTTTATTTTGTGTCTGCCTCTTGGGTGTTTACGGCATCCAGAGATCCCCTCTTTCCTTTACTGATGCTAATTAAGTGGATGCAGCTCCCAAACTGGTGACATAGGAAACCTTCGCAAGCCACTCCCTCAGTATTTTCAAGAGTCTTGAGATGCCTGCTTCTCCTGCGCCCACTCATCCTTCCTGCCATGGCTGGTGTCTTCCTGCACCGAGTGTTGCCCCACTTGGCCACTGCCCCAGGGGACACGTGAGGCCTAGGATGTGCTTTGGCTGGCCATCACCAAGGTCTGCACCATGGAGGAAGGATGCAGCCAGCCGGGGGCCGCCAACAACGAGCACTTGAACATGAACTGCCACTGCTGTTCCAACCCCCAAGTCTCACCACCTGCTGTCCTTGCTCCCACAAAGGTCCATCACAGGTCGTTTCCTGTGCCCTCCCCCTCTAGTCTCCCCTTCCAATGTCTCATTCCTGCCCCCTCACTCCTTCCCCATCCAGGTTCCTGTGGCTGTTGACTGAGCACCCGGCACCCCTTTGTACTGCCCTCCTGTCCCTGCTTCAGCCCAGGCCTTACCTGGCTTCAGCCAGATCCCCATTCAGGTACACTGAGATATTTCAACCAGCAGAAGGGGCTGACACTTGTGTTATGTTCTGTTCCTCCGAGGGGAGGCTGAAGGGCAGCAGTGTGTTCATTTCCTGGGTAATAATGTTTTCTCACAACTAGATTTTATAACTTTGACCAACCCTTCCCCTGCCCTGACCTTCCCCCACTCTCCTGCCCCTCCCATCCCCGAAGGCTCACCTTCTTCTCCAGGCCTCAGGTTCTCTCTTCACAGAAATCCCTAGGTGGTGTGTGGTGAGGCATCGAGTCGGGCCACTCCAGGTCCCTACTCTTTTTTTTTTTTCCTTTTTTTGTGAGACAGAGTCTCGCTCTGTGGCCCAGGCTAGATGCAGTGGTGCAATCTTGGCCCACTGCAACCTCTGCCTCCCGGGTTCAAGCAATTTTCCTGCCTCAGCCTTCTGAGTAGCTGGGCACGTGCCACCATGCCTGGCTAATTTTTGTATTTTCAGTAGAGACGTGGTTTCACCATGTTGGCCAGGCTATATTCCAACTCTTGACCCCAGGTGATCCGCCTGCCTCGGCCTCCCAAAGTGCTGGGATTACAGATGTGAGCCTCGGTACCCAGCCAGGTCCTTACTCTTGAGTTTGAACAAACCCACTGGGCTGGGCCAAACCTGGGGCACAGGCTGGGGATAATTTGGCTGGGCTGGTCTGATCCCCCTTGAAACCTCTAGCTGGGTTTCACCTCTAGCTGGGTTTCCCAGGAAGTCTTGTCTACCTCCAGGATTTCCATGCACTGATGCCGCCCCAGGGATCCATGCCCCAGGATGCAAGGGACAATGGAATCAGAGACCATGCCTGGTGGCTCTTGTGCTGACCAGAACTGCCATCGTTGGCAGGTGTGGGCTTTCAATGGTGAGAGGTGTGAGAAGCCCCTGGGGGAGAGTGGGCAGCGCACAGTTCCCCAAACAGAATCTTTCCAGATTTGTCTTCCCCACTGCATACCAGTCCCTCAAGGATGGAGTCCATACATTATGCGGGGGCGGCCCTTTGGGCCTCTGGGCCTCAAGCTTTCTAGGTCTCACCTGTTGCCCCAGGGCTCTGAGGAGCCCAGTCAGGCCAGCTGGAAAGGTCCAGAGAGACCATTTCTCTGACAGTGGCATCCCCACTCCTCTCCCAGGGGCAGAAAGCCCCTCTCCAACCCCCATGACAGATGGCACCCAGACTCTGCTTGGCCACTCCCGGGGATGGGTACTCATGACCTCCCAAGGCAGCCCCCTCTTGCTGGGGTAGCTGGGATGATTGAAGAGTTCAAAGTGGAGACTCCAACAAGCATTTATTGCTGGTCCCTCTGTGGGAGTGAAGAGGGGGTCAGGGAGCATAGCTGTGGATGTCTCCATGAGGGAGGGGGTGGGGCAGGGCTGCCTGTTTGGGGTGAGGCCCAGGATCCTGGGGAAAAGGCCCAGGCCTAGGAAGCCAGGGATGGGATTTGAGTCTCTGCTCTGCCATTAACTCATCGTGTGGCCTTGAGGGAGTCCCTCCTCTCCCTGGGCCTCAGTTTCCACAAGTGTAAACTTTGGGGGCTGGGCTCGGGGACTTCTCAGGGCCCTGCCCCTGGCAACGGATGCTCTTCCGTGAGTCTATGAATAGCTGGCACAGAGGGATCGGGCCTTGGTCCACAGGGCTGGGCTGGCTTGAGAGTGCTCAGAGAATGAGCCCTGTGTGGGACAGGACAAGGTTCCCTTTCATTTCAAGAGGTCTTGGCAGCCGCCCAGGGCCCGCAGGCTCTCCCTCCTGCCAAGGTCAACCTGACCCTGACCTGGGGGGCATCACTGCCTGGGGCGGTTGGGGTCAGGCGCTGGCAACTTGGTTGAGAAGGAGCCCAGCACAGACGTTGACTCCCGTCCTCTGGGCTGGGGTCGGGGTCTGAGCAACATCAGCTCTGTGTGCCTTGTGTTTCTGACAGTGACCCAGAGCTCTTTCCCCCACCCCACTTTGGTGGTCCCTTGGAAAGACCCCCACTGGCCTTGGCATCAGGCACGTCTGGTATGGAATCCAGACCTGCCACTTACAGGCCAAATGACCTTGGGCAAGTCCTTGCCCCTCCTCATCTGGAAGTCAGTGACCGTAATTTCTACCTTGCATAGTTGCTGGGAAGATAAGGCCCACGAGCAAGCATCATGCGCGCAGCACACACTCCACGAAGAGTGGCTGCGATGATCATGACCAGACGCCCAGCTAAGCAGGGAAGGTGACAAGGAACTAGCCGGGACTCGGCTCTTCCTGCTGCCTCAGCCCTCTGTCTCTTGGTCTGTTTGTCCATCAGGGCATTGGGGGGTTCCAATTCTCAGGCTCTAAAATCTGCACAATTTAAAGTAGTCAAAACAAACTCCACTCACTCTATTTATGCTGAGAGGGAACAAGCTCCTGGCCGGGCCTAATGGGTTCCAGGTGTGCTCTGTGCCCTGCAGCGGCTGAACCGGCAGCAGTGGTGGTGGCTGTGACTGTGCCTGGCTGGCTGAGAAGACCCAGCTAGGCCAGTCCTCTCTAGCCCAGACCTCCAGCCTATGAAAACTGTAGAGCTGGAGCAGGCCCTACCCAGTATGGTGGGACAGATGTTAGCCTTGTGCTCAGAGGGCCTTGGGTTCAAAATCAGGAGGCGTTGTCCGCACGCCCAGCAGCACACACGGGGGGCTCCCAGACTCTCCTGCCTTTATCGCAACAGGTTCTGGGGCTGCCCAGACATTTTTCACAGATCTGTAAAACTCCCTTTCACAAGAGGTCGGCTGTGGAAGTGACCTCCCAGAGAGGCTCGGGAACCAGGTGGGAGCCCAGAGGGCATGAATGAGGTTTCTTTTATTACCATTATATATTAATTATCCTGTTATATAATCAGAGTGTCAGCTGTCATTTATTAATGGCCAGCCATGGGCCAGGTACTGTATTTGGTGCTTTCTATCCAGGATTCATTGAATGCTTACAGCCACACATGGAGATGACAGGCTAATGTCATCTCAAAGAACACAAAGGAACAGGAGGCTCAGGGATACCAGGAGCCTTGCCTGAGGTCACACAGTCAGGAACTGGCTGGAGTGGGACTTAGGCCCAAGGCTGTTTGATTCCCACGCTAAGGTCTGCTCACCATACTGGGCAGGCCTGTCTCAAGGGCCAGAGAGAGTGCATGTGTGTCAGTGTGAGGGTGGATGGGAGGATCTGGTTGGAAGCAGAGCAGGGAGTAATTTTTCCTTGAGTGACAATGCCAAATACCCATAAGGTGAGCGCACGACACCTTCCCCCATTCTAGCTGCACCCCCTCCCAGCACCCAGTCCTCCTAGTCCCAAGCCTGGGCCCTGTTCTGCTACCTGGGTGAACAACCTCTCCCTCGGCCTCCTTACCACCTCTGGACCAGGCCAGCCCAAACTCTGCCCCAGGAAATGGAGGGGACTGTTGGCATTGAGGCCACCATCAGATCACCCCACTTTCGCCCATATCAGCTGGGCCCTCCAGGACAGACTGGGCAGTCCACCGTTGGGGGAAGGCTGAAGATCCACTATGGAATCACAGATGGCGTGTGGGCACGATTGCAAGTGGGGTGCCTTGGCCCCATTCTTTGGGTAATTATTAGTAATAGTAATGTTTAGCCTCTGTAGTCTCAATAATCATCCCATACACACAGTGTCCTTACTGATGTAACTTCTCAAAGCACTGGGTACTTTCCTTCACACTGCTTACCAATTTGTTATTAGACACTTACACACATATTTTCTTGGTTAATTCTGCCCTCTCCCAGGGCTGCAAGCTCGAAAAGGACAGTTGGCTTTCAGCTGTATCCCCAGTGCCTGGCACAGTGTTGACACATAGTACAGGCCCCTGATAAATTGTGTTGAATGCACTTATGGATAAATGAGTGTAATGGAGTCAGCAGGAAGCTAAGAAGAGGTAGACAGGACTACGAAGCGGGAGGAATATGAGGATGAAGCTTCAGGAGTCTGTGGATGGAGCCGGGCTGGTAGGGCATATCCAATAGGGACAGGGAGGAGGGACACTGCACTCTTGGTGGCCCCTGGGAAGCCAGGTATGGTTCTGGCATGAAGGAGCTAAGCTGTAAGGCCCCTTCACCTGCCTGGAGCTGAACCGTGGCCTCCTGCAGGTCAGGAATCAGAGGAAGCCTGTGGATGAAGCCCTCTCTTGTATCTCCAGACTTTTGCAACCCAGAAGAGCCACCACCCCAGGAGACTTTTGCAACCCAGAAGAGCACTTTCTCCCCTCCCACCAATACTCTCAAGAGGGGATTCTGGAAGGACCTCAGTATTTAGGCCATTTTAGCGAGGAGGCCGTGGAGAAGGGACCTGATTACTCAGGTTGCAGAATGGAATGCTCCTCAGCCTGCATCCCCTTTCCCTCCTGTCTCTAGAGTTGTTCAGTGCATGACCCTCTCTCAACCAATCTCTACTCCTTAGCCCAGTGTTCTTGGGATGGTGGAAAGGGAAGGCGTTTTGGAGTCAGAAAGATCTGGGTTCAAAACCAGCTCTTCCACTTTCTACCTGAGAGACCCTGGGCACACTTAGCTTCTCTAAGCCTCAGTTTCCACATCTCTAGAATGGAGAAGATAGTGCCCACTTTGCAGTGTGGCAGCTATCCCAGTGCCCGGCACCACACAGGCACTCACTGATCACCTGACCTCTCATTCCTGCTCTCACCAACTGGCTGTGTGACTTTGGGCAGGACTCATTACCTCTCCCTGTCTCAGCTTCCTCATCTCAAAGACAGGGTTGGATCCCACAGTCTTGAAGGCCCCTTCTAGCTCTGACTTGCTCGGTTCTATTCTGAGCAGGGAGCCCCACCTCTGGGGAGGGGGAATACGAACATTCTTTCAGCACAGATTCAACCCAGGCACATGCTTGCCCAGCCCCATCCCTCACATTTAGCCTGTAGCTATTGCCACATGGGCCGCACCCTTGGCACTGCCCTGCTCCCCCCACCCCCGCCTCACTCGCCAGGGCCACAGGTGGGTGGGTTGTTCTTGTGGAACTGAAGGAGCCTGAGAGGACAGACGAAGAGGGTGGGAGAGAAGAGGAAAGAGTGGAGGGGCTGCGGGGGTAGCCAGGTGGGAAGGGCGGGGCTTTGAGCCTGGTAGAATGCTAGCTCTGTCACTTTCTAGCGGTGTATGTCCTTGGGCAAGCGGCTTTAACCTCTTAGAAACCTGTTTCCTCGTTTATGAGCTAATAATAATAACAATTTTTTAAAAACCCATTAGATCGCAGTGAGGATTAAATGAAAGAATATCTGTCAAGTGCCTGGCACTGTAGCGTTCTGTTCTGGGGTGGGGGGAGGCAGGCACCTACACCCTTCCCTCGACCCGGGTAGGGGGAAGTTCCACGAAGGCCCGTGGGGGCGCCTTGGCCACCTTCCCGCAGGCGAACCCGAGCCAGAGAGGCCCACAGTCCTCGCCGCAGCCGGAGCCACCTCCCGAGGGCTGTCGGTCTGGGGTCCTTGGCCCGGGAGCCCCAGCCCGCAGAGCAAGGGGAAGGCTGCGGCCCGAGCCGGCCCCCGACCCACCCGCCCCGCCTCGGCCTCGTACAAGCACCTTTGATCTGCAACCTTCAGGGGGATTAAGAGCCTGAGAGCCCCCCTCCCCGGGGTACCCCGCTCCCCAACGCCCTCCCTCCGGGCTGACCTCCCAGTCTGCCGCCCGGGCCGGGGGCCGGCTCCGCCGCCGGTGGTCCCCGCCGCTCCTGGCGGCCGCACCTCCGGGCAGGCCACTTGGATTACAGGGGCAGCAGCCGCGGCTGGCGGCTTCGGGGAGCCCCGGGGCTGGGGCCCGCGGGCGGGGCGGGAGGGGAGGCTGGGGGCGGCGGGCCCCTCCTGGCCATTTTGGCCGGGGAATCTGTGTAAAGTGTTTAAAAAGAAAAACTCTCCGGAGGAGGACGTAACCTTTTCTTAACATCTGGGGCTCAATTAGCTAATGACAGCAAAGCCTTCTCCGGTGTCGCTGACCCCTGGGCGGCAGCCCAGCTCCCCCACCCCCGGTATTTATACAGCTGCGGCCCCTCGCTGGGACGGGGGGCAGGGGGCTTGACTGGGTTATCTCTGCGGAGATCCGCCGCCCACCCCAAAAAGGAGAAAGAAAAGGCTTAGCACACGGTCCCACCCACCGCCCCTCGATCCTCCTTGTTGCCCCTCGGTCCTCCTCGTCGCCCCTCACTCTTTCCCTCTCTCCAGCTCTTGGCGCTGCCTCTGCTTTCCTGCCCCTGGGCTTCTCTCCTCTCCCTCTCCCCCATTTTCTACTCTTCCTCCTTTCTGCTCCTCTCCACTTCTCTTTTTTACCTCTCCCTCTCCCCTTTCTCCCGTTTCTTCTTCATCTCTGTTTTGTCTCTTGTTCCTGCCCAGCTTTCTCACTCCTCCCTCTCTCTCCCCCTGCTCTCCTCCCCTTCTTGCCCACCACCCCCTTGCCTGCCTGTCTCTCTTTTCGCCCCTCTTTCTCTGTCTTTTCTCTCTCCCTGGCGGCCTCCCCTCTCTTTCTGACTCTCTGAATAGCTCCCTTGTTCCCTCTCTGTGTTCCTGTCTATCCCTCTCATTCTAGTGCTTCCTCCCCACCTTTGTCTCTCCCTGTCTCAACCTCTGAATGCCTGTCTGTCCTCCCAGAGGTGTGTCCTACCCTGGCTGCCAGGCAAATACCCCCAGGGGAGCAGACCTATTGCTGGGCCACCTCCGGACCAAGCATCCTTTCCCGCTGAGTTGGGCAGGCCTGTGGCTGGGCACTGCAGGGCTGACTCCGGATCCTGGGTGTGGGAGGTGTGGGAGAGCTGTGTTTAAGGCTCTCCATGGCTAGAGCCAGAGGAGATCCCCAGGGGCTTCCCTAGAACCCTCCACTCCAGCTGGTGGAACCTCGCCTTCCCTGGAGGCTCCTTCCCTGCCACTCCACCCATCCCCAACTCCCCCAACACCCCGTGCCTGGTATTTTGAAGCCCGGCACAAGTGCAGAGACACACTTTCCTCTTTATCCTCCCTGAGCGCAGTTAGAACAGGCTGGAGTCCCTTAAAAAAATTCACCAATATTAAGAAAAAAGTGATAAGCTCAGAAACTATAAATAGCACAAAATAGTCATGTCCAAGGGCAGCGCAGAGCAGCAAAGAGCACACAGTTTGGAATGAAAGGAGCTGGATTCAACTACTAACTCCATGGTTTAAACAGTTCTGCCATCTCCAGGGAGTCATTTGAGCCTCAGTTCTGTCATCTATAAAATGGGCATAATAATCGTTATTAAACAATATTGAAACATTGTGTTCTTTCATTAAGGCATTTACTTTTTGTTTTCCTGGGGAAAATCTTGGACTCTGATTTTTCCAGGATACAGCTGTGTTCCAAAATTCTACCTCCTTCTCCTCCAAATACACTTGAAGCTCTCGCACCATTGCTGACCCCTCTTATCTAAGGGTGAAGGCTTTTCGCAGAAAAACGCAAACATAGGCAACATTTGCAAACAATGGGTTGAGGGGGAAGGCGATCCTAGAGCTCCTGAAACCTTTGGTTGATGCTGGGTGGGACCCTGGGCTCACTGCGGCGGGTGCTTTGTGAATCCTCACAACAACCAAACGAAAAGGGTCCTGACGTCCTGTTTTACACTTGGGGAAACGGGGAAGCAATTGTCCAAGGACCACAAAGCGGACTAGGAACCCAGGGTCTCGCCTCTAGAGCTTTGGGGAAGTGGGGGTTTCTCCCAGCGGGTAAGGGGTAGAAGCAAGGTAGGTGGCTTGGAAACGTTCAGTAGTCGGACCTGGGCCACGGAGGGCACAGCGGCCACTCTTTCTGAGAGGCAGAGGTCGGTGGGCTCCACCCTCCCACTCCGAGCCGGCCTGACCCTCGGTGCAGGCGGAAGGGGGGCCGCGGGGAGCGGAGGACGGTGCCGAGGCCTCGCTGCTGCTGCAGCGCCCCCGCCCCGCGTCGCCTCCCAGCCCTGGCTCCCAGTGCTCCGGGCTTGCTGACGGTACAGGGTGGACAGCCCCGAGACATTTTCATCAGATCTCGTCTCCCGCAGCCCAGCGCTGCTGCCGGGGGTCGGACAGGGCCGATCCCAGCACCCCTCCCCCGAGCCCTGGCTGGGCGAGAAACCGAGATGGTGGCTGCAGAAACCGGAGCCCCCGCGCCGGGGCGACCGCGAGGGGCCGAGGCCTTTGAGAGCGCTGCCGCCCCTTGCCAAGGTCAATCAAACCCTCCCACGCTCCGGAGGCGCGCGCTGCGTGCTCTAGGCAGCGGGGATTGGGGCCGGAGGGGCGCGTCCCGGCGGGGCCGGGCGAGGGTGGGTGGGGGGTCTGGCCTGGGGGGCGCCTCCCGCCCCCTCTTGGGGAAGGTGCTCGGAGACTCCCGGGCCCTGGGCGGAGAGTGTGGGGAGGCTGGGCTAAAGGCAGAGACCCAGGCCGAGGGCTCTGACCCACCCAAGAGGAAATAGCTACTAATTAGGGACGGGACGTTTTTATGCTAATATGCACCTGGCTGGGCTTTTCTGGAGGCTGAGAAAGTGTGGAGTGGAAGGGAAGAAGTTCCGGAGAGCGGGAAACTTCCGGAAGCACTTGATTCCTGGATAAAAGACAACTCTTGCTCTCCTGCTCACCCGCTGTGTGGCCTTGGGGAAGTTACTTAGGGACGTGTAGGAGCTTCAGTTTCCTCCTCTGAAAAAGAGAGAACACGGTCAAGTTTCTTCCCAAGCTCAGTCACTCTGTCAGCAAAAAGATGGAAAGCCAGCCCTCGGGTGGCTCTTGGAGGATGGAAAGGGGACAGAATTGTGGGAGGTGTGCGTCGCGGGACAGAGTCCTAGGAGAGCCGGGTGCACACTGTCAAGGGCCTGCGACTGTCTTCACTGTTGCCCAGAGGTGGAGAGTGGGCAGTAGAGGGAGGTCGAACAGAGGTCCTCCGATTGTTGGACGGAGTGTCAGGAGGTGCTCCGCTGTAAAAGAAAATGGGAGGTGGATGGGGAGTAGTGTAGAGGAGTGGGTATTCTATGGTGGGACCGACTTGAGCTTAATCATAGAGTTGGGGTGGAGGGGAGGGTGGGTTGAAGATGCCAAGGAGAGAAAAGGGAGATGACTGATTGAGTCAAGTCCTGAAGAAGGCCTAGTGGGTGGGAGCCAGGCAGGGTGCAGGTTGGAAGAAGTAGGAGACAGGTTGGAAGTGGGGAGGAGGAAGGGGAGAGGAGGAAGTGGTGGAAGAGGAGACGAAGAAAGAAGGGTGAAATTCAGGGTATTTTGAAGGGAGGGAACACCCTCCATTGGCCTTACTCAACTCAGCTCAGTATTGGAGGAGGCCTCGGTGTTCTTCACAGACTAAAGAACCAAGAGCAGATTTGGGCTGGGCACAGTAGCTCATGCCTGTAATCCCAGCACTTTGGGAGGCCGAGGCGGGCAGATCACCTGAAGTCAGGAGTTAGAGACCAGCCTGGCCAACGTGGAGAAACCCCATCTCTATTAAAAATACAAAAATTAGCCAGGCATGGTGGCGCACACCTATAGTGCGAGCTACTTGGGAGGCTGAGGCAGGAGAATTGCTTGAACCCAGGAGGCGGAGGTTACAGTGAGCCGAGATCATGCCACTGCACTCCAGCCTGGGCGACAGAGTGAGACTACATCTCAAAAAAAAAAAAAAAGAGTGCATCTGGAAGAATCCACCATGGAGACTCAAGCAGGAGTAGGGTAGGTTGGACAGAAAGGGCTGATGAGCAGGGCTGCCACTGAGGGTGGGTTACAGGAATTTGAAAGCAAAGTAATAGAAACCTTTGAGCTCATGGGAAAGGGAAGGCGCTTACTGAGATTGACTTGGGATTCATGGTCTCACTGAATTCTCACCACCCAGTGTGGTCTGTGTTATTTCCATTTTACAGATAGAGAAACTGAGGGTCGGAGCAGTAAAGAACCTTGCCCAAGATCATTCAGCTAGTGATAATGAGATGAAAGAATGGTTTGAACCCAGGTCTGTCTGCTCCCAAAATGAGGCTGCTTCCTGTGGGGTCCTCTGGGCAAGAGTCCTGACCCTGGGGCCTTGGCAGTCCTTCCCTCCCTGGGTGTGGCCATCCTGGGAGCACTGACCCGTTTGGCTGGAAGGAAGGGGCTGGGCATTCTCAACTGAGTACAGGCTGCCCTGAGCCAGCTTGAACTTAGCAGGAAGCCCCCAACCCAGCTGAGAGGAGAGGGGGAAATGGTAGGCTGTGCCACCACCAAGCCAAATGAGATCAAACCATATATTTTATTCTGCAACATGCTATTTTTCTCTTAATATTTCCACGCTTATATATATAGGCCTATTGTTTTTAAGTTGTGTACTACTCCTTTGCATAAATATTTCATTTCTTATTTATCTATTCCTCTACCACTGAACATTTGTGTTGTCTCCAGTCTTGGAATTACAGGTAATGCCCACTGAACATCCTTGTGAGAATATCTTTGTAATGACACAAGTGCTTCTAGAGGATAGATTCTTAAAAATGACATCAATGGGTTAATGGTATGCTTGTTTTAAATTCTTATAGATAGTACTAGACTTCTCTCCAAAGATGCTCTATCAGTTTCCACTGCCTCCATTAAACTATGAGTGTGCCCACCCACTGACACCCTCGCTACTACTGGGTATTCTCTCTGTCTCTTTCTCTCTCCATATAGATAAGTTTGGGGTGGGGGGCAATCTACTGAATGAAAAAGAGTTTTTCACTTTTGTTTTCATTTGTATTACCCTGAGTCTCTACAGCTCTGCCAAAGGTCCACTAGCTGAAGAAAGCATTGTGAAGAAGCGAAGAAGAGCCCAAGACAAGTAGCAGCGATTTAGGGCAGCTCTGAGGAGGAACTTACTCTGTAGATAACGGAGGCACCCGAATTCCTTTCTCGGTGCACATTCTTATACTCCAAGGAGGATCGCACGACCCCAGTAGCTCGGGGTGACGGCTGGCTACCTAGAGTCTCATGGCAGTCAGCCAGACACTGAGTGATGCCCACTCCCCATGGGCTGCAGGGACAAGCTAACAGGCTGCATGGGACAGAAGATGGCAGTTTTCAGGGAGGGCAGAGGAATGGGTTCAGCTTTCTGAAAGAACCAGGGAAGAAGAGGGTCACCATGGTGGGGCAGGCTGGCCCTGGGTACTAAATGAAAACAGGAAGGTCAGTAGTTTGAGGAGGTGGCAGATGGGAGGGAACGGGATGCCAAACTAAGCTTAGCAAAGGTGGGACTGGGCAGTTGTGGCCGCACTTCCCCCGTCCCATAGGCATATCCACCCCAGCCTATTGATGATAATAACATGACTCATATTTTTGAGCCTTTACTGTATTAGACTATTAGACACTGCTTTTTTTTGTTTTTTGTTTTTTGTTTTGTTTTGTTTTTTTCAGACAGAGTCTCGCTCTGTCACCCAGGCTGGAGTGCAGTGGCGCAATCTCCCCACACTGCAACCTCTGCCTCCTGGGTTCAAGCAATTGTCTTGCCTCAGCCTCCTGAGTAGCTGGGACTACAGGCGCACGCCACCACCCCCAGCTAATTTTTTGTATTTTAGTAAAGACGGGGTTTCACCGTGTTGCCCAGGCTGGTGGCAAACTCCTGAGCTCAGGCAATTTGCCTGCCTCGGCCTCCCAAAATGCTGGGATTGCAGGAGTGAGCCATTGCATCCGGCCTAGATACTGCTTTAAGTGTTTCAATATTTTGAGTGACTTTATCCTTTTAACAATTATGTGAGATAACTGTAATTATGATCCCCATTTCATAGATGAGGACATGGAGGCATAGGCTTAAGTTGCTACCCAAGGTCACACAGCTAGAAAGTGGCCAAGCGGGGATTCAGACCCAGGCCAGGGTCTTGAGAATCCACACTTCTAACCACCTCACATGTGGCTTTTCACAGCCTTCCTTAGCCAGTAGAATTACCACTGCCATTAATTAAGAGTGGACCAAGAACATTCAATTCTTTGTTTCTAATGCTTACAAGGCTTGAAATAGAAGGTGCTACCCTAAATTTATAGGTGAGAAAAGTGAGGTTCAGACAGGCTGAGCACCTTGGCTAAGATCACCCACATAAAAAGAAGTTGAGCCAGACTTTGCACTCAGATCTCTATGAATCAAAAGCCCCTGCCCCTTGCATATCACTACAGGATCTTTTGCAACATGAGAAAGGAAATCACACAATCACAGAACAGTCATCCCCCCAAAAATACCTCTTTCCTGTAGAGATGAGTGTGTGTCAGGGCAGCCTGGAGGGAGCATCTGTGCACTGTGTGGTGGGGGAAAGTGGGGGCAAGGGGGAACAGTGGGCTGTATGCAGTGCTGTGGAGAGACCATCTCCCCTCTATCAGCAGGGCTGACTGGGAAGCAGAGTGGCAGTTTGGGAGGGAAGTCTGGGGAAGCCATCCCTTTTGTTACTGGAACCTAGAACCTCTCTCCACCCCCATCCGCTCCATATCCACCTCCAGCTTAAGAAAAGCATGAGTTGGTATCCTGGAAAGAGCTGTTTTTGAAGACCCCCAAGTCACCCTACAGGCTGACCCAAGAAGGACTGCCATTTCACCTTATATGCGTTACCTGTTAAATTAAGCATCGTCTCTTTCTTTCCTTCTATCTTTCTTTCTTTCTTTTTTTCTCTCTCTCCCTCTTTTTTTTTTTTTTGAGATGGAGTCTCACTTTGTCACCCCGGCTGGAGTGCAGTGGCACAATCTCGGCTCATTGCAACCTCTGCCTCCCGGGTTCAAGCGATCCTCCTGCCTCAGCCTCCTGAGTAGCTGGGACTACAGGCACATGCCACCACGCCTGGCTAATTTTTTTGTATTTTTAGTAGAGATGGGGTTTCACTATGTTGGCCAGGATGATCTCAATCTCCTGCCCTCGTGATCCACCTGCCTCAGCCTCCCAAAGTGCTGGGATTACCGGTGTGAGCCACCGCACCTGGCTGTCTTTCTTTTTTTAATTTTTGAGACAGGGTCTCACCCTGTCACTGAGGGTGGAATGCAGTGGTGCTATCATAGCTCATTGTAGCCTTGAACTCCTGGGCTTAAGCAATCCTCCTACCTCAGCCTCTGGAGTAGCTGGGATTACAGGCATGCACTACCATACCTGGCTAATTTGTAAATTTTTTGTAGAAAGGTCTCGCCATGTTGCCCATACTGGACGCATTGCTCTTTCTAAGGGTATATGTAAAAGTGCAAATTGCCCTTGGACCTAGCAACATGGTGAAAAGGATGTATCAGTCATTCACACCTTCCTGTGAATTAGTTTCTCAGCCAGGACAGTGTTTCTCAAACTAGGGTATCTACTTTCAGAGTTCCTAAGTGCTCTGAAGAGTTTTAAATTTTGGATGTAAATTTCAATGATGTTAAAATATTTTAGCAGTTATAAAGACAGAACTCTTTGCAGTTAAACATTTTCATAGACTAGAACTTCAGTTCCTTACGTTGGCGTTGCTCCAGTATGGGTCTGTGAACTTCTGGGAATTCACAGATGGGATCTGTGAGAATTGCTTTTCCTTTCAAGAGGTTTGCTCATTACACGGGTTTGGGAGACACTTCGCAAGAACTAGATGGGTGTGAGCCTTTTCAGCCCCAGTGCCATGGTTGCCAAGGTGCTGGGGACCCAGAGATCTGGGTTCTAGCCTTGGTCACTTGACCACTGGTGCCTCAGTTTCTCCACTTGAAAATTCACTCACTCTTTTCCACTTTGCAGCGTCCTCTCTGTCAGGCCTGTGCTGGCTGCTGCTAGGGGTAGGAGATGAACAAGGCCAAGCTGGTGAAGGTGCCAAACGTGGCACCCTTCTGTCTGACAATTCAAGGCAGAGGGGAGATAAAGGCTATGGGGGTCCAGCAGAGGAAGAGGTCACTTCTGCCTGCTGGGTGCAGTGGGGCTTTGCAGCAGAACTGGCTTTGAGCTAGGCCTTGAGATGGGGCCACAGCAGGCAAGGAGGCCAGCCCTCCAGGCAGAGAGGGTGGGTGAAGCGGACCGGCTGCGACAGGCTTGTGGGGAGAGTCAGGGTGTGATGTGTATTTAGGGAACTGGACCTGTAGCCAAAGGACCTGAGAGATCATCTCAGCCAACTCTTTAGGATTTAGGGGAATGTCAGGAGGCTGAATTGGCTCAAGGGCCTCGTCAAGATCACACAGCCAGCTGGGGGCCCTGCTGAGAACAAGGAGGTAGGCAAGATGTTTTTCCATCTGGAGCTGAGCTCCCAGCCTCAGGAATGTTTCGGGGGGTCCAGCCCATGTTGGCAACCCCCTCTTCCACCACCCACTCCATGAAGCCTAACACAGGCTCTGCAACCCACCGTCTCTCCTGCCCCCAAGGCTACTGAGGCCCACAGACCTGGGGGGCGTTTTCATCTGATTTTCACTCAAGGAAACAGCCACATCCTGACGGAAGCCAAGTTGGAGGGAGGTCTTTAGCTCACCCTTCCCAGCCCCCTAGTTCTTGGGGGTTGGGGCGGGGCTCTGATAGCCTTCAGTTAACAGGGGAGGAAGCTTCCAGGCTTAGGCAGACAGCCTGCCTCCACCAAGCCCCAGGAGCCTTCTCTTCTTGGCTGTGGGGGACTCTCAGGTTGGGCCCACCCCTTTGGGTCTAGAGAAAAGTCTCCCCTCACACAGGCCTCTCAGGGCCCATATCTAGTCATCCTGTGTGGGCAGAGAGGGGCTCACTGCCCCAGGACTAACTGGATAGTGACCACCAGAACGAGGCTGGGCCCAAAATCTTGTACCCGCTTCTCTCAGCTAAGACATGGAAAGAACAGGCTAGTGTGAGCGGCCATCACAGATGCCAGGCAGGAGGGCTGTGAAGCCCAGATTTACCATCGCTAGCCTGGGTTTGCTTGCTGCTGCCATGACCACCACCGACCACCACCATTGTCACATTTCCGTTTCTACCACCATCACTGTTTCCATCTCTACCATCGCTATCTTCATCTCAACCACCCTCTCTGTCTCCACTATTATCACCACCTCCACACCCGCCACCATCAGCATCTCTATCACCATCATCTCCACCTCAACCATCACCTCCAGCTCCACCGTCATCACTATGCACCGCCCCTGCCGCCTCCACCATAACCACTGCTTCCATCTTTACTACCATCACCAACTACCTCCGCCAGTATCACTACCGGCATCTTCATCCAACAACTGCCCTCTCTGCCATCATCACCACCTCCACCAGTATCACTACCTTCATGACAATTATCACCACCATTTCTACCACCACTGCCCCTCTTACCTCCCCTGACACGTCTAACCACCGCCAGCACAGTACCCCACCCACCCCAACCTCTGTCCATTCGAATCCATCCATGCTACCTATAACATAAAGAACTGCCATTTGGGCTAACCCTTCAACCTCTTTTCATTTGCCCAACCCCAGAAAGGCCAACTATAGACCCCATTTCTCCAGTTTCTCTTTTGAGACTTCTCTTGGAAGATGAAATGAAATGCCTTGCTCTTGAAGTTGAGGAAGATTATGTGTCTCTTGCCGTTCTTGATTTACCAGGCCCAACATTCTGTCCTAGAAGGAAATTGGATTACTCTGACAGAATGTATTCTTTGGAAAGCAGTGCTGGTTATTACCTAATTCCTTATGACCTAGTGTTTGCAGATTGATTTTTTGACGACGTGTCCCAGTAGTTTTCTATTATAGCAGTTTGGTGGATAGGCCCAGCACTTGCAGAGGCATCTGCTTTCCCCCAGGTTTGGAAAGAGGCAGGGACCGGCTGCCTGGGTCTCTTGTCTCCAGGCCCCTCACCAGTTCTCCATAAATCCCCTCAGAGTGAGAGCTAGTGATTGGATTCCAATGTGGGCCAATTTCTTAAGTACCTAAGCATGTAAGTCATCAGGGCCTGTGGATGGGAATACACAAGTTCTTTCCTTATCCCCCTGGCTTCCTGCCTGCTCGTGATTCCACATGGTGCCTCTTTCAGTTTTCAGATCACAGCTGACCTTTTTAGGCTAAGAAAAAATTAAAAGGCTCTGCTTTTTCAGTGTCGTTGCTTATAGGCTTTCTCTCCCCAGCGAAAAACGTGCCAGCAATCCCCTTATCCCCTTTCTTTGGCCCATTATAGTTAGCAAATGTTTTTCTCATTCTTTTGCCGCCTTGTGCAAGTTATATCCCATTTCTTTTCTGAACAAGTTTTCTGATTTTATCTCCACAGCCTTTTTTTTTTTTTTTTTTTTTTTTGTATTTCTTTGTGTGTACCCCTCCTTCGGAACCTGCCCTAATTTCCACTTTCTTTGGCTTGTCCGTTATCATTTTAGTTCTCCGGGAAGCTTTCTGCATAACTAACATGGAATCGCTGGGTTCCTTTTAGCTGCTTTATGCATCGGGATAGTTTCATTCTCTTTTCCTAATTTTGTTGCCTTATGTGGAAATGTCCAGTTCTCCTTAGAGAGTGCCCATGGTTCTTAAACTTTGTCTTTGTGTTTTTCATCTTGAGTCTCAAAGCCTGGTGCAGAACGCTTTCAGGAAGGGCCAATATCTGGATCTTGTTTGAGTTTCTGCTTTTCTTCCTTTCTCTCAGATGGTGCTAGCTTTTCTCAGTGCTCCCTTCCATTCCCCAGTCTTTTTTTTTTGAGACAGAGTCTTGTTCTGTCACCCAGGCTGGAGTGCAGTGGCGCAATCTCGGCTCACTGCAAGCTCCGCCTCCCAGGTTCATGCCATTTTCCTGCCTCAGCCTCCCAAGTAGCTGGGACTACAGGCGCCCGCCACCATACCCAGCTAATTTTTTTTTGTATTTTTAGTAGAGACAGGGTTTCACCATGTTAGCCAGGATGGTCTCGATCTCCTGACCTCGTGATCTGCCCGCCTCGGCCTCCCAAAGTGCTGGGATTACAGGTGTGAGGCACTGCGCCCAGCTCCCCAATGTCTTCAGTTTGTGAGTAGCAAACCGAGTCAGGACCTGCTCCCCAAGGCCTCACAAACCGGGCAACCAGAATGGGGAGGGGACCAGCAGCTGCATTTGGCCTCTGATACCCAGAGTGTGGATGGGGTCACTTACCAGGAGTGTTTGGTTACCATAAGGGGCTCCTTCCATTCACAGACCCATTTCCTCGTTCTCAGACTCCCTCATTCCCTCATTCCCTCCAGAACCTCTGTGTTAGTCTGGGGTCCTGCCCGCTGTGGGCTCACGGGGCACATGAGCCTTCTTGAATATTAGGTCAATAATGGCCTGGTGCAGTGCACCAGCTAGTAATATACACAGAAATCAGGTTAATGACGTAGAAGGTGGTGAGTGCAAGGCCTGTAGACAGTGGTGTGGGAGCGATGCGCTCTGCCAGTCTACTGCAGGAGGCTGCTCCACAAAAGCCATATTCCAGCAGGGTCTTTACATTTAGGAATGTGTTTGCCAGGAAGGGGGATGTAGAGGAGCATTCCAGGCAGAACAGGATGTGCAAATGCAGAGAGGGCCATCTGGGACTGGCCACGTCAGGCAAACGGAGTCTCCAAACCCCATGAAAGCCTGTTGTCTTTCCAACCCTCCACTGGTCTGGATGGATCACGTCAAGATGGCTCTGGGAAGGGCCCTTTCAGTGCCTCCCCAGGGGCGCCCAGTGCTCCCAGAGCCACCTGCTGTCAGCTCCAAACTTGCCTGTTGAGTGAAGGCTTTCTCCATCCAGCCTGGCCAGTGCTGACTGGAGGCTCCAAACCTAGTCCCTTCCCTTCCCCCATGGCTACGACAATAGGGACGCTCTGAATCTTCCCTGCACTCCGCCCTGTTTTCTTCCCCCCAGCATCCAGCTAAGCATCCTCTACATTATAGATTCAATTTTTTACGTCTAGAAAAACTAGAAAATACAGAGTAGTAAAAATGTTAAAATAGCTTCAAAAAGTATGCATATGCCGGGCACAGTGGCTCACGCCTGTAATCCCAGCACTTTGGGAGGCCAAGGTGGGCAGATCACCTGAGGTTGGGAGTTGGAGACCAGCCTGACCAACACGGAGAAACCCCGTCTCTACTAAAAGTACAAAATTAGCCAGGCATGGTGTCGCATGCCTGTAATCCCAGCTACTCGGGAGGCTAAGGCAGGAGAATCGCTTGAACCCGGGAAGCGGAGGTTGCAGTGAGCTGAGATTGTGCCACCGCACTCCAGCCTGGGCAACAAGAGTGAAACTTCATCTCCAAAAAAAAAAAAAATGCGTAATCCCATCATTCAGAGTTAACCTTGTCAACATTTCGATGTATATCCTCCCAGATGTATCATTTCCTTTTACAAAATAGGCAGCTGTCACGGGCATCTTTTAGAAGTATGTATATATCTGGCCCATGATTCCAAACAGCTTCGTAGTACTCCACTGTGCAGCTGAACCATCACTTATTTAAACCTGGAAGCTTGATGAAGGGCACCGACTGAATGAACAAAAATGAGGAAGGGCCTTTGTAGATTCCTCTTCTGCATCTTCCATGTTCCTTTGGAGCCAGTGTTTTGAATGTATAGAAAGTGCGCTGGTCAAGATGTGAGTTTGAATGCAGGCTCTTTCGTCCGTGTGTGCGGGTCTCAGATCTATCCACACATCTTGCTGAGCCCATCCTGTTTGGCATTTTTGCGCATTGAACACAACTGACCACTCCCCATTATTTACCTCTTCTTCCTTGGGCCTCAGACGATGTCCTCCAGCCCAGCACTTCTCCCATATTTCGCCTTTCCTTCTTAGTTTCTGGAACTGGAAACTTTTCTCCTGACCAGCACTCATGTCAGTACCCTCCAGGCCTCTGTTCCCGGCTTCCTCTCTGCTTCTTCCCACCTTGTCATATTCAGTTTGTTTCCTTTGGATGACCCATCTAGTTCCATAGATTTGAGGGCCAAACTCTCCCTGGCCCATCTCTCCTGAAATCTGCATCCACATAGTCAAGGGCCTAAAGAACATCTCCATCAGAAACTCAATGATGTGGCTGGGCGCGGTGGCTCACGCCTGTAATCCCAGGAGGCAGGAGGATCACCTGAGGTCAGCAGTTCGAGACCAGCCTGGCCAACATGGTGAAACCCCATTTCTACTAAAAATACAAAAATTAGCCGAGCATGGTAGAGGACGCCTGTAATCCCAGCTACTCAGGAGGCTGAGGCAGGAGAATCGCTTGAACCCAGGAGGCAGAAGTTTCAGTAAGCCGAGATTGTACCACTGCACTCCAGCCTGGGTAACAGAGCAAGCCTCCATCTCGAAAAAACAAAAAGAAACTCAATGTTGCCACATCTGAGCTCACTTTTTCTTCCCCCAAACTTCTTCCTCTTGGGGTCTCTGTCTCAGTGACTGCCTGTCACCTAAGCCAGCAGCCAGAAGCTGTCTTGAGTCTTTTGCCCTCCCGCCCCTACCTCCATATCCAGCCCCTTAAGCAGCCTTATTCCTGATGGTACCAGCACCTTCCTCCAGCCCTGTCCTACTCTGCTCCAACATCTGCTATAGCCAGGCCATGGTGTCCTCCTTCTGGGTGACACCTGCAGCCTTCTCAATTGTTCCACACCTTTAGATTCTCCTACCATCCATCTACCAGGATACCTTTTTAAAAATTGAGGCATTACTTGAATACAATAAGATGTGCATATTTTAAGTGTACAGTTTGATGATTTTTTGTTTTTTGTTTTTCAGATGGTGTCTCACTCTGTCACCCAGGCTGGAGTGCAGTGGCACAATCTTAGATCACTGCAACCTCCCCATCCTGGGTTCAAGTGATTCTCCTGCCTCAGCCTCCTGAGTAGCTGGGATTGCAGACACCCGCCACCACCCCCAGCTAATTTTTGTATTTTTAGTAGAGACGGGGTTTCACCACGTTGGCCAGGCTGGTCTTGAACTCCTGACCTCAGGTGATCTGCCCTCTTCAGCCTCCCAAAGTGCTGGGATTACAGGCGTGAGCCACCGCGCTCAGCCTGATGAATTTTAATAAATATATTGCATCCGTGTAGCCACCACCCCAATAAAGATAGAGAAAATTTCCATTATCTCTGTGAATGTTCCTTAGAATCCTTTTCAATCAATCCCCTTTCCCATGGGCAATCTCTCTTCTGATCTCTTCCCTAGATTAGTTTTGCCTCTTCTATAGAAATTCTTACAAATGGAATCATATAGTTTGCATTGTTTTGGTCAGCAAAATGCTTTTGAGATTCCTTCACATTGTCATCACAATCACTTAAAAGTGAGTATTTATTTAAATTAGTCTCCTATTAAAACTTTTCATTGGCTCCCCGTTATCCAAATTCCAGGCCCCTGAATGATCTGGACTCATCTCACACACTGCCTACCCTTGAACTTTCACCTTTAGGAATACTGAGCCATTTGTTCACCTGCACAAACGTAGCTTTTCATGGGTTGAGTCCTGCAGCTGGAATCCCTTAACTCCTACACAGTTTGCCTGGTGCACTCCTACTCATCCGGCAGCATTCCGCTCACATGTAGATTGTGTGAGGCTTTCTCTGACCTGTTCCCACCCCCAGGACAAAGAGTCTGTCAGCTGCACTATAATGGACTGTGTCCACTATTCTCGACACCCAGAACCCCTGCCCTGCATCAACTGAATGGATTCCTTTCTCGGTGTGAGTGCTGTGTCTTGCATGTCATTTATCATTGTGCCCACTGCACTGTATGTGTTTATGGACTTGTGTAACCCCTTAGCTATGCTCACTTAGCTATGCTCAGAGGGATAGAAAGATTCATTTTGTTTCCAGAAATTCTTCCCGTGGAAGACAGTCATGCTGCCTACCCAAGAGCCTACCCAAGAAGTACTCCACTGTGCAACTGAACCATCAGTCTTGTGCAACAAGAAGCAAGACAGGCGGGGCATGGTGGCTCACACATGTAATCCCAGTACTTTGGGAGGCCGAGGTGGGTGGATCACCTGAGGTCAGGAGTTCGAGACCACCCTGGCCAACATGGCAAAACCCCATCTCCTCTACTAAAAATACAAAAATTAGCTGGGCGTGCTGGCAGGCTCCTGTAATCCCAGCTACTCAGGAGGCTGAGGCAGGAGAATCTTTTGAACCTGGGAGGCGGAGGTTGCAGTGAGCTGAGATCACGCCATTGCACTCCAGCCTGGGCAACAGAGCGAGACTCTGCCTGAAAAAAGAAAGAAGAAGAAGGAGAAGGAGAAGGGGGAGGAGGAGGAGGAGGAGGAGGAGAAGGAGAAGAAGAAGAAGAAGAGGAAGAAGAAGAAGAAGAAGAAGAAGAAGAAGAAGAAGAAGAAGAAAAGAAGAAGAAGAAGAAGAAGAAGAAGAAGAAGAAGAAGAAGAAGAAGAAGAAGAAGAGGAAGAAAAGGAAGCAGCAGCAGCAGCAGCAGCAAGATGGAAGGCGGAGGTTGCGGTGAGCTGAGATCACGCCATTGCACTCCAGCCTGGGCAACAGAGCGAGACTCTGCCTGAGAAAAGAAAGAAGAAGAGGGAGAAGGAGAAGTAGAAGGAGGAGGAGGAGGAGAAGGAGGAGGAGGAGAAGGAGAAGGAGAAGGAGAGGAAGAGGAAGAGGAAGAAGAAGAAGAAGAAGAAGGAGGAGGAGGAGGAGGAGGAGGAGGAAAAGGAGAAGCAGCAGCAGCAGCAGCAAGACAGTCTTGCTGCCTACCCAAGAAGACTGCTGGGTCTTCTTGCTCTCTGAAGCAGAGAAATCAGCAGTCTTCTTTGCTAACAGACCCTGATCTTGTTCAGGCAACCACGTGCCTAGAGATAGCTTTGCCAGTGATCAGTTGAGGAGTGGTATAATTCCGGCCAAGGAGATGTTAAGAGGACATCTTCTGGGAAAGCTTTTTCTTCCTGAAAAAAAAGAAACCAGAAGCAAATGCTCCATTTTATGCCTTCCTCTTTCCTCTTATTTGGGACACTATTGTGTGATGGTATGATGTTTGGAGTTGTAGCAGCCACCTGGTGACCATGAGGCAGAGACGAAGAAGAGTGCAGAAACATTGATCCCGAACCCTGGCATCAGTGAGGGTCTAAACACCCCTCCTTCCAACTTCCCATTATGTGAGGTAATTAAATGACTTTACTGCTTAAGACACAATTAGTTGGATTTTCTGACATTTGCAATTGAAGGACTCTTAATTGATATATTTTGTGAGTAAACTTTTTATTTTGGGATAATTGTAGAAACTGTAAATCTTCATGAGATTATAAAGCACTTGATGTCCAGATGATGGTGCAGACCCATCTGGAGCTGTCCTCTAGCGTGGCCGTAGCATGTCCACTTAGAGTGTGCCTCAGGGAGCTTCTGCCTTCTCTCCTTGTTCCTCAGTCTTCGGACCTCTCAACCCTCCCTTAGGAAAAAGAAAAGGGCTTCCTCCTCTGGGCCTCTGAGTCAGGCTGTCAATCAGTCCATTCCATCCAGCTTTACCCCACTGGAGTAGGGGGAGAAGGCTTCAGGTCCCAGATTATCTTCTTAACAACCCATGAAAAAGGCATTGTTGCTCCATTTTGTAGAAAAACTTAGTCATGTTAGTAAAAAACCTGATCAAGATCGCACAGTCAGTAACAGAGGAGCCCCACAACCTGGTCTTCCCAAACTCACCATCTTTATACCTCAAAATGTGACCTCCCTTGGGCTTAAATCATGTCAGTATCAAGCAGGTGGTGTGCACGTTGCTTTGGATGGCAGCCATGAAAATGCCCCATCAGATCTCCTACTGCTGGGAGTGTCATCGACCAAGGCCACGGCTCCTAAGGCCATGCTTCCCATGGGCTTCCTGCCACCCAAGGCTGAGCACAGCAGGGGCGCTAAGACAGGACCAATCTTGGGAGATGCAGGGCTGCTCTGAGGACATCGTTAGCTCAAGGACTCCCAGTTGGTTTGACCGGAACTTTCCTAGAGCTGTGCTGAGTCTGAGACTTTGCTCATCCAACCCTCCTTCCTTCTCCCTCTTCCTGGCAAGGGTCAGACCCACAGCCTGGTCTGAAAGTTCCCGCCTCTGCTGGCTCATTTCCCTTTTCCCCTCGCAGATATTTTCCCCAGTAAATCTCTTGCATATCTAATCTTGTCTTGGGATCTGGCTTCTTACAGGACCTGAACTAATGTGCTTTGATTTTTAACCCTCCAAATTCAACCTGGCAACCTGTCTGTAAAGCACCTGGCACATACTAGGTTCTCTTCTCTTTTCCTCTCAGAGTGTGGGTGTTAACAGTGGCCATGCTGTGAGGCTGTTTCTGTCTCCAGTGGGAGCAAGGTGGACTGCCCTGTGACCAGGAGAATATGCACATACCAGAAAACCTATGCCTCCTGAGGTTCAGAGAGGCTGAGGGACTCACCCGAGGCCACACAGCTCATGCCTGAGTGCCCACACAGATACACACACATGCATGGGATGGGGAGACAAAGTTAGGGTGGAGAGACAGGGTCAGGATGTAGTGTGGGGCAGACAAAGGGCACGAGGAAAGCAGCCCCTTCCTGCCCCTCCCTGCTGACTTCCCAGGCTGGTCTGTATGTTTTGGTGTCATGGCAACTGGCTGTGGGGGCTGTACGTGGAAAGTGAAGCTTAACCTTAAGACACTGTGGGGAGCTAAATGAGCCTAAAAGATATCAGGTCCATGATTTTCCAGCCTCCCAGCCTTGCTCCAGCCTGGAGATACTGCCAGCCCATGCCAGCCCTCGGTCATCAGGAAATGCCTTTCTCTACTTACTCTTACTGCCTATCCTGCCCATTGGGCTCACCTGCAATCATTATACTAACTCTGACTCTGGAATCCTCTCTTCTCTTCTTGTTTGTCTAAATCCTCTCTCTCTGTCAGGGCCGAGTTCCAGTCCCACATTCTCTGGAAGCCTTCCCCGGTTTCCCTAGCCCATGTAGCTCTTTTCTTCCTCTGATCGCAGCTAGCAATCCCTGCACTATCTGGAGCACTCACATTATGGCATTTCAACTTTGTCTCCACGCAATTCAACAAGCTCCTCATATGGGCTGGACATCCTGCTGAGTGCTGTATGTTCCTGTGGGTATCTTGGGGGCTAAATCTACTCTAGGCTTGTTAGACTTCGGACAGGCAGCAGCTGACCATCTAGCACTTATGGACCATTTATGACAAGGAGAGGCTCCCATCAGCTCCCAAACTAGGCAAGACAGAGGGTGCAGGTGGTAACTTGTTAGAGCCTTGGACTCGGAGTCCAGACAGGCCACTGTCTGAGTCTTGTTTTTCTAAGCTATAAAATGAGGATGACAGTACCTACCTCACAGACTTGTTCTGAGGACAAATGATATGATGAGATAATATATGTAAAGTAGCAAACACAGTAATTGATGTGCTTGTTGTTTGCTTTTTCCATGCCAGTGGCCCCTGCCTCCACCCCATAGCCCCTGAGTCTACCTAAATACAAACACTGTGTTCCCTTTGGGGCTGTTCAAAGAACTCCCTGTCTTGGATTGTAGAATTAAATAGGAAGAGGCTTGCCCTCTAGAAGCTCACCATCAGGTGCTTCTCACGCTTGCTCTCACTGAATCCTCCGCCAACTCTGGGACAGGAAATAGTATTCCTGTGTCATAGATGACTGAGCCGGGGCTCAGGGAGGTTGAGTCAGACTCAGGCCTGAGACAGATGATAAGCCCTAAGCAAACAGGCAGCCATTGGGTGAGAACACTTTATACTGTGCAGGTGTCAGCTCTGTCCAAATAATTCTTTAAATTCAAAAAGTAATGCCAGGCAAAATCACAACAGGGTTTTTGGGGCAGGGCGGGGGAGAGATTTAACAAGGCCATTCTAAAACGAATCTGGAAGAGTAACTGTGTCGCAATAAACAAAAAATATTTGAAAAAGGAGTACAATGAGGGGAGACTTCCCCTATCAGATATCAAAACACTACCAAGCTGTACTCTTTAAAATCGTGTGCTGGCCTGAGACAAGACAGATGGATCAATGTCACTGAACAGAGAGCTGAAAAAGGGGTTCTGCATTAAGAGGAATTCAGTGTGTAATAAAGTAGCATTTAAAAGCAGCAGAACAAACTTTCAGTTATAAGATGAATAAATTATGGGGATCTAATGTATAGCATGGTGACTATAGTTAATTATACTGTATGGTATACTAGAAATTTGCTAGGAAAATCGGTTTTTCTTTTGTTTTTTATTTTTTATTTTTTGAGATGGAGTTTTTCTCTGTCAGCCAGGCTTGAGTGCGGTGGTGCGATCTTGGCTCACTGTGGCCTCTGCCTTCCGAGTTCAAGCGAGTCTTCTGCCTTAGCCTCCTGAGTAGCTGGGACTATAGGTGCGTGCCACCATGCTTGGCTAATTTTTGTATTTTTAGTTGAGATGGGGTTTCACCATGTTGGCCAGGCTGGTCTTGAACTCCTGACCTCACGTGATCCGCCCGCCTCAGCCTCCCAAAGTTCTAGGATTACAGGCGTGAGCCACCATGCCTGGCCCAGAAAATAGATCTTAAGTGTTTTCACCACACACACACACACACACACACACACACACACAAAGGTAACTGTGTGATGAACGTGTTAATTAGCTTGATTGTGGTAATCATTTCACAATGTAATGTATATCAAATAATCACGTTGTAGGCCTTGAATATATACAATTTTTATTTGTCAATTAGACCTCAATAAAGCTAGAAAAAAGCAATCGGGAAAAGAGGGATTCTTCAGCAAGTATTGTAGAGACAATTGGCTATCCTTGTGGAAAAAAACCATAAAGTTAGATTCGTGCTTCACACCATTCACTGAAATAAATTCCAGATGGATTAGAGAGCTCAATGTGAAAAAAACAAAGCTATAAAACTATTAAAAGAAAATATAGGAGAATTTGTTTATAACCTTGGGGTAGGAAAGGCTTCCTTTAGCAAGACACAAAACACAGAAACCATAAAGGAAAAGATTGCTAAATTTGATTATGTCCAAATTCAAAACTGGTGTATAACAAAAGACGCTGTAAATACTGTTAAAAGACAAGTGACAGACTGGAAGGTATCTAGAACATATGCAACAGAAAAAGATTAATATTCAGGATCTGTAATGAATTCCTACAATAACAAGCAAAAGATAAACAACCCCAAAGAAAAAATGGGTGCTGGGAATGGAATAGACAATTCACCTAAGAGGAACTGCAGATAGTCAATAAACATATGAAAACGTGCCCAGCCTCACTAGTAATCAAAGAAATGCAAGTAAAAATAACGCCAAGTTAATGGTTTTCACCTGTCAGATTTGCAAAATTTAAAAGAGATTTGCGCCGGGCGCGGTGGCTCACTCCTGTAATCCCAGCACTTTGGGAGGCGGAGGCGGGCGGATCATGAGGTCAGGAGATCGAGACCATCTTGGCTAACACACGGTGAAATCCCGTCTCTACTGAAAATACAAAAAAATTAGCCTGGTGTGATGGTGGGCACCTGTAGTCCCAGCAACTCGGGAGGCTGAGGCAGGAGAATGGTGTCAACCCGAGAGGCGGAGCTTGCAGTGAGCCAAGATCCTGCCACTGCACTCCAGCCTGGAGGACAGAGCAAGACTCCATCTGAAAAATAAATAAATAAATAAATAAAATAAAAAATAAAAGAGATTGGCAATGGCCACGGTTGGGAAGAATCTAAGGGCAATGAATACCTTCGTCACCATTGGTAAGAATGGAAATTGTCCTGGCATTTGCAGAGTGTGATCTGGCGGTACCTACTAAAGTGGAAAACACCCAAACTCTTCGCAAGAGCAATTCCAAATCTCTGCCGAGAGAAACGCTCCAAGTGTACAAGGGGCCGCCTTCACTTCGGGTCGTGGCAGTAGTGATGGAAATGTGAACAATCAGAAACAACTGAAATGTTCCTCGGTAGAGAAAGGGCCAAATACATCTCTGTTGTTGTTGTTGTTGTCTTTTGAGACAAAATCTCACTCCGTGGCCCAGGATGGTGTGCAATGGCGCAATCTTGGCTCACTGCAATCTCCGCCTCCTGGGTTCAAGCAATTCTCCTGCCTCAGCCTCCCAAGTAGGTGGGACTATAGGCACGTGCCACCACACCTGGCTAATTTTTGTATTTTTGGTAGAGATGGGGTTTCACCACCTTGGCCAGGCTGGTCTCGAACTCCTGACCTCAGGTGATCCACCCGCCTTGGCCTCCCAGAGTGCTGGTGTAAGCCACCACACCCAGCCCTAAATACATCTTTGAATGTGTACACTAGTAATGATTTTCTGGGGACCAAGCAATGAGAGAGACCTTTATATCCTGAAATGAAAAGGTCTCATTACAAGAGAAAAACAGGTCACAAAACAATATGGATCTGTTTGTATAAACATGGATGCGCACTTCACAACCGTGCATGAGAAAAGATACTCTAGAAGGTACCTACCAAACTGACACTCCCTAGGGAGGCGACTGGGACTGTGTGAGAGCCAAGGGGGGCTTTATCTGAACTATTTAACTTTTTTACAGTGCGTATGTATATGTGTTGTACTTATGTAATAATAATAATGCATTTAAAATAACTTGAAAGACCAGCTGTCACTCAATGCCTGGCAGCTTTATGCCTCTACTTCTCAAGCCCTACTCACTGCCGGTGCCCTGGACCTGTAACTTAGATCCTGTGCCTTGTTCCTGATTGTCCCCATCCCTGACCCCTCGCCACCTCCATCATACTAGGCTCTTAGTCTGGGTTCTTGGCCTGTGCCGTGTGGCCTTCTTGATTCCTGGTGCCTATCATGGGTTGGGAATAAGGGAGAATTGGACATGGTCATATGGCCCCAGGAGAGTACATGGTCCAGCAAAAGAAGAACTTCAGAGGCCGGGCGCAGTGGCTCACGCCTGTAATCCCAGCACTTTGGAGGCCAAGGCAAGTGGATCACCTTAGGTCAGGAGTTCGAGACCAACCTGGCCAACGTGGTGAAGCCCTGTCTCTACCAAAAATACAAAAATTAGCTGGGTGTGCTGGCGTGTGCCTGTAGTGGCAGCTACTCGGAAGGCTGAGGCATAAGAATCGCTTGAACGCGGGAGGCAGAGGTTGCAGTGAGCCAAGATGGCACCACTGCACTCCAGCCTGAGCAACAGAGCAAGACTCCATCTCATAAATAAATAAATAAGTAAATAAATAAATAAACAAACTTCAGAAAAGATGTGGTTGGAAAATGCAAGGAAAGCTTCCTAGAGCAGGTGACGTTTGAGCTGGGACTTGAAAGCAGGATAATTTTAATCCTAAACCCCACCTCAATTATGTTGAAAACTACATAACACCATCACAGAAATTTTGAATAATGGAGAGAAAACAATTCACCCATAATTTCACTGCCCTAACCCAACAACTTTTGTAAATTCCCTTCAATTCTTTGTCCACAAGACACTTATCATTTAAGTATACAATCCAAATAATACATTTGATTATATATATGTGTATATATATATGTGTATATATACATGTGTATATATATATGTGTGTGTATATATGTGTGTGTGTGTATATATATATATATATACATATACACACACACACACTTTTCTTTTTTTTTTCAAGAGACAGGGTTTTGCTATGTTGCCAAGGCTGGATTTGAACTTCTGGGCTCAAGTGATCCTCCTGCCCCAGGTTCCTCAGCTGGGATTACGGGTGTGCTCTGCTGTGCCTGGCTGGTTGTTGTTGTTTAGTATAACATCATATCACAGCCTCTTTTTACATTACTAAGTGATATGTATCGTCATCATCTGTTAATGACTATGGAATTTGCCATCCAGTGAGTGTGCTTCTGATTTAATTACCTATTCCCCTATTGTTGGCTGTTTAGGTTGTTTCTTATTACTAATGCTGCAATGAACATCCTTGAGCATGTAGGGTCTTTCCCCCCCCGCTTTTAGGTTATTTCCTTGGAACAAATAAACTCTCAGAAGTGGAAATACTGGGTCAAAATTTATGAACACTTTTATGGCCCTTGAAACATGTTGCCAAATTGCTTCTAAAAGTAGTTTCAGAATACACTGAGGGCTTTGTTAGGCAAATATGAGAGGTATAGAAATTGAATGGGGGTCCCAATTCCAAGAAACAGCATGTATAAAGGTGCATTGACCAGGACAGACTTCTGCAATTTATCCTTTGAATACCATGACACGGCCAAGATGTAGAATTTTATGGCAGATTCTGCTGGTTGGCAAACTAAGAAGCCGTTCACAGTCTCCTTCTTTCATGTTATTCTCCCACCATAGAAGGTAAAAGCCAGATAATCTCTTGCCCAGCTTCTTTTGCAGCTAAAAGTGACCATGTGACTCCATTTTGGGCTCGTGGAAGAATTCTTTCCTTCCTTTCAGGTTTTTAACCAGTTTATTAAATCTTTGAACTAGGAAGTTGAAGGTTTTTAATATCCCAATTAAAGGGGAAAATGTCATTGATGCCATCTCTCTTTCCTCCTCCTGCCCTGAATGCAGATGTGATGCCTGGAGCTGCGGCAGCCACATGACACCTATAGGGTTGGACAAGCGTTAGCACAAACAGGCAACACAGGAGGGTGAGAGAAAAGAGACAGAAAGACCCTGGTTTCTTGATATCACCATTTGAGTGGCTGAATCAATACCATCGACCTCTAACTTTTTATTATGTGGGAGAAGTATTTGATTATTTGATAATCATTATTTGATAATTGGGGGGGTAATTATCCTCCCTATTTGATTAAACCCTTGTTAGTCAGATTTTCTGTTACTTGCAGTCAAATGCTTCCTAACAGAGGCAAGGCTCCACCACCTTGCCCTGTCTCTCTCAGATAGCACCTGGGATTCAGATTCCCGTCCTGATAGAGTTTAAGTTTTCTCTCGGAACTGGTGACTTGGATTTCCACAGCTCAAGACATTTACCACCTGCCCACCTGTAGTGTGGGTGGAATCCTCTTTCTGATGCTGGATGCTCCCAACAGCCCTCAGAGTCTGAGAGCTGCTTCTATAGTCCCTGAGCCTTGTTTGTTTTTTCAAGAGCAGCTTGAAAAAGGACCTTGTGTTCAAGATACACTGTTGCTGGCTCCCTTTGAGGTCTCAAGAGAATTTTGAGCCAAGAGTCCTGGATTCATTTCTGGCTCTTTCCCTTACCAGTTGTATGTTGTATTGTCTTTTTTTCTTTTTCTTTTCTTTTTTTTTTTTTGTTTAGATGGAGTCTCACTCTGTCACCCAGGCTGGAGTGTAGTGGCGCAGTGTCTGCTCACTGCAACCTCTGCCTCCTGGGTTCAAGCAATTCTCCTGCCTCAGCCTCCGAAGTAGCTGGGATTACAGGTGTGTGCCACCACACCCAGCTAATTTTTGTATTTTTAGTAGAGACAGGGTTTCACCATATTGGCCAGGCTGGTCTCGAACTTCTGACCTCAGGTGATCCATCTACCTTGGTCTCCCAAAGTGCTGGGATTATAGGTGTGAGCCACCGCACCCAGCCCAGTTGTATGGTCTTAGTCACTTAATCTCTCTGAGTATCAGTCTTCTCCTGTAAATAGGGATGCCAGAGTTGCTGGAAGATTTAGAACTGCCAATCTGGTAACATGGTAAGGGCCTAATAAATGTCTTCCATTTGAACACTCAAAGAGGTGTGGCAAAGAGCCCATCACAGGCTGGGCGCGGTGGCTCATGCCTGTAATCCCAGCACTTTGGGAGGCCGAGGCGGGCGGATCACAAGGTCCAGGAGTTCGAGACCAGCCTGGTCAATATGGTGAAACCTCGTCTCTACTAAAAATACAAAAAAAATAGCTGGGCGTGGTGGCACATGCCTCTAATCCCAGCCACTCGGGAGGCTGAGGCAGGAGAATTGCTTGAACCTGGAGGACGGAGGTTGCAGTGAGCCGAGATTTTACCACTGCACTCCAGCGTGGGCGACAGAGTGAGACTCTGTCTCAAAAGTACATAAATAAATAAATAAATAAATAGAGCCCATCATGTAGCAAAACTGGGGATAGACTCTAGCGTGTGGAGCCTCTGTCAAGGTGCCTTCCAATAGCATGTGGCCTCCTCTGTGGACACCTGATGCTGGGAGTGACGCAGGTTCTGCCCTGCTCAGAATAGAAATTGCAGACGGGGGTTGTCCCTGGGCAGGCAACTCTAGGCTACTCTGGGGCTGGGTTTAGCACGTTCTGAACAGGCTCCCAGGGGAAAGAAGGAACGTCTTCTTCCAGGCTCTGGGGACTGCAGGGCCTGCTGAGACCTTGGTGCTGCTCCTAAGCCCCTGGAGGTAGAGCCAGACCTCCCCTGCATCCCTCCAAGTAGCCAGAGTCAAGGTCAACCTGCTCACTTCCCTCCCACAAAGTCTGCAGTGTGGGGGTGGGGGGTGGGGGTGGGAAGCAGCCCCGGTCTCTCCTGCACATTCCCAGCTGACAACTTGACAACTACAGTACCCGAGCCAAAATTAGGACATGGCTCTGTCAAAGGATTCTTTCCATGGCTGAATATATTTATTTGAAAGTTCTTATCAAGGAATAAAAATGAAATCTGCCAGAGGTTTAATGAATCACCTTAATTTGAAGGAACACAAATATGGGCAAACAGGGTCATCTCAGACAGGCTGAATGATGTCAGGAGAGACCTCCTTCTCCACGGCTGAGAGGTAGAAGTCTTCGGCCCAGGGGCAGAAGGAGAGAGGTGGAAGGGGGTGGGCCCTGGTCAGAAGTTACTTGCCTTGAACAAATTCTCCAAAACTAGCAGCTTTTCAACAATTTTTGAAGGGATTGTACAGGCCTATTGATTAGTGAAACCAGAATGAAAAGATGTAAATGGATACAGTGTGAAAGTGAGTCTGGGGGGCCGGGCGTGGTGGCTCAGGCCTGTAATCCCAGCACTTTGGGAGGCCAAGGCGAGTGTACTACCTGAGGTCGGGAGTTGGAGACCAGCCTGGCCAACATGGTGAAACCCTGTTTCTACTAAAAATACAAAAATTAGCTGGGCATGGTGGCGTGTGCCTGTAATCCCAGCTACTTGGGAGGCTCAGGCGGGAGAATCGCTTGAACCTAGGAGGTGGAGGTTGCAGTGAACCGACATTGCCCCATTGCACTCCAGCCTGGGCAACAAGAGTGAAACTGACTCAAAAAGAAGGAAAGAAAGAAAGAAAGAAAGAAAGAAAGAAAGAAAGAAAGAAAGAAAGAAAGAAAGAAAGAAAGAAAGAAAGGGAAAGAAAGAAGGGAAGGAAGGAAAGAAGGGAAGGAAGGATGGAAGGAAAGAAAGAAGAAAGAAGGAAAAGAAAGAAAGAAAGAAAGGAAAGAAAGAAGAAAGAAGGAAAGGAAAGAAAGAAAGAAGAAAGAAGGAAAGAAAGAAAGAAAGAAAGAAAGAAAGAAAGAAAGAAAGAAAGAAAGAAAGAAAGAAAGAAGTCAGTCCAGGGGCCACAGAGAGCTGATGGTGGGAGGGACACAGTGTTGTTTTACTCACTCACCCCTGCCCCCAGTTTACTGGCAGAGCAGGTCCTGCACCTACCCTGACCCTTTACCTGTGTAATTATCCAGCTCTGCACTGGGGGGAGGCCAGGTTCCTACCCTGCACAGACAATTTCCATTTCCCTTCCATAGCCACCTGCAGCCTAAGGCAGGGAAGGAAGGGAGAGAGCGGTGTGAGGCCTGGGAAGGACCCTCTTCTCAGCAGCATAGCAAGCTTATTCCGAGGGTGTTTCCACCAGCCCAGAATAAGGTTGGAACCCCCGTAAGCCTGCTCATCATTGCACTGCTTTAGGGGACATGTACCCCCAGTCCCCTCACTCACCTGTGTTTGGATGCCTTCTGGTTGTGACTTGGCCCCTGCAGGCCTCCGGAGAAGAGCCCATCGAAGGACAGCTTGTCACCTGACACGAGGGGAAGACAGGGGGCCCTGGTTGCACATCCTTTTTCTGCATCTTCCTCTCTGATCTCAGTCAAGGTATGTAGTCTCACTGAGCATCAGTGTCCTCTTCTGTAACAGGGACCTAGTGATTTCTACCCTTTAGGCCAGATCATACATGCAGAGCCCCGATTTCTTTGTCTGGCACACAGTAGGCCGTTGATAAGTAGTGACCATTAGTATGTAAAAACCATTAAGGCACATAAAAGTATAAGAGCTAACAACAATAATAATAATTATGGCAATTATCCTGCCCTCCTCCTTACACCCAGGCAGAAGGAAGCCAGGAGGGAGGACGCTGCCGTCCTTCCAGCCTGATGACTGACTTCTCATAGAGAGATTCTTGTTGTTCTTGGGCAGATGGGCTCTGACTAATTTCCACATTCACTTTCTTCTTGCATAGCGCCATTCACACCTAGGAGATGGCTTGACCTTCTTCTCAGCTGGGTAGGGTGCCGCTTCTGCCCCCCATAATAATCAGGCCCCGGAGGCTACCACCTGGGGCTGCTGGGGGTGACCCATCCCAGCTGCCCTAGTTCCAACGGCCCCGTGAGTTCTCAGCTGCCCTAATCCCAACAGTTCTGTGAGATCTTAGCAGCCCTAGTCCCAGCAGCCCCTTGAGTGATCCCTTCTTGTCCCTCTCCTGCCCTGCTCAGCTAAAGAAGGACTGAGCTGCTGTGACCCCAAGAAAGGTGCCGGTTGGCATCGCACTCAGCACTGACAGCAAGGCTGAGCACGCTCAGAGGGAAGGCGGAGAAGGCCCCCGCCTCCTGCTCACGGCCTACTGTCTCCACAGGCCCAGGCTGCACGGGCAGGACCGCGGCTACATGTCTGCAGCCTGGCTTAGCCTCTCAGCCGAGCCCCTCTCTCCTCCCCCACCTTCTCCCGCCTGTCGGGGGTAGGGAGTGAGAAGGGGATCTTAATTTCTCCTGCTTCTAATCAGCACCGCTGGGAGCATCAGCCTGCAGGGGGAGGAGGAGGTGAAAGGCCATGGGCCTAATCTACAAGCCACCCAGTCACCAGCGCCCAGCTTCCCTCCTCACAAGCCATGGAGCAAACAAATTATTTTTGTTGTTCCTGGGAAATCTGCAAGTACTTACCCGTGTGATTAGCATCTGTGCCTCATGCCGGCAGTTCAGGTGAAGAGGCCATGGCTAGTAGCCCGGTGCCGGGCCGCCTGTAATCAAAACCAAAGCGGCGGCCAGGGTGCTCTCTGGCAACGACGATGTCAAACTCAATCTGGCCCTCACCTGGGACAGCTTCTCTGGGAGCCCTATGCACGTTGAGGCCTCGGTAGCTCTGAAATAAATGCAGGAAGGGGCTGGGAGGCTGGGGTAGCCCAGCCTTCCCACAAGTAGCTCTGGCACTCCAAAGCCGGGGCAGATGGAGGGCCTGAGGCCTGACGCACTGATGCAAAAGCCTTGGGCCCAGGGATCTGCATTTTAAGCTGCATTCCAAGTGGCTCTGATGCGCCTCCAACGCTTGGGAAACACAGGATGCTGTCCAGGCTCCCCTGAGTCAGTCTAGTAGTCACAGCGATGAGCCCGGTTTCCAAATGCCTACGAGGTGCAGGCGCTTTATCTGCTAATACATTCTCTCATTGTCCCTTTGAGAAAGGTGTGAATATACCTTCATATAGATGAGGAAACTCAAGCTCAAGAGAATAAACCACTTGCCCAAAGACACAATGCAGGGCGGAGAGTCAAACTGAGGTGTGCCTGCCCGCAAACCCTGTTCTAGACCCTTCTGCAGAGTTAGGTCCCGCTTGGAGCTGCTGTCTCATGCGATGCGGAGGTGAAGTGGAGTCCCCCGACATTGCTCATGGACTGGCAGCCCCCTCGGCGAGAGAGCAGAGGGAGGGAATGACACAGAAAGCTCCGATGTGTCTTGTTCCCACCTAAGGGGCAAGCTGTTCTCAGCCTCCTGCTCAAAGCAGGGAATAACACGCATCTGCCTTTATTCCACGGGCGCAGAATATGGCATCCCTACGAGGAGCAGGAAGAACAGGCCAGAAACTGGCAAACAGCACACAAGGTGCTAGGACTGGGACAGAGCGCAGGAGCTCAGCATGGAGCCCACGGGGGAGGCACTCCTCGTGACAGCAGGCGGCTGGCATGTGCATACAGAATGGCCGCTGGAGGCTCTCCTTAATATGCTGGGCAGAGGTTGTACTTAAGTGAACCCCCAGTGAGCCCCCTTGGAGACTAAGGGCCAAAGCTGAACTCAGGAGCAGCCAGCATGGAGCCGGAGTGGGGAAGCCGCGGCCAGAAGCAGTGGAGTTTAGACGGACAATGTAAGAAGCTGACTCTAGCCTGGATAGCGCAGAGACTGGGTTTTCATCAGTTCCTCAGTGAAGAGGAAATTGGAAATTAATACCAAAAATCCCACTGAGTAGCGTCCATAGTTTCCATATGTAATCATGCTTGGCTTAGCCAGGTAGTAGAATGTTTATGATTTTCTTTCCAAGGTGGAGTTTAGTCATTCTCAACGAACCATTTAGTTGGCTTCATAAGGTCCTGAATTAAAGAACCCCTCTAGGTGATGTTATAGATGGGCAGATACCTGGGCGAGGTGGACCCTCACTGGCTGTTGAAGTCAAGGCGGAGGGCCCAGATTGGGCAAATCCGGGGAAGAAGCCATCCTCCCAGACAGCTGCTTGGACGAGGCCAGGGCGCCACACGCTACGTGAAGCGCTGGCTGGAGGAGAAATGGTCTGTCGTAGGTCTAGGTCTGTTTTAAGGATCTCCCCTGGCGTTTGTGATTCACGTACAAAAATTCAAATGGTATGCCCCTCCCCGAACACATGCTGTCAGTAAACGGAGGCATCGCTGCACTGCCAGCTAATGACTGCAGGCTGAGGCGGGCGGCTGGGTGCGTTCACTGCAAGCTCGGAACGCTGGCACTGGCTCTTCCTGCTCCATCCTGGAAAGGAGGAGAATGAGGCAGCCTCCTGCCCGTGGCCCTGATCTTTAGCTCGCTCTACACTGGAAACCAGGAGATGGATTTAGAGACCCGGCTGCACAGTCCCTCACCAGCTGCTGGGTGCCACAGGCAAGTGAGGGCGGCTGGGCAGGCTGAGGGCCTGGGGATCCCATCGTGTGCCTACACACACATGCACACACACTCTTAAGCATGCATACACACACACACTCTTTTTTTTTTTTTTTGAGATGGAGTTTTGCTCTTGTTGCCCAGGCTGGAGTGTGATGGTGCGAACTCAGCTCACCGCAACCTCTGCCTCCCGGGTTCAAGTGATTCTCCTGCCTCAGCCTCCCGAGTAGCTGGGATTACAGGCATGTGCCACCACGCCCAGCTAATTTTGTATTTTTAGTAGAGATGGGGTTTCTCCATGTTGGCCAGGCAGGTGTCAAACTTCTGACCTCAAGTGATCCACCGGCCTTGGTCTCCCTAAGTGCTGGGATTACAGGCGTGAGCCACCGCTCCCAGCCCCCACACACACTCTTAAGCACACATACACACAGACACACACAGCCATATGCACACATTCATACACACACTCATACACACACATACACATACATGTACACACTCATGTATACACATTCATATATACACATGCATGTTCACCCACAGATGTGCCCATTTATCTACACACACTCACACACAGACACACATTCATTCACAAATGCTCATAAGCACACACACTCAGAAATAAACTGTACACACATGTACAAAGAGAGACATACCCTAACACACTCTCACACAGACACACAGTTAACACGAATACAAGACACACCCTTATATGCAGCACACACTTGTTCACTGAGTCCACACCCTCAGACACACCCACGTGCACACACACCTTCCCTCCCCACTTGCCCTTCAGACAGAAGAAGGCAGCATTCCGGCGCTCTCTGCCGCCACCTGACTGCCCTGCACAGAGGCCTCCCAGCCCCAGCAGAGCAAGATCTGCTGCCAGGCCGCCCCTGCTGCCCCCATCTCGGTCACTCATAAATGCCCTGAGGATGCCCACATGCTCAGACCCAGCCTTGCCCACCTGCTCCTGCCTGCGGCCTTTTCTTCCACATATCAACAGCCTCTCTCACAAGGGCCTTCACACAGCCTCTGACACACACACACTCAAACACATGGAACATGCTCTCCCTCCTTTGCCATCTCACTGTCACATGGGTCGGTCACTCTGTCTCCAGCCTCTCCCAGTCACATCCATGCGATTTGCCTGCCAGCTTGTCCCCTACAACTGCACCCCCAGCTTTGGTCTTTGTCTCATGCACAGATACACCCAGCCCTGTATCTGTCTGTCTGTCTCCCTCACGCAGGAACAACTTGAGCCATGGCAAGTGGGAGAGGGCGTCAGGCCTGATGGAAGCTGTTATTCTTAGCCCTGTCACTGAACACTTGCACCCCTCCCCAGCTCAGCCCCTGCCCTGCCTGTCACCCTCCCCTCGGGCAGAGCCGAACCTGAGGCCAGTCTAATCCCCCATCTGTGGAGAGGGAGGGGAGGCAGCAGGGGATTGCTGCCCAGCATTGAAAAGGAGCAGAAAATGGGATTTATTTTTGCTGCCCCTCATCCCCCCCTTCCCCGACTCTGCCCCCAGCTGCTCAGAGAGCAGTTGTGTGAGGAACGAGTGGGGGTGGAAGGAGGGAATTTGCATTTGAAAATGCTTGTTGGTTGGCCTGAAACACTGGGTGCCATTGCTGATCCGGTTCTCTGTGTGCACACGTGTGTGCATATGTGTGTGTGTGTGTGTGTGTGTAGGGTGTGGGAAGGTGGGGCTGTGGGTGAGAAGACACTGGGGAAGTGGACTCAGGGCTTTCTGGAGTGACTGTGTACCCCTTTCTTGCTTTGGAGCTGGAACCAGCCATAATAGATCAGACCCAAGCTCAGCTTCTTTTTTTTTTTGAGACAGAGTCTTGCTCTGTCGCCCAGGCTGGAGTGCAGCGGCGCCATCTCGGCTCACTGCAAGCTCCGCCTCCTGGGTTCAAGCAATTCTCTGGTCTCAGCCTCCTGAGTAGCTGGGATTACAGGCTCCCGCCACCACCCCTGGCTAATTTTTGTATTTTTAGTAGAGACGGGTTTTCACCATGTTGGCCAGACTGGTCTCAAACTCCTGACCTCAGGTGATCCGCCCGCCTCGGCCTCCCAAAGTGCTGGGATTACAGGTGTGAGCCACCTCGCCCGGCCCCAAGCTCAGCCTCTGTTTGGCCTCAGGAACCACCAACTCCTAGACCTCTCTCTGCCACCCGGGCCACTTGTAGGCCTCCATATCTTATGTCCAGCTGCCCTGAGTGGAAAGGAGGGAGTTCCACCCCAGGAAGTCCCGTGGACATCTCAACCCCAAGGTGCTTGGTCTTTTTCTCCAAACCTCTCCTTCTCCCTGGTGTCCCGAAGTCGGAAGCTTCAGACAACCCCCACTTCTTCCTTGCCCCACCCTTTCTGGTCTGCCTCAGAAGGTGCTCTGAAGGTGTCCTCTTGTCCCCACTCCCATGAACCCAGCCCCAGCAGGCCCCTCTTCGGCTCTTGCCAGGACTATTGCAGGAGCTGCTAGCTGCTCTTCCCACCCTCAGTCTCCCTTCCTGCCCATCCCTTCTCCAGACAGCTGCCAGTAACTTATTAAAAAGCCAAAATAAATAAAAGCGTATAGTGTCACTCTCCTTCTCAAAACGCTCCCCTGGCAGCTGCAGATAGAGTCTAGAGCCCTGGGGTGCCGCACCAGGGCCCCCGTTCTGTCCCATGTCCCTCCCACCACTCTCTCTGAGCCCTTCCCTTCCTCTCTGCTGGCTCTTTAGCCTGAAATAGCTTTTCCCTCTCCTTCACCTTGAGTGGATTTGGAATCCAATTTAGATATCATCTTCACTTCTGAAAACTTCTGCCTCCCCACACATACCTCCATGAGAATCGTTTTTAATCTTTTTACTCTCAAGGGTGTGTACAAACTTTAATTCCAGCCCTGAAACCACTACCCTTCAGCTCAGGGTCCCTTAATGAGTCCATCCTCGACGCCTGTGCCAGGCAGGGTCCTGTCATGCGTATGTCCTCTCTGGCCATCTCCATTTGACACAGTCCTGTCCAGCTTGAATCTAACCTCCCTGATGTTGACTCGTGTCTCCCTTCCTTTGGGATTTTCAGTCTGTGGCCACACTGGGCCCTGACTCTTTTGCCCTGTGCTGTCCACATTGTTTTCTACGTGCGGGTGTGGGGCCACCCCAGCTGGCCTGGGAGCTCCTGAGGGTGTCAGGGTGGAGTTCCTGCAGCCATGCCCCTGTGGAGCTCTGAGTGGTACTGGGCTCACAGCCAGGACTCAGCGACTTTGGGGACTGGGGCTGCAGGGCATTGAATTTAAGTCGGGAAGAGGGAGGAGGAGGGGACGGGAAGAAAGGAGCCCTTAGCAGGCGCTGAGTGAAGGCAGGTTGTAGGCCCCTGGGACTCCACTCTCAGGGCAGGACTGGGGGCCACAAGGCCTGCTCTCGCCTGGCAGCTGTGAGGAAACCTGCTCCCAGAGGTGATGCCAGAGGTGCGGGCCACCGGGGCAAGTGGTCTGGCGGCTGGCCAGGATCTGACTCTGACACTGGCCTGCTGAGTGCCCAGAAGAAAGAGGCTCAGAGGGAGAGCCAGAGCATGAGAGACATGGCAGGGACGCTGAGTGAGAGGGACAGAGAGAGACACGGCAACAGGGACAGAGACAGAGAAGAGGAGAGGGGGGCACAGAGACACATACGCTGAAAGAGAGACAGACAGATTCAGAGACAGACTGAGAGACAGAGTGACTTAGAGACACGCACAAAGAAACAGACTGATGGAAAGAAAGACAGGGTCCGAGAGAGACACACAGACCAGAAGACAAAAAGGAAGGCAGACAGAGAGGACAGAAAGGAGTGAGGCAGCGTGGGGAGAGAGAGGCAGGGACAGAAACACAGACACAGACAGACATGAGGGCACAGGGCAGCCCGAGAGAAGCCCATAAACACAGGCACGCACATGCGTGGAGGAGGCACGAAGCCACCTAAAGGTGGAGGGAGGGTGTCGGGGAGGAGAAGGCACAGGCCTGACGCTCAGGGCCTGGGGTTGGGTGGCGGGAGGCTGGGCCTGTCGGCTCCTCTCCTTGACGTGAGTCAGGGGTGGTGGGCAGGCTGATGGGGCAGGCCTGAAGTAGGGCTGCGTGGAAGGGCTCTGCGGGGTCAGGGGAAAGCCTGGGTCCAGCTGTGAACCCTCCAGGATCCAGGGCTGCCCCAACAGGAGCCCCAGGAGAGGGAGCTGGAACCAGAGAACAGCACGTGGCAAGAGGCCCCAGTTAAGCTTTGCAGCAGGATGGCCCAGTGGCTACTGGGTTCAGAACAGCTTCTTGGGAGCTGGGTGTCGTGGCACATGCCTGTAGTCCCAGCTGCTCAGGAGGCTGATCGCTTGAGCCCGGGAATTCACGACTAGCTTGGATAACATAGTGAGACCCTGTTCCTTAAAACAAAAAACAAACAAACAAAAAAACACAAAAAAAAACAGCTTCCTGGACATGGAACCTCTCACCTCAGCAAGGAGAGGAGCTGTGGAGGGAGCACAGGGCTGAGACCCTCAGAGTTCCTCCATGGGAACAGCGCACCTGCATCTGTGTCTAAGCCTCAGAGAGACTCCCCAGGCCCTTGGCAGTCCATTCCATTGTTCCACCGTCCAATACAGAGAGCCCACTGGAAGTCCTCCCTGCTGTCTCATTCTGATACCTCTTATTGCAAGTGCAGCCCACTCAACTCTTTAGGAGGTTAAAAAAAAAAAAGCAACAAAAACCCCTCCACCGAAATCTGAAATGCCACACAGTGCTCAGACAAAGACCCCTTTCTGCACAGCTTTACTCCCTCCTACACCTCTCTCCCCCTCCCCACCCCGCTTCCTTACTGCAGGCTAAATTGGCAGTGGGGAGGTTTTGAGTCAACAAATGCAGTGGGTTGGGGAAGGGAGCCCTGAAGGGGATTCCTGTCTGGGAAACATTTGCTGACAGCAGTTACTATGACAAGGAAGGCCTGCAGGAGAACCCAGCAGCCCCTGCCTCCTGCCTACTGCCCCTCCCAATTCTAGCTCTCCTTGCCCATCCCCCCTCCCAACCAGTTCATTCACTGACTCATCCATTCCATCATTTACTCAACTCAACAATCTTTAGACATTTACCATGCCTCCAGCACCCGCTTGGCATTTCATGTTTATTCTTCCACTCTGTCCTCACCACAACCCACAAAGTTATCTGTTGTTTTCCCTTTTGACAAAGTAGAAAGCTGAAACCCAGTATACTGAATTGACTTGCCCAGAGTGGTGCAGATGACAGGAGGCAGAGCTGGGATTTGCACCCAGGACTCTCTGCTTTCCAGATCAGTGTGGGGGTTTCTGAACTGCGTCAGGAAAGCAGGTGCCAGGTGATGAGTACTGTACAGGCTGAGACTTCGCCATCTTTGGCTCTGCATCACTAAAACTGTGCCCAGCACCCACACACAGTAGGCACTCAGTACACACTTGTGCCATACATTCAGCACACATGAACTCAGTATACACATGTGCTTTTTGATGGGAGGGCAAGAGTCAGCAAAAGTGGGACTCCTGAGAAGAGAGGGCCTTCCTGTTTGGAAGCAGCTGTACCTCGGTTCTGCAATCCAGGCACTCAAGGGCATTGATAAAGTGCCTACTGTGTGCCGGGCACTGTGTTAGGACCTCTGAATACAAAGATTTAAAACACAGATTTGTAGTTTGCCCTAAAGGAGGTCTTTGTTTAGTGGAGGAGGCAGACATATAAACAGATGGAGTTAGCAGTGCTACAGAAATAAGTACCAAGTGCCGTGGGGTTGCAGGTGGAGCAAGGACCTAAATCTGAAAAGCAAAACAAGAAAGCCTTTATAAGACAATGTAAAAAAAATCTCCGTGACCTCAGGGTAGGGAAAGATTTCTTAAACAACACACAAAAATAACACTAACCATAAAGAAAAAGATTGACAAATGTGGGTGCATTAAAATGAAGAAGCTGTGTTCTTCAGAAGACAACATGAAGAGAGTAAAAGGGAAGCCACAGAGCAGGAAAAGGTTTTGCAACACATGCAACTGACAAAGGGCTCAGCTCCAGAATGTGTAAAGAACTCCCACAAATGAGTATGAAGATTGGCAACTCAATGGAAAAACTGGATCAAATGCATAAATATGGAAAAATCCAAATGGCTATAAATATATGAGGTGTGTGACCTTATCAGGAATCAAAGAAATGCAAATTAAAATCCCAAGAAGATTCTACTACATACCCTCCAGATTAGCAAAAATGTAAAAGTCTGATAAAACGAAGGGCTGGTGAAGATCTGGACCAGGAGTTCTCAAATATCTCTTCAGAAGCAGCCGGTCAGCATCTAAGCAGTCAATTCAGACATGTGTACTCCAGAGGTGAATCGTGTACAAGAATGTTCGTGGCAGGCATTATTCATGAAGGCCCCAGACTGGAACCAGTGAATATCCAACAGCTGTAGATTGGATAAACTGAGTACAGAGAAACAGAATGAAGAGCACAGTTAATTCTGCCTGAGGGGCTGGGGTGTCTGGGAAGGTGGATCTTGGAGGAAGAATAGTTTCCCAGTCAAGGAAGCGGGAGAGAGGTTATCCCATCCAGAGGGTTCAGCAGATGGATGATCATGGGGTTAAGAGCAGTTCTAGCTTGTCCAGGAGGCAGCTGGATTAGGGGCTGGCAGGGAGAGAGGCAGGGAAGGTGAGCAGAGAGAGGTTGGATGTGTTGGAATGTGAAGGCCTCTGTGGGCCATCGAAGGAAATTTGGCTTAAATACAAAAGTGAGAGATAGTCAGAAGCAAGGAGCAACTAGAGGTTATTGCAAAAGATGATGCAGCAGGAAAGAAACATAGCAGTGTGGCGGAAGAGAGAGGGTGCATTTGGGAACCATGTCTGAGACAGAATACATAGGATGTTGTGTGGGGTGTTGGGAGGGGTCAGGACGGAGCTGAGGCAACTCCCAGGTCTCTGGCTGGCCGGCTGGGTGGAAGGTGATGCTCTAACTCAACATCCAGAGACTGCGGAGGTGGAGGTTTGAGGCAAGAGCTAAGAGGACTAGTTGGGGACATGCTGCTTTGGTGGTGCCTAGGGATACACAGGTGAACATCCAAGTTCACCAGGATGTGGAGCTTGGACATGAGCCACAGATATCAGAATTACTAGAGCAAGAAGCCATGGGTTTAGATGAGAATATCAGGGGTGCAGGAGCAGGGCAAGACAAGAATTGGAGCTCTAGGAACCACAACATAGAGGCAGTGGACAGAGGAGAAGCAGGGGAGAGAGAGGGAAGGGATGATGGAAAATAAGAGAAGGTCCAGAAGAGAGGGTGGTGCTGCAGCAGCTAAGGGAGGAGCAAGTTGCACCAGGGCTGGGTGGTCTGTGAGTGAAAACTAGGTCTTGGGAAGAGGTGGGGTTGGGTCTGTGGTTAGCAAAGAAGAGGAGGAGAGGGTAGTTGAGGGAGTTCTGAGAATCTCTATTTTCTCTGTCAATTACACATGACGGAGGGGACAGGCCGGAAGCCTGAAAGGGTGGTAAGTTTCAGAACAGGAGCTGATCACCAGCAGCCCAGGAGCTGAAGGGCCAGGCTGAAGTCAGGGACCATAAATCTGGAGTGGCACTAGTTTGCACGGTTGAGTGGTTTTCCTATGCCTTCTAGTAGCCTGGGAATTGCAATGGACAAAGCAGATGACTGGAGTCCTCCAGGGCTGGGAAAGGCAGGGTGAGGGGGTGTGGGAATCAAGGGTGTCGGGAAAATGAATGATGTGGCCAATCACAGGCAGGTCAAGAGAGGAGAAAGTAGAGCCAGGAAGGAGCAGATGCGCTGGCGGAAGGCCTTGTCCAAAGCCGGCACTGCAGCACCGGTGCTCGAACGAGTGAGACAGAACGGGAGAATTGGAGAATCTCTGCGAGTGGAGACCAGGTTTTATGGAAAGGAAGGAAAAAGTTGTGGCCCAAGATGGGGGTGCTGGAGTTTAAGATTTCACAGGAGACGTTTCAGGTGATATGTGGGTGGCAGAAATGGAGAGAAGGTCGTTGGGGAAGGGGAGATAGGAGAGCCAAGGGTGAGGGTGTTGGGAAGTCCATGTGGACATTCAGGTCCCCCAGACTGACAGCAGGAGGTGGGAGACAGAAGAAGACCCTGAGCCAGGCGCCCAAGTCCTCAAAAGACGTTGAGTGACCTCTGGGTGGATGGGTGATCCCAGCCAGGTTGGGTGAGGGGTGTGTGGCTGGATGGTGGGAACCTGGAGGTCTGGTTTTGAGTGGGAGAGGAAGAGTCATGGACTGGGTGGCAGAGAGAGGTGGAAGAATGCTGACTGTCCGGCCTGGCCAGGTGCCACCTCCAGCAAGCTCGTCTGATCACTCTCTTCTTGACCTTCATTGTTCTTTGAGTCTGAAAGACTCCATTTAACCCTTGAGTATCCACAGCCCCAATATTTGCTTCTCTCCTCCAGAGATCACTGGGCAGAATTCCCATGGGTGGATTGTGGCTTCTGTGTATTGTGGCCCCAGTGTATTCTGAGAAATGGGCCATGGACACAGGACAAAGAGGCCTTGACCGCAGCTTGGGTTAGTGAAAGTGTGGGCTGCTCTGGGCCAAGCCACACCATCTACTTTGGGCCCAGCAGGCTGGGCTCCTCCACCCCTACCCCATCTCCCTGGGACATGTGGAGCTTTTCTACCCTTCATTTTGCACATGGAAAATTAAGCCAATAAAAGCCTCAAGAATATTAAGGCATGGGCTGAGGCCTGATGGCATCTGGAACCCCGTCTGCAATACCTGATTCCCTTCACCTGCTATCAAAATCTTGCTCAGCCTTCAAGGCCCAATCAAGGGAGCCTCACCTTCTTTCTGATCTTCCCTTCTCCACGTCAATTACTTTGCTGGCTAGATTCTTGGTCCTTCCATTTGGCATTTGTTTTCACCCATCTTAAAGTTGGTTGCTAAGAGTCTGTGTTTTCTATAAGACTTCTTTTTTTTTTTTTTTTTTTTTTTTTTTTGAGACTGAGTCTTGCTCTGTCACCCAGGCTGGAGTGCAGTGGCATGATCTCGGCTCACTGCAACCTCCGCCACCCAGGTTCAAGCGATTCTCCTGCCTCAGCCTCTCGACTAGCTGGGACTACAGGCGTGGGCCACCACATCCAGCTAATTTTTGTATTTTTAGTAGAGACAGGGCTTCACCATATTAGCCAGGATGGTCTCAATCTCTTGACCTCATGATCCGCCCGCCTCGGCCTCCCAAAGTGCTGGGATTACAGGTGTGAGCCACCGTGCCCAGCCAAGACTTCATTTTTTTAATGAAGGGGAGTTGGGGGTTGGAGATACTAACCATCATCCTCTATGTGATGGTATCTACAAGACTTCATTCTTGAAGTCAGTGCCTCTGAAGGGGCCATGGGTACAAATAAGACATGGTCCTTTGGGAAGGAGCTCACATTCTGAACATAGTGTTGGTGGATTCGAATTGATTCTTGGATCTCCAGGGCTAGGATCTGCAAATTGAAGACCAGTGGATCCAGGGGCAGGTTGAGGGGAGTGGGAATACCATGAAGCCTCTTGGAGAAACTTTCAAAATTACAGAGGCAACACCCAGGGATTCTGATATGATAGATGAGGGGGGCGAGGAAGGGTCAGGACCTCTGAATTTGTAGAAACTTCTGGTGGTTCTGAATCTTCTGGTCAAGAACCATGATTTGGGGAAATACAGTGTTCTGCTGCCTCAGCGATTCTGCTGCCTCAGCCTCCCGAGTAGCTGGGAATACAGGTGCGGGCCACCACGCCCAGCTAATTTTTGTATGTTTAGTAGAGACAGGGTTTCACCATGTTGGCCAGGATGGTCTCGATCTCTTGACCTCGTGATCTACCCGCCTTGGCTGTGGGGCTAACAAAGTAGTAAAAGAAAAGCTGAACTCACTGCCATATGCTGGGTATGCAAATGACAGTCACTTATGAGCCCTCCTCACAACCCAAAACCAATCACTGCAAAGCACAATAACAATTGGGCATGGCATTAAAAGGTGAAGGTCAGTTTTTGTAGGTGACGTTAGATTTTACTGTAAGCATCTCAGGACTGGCTATCGTTCAAGGCATGAGTGCTAATCACAGTAATAAGAAACCTCAGTGTGCTTTGAGGCTCTCCCCCTATCTCTTTCTCTTTCTCAATCTGTCTTTAAATCTTCCAGTTTCTAGAGCTAGATATCTAGAAAGAAGAAACCTAATGCATGCTGAGCACCTATCATGTCCAGAACTTGGAGTATTTATCTTATTTGATCTCTACAACTTCCCCATGATGAAGAGCTGTGTGCAGAAAACAAATGGTTCAGAGCAGTGGCCTCCACTGACTCCACTTCAGGTCCTGGCCCTGCAGCTCACTACTGCAGATTTGGGACAGTCTAACCTTCACAGCATCAAGGTGCTTATCTGTGAGATGGAGCTAAGATGATGTACCCTATCACGCACAGGGTAGATGTGTGATACATTGCAGCTCTTTATTGCCATCATCCTGTTTTGTAGATGAACACACTGAAGCCCAGTTGTAAGCAGCTGTAGGTATTTGCACTCAGGTGGTCTGGACACTCCATGCTGTTTCCCCCAGTGCTCCACCTCCAGGCAGCCTGGCCTTGGCTGGGGAGCATGTGCCACGGGACCCTGGCAGAGGCTGTAACTATTTCCAGGGATGTAGATCTCCAATGGGGTTGGGGGATGGGGGTGTGGGGGAGCACCTGTGGCCATTAGGAACTACATTTATGAGCCTGTTACACCAACTGGCCCCCTCCCCCAGGTCTGCAGCACATTGAAGTTCTTCCTGTTTGCTCCCAAGCAGATGGTGCCGGAATCTCTCTACACCAACTCCCATTCATAAATCACAGCCATTCCCCGGGTGCTGGAGCAACCATTCTAATTACAGTGGGGGAAGTGTGCGCGCAAGTGTGTGCGTGTGGAGTGAAGGGATGTAGACAGAGGCTGCTGGCCGGGAGATACCACCTCTTCTGCATCGTGGGTACTGCCGCCTCCCTCAGCAGCCCTCCCAGGCCCTATGCTTCACAGAGGGAAGCCTGGGAGTCCTAGGCCTGGGGAGGGAGGCCTGGTGGGAGTGTTTCCTGCTCCTGTGACACTTCCACCCCCCTCAAGTGGCCTTAGGATGAGGCAGCCATTCTTGACCCCACACTTTCAGGCCCCAGGCTCTCTGTAGAATGGTAGGGGGAGGGGAGGCCACTATTAACAGAGTCCCTGGTGTGTCCCAAGCCCTCTGATGGGGACTTGAGATAGGATTGGGAACCTGGTCACAATCTGGTCAACTCTTATCTGCTGGAGGTGAGAGAGAGTGGAGGGGCGGAGAAGAGAATGACAGGCTTGAAGAAAGCCAGGCTGGGGACCCTTGCTGAGTACCTCCACTCCCCAACTCCAGAGCTCTCTGGGTCCCTTATCTAAGGCCCCTGGGCTGTGTGTGTGAGCATTATTTCCACGCATATTCATCTACCTCAGTGTGCAAGTGAATACGGATTTGTTTGTGAATCTGGGGATGTTGTGCTTGTGAGTACAAGCAGTTTGTAAGCTGTGAATCACGGTGTGCACTGTTCACATGTGTGTGCGAGCCTGTGGGCTCCTGTGTGGGGGGGAGTAGGGGTTTGGTTGTGTGAGTTTGGGTGTATATAGAGTGTCTTTGGGGTGTGTGTGTTGGAGCCTGGGAGAGCAGGCATGAGACGCATCTGCTGTTGGCTAGATCTGCATGCAGTGTCTGAACGAGGTGACACTGCATGACTAAGGATTCTTGTGTGTGAGGCCTGTTCCCACCACCCCTCGGTTCTGAATGCCCCACTATAGAGGTGCATCAAGTAGTCTGCTTCTTTCCTTAGTCCTTGGGGCTTCACTTACAAATGAGGAACGGGAAAGTGGGGCAGGGGGTGGCAAGGCTACCTTCCCACCTGGAGCAAGCTGGAAGGAGGCCTTCAGTCCCCCAGCACCCCCACCTGAGGACAGTGGCTGCCCTGTGGGCTCATGACTGACCCTCAGTCTGTTTTTTTGCCCAAGCTCCTCTCCCTCCAAGTCTGCGGCCTCTCGTTTTTTTTGTTGTTGTTGTTTGTTTGTTTGTTTTGAGATGGAGTCTTGCTTTCTCACCCAAGCTGGAGTGGAGTGCAATGGGACGATCTCGGTTCACTGCAACCTCTGCCCCCCGGGTTCAAGCAATTCTCCTGCCTCAGCCTCCCGAGTGGCTGGGATTACAGGTGAGCACCAGCACCACCACGCCTGGCTAATTTTTGTATTATTAGTAGAGACGGGGTTTCACCATGTTGGCCAGGCTGGTCTTGAACTTGTGACCTCAGGTGATCCACCCACCCTGACCTTCCAAAGTGCTGGGATTACAGGTGTGAGCCACCATGCCAAGCCTGCAGCCCCTCTTTTTGTCAATCTCCTGTAAGTGTGATTCTTCCCAGTCCCCTCCTTCTCCAGAATCTGCCCTTCAGGGAGTCCTCCTTCTTCCCCTGCTCCAGAGGATCCAAGACATCCTCTTACCTGCTTGAGTCCATGTCCATGTCCTCTTACCTGCTTGAGTCCTCCCTCCCCATTAGGTGGCAAACTGAGAGGGGGAGAGTTTGGCCACCATGACAGATGCTGCCGAGAGGGGACACTTTTGCTTCCCTTGCCTCTCCCTCCCCACGGATCTCTGTAACCCTCAGAACTTCCCTAAGCAGCTCTAAGCTATCCCCAGGGGAAAGAGCAGGGACTTGAGAATAAGAGCTCCCCATTTGCCACTTGCTGGCTGTTTCTCCAGCTACAAGTCTTTGTACTTGTCTGAGACTCAGTTTCATCAACTGTAAAATGGGGGTTAAAATACCTGTCCTGCCTATCTCACAGGATTATTGCAGAAATCAAGGGAAATGATGCATAGGAAAGTAGTTGGACCTGGTAAAAGTCTATCAACATGTGCCAGGTATTGTCATTAAATATTTCTGGGGGCCAGGTGCAGTGGCTCATGCCTGTAGTCCCAGCACTTTGGGAGGCCGAGGTAGGCGGATCACTTGAGGTCAGCAATTCAAGACCACCCTGGCAAACACGGTAAAACCCCATCTCTACCAAGAATACAAAAAATAGCCAGGTGTGGTGGCGTGTGCCTGTAATCCCACCTACTTGGGAGGCAGGAGAATCACTTGAACCTGGGAGTCGGAGGTTGCAGTGAGTCAAGATCGTGCCACTGCACTCCAGCCTGGGGGATAGAGCGAGACTATGTCTCAAAAATAAAAATAAATTTCTGGGTTTTCTTTTAACTGACCAACACTATATCCATTTTAAAGATAGACTGAGCACCCTGGAGAAACTTGACCCTGTGTTGCTCCCATCTCAGCCCCCAACTACCCATCTCTCCCTCCTGTCCATTAGCAAAGGAGAGCCCAGGGCTTCCACCAGGCCTTCCACCTGCCCCAACCTGCCTGCTCTGAACATTTTTAAGCATTCTTCAGGCACCCGCTGCAAGGGCACCTCTTCTGGGGAAATACCCCTGATCCCCAACACAGCTGGAGTCTCCTGCTCCAGGCTTCTGGGCTCACACTTCCTGGCAGCTCTTATCAGGCTGCTTGGTAATTGTTTGTTTTTCCAACACTGTTTCACAATTACTGTGCAATTTACAAACTTGACAACTCAGTGTGATCCAGCTACTGCAGAGGTGCCACCCAGGTGCTGATTCCTGCAGGGCCAGCCCTTCCAAGGAAGAAAGCACCACCCCCAGCCCTTACCTGTGCCCACCCCCACCCCAGGGCCTACACCAGAACCTGGCTGGAGGAGGCCCTTGGTAAATGTTTATCGACTGAAGGAACACGTGAATGAGGGATGGAGTGGAGGCTCTGGGAACAAGGCAGAGGGGAAGAGATGCTTCTTGTTAACATCTCTTCATAAAAGCCAGTGAGTTCCTACATCCAGCTGGTGTCTGAATTGGGGCCAATCATAAAACCAGGAGGCCCCTGAGGCTGAGGGCAGCTGGCTGGCCAGTGGGCTTTATAAGGCGGTTTTATGGACTCAGCTGAGATGTGGTGATGAGAAGCCAAACTTTAAACATCCTCTTAAAGTTCGTTTTCACTCCCCTGGGGCTTCTAGCTGAACGAGATTGAGGAGAAGGCCTTTTGAGGCACCAGTGGAGGGATGATGAGATAGCATCATCCACATGGACCAAAAGGAAGTAAGCGGGACTTGCAGCAGAAGGGGTGCAAGTTAGGCATGAGGAAGGACTTTCTTCTGGGCTTGGGGTGCAGCAGGCGGTGATGTGGGGAGGGGAAGAGATGGACTGACTTCTTCCCCCTATTATTCGGCCACCCAAGGGGGTCATGTTCACTTCCTGCAGCCTCCCCTGGTCTATGTTTTTTTTTTGAGATGGAGTCTTGCTCTGTCACCCAGGCTGGAGTGCAATGGCGTGATCTCGGCTCACTGCAACCTCTGCCTCCCAGGTTCAAGTGATTCTCCTGCCTCAGCCTCTGAAGTAGCTGGGACTACAGGTGAACGCCACTATGCCTGGCTAATTTTTATGTTTTTAGTAGAGACGGGGTTTCACCATATTGGTCAGGCTGGTCTTGAACTCCTGACCTTGTGATCTGCCCACCTCGACCTCCCAAAGTGCTGGGATTATAGGTGTGAGTCACTGCCCCCGGCCTGGTCTGTGTTTTGAGAGGAGCACCACCTCTGCTCCGCATCTCAGCCTGCTCTCTCCTGACTTCTTTCCTGTTCTTGGCCAGGTAGAATCTCTAGAAGGAAGGAGAAGGGAAGGAGGTGCTGAAGGCAGTATCATGATCTGCTCAGGAGCTGGAAGGCTAAAGCTGACCCAGGGCCAGCCAGGCCTGTGAGTCCAGGGTCCCATGGTTTAAGATGTGAAGATTTTTCTCCAGCTTCCCTACTTGTGCCGTGTGTGGAAAGGAGAAAAGCAACTAGCCTAAGGAACTGAAGAAAGTGCCAAGAAGAGAGTTGGAGCTGAAAAAGGCCCAAGAAACAAGAAGAGAGAAAAATCAAAGAAAGAAAAAGTGGAAAAGAAATGCAAGAGGGAATTAACATACGTGGGTGCAGACGTTAACATCCATGGGGCCCCTGAGGTGGATCTCAGCAATCCTCGCCACCCTTCCAGGGAGTGTTACTATTTTAAGGATGGGGCGTTGGGTACGGCGGCTCATGCCTGTAATCCCAGCACTTTGGGAGGCAGAGGCGGGCGGATCACTTGAGGCCAGGAGTTCGAGACCAGCCTGGCCAACATGGTGGAGCCCCATCTCCATTAAAAATACCAAATTAGCTGGGCGTGGTGGCATGTGCCTGTAGTCCCAGCTAGTTGGGAGGCTGAGGCAGGAGAGTGGCTTGAACCCAGGAGGTGGAGGTTGCAGCGAGCTGAGATTGTGACATCGCACTCCAGCCTGGGCGACAGAGCAAGACTATCTCAAAAAAAAAAACAAAAAAAAAAGAATGGGAATCCTCGCTCAGAAGGCTCATGTGGCTTGCCTGAGGGTTCCCCATCTGGTGAAAGGGGCAGCTGAGTCTTAGACCCAGCACGATCGGATTCCAGCCCAGAGCAGGTTCTAGGCCTTGGAGAACACAGAGTTTTCATGCACCCAGGCACAGAAGCCTGGCTTGGCTCTATCCGCTGCGAGCTCTAATAGCCTGGGATGCTCCCAACCCTTGGGATCTTGCAGCTGGCCCGTAGCCTCCAGATCCCCCTGGGCTGGCCTGTGCCTGCTCTCTGAGGCTGGGCTTGTGGCTGGCCTGCCTGCTGGGAGGATTGATGGCTCTGCTCTGGGGAATTGAGAAGTTAGAACCCAATTAAGAGCTTTTCAACTCAGGCCAGAGACCTTGGCTACAGAGAGGGTGCCCTTTGCCTCGGAAGCCTCTAGTTCAAGCAGGATTCAGCCCCTAGGTTCATAGACCCTGTCTGCTGAGAGTGGTCAAAGCCACTCTGCACTCTCCTTGTGGCCTGCTCCCACAGGGCTCTTGGCTGGAGAGACCAAGGATGGGAACCTCGTCTGTCTGTACATAACTGTATATGCTGGGGGCTGCCCCTCCTCCTCCCTGGACTTGGCCTCAGGGGTCAGCATGACCAAGCTCCCCTCACCACCTTTTTTTTTTTTTTGATATGGAGTTTCGCTCTTGTTGCCCAGGTTAGAGTACAATGGCGCGATCTTGGCTCACTGCAACCTCCGCCTCCCAGATTCAAGCTATTCTCCTCCCTCAGCCTCCCAAGTAGTAGCTGAGACTACAGGTGTGCACCACCACACCCAGCTAATTTCGAATTTTTACCAGAGATGGGGTTTCACCATGTTGGTCAGGCTGGTCTTGAACTCTTGACCTCAAGTGATCCGCCTGCCTCGGCCTCCCAAAGTGCTGAGATTAGAGGCGTGAGCCGCCACGCCCAGCCAAAGCATCATCAACAGCCTCCCCATCAGGGAATTGAACCCCGTCTCCCGCATGACAGGTGGGAATACTCACCACTATATTAACAAGAACTTCCTATCCAGGCCCTTCTTGATTCGGGGCAGGGGAAGGGGAATGAGGACAGGGAAAGAACATTGAGCACCTAGCATGTGCCAGGGCTTTCTATGCGTTAGCACATTTAATCCTCAAGCAACCCCACAGGGCGGGTTATGATCTTCCCTTTATAAGTGACAGGCAGGAAGCTCAGAGAGGTTAAAGACCTCACTGAAGCCCACACAGCCGCTCAGTGCTGGAGCAGCTAGGGAAACTCAGGTCTGCCGAACTGCCAGCCCTGTTCTCTCGCTCTGGGAAATGGGACTTGCCCACCCCTCCAGAACTTCCAAGCCTGGGGCGTTCCCAGGCACACTCCATGTGTGCACGTGGTCTCTAGGGGCCCAGGCCTCCCAATGCTAACAAACACCCTTCAGACGTTTCCGGATACTTCCCACCCCAGCTCCAGGGACCTTGGGAAAACTGGGTTGCCTTTGAAGGGGCCCCCCAGACCCATCAGCATCTCTACTATTTCACACTTTCCCTTCAGGATCATCGGACGAGGAACAGCTGGGCCTGCAGATTTATTAGCGTTTTGCAAGTGATTCCACCCGCTCTTCTAGTCCCATGTGAGCCCTGCCCCCGCTCCTATTAGAAGCCTCTGGAAAGCAAAGGAGTTCTTTTTTCAGTGCCCCAAGCCCACTTAGCCGGTGTGATTTTTGCCTCTCCCACTCCTCACAGCAACTGGGAGCTAGTTATATCTCCCCAGAAACCAGGGACCAAAAGAAAAAAAAAGGAAGAAAGAAATGAAAGGAAGAAAAGAAGGCAAGGCAAGGCGCAGTGGCTCATGCCTGTAATTCCAGCACTTTGGAGGGCCAAGGCAGGCAGATCACCTGAGGTCAAGAGTTCAGGATGAGCCTGGCTAACATGGTGAAACCCCATCTCTACTAATAATACAAAAATTAGCCGAACGTGGTGGTGGGTGGCTGTAATCCTAGCTACTTGGGGGGCTGAGGCAGGAGAATCGCTTGAGCCCGAGAGGTGGAGGTTGCGGTGAGCCGAGATCGTGCCACTGTACTCCGGCCTAGGCAACAGAGAGAGACTCCATCTCAAAAAAAAAAAAAGAAAAAGAAAAAGAAAAAAGAAACAGGTTAGTGTTATCTTCCATTTCAGTAAACAAACTATAGGAAACCTCTGGCTGGAGGGACAGAAGACCCAGATTTTCTTCCTGGTCCCACCAGCTGTGGGGCTAGAGGCAAGTCATGACATCTCTCGAGGCCTCAGTTTCCATCTGTGAAATGGGGGATGGTATCCACCCTGAGTGCCTCACAGCGGGGATGTGAGTATCAAAGCCAGCACTTTGTACTTTCCAAAGGCCTGTCCCTGTCCCCTTTTCCTCACAGTCCTGCACACAGAAACGTTAGGTGAGTGTGCTAACGTAAGATGGGTCATCTAGATGGGTCATCTAGATCTAACCTAGATGATCGACCTCATACACACTGCAGATAGGGAGTTTTCCCACTAACAAGCCTTCAGAAACATTGAGTTTTATCCTCTTTGTTTTTCAGGGGTCACGCACTCACCTAGACCTGTGTGACGTGCATGTGCGGGAGCTTGTGATGGTCACACAGTCATGACATGAAGAGAGCCATGGGGAGGAGGCACAGGAAGTGGTGGGTGCTGGGGCGCAATATGAACATTCAGCACCAAACAAGGGACAAAAGGTTCCTGGCCACCCTTGCGGTCAGAGTTCCACTGTGTGACCTGTTGTCACAGGTGCCACCTGCAAGGGCCAGGTAAAGCCCTCATGGAGTTGGGCAGAGGCACAGACCGATGGTAATAATTTAATAATAAATCACTATTAATTATTTTAATTATTAAACAAAATATATTACTATTTGGTTAACTATTAAACTACTAATGATGATACTTATGAATTAATGGCTTGGGATGATCGTGACGGTCACCGCAATAATGCTATACTGAAGGAATTTTTTGTGTGCCAATAGACTAATTAGAAAACATTTGAGGTATATAATTGTGATTGCAGGACTGATGTGTAGTGGAAAACAAAAAATAAGCATGCAGGTGTCAAAATGCCAACTGTTAGCCTTGACCTCCATGCTTGGCTGAAGGGCTCTCTGTCATAAAGTGGCTTTGTGCAGCAATGACCCAGCCTCCAGAGCCCTCACAGCTGAGGGCCATAGACAGTGTGGACCTGCAGGAGGGAGCCTTGAGAGGGACGCTGAGAGAGGTTGGATGTAGCACCTCCGGGGAGCAAGGCCAGAGGGACAAACCAGCAGAGGGTGACGCGATGAGGGACGGGGGTCAGAAGCACGCAGAGTTGGCAGCAGAAAAGCCCTCATGAGCCGCTGCCAATTGCAAAGCCAGGCATTGCAGTATAACCACCATGTATTGAAGAGATAGAAATAGGGTCTCTAGGTCCCTGGCAACATGGGCAGATGAAGAAAACAAACTGACAACATGGAGAGGCGATTGAGTCCAGGTCAGAACGCAGGCTCACCCACCCCTGCCTGGAGGAGCAGGGATGGGCCATGAGAACCAGAAAGACAACCATGCTGCACATCTGTAATTAAGCAAAATGCTTACTTTAGTCGTTTGATAAAGTTGTAGTTGATTTTTTCTGTGATTTGGCTATTTACCAGGAATTTAGTAATTTCTTTGTTGTAAAGATGACCCTGAAGAACCTCAAGCAGGATGGATCTGCCTAAACTTCCAAGTGTCCAGGCAGAACCATTCATGGTGGAGTCCAGAAAGGACTCCTGTCCAGCTGATCCTGACCACCCTTGCTGCATTCAGAATTCCCCATAGTGATGAGCAGCCCACTTTATAAAGACTAGGAATAAGCCCTGCTGTCTCCCGTATTGGGCAGAGAAGCAGGGCCACCTTACAGAATTGGATCAGCTGCTCCAGCCAAGAAAGAGCTCACCACATCTGTCCCTGAGCCAAGAGATCAGTCTGAAGCAGTGGCCTCCACACTCCCACACTGGAGGAGGCTTCCTGACGGAGGCTGGTGGCCTTCAGGAGTTGTTTGAATCCGCTTTAAATTCTGCAAAGATCCAGTTTGTCCAGGCCCTTAACCACAATGGCAGTCACCTTGAATGTAAGGGAAGCTGCAGTTAGACTGGATTGGAAGTAAAAGAGCATTTTCAAATACTCAGGCATTTCCTTATGGGAAAGGGGTTGCGGGGAGGGGTTCACACTGTTCTTGGCTTGAATACCCAGAAACCTCATGGAAGGCCTAACACCGTCTTTTTGCAAAATTGTGCTGACCATATAGTGTTGGGAAGAAGTTTAATACATTAAAGAGCTAGCTAGTCTGTGTTATAAAATAGGAAAATTCCAGCAACCCCAAACTCTCACAATGTCCATGTTCCAGCTCCCACAAAGCCTGAGCGTGGCACCCTCCTAGTAGGCAGCCTGCTGTGGGGATGGGCACACAGTAGGTCTCACAAGCAGCTGTACCTTTGCCTCTCCCTCCTGCTGTGGGCCAAAACCACTTAAGATTATTATAACAGGTCGAGTCTCGCTTGTAGATTTGTTTAACCTTACACCATGTTGGATATGAATTCCTCACTAAAAATAACGGTCACCCATTTTCCCCTGCCTTGAAACAACAGGCACTTCATTCACCGCAGCTGGCAGTGCCCAGCAGACTGGCTAACTGGCTCTCATGAGCTGAAACGTGCTGCGGCTTGTTCCTGCTCCATCTCTCCTCCTTCTCAGCTTTTCTACAAGCCACATGCAAAAATCTGGCCCATTACTCCATTATCATATTTCGTATGAAATTAGGTATTGCAAGTCTCATGTCATTCAATTAGCTTGGCACAGGCTGAGGGCATGACTCAGAGACACTCCCAGTTTCACCTCTTCCCAGTCATGGGCTCCTCCTTTATCCTGACCCCGGGGAGACCCTGTTGTGCCAAGACAACCTTCTTCCTCCTGAGGCTTAGGTCAAAGGACACTCTTGGGACCCTTTGTTCCAGAACGAAGGACCTTTTCTGATCAGTCTCAGTTCCACTCCCTTGAACCCCGACTCTCTATGTCTCCCACAAGCACCCAGATGAATGCCCTCCACTTGCCTCCCTTATGGTGAGGCCCACAGCCCTGCAAACCAGCCCTGTGCCTACCCTGGCCCTGGCCACTTTCTCCTTCTTCTCCCTGTCACCAGACTAATGGTTTCTCTAAAAAGCCTCAGCCCTCCAGGCTGCAGTGTCAGCAGCTCTGGGTGGCCCAGGACATACTTCCTCCAGGTACACACAAGCATGCTGAAAATCCTGGTTCCACCCACACATCCTGGGCTGGTAGCCTCCCCCGTTTTGCAGCCTTCACATTCTCAACGCCCACATGTACATTTCATCACAGTCAACTCCAGGCTCTCTGCAATCCCGCCATCAATCCGCGGTGATGTTTTTGGCTATACCTCCTGCCCCTGGAAATGATTTCCCGTCACTCCTGAGGCAGATACCCATGTGCCTCCTTCTCTTCCCTGTACACTTTGCCTTCTGTGCATGACTGCCCTTAGAAGGGCCAGAAAATGCATTTAGGGTTCATTTGCTCTTTCAGTAAAGTTGTCTGAGTACCTACTATGCATAAGACCAGATTCCTTACCTTCAGGAACTAGATAACCTAGGAGGAGAGGTGAGGAAAAAAAAAACACAACTCATAAAAAGATCAGCAAAAGTGCCTCTTATGAGAGAAGGAGAGGAAGACAGGATACTGATGAGTCTTAATCTGCATAGTCACTCTGGGTCATCATGTCTGACCACCAAGGACCAGTGGGAAACAGTGTAAAGGACTTTGGGTAGGATGATCGGGGCCCAGGAGACTTAATGAAGACTCTCAAAGGCGAGATAAAGATGAATCAGCTGTGGCTCTGATCTGTGGCCCCAGAACTCACCTTCAGCTAGAATTAAGTGAAAGAACATTGAAAGATCCAGGTTTCCTTTCCTACTGATGAGCGAAATCAGATTCCTGAGAAAGGCCTCCTCTAATTTTGAGGTTCCCTTTGGCAGTGAGCCCTCTTAATTGCTCTAGAATTCACATGATAATTTAAAGCAAAAAATATAACATTGTCTTATGGGTTTTATAATGTATGTAGATGTAATACATATGATAACTATAGCATAAAGGATGGGGGTAGCGGGCAATGGTTTCTACATTTTACTTGAAATAGTAACTAAGTGGACTGTGAAAATTTAACGATATGTTGTAATCCCTGGGGCAACCATTTCAAAATTAATATAAAGAGGTATAATTACAAATCCAATAGATAGATTTAAATGGCATTCAGGCTGGGCGCAGTGGCTCATGCCTGTAATCCTAGCACTTTAGGGGGCCGAGGTGAGTGGATCACCTGAGGTCAGCAGTTCAAGACCAGCCTGCTAAACATGGTGAAACCCCATCTGTACTAAAAATACAAAAATTAGCTGGGCCTGGTGGTGTGCGCCTGTAATTCCAGCTCCTCAGGAGGCTGAGGCAGGAGAATTGCTTGAACATGGGAGAGCCGAGAGATTGCGCCATTTCACTCCAGCCTGGGCAACAAGACTGAGACTCCATCTCAAAAAAAAAAAAATGAAAAAAATAAAATAAAATAAAAAATAAATGGCATTCTAAAAAAAATCCAAAAAAAAAAAAAAGGCAGGAAGGAGGAACAGAGAAATAAAAAACAGAGGGGGGAAATAAAATGAAATTCAACCATATTAATAATTACATTAAATGTTAACAGGATAAACATTCCAATTGAAAGGCAGAGATTGTTGGAAAAGATTTTTTTTTTTTAAAAAAAGACCTATTTGCAGTCTACAAGAGATGAATTTTAAATATAAAGACACAAGTAAGATGAGAATAAATGGATGAAAAATTATATACATTCAAAAGCTGGTGGGGCTGCATTAATATCAGATAAAATAGACTTTGAGACAAAGGGTATTACCAGAGAAAAAGAAGGACATTTTGTTATGGTGAAAGGGTCAATTCATCAGGAAGGGAAAACGATCATAACCATGTATGCAACTATTAACACTGCTTCAAAGACATGAAACAAAAATTGACAGAATTAAAGGAAGAAACAGAAAATACCATGATCAAAGTTGGAGATTCCATCAGTAAGGGTGAAGTCTGATTTCACCTTCAGGACATATGGGTTTGGGAGGCCATTCCCTAGGCCAAGGCTGGGCTGTGGGCTGTGGGCTGTGGGCTGTGTTAAGACACTTCAGGGAAGAGGCCAGGAGGGAGTCAGGCAGGCAGTTAATGACAAAGACTGGAAAGATTCTTTGAGGCTGAGACACTGATGGTCTCAGGTGATTTTTATGGAGAGCCTCAGGCCCCACTTGGGGTGAGGAAGCAATGGTTGAAGGCATTGAACCAGTTCTGAAGGGCATGGTGATAGTGTCCATATGGCAATGATTACTTTTGTCAGCTGTTCCAGAAGAGGATGCCAGGTAATGGAATGGAAAGCAGCAGCAGAGGCCAAAAAAAGCTTTACCCACTTCATTATTAGTCACTCAGGGTTCCTTTATAAAAGACCTGATGACTTGGGCTCAGGTGTCAAAGACCACAACAAGAGCTAACCTTACCCTTAATGGTCACCTAGACTTGTTGGGGTCTGGAGAAACAAGAGGTAGCCCAGTGGTTCTCAAGCTTGAGCATGCATCAGGATCACCTGGAGGGCTTGTTCAAACCAGATTGTTGGACCCCATGCCAAGAGTTTCTGATGCAGCCGATCTGAGGTGGGATCTGATGCTGATGTTGCTGGTCCAGGGACACACTTTGAAAACCACTAAGATAAACAAAATGCCACAGGAGCCCAGAAGAGGGAGATGTCTTTTTTGGCACGCAGAAGCAGGGTAGAATGACATAGTTGCAGGTGAGGCTGAGGGGCATGTCAGGTAGAGGAGGCAGCCCAGGAGGAAATTAGGGGGCTCATTTATGGAGCTGAACTGCAACGTCCGTCTAAGGAACAGGGCAGAACAGGCTGGCAAGGTGGACCAGAACCCCAGTCAAACATGGGCTAGCTTAGAAATGAAGAGCAGACGCTCAGAATCAGAGACATGGGTTCAAATCCTGGTCTGCCTCTAATTAGCTGTGTGACCTAAGAGAGATGATCTAAACTCTCAGAGCCTCGGTTCCATAATCTGTAAACTGGGGCTAATATTAGTACCCACTCTAAGGATCTTTAGTGAGGGAATGCAGCCTGGCACAGAGTAAGAGCCAGTAGGAGCCAGCACCAGGGTTGCCATGGAGCACTAGGCAGAAGGCACATGGCTGACAAAGCTTCTGGCTCCTGTGGGTTGAAGTGGAGCACATCAGGCCTGGGCTGGGACTTGGGCAACCAGCTAGACAGACAGTATTTTGTGAAACTCCTCCTGAGGACACTTGGGCTCTTGGTTCAGAGTTACAGGCCTCCTTCTCAAGGCCATTGCTTTCCTAAGTCAGGTTGCTCCCCGGCCCTCCTCCCATCCTTCCTGAGCCCCTGCCAAACCCAAGAGATGGCTGTGGAAGCTCCACTAGGACCAGGGAAGGAGCCTGGCCTGGCCTCTGGATTTATTTGCCTGCCTTTCAGAATGATCAGCCAGCATCCAACGCAGCAAATGGCAGCAGCTTTTGGATTTTTTTTTTTTAAGCAAGAAAGTGAAGGGGGATTTAGTCTATCTGTGTCAAGGAAAGAGAATTCCGGCTGGGCGCGGAGGCTCACGCCTGTAATCCCAGCACTTTGGGAGGTTGAGGAGGGCGGATCACTAGGTCAGGAGTTTGAGACCAGCCTGGCCAACATGGTGAAACCCCATCTCTACTAAAAGTACAAAAATTAGCTGGGCATGGTGGCACTCGCCTGTAATCCCAGCTTCTGGGGAGGCTGAGGCAGGAGAATTGCTTGAATCCAGGAGGCAGAGGCTGCAGTGAGCCGAGATAGTGCTACTGCACTCCAGCCTGGGTGACAAAACAAGATTCCATCTCAAAAAAAAAAAAAAAAAAAAAAAAAGGGAATTCATTCTTTCCCCCTGTGTTCTGAGATAAAATGGTTCATTTCCATGAAAATTGAAACTCAGAGATGAATCTTTGCTGCAGTGCCTTTTGGACTGTGGGCTAAATGGGGAGGGAGCAATGTGCACGGGCTAGAGAACTAACTGTGTCTTCCCCGCCCTTTCCTGGTGCCACAGAGGACCCCAGGGCATGGGCACTGGCTTCTGTGTGGCCCTGCATGGTTCTTTGTCTCCGCTTTCTGTCTGTGTGGTTTGAATGGAGCTCAGGATAAAGCCAAGCCTGATCATCTTGGGGGAAGTATTGCTCGTGGTTGGAAATCATGAGTAAATTTTGAAAAATAGTCAAAGAAATTCTTGCTTAGGGAAGCAAATTTCCCAGCAGAGGCGGAAAAAAAGCCAACTGGTAAAGTCCAATAGGGATAATCAGAAATAGTCTCTGGATTATTCACCTTTGGCATCATCAGCCCCCTTCCCAGTCTTCCCTGCAGCATGGGTAACCTGGAGATACCCATGTTCAGGTGATTGTCTAGGAAGAATCAACTTAGACATGAAGCCAAATTCCTGAGCAGTTTCCACTGTGCTCCAGATTCCCTCATGCTGCCTTCTCTAACTGCTTCTTCATCCAAATGCAGTTCACATTATGTATTTGCTCCCTGGGGGCTCTTGGCCCTGGCAGATGTTTGCGGCAGAACCCTGGGACTGATTCAAGGGTTAGACCTTCTAGGCCCTGCGTGGGGAGGTACAGCTTAAAGGTGTAGGTGGATTTATCTAATCGGCCAAGTGTTGCCTGAGTGTCTGAATGAACAAAAGGACAGTGAATTCCCCTCTCTTAGCCTTGCAAATCAGTCCCCCCGCTTGCCCAGCCCATGTGGTGATGTTATTTATCTCCCTTGACACTGAGAAGAGTAAATGAGGCAGCAACCCAGGTAGGAGGAGGAGATCTGGTTCAGGACCTGGCTGAGTCATTCCTCTCTCCCTCCCACTTATCCCTGCCCCTCCATCATAGCTTTAATTCAGCCTTTATCCTCCTTGACTCAGGTAGACATTGGTCTTCCTGCCTCCACTCTTGTATCTCCAAGCTTCCCTATAGGGCAGCCTTTTTTTTTTTTTTTCAGACGGATCTCACTGTGTTCCCCAGGCTGGAATTCAGTGGGGTGATCACGGCTTACTGTAGCCTCAACCACCTGGGCTCAAGCGATCCTCCCACGTCATCCTCCCGAGCAGCTGGGACCACAGGCATGCGCCACTATGTCTGACTAATTTCTAGATTTTTTGTAGAGATGAGATCTCTCTGTTGTCTAGACTGGTCTTGAATGCCTAGTCTCAAGCCATCCTCCTTCCTCAGCCTCCCAAAGTGTTGGGATTACATGTGTGGATCATGGCACCTGGCCTAGGGTAAGCTTTTTAAAAAGTAAATCTGTGCATGTGATTGCTTGGGATTTATACCCAAGAACAACCAGATGCGCAGCTCAGCAGAAGACTGGAAGGGGGATTGCAGGTGGAGGCTCAGTCTGGGTTAGGCCCCTTCCTTAGTGCGAAGGGGCCAGGTAAGTCTTCTGTCTCCAAGTGTGGGTTGGTCCCTGCTGATCCAGGTTGGGGTTTGGGGGAGGACTCATCGCCCTTTGAGAATGTTATCACAAGGGACAACCTGAAGTCATAAGCTGCCCACTTTTTTTTTTTTTTTTTTTTTTAAGACAGAGTCTTGCTCTGTCACCCAGGCTGGAGTGCAATGGCATGATCTTGGCTCACTGCAGCCTCCACCTCCCGGGTTCAAGCTATTCTCCTGCCTCAGCCCCCTGAGTAGCTGGGACTATAGGCGCGCATCACCATGCCTGGCTAATTTTTGTATTTTTAGTAGAGACAGGGTTTCACCATGTTGGCCAGGCTGGTCTTGAACTCCTGACCTCAGGTAATCCAACTGCCATGGCCTCCCAAAGTGCAGGAATTACAGGCGTGAGCCACTGCGCCCGGCCATCTGCCCATGTCTTTAACTCCCCTAGAGGAGAACACTCCTCTCTAAAGCCCCTACAATACTGTCTGGGCTCTGCAAGGTGTGGGCCTCCCTGGATGTTTGTGGAATGACTCTAAGGCATCTGGGAATGCCCCAGGGTCAAGGCAGATTTGGAGTCGGGGGTGAGAATGTATCTCATTTCTCTCCCAGGCTCTCCCCAATTCCATGGGACCCAGGAGTAGCAGAGCTGCCTCTGAGAGTTGACAGGCTTATTTTTAGTTTGGATTCTAGTTCGCAAGCCGGATTGTTTTTCCGTTTTGCCTAATTTGGGCCAGGTCCTAGTGGTGTCTCCTAGGACCCTGGCTTGGGCTGTGAAAGGTCTGCAGGACTCAAGCCTTGGGGCAGGGAAGTCCCACCAGCTTCCTGTCCCAGGGCATTGGACACCCTGGGGCCTGGACCAGCTGCCCCAGTTGGAAGAGGAAGGAACCTGGGCCTCCCCGTGCTGAGCCTTTGGTGATTTGGGGTGGGAGGGGCGTAGACTTAACATCCTGTTTAAATTTGGCATTAGCCGAATTTTTTAACAGGGGTTATGACCCCCCTCCTCCCTCTCCCAGGCCTTCCTTACATACTCCTCTAATCAATTTTTAACTTCTGGCTCTAACTCTGCCCTTTACCTTGGAGCATTGGGCCTGACCGAGGGAGGAGCAGTCTGATTTCTTGAATCCTGCCTCTGAACAGAACTGGCCAAAGGGAGGCTGCCGCGAAGCCCAAGCGACCACTGGGAGACCAGAAGATGGGAAGAAGAGAGGAGAAAAAGAATAGGGAGGAGGATGATAGGAGAGGAAAGAAAAGAGAGGTGTGTGTGTGTGTGTGTGTGTGTGTGTGTGTGTGTGTGTGTTGGGGGGAGGTTGGGATTGTGTTTTAGACACGTGACTGTGCTGGGGCTCAGCAGGAGGTGCAGGAGGCCCAGTCGAAAGACAAGCGAGCAGGACAAAGGCCTGATTACACCCAGGCACGATGGCCATTGAGCCCAGTCCCCAGTCGGCCATCTGAGTAGAGGCTCTGCCGAGCAAACATCCAGCCCCTCTGTGACTCCCAGGCGGAGAAGCCCACATTCCTGCCCGGCAAAGGCCGCTTTAATCAAGCCTCCAGATCCTTCCTGCAGCCGCCTGGGGGGGACTGTAACGCTAAACACATTAGTGTGTGAGATTGAAAGGTAACACATTCTCATGGAAGCCCCCAGAATAATGGGCCTCGGGTCTGGGTTTCATTTGGAGGAACTGTGCGGTGGGAATTTCTCTAATCAAATAAAAGGAAAATGAAAAACTCTATCGTTCTCAAACTTTAATGCTCTTAATTGCATTAATTCGAAAAACATACAAGGTCTTTCTGAGTATGGTGTTGGAGCCTATAGGAAAAGAAGCTCAGGGCCTGGCTGGGGGAAAGGCAGGGGTCTGATGGCAGAGAAGGGTGCCCGGGAGGGACAGGCAGTGTGTCCAGGGCTTGAAGGATGGCCTGGCAGAGACCCAAGTGACAGGCGGTTTGGCCTCTGTCCCCCCATGGCCACTCCCAGCCTCGGTATTTCCGGGGCCTCCGTGGTGGCTGAAGAGGCCACTTGGCTTGGACCTGCTGCTGTCACTCACTCCTCATCTGCCCAGACCCAAGGGGGAAGGGCAGATCTTGTCTGCTCTGTCAGTGCCCACAGCCCAGGGCCAGCTGCTCCTCTGACAGCACACCCCGCCCGGATGCCTCCAGAAGCCCAAACCCAACCTGCCCCTTCATTGCAGTCCCAGTGTGCTGGACCTGCCAGCCTTCCCCAGCCTCTTGCTGCCTAGACCCAGCTCCACATAGGATGCGGTAGAAAGAAACAGCCTGCACAGGGGCGTGGAGCCTGTCCGGAGGTGGCTAGAGATTCCTGAAGCCTAAGGAGTTGTAGGCTTCCTCCGCTGCCCTCCTGCTGCAGGGCCTGGAGTCAGCAGGGGCCAAGCCTGTTTCTCACCTGCACTTCCCAGGGCCTGCCCACAGTGTCAGGGTGGAGGAACAATAACTGAGCCTGCAGAGAATGTGGGGCCTGGGGGTTCCTAACCATTCTGGGACACGGCCTTCCTAGAAAATCTGGTGAGGACTAGAGGCTGCGTATCAGAAAAGTGCAGACACAGGCCAGGCGCAGTGGCTCATGCCTGTAATCCCAGCACTTTGGGAGGCCGAGGCGGGTGGATCACCTGAGGTCGGGAGTTCAGGATCAGCCTGACCAACATGGAGAAACCCCGTCTCTACTAAAAATACGAAATTAGGCAGGCATGGTGGCACATGCCTGTAATCCCAGCTACTCGGGAGGCTGAGGTAGGAGAATTGCTTGAACCCAGGAGGCAGAGGTTGCGGTGAGCCAAGATCACACCACTGCATTCCAACCTGGGCAACAAGAGCAAAACTCCGTCTCAAAAAAAAAAAAAAATCGAAAAGTGCAGACACATGTGCGCGTGCACGCGCGCGCACACACACACACACGGTTTGCACATGAGTGTAGAGGTCTTACAAACACCTGTTCTGCGTGTTCCAGGAGCTAGGTGAAGTCCTGCTCCTGAGTCTTGGCAGGGACATTGCCTTGCTAGGAGTCCTTCCAGGGGAGCAGGATTCTGGCCGCAGAGGCTGGGTGCGAGATAGCAGTGAGGAGAGCTCTCTGGAGCTGAGGAGGGTCTGAAAGACTGAGGAAGTTCAGGCCTGTGACACACAGGAAGATGGCCACAGACCAGGAAGCCCGTAGGTAGGGGTTTAACTGCAGCTTCTCCACACTCCACCTGTGTGACTTTGAGGCAAGTGAAGTTATTGTGTAGGAATAATAGATACCCCACCAGGACTGTGGGAGGATTGAAAAGCTATGCTGCATGCCAGGCAGGCAGGAGGGGCTCAGGAAGTGTTGGTTCCCCTTGGGACCGCAGTCCTTAGATGACAAAGAGGGGCACGAGGGTTGGCAGTGCGCACATAGGAGCTTCAGGGCTTTGTTTTTAGTGGCTACCACAAAGGGCCTTCTTTCTCCATCCCATAGTTTCCTCCTTGAATCACTGTTGCCTTGTGGCTCCCTCAACCTGGAACTCCCATCTTTTTTTTTTTTTTTCTGAGACACCAGGCTGGAGTGCAGTGGCACAATCTCAGCTCACTGCAACCTCCACCTCCCAGGTTCAAGTGATTCTCCTGCTTCAGCCTCCCAAGTAGCTGAGATTACAGGCACCCGCCACCACGCCTGCCTGGCTAATTTTTCATATTTTTGGTAGAGATAGGGTTTTACCATGTTGGCCAGGCTGCTTTTTTTTTTTTTTTTTTCTCAGCTCACTGCAACCTCTGCCTCCCAGGTTCAAGCCATTCTCCTGCCTCAGCCTTCCTAGTAGCTGGGATTACAGGCATGTGCCACCACACCTGGCTAATTTTGTATTTTTTTTAGTAGAGATGGGGTTTCTCCATGTTGGTCAGGCTGGTCTCGAACTCCCGACCTCAGGTGATCCGCCCACCTTGGTCTCCCAAAGTGCTTGCATTACAGGCATGAGCCACCGTGCCCGGCCTGGCCAGGCTGGTCTTGAACTCCTGACCTCAAGTGATCCGCCTGCCTCTGCCTCCCAAAATGTTGAAATTACAGGCATGAGCCACCGTGCCCAGCCTAGGAACTCCCACCTTTACCTTGAACTTGTAGCGAGCTCATCTCAGTTCTCAAGTGTCATCTGCTCTATGAAGGCCTGTAGAGTCCCTGGGAGAACTAACTCCCCTGGGAGGGAGGCTGGGGATGTGTTATTGTTCCTATTTTCCAGAAAATCGAGACTCTGAGAGGTTGGTTGACTTGCCTGAGGTCACTCAGCAGCAGAATCAGGACTAACATTCCAGGTAACGGCCTCCACTGTCCAGCATCTGCCATGTGCTGGGCCCTGCACTGGGTCCTTTGCATATGTGAGCTTGTTGCATTTCTACCAGAACCTAAGTGGCTTGGCTCCAGGTCCACATTCTTTCCCAACATCACACTGCCTCTCAAAGACAAGGATGGAAAACCACGTTTCCAGGGCTCTTTTAAAATCTTCTTCCTTTGTGAAGAATGTTGTCAGCCATCAGCCAACACCACTTACTCAGAGCTCTGGGCGTGGACTAATGAAGGACACTGTCCTCGTCCTCGCCTGGGCAGAATGCAGGCTCTGAGGGCGGCCAGACCTGCAGCCAGCCCTCCAGGGGGAAAAGGGAGTGAGAGAGGACAAACTGCATCTCACAGGAGTCTTGCCCTCCTGCTGGTTCTGCCACTAACCAGCCCTGGGGCCTTGAGGAAGGGATGCCCCTCTGGCCTCAGTTTCTCTATTTGCACCACAAGGAGCTGGAGGCATAAGGTTTTCTAAGAGCACTCCGGCCCTGGGATTCTAGGATTCTGCGACTTCTGAGAGTGCCTTGGGCTAGCTATGCCTGGGTGCAGGGAGGTGGTGATCAGCGGGGATTCTCATGGAAAAGGTGCCTCGGTCTGCCTTAATCTTGTGGTTTCATTGTCTGCCAGAGCTCAGAACTCAGGAGGGGGGAGCTCCGCTGGGATAAGGGGAGCCCTGGTTGAAGATGATTTACAAAGGGAAGCTGTGCGCAGGTTAGCGGGGCCCGACGGTGTGCTGGGGGGAACAGGCAGATGTGCTCCTTCGGCTGGCAGATGTTATTTCTTAAGAACTTCTGAAGGCAGAGTCCTGCGGGGAGGGAATCTTATGGTCTTGTCTCTCCTATGACCTAATTTAATCATCCCACCTGATCTATTAGGGGAGCATATTGCCCCCTACTTCCCACCCCGTGTCTCCCCGTATTCCCCCATCCCAGCTCAGCAGTCCATCAGGTAGTGGAAGTAAGGTCACCTGGCTGGGACATAGTGGGGCAGAGATGCAAACACAGGCCCGCTGGTGTCAGTGGCCAGGTGCCATCCACTGTGCCATGCCACCCACACCTCATCTCCATTAGGGAGGAGTGCAAATCACAGAACCGGCAGTTGAATTCTAGTACCAAGGAAACTCAGAGAAGGAAACCTCACATGAAAGGGTTGCAAACTGAATACCGGTGTGCCTCAGTTTAAGCAAATCCAATATACCCAAATCTAAAAATAGCTCCTTCTATTGGAGCTCTTTCCCATATGAATTCATTCCCATACGAAAATGAATCACTGGTTCTTTTCTTCAAGAAGCCAACTCTATTAGTGCATTAAAATACAATTCAAGTTGCCAAATGTGATTTCATATACAACCCTCCTCCCGACCCCCACCCCCAATATACTTCTCACTCCTGATCCCAAAGGAACACTCCGCCTTTCATAAAGAGAGGTTCGCCGGCAGTGAGCGGGGCTGGAAACCAACATGGCAAACACATGTCCAGGATTTTCTGAGACTGGCTCACTTTCTAATATTAGGTTTCCATTGTCCCATAAGAACACTTGGAACTTGGGGCCTTGGGGACTGATGTTTTGGTTGGTACAATAAGGTCACCCGGAAGAGGAGGATGCTGTCCTGTCAAACCCATTTTCTACCCTGGCAGGCCTGGTCAGAGGGCAAGCTGGTCAGAGAGGGTGGTGACGGTGGGGAGCCCAGAGGCAAGCCTATGAGGCGGGGGGAGCCACGTGGGGTGAGGGATTTGAGGTATGGGGTGAGTCAGCTGAGAGAGTCAGCATCTTGGGTTCCTGGGATCGATTAGCGAGCAAGCCACGCAAAGCAGGCGGGCTGAAAAGATGCAGGCTCCCTCCATGGGCTCTCTCTGCATGGGAAGCAGGCGGGCGGGGCCCTGGAAGGTGGCCAGGGAAGAGCAGCTCCATGATTAAAGGGTTGGAGACCAGGACTTTTGAAGCGAGACCAGGATGGCTGGTTATTTGCGCATTCATCTCTGGGCCCTGCCTCTACCCCACCCCACTCCACCACCCAGCAACTCAGACCTGCAGCCCAGCCCTGGACCCCATACTGAGCCCTGGGAGGTGGGAGAAGAAGACAAGGATTTCCAAAACGTTGACTGAACACCTGGGGAGTGGTGGCAGGGGCTTTAACACACCAACATCATGAATCCCCCCAACAAGCCCATGGGGCAGGAGACACTAGCTCCGTTTTTACAAGTGTTCAACAAGAGTTGAAAACAAGAGTTGAAATTATTTGCTTAAAGTCACATAGCCAAATGGAATAAGATCCCAGATCTTCTGATTCTACCTCATTAGAGCAAAAGCAGAAGTGACAGAAGAAGGCTGGAGTCCAAGGGCGAGGGTGCGGGCAGGGAAACCTGAACGAGCCCCTCCAGGGACTGCGTTATTTCCCCAGGGTTGTTTACGTGTGAAAGGGTCGTTCTCAAAACAGGAACAGTAGTGAGGTTGCTGTTCTTTACTGAGTACCTATTACCTTTGTGGCATTCTTTTTTTTTTTTTTTTTTTTTTTTGAGACGGAGTCTCACTCTGTCACCCAGGCTGGAGTGCAGTGGCGCGATCTCGGCTCACTGCAAGCTCTGCCTGCTGGGTTCACACTTCTCCTGCCTCAGCCTCCCGAGTAGCTGGGACTACAGGCACCCGCCACCATGCCTGATTAATTTTTTTGTATTTTTAGTAGAGACAGGGTTTCACCCTGTTAAGCCAGGATGGTCTCGATCTCTTGACCTCGTGATCCGCTGGCCTCAGCCTCCCAAAGTGCAGGGATTACAGGGGTGAGCCACCATGCCTGGCCTACGTTTGTGGCATTCTAATCCTTACAACGATTTCCCAGGGTAAGTATTATAATCCCCATTTTACTGATGAGGAAACAGAGACTCAGAGACTCGCCCACAGTCAGGGAACTAATAAAGGGCAGAAGGGTTTGTTCTGCCTTCCATCCCCGCACCGCCCTCTGCACACCCGCATATGGTTGCTGGAGCTGCCTACATGTTGGTGTGTTAAAGCTCCTGCCGCCACACCCCAGGTGTTCAGTCAACGTTTTGGAAATCCTTGTCTTGTTCTCCCACTGCCCAGGGCCCAGCATAGCTCTTATCTATGGGAAGGGAGTTTAGGGAGGGACCCGGGAGTCATTCTGAGAATGTCCTTAGAGCATAGGAGGGTTGCCCCAGGAGGCTGCTGACTGACTAGCTGTATTCCAGCTCCCCAGGCCAATTCACGGCCAGGCTTTGGCTCGTGCTGTTTCCTTCTTGCATTTGTTTTCATGTCAAATCCTACCCATCCTTGAGGACTGGACGCCGATGACTCTTCTTCATAACTCCCCGCTGATCTCCTAACCAGAGCTGTGCACCCCCTCCCTCAACTCTCTGTCTGCCTTTCATGTAGCAGGTAGGACCTGGGGCCTCCCCTATTTATCTGGCTCAAATGGTTGGAAGAGAGAGGGTGGGTTATGTTTAAGGAAGTGCTTCCTGGATGAAATTTCAGAGTGGGGATTCTTGAGTCCCAATCTGGGAAGCTTGAGTGAGTCATAGAGAAATGCTGCTCTTGGTGAGTTGAGTGTGGGGACAGCCTGCCCCCACTCCCAGCATCAGGCACAGGTACAGACCCGGCGGGGCCTCTGCTTTCCCTCACCTTCCTCACAGTCCCGCAGTGTTCCTGTGCATGTGGAGGCCTGGAGATTCGTGCTGGCCACACCAAAACCCTTCCTCTTAATGCTGCGTATCTGTGGCTCCTACATGGTGTTATAGGAAGAATTCAGCTGGGCGCGGTGGCTATGCTGTAATTCCAGCACTTTGGGAGGCTGAGGTGGGTGGATTACCTGAGGTCAGGAGTTCAAGACCAGCCTGGCCAACATGGTGAAACCCCCATCTCTACTAAAAAAACAAAAAATTAGCTAGGCATGGTCATGAGTGCCTGTAATCCCAGCTACTTGGGAGGCTGAGGCAGGAGAATTGCTTGAACCTGGGAGGTGGAGGTTGCAGTGAGCTGAGATCGTGCCATTGCACTCCAGACTGGGCAAGAGAGTGAGAGCGAGACTCCGTCTCAGAAAAAGAAAAAAAAAGAAAGAAAGAACAAACTCAGGACCAGGAGTCTCACCGGGCTGTGGTGGTTTCTCAGCCTGCGTGTGGCCTTGTGAACTTGGGTAAGTCACCTCTTGCTTCTGGGACTCAAAACTGGCCAGTGAGCTTTCCCCTGGGTTTAGGAAATGTAAGGATCAATAATAGAGGGTCCCTGCCTTTAGGAAGCTGACAGTCTAGAGAGGGACACAGCCAAAGAAACAGATTGCTGTAAGTCAATGCAGTTATTTCTGCAATAGAAAGATGAACAGCACCACACTGAGAGGAAATGAGGAGAATCAGAGGATACAGTGACCAACCCTGCCGGGGGCAGTCGGATGAAACCTTACAGAAGAAGTGACGTGAAGCATCACGGGAGTTTGTCATACACAGAAGAGGATGGGAGCACTCGACTGTTGTTTACTTTGAGATTTGCTGGCTGGGGTGCATCACCTGAGCTCTATTCCTGCCTTCTGATAAGGACGTGCCCGAGGTTATTACTTGGCGTTCAGGGAGGGTCCTGGTACCCCTGTGGAAACTCAACTCAGGCACCGTCTACATCCTGGCAAGGCTCAGTTAGAGGGCAGCTCACAAAAGAAATGGCTGGTGGGATAGGAACGGAAACCAGAGAAGGAGGCTGGAGGAGGGAGTTTCAGGAAGTAAATATTCAATAGCATTAAGTGCTACAGGGATCAGGAAAGATGAGGATGGTGAAAAATAAGACAACGTTTGGCATTGAGAAAAAAGACTGGAGGGAAATATAGCAGAATGCTCATGATGGTTGCCTCTGGGTGGTGTGAGGATGCATGCCTGATCCTTTTCCTGCTCCTATGGGCTGCTCTGCACTTGCCAAATTTCCTACAATGAGCATTTATTTGATAACCAAGAAATAGAACAATTGAAACTTGTTTAAAAAAGAAGTCATTGGTGACCTTGGCAGGAGTGGATTCAGTAGAGCTGTACCGACAAGCCAGATTGCAGGGCATTAAGAAAGTAGCAGGGGGTGAGGAAGCAGAAGAAGTGCGTGGAACACTCGGAGAGAGAGCTGGCAGGACATGGAAGGGCAGAGGCGGTTCCGGAGGCAGCCAGGCCAGGTAGGGATGTTTATTCTTAATTTAATGTGGGAGGGACTTTTGAAAGTGATAAAATTTCCTGCATCAAAAATCAGGATCTTATAAAGGACTTTTGTGCCTTTTCTGAATATAAGACAAAGAAGGGCTGGGTGCAGTGGCTCATGCCTGTAATCCCAGCACTTTGGGAGGCCGAGGTGGGTGGATCATTTGAGGTCAGGAGTTCGAGACCAGCCTGGCCAACACGGTGAAACCCCGTCTCTACTAAAAATAAAAAATAAAAAATAAAAAAATTGCCGGGCGCGGTGGCACACACCTGTAATCCCAGTTTCTGGGGAGGCTGAGGCAGAAGAATCACTTGAACCCGGAAGGCCAACGTTGCAGTGAGCTGAAATTGCACCACTGCGCTCCACCCTGGGTGACAGAGCAAGACTCCACCTCAAAAAAATAAATAAATAAATAAATAAAAGGCAAAGAAGGAGAAAATTTATTGGAATTTCTAGGACTTTTCTGTGGATTGTAGAGACAACAGAAAAAAAGAATTATGAAAGTGGGATTGTCCTGGCAAATCTAGGCTTTGAGGTTGTTTATCGTGTGGGTTTCCAGTCAGAGGGGAAGGAACAAGTAAAGAAAAAGATAGAGAGGATGTTAAGAAACAGGGAAGACCCATGTTCACAGCGGCGTTATTCACAATAGACAAACGGTGGACGCAACCCAAGCACCCATCGATAGATGAATGGATCACCAAAATGTAGCACATATACACAATGGAATATTATTCAGCCGTAAGAAGGAAGGGAATTCTGACACATGCCCCAACGTGGATGAACCTCGAGGACATTACGCCAAGGGAAATAAGCCAGCCACAAAAAGACAAATACTGTATGATTCCATTTATATGAGGTATCTAAAACAGTCAGACTCATGGAAACAGCAGAATGGTGGTTGCCAGCGACTGAGGGAAGGAAGAATAGGAAGTTATTGTTGAACAGGTACAGAGTTTCAGTCTGGAAAATGAAAGTTCTGGAGACATTGTGATGACGGTTGCACAACAATCTATAACTTAGTGGCTAAGATAGTCAGTTGTATATTATGTATACTTTAATCATAATTTAAACAAATTAAAAATAAATAGGTAAGTAGAAAGAATTACCCCACTTCCCAGAGAAGTAGGGGAGAAGTGGGGAAGGAAGTCTTCCTGGATGGCAGGACCGTCCCTGAGTGTCCCAACAGGGATGGTTTTGGAAATGTGTAAAGAACACTTTTTGGCTAAGAGCAGTGGTTCATGCCTGTAATCCCAGCACTTTGGGGGACTGAGGTGGGTGGATCACCTGAGGTCAGGAGTTCGAGACCAACATGGCAAAACCCTGTCTCTACTAAAAATACAACAAATAATGGGGCGTGATGGCGGACGCCTGTAATCCCAGCTACTCTGGAGGCTGAGGCATGAGAATCGCTTGAACCCAGGAGGCGGAGGTTTCAGTGAGCAGAGATAGTGCCACTGCACTCCAGTCTGGGCGACAAGAGCGAAACTCCATCTCAAAAAAACAGAACCCTATCTACCCAGAGCACAGAGTGAAGATGGGAAAGGGAGATACAGAAATAGAAGTGGAGGAGGGAACGGGAGTGAGCCCAAGCGCCCAGGTCTATCCCCACCTGCTATGGCTAAGGTTTAGAGAATAGGTTGGACTTATTCACCATTCGTTTGTTCAACGAGGTACAGTACTTCAGCACCAGCATACACATAGCGCCTTTGCGTGAATCAGAGAACAAACACTACCTCTTTCCCAGGCAGATACAGTCTCCTGGGTGCAGGGCTTAGCTAGCAAACAATATCTCTGTGGGAGGGGGGAGTTCAACCCCTACCTGGCCACTTGGCTGACAGCCTCTATATTATAAGCAACTTACACAGATGCATCATCAGCCCTGTGTACCAGGCACTGTGCTAGATTCTGCAGAGTTTTCTTAGCTATAGAAGACCAGTCCGTGCTCTGAACTATCTAATGTTGCAAGTGTTGAAGGAGCCAGGGGAAGAGAGAGGAGGTCTTCGACAGCATGACCCTGAACCTCATGCACTTTGCTTCTGTGGGGTTCTAAGGCCAGGAAGCAGGGATGCAAAAGATGGCAGGAGGGACTGGACTTGGGCCTTCATTGCAAACCCAATGGCAGGTCAAGGCCACGGGGGTGTGGGGAGGGGCTGAAGGGGCTGACTTGGTGTCCAGGCTTGGGAGGAGCCCGGTTTGGCTGGGGAGGAAGGCACCTGGACACTACACACCTGTGTGAGGTGTGCAGGAAGTCTGCCTGCTGCCTGGAGAAGTCAACTTGCTGCTGGTCGCCTTAGGGAGGTGAAGCCTCTCCGTACTAAGCCTGGTATACAGGGAGAGCCGGTCAACTTCGACTCCTCTGAATTATCCCTGGGGCAGAATGCCTGTAACCAATTTTAACCAGAGGCCGGCAGGCCTGGCTGCATCTGATTTGTGCTGCCTTCCCCACTGTCAGCACAAGCAAGATAATGATCTTTGGGCTATCTATGACACGGGGTAACAGACTTTTGAGTCGGAGAAAGCAGTGTTCAAATTCCAGCTCCACAATTTATAAGCTAAGTGATCCTGGATAAGTCTCAAGTTTCCCTACCTGTAAAATGGATTCAATTATACCATCCCCCTAGGAGTTGATAAAGATGGAATGTGTTGATGTTTATAAAACACCCAGCACAATGCCTGTACAAACTAACCAATGTTCAGGGGATGTCATTTCACACACACACACACACACACACACACACACACACACACACACACACACACATTCTCTCTCTCTCTCACATGCACAAATACATGCGTGTGCACAACCACTTGGTTTGGGATGTCCACATCAGTGAGGTCTGACACCTGGCCCATATCATTGGGGCTGGTACAGGTGACGGGAAAGACTCTTATCTGCAGCAGAGAAATTCCTACTGTCCACTTGCTCGGAGGTCCCTCATCTCTCCTCTCTTCCTCTCCCAACCAGCAGGCTTAGAGACAGACCTCCTCTGCTGCCCACGGCACAGCCTCACAGAGCATGCCACACGCCGGACACGGCACCTCTCAGGCACTTATGCTGAAGTATGAGGTGGTATGCTGACTGGCACTGCAATGCAGTGAGGTACACCGTGGGGAGCTGAGCGGCCCTGGGATGAATTGGGGTACACTGTGGGGAGCTGAGCGACCCTGGGATGAAGTGGGGTACGGTGTAGGGAGCTGAGGTACTTCATGATGAAGTGGGGGTACAGTGTGGGGAGCTGAGCTACCCCATGATGAAGTGGGGGTATGGTGTGGGGAGCTGAGCTACCCCATGATGAAGTGGGGTATGGTGTGGGAAGCTGAGGTACCCTGGGATGAAGGAGGTACACTGTGGGGAGCTGAGGTACCCCATGATGAAGTGGGGGTATGGTGTGGGGAGCTGAGCTACCCCATGATGAAGTGGGGTATGGTGTGGGCAGCTGAGGTACCCTGGGATGAAGGGGGTACACAGTGGGGAGCTGAGGTACTCCGTGATGAAGTGGGGAATGGTGTGGGGAGCGGAGGTGCCCATGATGAATGGAGTATGGTGTGGGGAGCTGAGGTACCCCATAATGAAGTGGGGTATGGTGTGGGGAGCTGAGGTACCCTGGGATGAAGGGGGTACACTGTGGGGAGCTGAGCTACCCCATGATGAAGTGGGGTACAGTGTGGGGAGCTGAGATGCCCCATGATGAAATGGGGAACAGTGTGGGGAGCTGAGGTGCCCATGATGAATGGAGTATGGTGTGGGGAGCTGAGGTGCTCCATGATGAAGTGGGGTATGGTGTGGGGAGCTGAGGTACCCCATGATGAAGTGGGGCATGGTGTGGGGAGCTGAGGTGCCCCATGATGAAGTGGGGTACAGTGTGGGGAGCTGAGGCACCCATGATGGCGTATGGTGTGGGGAGCTGAGGTGCCCCATGATGAAGTGGGGTACAGTGTGGGGAGCTGAGGTACCCATGATGGAGTATGGTGTGGGGAGCTGAGGTGCCCCATGATGAAGTTGGGTACAGTGTGGGGAGATGAGGTACCCCATGATGAAGTGGGGCATGGTTGGGGAGCTGAGGAGGCCCATGATGAAGTAGGGTAAGGTGTGGGGAGCTGAGGTACCCATGATGGAGTATGGTGTGGGGAGCTGAGGTGCCCCATGATGAAGTGGGGTACAGTGTGGAGAGCTGAGGTACCCATGATGGCATATGGTGTGGGGAGCTGAGGCGCTCCATGATGAAGTGGGGTATGGTGTGGGGAGCTGAGGTGCCCCATGATGAAATGGTGTACGGTGTGGGGAGCTGAGGTACCCATGATGGTGTATGGTGTGGGGAGCTGAGGTGCCCCATGATGAAGTGGGGTATGGTGTGGGGAGCTGAGGTACCCATGATGGAGTATGGTGTGGGGAACTGAGGTGCCCCATGATGAAATGGGGTATGGTGTGGGAAGCTGAGCTACCCATGATGGAGTATGGTGTGGGGAGCTGAGGTGCTCCATGATGAAGTGGGGTACAGTGTGGGGAGCTGAGGTACCCATGATGGAGTATGGTATGGGGAGCTGAGGTGCCCCATGATGAAGTTGGGTACAGTGTGGGGAGATGAGGTACCCCATGATGAAGTGGGGCATGGTTGGGGAGCTGAGGAGGCCCATGATGAAGTAGGGTACGGTGTGGGAAGCTGAGCTACCCATGATGGAGTATGGTGTGGGGAGCTGAGGTGCTCCATGATGAAGTGGGGTACAGTGTGGGGAGCTGAGGTACCCCATGATGAAGTGGGGCACACCGTGGCAGGTGAGTACCCCAGGATGTAGTGGAGTACAGTGGTAAATGGAGGCTCACTGGTGAGGGCAGATGCTCTGTTGAGAAGCAGTGCTACCTTCTGCTTCATAACCCTGCCTTCTCTTCCTGCCTCTACTACTCCACTTTCAAATTAGACATCGCTGCTCAGGATTCCTTCCCTAGAAATCGACCTAAAATACCTCTCCTACAGACATGACCCTGAGGACAACCAGTGGCTTCTCACCTGGGGTCCTGGCTCCCAGCACTGTGTGCTGCTGGGTGAGAGTTCCCTTTGTGCAGAGCCCACTTACCACGTGTTGGATGGATGCGTCCATTAAGGATGGGATGGATGGAGTACAGGAGTCCATTTCGCACACATTTCCTGAGGTCTTCGAGGTGTCATGCACCTGCTGGCCTCTGGGGATCAGACGGGAATATAAACTGGTCCCTGTTCTCAAGGAGCTCACACAGGCCCCCGGCTTCACCTGGGCTAAGAGGTATGACCCACACACTTATTCAGTGTAGGGGACAGGCCACCAGCTCTGCCTTGGTAAGCCGGGGAAGGCTCGACAGAGTTGGTAATCTCCGAAGTGGGCTTTGGAGGAGGCATATGAGTGGAGGACCACGGAACAGGCATTTTAGGCTGGCTGTCAGTGGCTTCAGGAGGTTCTGACTTGGTGGGAGATACGTCCTATAGAGGTTCTCCAAAGACCCACAGTGCCATGCTGATTTTCTGAAATCCAGTGGGACTTAGGTAGGGTGACAAGGGCAGTGATGGAGCTACAGTTGTGTCCATTTAGAGGGAAGTAAGAGTGAGGATGGTCAGAGAACCTGGCTACACCCAGCTCTTGCAGTCATAATCGATTCCTTTCCAGTCAAAGAGGGTGGGAGAGTGGTTTTTCTCCCTCAGACAGAAGGATGAGGCTAGGAGGGAGGAGCTGGGTGGGCCGGGCGTGGACCAGCTTGGCCCTGGTGGACCTGCAGTTGGGCGGGAGGATGCTGGTTATTTGACTACAATGTATATTTAAAGGTCTCAGTTACAATGGGCCCCGGGCGCTCTGTAACAAGCTGCAGCTGTCCCATTGCTCATTAGCTTTCCTAACATCTTCTCGGGGCTGGTCCTGGGAGAGCAGCCCCCAAGCTCCTCCCTGTGGGCCGGGGCCCTGAAAAGCTGACTTCTTGCCCCCAGCCTCAGAGCTGCCATGATGAATGGCGCTGCTGCCCCGTGCAGACAAACGTCTTCCAGGAACAAGCCCCGTTTGTTTAAATCAAATGATCACCATCTTCTCTGGCAAAAGCCGCTCCCTGGACTCAAGGCCCAGGCCTGCCTCAACTGCCACCCACCTGTCCCTCTTCCTCTGGACATTAGGAAAGGACACATCAAGGGGTCAGGAGCAGCTCTAGCCACTGTCCTCAGAATGGGGACAGAGCAGGATCTCCAGGGCCAGCAGGGCCTGGTCGTCTTTGGAAGTGGGGTGAGAAAGGACTAAGCTTTCACAAGACATGGAGAAGCAGCCAGCAGCATGGGAAACAGGGCCTCAGCTGTGCTGCATCTGTGCTCTGAGCTTTGCACTTTCTACATGTGTCTCTACTCAAGTTACGCCTCTCCTGGCTTCAGACCCCTCAAGCATAGAAGAGTTTGTTAGGTCCACAGCTCTCAACCCCGGCTGCACACTGGGGTCACCAGAGGAACTTTTAGGAACTACTGATTCAGTTGGGTTCCAGGCACTGCCATTTCTTCCCCTCAGGCCCTCAAGCAATTCTAGCATGCAGCAATCGGTTTGAGTAGCCCCAAGGTCTCTGACCTCATGGCTTATCAGGTCTTCTTTGAAAAGTCCTGGCTGCTTAGGAAACACCTCCAGGAAGCCATCAGTTTGCAGACTGTGGGTCCCAAGAAGTTCCTGTACCAGGAGTTCTTCCTAAAGAAACCCACCTGGACTGGAGCAGGAAGGGACCCCAGAGCCCACCTTTTCCAACTTGGTTTTAGAGATGGCAAAACTGGGGAGTGCTCCTCCTCTCCTTGGGAGGACCCCCAGCTCAGACGGGAAGTGCTTTGTGAACGTAAAGCACCAACGCTGGGAAATTACTACAGATGGAGTTGTTGAGGATGGAGATTGGGGCACTGGAATTGTAACTCCTATCTGTCTCCCCAACTAGATTGTAAGCACCTTAATTGCAGAGACCAGGTCTCCTTTGTCGTGTGTGTGTGTGTGTGTGTGTGTGTGTGTGTGTGTGTGTCCTCCTGACTTAGCAATAAATGACTATGTGGATGGATGGATGGATGGATGGGTGGGTGGGTGGATGGATGGGTGGGTGGATGGATGGATGGATGGATGGGTGGATGGATGGATGGGTGGATGGATGGATGGGTGGATGGATGGATGGGTGGATGGATGGATGGGTGGATGGGGCCTTCCACAGGTGAATTTCCCTTCCTTACTTATCACTAGATTTTGCCATGGGTCACCTAGGCTGTCATCACCACGGTCACTGCTGTGAATAATGGAGTGTCAGGAGCTGAGGGAGGCAGTAGGGTATTGAGAGAACCTGTTAGCCTTGGGACTCAGGGGAGGGCCATTAATAAGGAGTAAGCATCTGAAGCTGGTCCTGACAGGCTTGCTGTGAATGGTGAGGCCAGATTACATGCCCATTGTACCCTGCTGTGAATCCACATCTCCCTAAGCCCCATCACACAGTGTAGCCGGGAATTTCTCACCCTCAAAGGTCTTTCAACCAAAAAAAAAAAAGGCCATTTCTGCCCAAGGAAGAATGTGGACCTGCAGGTTCCAGGTGGGAAGGAGAGGGGCTCAGGGTCTGGGTGAGGACAGAAGTTGGTGCTCTGACCTTAGTATGAATAACTCCAGCAAAGTCTTAATTCCTCAAAATACTGCCCAACATGCAACCGGCCACCTTTTATTGAACTTCCACGTGGGCAGACACTATGCTTGCTGAGGATACAGAGGTAAAAGAGAAAGACCCTGCCCTCAGAGGACTTATGGTCAAGGAGTAGAAGCTGTCGGGGAAAGGGCAGAGGGCTGGTGAGCCACGGAGGAGAAAGTGCTGGACAGGGCATGGACCCCAGGGGTGGCTTCATAGAGAGGCAAGATTTAAGCTCGGTGGGAGTTCTTCAGTGTGGCTCCCGGGAATCTGAATTTCTATCTCTCTCTTTTTTTTTTTTTTTTTTAGATAGAGTTTTGCTCTGTCGCCCAGGCTGGAGTGCAGTGGTGCAATCTCAGCTCACTGCAACTTCCGCCTCCTGGGTTCAAGCAATTCTTCTGCCTCAGTCTCCTGAGTAGCTGGGATTACAGGCGCGCGACAGCATGCCCAGCTAATTTTTGTATTTTCAGTAGAGGCGGGGTTTCTTTTATTTATTTATTTATTTTTTGAGACAGAGTCTCACTCTGTCACCCAGGCTGGAGTGCAGTGGTACAATCTCAGCTCACTGCAACCTCTGACCCCTGGGTTCAAGCGATTCTCCTGTCTCAGCCTCCCAAGTAGCTGGGATTACAGGCATGCACCATCATGCCCAGCTAATTTTTGTATTTTCAGTAGAGACGGGGTTTCCCCATGTTGGCCAGGCTGGTCTTGAACTCCTGACCTCAGGTAATCCACTCACCTCAGCCTCCCAAAATACTGGGATTACAGGCGTGAGCCACCGTGCCTGGCCAAATCTGAATTTCTTCTCAAATGCATGGGGGAATCTGTTGTGCCGACATGGTTAGGAATGATTTGTCTAGTGAGTGGTGGAGAAGGCATCCTAGGCAGAAGAAACTGTATGTGCAAAGAAAGGGAGGTGATCTAAGGGCACAGAGGTAACGGCAAACAGTCAAATATATGTGTAGAAACCAGGTTATTTGGGGGAAAGGGGATGCAACTAGAGTGGGAGGAAGAAAATCAAAATGCCATTTTGTTTGAATCGTTGAAAATAATTCCCCCAGGAAGCAGTAATCCATTTCAGCCTTCCTCATTCAGTGCTGATTTGCCCAAGTGGCAGGGAGATCTGGTGCCGATTACCAGGTTTCGGTGCATTAGGTAATGCAACAATAAAATCTGGGTCACTGCAGCACAAAGTCCCCTTTATTTTGACAAGTGTAGTTTTTACTCTGAAGTGTTATCATAAATAATTAAATTAAACCAGTAAATGGGTTGTAGTATGCTTTGCTGCAGTAACAAAGTCTCTGTAACCCCAGACACTGAGCCACTCCTTTGGGGGATTCTTGGCTCGGAAACATTTGGGAATTTTTCAGAAGTCAAGAATATTTGGAGTAGTCAAAGGAGAGAGGTAGGGCTGAAGGCTTGTTCCAGCCCATCCTGCTGCCCCGTTTCCCACTGGGCTTCCCCATCCTGCTGCACGCCATTCTATCATTTGACCTGTGGCAGCTTGAATCTGTAAAGGGATCACTCCTCAGCCCTAGGCTGGCCTCGAATGAAGAAGGGTAGAGAGTCCCAGTGCACATATTGGGCAGCCTCTTTTTTTTTTTTTTTTTTTGAGACAGAGTTTCGCTCTTGTTGCCCGGGCTGAAGTGCAGTGGTGCAATCTCAGCTCACTGCAACCTCCACCTCCCGGGTTCAAGCGATTCTCCTGCCTCAGCCTCCTGAGTAGCTGGGATTACAGGCATGTGCCACCATGCCCAGCTAATTTTGCATTTTTAGTAGACACGGGTTTTCTCCATGTTGGTCAGGCTGGTATTGGGCAGCCTCTTTTTTTTTTTTTCCATAATGCCCGCTCAGGCATCAGGGCATCAATAAGTAAATACTTCAAATCTTAGGGTAGAAGGTCTTGCAGGGACTCTCAAGACCACCAGACAACCCACCACCATCCATGACTTTTACCATTTCATAGACATGAAAACCAGGGAAGTAAAGTGACATGACCCATTGCTTGTTGGCCGATGGACAGGATAAGTAACATGCAGAACGTGAGTGCCAAAGACGCGGAGACCCAAAGGAGAATGTGCTGGAGACACAGGGGCTGCATGCAGGCAGAGAAAGGGGAAGTTGCAGGAGGAAGGAAAGAGGAAACGGTAAGAGGCAGGGGTGAGGTCTGCTAGAGGGCTGGGAGCTTTGAACCAAGTCTTCAGGCGGAGACCCTGAGGAGTCATCACCGGAGCCCTCAAGTACTCAGACATCTGCCCGCTGCATCAGGACAGTTCTCAAACCAAGCAAGAGAGAAATAAAATCTCTGTAGTGAAGAAGGAAAAATGGTGCTGGAGAGAATACCCAGAGGCGGAACCTGCTGGCTTTAAAGCAGGAGATTTCGGTCCCTCCCCAGGGTGAGTGGGGCTGCTTTTTGCCTCCTTCTCTACCATCTGCCCCCTCCGCTCTCCCATCGTCCTGCCTGCTGGACATCCAGGCATCAGCTTCTGTCACCCTTGTCAGGGCCTGCAGATAAGGTGGCAGTTGGTGGCCAGATTAGAGGGGGAGTAGCATTCCACTGCCCCCTCTTTTGGTGGCATCCAGGCCTGTAGGACTCCATGCAGGGACAACTCCATTCGTAGAGCCAGAACTCCCAGTGAGAGTTCTAGAATGGGGGCTCCTTCCGAGTCCCAGAGCCTCCAGCTGAGCCAGCTCCAGGGAGAGCGTGACAAACAGGTATCCTGGACAGAGAGGACTCTGGAGACCAGAAGAGCCTGTCAGAATGAGGGGCCGAACAGCACACACGGCCTTCCCTCCTGCCCCTCCACAGACCGGCTGTTTTTCATAGCACCTTTAGTGGAAAGGAAAGCATGTTTCTCTCACTCCATGGAACTCTGAGCTATGTAAACAATAGAGATAGAGCTGGAACAAAAATCACCTACAGGGCCGATAGCTGCACCAGAAATCCCTCCAGGGAGGAGGCCAAGGCTCCTTGGTGTTCAACAGCACAAAAGCTCAGATATTAGTGAAGTGTCGGTGCCCGGGGCTTTTGCCCCAGGGCTGTGGGGTCTTGTTTAGAGGTCAGTGAAGGGGAAGGCCCACACCTGGTGGGCTGCACGGCACCCCCTCCTTCTCCCTGACATCTATTGCATCATTCTCAAGGTGTGTGGACCAGGGACAGGGGAAGTGAGCTCAGCTGACCCAGAAACCCCGGCAAGGCCTGTGCCCAGTTTGCTGTTCCTCACCGGAGACCTTTGGGGTTCTAGGCCACTCTTACGTGGTGATGGCAGGGCAGGTGTGCACAGGTCTGCCTATGAGGTGGGGATCTGCAACTGTCCCCAGAAACCCACTGCTAAACTGGGTCCTTAGGGACTTCACCGCCCTGCTGGCCTCCTCCTCCCTCTGAGGCATCATTGACTCCAGGAAGCCCTCTGTGAACCCCAAGGCTGCACCCTGGGGTGCCAAGCTTCTCTGTGTGCCTGCACTGCACCCTGTCATACTCAGAGCTTATCATCTCAAGCGTATCTCCTTAAGACAGGGCTGTGTTTGACTTATCTCTGTGCACACTTCCATATACAGTAGGTGCTCAATAAACGCTTGTTGGACAGAACGGGGCATCTCTAGGCCAGGCCTGGCATCCCTGGTCAGGACGGCTTCAGTGGGAGGCCCAGTTCTCTGGCCTCAGCTGCCCTTGGCTCAGGGGGTCCAGTTCGGGAGAGACCAGGGTGGTCAGAGCGTGCACTGCCCTTTAATCCAGGCCTGGGTTCTTTCCCGCGTCACGGCCAGATCCCATCTCCTCTTCAACACATAGCGCTGTGGCTACCACATTGCCTCTCTGGCAGACACTGTGGGGATGTGTGTAGTCAGGTTGCAGGGAGGGGGACTTTAAACAAACAGTCCATGGCCCCAGTCAGTGCCAAGGCTCACCGCATCCCCAGCCCCACACCCCCTCTCCAGGGCGAGCCAGCTTGCTGGACCGTGTGACCGGGAGCCCGCAGAATTCATTTCACAAAAAATGTTTTGGTGCTCTGCTTCTCACCCCATCCCCAGCTGGGCCAGAGAGCACCTGAGTGCCCCTCCTGCTCTCCCTCCCTCTTGGGCCTTTCGCCCCCTAATCCACAAAGTGGGGAGCGGTCATGTGGGCCCTCAGCTCTCGACAGGAAGCTGTCAGGCACAGCTGGCTCGCCGGGCCAGCTCCCTTACCGCCAGGGAGGCGGGCTGCCGTCCCCGAGCCCGGCTCGCTGAAACCCAACCCCTCTTTCCAGCTGCAGCTCGAAAGAGCCCCTGGCCAGCCTTCCCCAGGGACCCTGCAGCCTGCAGATCTCACGGTCAGGGAATTTTCCCTGCGCAGTGTTCCAAGTCAGCCAAGCCTCCAGAACAAAGGGCAGAGAGACAGAGACCGGCCTCTTCCTATCCCCCCATAAGTGGCAAGAAAGACCCAGCCCACAGAGGCTGCTCCCCTGATGTGGGGGAAGGGTATACCCAGAGGACAAAGACCATCCTTCCTGGGAGGCCTGTGCCTCGGGAAGCACTCCCCGGAGGAGCCAGGACCAGATAGATTTGCAGCAGCCCCCATTTCTTCCACCCCAGGGAGGAAAGTGACCTGTACTGGCCCTGACATCCCAAGGGCCACGGGTGTCAGGAGGCCTGTGTCAGAGTCAGGTGCTGCACAGAAGGGGATTGTTGCTGATTAGTGCGGAGGCACACATTCCAGAACGCAGTGATTCCTTTCCCTGGGGAAAATGCAATTTACAAAAGAAAAATGGGCCGGGCGCAGTGGCTCACACCTGTAATCCCAGCACTCTGGAAGGCGGATCACAAGGTCAGGAGATCGAGACCATCCTGGCTAACACAGTGAAACCCCATCTCTACTAAAAAATACAAAAAATTAGCCGGGCGTGGTGGCGGGCCCCTGTAGTCCCAGCTACTCGGGAGGCTGAGGCAGGAGAATGACGTGAATCCGGGAGACAGAGCTTGCAGTGAGCCGAGATGATCGCGCCACTGCACTCCAGCCTGGGCGACAGAGCGAGACTCCGTCTCAAAAAAAAAAAAAAAAAAAAAAAAAAATGGGACTTTTTTGTTGTGGTCCCTAAGAACAGACTGTTCCTCAAACTCAGATAATAAACTGCTGTCAAGCAGCAGCCCTGGTAACATGTAATAGAGTGGAGAGAAACCCGCAACCAGCATTGGTTCAAGCTCTGATATCATCACTAACTAGCTATGTGGCTGGTCTAGCTCTAGGGACACCCCAAAGCCATTGTGGCCAGGACAGAATATATTATAACTAACTTCTCTGAGCCTCATTTTTTCTCATCTGTAAGATGGGACTAGTATTGTTTACCAGGCCTACTTCCTTCATTTAGCAAACATTAAGTACCAACTGTGTGCCAGGCACTAAGTCTGTTGCTGGAAGCTGAGAAATAACAGGATTCCCCACCCCAGGTCACATTAACTAATGGGTATAAAGGTGCTTGGAAAACTGAAATGCTGAAATAAATAGATAAGGACCAGCTGTAATGATCTCATTAACTTTCTGGGAATGAGGCTGCTAAAGTGATTTTTAAAGTTCTTAAAAACAGTTAAGTAAGCCAGACCTGTCTCTGTAATCTGGCCTGCACTATTTATTTGCTTAGCAAACCATTTCTTCATAGATAGTGCAAAAGGAAAGACTTCAGACCAGCCCGAGGCAGAATTTATCCCAAATTCAGAGTGAGTGGGGTCTGAATTAATTAGGTCTTTCTGTAGCTTAATGTATAAACCTGGGCTCAGGAAATTTGGCCTTTAAAGCAGGTGCCCTTTCAAATGAGTGGGTTTCATGTGACTGTTTTAACTTCAGCTTCATTACCCTTTATGGGCTGCAGGAGTGGTGGGGGGAGCAGGCAGGAGGGATCTGGTGTGAGTCTGCTTCCGTGAATGGGGAGCCAAAGGAACCGTAAAACAGCCCCTGGGTCCTCAACAGCCTTCTCCCAACCAGGGCCTGCCAAGGTGACCTGCCTACCTCCCCATGGAGGTAAATTCATACTTACAGTCCCCGTCTGGGGTCTCCTCCAGTCTCAGGTGAGGGCAAGGGCCAAGGCTCCCAGTCCTACTTGTGGGGCTGGTCATCTGCTGGGGTTTCCTCCTTCGATCTCTCATTGTCCTTGAACTTCTTGTTCTAGCTCCTTGGCAGCCTCCAAACTCCACAGCGTGAGAGCGCTGTGCCAGGATACTCTCTCACTCAAGAACCCGCGGTTATTCCCTACTGCCTGAAAGTCCTCAGCCCCCACCACCTGCTCTTATTATCTGCTCAAGATGCTCCAGGTCACCCGTCCCTTTAGACAGTCCAATATGGCAGCCACCAACCACCCATGACTATGGAGCACTTGTGGCCAATCCCAATTGAGATGTGCTGTAAGATATACACCCAGATAATGAAGATTCAGCATGAAAAAAGTAATGTAGGCTGGGCGCGGTGGCTCACACCTGTAATCACAGCACTTTGGGAGGCCAAGGTGGGTGGATCACCTGAGGTCAGGAGTTTGAGGCCAGCCTGGCCAACATGGTGAAACCCCATCTCTACTAAAAATACAAAAATTAGCTGGGCATGATGGCAGGCGCCTGTGATCCCAGCTACTCGGGAGACTGAGGCAGGAGAATCACTTGAACACCTGGGAGGCAGAGGTTGCAGTGAGCCAAGATCATGCCACTGCACTCCAGCCTGAGTAAGACTCTATCTCAAAAAAAAAAAAAAAAAAAGAAATGTAAACTATCTCATTAGTAATGCTTATAATTTTTATATTGATTACATGTTAAAATAATATGGATATATTTGATTAAATAGAATATATTATTAAAATGAATTTCCCCTGTTTCTTTTTACATTTTAAATGTGGCTACTAGAATGTGTGAAATTACCCATGTGGCTCCCATGTTGGCTTGCAGTAATGTCTACCAGCCAGCCTGCTCTGGAGCACCATGCAGTGAAAGTACCTGGGCTGGGTTGTGGGCAGATTTCCCTTTCGGTGCTATTTGGTATGTAACCTTTCCAAACCTCTATTTCCTTTTGTTCCAAATGGGATTAAAAGTACCTGCTTCAGATGATTACTAGGAGAAAGAGATAAGCCAACAGCTGTGAAATCTACTAGCAGAGAGCAGTTAACTCAATACGTGTTGGTTTCCTTCCTTGTCCTTTCCAAATCACATTTCAAAACACTTTTTAGAGCACTGGTTCTCCTTGGATGCACCCAGAAATCACCTGGGAAGTTTTCTATTAAAAAACAACAAAAAAACACAACAAACAAACAACAACAACAACAACAAAATATATATATATATGCCCAGGCCTGGACTCCATTCTTTTTCTGTTTGTTTGTTTGTTTTTTGAGAGGGAGTCTGTCTCTGTTGCCCAGGCTGGAGTGTAGTGGTGCGATCTCAGCTCACTGCAACCTCCACCTCCAGGGTTCAAGCAATTCTCCTGTCTCAGCCTCCCAAATAGCTGGGACTACAGGTGCACACCACCATGCCCAGCTAATTTTTGTATTTTTAGAAAGATGGGGTTTCACCATATTGGTCAGGCTGGTCTTGAACTCCTGACTTAAGGTGATCCACTCGTCTCGGCCTCCCAAAGTGCTGGGATTACAGGCGTGAGTGGACTCTTTTTTTTTTTTTTTTGAGACAAAGTTTTGCTCATGTTGCGCAGGCTGTAGTGCAATGGCGTGATCTTGGCTCACTGCAACCTCCACCTCCTGGGTTCAAGCAATTCTCCTGCCTCAGTCTTCTGAGTAGTCAGGATTACAGGCATGCACCACTATGCCTGGCTAATTGTGTATTTTTAGTAGAGACATGGTTTCTCCATGTTGGTCAGGCTTGTCTCGAACTCCCGACCTCAGGTGATGCGCCCGCCTTGGCCTCCCGAAGGGATTACAGGCGTGAGCCACTGCGCCCAGCCGGACTCCATTCTTAATCGGAGTCAGGGTGAGTTTAATTGGTCAGGTTGGGACCTGGGCATCAGCATAGTTTAAAGGGCTCCAGGTAATCTAATGCATAGCAAGGGTTGAGAATTCCTGCGCCAGAAGAACCAGTTGCTCCTTCACCCCTCAATGCTCTGACCCTGTGCTTTATATGCTGTCCCTTTAGCATTTTACATGTGTTTTGTGCTACTTTAATGATAACCAACTTTCCTGAATGCCTACCTGGACACCTTTCCTGAACATCTGGCACTTTACGTATAGTATCTTTAATCCTTATCACAACTCGGCGAGGTAAATTAGATTAACCCCATTCTGCAGATGAAGAAGCTGAGGCTTAGAAAGGTTAAAGTAACTTACTTGTTAAATCAGTGGAGGGGAGCCAGGAGGAAGCACTCAACCCCCCGGCAAGCCTGACTCCAGCCATTGCTCCCTAGACTATGCTGCCTTTGCTTTCAGTGATTCAGTCACAAGAATCTACACGTCCAGGGGTAGGGTGCTTTCTTCCTGTTTGCAACAGTTCTCAAATGAGGCATTCAGCAGCCCCTTGATAAATACTGACTAAACCTCAGAGTACCTGAGTTGTTTTTTGTTTGTTTGTTTGTTTGTTTTGAGATGGAGTTTCGCTCTGTTGCCCAGGTTGGGCGTACAGCATACAGGCTGGAGTGCAGTAGCATGATCTCGGCTCACTGCAACCTCCACCTCCTGGCTTCAAGCTATTCTCCTGCCTCAGCCTCCCGAGTAGCTGAGATTACAGGTGGGCACCATCACACCCAACTAATTTTTGTTTTGTTTTTTTTTTTTTGAGACAGAGTTTCGCTCTTGTTGCCTAGGCTGGAGTGCAATGGCACGATCTCAGCTCACCACAACCTCCGCCTCCTGGGTTTGAGCCATTCTCCTGCTTCAGCCTCCTGAGTAGCTGGGATTACAGGCATGCACCACCATGCCCAGCTAATTTTGTATTTTTAGGAGAGACGGGGGTTTCTCCATGTTGCTCAGGCTGGTCTCGAACTCCTGACCTCAGGTGATCCACCCGCCCTGGCCTCCCAAAGTGCTGGGATTACAGGTGTGCCGCCACCTCCATCCCAGAGTACCTGTTTGAGAGTATCCAAAAGCAGGCTGAGAGGCTGGAGAGCTAGCCTCGGGGCCCATAAGGATTCGGGTCTGTGCTGCGCTCTGCTGTGCGCCGAGCAGTTTCAGAGCCAGGGGAGTTTCAGGGCTGCCCTCCGCAGGCAGGCCTCTAACAAGGACAGGACAGCTCTGAAAAGGACAGTGGGCGAATGAGAGAGGCTCCTTGGATTCTAATGTATCATTCTCCCACACTCAGTCTCTCTTAGCAACTCTCTGACCCAGGAACACTATTGAGAGCACAGGTCCTTCATGGTCAAGAAGGCAAGAGACCTGACTCTGGTGGCTCCTGGGTGGGTGGCAGGTGCCCTAACCCTACCCTACTAGTGCCTCCACCACCTGCAGGTCCCCTCCCCAATCTGCCACCACCAAGGGCTGCCTGGATTTTTTGGACCAGCTCTGAGTCCATGTAATTGCTTTGTTTTCAAAATAGGTGGTGTGTTAAAGGCTTGACTAAACGGGATTCAGTTTTTCTACTTTTGTAAGACTTCAAATACAAATGTTCTTAAGTCAGAGGTGCCTCCACCCACATGATGGACTCACCTGCAGCCATTCAGAAGGAGGACGGGCAAACCGCACAGTGGCACGGAAAGACAAGGATGATGGCCGCGAAGTGGGGGCAGCATCCGATCCACATTCTAAAAGTAGCATAATCACCATTACTAAACACTAAAAAAAGGAAAATAAAGAGGTAGGAGAGCGGGGGAGGAATACATGAGAATGTTCCCAGCAGTTGTGATATGATGGTGAAATCACACGTAATTCTATTTCTTTTATTTGCCAAATTTTCTGTAATGTGTCTATAGGACTTAAATAAAGGGAAAGAAAAATTCCTTTGGGGGTAATCCATCCCAACAAAAACCATCGAATCTGACCCGCACTCCTTCATCTTCTGTCTCCTCCACACCTTCCTAGAAGAGGACAGGAACAGAGGTGGGAGGCTCTGTGAGCCCGCTGGAAAGGCCACCAGGCCCTGCTCTGGGGTGGTGACTCGGTCAGATTTTCCCACACCCAGTCTGGCAGTGGAAGACAGAAGGGCTGTATCCTCACTCCAACTGTGCTCCAGGAACAGGGTCCTTTCGGTCCCATGGACAGGTCCCTGTCATTCTGCAGGGAGCAGGAGGGGAAGTGGGAGACCACTGCAGCAGGTGTACTTTCCCCTAATGGGGCTCCTAGTGCCTCCCCTGGGTTCAGAGCCCAGCTCTGGAGCAAGCCAACCTTGACCCTTTTCCCAGCCGGGTGCAAAGGCAGCCCTATGGTCTTTGGTGCCTGCAGGGCTGATAGGTGTCCAGAACTGTGGTCACTGAGAGTCAACAACTTTCCCTTTTCTCTGAGGCTCTCTCCTCTTCCCGGCGTGGTGGGAGGCCCCACCCAGAAGATAGCCTTGCCCACCCTGGCATTTTAGGTTGGTCCCCAGATAAAGCAGGCAGTGGGTGGAGTGGTCATGAGCTTTGGACCCAATCAGACCCTGGTTCAAATCTCATCCAGTTTTGCCACTTACTAAATGAACAACCTCAGGAAAATTAAATGCAGTCAGAGCCTCATCTGGAAAATGACATAATGACTCCTGTCTCACAGGGCTGTGATTTGGGTCAAGGGAGAGAAAATGGACATAAAGCACCTTGAACAGCCTCGACACACAATAGCTGTTATTGGTGCCTCTGTCTTCCTGGCCCCTCCTAAGCCAGGCTCTTGGGGCTGGGGGAGGACCCTGGACTTGACTTTAGGGATTGGCCTCTTTTAATGCTCTGCTCTCACGGCTGAGTGTGGGGGGCTGGGGCTGGGAAAGCCATGTGACTTCAGGCTGGCTATTTAGCCATTTCTTTGTGTCTCTTTGGCTCTGAAGGGGTGAGGTAATCCCTCAGAAGTGCATTCTTCCTGGGGAGAGAATGTCGCTGTTTCTTAGGGGGTTATAATCACTGTCCTTGCTGGAGGTTGAATGAGGACAGTGAGGGGGCTGACCTTGCCCCCTCCCCACCTTCCAGCCCCGGCCACGCCCCACCATAGGATCTCAGAGTTAGGGGACAGACTCCAGTCTCCAGTCTAGAAGGCTCTGGGAGTGTTTCCCTGAACAACATACACAAGCGTTGGAGGTATTTCTGAGGGACAGTGGCTGCTTTTATAAACTCACAGCAATATAATAATCATAAGTATTATGTGGCCCCTCAGTTTGGAAAGTACTTTCTCGTACCTCATCTACTCCTCTCTACAACAACCTTGTGGGTGACGTTATTATCTCCATTTCACAAATGAGGCCACAGAGGTTCTAAAGGGTAAATGACGATGATGATGAGAGGTAAGTGATAAAACAATGTCTCCTGACCACAAATCCTGGAATTTAAACATAAGTGTAGTAAACATGAACTCTAGGAAGCCTCCTGGGGCTTCTCCCTGTGTCTGGAGCCCCTGCACATGCCCAAAGGAAGTCCTTTTGGTTCTCCGTTCAGTAGAGAAAGGGAGCAATTCACTAAAAGGGAGGTGGGGAAACAAGACTGGTGGTAGGGGAGGCTGGGCTCAGTGGCTCACGCCTGTAATCCCAGCACTTTGGGAGGCTGAGGCAGGCAGATCACCTGAGGTCAGGAGTTAGAGACCAGCCTGCCCAACATGGTGAAACCCTGTCTCTATTGAAAATACAAAACCAGCCAGGCATGGTGGGACTACCTGTAATCCCAGCTACTTGGGAGGCTGAGGCAGGAGAATCACTTGAACCCGGGAGGTGGAGGCTGCAGTGAGCTGAGATCGCACCACTGCACTCCAGCCTGGGCAACAGAGTGAGACTCCATCTCAAAAAAAAAAAAAAAAAAAAAAAAAAAGAGGCCGGGTGCAGTGGCTCACCCCTGTAATCTCAGCACTTTGGGAGGCTGAGGCAGGCAGATCACCTGAGGTCGGGAGTTCGAGACCAGCCTGCCCAAGATGGCGAAAACCCATCTCTACGAAAAATACAAAAAAAATTAGCCTGGCCTGGTGGTGGGCACCTGTAATCCCAGCTACTCAGGAGGCTGAGGAAGGAGAATTGCTTGAACCCAGGAAGCGGAGGCTGCAGTGAGCTGAGATCGCGCCACTGCACTCGTAGTGGGTAATCTTCCCCGGGTATTGGGTAAGAGATTAACAGGCTGAGAAGGCAGATGCCTCAATGTCAAAGGTGGTGTTTTGAGAGTACGGAGGATTAGCTGGTGCCACATCTGGGGCCTCTTAGGTGGCTGCCCAGCAGAATATGACCTAGTCCTTCCCACAACCCAGCCTCAACCCTCGGGAAAGAGAACCAAGGTTCCTGCTGTTGTGTCCCTTCTGATGCATCCCGGCCATGGGAGAAGAGAAACCTCTGAAAAGGCTTTCCAGGGTGCAAGACCCCCGCAGTGTTCAGAGGGGCAGGAAAGGAACTCCCTCTCCTGACTTGAGTCTGGGTCAAATGTCCATGTGGCCTACTTCCTAGAACGGGAGGGATGGATGGGGCGGGTTTGCGGAGACCAGGAGAAGGTTGCTGGCAGCCAGCCCAGGCTCCATTTCCCTGCCCTGGGAGGGTGTGGTGGCCCAGGACCCCACAGCCTGTGGGGCCCAAACCCAGTGACAAAGACATGCTTTGAGTCCCTCTGACTTCCAGATTGCTATGGGGAATGGGGAGGAGGGGAGGGAGGAAGGAAAGGGCATCCATCCCAGACTGAGTATCCTGAAGCCGGCCATGACTTCGGTTTTGCCACTGCCTGTCCCCCTGCCTTTGTGGCCGGTTGTGTGGTGGTGCTATTTTCAGCATGAGCAGTAGTAGCGCGCAAGTGTCGTTCTGCGCAGTCAGCCAACTTCCTGATGTGAAACCCTAGCCGGAGGTCTCCCGGGCCCCTCCCCGGGCGCGCGGGCAGGCAGGCCCTCAGACTAGTTCCTGGAAACTTTATAGCCCCTCTCTCTGCACTACTCAGTTCCTCTCTCAGGGATTGCTCAAATAGTAAAATAAAACATTATAGTAACAGTGAGCATTTATTGATCGCCTACTATAGGCCAGGCACTGGGCGAGGCGTTTCATTGATATTATCTCATTAGTTACCACCTTGCCTTGCTTGTTCTGTATCCTGCTTGAGAAAGAGGTATAGTGTGTGGAGAGCAGGCATGTCATTTCTAGCTCATTAAATTTGTTGCTGATGGATTGGTCTTCAAAAAGCCATCATTTTTATGGAAAAAGTAGATTTCACTTACATCGTTCTGCTTTGCAGGAAAACCTCCAGAAAGTTCAGTTTGAGCCAGGCCCATAGCCGCCTGTGTCCACATCAGGCATGACCTCAACAGTCATGTCACCCATAATTCACAAGCATCTTTCTGGTCCCAGCTGTTCTTCTCATCAAGGAGGCTGTATTTTAGATGTCTGTTTCTCCAGTCTTTCTCTCTCTTGCTCAACAACTGAGGCCTTTCTTGCCAGAATTGGAGGAGCTGAGGTTCTGGGTCCAGCTATGGACTGGTGGGACATGGGGTCGGGGGAGGGCTTAGCAAACCTTCTCTCCCAGCCACTGGGGCCCTGGGCCACTGCCCCTGCAGGAGCTGCCAGGAGAGTGGAAGGATCTTGGAGGAGGGCTGTTGGTGTAGGTGGGAATGGAGAACATTCCTCCAGCTGGTGGCAGGAGCTGGCTAGCCAGAGGCCTTTTTCACGGCCCAATGCAGTGCAGCTCTTGTGTGTATGAGCTTTGTGAGATTTAGATCACTCTGTATTAGCCACAGGGTATTGGAGGTCACATCAAAGGTTAGAAAGCTGTGGAAAGAGTTCTTTCCCCGTGACTCACACTCCCCAAAAACGTAAATCTCTGAGAGGAGCCAGCTTGCTTTATAGAGCTGGCAGGAGAAAGGGGACAGCAAGAACTACTGGAGAGTTTTTCTAAAGAAACCTCTGGAAGGTCGGACAAAGGAATTTTTATTGAGGAGAGGAGCCAGAGGGGAAAGATGCTCTGGGACCAGATAGATGGATGGGGTTGGGCATTGGGGTGGGGGCAGCAACAGCGCTTCAGTTGCTCCTGGCCTGGAAGGACTAGACCGCCGCATCACACAACTCCAAGAGGTATCCTGGCTTGTGCAGTGCACGACCTGTGCAGCCACACGTGGCAGCCTTGTCTTTCCTTGGTCCCTCCTGGATGGATTTGGTGGAGCCTCCTTCATGGGTTCCTATAGAATCCTCCAGAGGGTCATAGCTTAAAATTATCCACGTGCTTGTCTGCACCCATTTCTGGCCACTTCATAGTTACATCTTTGAGGACAGAGGCCATGTCTTCTAAGATTTTGCTTTCTAGCCTGGCGCATAGTATATGCTTAAGAAACATTTGTGGAATGAATAAATAAACATTGTTAAGAGAATTCTAACATTTAGAAACGGGTACGGCTAAGACCAAGCATTGGGAACGAGAAAGAGCTTTGATTTCTTTAAAGAAAAAGTATGATCCAAAAACATCAACTCCTTAAAGATCCAACCACTACCTTTAGGAAGCTCCCCAATAAAATTCTGTTCATTTAGTCCCTCCATTTCTCAAGCATTTACCAGCCCCTCTGTCAGGCACCAGCTGGGGTTCCTTTAAGATGCCCACAGCCCTGATGGGGCAACAGACATGCGCTTCTGCTACCTGCTGCCAGAATGAAGCGGTCACAACTGCCTGGAAGGCCTGTGGGAGACATGCGGGGCACTACAGGGCGCTGGAAAGGGAGCCGCTCACTCACTTTGCCAGAGAAACAGGCTTCGTGGAGGAGGTAACAGGCAGGGGCTTGGAGGGAAAGCACCTTCGGCTTTGCTCCTGTCTAGGTTTTGGCTTTTTAAAAAAATTTATCTTTGTTTATTTATTTTGAGACGGAGTCTCACTCTGTCACCCAGGCTGAAGTGCGATGGCGCAATCTCGGCTCACTGCAACCTCTGCCTCCCAAGTTCAAGCGATTCTCCCGCCTCAGCCTCCCGAGTAGCTGGGATCAGAGGTGCACGCCACAATGCCTGGCTAATTTTTTGTATTTTTAGTAGAGACGGGGTTTCACCATGTTGGCCAGGCTGGTCTCAAACTACTGACCTCAGGTGATCCACCTGCCTTGGCCTCCCAAAGTGCTGGGATTACAGGTGTGAGCCACTGCACCTGGCCCAGGTTTTGGCTCTCTTGAGCACAGAGAGGGTAAGTGTGTACTCTAAGGTCACAGAGCTCATAAGTACATCTTAAAACCCCGTTCCTCAGCTCCACATCCTGTGACATACCACTGACTTGCTTTCTGTGCTCGAGCCCAGGCCTGGAGAAGCCCCCTCCTCCTCCCGGAGCAGTGAAGGAAGGTGATGTGAGAGGAGGGCCCCGCAGCAGCTGTGGATTTTATTCCTGGGCCAACCCGGGGACTTGCCTAGGCCTCTCTTCATGTTGGCCCCATCGACGGTGCAGCTCCTCCCGCCTCTCTTAACACTCTGGTGCTGCGCTGCCTCGCTTCGCAGATCATGTGCTCCCTGCTTGGTTCCTCAGCCCTGACCTGTATCACAATTCCTCACAGCGCCTTGACACCCTCTGTCACCTGGGTGCTGCCCTTTTCCTGGCTACCCCGGCTGGTGTGCCAGCCTCCAGGCCTTCATAGGGGACTGGGGACTTCGGCTCCTCCAGGTCTGGGCACAGCTCACTCCACTGAGCCTCTCACCCAGGCCCGAGCCCAAACAGGGCTCCTGCCACCAGCTGCCAGCCTTCCCAGCCAGTCTCCTCTGCCCGGGCTCTAGGCATTGCCTCTTCCCTGGGCTCACCAGTGGTGACACTGCCCATTCCTGCCCACTGGACTGCAATATCAGAATACTTTCCCCTCCAGCAATGTGGCTCAGGAGAGAGGACATGGGCTCCAGAGTCAACTCTGTCATCTGCCAGCTCTCAGAGTTCCTTAACGTCCCTGAGCCTTACGGTTCTCATCTGTGAAATGGGAGTGACACCTCTTTCAGAGAAACACAGGCATCGCGGTGCGATACACGCCCGGCTCTGCACCTCATACCCAGCTTCTAAGGACAGCGGGAGCTGACAGCAGCTCCTGCTTCCAAATGCTTCTCACGATCATTATCAGTCTTGTTCTACCCTGAGGTGAGCAGAGAAAACTTCATTGTACCCATTTGACATCGAGGAGATTTGGGCTCAGAAAGAGTAAGTGACTTGCCTAAGGTCACCCTGCTCGTCAGGAGAGGGCTGGGTGGGAACCCCAGCATTGTGATTCTGCATTCTGTGGCCCCAGAATAAATTGTTCCCACTCTCTCCTCTACAGTCAGGGCTCCCCTGCCTTATTGTGAGACCCCTGCCGCCTGCCCTATGCTCAGAATGCCAGTGTGAAGGGGCATCATTCTGGCTCTTTCCATGGTCTCAAGCAGACCCTTTAGGTGGAGAAGGGTGAGAAGAACCCTCCAGATAGGTCATGGGGTGGCTGGGGCTCCAAAAGCCCCCTTTGAGACCACACTTCCTCTCTGTGGCCCACTGGGGACTGCCGAAGGCAGCACCCGGAGCCCCGGGAAGGAGGAAGCTTCGGGTTGCGAGTCACGCCTTATGCCCCCGAGTCAGCCCAGACTCTGCTCCACCAGTGCCCCAGCCCCTGGCCAGAGCAGCCCCGTGGCCTGTTGGCAGCTGCTGCCCAGCCCCCATCTGCGGGCTGCCAGGGCTGGCAGCCTCACGGCCACGCTGCACAACTCCGCGCCTCTCCTCCTCAGTTTATTCCTTCCAGACACACAGTTGCTGCTTTTTATTTGGATTGCTTTTCTGTGTTATGGTATTTGGGTTGTTTTTCCAATCCCTCCCCCAACCCCTGCCTTTCCCCCATGGCAGGATTCCTAAGAAGACTCGTTTTTGGAGAGCGCTGCAAGCACATCTGCTCTCTGACTGCAGCATTCCGGGAGGGCCCTGTCAGGGGGCTCAGGTCTCGGGAAGCCAGGACACGCTGGGCAGGGGGGGCCGGCGGGCAGGGTGCAGGGCCCCTGGCAGTCAGGGCCTGTGGTGGGCACACTCACTGAGGCAGGCAGTGCTGGGCCTGGGGGCCTGTGGCTGCTGCCAAAGTCCTGGAGCCGCAGCTCACCAACTCCCTGGCCCCATTGGCTGTGGCTGCTGGCTCTCAGCTCAGACACGAGTAGGCCAGACTTGGGGTGAAAGAGAAACCAGGAGCCTTTTACAACACCCTGGACTTCGGGCTCCCTTTGGTGAGCAGATCTGAGGGGTGGGGTCCTGTGTGTGGTAGGTGTTGGAGTCCGCATGGGTGTACCCTTATGTGTACTAGAAAAAGTGTGGTGGCTGTATGGAGGTTCAAAAGCCACGGGACTTGGGTTCCATTCCTGACTTTCCCACCAACTGGCTGTGTGAACGTGGGCAAGTTGCTGTGAAGCAGGGATAACAGCATGCCCCCCAACTCCACTGTGAGGGTAAACAAGTTAATACGTGAAAATACTTCCTGGCACATAGTAAGTGCTCAATAAATGTTTTAGCTGTTATTATTATATATGCATTGGGATGTGTGTGGAATTATTAGATTCGGGGTGGTGCTCTTGGACTTTGGAGTGTGAGCACTGCTCCCCAGCTTGCTAAAAGTGCTGGCTTCTGGGCCTCACCGCAGAGATTGTTTCAGCAGATCTTGGGAGAGCTCAGGAATTTACATTTTAATCCAGAGGCCTTGGCGATATTGACATGTTGGTCCAGAGTCTGATCTGGAGTCATCTGAGGTGTCTGAATGAGTAGAGCCTTGGGAAGGCTTGGGGTGTGTGTGTGTGTGTGTGTGTGTGTGTGTGTGTGTCTGTGTATTGGTGGCAGGGGCTGCAGGGGTGTGAGAAGGATTGGATTATTTCCTAGGCTCTGGTAAATCACTCAGAACTGCTTTGCAAATGGAGCTGGAGACCCAGTGAAGGAGTGGAGTGGAATGAGGCGGCTCCAGGCAGGAGTCACCCCAGGCAGAGCCTTGGGTCTCTAGGAAGGAACGAAGACTGCTGGGGTTTTCAGCAGGGGACTGACACAGTCCAACTGAATGGTTTGGGTTGGAGCTGCCTGGTTTACAGCCTAAGGCACAGCAGATGGCAAGGAGGGTATAAAATTGCAATTAGCTCAAGGCCACAATGGCAGAAGGGTCTATGGCCTGAGAGCAGGAGCGGCAGCAGGATCTGGAGGAAGAGAGGATCTCCCAGATTGAGCAGCTGTGCCCACCCCCTTCACTTCTGAGTTAATGAGGCCAGAGCATCCAAGCCAGGGCCCGGTCTCCGTGAGCCCATCGCTCCAGCAGCCCAGCCAGGATCGCTTAAGATAAGAATCTTGTAAACTCACCCACTCAAGTGCTTATAGTCTCTTGATTCATTTTCTTCTACTTTCTCTCTCAGCAAAGATGTTTTAGAGAAACTCTTCGTTTTCACTGAGCTAAAAAAAGAAGGAGGTGGACCCTCCTAAGGCTAGAGAGAGAGCTGGTCGCCTGTTCCAGGAAGGAGACTGGGGGACCAGCTGTGGCCTGATGGTGTGAGGCCTCCCTTCCAGGAGTAGGCCAGTGGGGGCAGCCGGGAAGGCCTGGTTCTCCCAGCAGGGGTCTCCTTTCAGATGCTAGATTGTATGTGTATGTAAGTGTATGTGAAGGGTGTGTGTGTGTGTGTGTGTGTGTGCATTCACACAGCAACAAGATATTTACTGAGTGTGGATTATGTGCCAGACACTGTTCTAGATGCTAGGGATACACCTGTGAACAGAATGAAGATCCGTGCACTCGAGGAATGTGAGGTCGATGGGAATTTCGTGTCCGGAGGGGATGGGTAAGTGCTGTGTGTATGAGTCCACGGTGCACACACAGGCGAGGAATGGAGAATAACACATACGTGCCCAGGCAGACCTGGGTCAGGAAACATCTGCCATTCTCCAGGCATGTGATCTTGGGCAAAATATTTTCTGAGCCTTGGTTTTCCATAAAATGGGAAAATAATCTCTTTCTCTCACAACTGTTGTGAGACTAAATATGCAAATGCTTGGAAAGCTCTAAGCAAAATACCTGATACATGATAGTTGCCAAACGATGTTTTTTCTTCATGTTTCCTATGGAGTTGGTGGAGCTGTTTCTGCATGTATATACCAAGTATGTGTTTGTGTCTGGGTGGGGTGTCCCATGTGTCTGAGAGGTCTAAATGTGTGGGTTCTCCCCAGGTGATAATCTCCTCCCCCCAGGATGTGCCTTGTGCTGTAGAGATATCTCAGGTCTCACTAAAGGTGGCATTCATTGCCTGTTCCATTCTGAGCAAGGAGGCCCACTAATAGAGAGAAAAGGTCATTCAGTCTGGAATCCTAGGAGTTGGCCCGTTAAAGCCTTGGCTTAGGTCTGTCATGAGTCTCTCCAGCTGCAGCGTGACTCTCGCTTGCAGTTCTGTTTGTAGTGCACACAAAGAATCCTCAGCCACCCCTTGCTGACACCCACCTACACCAACTTGCAGCTTTTCTTTCCCAATTCTGTGACATCTTGGCCATGCTGCTCCCTGCTGAGACCCTCCCAGAATCCCCCAGGTCACTTGTAAAAGTGGATCTAGAAGGTAAACCCAGGACCAGCCCTCAACAGGCAACTGTGGGAGCAGAACTGCATTGTTTAGTGATCCGCTTAGGACTCCCACCATTCTTGCTTCCTCCTGCAGAGTGAGAAGAGAGGTGAGTCCCGTTCCCGCTCTCCCTGCTCTAGACTGTCTCCCAAGGAGAAAGCCCATGATTTTGGTTATGTTCTCTAAAAAGGTGACTCAGAGTGTCTACTCCCAGCCTCACTGTCCCTCCTCCGCCCCATTTCTAAGTGTCCATTGACTGTCCAACTCAGCAACTGAGGCTCAGTGTGCCTGAAGCCATATCCACCTTCCTGCCCCCAAACCAGATCTCCCCAGGCATCCAGCTGTTCTGACAAGTGACTCCGCCACGCTTCCAGGTGCTTCAGCTGGAAACACTGAGTCATATCTTACATCTTCCTCCATTTCATTTCCCACAGTTAATCCATTATCAAACCATTTCAAGTTATTCCCCCAGCCAATCCTTTCCCACACCCATTCCTGCTGCCATTGCCCTGGTCAAGCTGTCATCTGGACTATTGCAGAGGCCTCCCACTTGGCTTCCATGCCTCCAACCTCCCCCTTCACAACCAGCCAGTCCATCTTCCTCAAGCATCTCCATGAGCTCACTGCTCTCCCTCCCTCCCTCCACCGCTTCCCCCAGGGGCTCCTCTCCATCCACAGCACCCTCTCCTCTCCTCCAGACTTTTGGCTCCAGCATAATCAGTCCCCTCGTTGTTCCTGGGGCACAATGCACACTCCGGCTACCCTTCCACTGTTGGCGGAGTTGTTTCCCTTGCCTGGAATCCTTTTCCCCGTTCTAACCTTTCCCCTACATTTTCACCATCTTTAACACTAGGTGACATCCCTGGCTAAGCTGCACCCTAAGGTTTTAAAAAAGGGTGAGGAGAAGGCTAGAAAAGTTGGAGGAAGGGGCCAGGCACAGTGGCTCACGCCTGTAATCCCAGCCCTTTGGGAGGCCAAGGTGAGAGGATCTCTTGAAGTCAGGACTTCGAGAGCAGCCTGGCCAACATGGTGAAACCCTGTCTCTAGAAATATAAAAATTAGCCAGGCGTGGTGGTGTGCAGCTGTAATCCCAGCTACTTGGGAGGCTAAGGCATGAGAATCACTTGAACCTGGGAGGTGGAGGTTGCAATGAGCCGAGATTGTGCCATTGCACTCCAGCCTGGAAACTCCGTCTCAAAAAAAAAAAAAAAAAAAAAAAAGCTGGGGGAAGGGAGCAAAACTGCTAGCAGTTTGCTAGAGGTAGAGAATTTAATTCACCTCTGGGGCAGACTTTTGCTTTGTTTTGGGAAAATCAACACGAACCTAAAACTCTATAGTTACTGTCAGCCTAAATACAGATGTTAACTGTTCTGGTTCAGCGATGGAGATGGCCCTGCCTTGGGAACCTGGTCTGCCTTCCCTTCTTTTTTACCCTGAGGTTTGAGGAGAGAAATTATGGACGGAGGGAGCCTAGACTTGTCCCGATGGAGGCGGCTATTTTCAGCTGAATTTGGGAGAGTTGATGCAAGAGATAGAAACAGAGACAGCCTTCCTGAGGAGGCTGAAGGGCCCTGGCACTGTTGCTTTGGGATCTAGGTGACATATCTTGGCACAGACTGCGGGAAAGGACATTGTATCCAGTTTGGAGGGAACCCAGCATCTCTCCAGAACTCCACTGGCATTAGAGGAAGCGGCAGCCATGGATGCTGGGGACCCCTCAAGGCACACTCCCAGCAGAGGGTCCTTTCCTGGGCCTCCATGAGCCCTAGTTATGACTGCAGTGGACACATGGGTTTGTGACATCATGTGAGACATCCACTAGAGCTCTCAGAAGTATTTGCGGAAAGTATTGTACAAGGTGGGCTCAGTGTCATTGTAACTCACTGTTAAAGTAGCGATAAGTCATTTATACCCTGGGCAAGTGAAAACAAGATTACTAGAGATAGAAAGCCATACTATACTGTTAACCATGGTTGCCTCTGGGTGCCAGTATTGTAGAGAATTCCTTTTCTTCTTTGTATTTTTGTGAAACCTTCCAATATTTCCACCATAAGTATTTGTAATTAGAAAAACAAAAGCTATGAATAAAGAAGATACTCTATCTTTCCTTCCCCTTCCCGCTGCCTGTGGCCATGCCGACAGTACCTCCCAGGTGCGGGCCTTGACACTCAGTCCGGGCAGATGAGCATCTATTTCTTGTTGCAGGTACATGCGCCAGCTCTGCCAGCTCTTTCACAATCAGGAATATCTCTCCTCTTCCGACCCCACCCCCCACTTACTCTGCTTGCTGGAGCTATTTCTCAGAACACGCCTGGCCTGCTCCCAGCCTGCGCCTTCATACTTGCTGTTAACTCTGCCAGCTCCCCTCCCCCAAGTCCCCCCAGACAGCTTCTGGGCCCCTGCTTATGGCTTTCATCTGTGACTCCAACGTCACTTCTCGGTGAGGCTTTCCCAAGCTGGAAGGGAAAGGACCCTTCTATTGGGTCCAAGCCATTTCAAACTGACCAAGCTATTTAAAACTGTACACCCTCCCAGCATTCTTTCCCCCTTGCCGGCTTCATTTCTCCTTAAGACACACGTCATCATCTATATCCTTAGGATGTAGGCTCTATGAGGGCAAGGGTTTTCGTCTATTTCGGGTTGTCTGCTGTAATCGCACTACCCATGTGCATGCCTGGCGTTTGGAAGATGCTCCATCAACATTTATAGTTACCACATTCCAGACCCTGTGGTAGGTGGTTAGTAACGCCCCCAGTCTTCAGTGTTTTGAGGAGTTGGCAGCATTATCTCCATTTTAAAGATGAGAAAAACCGAGCTCAGAAAGGTCAGATATAACTCTGCTGACGCCGCACTGTTATCACACGGCAAGCGGGAATGGAGCGTCTGCTCTGGGAGCTTTCCATTTCAGGAGGCTTCCTTTTTTTTTTTTTTTTTTTTTTATTTTTTTATTTTTGAGACAGGGTTCCTGTTTCTGTTGCCTAGGCTGGAGTGCAGTGGTGCAATCATGGCTCACTGCAACCTCAAACTCCTGGGCTCAAGAGATCCTCCCGCCCAGGCCTCCAGAGTAGCTGGGAATACAGGTGCATGCTACCACCCCTAATTTTTAAATTCTGTGTAGAGACAGGGTCTCATTATGTTGCCCACACTGGCGTTGAACTCTGGGCCTCAAACAGTCCTGCCTCGGCCTCCCAAAAGTGCTGGGATGACAGGAGTGAGCCGCTGCCCCTGGCCCTCCTCTACCTTTGTGGCTTGGGTATGTGGCTGTCCGTCACCGTGCTCGATACACAGCAGCCCTCCCAAGTCTTTCTTAGGCTGAGGTTGCTGTTTCCTCTGCACTGGTTGCCCCAGCGCATGGCCCACAGGGCTACTGCAGCAGGTCTGGGAGATGCCTCAGAGGCATCATCCCTTAAAAATGGGCTCCTCTCCCAAGTAAGGTCCCTACAATCAGAGAAGCCAACTTGCCCCGCTCCCTCGTCGTTGCCTCCGCCCTCCGGTTTGGGTGCTCTAGGCTGTGACGCACATGAACACTGCCAGAGGTTTTCTTTCCTCCCTCCACAGCCCCGCTTCTGTAATGGGAGCTGGCTGCTCCCTAAGTACCCTCTGAGGGTGGAGTGCCAGCAATATCCCAGGTGATTTAGGTTGAAGTTCTGGATGTGCCACTCACTGGTTATGTTGTGAGCTTGTCCAAGTCATTTAACTTGTGCATTGAAAGAATGGAAGAAATTATTCCTTCCTCATGGTTTCCTTGGAGTATCTTAATGCTGGCAAATGTGGAACCTGCCTCATAGGGCTGTCATGCAGATGCATGAGATAATGGGCTAATCATACTTAGCACTGTGCCTGGCATACAAAGCTTAATAAATGCTGGCTGCTACTGTTATTGGTCATGGCTGGCTTGGGAACTCGGCAGTCTGAAACCAGCTGGTAGGATGGTGTGTGGCATGTGGACGGCATCTGACCCCTACTCCAATAATCCACTAACCTCTTTCCTAAATCTTCAGTCCTTACACTGAATTTCCCTGATCAAGGTCACATAGTGGACTTTGAAAAGGCTTTGATTGGGACACTTTTCAGAATAGCTAACCTCCTTAGTCAGTACACTGTTTCTGCTGGGAGGTAGCTGTCCTCTCTGCTGGGCTGCACAATTTGTGGAATAATTTGCACAAGTATCAATTGCCACCATGACCAAGGCATGAAGCATAATTACCTCAAGTGGAAACTGTGATTGAGGCTGTGAATTGAGGCCGGATTTGCAGGGACCACAAATGAGCCGCCACCTCTGGAGCACTATGTGCCTACTGGATATAGGTCTGTAATCAACCTGAGCCTGTTTCCAAACACTGGCTCTCTCGGTTCCAATGCGTCAAAAGTCCTGACTTTGGTGAGTGTCATGATCCCTGCAGAGTGTGTGGCTGAACCGAGAGAACGTCCCCTTGTCCAAGACATGATTCAGAGTTGTTTATTTATTTATTTATTGCAGGAGACTGGAGTTTTATTATTACTCAAATCAGTCTTCCCAAGCATTCAGGGAGCAGATTTTTTTATTTTTCTATTTTTTTATTTTTATTTTTTTGAGATGGAGTCTTGCTCTGTCGCCAGGCTGGAGTGCAGTGGCATGATCTCGGCTCACTACAACCTCCGCCTCCCGGGTTCAAGCGATTCTCCTGCCTCAGCCTCCCGAGTAGCTGGGACTACAGACGCGCGCCACCACGCCCGGCTAATTATTGTGCTTTTAGTAGAGACAGGGTTTCACCGTGTTGGCCAGGATGGTCTTGATCTCTTGACCTTATGATCCACCCGCCTTGGCCTCCCAAAGTGCTGGGATTACAGGCGTGAGCCACCACGTCTGGCCTGGGGAGCAGAGTTTTTAAGGACAACTTGGTAGGTGGGGGAAGCCAGTCAGCTGGGAGTGCTGATTGGTCAGAGATGAAATCACACGGAGTCAGAGCTGGTCACTGGGTCAGTTCCTGGGTGGGGGCCACAGGATCAGATGAGCCAGTTTATTGATCTGGGAGGTGCCAGCTGATCCGTCAAGTGCAGGGTCTGCAAAATATCTCAAGCACTGATCTTAGGAGCAGTTTAGGGAGGGTCAGGACCTTGTAACCTCCAGCTGCCTGACTCCTAAACCATAAGTTCTAATGGTCAGAAATGGCTAATGGTTTCTAATGGCTAATGTTAGTCCTACCAAGGCAATCTAGTCCCCAGGCAAGAAGGAGGTCTGCTTTGAGAAAGGGCTGTTACCGTCTTTGTTTAAACTATAAACTAAGTTTCTCCCAAAGTTAGTTCAGCCTACGCCCAGGAATGAACAAGGACAGCTTGGAGGTTAGAAGCAAGATGGAGTCAATTAAGTCAGATCTCTTCCACTGTCTCAGTCATAATTTTGCAAAGGCCGTTTCAGTCCTCCCTTTGGGTTTTATAACACCTTAATCTTAAGGTATAGGATGTGAAGATGGAAAAGGCCATCGATTGCTCTGTCTTCTTCTTGCTAACAGGGGATGTAGTGGGAATGGGAGTGAACCCCAAGGTGAGAAGAGTGGAACTGCTTTGCAACTCTCTGAGTGACTCGTGCAGGCCTGGGTCAGCTTTCATGGCAAAAACATTAGCACTCTCATCTACAGTTTTACTACAGTGTTTAAGTGAAACAGCCTACTATAAGGTAAATAATGAGTCCTAGGATGAGGAGTACAATTCCCAATTTTAAAAGCAAAGATTTGAAAGCATTAGTTTGGGGACTTCTAACCCACAAAGAATTAAGAATTTAGTCTAAACTGCAGAAAAAAAAGAACAGCTAACAACAGTGTACTACAGTTTTTCTTTTGAAGCATAATTTTTCTCTCTCCAGTCCCTATTTTTACTAAACACGAATCACTATAGAACTGATTTGTTTATAAAATAAACCTTAGTCTTACCGATTATTTACATAATGTACAGCAAGAATAATTATTTTTCACTTAGGCTTTTTTAATTGGCTTATGACAGAACTCTGTTCCATGTAGACTCTCAGATAAGACTTTTTAGAAGCCGAGCCCAGCCATGGGTTTGTACCCTCAGATACCTATGTGGTGGGCAAATTCCTCTCCTCTTGAGGTCCCAAGATAACTTGCGGTTCCTGGGCCTGTTAGAAAGTGACATTCTTTACTTAACACAGGTCAGGAATTTTGTACAGGGACTCTGTGTGGACAAGGTATGAGACCAGAGGCCCCAACAGGCTTTAATTGGCTCTATAAGTCAACTTTGATTCTTTAAAGGAAGCATGCCATTCCGGTCAAAGCCTTGGTAAAATAACCAATTTCTCCAATTGTGTCCTGTTACAAAAGAAAACAGATTCTTTTTGCACTTATGCAATTAACCATACTGCCATAAATTGAGAATGTTCACAAATAGTTACCAAATTCTGGAGAAATTAGGTAGAGAAGAGCAAATACGCTCCAAATTTTGTTCACAGGAGTACATTTTACTCACTTGTTAAAAGTTGCAAATAGCTCTAAAGAAATAAGTTCTCTTGACTCTGAAAACAAAAAGTTTAGCAATGTTTAACACTTTAGCTCTCCATGAGAGTCCTGGAAGTTTGGTTTTTTCCTCTATTCCAATAGCACAATTTTTAAAGTCATCAAATTTATCTGAGACCTGCACTTAAGAGTCCTATATTTGATTATAAACTTCCTTTTGAAAAGGACCAAAGCAAGACAAAATATCTGTGGATGACAAAAGTCTATAGCCACCATTAAAGCTACAATTGACTAAGAATTTTGATTATGGCATACATTTATTTTTTCTTTTTTTTTGAGACGAAGTCTCGCTCTTGTTGCCCAGGCTGGAGTGCAATGGTGCGATCCCGGCTCACCGCAACCTCCACCTCCTGGGTTCAAGTGATTCTTCTCCCTCAGCCTCCCAAGTAGTTGGGATTACAGGCACATGCCACCATGCCCGTCTAATTTTGTATTGTTAGTAGAGACAGGGTTTCTCCATGTTGGTCAGGCTGGTCTCAAACTCCCAACCTCAAGTGATCCACCCACCTCAGCCTCACAAAGTGCTGGGATTACAAGCACGAGCCACTGTGCCTGGCCACTTGTGGCATACGATTTTACATAATAATTATAATTATTAATAATGTGCACTAAATTATATCAACATTATAGAAGTTTCCCATAATTTTGGAATACATACTAATAACATATTTATACAAATGCAGTCCAAAGTGAACCAAAGACCATTCACTCTTCTATTTGAAAGTTTTTCCTCTATTCTAATGTCACAATCTCCAGAGTTATTAATCAGAATCCTGAATTTAAGAGCACCTGTTAAATTTTATAGCTGATTATAAAACCATCTTTTAAAGAAGACCAAAACAAGACAACAATTGTCTGTGAATGACAAAAACATTTTAGGGCAGCAACAGTTAAAGACATGATTGACAAGGAAATGTGTTACCTCTGTGGCATACAGCCTGTTAACATAATAATTATAATTATTACTGATAACATATACTAAGTCATATTAGAATTACAGGAATTTTACATAATTTCAGAACACATATCAATAACACATTAACACAAATATAGACCAAAGAAAGCCAAACACCATTTCATATTGGACAATGCTTCCTGTATGATTTTTGTAGCAAATAAGCCAAATGTCAATTCTGGACTTTAGAGGACTTAATATCTAAAATATTAGGTTAGAAAGAGATGTAATTTATGATCTGATTTTGGAAAGTTTGTCAAATATCAAAGGTTTAAAACACCAGATAGTGTTTTAAAATAGAATCACAGGTCACCATAAAGTCATTCATTTGGCCAAATGATAATTCCAATAAAATTTTTTAAAAAGAAAAACCTTGGCCGGGCACAGTGGCTCAGCCTGTAATCCCAGCACTTTGGGAGGCCAAGGTGGGCGGATCACGAGGTCAGGAGATTGAGACCATCCTGGCTAACATGGTGAAACCCCGTCTGTACTAAAAATATAAAAAATTAGCCGGGCGAGGTGGCGGGCGCCTGTAGTCCCAGCTACTCGGGAGGCTGAGGCAGGAGAATGGCGTGAACCAGGGAGGCGGAGCTTGCAGTGAGCCGAGATCCCGCCACTGCACTCCAGCCTGGGCGACAGAGCGAGACTCCGTCTCAAAGGAAAAAAAAAAAGAAAAACCTTTACTCTGATAGAGGAGACTTAGCTTTCCAACAAGACCCAATGAAGATAGCAGGAGGCCAACTGAATCTTCTCTTCTCTCTCTCCTCTTTTTTGTCCCCTGCTGTTAACCCAAAGGAGAAAACAAAACCCTTTCATTATCTTTTAACATTACATAAAAATCATCTTCAAAAGAGAAAACCAAATTTCATGTTTGCATTAGTGCATCTTTAATGTTAAAGTTAGTTTTTAAAATAACATCTTATATCTCTATCCAGTTTTAATTAGTTTGACCATAAGGTAAGATTTTCCTCAACTTTTTAGAACCCTTTACAACTTTCCATCAAACAGCAGATCAATTTTCTAAGAAAACCCTGTTATTCTGACAAATGGGTCCGATTCTGGCCCCACATCAGTATGATTTTAATGTTTTAACCTACGGAAAAAAGCTAAACAGTTTATTTTAAATCTTAGCCAACTTGTTTACACCCACAGAATTTTTACAAGATCAACACTTTTCAAGCCCTTTTCACTTTGCTTAAACCTTCAGTTTTGTTCCGTTACTCTTCTAGGTTAAGACAATCTTTAAAACCCTCTGGGCTGGGCTCAGTGGCTCATGCCTGTAATCCTAGCAGTTTGAGAGGCCGAGGCGGGCGGATCATCTGAGGTTAGTAGTTCGAGACCAGCCTGACCAATATGGTGAAACCCCATCTCTACTAAAGATACAAAAACATTACCCAGGCATGGTGGCATGCGCCTGTAGTCCCAGATACTGGGGAGGCTGAGACAGGAGAATTGCTTGAACCTGGGAGGCAGAGGTTGCAGTGAGCCGAGATCATGTCCAGCGTGGGCAACAACGAGACTCTGTCTCAAAAATAAATAAATAAAATAAAACCCTCTGAACTAGACAAAATTATATTCCCTTTAACAGAAGCCATATTCCCATGCCTTCTTATAATCTCTTACCAAAAACACATTCCCTACCCACCTTGTGTGTAAAACTGTTTCTCCAGTGGTCTCAACTACATGTTACAATGTTAACTCTTAGCAACTTTAATTTTTACTGAAAAACCTGATAAGTAAGCAATTTTAATTATGTACTAGGGGTGGAGCCTAGGACATCAGACAGAAATGAAGATAAGGTCTGAATCCTTGTAGCATAGTTAGTGGCCATGGCTCTCCAGATGTCCCCAGGCCTTATCTATAATCTAATGCGCCAAAGTAGGTAAATTGAATAATTTTCAAAAGTCAAAGAAACAGTTTGACCTTAAAGTATCTAGCAAATCTGATATCTGACCTTAATTTAGATCAAATGTCTACATTTCTGAGACATTTTATTTTACCAATAATCTTTAAAAGTGTCTTTATTTCCCAAAGAGTACTAAAGTCACACGAACAAAAAGACATTAAGGTTTCTATTTTTCTGACAAAATATTTGATTTAAGCACTTCTTTTTCTAAGCCAATTAATCAGAGCTGTTTTATATAGAAACATGTGACACATGTAAATACACAAACAGACAGAAGATTCAGCACTTGTAAGATTTTTCATTTGCCAGTTTCTTAATTGGATGACTGGCTTCAGGGTGGAGCCTGTGGAGGAACAGGGCCAGGAAAGCATGCGTTTCCAGGGCCAAATAAGCAGCAAATAAGCAGCTGAAGGCAAAGACAGATCCCCAAAATTAACGGTGCCATTTTATACTGGTTCCTGAATCCCCAAAAGGAGGCAAATACTATGGGAGAAGACAGTGCAGTGCTTCCACTCTGCATTTCATTTTGCAAGGCAGCCCAAAGCCAATCAGCCCATTTTGCAATCAGCCCATCCCTCATGGGAGTCTCATCTCCATTGTGGGGTGGGGATGTTCCCTTATCTTCCAGGTGTCCAACTTGAGCATGCTTCTCTGATCCAAGTGTGCCAAGAGTCAAGTATCCCTCCATAACTACTATTAGCCATCCCTTAAAGTATACTTCCTATCTAGTTATTACACACCAAAGCTCTCTCATGAGAAGTAATTTCTGATACCCCCAAAACTCAAAACCATCAGATATAACACAGTGCAAAAGAGAACAGAGCCTTTGATTTTGAGAGGGATCTATCCGTTTTTAATTCCTGGCATTTCATGAGGAAAACAGAGGTTTTGTTTTTGTTTTTGTTTTTGTTTTCTCAAAACAGGGTGTGTGGTGCCTCCTCTGTTTTTCCCAAGGAGTCCCAGGCTACCAGGCTACCAGAAGTTATGTTAGGGCCTCTTGTGTGCATTAAGAGTGGCAAGACAAAAAAAATGAAGAAAAATAATTTAGCCGACTGAGAAGAAAGAATTTTTCCAGAAAAACAAGTTCCAAGAAGAGAAACACATAAAGGTCTTTTAAATGCATCTACAGCTTGTTTATCCACTTTTAATGAAGCTGACTCTAAACCATAGTGCTCTTTAAAAAAGAAATCCTTTTAAAACTATTATTACCCAACTTTAGCATGCCAAGTGGCCAATATTTCTAGCTTCTGAACTTTACCAAAGGTAACCTCCTAGGTGCTTCGAAGACATGGTAAGCAGTTTTTGTTTGTTTGTTTGTTTGTTTTTTACAAGATTTAGAATCTCCACAAGGTAGTTCAGAGAAAGGAAAATTCAAGAGAGGAAATCAGAAGCTATTTATAAGGGAAAAAAATCTCAATAAATGGCAAACCACAAATAACAAACCAGAAAGGAATCATTCCAGAAGCCGATAATTGAACCCAGGCCACCACTGTCAAAAGATAAAGCCTTAGCTACTGAGTTATACAGCATGGAGCAGCTTCTATTGCTTTTCCCAGAAGGAGCCTAGAGAAGCCAATTTCAAGCTTGCAAGCCTTTTAACTGCTCAAGAAAAACGTTTAGGACTATGACATGAACCCCAAAATTCCTGTGCTCTGGATGGTGGAAACCAAAAGAAAGTACCCACACATGGTCACAAGGTTAAGCTCTTAAGGACACAAAACAAGACAGAGAAATTTCATACAGTATTGGTTTCAGGGACCGGTAGCAAAGTTTGTAACTGACCAGCCTGCCAAGCTGACTTGAAAAGGAGGCTTATAGGGGTCCTAAACCCACATTCTATCCTGTGATACCCCTGTCTCCCTTACAGAACACAGAAAGACAAATTCTTTGCACAAAATACACCAGATGTGTTACAGCGTAAGACTAGTCTCACAAGTCCTTTTTTCTATTAATCAAATCCTTGCAGAGGAGACAAATAGTTTACTGTTTATCCAAAGAGAGAGAGACCAGAAACTTGGTTGGTAAGAATTTCTTGCCCTTTTTTTTGGGATACCAGGTTTCTGCATTCCCTTTCTCTGGAGCTTCCAGAAGAATGAAGCAGCTTCTGATGACCCTGCTTGCTTGTGCTATAGCTGCGGGGTTTAAGCCACTTTACAAGAGAAAATCACCTTTTCCTGCTTTATGGAACCATAGACAAGATTCTCAAATTGCAAGATGCTGCCCAACGGGCTGCATGGGGAACTGAATTAACATTTTCCATCCCAGCAAAATACACATAACAAAACAGACATTAGTCACCTCGTGCAGCACCCAGTATCAGCCTGGCAAAGCTCAAAATTTTTCCATTGGTCCCTGTTGTCTTTGACCCACTCCAGGTGGGGATGGATGACCTCTGAACGCTAATTCACAATGGGGTCTCTAGGCAAGGGGAAGAGCAGATAGTCACCCCGAGAGGCCTGCTGAACCTTCTTTAGAGCCCATTGAATGCGACCAGACAAATAAGGAGGATTCTCTGATTTAGGCCTGCTGGACTTTCATCAGCAACCCCTCTGAGATGCCTGCTACATACACAAACACACACAAAGATGAGATAGACAGATGGCCTTCCAAATCAGATCCCTAACCAAGAACTCCAAGAGTATCCTTTCCAAGCTACTCTCCTATTCTCCATCTGAGAAACCTCCTCGAAATCTTCCTGATTGAGGAGAAGTCTCCCAAACCGGGACTCTTCCTACTAGAAAGAAAGAGCCAACCAAGACCCCCACCCAGGAGCCAAACAGACACCCCATGGTGGGCCTACAGACACAGACACTCCATGCTGGAGCTACAGACACCCCGCAATGGGGCTACAGACACCCCACCATAGGGCTACAGAACCAGTCAGGAGAAGGAAGGAGGCATTGGCAGCACCTAGGATACTCACCAATCAGATATCCCACAATGGGGCTACAGATAGACACCCTGTGATAGGCCTACAGTTAAGGGATGTCTCCCTGGAACTATTTCTCCATTGCAATTAAATCCATGCACATTGGGTTGGCAGTGCCCCGCCAGTACAGAGTACGGGAGTCAGCCCCAGTCCAAGAGAACTAGGTGGCTGCTTGGGCTGGCTTCTGGATCCATCACTGGAGGGGGGCTACCTGCCCGTGGTTCACTGGGCCTCCTCCAGTGATGTATCTCGGATAAGCCCCCAAATTTGTAACTGCCCAAGGGGTTCACATTGCCCGCTGCCTAGACAGTCAATTCATCAAGACAGGGGAATTGCAATAGAGAAAGAGTAATTCATGCAGAGCTGGCTGTGCGAGAGACCAGAGTTTTATTATTACTCAAATCAGTCTCTGATTCATAGTTTTCAAGGGAATTTCCTTCACTGACTTTGCTTTCTGGTTGTACTATAATAAATATGATTTGGAGTAATCCATCTGCCAACACTCCCTCAACTAAATCTTCCCTGCCCCAAACACACAGTGTTTCGCCCAGGAAGATCTAGTTCTGTTTGTGTCTGAAGGGGGCAGGATGGGGGATCTAGGCCATCCTTCTCCCTCATGTGAGTGGCCAAAAGCAACAGAAGAATCTATGTCTTGCCCTTAACATGGCCAATGTCTGCTCCACATACGGGCCCAGAGGCCACACTCTTAGCACTTCTGGGAAGCTGATAACAACATCTGCAATGGAGGTCTTTCATCCTGAGGCAAGGGTACCAGTTCTGCCAGCCCTTTGTATTATTTGGAAACAGTGCTGGGAGTCATATTTGCAGATCCACAAATGCTATTTGATTATTCCATGGCATGAAAGATTAATTTGAGGTTTAGTGGAGAGGGCAGACTAAAGACTGAGGAAACACAGTTTGTAAGGGCAAAATATGCTAAGTTTGAGCAAAAATACATTCTACATGTAGCCAGCACTCTGAGAACACTGGGGAGAGTAGGTAGAGCTGGGATCAACATTAAAAGATAATGCCCCAACTGTATTTTAGCCTTATTTGTACCTGCTGGCCAGCATCTTATCATAATTACCTTGGCCACACAGCCCTTGTTGTATCTCCAAAGAGACAGCAGTGTCTGAAGAAAGAAGATGGTTCAGAAGACAGATGACCCAAGTCTGGAAGGAGTCTCAAGAAGGAAATGTACAATAGTGAAAAGTGCGACCTCTTGACTCAGATTTCATCTCCAATCCTTGTTCTGTCATAGTCTATCTGTGAGAACTTTATAGCATCTGAGTCTGTTTGCTTCATGCAAAATGGAACAGATGATATCTTCTAAGACTGTTATAAAAATCATTAAAACATGTAAAGCATAAAAAGCCAGTTCATCTTAGGTATTAAATAATTGGCAAATTTACTAACATTAGTATCTGTAAAATAGAGATATTTGCAATGTGCTTGTGAAAAGGAGAAAAAGAATGCCTTTGGCCTGCAGTAGATATTTAGAAATGGTCCTGTCTTTGCCATGCACCACTACATGTTTGACCTTGAGCAAAGCCACCTCTGTCATTGGTAAGACGGGGAGTATTTCTACTCTATCTCACTCCCGTAACAACTGCAGTGGTGTCTGGAGGTAATTACACATGCCTCACTTGTTTCTTGGAGTTGTGATGACTAAAATTGAAGGCTAAGAATGGGGAACAATGCACTAGAATGAAACACACTGGATTTCGGGGCAACAGACTTGGGTTCTAGTCTTGGTACTGCATTTTACCAACCAAAAGGCCTTAGGCAAATCACCGAGTAATCTGACCTCTCATCACTGTGAGAAAATACAAATGTGAGAAATTATCGTTATTGCTCCTTGAAGGCAAAGCCAGTCTTTTTTTTTTTTTTTTTTTTTTTTTTGAGATGGAGTCTTGCTCTGTCACCCAGGCTGGAGTGCAGTGGCACGATCTCGGCTCACTGCAACCTCCACCTCCTGGGTTCAAGCGATTCTCCTGCCTCAGCCTCCTGAGTAGCTGGGATTACAAGCGTGCGCCACCGTGCCCAGCTAATTTTTGTATTTTTAATAGAGACAGGGTTTCACTATGCTGGCCAGGCTGGTCTCGAACTCCTGACCTTGTGATCTGCACACCTCAGCCTTCCAAAGTGCTGGGATTACAGGTGTGAGCCACCGCGCCCAGCCAAGTCTTCTCATTTTAATAGTTCTGGTACCCATCAAAGTTGTTAGCACAGAGTGGACACTCAATATTTATGTTTAATGAACCATAAACTACCCAGAAGTTGTATTTTTAACCGTTAGCAACTTTTTTGTCCCTAAGCTGGTAGCTTTTGTCCCAATCTGATTTGTTGGATCCCTACGTCCCAAAGTAGTTTGTATTCCATGCCAACCTTAACATCCTCAGAGATGTTACTTGGACACAACTGGAAGAAAAAATTGATAAGAGAAAAGAAAGCAGCTCTTCTGTTTATGGCAGTTGCAGGGGAAGTTTCACCATCCGCCCACCCTGCCCCCGACCCTCACCCACTCTCTGGTTTGGGAATCACTTCTCTAAATTCCCTATTATTCTAAGTACCCTTTCTACAGGATTTACCCTCACGCAGAAGGTGGTGGGCATTGAAGAAGCCAGAGCTCCTTACAGATGACTCTCCACGGATAACATGAAGGGGAGGGATACCTCACAAGTCTCCTGTAAATGGGAGGTGGCAGGTGGAAAGCAGCAGGCAGAAACATGGAAGGGGGAACTGGGCTTCCTGGTGCCAGAGGAGAAATCTTGAAGTGGAACTTCTTGGTAGTAGTAGATTTAGGTACCCTTCATCCACACTACATAATATTCCAGAGGTGTTACATTATTTGATCTCTGAGGGCTTTGGTAGAGGAGGGAACCCTGTAGAGGTTGAAAAGGAGACAGAAAGGGCCAAAAAGTTGACAGTCAACATCTTTGTGCACTGTTAACAATCTGGTCTGGAAAGACAGCACTGGCAAAGGTAGAGTATTTCCCAGATCTGCCATGTATCAAGTCTGCTCACATTACTGAGGAGTAGCTGTGATCTGAAATCATTATTTTTATTTCTTATTTTTTTCTGAGACGGGGTCTTGCTCTGTCTCCCAAGCTGGAGTGCAGTGGTATGATCTCGGCTCACTGCAACCTCCGTCTCCTAGATTCAAGAGATTCTTGTGCCTTGGCCTCCCAAGTAGCTGGGATTACAGGTGTGTGCCACCACGCCTGGTTAATTTTTGTAATTTTAGTAGAAACAGGGTTTCACCATGTTGGCCAGGCTGGTCTTGAACTCCTGACTCCGGTGATCAGTCCGCCTCGGCCTCCCAAAGTGCTGGGATTACAGCAAACCTCACTCAATCATCCCAGCTGGGTTAAGTATCCCTTTGTAGACTTCAACTCATTGCACTGCTAATTTCTTGTTTATTTACTTACTCTTCAATTCTGAAAAAAAGTAGGACCTTTATCTTGTTTAGTATTCTATCCCCAAGTGCCCACACAGTGCATCACAGAAAACAAGATGCTCCACAAATGTTTAATTTATTAAGTGTGCCAGGGTATACTGCTAACTCATTGCATTTTAATTTTTCTCTAGATACTCAAATAGCTAAGCAAATGAAGGTACATGCCAGTCTTTCTTCTTTTATACACAACAGACAAAAGTGTTGGGGGGCTAGACACCAACCAGCTATTTTTTTCCCCTGGAACCAGATCATCATACTGCTGAGTTCCTTCAAACCATCAAAGTACAGCCTTCCTTCCAATGTTGCATAATCTGTTCAAAATCACAGTATAAATACAAAGTTCTTCCATCCATTTTACAAAACCAGCAAAACTCTACAATAAAATCCTACAGGAAAAAGTAGACCAATCTCATTTACAAACAGCATTTTAACAGTAATTATTAAATGTTACAAAACATAAGATACAAAATCTAAATCCTTAAAGTCACACGATTTCTACAGAAATAAGACCCTCGCCCCACCCATATTACTTATGACTCAGGACAGTAGTTCGTCCTCACGGGGACCCACTGGCCAACTTTTCACCAACCCTCACCAGAGGTGGATGCCGGCCCTAGCACTGGCCCTGGCCCTCATACTGGCTTCAGCTCTGGCCTTGGCTCTGGCCCTGTCGGCCTCGTCTGCTAGGGCCTCACGGTACTGCACTGGCCAGTGCTGCGGTTCCTTCTTATGCAGTTTGGCCACGAACCCCAGGACTTCCATCTTGCTGATTTCCAGGTTGCTTCGGGGACCCCAAGAGAATTCATATTCTGGTGGATTGGTGTGAGGCACCCGCCTGTAACTGAGATATCGCTGCTGCACAAAATCTTCCATAATAAGCCTCTTCGGATACCCAAAGAGGAAATGATACTTTGAGGGTTGCACCCCCAACCGACGCAGCATCTCCCAGACCTGGGCCTCCCTGGCGCTATTACCTCTCATATAGATAAGGCCCAGGATCATCATTAACAGACCCAATCTGGGGCCATCTCCTCCCAGATCCTCCTCCTCCTCCTCCTCCAGAGGTTTTAGTTTGTTGATCAGGATGTAAGTGTGGTGCTTGCGGTCAAACTGTTTCAGCTCAAAACCAAAGACATACCGCAGATGCTCTGCGGCCCTTGCGATGATGTCCGGGAACAGAATCTTCAAGTCTCCAATAACGTATTTCACCATCTCCGAGCGTGTGATGGGACTCTTCTTCTTGTCTTTCACCAGGAGGAACTGCACCAACTCCGCCACCGTCCGATTCAGCCGGCGGTAGGCCCTGCGCCTTGCCAAGGCTTTGGCCGCCAAGGCCCTCGCGCCTTTCCGGGTGAGGGCGGGCTCCGCAGCCCCCTCCTCCCTCCCGGCGCCAAGCTCCTCCTTGGGGCGCTCCTGCGAGGCGGTCGGGGCCCGGGTCTCACCATCATGGCCGCCATCCTTCTCCCCCTCGGCCTGCGGGACCGGGAGCCCCCTGCTCTCTGGTGTCTGCAACATGTTTTCGGGCAGGCAGGTGCAGAGCGCGTACACGGGCCGAGGGGTGTGGGAGCCGCCGCGCAAGCCCCGGGGGAGGGGTTGGACAGCGGCAGTGACGGCGGGAGTACAAGGAGCAATGGCAGCGGGAGCTTTGTGGCTGCTGGGCCGCACCGCACGGGAGTCAAACCTGCGGCCGCAACGCCGCCAGCAGCCGGAACCTGCGGCGCGCAGCCTCAGTCCGCGCCCGCGCGAGGGGCCACTTCCGGCCACCTCAGCCAGGACGGCGACCCTAGTGCCGCGCGCAGCCCCTCCTTTTCCGGTCCCTTCTGGGTTGGGGGTGTGCCCAGGCTGCTATAAGTGGAAATGCCCTGGAGGGTGGGGACGGGGGTGCGCCCTGTGACGGATTTTAGGCTTGAAAAGTCGGGGGCGGGGGAATGTAACCAGGACTCTCCCATCCAAGGCATGCAGACTGGGGAATGTTTCGGTGTACAAGAGATGAAATAGGGATGGAGTGCCCCCCACGTTCTTTCTGCAAGTGCCTATTTGTGAGTGTGTGTATCTGGGATTTTCAGTGCTTTACCGGGGCTCTTGTGCAGAGTGCACGGTGAAGGCTGCGAGGTAAGACTGTGCGAACCAATTAGTAAAGGATGCTAGGGAGACTGAAATTTATTCTGGACGTAAAGAGAAAATACTGCAGCGGGATTTAAGCAAGTGAGTGTCCAGACCAGATCTGTGTCTTCGGTTCTGGCGGTATTGTGGAAGATAGATTGGAGTTCGGCCGGCTAAAAGCTAGAATCCAGTTTGGAGGATTATTATAGTGCAAACTAGGAACTGGGACCCGGCCTATTTACTGGGTTGTATCCTCGGTGCCTAGAGCAGTGCCTGACACGGAGAGGAACTCAATAAATATTCAATGGATCATTATGATGAGGGAGTAAGGACAGCAGATTCCATGGGGATAAGAGGAAAATACTGAGAAGTACAGCAGGAATAGGGACTGGTTGGAAGAAAGGGGAAGTTTGTTCTTTTTTTTTTTTTTTTTTGCGCAAGTCAAATTTGACTACTCCCATGTATTTCTTTTCTTTTTCTCTTTTTACACACTCTGAGCTTTCTTCTGCTTCTTGCTCCTTCCTTCCTTCTTTCCTTCCCTCCTTCCTTCCTTCCTCCCTCCCTTCCCTCCTTCCCTTCCTGCCTTCCTTCCTTCCTTCTTTCCTTCCTTCCTTCCTTCCTTCTTTCCTTCCTTCCTTCCTTCCTTCTTCCCTCCCTCCCTCCCTTCCTTCCCTGTCAGAAATGCCCTCTCTATCACCTCCATTTCTCCAAATCCTGTCCACTATTCAGGGCCCAGTTTAAACATCACCTTCCCAAGCCTTCCTTAGTCACCACGCATAGAAGTTATTTACTGTCATCTCTGAATCACCTTAGCAATTGTTAACATCCACATATATAGGCTTTATTAGGTGCCAGGCTCCGTTCTAATCACTTTTCAAATATTAATTCATCAGATTCTCACTAATGTAGGTACTAATACCATCATCCCCATTTTATAGATGATTGTATCTTTTCTGTGACACAGTTTGCTACTTACTAGCTATGTAATCTTGGGCAAGTTACCTAAACTTCTGCCCTTCTGTTACCTTATCAGTAAAATGAGTATAATAGTAGTAACAGCATTGTGGAGATTATGTGAAGTAATGCACATAAGCATTTAACACAGTGCTTGGCACATATTGATATTCAATACATGTTAGCTGTTAATTAATGCATATTTTTATATGCAATATACAATATTAGAATTGCAAGATGAACTGTCCTGGAATGCCTAGCACTCTGTGGAGATGCGGAGGAGGTGTCCTGGGACATAGCACTGAACCGGGTCAGTACTCACCCATTCTGTGACCTTGTACAGGATGCTCAAACACCCTGGGCCACTTTTTTCTGATACTGTAGCCCTGCTAGGTAAGTGGTATTAGCCCCATTTTCCAGGTGAGGTTACACACAAGGAGGTTAAGTAACTTGCCCAACATCACACAGCTGGGATGTGAACCCATATAGTATGACTCCAGAGACTGTGCTCTTAACCACTACATTCATAGATGTTAATTATTATTATTATCATTTACTATATTTTGTATTATAATTTGTTGTGCTTATCTTATTACCCTCCCCAAACCAAACATCCTAAAAGCTAGGGCTATGTTTTTAACTCTTTTGAAGAGCTTCTCTTAGTCAATACTCGATATATAATTGCCAATGAATAAATGACAGAAGGCTTTACTTTTTTCCCTAGGAAATAACAGTTACTTATTTTAAGTAAATATCTGATAGACTTTTCTAAATCTAAATATGAAATCTTCCTTTTAAAAACTTTTGAAAATTTATACCCACTTGTATCATATGACTTACAAACCTGGAAGTATGTGAATGAAGCAGGAGAGGATGTTTATTATAGCCTAGCTTGAGGCTATTATTAGTTTTCATTGTGCCAAACATTCTATGTACAATATAATTTTGTCCTCACAAATCCCTATTAAGAAGGTATTATTATCCACATTTACAAATGGGAAAACAGTCACAGAGAGGTTAAATCACCTGCCCTGAACCACCCATCTGTTAAGTGCTAGACAAGAAATGAAAACCCAGATCTGTAAACTCTGAAGCAAGACTGCCTGGTTATCTGTTTTTCCTGAAGGTAGAGAGAGCCACCCATACCTAAAAGGACAGTGCTAGAGATAAAATAGTCCACTTACATATTTTCCTCACTACAAGGATTGCCAGGGAGATATGCAGGAGATACATGCACGGAAAGGAGCATGCAGAAGATATATTAAATGAAAAGAATTTTGAGGGACAAATCTGTGGTAATAGGGCTGGATTTTAAGAACTGAATAAATGACGATACTACTCATAAGAAGGAACAAACTACTGACACAATGTGAATGAGTCTGGCAGATATGTTGAGTGACAGATGAAAGATACAAAAGATTATACGTATAATATGATTCCATTTATCTGATGTTCGAGGCAGGATAAGCTAATCTATGGTGATAGAAATTAGGACAGTGGAGGCCTGGGGTGGTGTTGACTGGAAAGGGGTATCCAGGAACTTTCAGTGGTGATGGCAACGTTCTGTGTCTTGATTTGGATGTAGGTATACATTTGTCAAAACTTGTGAAACTGTACGCTTAATAGCTATGCATTTCTTTTCTTTTCTTTTCTTTTCTTTGCGACAGGGTCTCACTCTGTTACCCAGGCTGGAGTGGTGCAATGGCACAATCTCAGCTCACTGCAACCCCTGCCACTGCAACCCTTGCCTCCAGGTTCAAGTGCTTCTCTTGCCTCAGCCTTCCAAGTAGCTGGGATTACAGGCACCTGCCACCACACCTGGCTGATTTTTGTATTTTTAACAGAGACGGGGTTTCACCATGTTGGCCAAGCTGGTCTCAAACTCCTGACCTCAAGTGATCTGCCTGCCTCAGCCTCCCAAAATGCTGGGATTACAGGTGTAAGCCACCATGCCCAGCCAGGTATGCATTTCATAGTGTATGAATCATACCTCAAAATTTATAAAAATAAAAAAGGATTTTAAAAAATGAACAGCCCTTTAGGTATGGGAGGAGGCGAGGAGTAAGAAAGGTGAATGGACTCTGCATTACCACTTGCCGATCGCTAGATGTTACCATGTTACAGTGGAAGGAATGCAAACAATAATTTTTCCCATTTTTTTTTTTGTTATGTCCACCATGTAACCGGACACACAGAATTTTTTTTTTTTTTTTTTTTTTTTTTTGAGACGAAGTCTCACTCTGTCGCCCAGGCTGGAGTGCAGTGGCGCATCTCGGCTCACTGCAAGCTCCGTCTCCCACGTTCACGCCATTCTCCTGCCTCAGCCTCCCGAGTAGCTGGGACTACAGGCGTCTGCCACCATGCAGCTAATTTTTTGTATTTTTTTTTTTAGTAGAGATGGGGTTTCACCGTGTTAGCCAGGATGGTCACGATCTCCTGACCTCGTGATCCGCCTGCCTCGGCCTCCCAAAGTGCTGGGATTACCGGCATGAGCCACCATTTCCGGCAACAGGCAGACTTTTAACACATTCCTTACCTAAACTTTTAAAAGGGACAAAAGATATATGCCTTTGGTTTGGGAGATGACGAAACATATGCTTTAATGACTATTGGGTTGGAATCTTCTTGAGAGAGGATCCTTCTTAGCCTAGACTAGAGTCTTCAAAAGCCCACAGTGCTTCGTAAAGTTTCATACGTGGAAGAGAGAAGGATGTTCCACTGGAAAAGCAGAATTGCAGCTGAGCTGTCCTGAAATGCCCAGCACTCTGTGGAGACGCGGAGGAGGTTTCCTGGGACAAAGTGCTGAACCAGGTCAGTACTCGCCCATTCTGTGACCTTGCACAGGGTGCTGAACCTCTCTGAGCCACCTTTTCCTCATCTTTAGGCCCCAACAACCCTTGCTTTGCCCATCCTTACAGAGTTATTTTGAAGTTCAATCAAGATTATACATGTAAATATGCGTTTAAAGTGCTCCACCATTAAGAAATAAATATAAAATGTTACAGACCCTTTTCTAAAAGAGATATGGTGGAAAAATCCCAGTAATGAGGGTGACTGGCCTCTTAGACAGACATTTCGGAATAGCTTACACATTCCTCATTGAAAAAACTGTCTGGCCAAAAAAGATTAAATAAAGAAATGTCAAGTACTGACACTCCATTTGAGGCCAGTGAATACTTTGGTGCAGAGCCAGGGTTATCTTGTTGGATTCCTTCTAAACTTGGCAATAGAGTCCTCCAAACTCTTGAATGCCTTCTTCACACAGGTGCTCAGTAACATGTCACCCCAGATCTGATGGTCTCCAGGCTGCGTGGGTGCTTGTGTCTTCCCTATTTCTCCTGACAGTCTTGACAGCCGTGCAGCTGATCTGGCTCCAAACAGGGATCAGAGGAAGAGCTCTGTCCCTATCCCTAGGCCGGGACAAATTGAAGCTGGTTTTGTCAGAGCAGAATGGGCAGAGTGTGAGGCTTTGGGTCCCGTCTATGGGGCTGGGATTGAGGCAGGATGGCCAGGCGAATGATTCGATCTGACTTGGGTAATGAAAATTGTTTGTTACTTTTTGAAGAGTAATTGTGTAAGCAACAGTACTTCTGTGTTTGGCTGCCAGTGACTCACCAGTGTCTGTAATATAACACCAAACCCAGAGGAGGAGCAGACCCTGGCCAGCGGGGGAGGGGGAATGGCAGGGGGCAGAGGGCCCCCTACTCATTCATCCCCTTCTCCCTCTTCCACTGTCCCACCCCCTCTCTAAACCTCGAAGGAGAGTTGGCGAGAAGGCATTTGCCACCTGGACACAATGAGGCCCAGTGCAAGGGGCGGGCGAGAGCCTGGCCAGGAGCCAGGGCCCTGGTCTGAATGGCTGTTGCCAAGGGGCTGCCAACAGCCCATCTCAATCCCCAAGAGGCTGGGCAAGGGCGGGGGGCCCAACCCCCACCTCGAAGGCCCACCTCACGCCATTCGCAGGCCGTGATCAGAATGTGCAGGACGCAGGGGCTTTGAGCGGCTGAACAGAGCCGTTTCCCCTCTGCTGGCCGCCAGTTTGCTTGGATTACAGCGGCCTCTCTGGAGCCCCTTTGTGGGCTGCTTGTTATTCCGCACGCACAGAGCACTGTGCATTCATCTTTATTAGTTCTAATTGCTTCCCCATTCTAATGGGATCTTGATATTCCCATACAATTGAAAGGAAATGTATTCATTAAAATAATTCTTCTCCTAACTGCCGCTTCAAGCTGCTCCTCTAAGTGACATTGTCTCTCTAACCACAGCCTGCTGAGGCCTCTTATTAAGACTCTAGTCAAAAGCCAACTTTGGGCAGCAAACTTTCCTTGCAGGAGTTTCCAGACACTGAAGAGAGGGTGCTTTTTAATCGGCTCACACACAGAAGTTGGAGGCCAGCTGGTGTAATTGGGGGTGCTGCTCCGGGTGGATGGAGGGAGAAGGGCTCGCCTCCAGCTCTGCCTCCTTTAACAATGACCCCTTTCTGCACACCAACCAGCTCATTTGGAGAGGGCTTCTCCCTCTGTCATGTGTGTGAAACTTCTTGTTTATGCCACAAGCAGTTACTAGGTGTGTTTTAAGCACAAGGCGCTGAGTAAGGTGCTATGGGAAGTGTGGAGACAGGGCTGCAGATTCAAGGCGTTTATGATCTTGGTGGGTGGCTCCCAACTCCAAGTCCCTAGAGTTAGGTATGAGAGGAAAGGCTGGCAGCGCTCTCAATGTTCAGAAAGCTTACTAGGATCAAGAACTGAGAAAAGCAGGCTATTATTTCATAAATGTGTTTGATTTAATAACCAAAATCTTTCAAGCTGTGGGACCATGGGGGTAATACAAGAAGCTTTTTGGGACATTGGGAACCACTGATCTAGTTAGGGGAAATAAGCTGTTGTAAAAAGAACGACTACGTAAATGTCTGCTCTTGACATCAGTGGTATCAATAAAGTGTTGTGGGAATTTGGAGGGGTGGAAGGGAGTATACGCTGGGCACTGCAAAATTGCTTGAACCTTATTTAATCCCTAGAACAGCCCTTTGAGGGAAGCATAACTATTCCCCATTTTACAAATGAAATCTGAGAGAAGTTAGGTAATGTTTCCACTGTCAATAGTTGGAGACAGGATGAACACCAGCCTTCTGATTCCAAAACACAGGCTATTTTCACGGCATCTCTCACATCGTATCTGTCTTGGGCGATCAGAGGTTTCCTGTGAGAGGTGGTGTTTGATCCCCCTTGAGGCCTTTAGGAATAGTGGGTTGTCAACAGGCAGGGAGTGTGGTCCCAAAGGAAGCAAAAACACACACAGGGACTGGGAAGAAGCTGGCATATCAGGAAATGACAAGAGTCCAGGTGGCCCAGACACTGGAGTGTGTGCAGAGGTGGAGGAGGAGAAAAGCAGAAAGGTTTGTGAAGGCCAAATTTTAAAGAGCCTTGCTTGTCAGGAGTTTGGACTTTATCCTGTAGATAATTCTCCAAGGAGGATACTTGAAGCCTCCAGATAAATACAGTATTTCTTTCGGGAACATCAGTTTTCCTTGAGGTGAATAATTTTAAACATCTTCATATTAAAAGAAATTCAGATATATCATGGAGTAGAATGCAAAATTCTCATGAATTTTTAAGAGAAAACAGGAGACTTCAAAGAGAGTTTGGGTGTGCTGGCAGGAGCTTCAGGCTCTGCAGCACCCTGGGGGAGCATAAGGCATTTCTTTTGTCTACTGTTGGTGCGCTTCAGTGGTAAAGATTGAGAAGCGCTGATTTTACACAAACTGTTTTGATCCCAGGAATAAAATCGATAGCTGTATTTCAAGATGGGAGGCAGGGGCCTGGAAGATAGTTTGGGCAGGGCGGGGATTGAGGGCAAGAGGCCAGTTAGGAGGCTGTTGCAATAAACTCTCCAGAGACATAAAGGGCCTGGGGGCTGCCTGGGTCTCAGAGCTCACCTCTTTGCCCTGGCACTTTTGGAGGGGGCTGCCTGAGAGACACCCACCTTGTAGCTGCTCCTTTATTTTATTTTATTATGTTTGGAGATGGAGTTTCACTCTTGTCGCCCAGACTGGAGTGCAATGGCACCATCTCAGCTCACTGCAACCTCCACCTCCTGGGTTCAAGTGATTCTCCTGCCTCAGCCTCCCAAGTAGCTGGGACTACAGGCGTGTGCCACCATGCCCAACTAATTTTTGTATTTTTAGTAGAGACGAGGTTTCGCCATATTGGTCAGGCTGGTCTTAAACTCGTGACCTCAGGTGATCTGCCTATCTCAGCCTCCCAAAGTGCTGGGATTAGAAGCATGAGCCACCAAGCCCGGCAGCTCCTTTCTTTTAACAAACTCGGCAGTAACACTAAGATGGCCAAGGAGGTTGTAGCAGAAGCAGTGAAAGGAGGTTCTGGGCCAGGAACAAGTTTTGCAGATAACCTTCGTGCCCTGGCCTCTTCATCAACGATGCTGCCCTCCAACCACCTTCTGGCCCAACAGGTCTGTTAACTTACCTGCTGGAAGGTGAGTGGCTGGACCAGCGATTCTTGAGGACCACTGCCTTGTTGCTGCATCCAGCCTTCACACACTGGTGGGCAGTTTTGTTTTACCTAGTGTGGTGGCCAACACCTTATGGTCAAGAGAGACTCAAGGGAAGGAGGAAGGGGGGATAAGCATCCCAGCTGAGGACCAAGGTCGTGCTTGACTTCTGCTTGTCATCAGTAGATGGAGATAGCCCACCTCAATTAGTCAAAATCCCTAACTCATATGGGTCTTTCTGGAGGAGCCAGTTCTTATGTAGTTCGTAATTTGTTTCTTGAATCATCTTTGCTTTTAAAGCATTACGAAATAACTTAGTGCTTTTTTTTCCTAATTTTTAGAAGATACTATTTATTGTAGAAAACTGAGAAAATCTTGACCATCAAAAAGAAAAAAACAAAAACAGAAAAACACCTATAATTCCACCATGCAGGGGTAACTACAGTAAACAAATACATTGGTGGGTGTCCTCCTCCAATTTTTCTAAGCACATACAATTTTATTTTTTAATGGAGTCATTTTGTGTACACTGCATGTATACTGTGGCTTTGTATATGAATAACATATATTTCTTCACATACCTTGAAACTTTCACTCTAATTAATATTTTCCTATAAGGTAATTATTTGTGACTGAAGTTGCCCATGGATGCCATGTCACCTTTAATGCCTATTGTTATAGATTTAGTTTGTTTTCAGTTTTTCATTCTTAAATACAATGTGAGGAACTTATTTGTGGCAAAATTTTTCACACAGCAATATTATAAATATTTTCTCTTATACAAGTAATCATTTTATTGCTGAAAAATGTAAGTTAAGGCAAGAAAAAAATTAAACACCTGAAATGTTACCATTCAGAAATCATAGCTATATACCTTTCAGTGCCTACCCTCACAGATTTAATTGTGTGCATGTGTTTATATCTATACATAAATAGATACATTGAATAAAGTCTGTAAGTCTGGTATAAATATATTTTTATTAAAACAATACTATTTTCTAGCCTGCTTTTTCTTAATAGATAATGACCATCCTTGTCATTAAATAGTGTTCAATATTATCATTTTACTGCTTTCTAATAATACATTGTATAAGTGTCTAACACTCATCCTGTTGTTTATTTGAGTTTTTCCTGGACCGTTCTTCTTTTTCTTATTTTTTGCAGGAGTTCTTTAAATAGTAAAGATATGAAATTTTTTGTCATGTTGCAAATATCTTTCCTGGATTATTCATTTTTCCTTGGGACTTGTTTGAGATAAGTTTTTTCCTCTTTATTTTCATAATTATAAAAATAAAACATAATTTGTATTAACATTAGAAAATACAGATAAAAGGAAAAATAATTAAAATGAAATAACCCTAAATCCCACCAACTAAAGATAACCACTACTAATATTTTAGACTGTATCTTTCTAGTCTTTCCTATTTCCCAATATAGATGAGTAGGACCATATAAGTATGATATATTTTTTAAAATTGGGATTATTCTACATATAATTGTGACCTACTTTATGCACTAAATTGATTTTGAAAATCTTTCTATGTCAACACAAATGAACCTGTACCATTATGTATTAATTTTATTTTAAAAATAGAAAATGCTTTTACACAGTTCAAAAATCAAAACAACATTAAAAAGCATACGTTCCCACACATCCCCATTCACTTGGTTCTCTGCCTTCCCTTCCCATAGGTCACTGCTTTTCCTAGTTACAAGCAAATGCAAATATATATTCCCTATCCTTTCTTACACGGAAGATAACACACTGTATACGCTATTGGGCCCCTTACTTTTTTTGTTTTTGTTTTTTGTAGAGACTATTACTTTTTAGCAGTTTTAGTTTCACAGCAAAATTGAGAGCAAGATTCAGAGACTTCCCATATGTATCCTGTCTGCACACATGCATAGCCTCCTTCACTTATCAACATCCCCCACCAGTTGATACATTTGTTACAATTGATACATTTGTTAAAAAGTATCAATTGTAACAATAATAAATGTATAATAAATAATGATGTATCAATGTTAATACATTTGTTAAATGTATTAATTGTAACAAATGTAATACATTTGTTAAATGTATTAACAAATGTATAATAAATAATAATGTATCAGTTGTAATACGTTTGTTAAATGTATTGATTGTAAAAAATGTGTCAACTTTTGTAACAAATGTATTACATTTGTTAAATGTGTCAATTGTAACAAATGTATCAACTGGTGGGGGATTAATATACAATTAATACATTTGTTACAGTTGATAAACCTACATTGGCGTCATTATCACCAAAGACCATATTTTACATTAGGGTTCACTCTTGGTGTTTTTTATTCTGTGAGTTTGGACAAATGTATCATGACATATATCCACCACTATAGAATCATACAGAGTATTTTCACTGCCCTAAAAATCCCCCGTTTCCACCTGTTCATCCCTCCCCTCTGGCACCTTCCTTAAAAAAACAAAACAAGGCCGGACACAGTGGCTCACGCCTGTAATCTCAGCACTTTGGGAGGCCGAGGCGGCCGGATCATGAGGTCAGGAGATCGAGACCATCCTGGCTAACATGGTGAAACCCCGTCTTTACTAAAAATACAAAAAATTAGCTGGGCCTGGTGGCAGACACCTGTAGTCCCAGCTACTTGGGAGGCTGAGACAGGAGAATGGCATGAACATGGGAGGCGGAGCTTGCAGTGAGCCGAGATTGGGTCACTGTACTCCAGCCTGGGAGACAGAGCGAGACTCTGTCTCAAAAAAACAAAACAAAACAAAACAAAAACATATATAACCAAAAAAATTTCATGGCATGTAGTGGAGACTTCTCATATCAGTATATAGAGAGCTTCCTGGTATTTCATGGTATGGATGGATCATAATATCTAACCAACCCATATAATTGGACATTTGAAATATTTCTGATAGTCTGCTATTATACTTAATTCTATAATATGTACATATGTCATTTCTGTCCATATGCAAATATATTTGCAGGAAAAATTCTGAGAGTAGGACTGATGAATCAAGGGGAAAATAGATTAGCAGTAACATCAATAGAAAATACCAAATTGCCCTTCATAAGGGTGTACCATGTTGCACTCCTGCCAGCAAAGAATGAGGGTATCTGTTTCCCTACAACATTAGCGAGTGAGTATATTTTGGATATGTGCAAATCTGATAGGTGAAAAGTGAGTATATCATTGCAATTCCTATATAATTTGCTCTCCTGTTATTATAGATGAGGTTGAACATTCTTTCATATGCTTAAAAGCCATTTGTGTTTTTTTTCTGAAAATGGGTACCTTTTTATTGGGATATTGGTTTTGATTTATAGAAACAAATATGTATTAGAGTGATTAGCCTTTTGTGAAATGAGTTGTAATTTTTTTTTCAGTTAACCATTTATTTTTCTACTTTGCTCATGGGGTTTTTGCCATGCAGGAGTTTTAAGATTTTTATGTAGATGTATTTTTCAGTCTTTTATTTCATGACTTCTTGATTTTTGAATCAGAAAGGTCTTCACTGCTCCAAGATTATAAAAGAGTTCTATTATTATTCTGGCAATTTTATGGTTTTATTTTCCACATTTATATCTCTGGTCCAGCTGAAATTTATCCTGGCGTACTGTGAGAAATATTGATCCAGCTTCTATCTTTTTCCAGTTAGCCAAATACGATTTATTTAAAAATCTATCTTTGTCTCACTGATTTGATATTTTTCAAAGACCAAATTCTCATATTTCCTTGGGTCTGTTTCTGTGCTTTCTAGTCTGTTCCATCGGTCTGTCTATACAGCACCATTTTTGATAGCTATATAGTATTGCTTTTTATGTGTAGCATAATTTATTTGACTAATTTATTTTTGTTAAACTTTCAGGTTGCTTCCGGTTTTTCAATATTCCAAACAGTGTATCAGTGAATAAAATCCTTGCACATATGCATTTGTGTGTATAGTGAATCAATCCTGTCCTTTCCATTTTTATACATGGAATTTCTGGGTCAAAGATATGTGCCTTCTTAGGCTTTTTTCATACATATTGCCAAAATGCCTTTATACCAGTTTACACCCCCTCCAACCGTGAGTGAGTGCAAATTCCCCCACCCGCGCCAGCTCTTCAGTATGATAATTCTTTTTAATCATTGCCAATCTGATCAGCAAAAAAAGGTCTCTTATTGCCGTTTTAATTTTCTTTCCTTTGAATGTTAGTGAGGCTGAATATTGTTTCAATTTATGGTGGGTTTTGATGTACAGAAGTTTTTGATTTTTTTTGTAGTCAAATCTATTAATCTTTTCCTCTATGGTTTCTACTTTTGTTGACATGTTTAGAAAGTCCTTCCCCATCCTAAGATTATAAAATATTCACTCATATTTTCTTCTAGTACCTTTATGATTTCATTTCCTTCTTTATCCATCTGGTATTCATTTTGACAAATGGCGTGAGCTGGGAAATAACGTGTATTATTTATTTATTTATTTATTTCCCAGATGGGTACTCAATTCTTTCATCACTGTTAAAAAGCACGTATTTGTGTGTGTGTGTGTGTGTGTGTGTGTGTGTGTGTGTGTGTAACTATTCCTAAAGTGAACATCTTGAACAGCTGGACACTGAAGGTAACGCAGCTCTAGACTTTGGGTCATCATTAGAAATACCAGCTTAACAGGCAGAAATATCAGCTTAACAGGCAGATGTGGCACTTTCTAACAGATGTGAGCTTTTGAATCAAACGGATTGACATTTGACATTCAAATCCAGCTTTGCAGCTCACTGCTGGTGCAACTTTGAGCAAACCAAGGATCCTCCCTGTGTCTTGGTATCTTCACCTATAAAATGGGATAATAATACTTACAGGGCTGTAATGAGAATTAAATGAGCTAACGTTTGTAGCAACTGTCTACACACGCCTTTCACATCACGGACAGTCAATATTTATCACTTGCCCTTCACACTGCAGCCATCATGCTCCCTCCTCCCCATCAAGTGAGCCCTCAGGCCTTGACTGTAAATAGGATATGCTGGAGTGGGGAGAGGTTGGATGCTGTGCTTGCTTTTTATAGGTTTTCTATCTTTACCCTGTGATCAGACTTCCATGTGTTCTGTCTTGCTGCTTTTAGTGTCTTTTCATTAACAGCCTTTCTCTCCCCTTCTAAAAGCACTGCTTTTAATCTTATAACAGCTAGAAAACCAGACAACAGGATTGTTCGAAGTATATATAAATTAAGAGTAACTGGGATCTGAGTGAGAGCCTGAGGGCCTCTCCTATTGTATAACGTGGTGGTTCTCATCTCTGGCTGTACATTAGAATCACCTGGGGAGCTTTGAAAACATATCCATGCCTGGGTCCTACTCCAGATCAATTAAATCAGAACCTCTGGTGGTGGGGTCCAGGCATGGGGGTGTTTAAAAACTCCGCGGGTGATTCTAAAGTGCACGCAGGGCTGAGAACCATTGCTCGCGCGCACAGGCTTTGTGAGATCCACATTTACTACTGAGAGGTTTTTCCCTCTGGTTCTCTCCCAAAGTGTGCCCCAAGTTGGGGTAGCAGCTCTGTGGAGCCAAAGGCCAGATGGTGGAGGTGTCAGCGATGTTTAGGCTGCTGCTGTGCTTGCTAAAGTGAGCGGCCCCAACACTCAGGTCTGTGTAAGAGCACGTTCCTCAGGGCTTTCGGAGATGATGTCAGTTTCTCTTTAAGATGGAGCTGTTTTAGTCCCCGTCCTGATGCAGCTTCCCCTGCCTCTAGGGGCTTCCTGGGACCATGCTGACTTTGACTCCTGAGGAGAGTGGAAGATAATGAGAAATAAATCTTGAGAAAACACCTTTAGTTTTTATTTCTATTTTGTTTATTTGCGTATTTGTTCTCTTTTTCTCTTGGCTCCTTCTCTGTCCTCAAAAACGTATGTAGGTGATATAGTTTGGCTGTGTCCCCACCCAAATCTCAACTTGAATTGTGGCTCCCATAATTCCCATGTGTTGTGGGAGGAACCCAGTGGGAGATAACTGAATCATGGGGGAGGTTTCCCCCATACGGGTCTCATGGTAGTGAATCAGTCTCATGAGATCTGATGCTTTTATAAGGGGTTTCCTCTTCCATTTGGCTCTCATTCTCTCTTGCCTGCCACCACGTAAGATGTGCCTTTTACCTTCCGCCATGACTGTGAGGCCTCCCCAGCTATATGGAACTGTGAGTCTCTTTTTCTTTATACATTACCCAGTCTCAGGTATGTCTTTATTATCAGGGTGAAAATGGACTGATACAGTAGGTGACATGTGTCCAGCCTGCTTGGTTCCCAACTTTGCTGGATCCATTCTATCTGTGGACGGAGCCACTATCTCTGAAAGGTACACTTACCCCCATCAACTATTGGTGGGCCCACTTTGTCTCCTGGCAAATAGATACAAAATGTGCTCCCTGCAGCCTACAAATTGGGCACCAACATCACAGCTCCTTGCTACCAAGTCAGCCTTCATGCTATTCTCAAATTCTAATAACCTGCCAGGGGGCTTAGCCCATGGGCTTGAGACCCCTTCCTGGTGTCTTACCTGGTTCATCTAAAACTAGGGCCTCCCTGGCTCCACCAGATCCTGTGGAGGAAAAGTCGCCACCTTTTCTAATGAATTAAAGCCCATTCCTGCAAGCTTAGCAATAAAGGGAGAGTCTCTGTGTGGAGAGGAGTGACTAGAATTTCCCCTTGAGATTTCTCACCCATCATCCCCACCCTTCAACACACACAGGGTAGCTGAGACCAGGCTGGATTCCTCAGACCAGCCTTTACCACAGGTTGGGGAGAACAACAGAAATAAACAGAGAGAGTAACATGAGCCTATAAAATCTGGTTTACAAGATACGACTTGATTGTGAGGGCTCAGGGCCTGCCTTCACCAGTGTGGGGGCTGCCTCCGCGTGGTCAGTGCCATGGCACCAGCCCTGGCCTCGGGGCAGAAGCTGGGACAGCTGTGCTCTTGAAAGTTCAGATGGACCCACTAAATAAAGAATGAAGCTGAGAAGGAAATGAGAGTTCCCCTTGGGTCTGGTGCCACCATCTGAATCCCAGAGTTCTGTTTGAGGATCTGTCTCTTCCTGGGATGATTAGAAATGATTGCTCCTTTTGGTGGTAAATAAACCTCAGATTCAAGTGAGGTTTTTTGATCATTAAGGCTGCATCAAGAAGGAATGGGGTGGGCAAACACTAGCTTACTACCTCACCCCAGTGCCTTGACCAGTCTTGCTAGAAGTGCGGTTTTATATCCGCAAAAGACAGTGGCTTTTCTTTAGATACATTCAGTTGAGAGGCGAAATGTTACAACCTTGTGAAATACTCTGTGATGTTCACAGTGGAGCAAGAGGTGAGCAAACTGAGGGTTATTTGCAAAGAATGCTGATGATATTCTTTTCAAAGAGCTCCCAATAATCGTCCAGGGAAGAAAAATACAAGGGTGTATCAGTTTGGAGAGACTTTTTTTTTTTTTTTAACTTGGAAGTCTGTGCGACAGCTCTGTCTGTTTTGGTGCTGATTTCTTCTTCACTCTCTTCAGGAGAGATCTCATCCGCTGTCCACTGGGGAATGGCCTTGCCCTATGGCCCCTACCAAACAAAAACGTAGCAGAACACAGCAAAACAGCAGAGTCGGAATGTGAAGTGCTGATAGAGTTCCCTAACGCTGACTGTCTGCTCTGCATTTCTGGAGATTGTATGCCTGTCATCCTGCATTCCTTGGTAGGCTACCTATTGGATAACCCCATAAACTCTGGCCCACTAATCGTCAATGGGGATAGTGCTGCCCCCTAGAGGCACTTTAGAAACGTGTGGTGTTTGTTACATTGGTTGGGGGCACTACTGAGGTGGAGTCAGAGGGCAGCCAGACTCCCTGCCCTAGGCAAGGCAGTCTTGTATGATGAAGATTTCTCCCGCACGTCTCCTGACATTTGAATGCCCCACCAGATACTCATGTAGGTAGAAAACCTCTTCATATTGGTCTGAGCCTAGAACCTAATTCTAATTTGTATATAAACACAAAGTACTTTTGTACAATTTTGTTTATTTATTTATTTATTTTTTGAGACAGAGACTCGCTGTCGCCCAGGCTGGAGTGCAGTGGCATGATCTCTGGTCACCTCAACCTCCACCTGCTGGGTTCAAGCCATTCTCCTGCCTCAGCCTCCCTAGTAGCTGGGATTACATATGCCTGCCACCACGCCCAGCTAATTTTTTTGTATTTTTGTTTCACCATGTTGGCCAGGCTGGCCTTGAACTCCTGACCTTAAGTGATCCGCCCGACTGGGCCTCCCAAAGTGCTGGGATTATAGGTGTGAGCCACCGCGCCCGGCCCTGTGGTAAAATTTTAATATTCACTGAATTTTTAATGAATGCTACCATCATATAAATGGAAAGAACACTGTATTTTATCTTTCCCAGGAGTTGTTTACCATTTCAGAAAACCACAATACCAACAGTAATATGTTCATAGTATTTGAGTTGTCAAAACAACACACCTCTATTCATCTGCATTTATAAATGAGTAATGATTCTACATATCTGTATGACTGTATAATACTTATTTAGTCTTGTTTCAGAACACCAAATATAAAGAAGTACCCATAATGTTCCAGTAAATATTATTTTACCTCTCTTACATTCAAACTCATTTATTACAAATAAGTGCAATCCTTTGACTACATTATCTCTTCTAGTGTAGTTATGCCCAGGCATTTCTAGATCACAATGTGTATTCGTTTATTCTGAGTTATTTTCCTTTTTGTTCATTATCTTATAGTTAGGGTGGTATATTGATTTTCTAAAAAATATCTGCATAGGTGGGTTGTATCATCTATAAATTTCATTTCGGAATAGTCAAGGTGGACTTACAAAATATTTGATGTAAAAACGGGAGCACTGGGTCTGATAGGGTTTGGGACCCACTGCTCTAGGTGACCTCATGGAGAATATTTGATTTTATCTCATTTTCACAGCAAATTCATTTCACTAGGTCCTATTATGATCACCATTCTGCATTGGAGGAAGCCGAGTAACAGAGACATGAGGTAACTTGCCTAAGGCCACATATCTAGAAAAGCGGGGAGCTAGAGCTCTAGAGCCCTCTTGCTATACCAGTTCACTATTCCACCTTCCACCCACCATGTCTGCCCAATCTTCCATGATTTGTCCAGGTGCCGCAGGGCCTTTCTACCTGGAAGCCCACCCTCTGCCCCTGTTAGCCTTCCTTTTTTTTTTTTTTTTTTTTGATGGACTCTCACTCTGTTGCCCGGGCTGGAGTACAGTGGCGCAATCTCGGCTCACTGCAACTTCTGCCTTCCAGGTTCAAGTGATTCTCCTACCTCAGCCTCCTAAGTAGCTGGGATTACAGGCACGCGTCACCACACCCGGCTAATTTTTGTATTTTTAGTAGAGAAGGGGTTTCGCCCTGTTGGCCAGCCTGGTCTTGAACTCCTGACCTCGGGTGATCCGCCCGCCTCGGCCTCCCGAAGTGGTGGGATTACAGGCGTGAGCCACTGCGCCCGGCCCCTGCTAGGCTTCTTGCAGGGTCCACTGGGGACACTGACTGGAAGGAAAAAAATGACTTTTCCCTTTTGGATAGAATTTTAACAGAATAAATAAAAGGGAAGAATTTTGCAAAGAGCAGATCCCCATAAATTTTGCTGAAAGAATGAATGAATGATTTGGTAACGTATCGGGGAGAGTACTGCTGGGTCCTTTGGAAGAGCCCCTGGGCTTTTAATAATTGATTTCAGCAAACTTATGTGAGTTTCCCTGGGGTTGATGCCGGGGTTCGCAGGGCTCTCAGCTCAAGGACAAGGAGGAACACTTCCACTGTGTCCCCGCAGGCTGAGGGAGGCTGTTCACTCCTTTTCCTCAGGAAGCCCAGCTGTTGAAACCGATCAGCACATCTCCCTTGCCCTCTCCCCATGCACACGGACATGGTTTTCATGTCCTGGAGTTGGGGGTCTTTTTTATTGTATTATTTTTATTATTTTTTATTTTTTTATTTTTTCTGAGACAGTGTCTTGCTCTGTCACCCAGGTTGGAGTGCAGTGGTGCGATCTCGGCTCACTGCAAGCTCCTCCTCCCGGGTTCATGCCATTCTCCTGCCTCAGCCTCCCGAGTAGCTGGGACTACAGGTGCCCACCACCACATCTGGCTAATTTTTTGTATTTTTAGTAGAGATGGGGTTTCACCGTGTTATCCAGGATGGTCTCGATCTCCTGACCTCATGATCCGCCTGCCTCGGCCTCCCAAAGTGCTGGGATTACAGGTGTGAGCCACCGCTCCCGGCGGGGGTCTTCTTCAAATAACAGCCTTTCCTCTGGCCCTTTGGTCTGTGATCTGACTGACCCCCTGTGTCCTGGTCTGAGGAACACCAGCTCCTACAACTGACAACCACAAAGGGATGCTGCACTTTTTCCCCGTGGGTCTCTGGCAGGGTCTCACTCTGAGCTACAACTTTTTCTTTCCTTCACTCAGCAAATGTTTTCTGAAGGCCTGCTTTGTGCCAGATTCTGGGGTGCAGGGATGAGCAACGACACATTGTCCCATCCCACACTGATCTCAGGTGCTTTCTTCCTCAACTAAACCATATACCCTTCCTGGAGGTGACTTGGGGGGCCATCCCTCAGCAGAAGCCAGACTCCTCACTCTACCCCATTCCAAACCTTCCCCTCAGACCCACAAAAGATACTCAACTTCAGTCACCCTCTGCAGACTCAGATTTAGTACAAATGACTGGCTTTTGCAGTAGTGTGGGAAGAGCTGCAACAGGAGCATACAGAAGCTCTGGGAGCCCACGGGGAAGGGCAGCTGAACCAGCCTGGGGTGAATAGGGAAGCTTTCCTGGAGGAGGGGATGCCTGAGTGTAGTCCCAAGGAATGGCTATGATTTGGCAAAGGCAAAGGATGAGTGCATTGGTCAGGGTCCTAAAAGGGAACAGGCCCCCTTAAGTTAGGATGATTTGATGAGGGTTTATGCACAAAGAGGTTATTTGCAAAGGTTTAGGCAGAGTGTGGGAGAACAACACAAGATAGTACAGAAACTCAGGGTCAGTGGCAGCAGAGCTGTTTCCACCCCTAGGCCAGAAGACATGGGAGAGGGGCAGCCTGTACCCTGGAAAGAGGGAGAGTCGTGTCATTCAGGTCAGCTTCCCTCTAGGGAATCAGCCAGCCTGATGCAACCTTACAAGGAGGGAATCAATTGCCTTGACCTCATTCTTTCCTGTCTTCCAAACTCTTGCTGGTGGTCCCCATTGGCCAAACCCAACCAGGAGCCAGAGGGCACTGGAGCTGATTGATGTGATCTATACAGGGCAGACTTTGGGGCACAGAGCAGGCTGGAGAGTGGATCTGGCGTGGTAAGCAGAAGATATCCAGCATGCTGGGTCAGGGAAGGCCTTTCTAAGAAGAGGAGAACAATTTGTGAAGGCCCCATTCTTACACAAGAATGTGTAAGTTGGGGAAATGTTTTCTTTATGTCTGGAGTAGAGTGAGTAGGAATGGGGGCGTCCATCATGAAAGGCCTTGCATGTCTTTCTAACGAATGTGAAAATTTATCCCAAAGGCGATGGGAGCCACTGAAGCATTTTTGGCAGGAGGTGACCTGATCAGATTTGTGTTCTGAAATGATCACTCTCGCCCTAGTGTGGACGTGGTCTGGAGGAACACTTCAGACTAGAGATGGTGAGGCCTGAACCAAGACAATGGCGATGGAGAAAGAGGTGGATTGATTTGAGAAATGTTTAGGAAGTAGTCTCAAAAGGCGATGAAGGATTGAATGTGGAGGATGAAGGAAAGGGAGACGTCGAGAGCAGTGTCTGGGTTTCCACTTGAAGCTCAGGCTCAGGAGGGAGCGTGAGGGAGCAGGTTGCCTGTCCAGCTGTTGCTTCCTCGATTTTGCTTTCTGGATTTGGGAGAAAGCTTAGATTGGCCCTCATTAGCAGGACCTCAGGCTTTCAAGGGGGTCTTGGAGGGGCTTCCTAGCCATGCCACAGGTTGGCCTCCCTTGGTTGTCTCGAGAGCACGCCAAACTAGAGAGCAGGCGAAGTCACCTTTTGCTGCCACCCTGGGACCTACTGAGCCGGGACCTGCTCTCTCCCACCCCCTGCCCCTTCCCATATGGACAGGGGATGTGTTTTCTTTTAACTTGCTTCATTGCAGGAGCAAATGAGGTCCAGCTGAGGGGAGGGAACCAGCCATGGTGACAGAGCATGGGCTGTGTGAGCTTGGGTGAGAGTGGGGGCCCTGTCACCCTCAGTTTCCTTCCACTGGCTTTTCAGACAGCTGTGGTCCCTGTAGGCTCAGATTTCATCCCTAGCAATTCTGAAGAACCTGCTATCCAGTAACAGGTCCCATTCCTTGGAGTTCTTTACCTAGAAACCTGGAATAATTTTCTTTTGTTGCAGAGGAAAATGCTGAGGTTGTTCTTTCATGGTCTAAGAACTTGAGTAGTCATGGCAACGCATGAGGGTGGGGTGGGTGAGGTGGGGGCGTCTTAGCAGTGTTTCGTTTCAAATGCCAGATTAAAGGAAAAGCGTCTTTGGAGTTCGCCTCATTAAGACATAGCTCAGTGCAGTCTCGTTGATGGTTCTCCAGCTCATCATTTTACACATTACATTTTCCCTACATTTCCTCGCCTGATGGGCAGTCTTCTGGGACTTCTCCCTGAGAATTTTGGCTCCGAGACTTCTCCAAGAATTTCAGCTCATTTCTGGCAAGAGCGTTGGTGGGGGTGACTCTTTTGTTCCTGTCGAGGACCTTGTCTTGTAAGTCCTTTGCTTCCAATGGGACTGCCACTTTAAAAAGCCAAAGGTAACATGTTTATTGAGAGTTTGTTCTGGCTACAAAAAGAAAGATGGTGATTGAGCAGCCATTTCCTTTTCACACTATACTTTTGGTCCAGGATCTTTCTCTCAGAGTTTGGCCAGGTCAAGCCCAAAGCTGGCTCTGGGGATCTAGGCCATCCTTCCGACTGCCCTTCCGGGACGCGTCTTGGAGAAAGTAAAGGTGGAAATGTTTAACCTAGACACTGGCTGCAAGTGCTTTCTTCCTCAGCTGAACCTTATCCCCTTGCTTGAGCTGACCTGGGGGTCCTTCTTCTTGAGGAGCCACTCCCCACCCTGCTCCAGTCCAAACCTCTCCTATACCCGCAAAAGATACTCAACACATTAGAGTTGCCCAGTTATCAACTAAAATATTTCCCAAGTCCTCATTTATGCTTTCCAGTGGTCACCTAGATTCTCCTTGTGATTAATGTTCTTATTAACCATAGCCCTCATGTGCTGAATACTTACTAAGAGGCCAGATTTCTATTTATCACCTAATTTAATAGTCACCAACAACCCCGTGAGGCAGGTACTAGCAGTCTCATCTTACAGAGGAGGGAACTGAAGTCCCCCAAAGCTAACTTGTCTAGAACCAAATAGCTAGTAAGAGGTAGAGCTGCGATGACGTGGGGTCTGTCTGGTGACACACAGTGCTCTCTCCACTAGGTGACACAGCCTACATCCTCAGCTGCTTTCACCCCGTCTCACCTGATCACAGCACACATTCCCACCTGCATGAGCCCTGCCTCATTCCAGCCAGAATGTGGTCACTGAATCATCTCCCCAAAGTTCCCCTTTCATTCATTATTTTTTTTATTTTTATTTTTATTATTTTTTTTTGAGATGGAGTCTCACTCTGTCCCCCAGGCTGGAATGCAGTGACTTGATCTTGGCTCACTGCAACCTCTGCCTCCTGGCTTCAAGTGATTCTCCTGCCTCAGCCTCCCCAGTAGCTGGGACTACAGGTGCATGCCACCATGCCTGGCTAACTTTTGTATTTTTAGTGGAGATGGGGTTTCACCATGTTGGTCCAGGCTAGTCTCAAACTCCTGACCTCAAGTGATCTGCCTGCCTTGGCTTCCCAAAGTGCTGGGATTACAGGCGTAAGCCACCGTGCCCAGCCCCAAAGCTCCCCTTTCATTGCTCCCGTACTAGGCTCCCCTGCTGGGCTCAGTTTTGAGGGTACAGAGACCATGACAGTCTTGTTCACCCTGGTATCTATAGGGCTTGGCCTGTAGAAAGTGCACAAGTAATTACTTACTTACAGAGTCAATGGAAATATCTTTCTTCCACCAGCGCCCCCCCAACAACATCCCCCTTATTCTTTCTCTTCTCCCTTCCCAGCTACAGCCACAAGCTGTCTCCACCATCAGATGTGGCTTACCTGGTTCCTGAGTCAATTCCATCCAGGTAGGAGGAATCCTATCAGAAAGTATGTGAGTGCGTTTGCAGAGTGCATTCCTGTGGAGCCCCCTTATCTCTGGCTGCATCTGCTTCTGCAGGGAGAAAGTATCCCTGCTGTGAGAGGTCTGGGATCTGGAGTACAGAGGGTAAGCCCTGGGCCCCCACTTACCCCCGGGGTCCCATCCTCACTCACCTCCCTCCTGTATCATCCTAGTCCACAGAGTAGCTTTTCACTAAGCTCTTACTGGATTGGACTCTTCATATACATTATCTCATTTAACCATCACGACAACCCCAAAGGCAGACAGTAGTATCTCCATTTTATAGGAGAGGAAACTGAGGCTTGAAGGGATTACGTCACTTGCTAAGGACTCACAGGGATTTGAACAGGGGCTTCTCTGTGGTCGCAGCCTTTGTGATGTTTCCTTCTCACACGGGCTGGGCTTCTGCCGTGTTCTACCCATCTAACCTGGGAAGCCCTCCTGATTTCTGGGGACCTGACAATCTCAGGAGCTAATCATCATGGTTAGAATAGGTACAATTTTGTGAGCATCCATCTATACCAGAAGCTCCACAAATGGCCTGATTTAACCTTCATCCCTGTGAAGTAGGTGCTAGGATTCTCTCCGCTTTGCAGATAAGGAAACCGAGAAGTTAAGTGTTACCGCCAGTGTTGTACAACTGCTGAAGTGGGGGAACAGGATTCAAACCAGGCTTGTCTGAGACTGAAACCCGTGTGCTATACTACTCCTTCTAAGGGTGTCTGACAAGGGCTGGACTCTGATCGTCGTCTACTCCCCTTTGGGAACCCTGCTTCTAGCTGGGGTCCAGCCACCCAGAACCAGGTTGTAGCTGCCTTCCTGCTACTGACCTCCCATTGGCTCCACCCCACCTGCCTGATGGGCCAGCCTCCCAGCCCCACCTGAACGGAGCACACTTCTGTGCCCCTCTAGTGCTGTGCTTGGCCACGCGGCAGCCAAATCAGTTTCTCTGGCCCAGCTTCCTCCGGTCCCCAACCCTGCCCTCCGGTGTCTGTGGCGGTCGCCATGTGCGTGGAGAGGTTTTCGTGTGATTCTTTCCACCACCATCCGCCAGCTGGTTGGGCTGCTACCTGCTCTAATCCCTGCACAGCTCTCTAAGGTGGGCTAAGCGAGTGTCAGCACCTCTCCCTGGCTTCTTGGGCTTCATGTAGCTCCCTCACTTCTATCCACCAGTGACAGCCCTGGTACCCCCCTTCTGAGACCAGTCTCTATGGCTGAGCCTGGCTCAATGCCTCCTCAGCACTAGAGCTCATGCTTCCTGCGGCCCCCGGCTGCTTGCTGACCAGAATGCCTGCGTTCCACCCTGTTCTGCCATCTGATGCCTGCCTGAGTGTCTGCACTGACTCCTGTCTCTTGTCTTCCTCTGACCCCTGAGCAGCACAAGCCCCTAAGCCTCAGCATGTCCCCACAAGCCCCAAGCCCTGCCTCATGACCCTTGCCTGGTCTCACCCCACTTGAGTGGACATTTTCCAGCCTTTTCCCTCAACATCTCTCAACTTGGACTCTGCTCCCCATAAAGCAGAATCAATGACTCACCTAATAATATGTGCTGGGAGTCTATGTGCAAGACATTGTATAGGGCACTGAGACCTCCCAGCTGTCCCCTGACTCTCAGGCCCGCCATCTCTCACTCTTTGTGGTTGGTTTTTGCTGTTTTCCTTGATTCCTATTAGGGCAGCAGAAGCCCCTCCATGCTGCCCACCTCACTAAAGGCCTTGTAGGTTTTGTTTTGTTTTTTGAGACAGAGTCTTGCTCTGTTGCCCCGGCTGGAGTGCAGTGGCACAATCTCGGCTTGCTGCAATCTCCACCTTCTGGGTTCAAGCAATTCTCCTGCCTCAGCCTCCCAAGTAGCTGGGATTACAGGGGCGCACCACCACACCCGGCTAATTTTTGTATTTTTAGTAGAGATGGGGTTTTGCCATGTTGGCCAGGCTGGTCTCGAACTCCTGACCTCAGGTGATACACCCACCTCAGCCTCCCAAAGTGCTGGGATTATAGGCCTGAGCCACCATGCCTGGTCGGCCTTGTAGGTTTTGAAGCCTACTTGGAGGTCTCTAAGTCAGGGCTTCCCAATGTTCTTTGCACACGAAGGAATGGATACTGTCTGTGTGACACACTGCAGGAACTGCTGGCAGCCTGAGAAGGGCCAGCTAGGGGGTCCAGACACCCCAGGCCAAGCCCCAAGGGCTAAAGGGATGGGTCAGGTCTCTGCTCACCTGGAACCCATTCTGTTGAGAAGCTCTCCTCTAAGCCTTGACTATAAAAATATTAATAGCTTCTTTTTATTGAGTGATTAAAATGTGCTGGGTGGTGTGTGAGGCATTCTATATACATTGTCTCTGTAGTGACGGGAAGTCATCATCATCCCCATTTTATAGATGAGGACTGAGGCTCAGAGATTCAGCAACTGGCCCAAGGGCGTTACCTCTCTGAACTTCTAATGTGCTTAAAAAGCAATGTCAGTGTCAAGTGATTTACCCTACAACATTCTTTGTTTCCTCTATATATTGGTTTTTTTTTTTTTTTTTTTTTGGAGTTGGAGTCTCACTCTGTCCCCCAGACTGGAGTGCAGTGGCTCAATCTTGGCTCACTGCAACCTCTGCCTCCCGGGTTCAAGCCATTATCCTGCCTCAGCCTCCCGAGTAGCTGGGATAACAGGTGCCTGCTATCACGCCCGGCTAATTTTTGTTTTTTTAGTAGAGACGGGGTTTCACCATGTTGGCCAGGCTGGTTTCAAACTCCTGACCTTGTGATCCACCCCCTTCGGCCTCCCAAAGTGGTGGGATTACAGGCATGAGCCACCGTGCCCAGCCTCCTCTATATGTTCTCATCTTGCAACAAAACAGGGAGCTCTTCATGTCTAATGCATATTTTCATCCCTACTCTGCATCACACACTTAGGTGTTCCATGGTTATTCTCCAGGTCCTTCTGAGAAGCCCACACAGCTCCTTAGGCCCAGCCCTCACCACTTCTGTCCCAGAGGAGTAAAACCCAAATGCCTTCCATAAAGGAGGCCAGACCTTTTATGCAGGGAGGGTGTTTGGGAAGAAGAATGAGCTGCCAGCAGGCTGCCTGGTGACTGTGGCCTTATGGGAATCAGGATGTTTCCAGGTCAAAGGCTGCAGGAGTTCCTGTCTCTTTGCTCCTCCTCAGCAAGGGATCTGCAACATGCTCATTCCACGGTCATGGCCTCGGGGGATCTTTTCCACTTTGGGTATTGAGAAATCTCTATAAAGATGATCCTGTCTTTATGCCCAGCACCTTATGGCAATTCTTGAGAGAGGGAGAGCGTCAGGGAATTGAGAATGGGGTGCAGTTGCCTCACTCCTGCCTCCATTCTGTTGTGTATAATACGGAATGTTAGGGTCATGTGACACTAGAAATTGCCAAGCTGGTCCAATCTCTCCATTTATAGATGGTGAAGCCAAGGCCTGAAGACCTTTCCTGCAAGGTCGCAGAGGAAGAGGCAGAAGAAGGACCAGAACCCAGCTCCCCTGACTCCCTATCCAGTGCTCTTCTCATAGATTACATTGCTTCAGCATCCACCTGGCTATTGCTCCATCCAGGGGTTACAGGAGTCACTGACTGTTTTGGTTGCTTCTTGGTTGGAGGATGTTGTGCCTCACCGATGAGAGGTGGGTATTGGTGGGCAAGGCCACTAAACAGGTCAAAAATTCAATTGTCCCCACATGGCCTTATTGGCCCCTGCAACACTGGGCAAGTTGACAGACGGGTTGTTTGTGATTGCCAGTGCCACGCTCCCTGTATTCCCATTGTCTGGAAATGTGGCAGGAGGGCAGTTGCCTCTATTTTGAAGACTGCAGTTGCTATGGACCCATCAGAGGCACAGACATTCTAGCGAGTAGATCTCTGGGACCGGCTGTTCCTCAGCCTGGCAGGACTGGTAGAGTTAACTGCGAACTGCTCTCCTCCCCATCTTTGCAATTTCTTCCAGAGAGAAGGAGCGAGCACTCTGCCATCTACATATTTTCAGCTGAGTTATATTTTGCATAAAGTAAACTTAGCAAACAGAGAACACAGTGAGAATATATTTGGCTTTGAAGCGTCAGTGCTCTGACAGGCATTTCCTATTAGCTATCTCAGAGCCGACCAGCCCGGCTGGGTTTTGCTTAAGTGGCATAATTCTCCTGCAGTGGAGACAGCTCATTCATTAGTCATTCCAAAAGCCAGATACAAAATATCCTTCTCTAAGCCAACTCCACCAACCAGCTCCCCAGCCCGGGTGGAACAATGAAACTGTGAGGCTTACCAGCCTGGCAAAGGTCAGCCGGAGAGCTACCTGTCTGCGGGCTTTGGAAGATAGCTTTGGCTTCAGCCTTTCATTTCCCTCAGGAACAGGAAGGACGCGTCTTCCTCCTGTTGGCAGAGGCCTTAGGATCCTTACCGAGGGTGGGCTTCTTCCCATTTCACTACAGCGTCACTTGCAACGGCACCAAGCCCTGATTTAACACACTCTGTTTTGTTTGTGTTTTTTTAGCCGGAAGCAAAGGTACCAGTTCTTAGAGGAAGCATAGGAATGTGTCCCTTCCTGCTCGGGTCTCTCAACTGAACTCAACCCTTCCTTGATTGATTGACAAGCATGTTATCTCTCATAATCCCTGCCCGGTAAGGGCTGATGTCCCCATTTTACAGATGAGGATATTGGAGCTCAGAGAAGTGAAATGATTGCTGAAGGTCACACAGCCTGGCTTCAAGCCTCTCGGGCTCCAAAAGGCATCTTCTGTTCTCTCCGTCAGGAAGCCTCTTTTGGATGATTAACTGAGATTAAAAATGAAAAGACACATGAAAGAAAGGTCCTTTTTTTCAACCTGACAAGAACTAAGAATGCCTCTGTATTCCAGGCACCCAGACCAGGGTGGGCTGGAAAGCCAGCCAGAGAGAAAGCAGGAGAAAGAAAGCATGTTCTAACAGGAAGGTTAAAGCACCCTGGGATGTGAGTTGGGGTGGAGAAGTGAAGAGGGCAGTTCTCACAGGGGCAGAGCTTGGTTTGGGGTAGGCTAGGAGCTGGGACCAGAAGAGGGACAGGGAAGGGTTTATTGTGGGTCCACGGCCCAGCTCCACTGCATGGGCCATCTGACAGCGCCTGACCGAGCAGAATGCCAGGGTGTAAAGACCCCACTAATACCCAGTCAATGAGAGGAACGCCAGAGGAGCACCCAGAATGTTCTTGTGCAGAGGCAAAGAGCAGGAGTTTGTGACCACAGCTGGCAGTCCATGTCATCCTCACTGAACGACCTCTTAGCATTCCAGGTGGACAAACATATTCACAGGTGCCCAGACAAATGAGGTCTGCGGGAGAGAGACAGGCTACATCAGAGGTAGACTATGTATTTACATAAAGTAGGAATAAGAGTCTCAGAAGCCTTCCAAAGCAGATGTCTGCTTAAACCTCTTGAGCGGTGCCCTCCTTAGCCTGGAAGGAAGGCCTTGCTCAGGTAGTCTCAACCCGCATCTGTGGTGTGATTTAACACCTTCCCCTTCATTCCACCACACTCTATCTCAAACTATCTGTTGTTCTCAAACACACAGAACACTTTCACTCCACCAGCTCTTCCACATGTGATTATCTTTGCATGTACTTCATCTTTCTCATCTACAGCCCCACCTGGCAAACTCCTACTCAGCCTTCAAAACCCTGCCTAAATGTCACTGAATCTGGAAGCCTTCTTCATCTTCTCAGTACACATTTGTCTGTATTCCTGATCCTTTGTCTATAACTCTGGTAAATCATTGATCCTAGTGCACTGTCAAGAACTTGTCCTATTTTATCTGTAGATTCCCAGAGCCCAATCAAGATCCTCACATGTAGAAAGTAGTAGATCAATTAAATAAAGCAAGCACAGCCAGAATGGCTGGGAATTTGAGAGCATGTGCCCCAGAATGATTGTACCTCAGACCTGGAAGAAAATGTGGAGTTGATCTAAGTAAACCTGATGTTTGAACGCCTCATCTGCATTCACAGCCTGAGGTAATATACATAAACCACCTAATCTAGTAACTGGCAGGTATTAGTCAGTGAATGGTGGCTGATATTTTTGTTTTTGTTGTCATTTCTTCGGGAATCAAAATAGACATAGAAGAATTCGCAGAAAGAGCAACAGATCTGCAGTTGGGGCTGTGGCTCTGCCTCTGAGACTCTCCCTTTATGACTTTGAACAAGTCATTTCACCCTCATGAGGCCTCGATTTCCTCATCAATAGTTTGGGATACAACTAGGTGTCCTGTAATTGGTGCCTTTCAGCTCTAATCAAAACAAAAACAAGACCCAAGCAAACATCATCACTGACAGATCTGAGGGAATCCAGCTCAGATCTTCCTGGTGTCATCTCTGATCAGAAATCAGGGAACCAACCCTGACCTTAATGGCCCTTCTAGGGGTGTGCTCTTCCCCTGGGCAGAGCCAATCCCCAGGGAAGCAGAAACTCCTACTTGCCAAACTCCTGGCCAGTCACACCCGCTTTGCCATCCTGGAGAAGGAGGGACTGTTGTGGAGCTTGTGGCAAAATCCCTCTTCCTCCCCCAAACACAGCTATGATTAGCTGTGTCCTCACCACGAAACTGCAGGGGTGTGTGCGGGTGAGTCATAGCTGTTCAAATCACATTTATAGAGAGCTCGCATGGCAGGGGGCTTGGTGGCTGTCAGAGGCACCCCAGTTCCCTTTCTCTACCCCCAACAATTGCTGAGATTTTAGGACCCAGGCATTTGGGTTACAGAGTTTCAGAATCATCTGCTGATGCCACCGGCTTCTTATGCCAGGCCCCAGCCACCCAGAGCGGCTCCCCTGGAGGAGGAGGGGGCTTGGTCCTCATCCCATTGCCCATCCCATCCCACCTGGGAGAGCTGTCCCAGGGTCAGCCCCAGGCCTGAATTGTCACTGTCTCTCACCACCCTCTCCCTGGGGCCTGCCATTCCCAGGACCACTCCGAAGGAATCAGGTACTCTCTCCAGGTGCGAACCCCACAACCTCCAGGAGCCCCAGCTCCTGCCACTCCATGCCCTAGGCTCACTCGTAGCTGTTGGCACAGGTGTCCCAGCCTCTCTGAGCTGTGCACTGTGGTCTCAAATGCCCCCTCCCACTCCCTTTCCACCCAGCCATGGGGACCCTGACAGCTCCCATCGGGAGCTGAGAAAGAAGCAGAGGCCTCTTTGGTGGAGGAATCCCGGCAGGCCGGCAAGTCCCAACAGGCCGATGTTGGGCTGCTGCAGGCAGACAGTGAGTCACCTGGGTCCCCGCTGCTTACAGGACAGAGCCAGAATAATGACAATAATAATAGAGGTCCACGGTGCTGTTATTAACGCCCACCTTTCCTCCCAGGACCATGTCTCCTTTATCCATCTGACAGCCCTTGGGGCAGGGAGGGGCCGAGGGCCCAAGAGATTTTGTTGCCCTGTCTTAAATAGGGGGGAAACTGAGGCTAAAGTTGTTTCCCACTGAACTGCTAGTCCTGAGAATAGGACTCTGCCTCCTAATGTCCCCGATGCCAGGAAAGTTCTGCAGCCCCACAGTTAGTGGTCTCCTCACTGACAAAGCTCTAGGCTCAGGGAGCAAAGAGCCCACATTTCTGGATTTCTCACACTCTGTCCTCTAACCCTTACTTACAACAACAGCTCTAGGGACTAGTTATGATTATTATCCTCATTTGATGGATGAGGAACTTGAAGTTCAGAGAGGCTAGGTAAATTCCCAAGGTCATGCAGCAAAGGAGAAGCAGACCCAAGACGTGAAGCCAGGTTGGTTTGACTGTGCTCTCTCACTCAGGGTCCTGTAATCCAGGATCTAGAGTTTCCAAGTGTGGCTTCCTAGGCCTTTTGGGCCTGCTCTTCTTCCATTGCCTTCCCCACCTGGGCTCCCTCTATCTCAAGATTAGGGTTCCTCCCAGGGCCCCCTGGAGGCCAGCTTTCATTTTCATCTTGAGCAGCCGTGGAAAATTAAGGACTCAACCACTTTAATTTTGGGGTCTTAGTAATTATCTGACACCACCCACTCAACTCTACCCACTAGTTATTACAATAATAACAATAATAATTTAGAGAAGCGATGGCAATGATCACAGCGTTTACAGAATCCGGGACTGGGCGGAGATAGATATAGCCTCACACTTCCTTTTTCTATCAGTGTGGTACTAGTTTTGGGAGTAAGGACTGTTGGAGTCTAGTCAGTTCTGGCAAGGATGCCATATATCACATGACTGAATGTGCCCCTAAATGCCTGTGTACCTTCATTTCCCCCTCTGTAAAATGTGGGAAAAAGTCTTGCAAGACGATGTGCTTTCAGCTTCCTGAAATAAAGTCATGATAAGCAACCTTTTCTTTTTCGCCACCCTATAGTCACTATTTACAATGACCCAGGAGTCTGATGCCTAAATGATACATTATCTTCATGCTCCAGTCTCCCACTGTCTGACTGCCCGGCTCTTCTTTGACGAGAGATCTCACCGATTGCGGCCCTTGGCCTTAGGAAGGGTGATGGGCTGGGCTGGAGGCCTGGGCTGAGCTCTTGGGTGCAGGGGGAGCCTCAGCTTTTCCAGCCCTCATCCTCAACGGCTGCCTCTGCCAAGGCCCTGGAGCTACAGAAAGCAAGACCAGTGCCTGAGTGCAATAAATGCTTTTATTAGTCCTTTTATTAATGACGGTTGGTATTTGTTGAGAAGCTGGGACAATAGTTATTCCAGTAAGAGGATATTAAGCTCCCTCAAACAGGCCCTGTATATCTAACAGGCTCTGGCCCCCAGCCTCCCCTGACGCAGCTCTGTTACACTGCAGCACACCCCTGGCCTCCCAGCAACTCCAAGAAGGGAGAGGAGGGATGGGGGAGGTAGGGATAATCTGGTGTCATTAAACACACAGGCCTTTGTGGAGGTTACCGTACACCAACAGCAGGAAGCTTTTTCTTCCTTCTGAGAGCATAGGGAGCCTATGTGATTTTGTTTTTTTTTTGTTTGTTTTGGTTTTTTTGTTTTTTGCTACCCCTGTGCTCCTGGCTATTTTACCTCCAGAGCTGCTGGTGATAAGTTGGTAAAGGAGGACCTCCTTAAACCATTTGTTAAACCATTTGAGACTGTTCCTAGTACTTGTTTTAAGCTATTTTACATGATTTTTAATGTAATAAACACATTTATAATACTATGTGGTGGCAATGTTCTGAGTGCTTTTCAAATACTAATTTATTTAATACTCATAACGTCTCAATGAAGTAGGCACTATACTTATCCTTATTTTATAAATGAGGAAATGAGGCCCAGAGAGGTTAAGTGACTTGCCCAAGGTCACACAGCTGATAAGTAACAGAGTTAAGGTCTAGAGACGCAGTTGTCTCTAGAGTCTATGCTTTTTATCCGAAATTTCAAAACTGAGTCTGAAAAGAACTGGGAAATATTGCCTAAATTCACAAGCTTTATTGCTTTACCAAAAGGAATTAGATATTCTCATGTAGGGGATGGTATAATAAATTATAATAGAGTTCCCCCAGAATCAGAGCATCTCTGAGATGAAAGCGTCCTTGAAGGTCATCAGATCTAATCCTCTGACGAATACAAGAATACTCTCTGCAGCATCCCTGATACGTGATCCTTCAGCTTTTGGCTGAATATCTCTAGTGTCAGGGAGCTCATTACCTAATCCAGCAGACCATCCCAACTTCGGGCTGTTCTCACTGTTAGAAAAGAAAGCTCTTGGCCGGGCGCAGTGGCTCAAGCCTGTAATCCCAGCACTTTGGGAGGCCGAGGTGGGCTGATCACGAGGTCAAGAGATCGAGACCATCCTGGCCAACATGGTGAAACCCTGTCTCTACTAAAAATACAAAAATTAGCTGGGCATGGTGGCGTGCTGTCTGTAGTCCCAGCTACTCAGGAGGCTGAGACAGGAGAATTGCTTGAACCTGGGAGGCAGAGGTTGCAGTGAGCCAAGATCATGCCACTGCACTCCAGCCTGGTGACAGAGCGAGACTCTGTCAAAAAGCAAGCAAGCAAGCAAGCAAGCAAGAAAGAAAGAAAGAAAGAAAGAAAGAGAAAGAAAGCTCTTTTCTTTCTCCAGCTGGACTGAAATTTAGCTCCCTTTAACTTAAATGGACCAGCTTTGTCTTCCAGAATTGGGTGGGCAGCAGGGCAGGGGAAGCCTTATCCCTTTTGTATAGGGCAGTCCATAAAGTGCTGAAAAATAATTTTTTTTTTTTCAGACGGAGTCTCTCTCTGTCACCCAAGCTGGAGTACAGTGGTGTGATCTTGGCTTACTGCAACCTCTGCCTCCCGGGTCCAAGTGTTTCTCCTGCCTCAGCCTCCCGAGTAGCTGGGACTACAGGTGCTCACCACCACGCCCAGCTAATTTTTGTATTTTTAGTAGAGACGGAGTTTCACCATGTTGGCCAGGCTGGTCTGGAACTCCTGACCTCAAGTGATCCACCTGCCTCAGCCTCCCAGAGTGTTGGGATTATAGGCATGAGCAACTGTGACTGGCCTGAAAAATAGCTTTCATGTCTCCCTTAAATCTTTTTTTCTCTTCTGGCTTAAACTTCCTTAGTTCTTTCATGGCCATGGTCTTCATTTGTTTTTTTAATTTCCAGATTCTCAGATTCTCCATCTCCCTGTTTCCACCTCTCTCTGAAGCACCAGAGCTCATCAGTGTTCATTTTAAAGCGATGTAGGGGCCGGGTGCGGTGGCTCACGCCTGTAATCCTAGCACTTTGGGAGGCCAAGGCAGGTGGATTGCCTGAGTTCAGGAGTTCAAGAACAGCCTGGGCAACACAGTGAAACCCCGTCTCTAATAAAATACAAAAAATTAGCCGGGCGTGGCGGTGTGCGCCTGTAGTCCCAGCTACTCGGGAGGCTGAGGCAGGAGAATTGCTTGAACCCGGGAGGCGGAGGTTGCACTGAGCTGAGATCGTGCCACTGCACTCCACCCTGGGCGACAGAGCGAGACTCTGTCTCCAAAAAATAAAAAAATAGAGTGATATAGGAATGAAACACGGCACATCAGGTGTGGTCCTGCAATGCTGAGTGCAGGATCATCACCTCCCTTATCTCCCTTGTTCATATTCTACATTTCCAATGATGCAGCCTAAACTTGCCTTAGGTTTTTTGACTCTTGACTCACAATGAGTTTGCAATCAATGTGTAGCACTTTTAGCTTCTTTTTCCAAATTCTGAATTTGTACAGCTGTGCTGGGTTTTTTTGTTTGTTTTTTAAGCCCAAGGGTGGGACTTCACATTTACTGCTGATAAATTTCATCTTGTTAAATTCAGTTCCTTGTTGTAACCTATCAAGGCGGACATGGAACCTTATTCTGTTACCCTATTTTATGATTTCCTACTTGATTTTGTATCATCTGAAATTTTGATAAATATGCCACCTGTGTTCCCATTCAGGTAGTCACTAATTGTTTTTAAAGCTGGATAGGAAAATTTTCCGAGGTTGGGTTTATGGAGGAAGATGAGGCCAAGCGAGAGTGACTCTGAAGGAAAGATTTCTGTTTGGATGGATCTGAGTGACGACGAGCGCTGTGCACCTCTGGGGGTGTGAGCGGCTGGGTAACCAGGTAAAGTCTCCCATGGCATCATGCCTGCGTCAGAGCCTGTGACCCATGACGAGGCCGGAAGGCAAATACTGATAGCGCCCAGTTCATAGAGCTGATTGTTTCCTATATCCTCTGCTGACAAGTGTTGAGGGTGTGAAATAGAGGATATCATAAAATAGAAGCAAGGCCCATTGTGAGGCGACAAACAGGACTTTCAGATCAGAAAAAGCCAGGTGCTTGCTGTCAGCATCAAGACCTCCAGAAGTAAAAAAGAAGACATTCTTGGAGCAAAAGTAGAATGGACAAAAAAAGTGCTTTAGCACACTGCTTGGAGTTTGAAAACATTTTTCTCCACTTAAACAACCCTTCTGTCATTCCTTAGAGGTCATACCTGAAAGCCAAAGAATCAGGCTGAGGCCACATCATTGGGGTTGACAGCAGGGGTTCTCAGTTTATCCCCAGGGGTACTGGAAATGAATTGAATGTTGCAATCTTGCTACCGCGGGGCCTGTAAAGCACTCAGCCCACTCCCCACCCCGAGCACCCAGGGAGAATATTTTTAGCTGTCTTTGTAATACCCACGCAAATTGTTCTCCTCCTTGTCCACTTCAACCCAGTCTCTTATTTTCTAGTTCCCACCCCTTCTTCACGCCACCTCCCCATTCCACCCCCCAGGCCAGGAGTCTGGAATGCTATGGTGTTCCAGGCCCCTGAGTCAGGTGCAGCTGCAGGGACCAAGGTAGGTTTTGGCACCTGGGGAGAGGGGCAATTCTTGATGGCTGAGACTAATGGGATTTCCAAGACAGTCATGAAGCAGAGATAGAACCAGTGCCCAAGTCTAGGTAGGACAAGCCAGGAAGGATGTACTGGAGAGCGCCTGGGGCCAAGAGGGAGCCCGTATCTGGGGCAGAACAGAGCCATGGACACTGAACGGATGAGCAGGCAGTGCCTTGTGCGCAGCTCTTCTGGCCACAGGCAGGGCATGCGTCTAGGGCATAAGGGCCAGGCCAGGGGAGAATGTCCTCAGCTGTATGACTCCCTGGCTCCACACTCTGGCCTTGATGCAACTTCAGATTCTCCTACTCCAGTAATGCACTGGAACCTGCTTTGTCGATTTGCTGAACTCGATGCACACACCTACTCTCAACTCAGTAGGTTCTTCCCTCCCTTCAAAGGGCCTGTGATCATGGTAAGAGACATTCCTGCCACCTACCTTAGCCCATTGGTGCCCCACTAGGGGGACCACCTCACCCGGCCTCCCTGCTTGGCTGGGGCAGGGGCTGCTGGACACTTAACTCGGCATCAGGCACCATGCCCATTGAGACCTGAGCTCAGACAAACAGAAGGAGGCCAGCCTCCAAAGGATGGAAACCACTTATCTGCACAGAGCCAACATTTCCATTAATTTAGTACACTGAGACCTTTTTTCAGTGAAGTATTTAAAAAGAAGATGAGGCCGGGTGCGGTGGTTCATGCCTGTAATCCCAGCCCTTTGGGAAGCTGAGGCGGTTGGATCACCTGAGGTCAGGAGTTCAAGATCAGCCTGGCCAACATGGTGAAACCCCGTCTCTACTAAAAATATAAAAATTAGCTGGGCGTGGCTGTGCATGCTTATAATCCCAGCTACTCTAGAGGCTGAGGCAGGAGAATTGCTTGAACCTGGGAGGCGGAGGTTGCAGTGAGGGGAGATTGCGCCACTACACTCCAGCCTAGGTGGCAGAGTGACACTTGGTCTCAAAAAAAAGAGAAAGTGAATAGAATCTGTTTTTTGGCTGTGTACGTTAAGGAGGCACACAAGCAAACTCCTAAGGTTTGTCTGATTGAATATTTCACTTTACAGTGTATCTTCAGGTCACACCAATCCAGTCTCTGGCAGACCACTGGTGTTACAAGGCCATAGGCCTTATTTTAAATTATTATTATTTTCTATTATTAAGCAAATTCTTATTTAATAATAGAAGCAAATAAGTGGTCTGATTCTTTCAGGCCTAGGCTTGTGAGCCTGTGTTAATTTGCATGGTTGAGTTATTCATGCTGTATTACAATCTAGTCTATCAATTTCTTTTTTTTTTTTTTCAAGACAAAGTTTTGCTCTTGTCGCCCAGGCTGGAGTGCAATGGCACGATCTCGGCTCACTGTAACTCTGCCTCCCAGGTTCAAGTGATTCTTCTGCCTCAGCCTCCCGAGTAGCTGGGACTATAGGCACGTGCCACCACTCCCGGCTAATTTTGTATTTTTAGTAGAGATGGGGTTTCACCATGTTGGCCAGGTTGGTCTCAAACTTCTGACCTCAGGTGATCCACCCGCCTCAGCCTCTCAAAGTGCTGGGATTACAGGCTTGAGCCACCATGGCTGATCTAGTCTATCAATTTCCTACACATTTTCCCCTCCAGATTGTCATTAATACAGAGTAAATTAAAACTCTAAACCCGGGGGTGGGGAAAGGGGGTTAGAATGGGATTTGAGAACTGAAGGATGATCTCTCTACATCTTGCCCCAGTGTCCTGGACCCCAAGAATAGAAGAAAGCAGACATTGCCGCTCACCACTCACTGTTCTCAACTCTAGAAGGAGAGGAAAATGGGAAGATAGCACAGATAAACACACCAACTCCACCCAAATGACTCAAGTGAAGGCGCGTCTCAGAGTCTTGTGTTTTTCTGAAACTCAAGGCCTGCACAAGGAGGAGAGCTGTCCAGCTGCCTGTGCTCGAATGGGAACTTCATAAATCTCCAGAAAGCCCCTGACCCCTTCTCTTTTCACTCTGGCTCTATTTCCTTCTTTGCTGAGGTCCCCATTTGTCAAAGCAGAAGGGAATTACATCAGTCAGTTTTGAATCAGTCAAAACAGAAGTAAGTGGACAGCCTTCTTTGGAAAGGAAGAAACAGTGGTGGGATTTTTTTTCTAACCACCCTCGACTTATTAGGCAGCACAAAGCATGCTAGAGAAGGGTAGCCAGGAGTGTAAAGTACATGAAGCGGCAGCAATATGAACACTGGATGGAAAAGGGGCTGGGTAGGAAAGCAAGGGCTGGGACTCAGCCTCATGGTTCTCCCTCTCCCCCTGCAGGTGAGAAGAGACAAGTTGAGAGTCAGAAACAGCAGCTTAGGGATGCGCAGGTGTGAATATGTGTGGCTGCTGGGGTGCACATGCACACACTGATGCAAGTAGTAAGTACTGTGTGAGCAAAATTGGCTTCAACAGAAAGGAGTCCAGGGTAAGAAAGAAAAGGTGGATGAAGTAGAACCAGAAAATACGCTGGGGCCAGGAGCAGTGGCTCATGCCTGTAGTCCCAGCACTTTGGCAGGCTGAGGCGGGAGGACAGCTTGAGCCCAGGAGTTTAAGACCAGCCTGGGCAACAAAATGAGATCCCTATCTCTACAAAAAATAAAAAAATTAGCTGGACATGGTAGCATGTGCCTGTGTTCCCTGCTATTTGGGAGGCTGAGGCAGGAGGATTGCTTGAATCCAGGAGATTGAGGCTGCAGTGAGCTGTGTGATCATGCCACTACACTCCAGCCTGGGCAACACAGAGAGACCCTGTCTCAAAAAAAAAAAAAAGAAAAGAAAAAGAAAAAGGAAAGAAAGAGAGAGAGAGAGAGAGAAAGGAATAAAGAAAAAGGAAGAGAGAAAGAAAGAAAAAATAAGGAGAGGGAGAGAAAGAAAGAAGAAGGAGGGCAGAAAGGAAAAAGAAGGAAAGAGAAAGAAGGAAAGAAAGAAGGAAAGAAAAGAAAGAAAGAAGAAAGGAAGAAAAGAAAAAGAGAAAGAAGGAAAAAGAAAAAGAAAGAAAAAAGACAGAAAGAAAAAGATATTCTGGGCAGTAATAATGATAATGATAACAATAACCATTAAGGAAAATAATTGATGAACATATGCTGCATCCATTCATTCTATATATACAGCATGTTCTAGATGCTGAGGAAATGGCAGGAAATAAAGTGTCTGCCTTCGTGGAGCTTATGTTCAGGTGTAATATATGTCAGGCATGTTACACACATTATTGCATTTATGGACCATATGAAGTGATTTCTATTATCCCCATCCTTAAAATGGTGAAACCGAGGCACAAAGAATATTCAATAACTTGGTTGAGTCTCACAGACACAACCGAGTAGCGGAGCCAAGATTTGACCCAAGTCTGCCGGACCCCAGAGCCCTTGCCTCTGACCCCTCTAGCGGGACACATCACCCCTCGCTGGCAGGAGCACACGGATGGTGCCTGTTCGGGCGTTCAAAGGGACAGACACTCTACCAAGACCACAGAGGTGTCCTAGAGCAGGGGGCATGTCGCAGAGGACCAAGACGTCCCACTTTCTCTGTGATTCGAGCATGTGGGCCAACTCCTGTAACAGAGGGGTTCTGCATCTCTCTCATCTTTCTCTCATTCTTCTCTCTGTATTTTTTTCATGTCCTGAGCTAAAGCCCCACTTGTCCTGCCTTAGTTATTAGAACTTGTTAGAAAGACCATTCTCCCTCCTGGAACCTCCGTCTATCCGTCTGTTAAAAAGCAGGATTGGATTAGTTGGTGTCTGAAATCTCTTCTGGCTCTAGAATTCTGTTATTATGGGGAAAATTCCATTTTGGTATTTCCTCCCCTCCCCTGACCAGGTGCCTCTTCTGGAGAGAATCCTCAGCTCAGCGGATGTTCCGAAAGAGGTGAATGCCCAGGGGAGCCTTTCCCACACTGGTTCTAAGGATTCCCTTGCAAGGATCCTCTGATTTTCTATGGGACCTTTCCTTTTGGGAAACAAGAGTCCTTGAGAGCCTGCAGCTCCAGAGAGAAGCAAGCCTGGGCTTGGCCTCTGGATGCAGAGGAGGGGCTGAAGTTGGGGGAGAGGCTGCTGCCGGTCAGGATGGAGCTAGTCCAGGCGCTTGCCTGTCCTCTTGGACGTACAGAGCTGGGGCAGTCCCAGAATAGTTCTAGAAAAAATGAGCCTGGGAGAAGTGGAAGGCAGTTGGGGCCAATCGGAGGCCCCAAAGTCAGCACCCAGGAAAGCAGGTACAGTTCAGGCTGCATGGAGGGTGGGTGGGGGGCACTCTGGGAGGATCCAGCGAAAACATCTGAGAGAGAAGGGACATGTTACCAAATGGTAACGTGCTACTCATCAAGGTGAGACGGGTCCCAGCTTTTCACCTTAACCCTGGCTCGCTTTGCATTGCCTCGTGGCCCTTCTGGCTGGTCAACCGTGCTAATGTGAGCTTTGTCAACTGGGAAGGTGACGCGGCCTCGTGTGATCCAGGCCGGCCCCGTGGCTAAATGCAGCCAGGGTCCCTGATAAGCTTAGGCAACTTATTAAGTTACACAGGAAAAGTCGAGATGGAATATTAATTCTGCACACCTCTTCTCTCTGCCCGGGGAACCTGCCTTCCTGGGTTTTGGTTTTCAAAGGCTGAAATAGATATGGAGATTTCGCACTTAATTAAAGGAGAAGTGTGCTCAATTCAAGTCTTTTCAAAACCATTTTGGTTCTGAGCTCAGTGGAGCCAGTGGAGACCCAGTCACCATCTGGCATGAAAGGTGTTAACTCGGAGTCTCCGGTCAACTCTAGACATCAGATCCAGAAACAAAGAGAATTAATTTCGGAGGCCCCCTCAGATGCCCCTCCTCTCCAGCCTGTAAGTTGAGAGCCTCTGTATTGACTTGCTAGGTATTAAAAAATTAGGTCTGAGAGGTCACCTGCGATGCAGAAGACCAGGTGCCAGAGCTCACCCAACAGGCCAGGATTATCTTATCAGCTAGGCTGATAAAACTCATGAAAGTCTGGCCATAAGGAACAAATATTTATAAGCCCAGCACTTTTCGGTCCACAGCAGATTAGGCACAAAGTGTGAGCAAGAGCAGAGGGGGGCTGCTTCCTGATCTGAAACTCCCGGGGTTCGTCCTGTCTCATTAAGGAGAATGCATGTTTGAAAGCTGAACTGTTTAGGGGACACTCTCTCCTCTATCACATGACTGCATGCCAGCCTGGTGAGGAGGAAACTATCTTTACCTCCATTTTACAGTTGAGGACACTGAGGTTCAGGGAGGTCAAGTGACTTGCCCATTCGCTCAGCTAGGAAGTGGAAGTTGAACACAAGTATTCTGACTCCAGGCCTGTGTGCTTTCCACAGGCCGGTGGTGGCCTGGACTGGATCTCACTTGACTGTCCTGTAAGTCAGCAGCTCCCCAGAAGGCCCCTTCATTGCCCTAGTCCCAGGGTCACAGGTCCAGCTCCCTTGGCAGAGGAGGCAGGACAGTATCTCATGAAGAGATAAAAAGAGTGACCCTCTCAGCTGGGCGTGGTGGCTCATGCCTATAATCCCAGCACTTTGGGAGTCCAAGGCGGGTGGATCACTTGAGGTCAGGAGTTCGAGACCAGCCTGGCCAACATTGGTGAAACCCTGTCTCTACTAAAAATACAAAAATCAGCCAGGTGTGGTGGTGAGCGCCTGCAGTCCCAGCTACCCTGGAGGCTGAGGCACGAGAATGGCTTGAGCCCGGGAGGCGGAGGTTGCAGTGAGTCAAGATCATGCCATTGCACTCCAGCCTGGGAGACAGAGCGAGACACCGTCTAAAAAAAACAAAAGAGTGACCTCTCCAGGGATGGTTGAGGGAAGCTGTAAGATAGCCCTGCCCCCAATGACAGGCAAACCTGGAGTCTATTCCTGGAGTTTGCAGTTGATTCCTTTGGGCCTCCAATTCTTTCCTCTGTATTTATTCTCCCTGGGAGAGGAGATTAAATGCAAATGTATTTGGATGAATGGCCTGTGGTGCCTAGGAGGCCTACTGATTGGCTTCCCTCTTGTGCTAATTGTGGAGAGGGGTTGGGTGGAAGCTGGAGGAAACCCCCTCCCTCGGGGGCCTGGGTTTTCTCCTCTGCCAAAGGAGAGGTTGACCTAGATGATCTCAGGGGTCCTTCCTGCTCTGACCTCTCAGGCACAATCTCCTGGGACTGGGACCCCCGTAGGCCCTTCTCTTTGAATCCTCAGCAACGGGAACGGAAGTGTTGTGGAGGAAGCAGCTTCTACGCTAAGAGGAGAGGCAGTGAGTAGCTGGGTCAGGAAGCAGCCCAGGTGGGGGCCTGGAGGTGAGTGCAAACATGAATATGCCAACCTTGTTGGAAGGCTGGGCTGCAAGAAGATAAGAGATGAGGCTTGAGAGATAAGCAGAAGCCAGATCCCAAAATGCCTTCTAAGGCTGTGTCAAGGAGCTTGGGCTTTATCCTGAACACAATAGGGAGCCAGAAAGGAGTAAAGGCTAGGAAGTGGCATGATAATGTTTGTGTTTTAGAATGTTTCCTCTGGTGCAAGTGTGGAGACTAGATGGGGAGGGGGGTGGGAGAAGGAGAAGGTGGTGAGAGAAGAAGGTGGTGGGAGAAGAAGGTGATGGGAGAAGAAGGTGTTGGGAGAAGGTGGTGGGAGAAGAAGGTGTTGGGAGAAGGTGGTAGGAGAAGAAGGTGATGGGAGAAGGTGGTGGGAGAAGAAGGTGTTGGGAGAAGGTGGTAGGAGAAGAAGGTGATGGGAGAAGGTGATGGGAGAAGAAGGTGGTGGGAGAAGAAGGTGGTGGGAGAAGAAGGTGGTGGGAGAAGAAGGTGGTGGGAGAAGGTGGTGGGAGAAGGTGGTGGGAGAAGAAGGTGGTGGGAGAAGAAGGTGTTGGGAGAAGGTGGTAGGAGAAGGTGGTGGCAGAAGGTGGTGGCAGAAGGTGGTGGGAGAAGAAAGTGATGGGAGAAGGTGGTGGGAGAAGAAGGTGATGGGAGAAGGTGGTGGGAGAAGGTGGTGGGAGAAGGTGGTGGGAGAAGAAGGTGATGGGAGAAGGTGGTGGGAGAAGAAGGTGTTGGGAGAAGGTGGTGGGAGAAGGTGGTGGGAGAAGGTGGTGGGAGAAGGTGGTGGGAGAAGGTGGTGGGAGAAGAAGGTGATGGGAGAAGGAGGTGGTGGGAGAAGAAGGTGTTGGGAGAAGGTGGTGGGAGAAGAAGGTGTTGGGAGAAGGTGGTAGGAGAAGAAGGTGATGGGAGAAGGTGATGGGAGAAGAAGGTGTGGTGGGAGAAGAAGGTGGTGGGAGAAGAAGGTGGTGGGAGAAGAAGGTGGTGGGAGAAGGTGGTGGGAGAAGAAGGTGATGGGAGAAGGTGGTGGGAGAAGAAGGTGTTGGGAGAAGGTGGTGGGAGAAGGTGGTGGGAGAAGGTGGTGGGAGAAGGTGGTGGGAGAAGAAAGTGATGGGAGAAGGTGGTGGGAGAAGAAGGTGATGGGAGAAGGTGGTGGGAGAAGAAGGTGTTGGGAGAAGGTGGTGGGAGAAGGTGGTGGGAGAAGGTGGTGGGAGAAGGTGGTGGGAGAAGGTGGTGGGAGAAGAAGGTGATGGGAGAAGGTGGTGGGAGAAGAAGGTGTTGGGAGAAGGTGGTGGGAGAAGGTGGTGGGAGAAGGTGGTGGGAGAAGGTGGTGGGAGAAGAAAGTGATGGGAGAAGGTGGTGGGAGAAGAAGGTGTTGGGAGAAGGTGGTGGGAGAAGGTGGTGGGAGAAGGTGGTGGGAGAAGGTGGTGGGAGAAGAAGGTGATGGGAGAAGAAGATGGTGGGAGAAGAAGGTGGTGGGAGAAGGTGGTAGGAGAAGAAGGTGGTGGGAGAAGGTGGTGGGAGAAGGTGATGGGAGAAGGTGGTGGAAGAAGAAGGTGGTGGGAGAAGGAGGTGGTGGGAGAAGAAGGTGTTGGGAGAAGGTGGTGGGAGAAGGTGGTGGGAGAAGGTGGTGGGAGAAGGTGGTGGGAGAAGAAGGTGATGGGAGAAGAAGATGGTGGGAGAAGAAGGTGGTGGGAGAAGGTGGTAGGAGAAGAAGGTGGTGGGAGAAGGTGGTGGGAGAAGGTGATGGGAGAAGGTGGTGGGAGAAGAAGGTGTTGGGAGAAGGTGGTGGGAGAAGGTGGTGGGAGAAGAAGGTGGTGGGAGAAGAAGATGGTGGGAGAAGAAGGTGGTGGGAGAAGGTGGTAGGAGAAGAAGGTGGTGGGAGAAGAAGATGGTGGGAGAAGAAGGTGGTGGGAGAAGGTGGTAGGAGAAGAAGGTGGTGGGAGAAGGTGGTAGGAGAAGAAGGTGGTGGGAGAAGAAGGTGGTGGGAGAAGAAGATGGTGGGAGAAGAAGGTGGTGGGAGAAGAAGGTGGTGGGAGAAGAAGGTGGTGGGAGAAGGTGGTGGGAGAAGAAGGTGGTGGGAGAAGGTGGTAGGAGAAGAAGGTGGTGGGAGAAGAAGATGGTGGGAGAAGAAGGTGGTGGGAGAAAGTGGTGGTGGGAGAAGAAGGTATTGGGAGAAGAAGGTGGTGGGAGAAGGAGGTGGTGGGAGAAGAAGGAGAACCCTATGAGGAGGCCGGGCGCAGTGGCTCACACCTGTAATCCCAGCACTCTGGGAGGCCGAGGCAGGTGGATCACCTGAGGTCAGGAGTTCAAGACCAGCCTGGCCAACATGGTGAAACCCTGTCTCTACTAAAAATAAAATAAAAAATTAGCCAGGCATGATGTCGAGAGCCTGTAATCCCAGCTACTCAGGAGACTGAAGTGGGAGAATCGCTTAAACCCAGGAGGCGGAGGTTGCAGTGAGCTGAGATCACACCATTGCACTCCAGGCTGGGCGACAGAGCGAGACTCTGTCTCAAAAAAAAATAACAAAAACAAAAACCAAAAAACCCTATGAGGTAGAAACTCTTATTTTACAGATGAGAAAACTAGGCTCAGAGAGGCCAGGCATCTTGCCCTGGGTCACACAGCTGGCGAGTGGTAGCACCAGGACAGGTGTGGCTCATTCCAAAGCCCCTGGCTGTGACCACGGGCTGCCCTGCCTCCTGAGATGGCCATCAGCACACACAGTCAGCCTACACTCTCCAGTGGCAGGAGGCGTTCTGTTGGTCAGCTTCCTGCAGCAGAGGGGCGTGACAGCAGTCACAGAACACGTGCCATGTGCTGCGGATCTCCTCAAAACAAGCTGCAGGTTGCATCTGGAGAAGCGTGAAGGCTTTGGGAGTGTTTGGGCTCCCAGGGCTGGCTCATCCTTGCCTGACATGGGAGGAATAGAGCTGGGTCTGGGGCGGGCTCTGGAGCTCATGACCTGCCCCATCCTGCTCTCATGTGGAGGAAGCCTTGGACTTTCATGAGCCATTTCCTAATCCAAGAGAAGCCCAGAAGTCACACTTTCCAGAGGCTGGAAAATCTACTAGTAGCTCCTTCACACTTCGCCTTTTCCTAAAGGGGAAGCAGGGCCCTGTGTGTGGGCCAGGAAGGGCTGGAGGGCATCCCAAAGTGGTTAGAGTCAGGGCAGTGCTCCCTGAAGGCTGGGCTGGAGGAGAAGGGAAGAGTCTCATCTCTGATCCCCCAAAGTCGCTGGAGATGCTCAAATGAAGTGGTAAAATTCACCTGCTTCTAGCCAGTAGTAAGAAGCAGGAAGGTTACTTTGCTGAGAGCCAAAGTGTACGCTTCTGATCTGGCACAGCCATAGGCAGCTGGGTAACCTTGGAAAAGTTCCTCCCCCACTTCCTGCACTTCAGTTTCCCCATGGGAAGAGGTGAGCCTTAATCCCCCCTTTCAGGCTGGCAGGCTTCATGGCCCTGGTCAGCCACCGGGGCCCATCCTCTGTCTTAGAGCCACTCTGGAGTGGGGCTGGTAGGTGGAGCAGCTCAGGGCCAGCACCCTGCCCCACCCCACCCTCCACCTCCAGCCTTATAAGAACACCAGCTCATCTGGCTTTGCTCTGTCAGTTGGAAGAAAGGGCTGGCTTACACCTGCAGCAGGGCACACTGATTAATTTATTTTGCATCACTTTGCATTACCTGGCTCCAGGGCCTCCAGCTTGACATGCAGATTTATGTAAAAGAGACCTGACATGCAAATGAGCCAGGCCTGTGTCTTGTTTCCGTCACAGAGAGGGCTGCATCACTGGTTCCTGGCCCAGCTGCTCTTCCCCAGGCCCACGGGTTCTCACAGCTGGTGAGGTGGAACCATGGGGCCGTTCTCCCTGTGCTGCCCCTGCTCGGAGCCCAGGCCAGGACAAACGTGCACTTGACAGTGAGGCTAGAAAAAAGGAGGTTAGAAATGCACCCTCCCCAACGAAAGTGCCTGGCTGTGGTACTTGACACAGAGATGAATAGAGAGAGAGAGAGAAACACACACAAGACAGAGAGAGAGGCAGAGTGAAGGGAAGGAGAACAGGATCCAGAGGGGGCTGGGAGTTCGGTGTGTCCCTAGAATATGCACAGAGGAGCGGGTCAGGGTGATGGACGAGCTCAGAGTCAAAGAGAATGAGAAGCCAAGGAAACAGAGGCCAGGAGGCAAGGAGATGCGGAAAGAGAGATGGGGACACGATGAGGGGGCTGCTGAGGGAGCGGGTGAGACCCAGAAAGAAACAGATTTCAGAGTTGCTGCGGAGGAATGAGTGAGGATATAGCAACAGCCTGCCTGTGGGGGGAAGTGAGGGAGGAGTTGGTGATGATGACAGCTTGACGCTTGGGAGTGGGAACCAGGAGCCACAGGCGGAAATGACGGGAGAGGAGTGCAGGGAGACACCCGAGCTGCCCTCTTGGAAGAACTAGCAGTGGCTTGGCTGCCGTCAGCGCCGCCGCCTACCTCCTAAACCCTTGATTTATATCCGTCTATCTATATTTATACACACATATCTACAGACATACGCACATGTATATAAACTACACAGGCACGCATTGGCCAGGAGAAAACATTCTGCAGCCATCAGGCTCTAGAAAGAGAGCTTAGGGGGTTATCCAGGACTGCAGTGTGTCTGTTCTAGAACAGCAAAGACTGGACTTTGCCTCTGCAGGCCCAGAGGAGAGTGCACACCCTGCCCCCTGTCTGGCTCAGCAGCCAATGCCCCTCGGTGCTAGGATGCTCCTTCCACACCTATCTGAGCCAGGGTCACCACTCTTCCTCTTACGAGACCGAGAGAACCAGCTAGTCCCCTGCATATGCACAATGTGAGCGGGAGAGCAAGCAAACAAGCAAACCAAAAGAGAAAGCAGAAAGCCCTTCTCGCTCCCCAGCCTCCTTTGTAGGGAAATTGACTTTCTGGGAGGAGGGAGCCCAGGGCAGGTCCTGGGTGGGTGGTCCTGAAGTGCAGTGGGGAGAGGGCTGGGAAATTTCTGTGGCTTTTGGATAATCTCTACTTTTCCCACCCCCCAAACAGGAGCCCAGGGAGTGGGAGGGACACATTTCTTTTTTTTTTTTTTTGAGATGGAGTCTAGCTCTTGTCGCCCAGGCTGGAGTACAGTGGCACAATCTCGGCTTACTGCAACCTCTGCCTCTCGGGTTCAAGCAATTCTTCTGCCTCAGCCTCCTGAGTAGCTGGGATTACAGGCATGAACCACCACGCCCGGCTAATTTTTTGTGTTTTTAGTAGAGATGGGGTTTCACCATGTTGGCCAGGCTTGATCTCGAACACTTGACCCCAGGTGATCCACCTGCCTCGGCCTCCCAAAGCGCTGGGATTACAGGCATGAGCCACCACGCTCGGCCAGGAGGGACATTTCTTAAAACCTAGGATGGTGGCACTGAAGGGGCCCTCAGAAACCCTGCAGGCCAGCTCCATCCTCCCCCAGGAGGGAACTGCGGCGCAGAGAGGCTAGTGTGGAGGTGGGCTGAGGGCCTTTCACTACGCAGCTCTGCTTCCTTGGCGTTAATGACCTCCCCGCCCTGTCTCTGATCCCCTGAGCTGCCCACATCAGCGCTGGGCACACTCATAGCTCCTTGGAGACTGGCCACTGTTTTCCCTCGGAGACAGATGACCTTCATACACATTGTGAAAGGTATAGGCCCAGACCCTTCTGTGCACATTTCACTGACACTGGAAGACCCGGGGCCCACCGTGGGTCACCTTTGCCGTCTCACTTGTGAATACCTGCCAGTGTCCCAGTAGATGAAGCCGACAGACAGCTCAGGCCCAGTGAAGGTGTGTCCCATGGGCCACGGGATCTCGCCTGGCAGAGATCTGCTTTAAGATGCCATCTCCAGGAGCCAAGGTCATCTCCAGAATCTCTCCCCACATCTAGAAATGAGATGTGTCTCATGTGACTGCCTGAGCCTGACCCGGTCTACTTGTTTCAGCCAGAAGTCATCTGGTGCCACTCTGGCCCACTTGTGGCGTGACCTTTGGGTCACTCTGGCCAGCCTCAAGGGTCACCTTTGTGTTAACCTCCAGCATAGTGGTTTTTAGCTTCTTGAGGTGAGAGACCCTTTGAGAACATGAATGAAGCCCCGTAATGCTGCCCAGATCCACAATACTTTGCACACAATGTCAGGAGATTCAGGGACTCCCAGAAGCCCTCGGTCTAGGACAGACCCAAGAGTCCATCTGGCATCTTTAGGCCTTGGGAAGCTGGTGTCCATGCGTGGAGGCCCCAGGACCCCACTCATTTCAGAGGCAAATCATAGCCCTGACAAGGTGGCATTCCAGGACACGTTCCACAGAAGGTCTTCTTTCCCCTTTTCTGCCTCAGAGATTCCTTTCTAAGCAACTGTTCCTCCCATGTTGAAGTCAGATCTCAGCTTCCTCCATCCCCTAGCTACATTTCAGGGCAAGTTCAAATGACATGCCATACAAAACTCATTTGTAGGCTGGGCGTGGTGGCTCACGCCTGTAATCCCAGCACTTTGAGAGGCCAAGGCAGGCAGATCACCTGAGGTCAAGAGTTCGAGACTAGCATGGCCAACATGATGAAACCCTGTCTCTACTAAAAATATAAAAATTAGCCGGGTGTGGTGGCATGCACCTGTAATCCCAGCAACTTGGGAGGCTGAGGCATGAGAATCACTTGAACGTGGGAGGTGGAGGTTACTGTGAGCCAAAACTGCGCTACTGCACTCCACCCTGGGTGAGAAGAGTGAAACTCCGTCTCAAAAAAAAAAAGCCTCATTTCTAGTTTCCCTTGGACACCCTCTCTGTGCCCCTCCCCAAACTCCCTTCCCACTTAGTCCCCTGAACCTGACTCCACTTTGCTCTGTCTCCTGCCAGGCTCAGCTGAGCACCAGGTCCTGAGCTGGCACCCACAGAAGAGCAGAGCAGATGACACTGAGAGCTGGTGAGTCCTGTCCCCTCAGCAGCCAGCACAGACGGCGGATGGCCCCATGCTCAGAAAAGGACCTCGGAGGGCACGAGTGGTGGAAGGAGCAGAGAAGCCTGGAGAGGGGCTGGGGCAAGGGGACAGTAGCCAGGCAGGGGATCCTCTCTGCGGATCCCAGACCCTGTTCCCCGCCTGCCTGCTTCCCAGGAGCTGTTGATGGAGGAAGTCGTGCACTCCAGGCTCTGGGCCTGGTTCGAGATGCTGAGAGGCCTCTGTGAAAGGGAAGACATGGGAGGGCGGGAATCTCTCGGTGGGGCAGGGCAGGGAGGGGGCATGGGAAGTTCCATGTGGAAGGCCCGGGACTCAGGGTGGGCCAGGGCTCAAAAGAGCGAAAGCAGCCCCCTCGGCAGAGAGGGGTCTAGCCAGCCCAGGGGGTGGCCCGGACATCCAAACTGCCTTGGATGGAGAAAGCTGTTTAATCTCCCTATGGAAATCAGGAAGTTGGAACCCACACAGCTGATGGCAAGGCCAGAGGAGCGATTTCAGAGGAAAGATTAAAAGAATTAAAGTCAACTCAGAAGGGAGCAGACGAGAGGGAGCTAGGGGCAGGTGGGGAGCTCAGGGGTTGTCTGCAAGGCCCCTGCACCCTGAACCCAACTGAGGGTGCTTCTAGGGGCAGGGGGTGGGGAGTCCTGCTGAGGTGCAGTCCGTGGGTAAGGGTTGACCCTGTCATCCATGGGGGATTCTGTTGGGGTGAGAGGGAATACCACAGGGGGCTGAAGATCTTGAGAGAGGTCTGAGAGGAGATAGAGAGAGGCCAGGAACACAGTCTAAGCCCAGATTTCAAGTCCAGGCAGGTCCACTCTTGGAGGCGGGGTGTGGGGAGCAGCTCTGTGCCATGGAGCCTGGTCCTCTCAACTATCCCTCTCCTCCAGGCCTGGAAACTCCAGCCCCAAACCTTCTGGCTAAGCAGGAAACGAGGGCAAGACATGCGTATGGTGGGTGGGTTTTCCTTAGCAGAATGTGTCACTGAGGCCACCTTGGGGCTGAGGGGCAGAAACAGGGGCTATTGTCCCAGAAGACCCCATGTTGAGGGACAAGGACAGCCTTCCGGGCAATGGCCTTGTATTGCTCCAGGTCCAGACCAGAGAGCCAGGGCCAGAGGGTAGCTGGGGCTCAGGCAGGGATTCTGGTGGCTCCTCTGCTCTGCTGTGTGCTCTAGCCACACACATGTGTGCACACACACGCACACACATGCACACACATGCATGCACACACAGGCACACACATGCACACACACAGAGGCACACACATGCACACACACCGCTCAACCATGCTTGCCTGCTCTCATATTCTCTCTCTCGCTCTCTCACACACACACTTAAACATACATTTAAATAACTTGCAGACGTATATTAGCAAAAACATTCCATCTGGGCTGGGATTTGTCTCATTGCTTTGAATTCCTCTGGGTCTTAACTTGAAAAAAAATAGGAAGAGGCAAAGATTTGACTAATGTTGGGTTAAGTTTTTTTTCTTTCTCCTTTCTTTCTTGGTTACTGACTGCCAAGAATTTATATTTGTAAAAGGAAAAGAATTAACTGTGTTGATTAAGAGGCAAACTCCCTGGAAATGTTCTCTCTTAACCCTTTGGTAACCTCTCAGCAAGAGATAGGAGGGTTCTCTGGCATGGGGCTTGACATCCCTGGGCTGGAGGCCCAGAACCTTCTGGAGGTCTGCTTCTCTCCCAAGGGAGCTTATAGAGCAGAGGCAAGCTGGGCCCTCTGGCGTGCGTGCAAGTGTGTCTCTAAGCAGATGCGTGGGTAAGTGGTGTGAGTGTCTGTGTGTGAGCGTGGGTACTGTGAGCTGGCGTGTGGGAGGGGGTGTGCGCATGTGTGCACGTGAGTGTGGTAACTGCCCACATGTCCCCTGGCAAATATGGGGTGTGCCAGAACTCTCCTGGGCTGCTGGCTGCAAGGTCAAACTCCAGGGAGGGGAGATAACCTTCACCTTGACCTAATTAGCGGAAACTGATTTGGCAGGAGGAGGGGACGTGTGGAGGCTTAGCACAGAACAGGTGAGCAGGCGCTGGGGTGGGGAGGCCTCAGCCAAGGAAGCAGGATCTCTCCTGACACCCAGCAGCTGTCGCCACGAGTATGCAGTGACCCAATACAGGGATCACCCTGGACGCTGGTCAGTGTCCCTGCATGGAGGGGTGGGGACTTCTCCTCTTTCTTGCCCACTCTCAGCTCCCCATCCCGTTTTCCTTCCACAGCTTCTCTGTCCCTCCGGAAGAGCCTGGGCTGCATAGCCCCCAAGGTAGGATAGGTTTTAGCATCAGAGAGGCTGAAGCCTCTAGAAAAGGGGTCTTCTGGAGCTGGGGCTGAGGGATGTGAGCAGGGAAAGGGTGTTGGGGACAGAAACAGAAGAAAAGAGGATCTTGCTGGAGGCTCCAAGCTCCCTGTGCATGCGTCCAACCTTACGGAACTACCTTTAATCCCCTGAGCCCCAGGCCCGGCCTGACTCCTCCCAGACTATTTCCCTCCACCTGGAAGGACTTTCTGTCCCTCCTTTGTTAGCCAATTCCTACTTGTCCTCCAAGTCTTAGATGCCACCTTGTCCAGGAAGTCATCCTTACCCCTCACACTTAGCTGTCTCCCTCTTGCATGACCACACCTGGGCATAGAGGCACTGTCCACACGGTGTGACCCTTATATCCTCTGTCTGTCTTTCCTACCGGATCCTGCACTCCTTGAGGGTGGAAGCACTGTCTTCTTCATCCTGAACTCCTGGTACCTAGTAGAGTGCCTGGCACACAGCAGGGGCCCAGTCAACACTGGCTGAGTTGAACTGAAGGCCTTTGACTGCTGAAAGGAGCCTTGTTAGTTGCACCATATGCTGTCATCGAAAGTGCCGTGCAGACACGCCCCCCACTAGAACACTGACCGTAGACTCTGAGATTATCTAAACATACATATATTTGATCCTCTCAAATTTTTTTTTTTTTTTGAGACGGAGTCTCTCTCTGTCACCCAGGCTGAAGTGCAGTGGTATGATCTTGGCTCACAGCAACCTCCACCTCCCGGGTTCAAGTAATTCTCCCTGCCTCAACCTTCCAAGTAGCTGGGACTATAGGCGCCTGCCATTACACCCGGGTAATTTTCATATTTTTTTGGTAGAGACAGGATTTCGCCACGTTGGCCAGGCTGGTCTCGAACTCCTGACCTTAGGATGATCCTCTCAATTTTCTGTGAGCTCCTCAGGGAAAAGATTCAGTCTTAGTCTTCCCCAGGGCCTAGCAGAGCATCAGACAAATAGCAAATGCCTAATAAATGTTGAATGAATGAAAGAAGAGCCAACACATGATAAATATCTAAGAACATACACACAGTGTGTATGTATGTTTCCACCTCTTACTGAGGCTGTAAGATGCTGTTAAGGGCTGGAGGAGAGAGAAGAAACTGCTATCAGAGCAAGGTTGAGAGGAGGGAAGAGTAACATTTGTTGAGCACCTATTATGTGCCATCACTGCCTCAGGCGTCATCCTCATCTTCATCCATGAGGAAGAGATACTTACCTCATGTTACAAGTAAGGAAATTGAGACTAAGAGAGGTAAAGTAATTGCCCAAGGTCACCCAGCTGGTGGGACAAGTTAGGCTTGGATTCAAACCCAGGTCTGTCTGATCCCAGAGTTTATGCTTCTCCCACTATGGCCACCACTACCATGTTTCATGAAGGACATAGGTACTGAGCAGAGTTTTGAATGATGAGAGGGACATGACTTTGTAAAGGAGGATCTCAAACCCAGGCAAGAGGAGAGGACCGAGAGTTCCCAAGAAGGATGAATGCTGGCTCTCTGCTTCTGTGTGACCAGGAAGCACCAACATGACAAGGAAAAAAGGCAACTGTGGAGGAAGGCAATACAGCAGAAAGCAGTCACAGAGGCCTCTCAAAAACAGACCTTAAGGCCAGGTGTGGTGGCTCATGCCTGTAATCCCAGCGCTTTGGGAGGCCAAGGCAGGTGGATCATGAGGTCAAGAGATCAAGACCATCCTGGACAACATGGTGAAACTCTGTCTCTACTGAAATACAAAAAAATTAGCTGGGCGTGGTGATGCGTGCCTGTAGTCCCAGCTACTCAGGAGGCTGAGGCAGGGGAATCGCTTGAACCCAGGAGGTGGAGGTTGCAGTGAGTCGAGATCACGTCACTGCACTCCAGCCTGGTGACAAAGCGAGACTCCATCTCAAACAAAAACAAAAACAAAAACAAAAACAAAAAACAGACCTTCAGCTCAATCTTGGCAGAAGGAGCCAGTACAGAAATAGTGCTTATTTAGTGGCAAGCACTGTGCTAAACACTTTGTTAATACATTTAACTCTTAAAACAAGGCTATGAGATGGGCCCTATTAGCCACAAATACAGATGGGGAAGTGAAGGCCCAGAAGGGTTAATAACCTGCCCAAGAGCACACATGGCTGGCTATTAGTAAACCTGGGGTTTGAACCCAGACAGTCTAGTTCCGGAGTCTATGGCCACTACACCAAGGAGGGAAAGTGTGGCTAAGGATGGCCTTCAACTGGTAGAAGTCAACATCAGTCAGCCTGGTGGGCTTGAGTTTGGGGGTGTGATCAGAGTCTGGTTGGAGGGACTGTCCCAGACCAGCTCCGTGCCTCTGTCTAGAAAGTCCAGAGGCATTCAGGAAGAGTGCAACAGCCAAGCTGTGGGCTGCCGGAAGATCGTGATCCCCACACATTGTCCTGGTCTTGTGATTTGCTTTTTGGGGGAAGAAGGAACTTTGTACCAGAATACTAAGAGATACTTTAAACCTATGTTCAAGAGAATTCTCCCTACTTTGGAACTTTGGGTCTGGCTTCCTGGGATTCCCCCAACATCTCCCCTAACCACTCCAGAGCAGCCTCCAGTCGCCACCACCACCACCACCCTCAAGCCAGAAGTCATTTTTTTTTTTTTTTGAGACGGAGTCTCACTCTGTTGCCCAGGCTGGATTGCAATGGCGCGATCTTGGCTCACTGCAACCTCTGCCTCTCGGGTTCAAGGAATTCTCCTGCTTCAGCTTGCCGAGTAGCTGGGATCATAGGTGCCTGCCACCACGCCTGGCTAATTTTTTGTATTTTTAGTAGAGACAGGGTTTCACCATGTTGGCCAGGCTGGTCTCGAACCCCTGACCTCAGGTGATCTACCTGCCTTGGCCTCCCAAAGTTCTGGAATTACAGGTGTGAGCCACCGCGCCTGACCCAGAAATCATCTTAAAACATTCCCTCAACAACCCTTTACCTTGATACAACACCTCATAGTCACCAAAGCATTCTTACATCCTCAGCCCATGGGTTCCTCCTCCCCACATCAGCCCTGGAAGGCAGGCAGCTCAGAGATTATTAAACCATTTTACAGATGAGGAAAATGAGACAAGCTTAGTGATGTTTGCAAGCCACATGGTTGGTGAGTCACGTTGGCTGCACTGTTAGATTTCAAGGCAGTGAGACCAGAAGGTAGCCTCGTATGGGGAGGGGTGGGATCTGGGTTGAGGCAGCCAAGGATTTGCATGAATTGGATGAGAGATCCCAGCTCCTCTGTGTCCAGAAAGTTTCACCTTGAGTCACCTGCCTTTCCCTCCCCGGGACACCGCACCTTCCCAACAGAGCAGTGTTGAGTCAGCTCCCCTTTTTCTGCCTCTCCGAGGTACTCTCAGCCATGCCCTCCTTCTGGCTTTCGTAGGATCTGACTCAAGATCCACTTTAGGCAGGCAGTATCTGTGGAACCTTCTCGTGTAGGGCCCACCTGTAAACAAGAGGAGGTGTTTGGAAATTATTCATGAAAGAAGAACACCATGAACAGCATTTGACCTCTTCAGAGAAAAGAGATATGCAAGTTTATAGCGGTAGTGGCGATAGTAATATCCAATGACATAACAACTTCAACAATTACACTTGCATTTCTTCCAAAGAGCTTTAAGCATTTTCGAGTTTATTGGGCTATTTGATCTCATAAAAGTCCCACAAATGGGTAGTGCTGGTTATTATTATCATTTTATAGATGAGAAAACTGAGGCCCGGAAATATGTCAGTGATTGCCCAAGACCTCGCAGCGAGGGAGGAGGGAGGTAGGGCTGAGTCTGTTTCTTCACGTCTCCAGGTGTTTCGTGTGTGGGACTCCCTCTTGGTGTCTGAATTCCTGTGAAGTAAGGTGTGGACAGAGGAGGTGGCTGGTGGCAGGCTCAGAGGATTTTTCTGCACATGGTCACTGAGAGACAGTGAGTCAGGCACCCTTATTTTGAGTTCGGTTTCCTCTTTCACTTCCCCAAACAATTTCTGGAGATGGAGTTCACTTGGCACCCGTTCTCAGATGATGAGCTGGGGGTATGTGCACAGCTGCCCCTGAAGGTTTTCGTGGTAGTGGTGATCTGGAAGGGGTGGATGCTCACATTCTTATCCTGAGACTCCTCCTGTTCTCCTGGTCTACCAATCCCCTCTCCAGGAGGGGGGTCCTTGCTAGCTCTGTCTGTTACCACGGCCTCCTCACTGTTTTTCTGACCTCAGTATCTTTCCTTTTTTTTTTTTTTTTTTTTTTTTTTTGAGATGGAGTCTTGCTCTGTCTCCCAGGATGGAGTGCAGCACCGTGATCTCGGCTCACTAGAACTTCTGCCTCCTGGGTTCAAGCGATTCTCCTAGCTCAGCCTCCCGAATAGCTGGGACTACAGGTGTGTGCCACCACTCTCAGTTACCTTTTCTATTTTTAGTAGAGACAAGGTTTTGTCATGTTGGCCAGGCTGGTCTCGAACTCCTCACCTCATATGATCCACCCACCTTGGCCTCCCAAAGTGCTGGGATTACAGGCATGAGGCACCGCGTCTGGCCTGACCTCAGTATCTTTTTCATTCAATCATCTCCATGACTGACCTTCCAAAAGCTCTCCCTCCACCTCTCAGAAATTGTCAGTAGAATCTCATTACTTCTGGCCTCAGCTTGGCACTCAAGGCCCCACCCAGTCAAGTCACAAACTACCTTCCCACCCTTGGCTCCTCCCTCTCATCCTCCTCTTGAAGCTTTATCTTCAGTTAGACTGGAGGATTTGCCTAGACATGCTTTGTGTTTTCCCAACTCCACAGTTCCCTTGGCTTGGAAAGCCACTCCCACCCCTCTGCCTGCTGGATTTCTATGCAGCCTTCAAAGCCCATGACAAATGTCACCTCTCTCATGAAGCCCTCCTTGATTCCATCATTGGAAAATGAGCTTCTCCCTCCTGGGATGTCTCACAGCACCTGGCATACAGGTCTCCACACAAGCAGTTCTCTGTGTGTTGTGGCAGTGGTGTCAAGATTTGGATGTTTGTGAAACTACAAAGACTGCAGGATTCGGCAATACCACTTGTGGGCATGTGTGTGCGTGTGTGTGTCTGTACGTGTGTGTGTGTGTGCGTGTGTGTGTGTTGGTATGAGGAGTGAGCACAGCTACATAAACAATTGTATGTCAGAAAGGGATGAGACACTTACTAGGTTTAGAGTGTGTCAATCACTTCAGTTCTGCCAATGAACAGAGAGCCAGATGTCTCTCTCCAAGGATAGAGAACACTCACAATAAAGACTATAAACACACTTGGGGGAAGAAAGAATGGAGAGAGGGAGGAAATGAACAAGTATGTATGGCTCATTTACTATAGTCCAGGCGCTGCGTTGGAGAGGAAATTTCATGTGAGCAGTGTGCTCACTTAACCCTCACCGTAGCCGAGAGGTAGGAATCTGCCCCTGTTTTGTGGTTGAGTACTGCTTTGGGCCAGGTTCTCAAAACGCAGGCTCTGGGTGTGCGGGGTAACTGGGAGCACTCATGGGCTGTCGGCATGCAGGGTAACTGGGAGCACTCACGGAGCAGCCCCGCTGGGGAGTCATGAAGGCAGGCTGGCACAGGAAAGGCTGAACGGCAGCGAGGCTGGTGTGCTGAAGCTTGGGTGGCCCTTTTAAGATGTGCCCCCATTGAGGCGATGGGATCCTTGTGCCCTCTGGGAGGGGGAAACCCAGGCAAGACGGCTCCCTTCAGCCAAGGGTGGTTCCTGGGGGGGACAGCACCCACTACACGTACACTGTGGATTAGAGAAACGCGTGCCCCCGCCACATGCAGACTGTCAGCAAGTGGAAGGGGCAGGGATGGAACTCCCTTCCACTAAGGGGGCTTCACCAGATTCTCCTGTTTCAAGGAGAAATAGAGTTTGGAAACCTCTCATTTTATAAACGAGGACACTGAGGCACAAAGCAGGGTGGTTGGTGCCTTGCCTAAAGTCATACAGATTTCATGTAACAAATTGTGCTGGTTAGGTAGGGGAGGATGCAGAGCTCACAGCACAGGTGAATACCTCCATCGCAAAGGCTGAACCAAATGCCCCGTTAAATCAGGAGACCTGCCTCTTTCAGCTTTGTTTTCTGAAGAAATCCCTTCCCAGGGGTTGAAGCCCTCAGGCTGTGTCCCGAGGCCTGGTGTGGCCTTCAGTCCATCTCCAGAAGACAGCATAGGCCAGGCGCGGTGTTTCACGCCTGTAAGCCCAACACTTTGGGAGGCTGAGGAGGATCACCTGAGATCAGGAGTTCGAGACCAGCCTGGCCAACATGGTGAATCCCCGTCTGTGCTAAAAATACAAAAATTAGCTGGGCGTGTTGGCGGGTGCCTGTAATCCCAGCTATTTGGGAGGCTGAGGCAGGAGAATCGCTTGAACTCGGGAAGCGTGGGTTACAGTGAGCTAAGATCACACCACTGCACTCCAGCCTGGGCGACAAGAGCAAAACTCCATCTCAAAAAAAAAAGAAGAAGAAGAAGAAGTCAGCCTGGTCACTCTTTGCCCATTGTGCACTGTCAGCTATGAGCGGAAGTCTGCACCTAGAAAGCTCCCAGGAAAAGAATGCTCTTCCCTCTTTCTGAAAGATTTCAGGTAGTTCTGGTATCAAATAATAGCAATGAGAAAGGCAGGTGTGGACTCTTTTGTTACTGATATTTTCTGTTACTGTCTGATTCTTAGTCACATTTTGCTTTTATTTTTATTTTTTTGAGAAGGAGTCTCGCTCTATTGCCCAGGCTGGAGTGCAGTGGTGTTATCTTGGCTCACGGCAACCTCCACCTCCCGGGTTCAAGTGATTCTCCTGCCTCAGCCTCTTGAGTAGCTGGGACTACAGGCACCTGCCATCACATCCAGCTGATTTTTGTATTTTTAGTAGAGACGGGGTTTCACCATGTTGGCCAGGCTGGTCTCGAACTTCTGACCTCAAATGATCTGCCCATCTTGGCCTCCCAGAGTGCTGGGATTACAGGCATAAGCCACCGCGTCCGGCTCTTACTTGTACTTTGGAAACATTGGTAGTGGGATCCAAGTGTGATCTTTAAAATAGTTAACAATCAGGTAAACCCCCAGGACACCGGCGTGGATGCTGGCAGTATGCTGCACCAGCGCATGCCCACTGAACATTACACCTGCTGGGCCCTAGAGGACAAGGTTGTGGTTCTCCCTGAGTGCCGCATGCTGGGGAAGAACCCTGGGAAGGGATTTCTTCAGAAAACAAAGCTGAGAGAGGCAGATCTCTTGATTTAACGGGGCATTTGGTTCAGCCTTTGCGATGGAGGTATTCATCTGTGCTGTGAGCTCTGCATCCTCCCATACCTAGCCAGCACAATTTGTTACATGAAATCTGTATGACTTTAGGCAAGGCACCAACTACCCTGCTTTGTGCCTCAGTGTCCTCGTTTATAAAATGAGAGGTTTCCAAACTCTATTTCTCCTTGAAACAGGAGAATCTGGTGAAGCCCCCTTAGTGGAAGGGAGGCAAGTGGGCCGGGCGCAGGGCCCCCTCCCCTGCTTTAGCTGGAGCGGCTCTCTTGTATTTGTTTATGCCTCCATACGGTTTCACTTAAACCCAGCATTCCTCAACTAAAAACAAAGCTTGGGAAGCGCCGAGCTGCATGTGGTATCTGAGGGCCCCTACTCACGGCTCTGCCATGCTGAGCTGTGATTAGGCGAATGCGTGAGTGAACGAATGAATGAATGAACAGACTCTGTGTTCCTAGCTAACAGAGGCTGGTTCCTGGTCACACCTGTTCTTGGGACAGATGGCCAGCAGTCTTGGGTAGTTCAGAAATCTACACAGGGCTAGACTGGACGCTCTCCCGACATCCCATCAAGTGTAGGGTTCTGTCTGTCTCCGCTGTCGCCACTGACAAGGCCTCCTCCCTTTGGGCATCTCGGATGCCACCAGGTATGAAGTGGAAAGTCATCAGCGGCGAGTCGCCCTGTGTTTGTCTTCTTCGGCTCTCCCGATGTGTTGACTCAGCTGAAAAAAGATACTGACAACAGCACCCCGAGTCACCGGCAGGCTTGGCAGAAGATTCACTGGGTTTTCTCGGTGTGTGTCCCGGGGTGTGGCACCAGGTCTGGCTCACGTCAGTTTTCTTCCATCACAGGGAAAGGGCTTCCAGTTTTGGCCTTGTCCTCCCTCCCACCACCCCTACTTCCTCCCTTCCTTGCCTCCTTCCTTTCCTTCCTCTAAGGCAGTGGTTCTCAACCTTGGCTGCACGTTGAAATTGCCCAGGGAGACTTAAAAATTACTGATGCCCAAAGATTCTGATTTCATGGTTCGAGGTATGGCCTAGGAAATAGAGTTTTTTTAAAGTTCCCTAGGTGATTCTAATACGCAGCCAAGGTGGGGAACCACTGGTCTGAGGACACGGAGTAGGGATCCTAATTTTAGCCTCAACCGTTTCCTAGTCTGCTGGGTTTGGAAAAGTGTGGGGCACAAATGTCTACTGGCAGTGGATGGAAGGAAAGGGAAGTAGAGAGAAACATACCTCACCCCCCATCCCACCTCACTACCCTGCGAGACTCAGGGAGGTCAGTCCTCTAGGGTGTCCAGTTGACAGCATATGACAGAGTGGAGAGGACACCCCAGGACACAGGGAGGCTCCTGTGTGCTGAGGGCATGAGGCCAACAGCCCTGTTCTGGAGCCTCAGGCACTGCAGTTTTGGGGTCTTCAAAAGGCAACGCCCTGGGTATGGGTGGCAGCGTTCCCACAGGGCAGGCCAGCAAACGAGGTGACCCTGGAGTGACTGTGGCAGCACGACATCAGCGCAGAGCCGCGTGGGGAGAGGGACTCTCGCTGACAGTCCTGTTCACGAACACACGCGGGGCACTCCCAAGAGGTCCTCCAAGTCAGAGTAAGCCTACAGCAGACAGAAACAAGCACAGTGAATTCTGGTCATTTCACCGATGGGAGCCCATCTGGACCTATGGATGGTGAGGTCTGGGGTCACAGATACAAGCCACAGTCATGAAACAGTCTGGTGGTGGCAGCGGTGCAGTAAGGTCCAGCAGACGTTTGCCAGCCTCCTCCGATGTTGCCTCCTCGTTGGGTCAGCCGCCCTGAACAGTTTTCATTCCATATGTTCACCAGGCAGTCAGGGTCTTCTTGACGCTAGGCTTTTCTGCATGCATGTTCTCAATGTGGAGTATTTGCTTTACTTCCTGTGCAAGTTTTCTCCCTTTTTGAAAAAATCACATTCTCTCCTAAATTAGAAAACCTCTTTAATTGTTAGCAGGAGCTGGGGTTCTGTTCCTTGCATGGACAATATCATTAAACATCGGAAAATAAACAAACTGGAAAAGCTTAAGACATTTTCAAACTCTTTGCTTCCCAGAGGGCGTCTGGGGCCCCGGGTGGGACAAGGTTCTGCTGGCCTGGGTTTATACTGTGTTGATAACTTGACCCCTCCAGCTGTGAGAAGCCACACTGACAGCAGGGTTGTTTTTCCTAAACTTCCCAGGACTGCAAACTTGTCTTGGGAGGCATAGGCACTGATTTGCACGGAGGTCTCCAGCGACTGCGCTGAGCTTCCTCCGGGGCGGAGCGCACGCTGGGAGGGGGCCGGTGGCTGTGGTGGCTGACGGCTGCTGTAAACCATCGCTGTCCTCCAGCATGACTACACAGGGCTGGGGAGGACAGGGGAGCTGTGGGAGGGGGCGGTGTGTGAGAACGTTTCTTTCTATCTTGCTGAAATGTGAGTCTAATGAAATGATGATGAGGTTGTGGCCTTTAAGCTCCATTGAGCTTCTTACGCATTGTAATTTTACCCAGAGTGGGTCCAGTTTTTGAAATGATTAAAACTATCGATTCCTAGGCCTGTTCAGCTTGAATCAGAATTCATTAGAGGCCCAGAGGTGAGGGATGTACATTTCTCCCTTGCTGAGCCAGGAAACAGACCCCATCTTGTGTGACTCTCCGGCTGGCGTGGCTGCCCCTGGTGGTGCTGGCAGACGGACCAGTAATAGGATCTGTCATCCGCAGAATAAGTCATGAAGGTCCCATCCATGAGTCCTAGCCCATTTTCTAGGGATTCTCCCTCATGTTTGAAGAGGGAGGTTCTCTATGTTTAATCTTGGCTCTATTTTCTTACAGGTATTATAAGTAAAATATCTTCTTCATGAAAAGAAACACAGAAATGTTCCAAAGTTTTGACTCAAAAGAATACTGGAAGGAGAAACTGTAGCTGGGAGGGGTGGCTGACAATGTGGCCTGAACTTGGCCTCCAGAACGCCACTTCTGTGTGGAAACAAAGAGGGGACTTTCCCTCTGATATTTGCTACCACTCTGCTGACTCCCAGGAGCACAAGATCGCTCCTTTAAAGCTCTATTCCAAGTCCTAGAGCTGAGATAGGTTAGCATCTTAAAAAGTAGCCTTCCTAGCCGGGCGCGGTGGCTCACGCCTGTAATCCCAGCACTTTGTGGGGCTGAGGCGGGCAGACCACTTGAAGTCAGAAGTTCAAGACCAGCCTGGCCAACATGGTGAAACCCCGTCTCTACTAAAAATACAAAAATTAGCTGGGTGTGGTGGTGCACACCTGTAATCTCAGCTACTTGGGAGGCTGAGGCAGGAGAATTGCTTGAACCCAGGAGGCAGAGGTTGCAGTGAGCCGAGATGGTGCCATTGCACTCCAGCCTGGGTGACAGAGTGAGACTTTGTCTCAAAAAAAAAAAAAAAAGAAAGAAAGAAAGAGAAAAGAAACATAACTATAGGGCAGTTAAGTCTATACACCTTAACTTTAAGAAGAAAGAAAGAAAAGAAAGGAAGGAAGGAAGGGAAAGAAAGAAAGAAGAGAAGAGAAGAGAAAAGAAGGAAGGAGGGAGGGGGAGAGAGAGAGAAAGGAAGGAAGGAAGGAAAAGAAAAGAAAAAGAAAGAAAGAAAGAGAGAGAAAGGAAGAAAGAAAGGAAGGAAGGAAAGAAAGAAAGAAACTCTGGGAGGGTAGGGCCTTGCTTAAGGTCACCTGATTCCCCGAGCTGGCGCCAGGGCTGCGGTGCACTGTGTTAGCTCTGAGAGGGGTGTCCCTGCCCACGCCAGCTCTGAATCTTGCAAGCCACTGCACCTTTTGAGAGTTGCTCCCGAACTGCCTCCTACACAGGTGGTTCCCAAGCGGTTCATATCAAGGTCCCTTTTATTATCACCCCCCCCTCCACCGCACCCCCAGCACCCGGGTTTGAAAGATCTGGCCTACCAAATGAACTGTAATTATGCAGTCATAATGACTCTATTTTCTCTCTCTCTTTTTTTTTTTTTTTATTAATAAAAGACATATGTGACACACCACTCAGAGCTTTCAGTGGGGAGAAAACGAGTTTCCCCCACTAGGTTAATAGAATTCCACCCAGAGGCAGACAGTTAGCAAACCACCTTCTCGGGCTGTGGCTGGGAATCGCGCTACACTTGACAGCCCTTTCCATGGGCCTCCCCGGCCCGCCTGCCCTCGGCCCCGAAGTCAGGGGAGACAGGGGCCATTTCAGCTGCTCGCGCTCGCTTGCCTTCCCGTCCCTGCCGGAGTCAGCAGACCCTGACTTCTGGAGAAGCGTTGCTGCGATGTGTCAGCTGCTCGGGGAGAGGCTGGAGTGATGGATTCCAAGAGCTGTCAGGAGAAAGGGTTTACGGTCAGTTAGGAACCGCGAGCTCCTGCCCGTGGAACTGCCGCTGGAATTTTAATGCTCTGTCTCCCTGTGTCTGGGCACTTCCTTCCCTCCTGGCCCCGCTCTTCAGGCATATGGAACAGGGCTCATGTCGGAGGGTCCCTGGGGAGATCCCAGGGCTTCCCTGGGTCCCAGTGTCACGGCCGAAAGCCAGAGGTGCGGCTCCGACAGGATGCGGCCGGCCTTCCTGCTGCGCTGGGCCTTGGCCGGGGCCCTTTGGCGAGTCACTGTCCCGGGCTCTCTTCCCCTTCATGGCAGCAGCCAGGCCCTCCCTGCACAGGCCTTGAAGGGAGAGGAAAAATGGAACGCTAGCCTGGCTTCTTGACTTCCTTCAGGCAACGAATCCATCTTGAAGGCCCACTGTGTGCCAGGCGGGGATCCAGGAGCTGGGGAAGCAGACGCGGCCCCTGTCCTCATGGCACCTCTTCCGTGCGGTGCTCCACTCTCTCCCCCACGAAAGGTAGACACGGAACAGGAAAGGGAAAAGAGTGGAGGCCGCCAGGAGGAAGATCTGCAGACCGGAAGGACCTCAGCTAAGAGGAAATGAAGGCCAGGCGCAGTGGCTCAGGCCTGTAATCCCAGCACTTGGGGAGGCGGAGATGGGCAGATCACTCGAGGTCAGGAGTTCGAGACCACCCTGGCCAATACGGTGAAACACTGTCTCTACTAAAAATACAAAAATTAGCTGGGCATGGTGGCGGGCGCCTGTAGGCCCAGCTACTCGGGAGGCTGAGGCAGGAGAATGGCTTGAACCCAGGAGGCGGAGGTTGCTGTGAGGCAAGATGGCGCCACTGCACTCCAGCCTGGGCGACAGAGCGAGAGTCCATCTCAAAAAAAAAAAAAAAAAAAAAAAAGGAGGAAGCAAAATAGAAAAACAGGATCTGAATGATTTGGGAGCCAAAAGGACACTGTACGTCCCCGGCTTTCTGATCACGGCTCACTGCAGCCTCAAACTCCTGGGCTCAAAGTGATCCTCCTGCCTCAGCTCCCAAGGGGCTAGGACTACAGGTGTGTACTACCAAGTCTGATTAGTATTATTATTTTTTCTATTCTTTTTTTTTTTTTTTTTTTTTTTTTTTTTGTAGAGACAGGGTCTTGCTATGTTGACCAGGCTGGTCTCAAACTCCTGGCCTCAAGAAATTCTCCCGTCTTGGCCTCCCAAAGTGCTGGGATTACAGGCATGAGCCATCATGTCTGACCACTTATGCCCTTCCAGAAAAAAAAAAAAATTCCCCTCAATTTTCTTAAGCTGCTTGACATTCTGCTGTCATTCCAGAGCCATCCTGGCAGGAAAGCTTTCTGTTCTTTAAGAGTTGCCTCTGAAAATGCAATATTCCCACCCCCACCATCAAAGGGCTGCTGCTTAAATTACATCCCCTAAATCCTTAGTAGGAATGCAGTCTTCTGAGAAACCGGGCCAAGAACTGGGGACCAGGGGAAACTCCAGAGGACATAGATGAGCCCCACATGCTTTCCCACCCCTGCCTGGGCTGCGCCCCAGTGGGAATTGTGCTGTGAGTGTCCTGTGGCCATTGTTAGCCACTCAGAAGTGGGATGGGGTGGAAGACCTTCCCACACAGGAAGGCGGGGCCGTGTCTCTTGCTGTCTACTGTATCCTCAGCACCTGGTGTTGAGACTGGCACCTAGTAGCTGTTCAATAAATGTTTACTGAATGACTGGAAGAAGGGTGCCTTTCTCTAGCCATTTCCTCACCCAAGGTGGCCTTTGACTATTCTAGAAGGGGCAGAAGGGAGGAGGAAAAAAACTCCTCTCCTCTCTGCTGAAGGCTTGCTCTGCCCCAGGCTCTCTGCTGTGGCCTTGTGAGGCGGGCACATGCATGTCCTCCCATCTCTTCTATGGCACTTACTCCTGCCTCTGGCTCTGCCCACTGCCTCCTCTCCCCTCACCGTCTCCTCTGACCTCCTCACCTGGCCTCTTTCCCCACAACACCACTGAAACCACTCTGACGAAGGGCAGGGGTGATGTCCTGATGAAGCTGCTGGGAAACCCATTTTAGTCCTTACTGGTGGTGTTGGACCCTGTTGAATCCTTCTTTGTTCTTGCACCTCCTTCTTTCCTTGATACTATCCTCCCCTCATTCCCTGCACCTTCTGACCTTGGCTCATCTGTCCCCAAATCTACATTTCTTGCCTAAAAATTACTCTTAAGCATCAGACCCTCTACATCCGATGATTTTCACCTGGAGGTCCCAGAGGCAATGCATCCATGACCAAACTCAGCACCTTCCATCAGCTGTTTAATTATAATATCTGATTTTCTTCTCCTTCTCCTTCTTCTCCACTAGACTATGAGCAATCTGATGCTAGTCCCGATGTCTTGGTTATCTCTTGTGTATCCAGCACCCAAGGTAAGCTCCTGGCATATGGCGGGCATCCAGGAATGTTGAAAAATGACCCGTACAACTTAGAAGATGCAGCCTCTACAGATCAGTTTCCTCGTTTTTCCCTGAAACTGCTCTCATCTGTTTCCCCGCAGGGAAGGAGCATCCCATGGCTACAACTCTCAAGCATCGAAATGGAACCTGTGAGAGTTCTTCACCCCACAGGGAACTCCTTCCACCAAACTTAGGGGAGCGAGAAAGGGGTTGTAAGGACTTGCCTTTGTATCTCCCCAGCCCCTGCACAGGGCTGGATTTGCATATGTTAATATGGAGAACTGCAACTATTTAATGAGAAGCAGTGGGCCACGTGGGTGAGCAGAATTCCTTAGAGTATTTTTTTCAGATGTCTTAATTCACTCTCTCTTTGTTGTATTTCAGCAGATCCAGGTATTTGCACTGAGTTGGTCCTGGTCCCCACTCCTGTCCCCCAAATCTCTGAAACCACAGATCTCATTAGATGCCAGGCTCAGCCTTGTGTTTGGAGGGTGATGGTGGGCGGAGTGCTCTGCCTACCTGGAAGCAATGCCAGGATGGCTGGAGGTAGCCTACTCCAGGCCAAGGAGCCCCAGCCCAGAGGTTGGGCGGGGACGTGCCTGAGGGGGGTGGGGAGGAAAGGATAGAATTCCAAAGAGGAGAACCCTAGATGGAGAGAGCCCTCTGGGCTTTCAGCCCTTCATCTGGGTTCCACTAAAAACACATTTTGCGTGTTTCTGTTGTTCTTAAGTCTGGGTTTATTTCAAGGGGAAAGTTATAAAGAGACATCTCTCCCTTTATTTCAACAGCAGCTTGTGCTTGGGTAGATTCTCATTTGTCTTGTCTGTCCTGCCTGGAGGTAAAAGGAGTAGGTTGGGGTGGGGGTCCCAAGAGGCCCCAGGAGACCAAGGCCTCAGGCTGTGCTTGCCTCCAGTGTGTTAGACCAGTAGGTCTGTCACAGGTTCTGACCTTCCAGCTGATAGCAACACACACCGCCAGATGAGAGACTTGGGGGGTTGAGAATGAAAGGAAGGGACTTGGGGAAGCACAGAACAAGGAGAGGCCTGGTGAGGTGGCCCCACCTGGGAAACATCCACAGACAGACAGGCAAGTGACCATCCCCATGGCTGTTTGAGAGCCTTCCTCTCTGAACCCAGGGCAGCATCTGTCAGGTAGCCACCCAAGTGAGGCAGGGTTTTGCCCAGGTCGGAAGCCAGAGGTAGCATCCAGTCTCCCTAAGAATTCAGGTCCCAATCCAGTCTGAGAATCCCGAAGAGGACCCAGAGCCCTTGAATCAGTCCATACCTCAGAGACACAAAGAAGAAATGTCAGCGCTTGAAAGGCCCTTAGCCGTGTAACCCACTGCCCTCATTTCACAGATGAGGAAACAGGCCCAGGGAGGGAAAGCTCCTTGCCTAGGGCACACAGTGGGTCAGCGATGGGCTGGTCCTGCAGCCCGGGCCTCAGTGTTCTCTGCACTTTTCTACTTTTCCACCCTGCTGCTTACAAGGGTAGGCAAATGGCCACGTCTCCACGGAGGGATCCAAGGGTGCTAATAAACATGCCCACTCATGGACTCACACGCATACGTGCACAGAACGTGTACACTGGCCCTCGGATCCCATCAGCTGAGCTTGCCAGGGCTCCCCCAGATATAACCTGGGTCTCTCCTCCAGGGTCATCTTGGGCATTCAGGCTCCAGGCAGATGTAGGACTCAGGACACCATGGTGGATGGTCCTGTCTGCACAGAGCTGGTGCCAGACACAAAGAGAACTTGAGGCCCAGCACCCAGGCCCTGGCCTTCACCCACCAGCGAGAAATTCTTGCAGAGCCCTCTCTTGCTCTGAGACGGGCCTCTGCAATGACTCAAGTCGACTTGCTTAAGAAGGACTTGATTGCCACCTGGTGGCCATATCTGACATCTCACCCCAGTATCACAGTCCATTCATTTATCAAAGATGTATTGAGCCCCTGCTGTGAGCCAGGGAAGAAATATTTACTCTTGTTGAATGAATGAACATCCCCTACCCCCAAGAAGAGGTCAGTCCACTGTAGAAGACTGATATGCAAAGCAACAGTTACAATACAGGCTGATTAGTGTAATTATAGAGGTGAGCTTAGGATACAATGGAAGCTAAAATAAAAGGGAGGGGGAGTGGGAGAGGGTGTTAGTCCAGCTTCTATGTAAGGAGCCTAAGGAAGATTCCACCAGGGGCGTGGGTTGACATGCTTCCCGGGGTATGCATAAGCAATCAATAATTACATTCATTTGTCTAAGAGTTTTCATTTTACCAAAAGATTGCACTTGCATTTCCCAGTTCATCCTCCCAGTAGCGCCATGAAGTGTGTATAATTGTCCCCATTTTACAAAGGAGGACACTGAGGCTTGGAGGAGGTAAGTGATTTGCTCCATGTCACTGTCTGGTATTTGATGACTATAATTCCCAAACTACTCCCAACTGAATCAGACTCCCACGGGGAGGCGGGTGCACCAGGCGAGGGTTACAGATGGAGGTCGACTGCCTCTGCCACAGGAGAGTTGGCAAGTTGGGGGTTTGGATGGATAAGCAGCTCTCTCCCATCTCCCAGACAGTGGAGCACAGTTGAGCTCTGGAAGCAGCACAGTGATGCGTGGTGAGCCTCAGCCGGCGCAAATGCAAGCTGGAGGGTCCTGGGTTCAGTGGCTATGTCACAGCCTCATCACAGACCTGAAAATGGTGGGCATGAGAGGCAGACGTGTAATTTCCTCTTTACTACCGCCAGTCATGTGATTACAGCCGAGCTCAGGAGGGCCGGGTGAGCATTGCAGAAAGGCTGTAGCTAGATAGGATCCCTAGAGCCAGAGCAGGGTTGGGGAGTGCAACTCTAGGAAAAGCTTCATTTTCCACACCCACTCCACTCCCAAACATAAGCTGAAGGTCCCAGTGAACTCCGTTAAAGAAGAATGAAAAGTCTGATGCAGCTATTTAAAAACAGGCAGGCGTCAAGTGGCCAATGGCAGTCGAGTGCAGCCGGGGCAGCGCTCGGGAAAATCATCCACCACCGTCAGCCCTGGAGAGGCAGACCTGGGGTTCCCCGCAGAAGCGGGTGCGGGTCCATGTAGGCTACCCCGTCATCTTTGTGCCACGGAGCTAGTTCATCACGGGGCCTTGCTGATTCCTTCCCCAGCACGCCTCAACAATCCCGCTGCTCTCCTGAGACCCAAGCCCTTTCACTCTTTGCTTAGAAGTCCAGCTTTGTTTCCAAACTGTTTTCCCTTTCTCTTCTCCCTACAGCCTCCCTTGACAGGGCAGCTTTAGTGTCCGTGCTTCCCAGAACCAGTGCTGCATGCTCACCTGCTGGACTCCCCCAGGATGTATAGACATCTCATAAGAGTGGGGGCTGCCTCTGGGAAGGGACTGGAAAAAGGCTAAGGGGAAGGAGCTCGGGGGCTGGCAAGCCCGGATGCGACAAAGCACCGAGGTGGGCTTGAATGTGAGTGGCTGTGGTGGGTAGACAGGTGGGCTACTGTGCACGGGAAGTTTAGGTGAGGGAGGATGTTAAGACTCTCCTGGGCTGGGTGCGGTGGCTTCACGCCTGCAATCCCAGCTCTTTGGGAGTCCAAGGCAGGCAGATCACTTGAGCCCAGGAGTTTGAGACCAGCCCAGGCAACATGGTGAAACCTGTCTCTACAAAAAAAGTACAAAAAATTAACTGGGCATGGTGGTGCCTGCCTGTAGTCCCAGCCACTTGGGGTGGGTGGGTGGGGTGCTGAGGTGGGAGGATTGCTTGAGCCCAGGAGGTCAAGTCTGCAGGGAGTGGAGATCACACCACAGCACTCCAGCCTGGGCAACAGAGTGAGACCCTGTCTGTGAGGCTCGGACTTAATCCCGCTGAATCCTCAGTGCGGTCCTCTAAAGCCATGGAATTGAGAGAGGTAAAGTAACAAGCCCACGGTCACAAACCTAGTAACAGTGCGAAGATTCCAACCCAGGCCTCTGATGCCATGTGGTGTTTTCGCAAGAGCATCTTTTGACTTTGCTAATTTCTGGACATCATGTGGAGCCTTCTATGAAAGAGTCAAATATTTGGGAAGGCAAACATCAAAGGGAGTTAGTGCAGGTATTTTATGTAAGCGGATCGCCCTGCGGTGGTGTCTGATTTTCCTGCCAGCCCTGCCCTCTCCCAGGACACACGTTCTCTGCCATGCATTCGCTTCTGTCAGTGCTCTCTGGAACTGCATTTTCCAGGACTCCGTTACTCCCCAAGCATACAAATGCCTCTCCTTCATTTTTTTCCCATTAAGCAGATTTAAAGAATGAACTCAGAATCTTGGCCACCATTAATTTCACAGCTTACAATTATTTGCATCTCCCCCGCTTTTTTTTTGTTTTTTTTTTTCTTTGCTTGAGTCATTTTAAAAAGCCCTTATGATTTCCTTTAATCCTTTTGGTAGAGCAATTCCATTCTCTTCTCTCTTAACCTCCTCTCTCCGGAACGCCCCCCCTCCGCCTGAAAGCTTTAAATAATGCAGCAAATTCTTGTTTCGTTTCCTTTTCTCTGTTTCCAGATGGATTTTTCTCCCCAGAACATCCCTGGGAATCATTTCTGTCAGATGCTTCACTGGATGTCCCTTGGTCTTTACAGCCATCTATCCTCCTTCTCCAACCCCCACCTCGAATTGCAACTTGCTATTTTAATTATAGTTTCTCTTGCCACACTTGGGTTGTTTTTTTTTTCTCTTCTCAGTCTTCTACCTCGCTTAGATTTTAATCCCTTCTTCCAGTGCAGAAAATTCATTAAGATTTCTAGATTCCTCCCAATTTGCTTCCTTGATGTTGAATAATTCTTAGTCTATGTATGATGCTGATTGTTCAGATGTTGAATTAAGTTGCTAAGCAGTGGGGCCAGGAGGCCCTGTCCAAGTGCAGACTGAACCCCACTCCGGAGTGGAGCTGGGGTGTCCCTGGGTCATCTGGTCCCTGCAGTCCTGAAGCTGGCCCTCTCTAAGACCAGACCTCGGCCCCAGTGCAACCAGCCACCTGTGCCTGCCTCCCTGGCCACCCGATGAGAGGTCCTGGGATTGTTTGTCTTCGGTTCCATGGATTGATCCTTGCAGGCTGGGCCAGGCTGGCCCTGACCATAAGCCACCTGGGTCACCTGCAGCTGTTTCCCAGGTGCCTGCTAGGCCTGCAGGCTGGGGCTGCAGTTGGAAATGGGTCTGGGCAGGAAGTGAAGGGGGAAGTAACCTGTGTGGCTGGGGAGTCAATGAGGCCATCGTGTGAGGGGAGGACTGGAACGCAGTTCTATGATGCATTCCAGGGATAAAGGCTGAGTTACTCACCACAGAGAGGAATCGCTGAAAGCTGCCACCCATCCTGTTTGGGCTCACAAACCTGTCCCTGTTCTGTCCTTTGGATAGATATATAGGTCACTACTGGTGAAGGTCATTTACTGTGGGAGCATGTCAACATCAACCTTGAGCCTGGCTCAATTAGAAACATGGGGTGCTCTGAAGTGGCCTAAAAGTCCCTGGGAAAGGGTGATCCATTTACAGCTGCTTAACCTGGGGCAGGTCACCTCACCCCTCTGAACCTCAGGGCTGATATGAGACAACGTGCATGAAAGGTCACTACGTGGGCAACGCTGATATTATGATGCAGGTGAGGAGACGCAAGAGGCGGCATTCATTCCTTCATTCATTGCTACCTTGTTGTTAGAGATTTAAGGCAAGAGACACAACTGGAAAATGGACAAAGGAAAAATGATTTTGAGGATCTAGAGGATAAGATAAGGTCTGAGATTGTCTCAAGTGGGAATAAAGGAAGTAGAAGGGAGGGTGGCCCTGTAAAGTCAGGCGACCTCTACCTCAAGGTGAGGAGGAGAATGCAGCGGAGGAGGCCCTAGAGGACCTGGTACAGGATCAGTTGGAGAAGTGGGAGGGGCAGAGGGCTGCACATTCCTAATGAGCTTGCCCGCTAATCCCAGAGGGTTGCTGCACTGGGAAAGCACAGGCGGAGACCTCCTAAGATGTCTGGAATATCAAATAACATGGCAGAATGTGAGGCAAATAAATGAGTCAAAAACTTGGACTCTTATAACTCTGCAAATAATTCTTTTTTTTTTTTTTTGAGATGGAGTCTTGCTCTGTCACCCAGGCTGGAGTGCAGTGGCATGATCTCAGTTCACGGCAACCTCTGTCTCCTGGGTTCAAGCATTTCTCCTGCCTCAGCATCCCAAGTAGCTGGGAGTACAGATGCAAGCCACCAGGCCCAGCTAATTTTTATATTTTTAGTAGAGACAGGGTTTCACCATGTTGGCCAGGCTGGTCTCGAACTCCTGACCTCAAGCGATCCACTCGCCTTGGCCTCCCAAAGTGTTGGGATTACAGGTGTGAGCCACCGCGCCTGGCCTCTCTGCAAATAATTCTGACACCTGGGAGTTGCACTTTGTATATCATGCTTTTATATGCAAAGGACTTGTTTCAGCATGTCTGTTCCACTTCCTTGAATAGTGCAAGGGCAGTGGCAGTGCCAAGGAGTGGCTTGGAGAGGTATGTTTTATGCCCCTCATCTTCATGAATCACCCCCGCCTCCCCCCCTCAAAAAAACAACTAAAAATCATGTTTTTGACATGGGCGGGGGATGTCTTCTTACTCTTATGGAAAATGTGAGTACAAGCCCCTTTAGAAAAATTACTGTAAAGCATCAGATGAAGGCCGAGTGTGGTGGCTCACGCCTGTAATCCCAGCACTTTGAGAGGCCAAGGCAGGTGGATCACCTGAGTTCAGGAGTTCGACACCAGCCTGGCCAAGACAGTGAAACCCCGTCTCTACTAAAAATACAAAAGTTAGCTGTGCATGGTGGCAGGCGCCTGTAATTCCAGCTACTCTAGAGGCTGAGGCACGAGAATCGCTTGAACCCAGGAAGCAGAGGTTGCAGTGAGCCAAGATGGCACCACTGCACTCCAGCCTGGGTGACAGAGCAAGACTCCATCTCAAAAAATAAAAATAAGATAAATCAGTTGAATTCTACCACAGCTTTGAGACAAGTCCCTGGCCCTGCTTCCAACCAGATTGCTGTTTCTAAGTTTCTCCCAGGCAGACACCCTAGAGTCCCAGCTCCAAAGGTACTCCGCAACGAACAGAGTGGCCAGGAGGTGCTGGAGGAAGGGAAAGCCCTGTGTGGTCAGGAGTTCACGGGCAGTGGGGATTTTCAGCTGAGCTGGACACAGGGAGGGCAGAGGCAGACTTCCCTCGGAGAGGAGGGCAGAGACAAAGCCTAAGGCAATGGGAGCAAGTCTGGCTGTTCAGGGAGGCCCGGGGTTGGTCTGCTCAAAGGGAGGGTGTCTGGAAAGGAGGAGTAGGAGGTGAGGATGGAGAGATGGTGGTGCCGGATCAAAGGAGGCGTAAGTGCTGGGCGAAGGAAGCAGATCTGTGTCCCTGAGCAGGACCCAGCAGGAGGCTTCCATGCCAAAGAAAGTTTGGGTGAAAATAGGATTTTAGGAACATTAGTCATATATAGAATAAACTGGAGGATGGGGGAGGACCAGTCAGGAAGGTCAGTTAGGAGGTTTTGGCTGTGAGTCCCGCATGAGATGTAAGGACCTAGCCTAGCCGTGTATGGCATAGAAATAAAAGAACAGGCCCGGTATGGTGGCTCACTCCTGTAATCCCAGCACACTGGGAGGCCAAGGCAGATGGATCACCTGAGGTCAGGAGTTTGAGACCAGCCTGGCCAACATGGTGAAACACTGTCTCTACTAAAAATACAAAAATTAGCCAGGTGTGATGGCGTGCGCCTATAGTCCCAGCTACTCGGGAGGCTGAGGCAGGAGACTCACTTGAACCTGGGAGGCGGAGGTTGTGGTGAGCCGAGATAGCACCACTGCACTCCAGCCTGGGGGACAGAACAAGACTCCATCTCAAAAAAAAAAAAAGAAAAAGAAAAGAAAGAAAAGAATAAATAAGGCCGGGCACAGTGCCTCATGCCTATAATCCTAGCACTTTGGGAGGCCGAGGTGGGCAGATCACAAGGTCAGGAGTTTGAGACCAGCCTGACAAACATGGTGAAACCCTGTCCCTACTAAAAAAAAAAAATACAAAAAATTAGCTGGACATAGTGGTGGGCGCCTGTAATCCCAGCTACTTGGGAGTCTGAGGCAGGAGAATCTCTTGAACCTGGGAGGTGGAGGTTGCAGTGAGCCGAGATCGTGCCACTGCACTCCAGCCTGGGCGACAGAGTGAGACTCCTTCTCAAAAAATAAATAGCCGGGCGCGGTGGCTGACGCCTGTTAATCCCAGCACTTTGGGAGGCCAAGGAGGGCGGATCATGAGGTCAAGAGATCGAGACCATCCTGGCCAACTTGGTGAAACCCCGTCTCTACTAAAAATACAAAAATTAGCCAGGCATGGTGGCAGGCGTCTATAATCCCAGCTACTCAGGAGCCTGAGGCAGGAGGATTGCTGGAACCCAGAGGTGGAGGTTGCAGTGAGCTGAGATCGCACCACTACACTCCAGCCTGGCGACAGAGCAAGATCCTGTCTCAAAAAATAAAAATAAATAAATACATAAGAAGTGAAATGGAAGGGACGTGGCAATAGGAGGGGGCAGCCTGAGTAGGAACACAGGAAGGTTACGAGGGGAAGAATGCCCCAGAAGCAGACAACATGGGGACTTGATGTTCCCAGATGCATTCCCAGAAGGGAGCTAGTTAGTTAGGCTGGTTAGTTTCTGCTGTCCAGTCCTTGCTTATGTGGCACAAGAGCAGCAGAGAGATTTTCCACAAACCTCCCCTAGGAGACGGCAGAATGAGGCAGGCAGGGGTTAATATGGTTTGCAAATAAACTGCAGATTAATCCTCAGTGGTACTTAATGCAGGGTAAAACGTGATAAATTATTCACATCGTACAGCGTAATAAGCAGGTTGACTCCGCGGCACCAGGCCTCTTGAGCTGTATTTTACACTTAGTTCGTCCTCTTGTTCCTCTTATTTAATCATTTTCAGAACACCTGACTTAAATAGGTGTTTCAGGTCCCATTTTTTTTCCCTGAAAAAATAAATTAGATCATAGATTCATCTCATGACATTCTGACATTTGCCATCTTCTTACATTAGAATAAACATGATTAGAGAGAAAGGAGCTCAGGAATTAGGCACAGGAGGAAGATGAAATACACTTTTCCTGAGGTTACCCCTTCTGGTCTTTGTGCATGACGGTCGTTGTGCAGAGAGGCTACAGGAAGCTCATTTGCATGTGGGATACAAACCGAATTTGTGGTTAATCTGAAGGAATTAAATCTGCTATTTAGGGCTGACTGAGATTCTCTCTCCCGTGGAGTTGGGTGTCTGGGTAAGAGGTGCTCATAGCCCTCCAGGGTGTCTGTAAAATGTATTAGATGAATGGGGCTTTTGTAGCCAAAAGCCTCCCACTCGTGGGCAAGCTTTCAATGGTCCCAGTCCGTGGCAGCCAGCTCCCCTAAACCATGACTTGATTTCTGCCCTCCCTTCCTCAGGCAGATCTCCCCAAGAAGGGCCCGAGCCCCTGGGCGTAGAAGGCTTTTGCGGAGGGACACAGATTATGGACTGAGGTGGGCAACATGCTCAGGAGGAGCATGTTGGAGGAGGAGGAGTAAACTCAGACAGCACTGAGACGTGGGAAAAGAGAAGCTCAGGAAGAAGAGGCCGTGTGCTAGCCCCATGGCGATGGCCAAAGAATCAAAGACATGGTCCCTGGAGAAGGCCAAGCTGAGGTGGAAGGTGTGGGTGCAGGGCAACAGCCAAGGGTGGGAATAAAGCTTTGGGAGAGAAAGTCAGGGATCGCAGAAAGAAAAAGGAGCCGGAAAAATGGGAAGAAGCAGAAAAGAGAATGAACGGCAGGAAGTGTAGGCAGCAGAGTCTCAGTCCCCAGCGATTCTGATGAACTAAGCTGAGCTAAGGGTAGATTAACAGCGTTGTCATCTTTCCTCTCCCAAGCCAGCTTCTTCAACAGGGTGCACGCACATGCGCGCGCGCGCGCACACACACACGTATATATAGTTTCTGATTTCTTTATTGCATCACTCTCTGTAAAGTGCTTGGCACACTCAAACTGCAAAATTCAATGATGTGCTAGGGGTACCCTCTCCTTTACTTCAAATTCCAGGCTCAGCAGGACGTTTTTGATGCTTAATTGTAAATATGAGACAGATGGGGACTAATAAGGTCTGCAAAATGCTGAGAAAGTGGTGGGCTCTTTGTGTCCCAGAAGTGAGGTTTCAGTCCCCTGGGCAGCCGATTCAGCATGTCTGGTGAGATTGGACAGTGGTTCTGACCAGGAGCTGTTCCTGTGGGATGGAGCCGAGGGCTGGGAGCCGTTTCCTGCAAAGGGAAGACTGGCAGCAAACGTTTAGAAGCAAGATTCTCATGGCTATCCAGCAATGACCTCAGACATTCCAGATTTCGTTGGGGGATGGCAGTGGCTCATATACAGTATGTTATGTAAGAAACCAGAGAGAGAGAGAGAGGAGGGCAGCCCACGTTTCTCAATGGCTATGGAAAGCTGAAAACACTCTGATTTTCATGATTGAGGCAAGAAGCATCTGATGCTGTTAACAGTGACAAGTACCAAAAAGAGTGAGAATTGCTGCAGGAAGAAACCCAGCAGTCTTTTGGGAGTCTGGTAGGCAGGTCCGGAGCTAAGGAAACATCACACCCCAGCCAAAGCTGAAGTTGCTGAGAGCACGAGAAGGGCTGAGCTGTCTGTGTGTTGCCAGGCTTGGACCCACCGCAGTCCCACTTCCGGCTTCCTGAGCAGTTTCATCAGAGCTTCCTTATTAGTCCTGCCTAGCAGTGGCTGTTGAGCCCAATGTCAGCAGCAGGCTCTGGAATATTGCCTGTCCACCATCAGCATGGAAGGGAGGCCCCCTGCCCAGACTCTCCTGGGCAAGATGGTGCTGGGGACAGCTGGCAGCGATGTGGAGGCCTGAAATGGAGAGTTCTCAGCCACGGAGGCAGAATGGCTTCCAGGCCCCCTTGCAAACACACATAGTGCAGCAGAGCCATGAACTTGGGGGAAAAGTTAAAGTTTGCACCACTCTCTCTCAGCACAGTTCTTCTGAATGTCTTACCTAAGGTTGGTCATTACTTCATGTGGTCAATCAAACGAAATCAATGTTTATTTAGCTGACATTTAAGACCAGCCCTCAAGGAGCTCACAGTCCAGAGAGTCCACTCTGAGGGACAGACAATGTAACTTATCATCTCGTACTGAGGTAAGTGCAATGGCAGATGTTTGAAGAAGGTAGAGAAATGGCGTAGAAGAGGGGAGAAGTGATATCTGAGGTGGACTTTAAGGGATACATAATAAAAACCAGCATTCCATGCTTACCACGTTCCAGACATGGTGCTAGAACCTTCCGTCAATGAACTCAATTATCAGAAAAGCCTGGGAGGTAGGTTCTGTTATTCCCATTTTACAAACAGACGCACAGAGGGCTTAGGAAAGCGATCCAAATGTACATAGCTAGTAAGACGGAAAGTAGGATTTGATGCAACTACATTTTTTTTTTTTTTTTGAGATAGGGTCTCAATCTGTAGCCCAGACTGGAGTGCAGTGGCAAGATCTTGGCTCACTGCAACCTCCACCTCCCAGGTTCATGCAATTCTCCTGCCTCACCTCCCAAGTTGCTGGGATTACAGGGGCATACCACTTACCGCCCGGCTAATTTTTATATTTTTGGTAGAGACAGGGGTTTCACCATGTTGGCCAGGCTGGTCTTGAACTCCTGACCTCAAATGATCCACCCACCTCGGCCTCCCAAAGTGCTAGGATGACAGGTGTGAGCCACCGTACCTGGCCTGATGCCATTACATTTGACTGCCTTTCTAAGATATTAAATGATGAAGGTGCCTTCCTGGGATAAGAAGTAGAGGAAAGCATGGCAGGCAGAGAGAATAGAATACGCAAAGCATGGAGGCGTGAGATCACATGGCTCAGTATTACAAGAACAGGAAGTGTGAGAGCAGGAAGGAGTGGAATGTGAGGCTGGAGAAGTAGATGGGTCTGCGAGGTTGGATTTCCTGCTCTTGTCATGGGGCATCACTGAAGGATTCTTAGAGACAGAGTCACAGGTACACGTTTAAGAAAGACCACTCTTGGCTGGGCGCGCTGGCTCATGCCCGTAATCCCAGCACTTTGGGAGGCTGAGGCAGGCGGATTGCTTGAGGACAGGAATTTGAGACCAGCCCGGCCAACATGGTGAAGCCATGTTTAGTAGAGGCCCTTCTCTACTAAAAATACAAAAATTAGTAGGGCGTGGTGGCCCATGCCTGTAATCCCAGCTGCTCGGGAGGCAGAGGTTAGAAAATCACTTGGACCCAGGAGGTGGAGGTTGCAGTGAACGGAGATCATGCCATTGCACTCCAGTCTGGGTGACAGAGTGAGACTCTATCTCAAAAAAAAAAAGGAAAAAGAAAAAGAAAAGAAAGACCACTCTTCGCTGCAGGATGACTTGGGTTGATGGCAGCAAAGGAGAACAATTAGGAGACTATCATAACAGTGACAGTGAAATCACTGGGTACTGTGCTAAGACAGTGAAAGGAGACATCTTTTTAACAGGAATTTTTGGAAGATCCAATCAACAGGCCTTGGTGGTAACTACATGTGGGGAGTAAGGCGGGGGAGGTGTAGAGGAAGAGTCCTCGGTTTCTGGCTTGGGAACTGCTATGGCCACTAGCAGGTTTGTAAGAAGGGGAAGGAAGGGAACCAGTAAGTTCAATTCTGGACATGCTGCTTTGGGGTGCCTGTGGGGCCTTCAAGTATGTGGAGAGCTGCAGGCAACTGGATATGCAGGTCTTGGTGGCCATTGGCCACAGCTCCCTCTTTTCTGCCCCATCCTGCAGACAGTCCCTCACTGGGAGCACAGTGGCAGGAAACATGAGACGCTGGGATCTGGCATTGGCACAGCTGAGTGTGATTAATGCAGAAGAAATGAAGGCGGTATTGGATGGCAACGAACCCAGACTCTGTTAGATGTGGCAGAAAGTGATCAAAGCGGATGGGATAAAGGTGGTAATGGATGATCAGAATATTCACTCCACTAGACAATGGGGATTCTTAAGTGAGTTGAAGAGAGGGGACTTCAATAAAGGCACAACTATCTTTTATTTTTAGTGTCAACCTTTAGTGTAATACAACAAAACTTGTCAAGCAGTTGCCTTATTCATTGACTCAAAGTTTATTGAACACCTGGTGTGTGCCTGGGCCTTTATAAGAGCTGAGGATACATCAGTGAACAAGACAAAAATCTCTGCCCTTAAGGAGCTTATTTCCTGGCTAGGGAGGGTGGGGAAACAAATGATAAGCAGAAGAAGAAATAAAATATATAATCTTTGGGTATCCACTGGCTTATACAACACCTTCATGCAAATTAGAAAAAGGCCACACTTGTGTGTGGGTGGAGGAAACCCTGTGCCAGGGCACACAGCTCGGCAAGCAGAGCCTGGGCTCACTCTTGCTTGGCAAGGCATCCAATCTGCACAGCTTTATCTGGTGGCCCCATATGGAACACCAATTGTCTGATGGAGAAAAATAAAGCAGGATAAGAGAGACAGGCGGTAAAGAGAGAAGGGTTGCAATTCAAAAGAAGAGGGTTAGAGAAGGCCTCCGTGAGAAAATGACATCTGAGCAAAGACACCAAGGGGATGAGGAAGCAAGCCATGTGGCTATCTGGGGAAGACTCCCAGGCAGTGGGGCCAGCCAGTGCGAAGGCTTGAGACAGGAGCATGCCTGGCTATTTGAGGAATGGCAAGGAGGCCAGTGTGGCGGGAGCAGGGAGACCAAGAGGAAGAGAGTAGGGGACTGGATGGGAAAGGCAGCTGGGGGCCAGAGAGTGCCTCCTAGGCCCCTGTAAGAACATTGGTATTCACTCTGGATGCCATGGGAAGTCTTGGAAGAATTTTGAGTAGGGAGCTACATGATTTGACTGACTTTTTACGAGCTCCATCTGGCTGCTGGGTTGAACATACTGTACAGGAGGGGAGGTGGAAGCAGGGGCTCACTGAGGAGGCCGCCGTGATTACCGAGGTGAGGAGTGATGGTTGTGCAGACCAGGGAGGTGGCAGTGGAGATCAGGAGGAGTGCTCAGATTCCAGATATATTTCGTAAAGCCAGCAGAATTTGCTGACGGGTTGGAAGTGTGGTGGGAGAGAAGGATGACTCCAAGGTTTCTGACCTGGACAATGGAAGAATGAAGTTGCCATTTATTGAGAAAAAGAAGGCTGTGGAAGGAAACACGATTGGGCATAACATCAAACATTTTAATTTGAGCACTGATTTGTGAACATGCAAAATGACCCTCCCCTGTAACAGGTTCTGACCCTGCAACAACTCATATTACAGAGGACAAAACCAAGACCCAGAACAACTTGCATAAATCTTGCCCAGCTCATAAGTGACAGAACCAGGGTTCAAACGAATCTGTCTGCTCCCACATCTGTGCACTTTGCCCCATACTGCATGGACTCAGGGAATTCCTGCTCCACTGAGGAACCCATAGAAACTAGACTGTGAGCTGTTGGGAGCCGAGGCTGTGTCTCACTCTCCTCTGTAGTCCCAGTGTTGGGATTTTGTTGGAGGAACCAGCAAATAACACTCCTCTCAACTTGATTTTGGAACCTTTGGAGAGACAGACACAGGAATCATGCAGATAGGAAGATCGGCTTTATTTGTTGATTGATTTATTATTATTATTATTTTTTGAGACGGAGTTTTGCTCTTATTGCCCAGGCTAGAGTGCAGTGGCGCAATCTCAGCTCACTGCAACCTCCACCTTCCGGTTTCAAGCGATTCTCCTGCCTCGGCCGCCCAAGTCGCTGGGATTACAGGCGCCCGCCACCACGCCCAGCTATTTTTTTTGTATTTTTAGTAGAGACGGGGTTTCACCATGTTGACCAGGCTGGTCTCAAACTGCTGACCTGGTGATCCACCTGCCTCGGCCTCCCAAAGTGCTGGGATTTCAGGCGTGAGCCACTGCGCCCAGCCCGATCGGCTTTATCTTTGATCACTCTGGGGTGGAAGATGATACCTCAGTGTGTGGCCACAGTAGGCTTCCTGATGTTCCCCTGACCAGGCAGAGCTTGGACACTGCAAGTCTCTGCCTGGAGCCTTCACCTGAAGAAGCAACGTGAAGCAGGTATCTGGCAGGCAGATTGGTTCTGAGAGAGAAAGGGAGAGGAAGGGGTTGAGCTTCTCAGGCTCAGATCTTCCTTTCAAATTCACTATCAGATAAATCCCTTCTCTTCCCATGGGGAGGAGTAGGGAGCGAGGCCAGTAGGGTTATTCTAGCTGCAGTCCTTCCCCATGGAAACATAAAGCACAGAAATGAAAGTACCCCCTCCCCCACTCCAGCACAGCCTGGCACACAATAGGTGCTCGGTAAGTGTTTACAGTTTGTGTGTGTGTGTGTGTGTGTGGCTAAAATACAAGCAGGCACTTCTACCTAGTGAACACTATAGAAGGCACTCTTTATACACATTCACTTCCCATTATTATCCCATGAGGTAGAAACTACTTTTCTTTCCATTTTACAAATGAGAAAGTGAAGGCATTGAAAGGTTTTGAACTTGACCTAGGATGGAGCCAGGACTTAAACCAGGTGGTTTATTGGAGTCAGAGTAGATAAGCAGCACAGGTATTCCCCTCACTCTGCTGTGCTGGTGATGATCCCAGGCAGGAAGGACATTATTAGACATTAGCACGAAGCGCATGGGAAAGCAGGCGAGAGAGCAGTTAATTCTGCCTAGAGCTGGGGTCGGGGCGCAGAGGCAGAGACAGGCAGTCACAGAAAGAAGATGAGAGCTGACTTGAGTCTTCAAAGACAAGTAGGGATTTGCCAAAGGGTTAAGATTAGTGGAGGGAGGAGATGGCATTCTAGGTGGAACAGCTTGGACAAACATCCTAGATCTGAACAGTGCTTGGGGAATAGTGAATGGACCAGATTGCTCAAAATACAGATCACAAAATGGCAGCCCACCCTCCAAAGTCAACTGCAGATGTGAGTTGTTTGGCGTGTACAGTATATACACATATTTAAGTTGTCTCAACATTTAAAAATTGAGTGATTTCACCAAACACTCTGGACTTTTGGCTTTTCTTGAAAAACCAGAAGATAACCCTAAGTAACGCTAGGCATGTATTCCCATATGGCCACCTTTTTTGAGCCCTAAGAAGCTGCTAGCTCCTTCAGATGAACATGTGCTCCCCAGCTGGCCTCAACCCCCACCACTCCCCAGCACTTCCATTTTCACCCATTTACTTAACTAGCCCATCTTGCTCCTATGGGCACTTGAGTTTGCAACCCTTGGGCTAGATGTTTGGATGAAGTTTTGAAGGGCCTGGTGTGCCATGCCAAAGAGGGGATTTGGGAGTCTTTAAAGGTTGTTAAACAGAGGAGTGCATGATGGGATGAGTACAGAAGATGGGATAGGTGGGAGAGAGATGGAAGCAATATTGAAATTAGTAGGCACAAGGGTCAAATGGTTTCTCCTGGAGAATTCTTCTTCAGGCAGAAGTAGTAGCAATTGTTCCAGGTGAGTCATAGTTCTGGACTGGACTTGGAGTTAGACAGCCTGAATTATTGTTTTTTTTAAAAAAAATTTTATTTCCATAGATTATTGGGGAACAGGTGGTGTTCGGTGACATGAGTAAGTTCTTAGTGGTGATTTGTGAGATTTTGGTGCACTCATCACCCAAGAAGTCTACACTGCACCCAATTTGTAGTCTTTTATCCCTCACCTGCTTCTCATCCTTTCCTTCTGAGTCCCCAAAGTCCATTGTGGCATTCTTATGCCTTTGCATCCTCACTGCTTAGCTCCCACTTATGAGGGAGAACATGTAATGTTTGGTTTTCCATTCCTGAGTTTCTTCACTTAGAACAATAGTCTCCAATCTCATCCAGGTTTCTGAGAATGCCATTAATTCATTCCTTTTATGGCTGAGTTGTATTCCATCATATATATATATGATATACCACAGCTTCTTTATCCACTTGTTAATTAATGGGCATTTGGGTTGGTTCCACATTTTTGCAATTATGAATTGTGCTGCTATAAATATGCTTGTGCAAGTATCTTTTTCGTATAATGATGTCTTTTCCTCTGGGTAGATACCAGTAATGGGATTGCCGGATCAAATGGTAGTTCTACTTTTTTAGTTCTTTAAGGAATCTCCATGCTGTTTTCCTTAGTGGTTGTACTCGTTTACATTTCCACCAGCAGTGTAAAAGTGTTCCCTGTTCATTGCATCCATGCCAATATCTATAATCTTTTGATTTTTTGATTATGGTCGTTCTTGCAGGAGTAAGGTGGTATCAGATTGTGGATTTGATTGGCGTTTCCCTGATCATTAGTGATGTTGAGTATTTTTTCATATATATGTTGGTCATTTTCATACTTTTTTTTTGAAAATTGTCTATTCATGTCCTTAGCCCACTTTTTTCTTTTAAGGAGTCTTGCTTTGTTGCCCAGGCTGGAGTGCAGTGGCAGGATCTTGGTTCACTGCAACCTCTGTCTCTCAGGTTCAAGCAATTCTCATGCTTCAGCTTCCCTGAGTAGCTTGGATTACAGGCATCTGCCACTATGCCCAGCTAATTTTTGTATTTTTAGTAGAGACCGGGTTTCGTCATGTTGGCCAGGCTGGTTTCGAACCCCTGACCTCAGGTGATCCTCTGGCCTCAGCCTCCCAAAGTGCTGGGATTACAGGCATGAGCCACTGGGCCCAGCCTGGAGGAATCTTTAGGGTTTTCTGGGTATACAATGATATCATCAGCAAACAATGACAGTTTGACTTCCTCTTTACTGATTTGGATGCCCTTTTTTTCTTTCTCTTGTCTGATTGCTCTGGCTAGGACTTCCAGTACTATGTTGAAGAGAAGTGGTGAGAGTGGGCATCCTTGTCTCGTTCCAGTTATCAGGGAGAATGCTTTCAAATTTTCCCCATTCAGTATTATGTCAGCAGTGGGTTTTTCATAGATGGCTTTTATTATATTGAGGTATGTCCCTTGTATGCTGATTTTGCTGAAAGTTTTAATCATAAAGGGATGCTGGATTTTTTTTTTTTTTTTTGAGACAGAGTCTCACTCTGTTGTCCAGGCTGGAGTGCAGTGTTGTGATCTCGGCTCACTGCACCCTCTGCCTCCCAGGTTCAAGCGATTCTCCTGCCTCAGCCTCCTGAGTAGCTGGGATTACAGGCATGCGCCACCATGCCAGGCTAATTTTTGTATTTTTAATAGAGATGGGGTTTTGCCATGTTGGCCAGACTTGTCTTGAACTCCTGACCTCAGGTGATCCACTGACCTCAGACTCCCAAAGTGCCGGGATTACAGGCGTGAGCCACTGTACCCAGCTGGGCTGCTGGATTTTGTGGAATGTTTTTTCTGCATCTATTGAGATGATCATGTGATTTTTGTTTTAAATTCTGTTTATGTGGTGTATCACATTTATTGACTTGCATATGTTAATATGTATCTGTATTAGAGGGCCTGTATCTAGAGGGCCTGAATTAAAACAGAAGAATGAATGATCCTCCTTCTTTCAAACACTGTTACCTTCACCTCTCCAGTAAGTTCCATCTGGTCTGTTTAGAAAATAAGAAAATGGGCTGGGCATGGTGGCAATCCTAGCACTTTTGAGACGCCAATGTGGGTGGATCGCTTGAGCTCAGGAGTTTGAGACCAGCCTGGGCAACATGGAGAAACCCTGTCTCTACAAAAAATGCAAACATTAGCCAGGTGTGATGGTGCACATGTGTAGTTCCAGTTCCTCAGGAGGCTGAGTTGGGAGGATCACTTGAGCCTGGGAGGCAGAGGCTGCAGTGAGCCGAGATTGCACCACTGCACTCCAACCTGGGCAACAGAATGAGACCCTGTCTCAAAAAGAAAGAGAGAGAGAGAGAGAGAGAGAGAGAGAGAGAGAGAGAGAGAGAGAGAGAGAAAGACAGAGAGAGGAAAGAAAGAGAGAGAGAAAGAAAATAAAAAGAGAGAAAGACAATAAAAAGAGAAAAACAAAGAAAGAAAGAGAAAAAGAGAGAGAGAAAGAAAGAACCAACGAACCTGGGTACCTCTGGCAAGCCACTTTAACTTCTTTGAGCCTCAGTTTCCTCCACTGTAAAACAGGAATAGCATTACCATCAATAGCATCGCATGAGGAAAGGTGTTTGAACACGTTTGTGGATGGTAGGGGTCCTAGGGAGTTAGAGGATTGCTGGGGTTGATACAGGAAGGCCCCACATGTTGGCTTGGCTCTGAGGTGTCAGACCTCTAGAGGTGGCACAAACCACACAATAGCTGTGGTTCCTGCTGTCCTGGGACTTTTAACAATGACACAAGCCACATCAAGCTGCTTGAACAAGAACATGTGCATAATGTTCTTGTTTCCACCCCATACACCCATGAAGTCAGGTGCAGGGGCAAAAGCCCAGGGTGTGGTCTGAGTTGGATTTGGCTTCTGGGTTTGGGGCAGGGCCCGGGGGATTCAAATCTCCTCTGTCCTGCACACAGCATCATGGTGACTTGGGGATGGAGGCTGCACAGTCAGCCTGGCTGTTTGCAGCCTCTCTGCTCCTCCCTCCCTTCTCTGCTCTGCTGCTCCCTCCCTCCCCCTCCCCCTCACTGTCTCCAGCCCTGCAATCCATCACAGCTCTGTGTCCCTGCCCTCTGTGACCGCGTCTCTCTGCACCACTACTTTTGCATTTTGATGTTAAAACAATATTTTACCCAATATATGACAGCACTTGGAGCCTTTGCAAAGGCCTTTCACATCTGTTATTTCATTTGATCCTCACCAGGTTGCTGTCAGGTAGGCAGGGAAGGTATTATTAGTGAGGGTGGTAGTCAAAATATTTAACAGCCCATATATGATGGGCTCAACCATCAGAGTGGATGCAGGTCTAGTGCTGGAGAGGGCCCTGGAGGCATCTTCTCTTAGTTATTGGAGCAAGGTCTGGGGGAGGGGGCACTGGCGTGGGGACCTGGAAGTCTGGGGCAGTCCAGTGTGGGTGGGGGCAGACATGAAGGATTCAGGGAAGTGGCTTTTTGCCAAGCAGTCTGGAAGCATTTCTGTTTTTTCCTTTTCTTTTTATTTCTTTTTCTTTCCTTTTTTTTTTTTTTTTTTTTTTTGAGACAGAGTTTCGCTCTTATTGCCCAGGCTGGAGTGCAATGGCGCAATATCTCAGCTCACCACAACCTCCGCCTCCCGAATTCAAGCAGTTTTCCTGCCTCAGCTTCCCAAGTAGCTGGGATTACAGTCATGCACCACAACGCCTGGTTAATTTTGTATTTTTAGCAGAGACAGGGTTTTCCCATGTTGGTCTGTCTGGTCTTGAACTCCCGACCTCCGGTGATCTGCCTGCCTCAGCCTCCCAAAGTGCTGGGATTACAGGCATGAACCACTGCGCCCAGCCTCTGTTCTTTTTGTTTTTTGTTTTGTTGTTTGTTTTTTAGCAGGATTGAACTGTACTAGTGCTTACCATGGTCTGTAATTATCTGTCCAATTGTGGTAATGTGGGAACCGAGGTCCAGAGAGGTGAGTAACTTGCCCAGGGTGCAGGATGAAAAGAGGGCCGGCGGTGAGGTCGCTGGACTCCTCAAGCAGAGGTTTTTCTGCCGCCCCAGAGTGCAGGCAGATGCAAGGGCTTTCTTTGTCACCTCCTTCTTCCTGACAGAACAGCAGCCTTGGACAATGGCGAACAGCACTCTTGAAATCTGATCCCGGACCTCACACTTCTCTCCACACTTCTGTCACCATGTCTTCTTATCTTCTCACTGTCTCCTCTGTCTCACCCTCATGTGTCAAGACTCTGCCCCTGAATTCCCTCGCTTGACTGTCTCCTTGATTTCTCCATGGACTCCCACACCATCTGCTAGTTAGTACCTTGCTGGGAGCAATTTCCAGAAACTCCCTGAGGCCCTGATTCTGCTCCTGAGCTGCCCATTGGATATCTCTCAGATGTCCTGCTAGCTACCTCAAGTCAACATGTCCCAAAGGGACCTCACCACCTTTTCCTCCCAAACCAGTCCTCCCCTGTGACCTTGCTATGCCTGTAAGTGGTACCACCGTTCTTAATCCTCCTGGACCACACGGACCACCCGCTGGCACAGTGCCCATAATGGCCATCCACCTGCTGTGGCCTAATGCTTTGGAGACCCCAGTGAAGATCAGTTCTGAAGTTGAGACTGAGGCTGGGTCTGGCTTCCTGCAGCCCTTGTCCTACCCTGAGATCATGACCCCATCTTCCTTTGCACTGGTGTGTTCATTTTTTTGTAAATATAATGCTATTTTTATTGAAATAATTCATATGTACTACTTAAAACCAAATAGTCCTACTAAGTATATAATGAAAAAACAGATTGCTCCCTGTGTCATTTCTTTTTACTTGTGATTACTACTCCTTAGAGGTAATTGCAACATTTTTTGCTGTTTCTTCAGGTATTTACCTCCATTTTTCAAATGCGGTAAATGGTAATCTTAGATTTTTTCATTCTGGACATTATCTATTGATTTTTAATAAAGATGCTGTCAATATCCCATCTGTATGCCTTAGACTAAGCTTGTCCAACCTTCAGCCATAGGCAACATGTGGCTCAGGACGGCTTTGAATGTAGCCCAACATAAATTTGTAAACTTTCTTAAAACGTTGAGTTTTTGTGTGATTTATTTATTTATTTATTTATTTTTGATGGAGTCTCTTGCTTTGTCGCCCAGGCTGGAGTGCAGTGGCACGATCTCAGCTCACTGCAAGCTCCGCCTCCCAGGTTCACGCCATTCTTCTGTCTCAGCCTCCTGAGTTGCTGGGACTACAGGCGCCCACCACCACGCTTGGCTAATTTTTTTTTTTTTTTGTATTTTTAGTAGAGACGGGGTTTCACCGTGTAAGCTAGGATGGTCTGGATCTCCTGACTTCGTGATCCGCCCTCCTTGGCCTCCCAAAGTGCTGGGATTACAGGCATGAGCCACCACGCCTGGCCTTTTTTTTTTTTTCCTCACCATCTATTGTTAGTGTTAGTGTATTTTATGTGTGGCCCAAGACAATTATTCTTCTTCCAATGTGGCCCAGAGAAGCCAAAAGTTTGGACATCCCTGCCTTAGACATTTCTAAGCAGCATTCTTCCTTACTTCTAACTGCCGGGGGCTGCATCTCTGTATCTGAAAGCTTCTGGGGTCTGCCCTCACAGACTAGACATACCTAGAAATTAATATGCCATCTCCCCCAATCCCAGCAGTCCTCAACTAATGGCTGTCAGGAGCTGGAGTATAAATACCTCAGCTCCCTCCCCCATGGGTGCGATAATTCCAAAGCATGTGTTTTGCCCCATTTCCCAGAGTTTTCCCAGTAAGATTAAGCTCCAATCGCCCACAGCTGTGCCTGGCTTAATCACACATTCTTTATTGGCTGTTTTCCCTTCCCTACATCACTTTCCCAACTCCCTGTGCAAGCTGTCCCCTGCATTTCCCAAATAAACTACTTAAGTCTCAGAGTCTGCTTCTGGGGAAACCCAAACTAAGATAACTTCCTTATAGGAAGATGAGGATTTACCTTCCTGCCAACTTCTTTCCCTGAACACATTCTCTTAATATCATTGTAGCATGGTTTTTAGTTAAATCAACATTCAGTATATACATTATTATGACTATGTAAATATTGCTTGCAACCGAGCAACATAAACTAGGATTATATTTTTTAAAAAAGCATTTCCCTTTAGAGTTAATAATACCTTCTTTCTTTTCTTTGCTTAGTTTTCTATGTACTTATCACTAATTTGTCCCCAACTCTCTTATAGAGTAGAACTCTATATAGTAAAATAAATCATGTTATCTCTATGTTCTATTATTTCCTTGGAAACCACTCCTGAAGCCTGGAGTTTTCCTGCTCCAATGTGGACTGGTTGCTTTCCTGGTTTGCTACGCAACTATTATCCTGGGGCTCCCTTCATTATCATTCTAGAAAGTTCTTTTCCCTCTCTCTCCTATATGAATTCCCCTATTGTCTGTGTCCCATGTCTTCTTTCATGATTTACTTTCTCTTCACGTCTTTTATGAGAATGGGTACATCAGAGACAAATTATTTGAAATCTGGAATGTCTGCAAATAACTTTGTTCGTGTTTTATTGACAATTTGACTTGCTAGAGAATTCTAGAAAAAAAATTGTCTCCCAGAATTTGGTGGAAATTTGTCTACTGTCTTCTAGCTTCTTCTTTTTTTTAAATAATTTTTAAAATGATTTAAAAATTTTTAAATGATTTATTTGGTAATTATTCCCCAGACTTTTCTCAGTTCCTCCTTCTGGAGCTCCTGCTTTTATTTGTTTCTATTTTACTTTACATAGTAATTTATTTCAAAAGTATATTTAATACTTACACATGTATTATTTTATTAGCTACTTTGTAATATGATTATACATTTTTGCATTTGAAATGCTTTATATATTTAATTCTGCAATTTTTTAATTTTATGAATTCTGTTTTTTACAATGTTATTGAGGTATATTTGAGTTTTATAAAATTTCCCCATTTTGAGTGTACAATTTAATGGCTTCACTGGGCGCAGTGGCACCTGCCTATAATCTTAGCTACTCACGAGGCTGAAGTGGGAAGACTGCTTGAATCCAGGGGTTTGAGACCAGCCTGGGCAATATATGAAGACTCCACCTTAAAAAAAAAAAAAGACTTTTAAATTCACCAAGTTCTACAACCATCACCACAAACAAATTTTAGAATGTTTCCATCACCCCAGTAAGATCCCTCATGCCCATTCCAGCATTTTTTCCCAGTGTATTCTGAACCCCAATCATTTGTAGGTGACCTAGTTTTTCCTCTCTACAAGGTTCTGCTCTTTATTTCTGATATGTTACAATGATGTGCCTTAATGTGATTTTTTTTTACTATCCTGGAAAATTTTCAAAGAATTTATTTGGTAATTATTCCCCAAACTTTTCTCAGTTTCTTCCTACGGGAATTCCTGTTATTCTGGCATTGAGCCTTCTGGAGTAATTGTTTGATGCTTTAATCTTTTTCTTTTATTAATTCTTTTTGTCTTTATTTGCCTTATTTTTAGGAGATTTTCTAGTTTTTTGTCTTCTAAACCTATACAATATTAAAACTTTAGCAATCTTGATTTCCAAGAGCCCATTCTTATTCTCTGAAGGTTTTTTTTCCATAGCCCCTGATATTGTTTCCTGGGTTCAATGGTTTTCTAGCCCTCTAAGGATATTAAATATGCCGTTTAAAATTGCAGTGAATTCTCTGAATTGTCTCTGCTTCGCCTGAGTTTTCCTCCCTCCCTGCCTCCCTCCCTTCGTCCCTCCTTCTTTCCTTCTTCTCCCTTCTCCACCTCTTCTTCCCCCTTTTTCTTCTACTGGGTTTTGCTTTAGATCCTCTCTTCCTTTCCTCACCATCCGTTCATATTGAAGAGTGAGGCACTGAAAAGCTCATTGAAATCTCTGTGTGTTGGGGCAGGGCTGGTTTAGTGGCAGGCCGCACCTTAAGGTTATCAGGTAGGAAGCTAATGTTTTACTGGGGATTCCCCAACCAAGGTCAACCAATGCCATTATCAACAGGTCTTTCTCTTGAGCCAGTCAGTTTACCCAGCAGGACCTTCCCCAGCCTCTTTCCTCTAGAATGTAAGCCAGGCTTCCAGAATTCTGGGCTCCCCCGCTTTCCCTTCCCATCAGAAGGAGTGGGTGATCACATTGCTCAAGAATGAGACTTCTGCCTGACCAACATGGTGGAACTCCCTCTCTACTAAAAATACAAAAAAATTTAGTTAGCATGGTGGCACGTGCCTGTAATCCTAGCTACTCAGGAGGCTGAGGCAGGAGAATCATTTGAACCTGGGAGGCAGAGGTTGCAGTGAGCCGAGATCACACCACTGCACTCCAGCCTGGGTGACACAGCAAGACTCCATCTCAAAAAAAAAAAAAAAAAAAAAAAAGAATGAGACTTTCACTTGATCATCCTGCTTTCTCTATGCTGCCTTACCTCTTCATCTTCCATGCCTGGTGCCTTCCCCAGATCCAGAATCTCTCCTTCAGCCTCTCCAGAGATTAAGCCTGTGTTTTGCAGGGTGGGATGAACAAAGCTGTTTGCCAGGGCTGGAGAGGAGAAGCTGACTTTCAGCTCATCCTTATGTTTGCAGCCCACTCCATCCCATTAACTTCACAGTTACCCATACCTCCATTTTCTAAACTCTTCCGTTCTTATTTTTTGTTGTTTTTCATGTCAAATTGGCTTCCTTTTTGAAAGCATCTCTGCCCCTTGCCTGCCCTGCAGCCAGCTTTTTTTTATCTGCTAAGTCAGTTAATACTCATCCAATGGGATCTTTCTTCCAAAATTCTTTGACATCATCCATCAGCTGTTGTCTTTTCTCTTGTTCTGATAGTTCTTGTGGGTTTAGACTTTACTACTTTACTGTCATTGTAGGAACAGAGTCAAACACATGGGCTAAATGTGCCAAGTCTAACCAGAAATTCTCTCCCTGTCCCTGCTGCCACACTCTTCAGCCTGACTCACGTTTCCAGCCTGGAATGCTTACTACTCCCCAGACAAACCCAGCTCTTCTTGGCCTCCTTACCTTTGCTGATAACGTTTCTGGAATGTACTCCTTGTCTCCTTTCCATCAAGACTCATCTTAGGGATCATACCCATGAAACCTCCTCCAATTTACCGCTGCTAGAGAAACATCTTGTCCTTTCTAAAGCTCATGTCATGTGCATGTTTCACCTCTCCTGAGGCACCTATGGTATGAACATCCATCGCTCTGCTATACAAGTTCTTTGAGGGAAGGGACAACAGCTTACCGTCTTTGAATCCTCTTCAGCCAGCAGTTGATCTACCTATCTATCTATTATAACAAGAACCATAAAAATTAAATGTCTGCCATAATGTGTACAGGCATTTTAACCACAATGGTCTCTAACACCTACAGTAATTCTACAAGGTAGGGTATTAGATTTAATTTTTAGATGGACACTCTAAGAGGTTAAACGACTTCACCAAGGTCCCATAGCCAGCCAAAGGCAGGATCTGAATTGAAGCACTGGTTTCTTTGTCTCTAAAGTCTATGTTTTTTATCCCAGCTGCTTTGTTTCAGTTATCTTTTTAATTTTAACATTTTATTGCTACCTTTTTATTTTTAACTTGGGTACTTAACATTTTTCTTTCACCTGTATATTACTCCTGCCACTCTGAAAGTGCAGGTGCAGTGTGGTTATTTTGCTCATTCCAAACTCCTGTGCCTAAAGCAAGAACCCTCAGCTTGGCCCTGTGGATCCATATCTGTCATTTATCAGGCATAATTGACATATTGGGTCAAGCAATTAGTAACAAATATGGTTAAGGGCATGGGCTCTGAAGAGAGGTTCAAATCCTGGCTTCTCCACTTACTAACTATGAGTGTGGGCAAGTTACGACCTCTCTATGCTTCAGTTTCCTCTTCTGTAGAATGGGCTTAGTAACGCCTGCAGTATATACGACAAAAGGTAATGGCGAGAATTAAATACATGTAAACTACTTAGAAGAGTGTATGGCACTTTATAAGCACTAATTGATGTTACCTATTGTAGTCACATATTTTGTCTCATTTAACTTACATTTTATACCAACCCTATGGAGTAAAAATTATTATCCTAACTTTGCAGGTGAGGAAGCTGATATGCAGATGCAAATTGAGATCTTCCTGACTCTAAAAGCATTTTCTTTCTTTTCTTTGTTTCTTTTTTCTTTTTTTTTTTTGAGACGGAGTCTCACTCTGTCGCTCAGGCTTGAGTGCAGTGGCCTGATCTCAGCTCACTGCAACCTCTGCCTCCTGGGTTCAAGCGATTCTCCTGCCTCTGCCTCCCGAGTAGCTGGAGTTACAGGCGTGCACCACCATGCCTGGCTTGTATTTTAGTAGAGACGGGGTTTCACCATGTTGGCCAGGCTGGTTGTGAACTCCTGACCTCAAGCGATCTGCCCGCCTCCGTCTCCCAAAATGCTGAGATTACAGGCGTGAGCCACCGCGCCCGGCCTAAAAGCATTTTCTTAACCACTGTGCTATACAGCCAGAGAGACAGATGATACTTGTGGACATCCTGCAGGCTGTTAAATGTTGGCGAGCCTACGAACAAGAAGACACTGGTCTGGACACTGGTCTCCAGTGCAACTCCAGAGAGGATGTGAGGGTATCATTACTGGGTAGGGATGTGCCACCCCAGGCTGGGAGTCAGGAAACCTGAGCTCTAGGCCTCCCTGTTGTGTGGACCCCCACTCTCTGTACCCTCCACTACCACCCCCAGGCCTCATTTCTCTCATCTTAGAGATGAAGGGTAGCACTGGCCTCCTGGGGCTCCTTGTAAAGGCTCCCAGCAAAACCAGGTATCTGCTGAATGCCAGCACCATCTGGTGGCCATGGGCCATAACCCAAGCCCATTGCTCCCCACTGCCACTTGGTGGCCACTAATGCCACCTTAGGTTTGCCAGGCATTTCACATTAAAAAAAGAATCATTGACATGATCACATGCTATCTTTTCAGCAACTTGAAGAGATATGTAGGATTTGGTACTATCTTTTCCTGACAGGAAGCTGGGGCCCAAAGAAATTGGGTAAATGGCATGGAGTCACATGGCAAGCTCACTGGCTGTCACAGCCGGGTTTAAAAGGCTCCGAAATTTTTTTTTGTTTGAGACAGAGTCTCGCTCTGTCACCCAGGCTGGAGTGCAGTGGCACGATCTCGGCTCACTGCAACCTCCGCCTCCCGAGTTCAAGTGATTCTCCTGCCTCAGCCTCCTGAGTAGCTGGGATTACAGGCATGTACCATCACGCCTGGCTAATTTTTGTATTTATAGTAGAGATGGGGTTTCACCATGTTGGCCAGGCTGGTCTCAAACTCCTGACCTTGTGATCTGCCCACCTTGGCCTCCCAAAGTGCTGGGATTACAGGCGTGAGCCACCACGCCCGGCCAAGGCTCTGAGATATTAAAGCTACCTATGAAATAGACTTTGCAGGCATATCGAGAATATACCAAGTGCAAGATGCATTACACAGGTCATTTAATTTAGTCTGAGCATACAACCGAGACTCAGTGAGGTTTAATTTACTCAGCATATAGGGTGTGACAGAGGCAGGATTTGAACCCCAGATTCTATGACTCTAACCAGCCCTATTTTTCTCCTCCTCAATGTCTGGGGCTGGCCCTGAAGCATACAGAACAATTAAGGCTTCTACCCTCCAGAATTCTGCAGTTCTTTAGGATTGAATCCATAAATTTTAGCTAGGCTGATAGCTATCCAGAATATAGACTTCATTTTCCTGCCTTCCTTGCAGCTAGAAATGGACCAATGGTAAGTAAGCAGGACTGGTGTATGCAGTTTCAGAAATTAAAGGGAGTGGGCACACCCTTCTTTGCCAGCAGCTTCTAAAACAACTCCCAGTGACCCTACTTCCTGGAAGTCATGCCCTTGTGTAGTTGCCTCCCCTGGAGTATGGGCTGGAGCTTGTACTTCTAACAGATAGAGGGTAGCATAAAACAATGGAAAGTAACTTCTTTTTAAAATTATTTGTTTATTTATTAGAGACAGGGCTTTGCTCTGTCACCCAGGCCGGGGTGCAGTGGCACCATCATAGCTCACTGTAACCTCAAACTCCTGGGCTCAAGCTATCCTCTCACCTCAGTCCCCAGAGTAGCTAGTACTACAGGCATGTATTACCATGCTTGTCTAATTTTCTTATCTTTTGTAGAGATAGGGTCTTGCTGTATTGCCCAGCCTGGTCTTGAACTCCTGGCTTCAAGTGATTCTTCCACCTCAGCCTCCCAAAGTGCGAGGATTACAGGTGTGAGCCACCATGACCAGCCAGAAGTCACTTCTAAGATCAACTTACAAAAGACTGTGGCTTCCATCTCCCTGACATTCTTGCTGGCTCTTCTTGCTTGCTCACTTGGATGAAGCAAGCTACCATGCTGTGAGCTGTGTTATGGAGAAGCCCATGTGACAAGGAACTGAGGGCCCTCTGACCAACAACCAGTGAGGAACTGAGACCCTCAGTCCAACAGCCTGTGGCAAACAGAATCCTGCCAATAATCATGTTAGTGATCTTGGAAGAAAATCCTTCCCAATTTGAGCCTGGAGATTTCTACAGCTTGGGCCAACACCTTGGTTGCAGACTTGTGAGAGACCCAAACCAGAGGACCCAGTCAAGCCATGCCCAGAGTCCTGACTTATAGAAACTATAAGATAATGCATGCTATTGATTCATGCCTCTAATTTGTTGGGTAGTTACACAGCAATAGATAACTAATATACCTTCTTTCTTCCTTTCTTCTTCCTTGCTAATTGGAAAATGGATGTGATAGTTGGAACAGACATCTTGGACAATAAAACAGACTTGAGGATTGAGGCCCTACATGGAGGAACAATGAGATAATAGAAGTCTGGGCCCTGACACCGTGATGATTTTGAAATGTCTTTCTTTCTCAGCTGACTTCAACCCTTCCTCTTTTTGTGTTACCCTTTTATGTAAACAAGGCTATGTCCAAGCAAAGTGGCGAAATAGGTCAAATTTGCCTCTGATATCCTAGTTGTTTCTGCATCTTCTTTACTCTTTCCTTGACATTTTCCTTGTCTAATGCTCAGTCCTCTTCAGTCCTTGTCTAATGCCCAGTCCTGCCTAGGATCCCCTTTAAAGCCCAGATCCTAGCCCTGGACATTTCTCTCCACCCTCTTCTTGCTATTGAGTTCTGGCAGAATGCCCAGTTCTAAGTTCAAAAGGCTGATAAGTGATGTGATTATTTGCTGCAGGAGTACAGGAGCAGTGGCAGGGGTGGGGCTGGAAGACAAAATAAGCAGATTTCAAATGATAACATTTCTGGAATTGTGAAATTATTAGAAAGAGAAATTTTTTTTTCTAAGGCTGAAAGAAAGAGGGATGAGGGAAGGCATTAGAATGAATGAGTGAATGAAAAGTGAAAGCCAGCCTGCTGTTGAGAATACAAAACGGTAGAGAATATAGATACTATTCCTTTTACGACTTTGGGAAGCAATTTATGATTCCTGAGTCCCTCTTTTTTTGTTGCTATTCTAGTAATGTTTGGATATAAAACATGATACTTGCTATAGGTCAGGAGAATTTGGCCTTTTGAGCTTCCATAATTTATTTCTATCATGGATCTTGTAAATGTTGTGTTTTTTAGTGTTGTCTTCCTGGCTAGGGATCAGGTACTGGCTTTCATTCATATTTGTGTTCCTGGCAACAAGCACTGTGCCTGGCACATAATAGGTACTCAGTCAATGCTGGAGTATGCTGTAAGGGAGATCTTTATTCCTCGATCCTGACTTTGGAAGCATTCTCAGGTTCATGCATGTGACACCTCCTTCACACACAAATATAGGCTGTCATTGCAGAATTTGTTCATTTATGTCACACAAATTTATGGAGCTCCTACTCTGTGCCAGGTACTATTCTAGATGCAAGGAGTACAACCATAAACGAACTAGACAAAAGTCTCTGCTCTCATAGTGCTTATGTACTGGTGGGGAAGACAGAAACTTAACAGATAAATAAGTACACATATGGTATGTTGGATGATGACAAGTACTATAGAAAAAAATAAAGCATAGGAGAGTGGTGACAGAATGTGGGGAGGATGAGAGTGGCTAGGGAAGACTTCCCGGAGGTGACTGTGGCAGGAGCCAGCTATACTCCCTAGAATTCTGTGCTCCTCTACACTCCCTGGCCTCTGTCGTAATAAAGCAGGGCTGGGTGGCTGGTGCTGGCCAATGGACTGTGAGCCGAAGGGGCGCATGTCACTTTCAGGCCAAGGCAATTCAGAGTCAGTGGGCTTTCTGCACCCCTCTCTTCTGCCTCAGAGCATTTAGAGGCCATGTGTTTAGAAAACAGTGTCACCAGATGGAAAGAAACTGGGTTCCCGAGAACTGAGTGGAGAAGAGAACTGCTCCTCATCTTCCTTGTATTTATTGCCCTGACTAATGCAGTGACATTTGAGCAAAGCCCTGAAGAAGGTGAGTGAGTGAGCCAAGTGGTTATCTTGAGAGAGGAACACCCCAGGCAGAGGGAACATGAGAGTGACAGCTGGACTAGGTTGAATCACTTACAGAGAACCAATTTTATGCCTCTCCAGCCTGCTTGGACATTTTGACTCAATGAAGTTTGCATATGTATACATGCAAACACAAAACTAAAGACTCCTGATTTTTAGATTAAAAACCCTGTACACCAGGTTTTGGTTTTGGCTTTTAAAATCATTATTATTTTCATTATTATTTATTATTTTTTTGAGACAGAGTCTCGCTCTGTTACCCAGGCTGGAGTGCAGTAGCACGATCTCGACTCACTTCAACCTCCGCCTCCCAGGTTCAAGCGATTCTCCTGCCTCAGCCTCCTGAGTAGCTGGGATTGCAGGTGCCACCACGCCGGGCTAATTTTTGTATTTTTAGTAGAGACGGGCTTTCGCCATGTTGGCCAGGCTGGTCTCAAACTCCTGACCTCAGGTGATCCATCCTCCTTGGCCTACCAAAGTTCTGGGATTACAGGCGTGAGCCACCTCATCCGGCCAAATTATTTTAATAAGCTTGATTCTTTAGAGTGATTTTAGGTTCACAGCAAAATTGAGAGGAAGGTACAGAGACTTCTCATACACTGCCTGCCCCAGGCACAGATGGTCTCCTCCACCAGAGTGCTACATTAGTTACAGCTGATGGACCTGCACTGACACATCATTACATCATTATCATCCACATCTACAGTTTACCTTAGGGTTCATTCTCGGTGTTGTACATTTTGTGGCTTTGGACAAATTTATGATGTTTCCACTATTATAGCATCATACAGAATCATTTCACTGCCCTAAAAGTTCTCTGTGCTCCAACAAGTTCCCTTTTTAAAAAAGGAAAAGAGGCCAGTTTATTTTGTGATTGTGAGCAAAAAAGAAATGACAAAGGCATCCATCTCCTATTCTCTGCCTTTTGCTCTCAGGAACAGACATTTTTTTCCTTCAGAAGAGATGTGGCTTATTCTAGATGCAGGGGTAATAGTGATGTCTGGGTCGAGGTCTGCATCCTTCACTCTTGGGGAGAGCTGGAGGCAATAGAGCCGGTGTAAGGACACCATCCAACTGTGGCAGCCCTCAGTGGCGCCCTCTTCTAGCTCCTGTGCACCCCGCAGGCCAGCCCTCACTGCTTCCCAAGGCTCTGAGAGCTCACATGCAACCTTTTTTCTCATTGGCTTAATTTCTCTTAAGACCACTTCACAAAAGCTCCATTGTAATCACTATCTGCTCAACTGCTTTCTCTTACTTACAAGTTTAGTAAACACAAACATTCTTCTGTCTAGGTCTTACTGACCTGTAGAAAGTTAACTGATGAATGGTACATTTTAAGTCAAAACATACTCTCTGAACCCCAAACATAGTAGAGCTTTTGGTACTCTTTCCAAAAAGAAGAAAATCATTACACTATTCTATATGGAAAAATTCCAATATATAAGCTGATGCAAATTTTGCCTTGCAAAAAAATCTCAATACCTGTGTTTAGATAAGTACAAATGAAACTTTAAGAAATTCCAGTATCACTGTTTCTCAAACTTGGATATCGTTCAGATCCTTTGTAAGGGGAAAAGATTCTCACAGATATCTAGAGTTAGCTTATAATTTTTTATAATGTTGCATACATATATGTGTATGTATATATGCAAACACAAAACTAAGAGCTCCTGATTTTTATAGATTTTATGCATCTATAAAACTAAAAAAATAAATTGAATACAAACAAAACTACCAAATGAGGAAATGCAAATCTACAATTTTGATTTAATATAAGGAATGATATTTTGCTGGAGCCAATATTCACATGAATATTGTAATACTGTGTGATGACTCAATTCTCCCACTACCCTTTGTTAGTGCAGCACACCACAATATAATTTGCCTATAACTTGGTGTGACCACATCATTTATTTTAAACATCATTCTCTGTTTTTTTTTCCTCACAAGTCTGTAACAATTCACTCAGTACTATTTGCAATCACAAATCCAGCAGTGAAACTGCATTCCCAGAATAATTATAAAGGGCTGATAAATTTATATAGATATTCCACTCCAATAGTAATCCCATACAGGTTAAAATGAGAGACCATTTCATCTATCATATTGGCAAATCTTTTTTTTTTTAAGATAAAATAAATGCCAGTGGGGGTGCGTGTGATGGGCACCACTGAGAGCTTCTGGTGAGAATGAAAACTGGCCTGACATTTCTGGAAGGCAGTTTGACCACGGGTATTCACAGACTTAAGAGTTTTCAAAGCCTTTGAATCAGTAATTCCACTTATAGGTTGCTAGCCTAAGGAAGGAAATAATTTTAAAATGTGGGCAAAGATAATGTGTAAGGATATTCATGGCAATGTTCTTGTTAGCAGTAAAAAATAGGAACTCCTGTATATGTCCAAAAATAGTGGAATAATGAAATACATGAAACTATATCATTAATAATTATGTAGCCATGACAAATAATATTTGTGAACAATTTTAGTGATGGTGGATAGTGCTCAAGATATAATAGTGAAAAAAAGAGGATGGATTATTAACTATATATCCTATAAATATATAGAATACACAACTAAATATTCTATGCAGTTCTATTATGTCACAAATGTAAATATACAAAGAAAAAGATCCAACGGATAAGCCAAAACTATAAGTGCCTTTTTCTGGGATGTGGGTAATTTCTGCTTTATTTTAAAATATTTCCTGAATTTTCCAAGTTTTCTACAATAAGCACACATTTTTTTTTATTATTATTAAGGCAAACAGCCCTGGAAAGGATAGCATTTGAGATTACTTCCTGCTGTGAACAGAGGTACATAAAAGGGCTGTTACTTTGGAGAGGTCTCAGAGTCAGTCTGGACCATCCTAAAATATTCTTTATTATAAGTTGAAATCTGCCTCTCTGCAACGTCCATACACAGGTCGTAGGCTTGCTTTCTTTCTACAGCTATTCAGAATAAGTCTATGAGTGTTGCAGAGATATTTCAAAAGGGTCAGTTTTTTAAAGTAATGGCAAAAACCGCAATTACTTGTGTACCAACCTAATAGCTACCTTTCCACTGCTCACCCCTATGACCCTGCTCTCCCCTACTTCTGCTAATTTCTTTTCCTCTGGATACTTTCAAAAGTTCTCTGTCACACAGGCTTTCTGGTCTCACCAGCTTGCTTATCCTTCTGTAGACAGTCTCTAGTTTAATAGCTTTACTAGAAAAATGTGATATTCAGAACCAAAGGCCGGTTTCCAGCCTTCTAAAGCACAGCTATCATCTTGCCACTCCTCTGCTCGAGTTCCTCTGGAGACTCTCACCAGAAGAGCAGAACACCCCAGCTTAGCGTGCAATGTCTTCCTGGATCTGGTCCTAGCCTTTCCAGCCTCATAGCCCACCACATCTCTAATACACACTACACCAGTGTCTTCAAACTATGGGTTGCTCTGCATCACTGAGTACTGAAATGAATTCAGTAACCAGCACTTAAAAAAAGAGAATAGAATAGAAAATACCAAGTTGCATTGTACACTCTAAGGGCAATTACTGTTTCAGCATATCTATCTATCTATCTATCTATCTATCTATCTATCTATAATGCACACTCACACATATGCGCATACTGTGTGTGTTTTTATACTAGGCCATGGCTGAAATGTATCTTTTTTTTTTTTTGAGACGGAGTCTCACTCTGTTACCCAGGCTGGAGTGCAATGGCACAATCTTGGCTCACTGCTGCAACCTCTGCCTCCTGGGTTCAAGCAATTCTCCTGCCTCAGCCTCCCGAGTAGCTGGGACCACAGGTGCATGCCACCACACCTGGCTAATTTTTGTATTTTTAGTAGAGACAGGGTTTCTCCATGTTGGTCAGGCTGGTCTTGAACTCCTGACCACCTGCCTCAGCCTCCCAAAGTGCTGGGATTGCAGGCATGAGTCACCGCACCTGGCCTGAAATGTATTTCTTACTGTGAGGGATGATTAAAAGAAGGTTGAAAGCCACTGGCCACACCACGGCTACATCAGGCCAATAACTAGTTCCCAAACTTGCTTTGTACTGCCTTTGATCCCACCCTTCCCTCAGCTAGGCATTCTCCCTGCTCTCTGCTACTGAAATCCTTCAAGGCCCTGACAAGATACCACATCCTTCCTTGAGTGTTTCACCCTTTCCCCCTGTCTGTGCGAAAATGGTGGTTCAATGTCTTTCTTTATATTACTCAAAACAGCCTGCCTTGTATTTTGTTATGTCTGTACACTGAATTCTTAGAAAATAAATACCTGGAGGACAGGGCAACACCTTCGGGTCTTCTGAAGGCCCAGAAGTCTAGTGAACCTAGCTGATGCTCAAAAATGTCTGCCCAACCGAATATTTTCTGTATCTCCTTCCAAGAGTATCTTCTGGTGTTCTTCCTCCTGTTTTCTTGACCTATATAGCCCCCAGCAGGCCTAAAATCTGTGTCCTGGGGCTAATGTTACGTACAGTGATGACTCTAGAAACCAGTCTGTTCTGAAAGCTTTCACCTTTCTTCAGGAGCGATAAGAGAAATAAGCATACGTTTTTGTTCATTTTTCAGATGTTTCCTTTATTTGAGACTATGTTTCTCCTGTATTTTTGGTGTTAAGATGTATTTTGGGGAGCAACACTGATGATATATTACAAGATAATAGTTGGTATTTTAGTATGTGTGTGCCTATTGTACTTATTTGACACAATAAATAGGCAATTCTGAGTTCATCTTTTAAAAAAAAAAAAAAGTTAAAAAAAATTTACTGGTTGCAAACTCCAAAAGGCAGGGAATCAACTTCCCTTCTGGGCTGGCTGCAAGTAAGTTCACTTTCTTAAAGGAGGAGCTTTCTCCTCTCACCTCAAGGACTGTTATTTATTTGTCTGCGCTACTCTTTCGACGTTTCCATTCTCTTGGTCCTCAAGATGTGAATCACCCATTTTTTCCGTAGGGGGGAAGACGGCGTATCTCTGGCCCTTTAAATAGGGGCGTGGTGAAGAGGCGCGGACCGCCCAGGAGGGGGAGCAGTGCGAGGAGGAAAGCGGAAGCGCTGCCCGCAGTGGTAGGTAGTGCGCGTGCGTGAGGCTAGAGCAGTGGGTGCGGTCACGTGGGCCGGCGGTCCACGGCCGGAATGGCAGCAAGCTCAGGTAACGAGTTTCCAGAGAGCGGGCCCGTGGAAGGAGACAGGATTGAGGGGCCGTATTCAGGGTAGGAGGAGAGCGCGCGACAGGTCTCTGAGCCTCGGCGTCTCCTCCCCGCGCGACAGCGGCGGGACCTCGGGGAGCGAACAGAGCAGCCCCTGACGGGCTAACCGGACCCGAGCCACGGGCCGGGCGGGGTTGATTCTCGAGTGGAGGGGCGTGTCGTACGTTGGCCCGGAACTGGGTCGGGCAATTTCCACTTACTGGTTCCAAATGAATGTGAAAATTCAAATGGGCTTAAGTAAAAAGGGATTTATTGGCTCCAAACCTGGAAGGGGCTGAGGTATCACTAAATCCAGTGACTCCGGTGATGTATTTGTGTATCTCTCCCTTTCTGCAAAGGGCCAGTAACCCCTCAGTTCCCTATCTACTTTGCGACTATAATTGCAAGCCTCATTCTGTCCTGTTACAGTCGTGCGGCAATTAGGCTGAGGGACTGGCGCGCCCGCTCCCCCGACTGTGAGCCTAGGCGGCGGGTGTCATGCCCCTCCCCACTCCCGGGCGGAACAGGTGTGTAGCCGGTCTGTCGGGCCTGGGAAACAGGTGTGGACCCCTTTAGCCTCCAGGGACTGATATCAAGGTGCCTGAGCCTGAGGCTTAGATGGGGTGTCCACCTCTTAGGATCGGTGCGCACCCTGTGAGGCTGGTTCCAGTTTGTCTCCGCGTGCAAGTTGTGCACCAGAGTGAGGGCAGCAGGGTGAAAGGTGGGCCTCTGAAGTTCGAGGCTACTCCTGTGCCTTGGCCAGTTCTTTGTGCTTGGCATCTGGGGAAGGAGGGAAACAGCTGCTCAGAGTGTCTGGGTGTACAAAATGGGGGTGCTTTACAGGAGGATAGGGTGGGAGGAGGTAGGATCGGTGAGAGGTTCCATGGCCGTGGGTTATCAGGAATAGCTAGCTGGGGAGCCTTCTTTAAATAAGCAGGCCCCCTCCACTTCTTAGATTCTTGTTAGAATGAATAGGAAGGCTTCTGGCCTCTGCACCATCCACCCTCTACCATACTCTACTTTCCCCTACTGAAAAACCCCAAAACCCAAGCAAAACAAGCATGGATGTTAGCTTGTGGTGCTAAACCTTACTCCAAATGTCTGCATTTGGGAGACAATTACATGTTAATTGTCTGTGTATGTCTATGTCTGCCTGTGTGGGTTTGAGGTATATCTAATATAAATGTGGATGGAGAATCTGCATATGTTTGTGTAAGACGTGGGTTTGCTCATGGTTAAATTTAAGCACAGAATAGGTATTGAATCCTCTGGCAATAGCTGGCCTGTTCCATAGAATATGCAATAAAGATAAATGGAAAAAAAATTCGTTGAACTACTGGGCTTTATATGGTCAAAGAGGCATTTGTGAGAAAATTCTTTCCAGAGCTCTAACAGAGTAATATGTTGATTTTTTCTTTATATTTAATATATTTGCTTCGTATCTGGACCATTGTCAGCAGATGGATGTTTTCTGTCTTCCAGAATATTGGGACATGTTGGTGATTCTTAGCTGTATCTCACTATTCCATTGACATTTCAACCAGTGTGACACAAAATGTCAGTTATGTATGTGAATGAGAAGTAAGATCTTTTGAATTTAATGAAGTATGTTTAACTTTGGATCTATTGATAGCTTTCATAGAGTTTAGATCGTATGTTCTCTTGATCCACAGCTGTAGGTGTCATCGGTACATAGTGGTAAGATCAAACTGTTGTATTCTTAACTGAATCTTGAATGAATATTTGACTTATCTTCACGCTGTATGACATTATTAAATGTGTTCTGTGTTTTAGCAAGGAAATATAGCTTTGCGTTGGATTTTTCACTGTTATGAATTTCTTAGGTTTACTGTAATAGCAATTATACTTTTTTAGTCAAAGATATTTCTGTTGCAAGTGACAGAAAATTCAAATGGGCTTAAGCTAAAAGGGATTTATTGGCTCCAAACCTGGAAGGGGCTGGGGTATCACTATATCACTAAATCCAGTGACTCCAGTGATGGAGTACTTGTGTCTCTCTCCCTTTCTGCAAAGGACCAGTAACCCCCAGTTCCCTATCTCCTCTGCAACTGTAATTGCAAGCCTCATTCTTCCTGTTACAGTCATGGGACAGTTAGGGGATATGTTCTGAGAAATGTGTGGTTAGGCAAATTTTGTCATTGTGCATGCATCATAGTGTACTTACACAAACCTAGATGGTGTAGTCTGCTACACACCTAGACTATGTGGGATGGCCTGTTGCTGCTAGGCTATAAACCAGCACAGCATGTTACTGTACTGAATACTGTAGGTGGTTGTAACACAATGGCCAAGTATTTGTATATCTAAACATAGAAAAGGTACAGTAAAAATACAGTTTAAAAGATTGAAAAATGTGAACCTGTGTGGGGCACTTACCATGGATGGAGTTTGCAGGACTGGAAGTTGCTGTGGGTGAGGCAGTGAGTAGTGAGTGAGTGTGAAGGCCTAGGACATTATTGTACACTACTGTAGACTTTTTGAACACTGTACACTTAGGCTACACTGAATTTATTAAAAATTTTTTCTTTCTCCAATAATAAATTAACCTTAGCTTACTGTAATGTAACTTTTATGTTATAAACTTTTTAATTTAAAAAAGTTTTTAACTTCTTTGTGATAAAACTTAGCTTAAAATACAAACACATTGTACAATTAGCTGTACAAAAATATTTTCTTTATATCCTTATTCTGTTAGCTTTTTTCTATTTCAAAAAATTTTAATCTTTAAAAACGAAGACGCAAACACACACATTACTCTAGGCCTACACAGAGTCAGGAAGGTCCCGGTGGAATGTCTTTAGAGGCAGTAACACATAGGGAACTGTCATCTCTTATGATAACAGTGCCTTCTGGAATACCTCCTGAAGGACCTGCCTGAAACTGTTTTACAGCTAATTTTTAAATTTTTAAATAAGTGGATGAGTACACTCTAAAGATAAAAAGTATAGGATAGCAAATACATAAACTGGCACATAGTTTATTATCAAGTATTATGTACTGCACATAATTGTATGTGCTTAGCTTTTATACTACTGGCAGTGCGGTAGGTCTGTTTACATCAGCATCACCACAGACAGATGAGTAATGCATTCATTACAACAGCTGTGACATCACTGGGCTACAGGCATTTTTCTGCTCCATTATGTGTAATGTTAGGGGACCATGGTTGTATATGTGGTCTGTCGTTGACCCAAAACGTCTTTTTGGGGCACATGACTGTATATAAATGCATAAAAGATGTGACTGCAGATGACTCCTGTGTTATGCCATCCAAGATTAAGCACCCTAGAATAAAGAGAAATTCCAGAAGTACCTTGATTGGCCACATAGGACCCAAGAATGTGATGTGCCTACTCTTCTGCTCCGCTAGCTAGGCAGATAGGGTACTTGATTGGCAGCACCACCAAAATCACATGGTTGGAATGGAGGAGAAGCAGTTGCCCTCCAGGAAAGGTGGCAGTGGTGCTGGGGTGTTTTAACCTTTGTTTTTTCCGTTGCAGTTCAGCAAGACGCTTCCAGTTACTTCCTGCTCTTAAAAAAAAAAAAAAAAAAAGAATAAATCTCTCATGACTCTATATCCTTCTTGACACCTAACCAAGAGAAATTGAGATGACAGTTAATTGCAAATTAATAAAGAAGGCCATCATCTACTCAGCCTTTACCTAAGTGGAATCCTGTCTTTTGCGCATTTAACTTACAAGAATTTACCTGCATCAGTCAGTTATGTGAAGAAGAAAAGGGAATATATTTCAGCGTACACAAGGCCCTTGTGCTTTTTAGGAGGAGTTCTTTGGAGCTGAAGTGGGTCTGAGAAGAGACATTCTCATGATAGTGGAGACAGTATTATAGAAGCTGGAAGTGATCATTTTTCTCTGTTATTTATTTCACTTATTACCTCACACACATATTGATATAAAACTGATCAATAAAGTTAGAATTTCTACATTATCTAGATATTTGTAGACTTCGTTCATATTATTGTTTTGTATATTGTGATAGGGGATTAGATTTTTCTTTTCTAGGCTGGAGCTGATTGTCTGACAATTCATAGCAGTAACTTAGCACTCACTGTATACAGGAAGGTCTTAGGCACTGTTCCTTCCCCTTACTTTTCTTTTTAACATTTTTTAATCTGTATGTACTTATGATCACTCTCCTCATTTAGACATTCACCAACAACAGAAAGAGAAACAGAGGGTTGGGCTTTTTCGTCGTGGCAGTTCTGGCACTGTGAGCTACAATTACCTAAATGTGCCTTCTTGGAAAGAAATTCCAGGGTCAAGTAAAGCAGCCCATCCCAGTATATAGTAATGTTTCTCTAAATAGGGTCTGTATCTAAATGAATAAGGTGAAAATTGAGTACCCTCAAAGTACCCCAAGAGGGAGTCATATCAGAGACTGACAAGCGGTGGGTCTCTCAGGAAGCCCCATACGGCCAGATCTTGTTTTTCCATGTTGGAACTGCATGGCGTTTGTTATTTTGAGCACAGGTGACGTGAACTGCTTGGGTGTGAGGCATGTGAGAACTGAGACATAGAACAGCAGCTGACCATCTCCTATTCTGTGCCCACTGTGAAGCAAGAAGTTATTGAGTGGAGGTATGCAGAATCATGAATCATGATTCATAGAATCATCTATATGAATCATTTCTTTCTCTCCTTCCCGTTGCTGAAGATAATAGATGAAATCCTGCAAATTGAATGGAAGTATGGTACATTTCCACTGTATTCATCTTGGCCTCTAAGCTGAATTAACGTAAAAGAACATAAAACATCTGAGATTGTGGGATTTGCATCATGTTATAAATGAGCTAAGTGATTTAAAAATATCTCTCCTAGATGCAAAGAATGGAACTTGCACAGATGGAGGCGTTTTGGAGTAGTGTAACTAACCATACTTTGTATTACGTGACCAGAACTGCTATTTGAGATTCTGGAAGCCAGTGATGCAGTCTTGCTTGGGTATTTACCTAGGGAGGGAGGGAGGGAGGGAGGAATGGGTGGATGGGTAGATGGGTGGGTTGATCAGCTGCTGTGTCATATCGGCACGGGGAATAGAATGGTGAACAAGGCAGATCTGGTCTTTGCTCTCTCATGGAACCTGCATTCCAACTGGGGGCAAGGAATGGTGGTTTAGACAATGAGGAAATCATTACAATGTGGTAAGTGTAGTAAAAGAGGAGAACGATGTTATGGGTGCATACTAACAGGAAACAGCCTAGTTGAGCAGGGCAAAAAAAGGCCTTCCTAAGGAAGCAAAGTTTTAGCCGATAGTTGATAAATATGACCTGCAGTGGTTGACAAGCTTGACTACATATAAGTAGTATTCAATTATAACTTGGCTTCTTATGGTATAGATTCCTATATGCTGTGAGTCAAATAATATCCTCTGGAGCTTAACAATTACAAGTAATAACACTGATAGATTTAATTTGCAACACAGATGTTATTCCTGTCTCTTAGTTCCTATGTTAATCAAACATTTTTCGAATGTCTACCTAGCTGTGCAAGCCAGTAAGCCCAGTGATGTGGAATATTCAAAGGAGCATGGCCCCATTTTTATTATATAGCTGGGGAGAAAAGAGTCACATGGTAAATTAACTAATGAATCAGCATGAGGAAAGAGCCAAGCCACTGTTTTAAAAGAAGACATGTTTTCTGAATTCAGAGGATGGTTAGGGAAGGAAGAGGTCATAGGCAGATCCAGTTTGAACGGTGCCCAGAAGGAAGAAAGGAAGTTAGATAAATGTAGAGAAAAAGGAAAGGAAAGGGAAGGTGAATCAGCTTGAGCAGACATGAAGGGAAAGTGGAAGCTATTCATGAAGGACTCTTAGTGCAAAAATAATAAATTCAATTGTAAGGGAAGGAGGCAGAAGGATCAGCTCGTGTGATATCTGGAGTCACAGGCTTAGAATTTGGGATTTTATCCTGGAGGCATTGGGAATCTGTTAAAAATAAGTCCACTTGTGCTGGGCGTGGTGGCTTACACCTGTAATCCCAGCACTTTGGGAGGCTGAGGCGGTCAGATGGCTTGAGCCCAGGAGTTTGAGACCAGCCTGGCCAACATCATCTCTATGAAAAATTCAAAAAATTAGCTGGGCATGGTGGTGTGCGCCTGTAGACCCAGCTACTTGGGAGGCTGAAGTGGGAGGATTGCTTGACCTGGGAGGCAGAGGTTGTAATGAGCCGAGCTTATGCCACTGCACTCCAGCCTGGGTGACAGAGGGGGAACCTGTCTCAAAAAAAAAAAAAAAAAAGTCCATTTGCCAGAAGGTAATAGAAAACTAATAGAAGTTAACCCACCATTGCATTTTATTTTTCCCTTTACAAAGCAAACCACAAAACAAAACAAAGGAATGAAGAGAAATGCTTGGATTGGGAAGGCCAAAAATAAAATTTGCATGTAATGTTGTACTATATCATGATTTTGTGATTGTTTTCTAGCATTATATAGTAAATAAAAACTTGATTCTATTTCATTGTAATGTGAAAAAGTATCTCATATGACACTTTTAGGAGGAAAAGAATGTCAGGATTAAACAGGATCATGGAGCTTGAGAACAGTTAGGAATAAATGTTTCCCAAGGTGAAAACTGGTGAAAAGCCAGGCATGGTGGCACAGGCTGGTAGTTGCAGCTACTTGGGAGACGTGAAGTAGGAGGATCGCTTGAGGCCAGGAGTTTAAGGCTAACCTGGGCGACATAGCAAGATCCCATCTCTTAAAAAAAAACTGGTGCAAGTTTAACTTGGCGTAATATAGGTCACACATTCTAGAGTTCTTATTCAGTTAGCCAGTGTCATAATTAAGTCATTGCTGTTTATATGGCGCATATCTTTTTTTAATGGTCCTTGAATCTATTAATTGGTTGGGAATAACAATTAAGAGGAAATAACAGAATTATCAAGATGTCAGATAATCTTATGTCTGAACTATTAAAATACTCATTTATCAGCACTCAGAAGAGACAGCATACTGGGTAATTATGATTCCATGACATGTATTTCCTATCAGATTAATCTGATTTCATTCTAAGAGAGACTAAGAAATCATGAAGCCTGTTTTGTTATGTGCAAGTACTCTCTGGTATGGTATCCTCTTAAGAACTATAAAAACACTAGCTCACATGATGGTTGGGTGAAGAACTAGTTGTAGAATTGCATCCCAGCAGGAATTTATGAGTGGTTCATTATCAACCTTTTACTGGGATAACATTTAAGGGATAGCTGAAGCAGGATCAGTATCAAGAGTGAAATATTAAGCATCATATAGTAAGCATTCCATCATTGGTGCATATATTGGAATGAAGGGCCTGCTTAATAAACACATGGGCAACACCAACCCACAAGGTAAGGGTTAATATTTCAGAATGTTGGATATGTGACCAGAAACAAATTAACTTATATTTATTAGTACAGTTGACCCTTGAACAATGCGGGGGTTAAGGGCACTACCCCCTCAACCAGTGGAAAATCTGAGTACAACTTGTGACTCCCCAAAAACTTTACTACTACTACCTACTGTTGAGCAGAAGCCTTACTGATAACATTAACAGTTGTTTAACACATATTTTGTGTGTTATTTGTATTTAGTTACAATAAAGTAAGCTAAAGAAAAGATATTAAGATTCTAAGGAAGAGGAAATATACTTGCTTTTCATTACGTGTAAGTGGATCATTATAAAGGCCTTCATCCTTGTCTGAACGTTGAGTAGGCTGAGGAGGAGGAGGAGGGGTTGGTCTCACTGTCTTGGGTGGAAGAGGCGGAAGAAAACCCACTTGTAAGTGGACCCTTGAAGTTCAAACCTGTGTTGTTCAAGGATCCACTGTCTATTCATTTCCTATTGTTGCCGTAAATTACCGTAAAGTTAGTAGTATAAAACAATGCAGATTTATTTTACAGTTCAGTACTTCACAAGTCTCACCCCAGTCTCACTAAAATTAAGAGATCAAGACGACTTCAGTCCTTCTGGAGGCTCTCGGAGACCATCTGTTTCCTTGTCTTTCGCAGCTTCTAGAGGCTGCCTGCATCCTTGGCTCCTGAGCCCTGTTCTCCGTGTTCAACGCCTGTGACATGGTGTCACATCTCTTTCTCTGGCGTTCTCTTCTGCCTCTCTCTTCCCCTTTCAAGGACCTTTGTGATTACATTGGACCCACCCAAATCATCCGGAATAACCTTCCTGTCAAGGTCTTAATTTAACCTGCAAAATCCCTTTTGCCATATCAAGTAACATATTCATGGTTTCTGGGGATTAGGACTGGCATTGTTGGATACCCTCATACTGCCTACCACTGGTAGATTCCCAGCTTAGGTACTTTCTGAAAAATTCACAGAAGCTGCTCATGTGAACTCTCCTTTTAAAAAAAATTTGAGCATGGTGACCTTTTGATTCACCAGGTCTCTTTGAGTTGGAAAAACTTACTGACTAAAATGAAGAAAGGAATAATTGCTGGTAAGTGACAAAAGAGGAACTTGGGAAGGGGACATAGTTGGCTTCACTAATAAAGTGTAGACTAATGTTGATGTTAAAAAAAACCTAAAACATGATTTTAGAATGAGTTAGTAACAATAAGACACTTCTGTTATAATTAAAGTTTTTATTAAGTGTCTCTGTTGCTTTGGTGGGGGCTGTACTAGTCTTAGACAAAACCCCTATCATTCAGCTCATGAAGAACTGCTGTGATATCCAGGATATCGTTCTGATATGCTTAGCACTGGCTAGACCTTTACAAAAATACTGGATTTTGTTTTAGAATCTTTAACTTTAGAAAACTTTGAAAATTTTGAGGTTTTAAATGTAATAGCTAATATCTGTTGAAAATTATGTCCAGACATTATTCTCAATGCTTTGTAATCATATCATTTGTTCCTCACAGGAGCCCTGCAGAGTAGGTAGTTGCATTTATAAGAGCCAGGACTCTCAATTTTAAGTGCTAAAAGAAAGGGGGAAGTTGGGAGAGTATATGTTGGTTTATGTAGCCAGACTGCCAGAAGGCTATGGGCAGAGCTAACTTCATAGAAGACTAGAATCTGAGGCTTGAATAATGTCAGAACTTTCTTCTCTACTTTTTTTTTTTTTTAGAGACGGAGTCTTGCTCTGTTGCCCAGGCTGGAGTGCAGTGGCGCGAACTTGGCTCATTGCATCCTCCGCCTCCCGGGTTCAAGCAATTCTCCTGCCTCAGCCTCCTGAGTAGCTGGGACTACAGGCACACGCCACCACGCTTGGCTAATTTTTTTTTTGTATTTTAGTAGAGACGAGGTTTCACCGTGTTGCTGCCCAGGCTGGTCTTGAACTCCTGAGCTCAGGAAATCCACCCGCCTCAGCCTCCCAAAGTGCTAGGATTACAGGTGTGAGGCACTGTGCCTGGCCTCTACTTCGTTTTTTTAGATAGGTTTCATGCTTGCTAGAGAATCTGTACCTAGAACCTAAGTTCTATCAATAGAGGTTCATCTCCAGTGACAGATGCTTAGTGTTTAGTTAGGTGTGTGTTAAGTGAATGATTTCTTTTCTGCAGAAGCGAGCTGGGTGGGGAATGTGGGATCTGCTCAGCCACATTATTCATTGTATAGAGAACAATGGAAATATCTCTTCCTCATCAGTTCCATTTTAATGAATCCTGGTGAAAGACTCTGGCTATCACATAATCCCTTATACTAAGGGATTTTTGACCATTAGCCTCTACGAGAACACATGGTTTGAAGGAGCCCTTCCCAGAACAAGAGACGCTGTTCTGAGCAAACAACACAAATGTCCACAATATTCCATTTTAATGATATAGAAATAGAGAGGTTCAGAAAAGGTAAACAAATTAACCAAGGTCACAGATAGGAACTCATAAAGTCCAGATTCAGACTTGATTTATTTATTTTATTTTTTGGGGGGTCAGGGGTGGGGAGAAGTGATTATTTCCTGGTCATTTCTAAGAAAAGTGGCCACAACAGCAGACCTAATAATAGACTCTTTGGCTTGTGTTCTGTCCACTTTGCCAGCACATTACATTGGTAAAAGGAGCTCAGTGAAATGAAGGTCAGAAATGGGGCAGGGTAGCTTGGTGGGATGATGTCTTCAGGGAGTGCCTGATCACCTGACACTTCTTCAGTGTGATATTGGGGTTCACAGATGCTGAATTGTTACATGGTCTTGGAACCTCTTAATAACTCCAGATATGAGATAAAAAGAGCTGGAAAAAATTGTTTTCCTTTCTGAGTTATTTTGGAAAGAGATAAAATATGAAACATTTTAGATTATTAAATCAGTTAAATATTATTTTCCTGTATGGTCTTTCCCACTATTTTTGAAAAATGTGTAAGAATAAAAGTTAATAACTATCTTTAGGAACCACTGAACGTGAATTAGATTGTGCATGTTTGTAAATAGTTGTTAAATAATTGCAACCCTTTTTGCTTAGTGGTACAAATAGGAGTTGAAAGACTTTATTAAAAAGTAATTTGTCATGAGCTAAGGTCTTTGAAGAAATGAGTATAAACATTAGTATTGCTACTGCATTTGGGTTATTGCAAAAGGAGCCCTATATTTAGAACCTGATGTTGGAAAGATACTTTAAAATGTTGCCAGGCAAAGAGTGGCCTCAGTTATGTGTTCTAGGAATGTGTTTGATAGTGTGTGTTTTATTAGGACACAACCCTATAAATAGAAAACCCATTTTCTGTAACGTGAAAGAAATTAGTCTGTATTTGGTAATATACCAAATAGTGTAATAGCTAGAAAAGTTGGTTTCAGCTCTTGAAAAGTCAGTTTCATAAGTCCATGATTTATACAAGGTAACTATTCATTTCTTTTAATATGATAAAAATGAAACATCAAAGGAAGTGAATTAATTATAGGTACTAAAATAATGAGCTTCATTAGATAAAATTGTCAGTGAATTTTTAGCATATTGTTTAAAAACAACTAATCTCAGTTCACTTTTTAAAAAATTAGTTATTTCAAGCCAGGCATGATGGCACATGCCTGTAGTCCCAGCTACTCAGGAGGCTGAGGCTGGAGGATGGCTTGAGCCCAAGAGTTGGAGGCCACGTTGACAATATAGTGAGACTCCATTTCTTAAAAGAAATTAAGTGGCTCAGTAATTACAAGTCTTTTTTTTCTGCCTTCACTAACATGCACAATCCATCTTTACTAACATACACAATCTAATTTACTAAGAGAAGCTCACTGCAGGGCAAGGGTTGGTGGTAGTGGTGTTTATACACGCTAAAGGCAGTATGTAGTTTGAAAGAGCTTTGCACTGAGAGTTTTGCCAGTTGTTTGGTACTGTGAAAAACATCTAGTTTAGGAAACAAAATGATCTTTATTATTATTATTATTAGGGCATTGTTTCTGTTTTCATATTTTTGCTTTATCCTAAACAGGTAAAGCTAATTGGACTTTTTAAAGTTGGGTCACTTGTGGCCTAATTGAAACACAAAGTAAAATCATTTAAAAGCAGACTTAATTATTAAACTTACAGTAATGTTTTCAGTATATTTTAGCTTTCTAAAAATGACAGTTTTGCAAGTAAACCAAATTATCTGTGATTTTTGATATAAGTGTGATCTATCATTTAGAGCTCTGAAATAATAAAAAGCTGTATAAGTTTCTAGTTTTCTTTAGTATTTCATTTCTCTCTGAAAATGTCCATGTTTCTCTGTGACTGGCTCTGTTTCTAGAAATCTCTGGTAGGCTATGGAGTTATTTTATCTTGGGGTCATTGTTGTTTCCTTTAATAGATCTGAACCCTTAGGTTTGCTCGTGTTGTATTAAATAGCTAGTTGTTCATCCTCAGTGTTTCTGCTAAGCTCCCAGAGACGTCTGTGGCCCTGTGCAGAGGCCAACAACAAAACTGGTTTATATGCTTATTTCCAGGGGAACTGGAGCACTACCCTGGGGTTTGGAATGTAAAGAAGGCATTAATTGCAGCTTTTGGCACCGATTTACCCTTATGCTGTTAGGTAAATAAATCTAGTTGGTACCAGGTCTAGTGGCTGAGCCTATTAAGTTATCACTATCACCAGTTTCATGACTTTGGGTGGCGGGCCACTTCCTAAAGTCCTTGAGCCCAAGTTAGCTGTTCCTCCTTTATGCTCTCATTGAAACCCTCTCCTAATAACATACCCTGTACCCCACTGTTAATTTCAGTTTGCCTGCAATCGGATGTTTAGGTGAAATCTGACCAAGTAAGTCTTTGGAATGTCCAATTGACAAGGAGGAAATCTAAATGATAGTGTTTTGTTTTGTTTTTGTTTTTTTCTTTTTTTGAAAAGAGATAATCATTCAGGTCTTCGTGAGCTAAGGCCAAACAAACAAAAAACACTTGCTTTGATGGACTGAATACTGTTATTAGAAGTAAATATGGAAAATGAACCAGACCATGAAAATGTGGAACAGAGCCTCTGTGCCAAGACGAGCGAAGAAGAGCTGAATAAGTCTTTCAATCTAGAAGCTTCACTTTCAAAATTCTCTTACATAGATATGGACAAGGAACTGGAGTTCAAAAATGATCTGGTAAAAATTTCAATTTCTGTCAAGTGATAATGTTTAACCAGTGTAGATTAGAGTATGCTTTGTGACCCAGAGACTCTAAGTCTGTCATTTTTGCATGGGTTAATAGGAGTCTGTGTATAATTTTTTTTTTTTTTTTTGGATACAGGGTCTCACTCTGTTGTCCAGGTTGGAGTACAGTGGTGCAAACATGGCTCACTGAAGCTTCAACCTCCTGGGCTCAAGTGATCCTCCTACCTCAGCCTCCCAAGTAGCTGGGACCACAGGTGTGTGTCACCACGCCCGCCTAATTTTTAATTTTTTTGTAGAGAGGGTCTCGCCATGTTGCCCAGGCTGGTCTCAAACTCCTGGACTTAAGCAGTTCTCCCTTCTTGGCCCCCACGTGTATAGTTTTATGAGATAACATTACTCTTCATTTGTATAGTCCATTACAGTTTATGAAACAATTTGATTCATGTTGTCATTTGAGCTTTACAACTCTCACAACACTCTGATAATCCATTGTATAGATGAAGACACTGGCATGCAGCTATGTAAATGACTTCTCAAAGTCACAGAGCCAGTGGTAGTTCCTTATCTTGCACAGCATTTTTTTTTCCCTTTGATTTAATATTATGTTAATGGGTTTCTATGAGTATGAGAATAACAGCATGTTGCTTGACCTAATTATCTCTCACCATAATTTATGAAATAACTAAGAAATGTGATGTCAGACTTTTGCTTATTGCTTATGACTTATGTCTAAACTTAGAAAATTAGGGGTTTTCTTAGATGTTGTTTTGTCATGTTTAAGAAAGCAGATGCAAAAGTCTTTCAACACAAGTTTTCTGGAAAGTAGGCCGGGCGTGGTGGCTCACGCCTGTGATTCCAGCACTTTATGAGGCCGAGATGGGTGGATCACTTGAGGTCAGGAGTCCAAGACCAGCCTGGCCTTATGATGAAACCCCATCTCTACTAAAAATACAAAAAAGATTAGCTGCTTGTGGTGGCACGTGCCTGTACTCCTAGCTCCTTGGGGGACTGAGGCAGAATTGCTTGAACCCGGGAGGTGGAGGTTGCAGTGAGCTGAGATCACACCATTGCACTCCAGCCTGGGCATCACAGCAAGACTCTGTCTCAAAAAAAAAAAAAAAGTGTTCTGGAAAGGGCTGTCAGGATAGTGCAGTTAGTGCATATATGTCCTTGATGGTAACTGAACGTGTAGATAGGAAAGGAAACCACTCTGTAGTCTTGACTTGATTATTACTGTGGATTTTTGAGTTGATCATTTTGGTGGTAAGTTTGTCTTTTAATTGATGGTGGTTTTAATCAACTAAAACCCCTCACAATTATAAGCAGAAAGGCATCATTTTGTGAGCACTATTTTTTTTCTTTATTTAGATTGATGACAAGGAGTTTGATATTCCTCAAGTTGATACTCCTCCAACACTGGAAAGCATACTAAATGAGGTAAGTGAATATTAATGATTACTGTCATTTTGTGTGTGGCATTCATCTTAATACTTTTTGGATTAGTTATCATACATGCACCTAGATGCGCACTTTCCAGTAGGGTAGCCACTAGTCGTGTGTGTCAGTTTAAAATTTAAATTAATTATAATCAAATAAAAATTTAATTCCTTGGCTGCACAAGGCACATTTCAAGTGCTCAATAGCCACGTGTGGCTAGTGGCTACTATATGGCTAGGGGACAGCATAGATAAAGAGTATTTCCGTCATCACAGAAAGTTCTCTTGGACAGCAGTAGTCTAGATTGTGAGCTTCTCAAGGGCATAAACCATCTCTTGTTCATCTTTAGGGTCTCTGTGCCCAGAACAATGCCTAATACTTGGCAGACTTTAAAATATATTTTATTAAGTGAATTGAGATGCAAAATTTATGTCACTTTTGAGGTTTGTATTATGTGTTGCTAATGGTTAAGTTGTCTCTACCACTGATATTCAAATAGCTTGTCCTCTGACGCTAAAGAACATCTTGCAACCTTATAATAAGCTTCATCACTCTTCTACATGAAGAAAACTAATCTTTTATAGTTTATCTTATGAATACCATTTCTAATGAAAAGTTTTTCAGAGTTTTGAAATGGTGTTATTCTTTTCTGAATTGGGAGATCAAAGGCTTTCTAAAGGGGCTCTGTGAGAGGACATGGTTGGTGAAGCACGCCTGTTTTATATACCCTGCATCTGCTGACAACCCTTCAACTCAGTCTTCATTTTTTAAAAACTTGCTTGAGACTTCCCTTGGAGGTTTTAGCTTCTAATTTGAGAAAGATCTTGCAATGTATAAATCTATTTCAAATCCGCAGTTATGTTTTCCAAAAGATAAAGACCCAAAAGTTCCCTGACAGAAAGGCCCACGTATACCAAAGCTCCGAGTGAGTTGGGCCTCTGTCTTTATTATTTCTTTGCCTATCCTGTGAGGGTTGTAGGCAGCACTTTATAGGATGCAAACTACTTTCTCTGTCAATTATGTCTTTTATTTTTCTTGTATGGCTTTTATTTCTATGTTTTACATCAGTTTGATGTTGCTGTTACTTTGAGTGTATTTTAACTTTGAATGTGTTCTAACTTCAGAAGTGTCCTATATGTTCTGTGTGAAGACTTAAGCATTTTTAGTTTTGATAAAGAAGGCTTTGGTCCATGAAAGAATATTCTGTTACAGTGAAATGTCCTTTATTTACTTTCTAATATAGAGGAAATCTTTCATTTAGAGGTGAGAAGATTAATTTTAGTCAGTTTTGTTAAAATGGCCTTAATTGCATCCTCATTTCAATTATTAAGTGTAAAATAAAAATAATCTTAGAGGACTGTGTATAAGGCCTTGTTTGTAAATTATTATATCAGCAAAGAAAATAATGCTCATGTGAATGAGCTGTGGTTCATAATGAAGGAAAACTGTTCCTGCACAACAACTTTCTTATCTGTGAGTAACAGTAAGTATAGTCATTAGTGGTTTACTAAGAAGATAACACTGTTATCATCCTCAATAGTAGTTTGAGTGTCTAGTGTATTTGGGTCATGGTGTTAGATGTTGGGGTTATAAAGTGCAATATGACTATCTCTGTGCTTGAGAAGGAAATGAGGCTGGGAACTGGCCAGACTTTACACCTCCAGGGAACCAGGCAAGTCGTAAGTGGAAGAAAACATAGTTCAAATTGTAGACCATTATGAAGACGATAAGGGGGCTGTGGGGAGTACTAAAGAAAATGACTGAAGGAAAAATGAAAAGGGCCGAAGTAGAAAACATAAATAAGACCTTTTCTCAGGATATGTGGATGCATATATTCTATAATGTTCATTAATATCAACCTTAAAGGAGACTGGGAAGAAATGGACATCCACTTTTTTTGTTTGTTTTTGTTTGTTTGTTTGTTTTGAGATGGAGTCTCACTCCATCGCCCAGGCTGTAGTGCAATGGCACGATCTTGGCTCACTGCACCCTCCACCTCCCAGGCTCAAGCGATTCTCGTGCCTCAGCCTCCTGAGTAGCTGGGATTACAGGTGCCCACCACCACGCCCAGCTAATTTTTATATTTTAGTAGAGACGGGGTTTCACCATGTTGGCCAGGCTGGTCTCAAACTCCTGACCTCAAGTGATCTGCGGGCCTCGGCCTCCCAAAGTTCTGGGATTGTAGGCATGAGCCACCATACCTGGCCGATGCTTTTTAAAGTAGAAATTTAGAGATTACTGAGACATCCTAGATCTCAGAATTTAGGACATGAAAGAATGTTACTAGGTATTGCCATCCTTTGAAACTATGCTTCTTCTGAGATTTTTAATTTTGAAATTCCATTCTTTAACTATAACCTTTTTCCCCTATTTCCTTCCATTGAAACTGTTTTTTGGCCTCATTAAGACCAAGTCTTTGACCCTTTCTAATCTCCCAGTTTCTGAGAATAGTCCTAGGTTTACTTCAATCCTGCTGTTGGATTGTGCAGCCAGAAATTTCTTTTGAACTTTTCATTGAAGTATATCATACATAGAGGAAGGTGCACAAATCATAAGTGTACAGTGTGGTGAATGTTAACAAACTGAACAACCTGTGTAACCAGAATCCAGATAAAGCAGCCGAACATTACTAGTACCCTAGAAGCTCATCTTGTGTCCCTTTAGTACCCAAACCCAGGGTAATTACTACTCTAACTTCTACCAGCATTGATTAAGTTTGCCTGCTTTGAACTTTATATAAATGGAATTATATAGTGTGTACTTTTCTGTTTCTGACTTCTTTCCCTTAATATTATGTTTTTAGATTTGTTCACATTGCTGTGTAAAATTCCTTGTGAATATACCTTTATTCATTCTACTGTTGATAGGTATTTGTGTAGTTTCTAATTTCTGACTACTATGAAGAGTGCTGCTGTAAAGTTTCTTATTAATGTGTTTTGGCATGTACATACTTACACACATTTCTGGTTTTTATCTGTTTTCATTTTGTTCTTTTTTTTGAGACAAGAGTCTCACTCTATCACCCAGGCTGGAGTGCAGTGGCGCGATCAGGGCTCACTGCAACCTCCTCCTCCTGGGTTCAAGTGATTCTCGTGCCTCAGCCTCCCGAGTAGGTGGGATTACCGGCATGCACCACCATACGTGGCAAAGTTTTTTGTATTTTTAGTAGAGACGGGGTTTTGCTATGTTGGCCAGGCTGGTCTCGAACTCCTGACCTCAGGTGATCTGCCTGCCTTGGCCCCCCAGAGTGCTGGTATTACAGGCATGAGCCCCTGTGCCCAGCTTTATACACATTTCTGTTGGGCATATACCTAGGAGGGGAATTAGTGGGTCATCAGGTATAGTTATATTCAGCTTTGGTATATATTGGCACCGTTTTTGAAAGTGGTGGTATTGATATACACTTCCAGCAACAGTATATGAGATTTCTGATTACTATATCCTTGTAAACGTTTGAATTTTTCTGTCTTTTTCACTTTCATTCTTAAAAGATTTGTAGTGCTATCACATCATGATTTTAATTTGTATTTCCCTAAAGACTAATGAAATTGGGTACTTTGACATAGGTTTTGACCGTTTGAATATCTCTTTTGTGAATTGCCTTTTCATATAATTAGCCCACTTCTGTCGTTTTATTTTTTAAGTGATTTATAGGAGTTCTTTATATATGCTAATACAAGCCCTTTATTTGATGTACATATTTTATCTTCTTTCTTTCTGTACATTACCTTTTCACTCTATTAATGGTTTCTTTTGAGGAGCACAAGTTCTTAATATAGTTCAGCTTATTAAAATTTTCCATTCGTGTGCGTGTGTGTGTCCTATTTAAGAAAATTTTTCCAATTCTGATGTTATGATGATGTTACCCTATTTTGTTCTAAAATCTTCATTGTTGTTCCTTTCATATGTAGATCTGTAATTCATCTGGAATTTTTTTTGGGTGTGATAGTGTGAGCTATGAGCCAGCACCATGTACTAAAAAGAGTATTCTCATCTGGTGTCACCTTTGTTATAAATCAGGTAATCATATAGGTGTGGATCTGAGTCCATTGGTGTGTCCATACTTGCCTCGATCTCACATTCTAGTGATTGAAACTTTATAATAGGTCTTGATATCTGGTAGTTTAAAATCTTCCAGCTTTGATGTTATTCTTCAAGATTGCCTTATTTATTTATTTATTTTTTTGCATTTTCATGTAAGTTTTAGAATTAGTTTATCAGTTCACACACACACACACACACACACACACAAATCAGCTGAAATTTGAAAGGATTGTGCAGTTTTTTTCACATCAGTTTGGGGATAATTGATACTTTTACTGTGTAGCAGTAGTTTTAAATTCAGTCTTGACATCTTCACTTCTTTTTTTCCCTTCACTTTTTCTTTCACTTATCCTGTAAGCCTGGCTTAATTCATCTGATCCATTTTCTTTAATTATGTCCCCAGGCTTTTTAAGAAAATCAAATAACATTTTGATTGACTCTCTTGTTTAAGATCTTGATGCTGCTGTATTTATTTCTGAATTATTTCCTTCCCTTTTCCTACAGCAATCGTTCCAATCTTTATAGCACTTAAGCAACATAATGTCTTATTGCCAGTCCTAACCCTCTTTTTAGAAGACCTATGTGTAGAGATATCTGGAAAGCAATGGTAAATTTGGACCTAAACCTTGAGAAATGTTGATGCTAAAGACACAGATTTTGGAGTCATTAGATAACATGGTTCTTAAAGCTATAGATATGGATGAGCTTACTCAAATAGGAAGTCCATGAAGTAGGAAGAGAAGATGAGAGCTTAGAATATAATCCTGGGGGACAATCGTATTTAAAGGTTGGGCTGAGAAGAAGCTAGCATGTGACTAATAGGAGGACACATAAGTTAGCGGAGAACCAGGAAGGAGAGATGTACCGAAAACTAAAGGAAAAGAAAGCTTCGAGATGTAGTGAATGAGCCAGGCGTGGTGGCATGCACCTGTAGTCCCAGCTTCTTGGAGGCTGGAGTGGAAGATTGCTTGAGGCCAGGAATTTGAGGCTGCAGTGAGCTGTGATTGTGCTACTGCACACCGGCCTGGGTGACAGGGAATGGTCAACAGGATTAAATGATGCCTGGAGAACAAGAACATGCTAACAGAAAGCAGGCCAGTGGATTTGGCTAGTAGCATCAGCAAGGTCGGTAGGAGCTTGTAATGAGTGGATCGAGGTAGTGAGTAGACATTAATCTCTCAAGTACATTGATTGGAAGTGGTAAGGCAGAAGGTAGTGCAGCTGAAAGAGACGGTGAGACATTGTTCTCTGATGTTTGTCACTCAGAATCAACTTGGGCAAAGCCAAGTTCCTCATCCTGCTTTATCTGCCATTTGTCTGCTTTCTAATTTCAGTGAGTAGAGTCACCTTTTACCTGGTTGTAGAAGCTGGAAACCTTGTACTCTTCTGTGACTTCTCCCTTACCTCTCCTCCCATCCGTACTCCTACTCAACCCCCCATTTCAATGGTAACCAGAGACGTTTGATTTTTTCTCCGTAATGTGTTCATCATTCCCTCTGTTGACTTCTTCTGCAGCTTCTTAGGTTGGGATCTCCCGTTTTTCCTTGATAGTGCAATAGCCCTCTTACTGGTCCTTAAAGTCTTCTTGTCTCGCCTCATCCATTCTTCATACTGCCCCACCTATCTTTTTAAAACATGGTTCCCATCATGTCTTTCCACTTCTTAAAAATGTCAGTTGCCTTCCCACTGCCTGCTATATATAGTATACTAAATATTCATTAAATGAGTACTGGTTATGTGTCAGGCATTATACTAGGCACTAGAGGTACAATGATGAACAAGATAGACATGGGCCCTGCTGCCATCTAGTGTAATGGCATATAAGGCTTTTCATGGTTTGGGTACCAGCTTATCTTTCTAGGGTCATCTCCAACTTCTGCTTATATCCTCCAGACATTTTGGACTACTACTTTTCCCATGGACAAAATCTGTATTGTGAAATCACTGTGTCTTTCTGTGCTGTTTCCTACCCAGAATGCCTTTCTGCACTGTTTCCTACCCAGAATGCCTTTCTGCTGTCTGCTTGTCATTTTTTTTTATAGTAGACTATTTATAGTCAGATGGTGTTTGTTTTCTTCAAATTAGCCATTGGCTGTTAGTTAACTGCTAAATCATCTGTAAAAGCTTGATTTTTAAGAAATATTCTACAGCTAACAGTAATCTGCATACTGCTCCTGCTTCTTCCTGCTACACGAAAGAAGTTTTGGGGTGACTTCTTTGTAGAGAGAAATAGCTGTCTAGAATTTAATACTAGTAATTCTGTATGGTTTCTTTCTGGTCAATAAGAATGCATGGAATAGAGGCGAAAAGCAGAAATAAGCACTTGTGTGCTCTGGAGAAACCCATTAATGCCTGACTCATTTCATAGAGTATTTGGATTTTGAATGTATTGATTTATCTTCTTCCAATTTAGACTGATGATGAAGATGAGTCTTTTATTCTTGAGGATCCTACATTGTTAAACATTGATACTATTGATTCTCACTCCTATGATACTTCATCTGTGGCAAGCTCAGATAGTGGTGACAGGACCAACTTAAAAAGGTAGGTATTCATGTCAATCATACTTGCTTACAGTTGAAGTATTCAATTGTTTCAAATGTAAATATTGTACTTTTTAAAGTACAATATGGTCTGTTGAAGCCTTGCATGGGAAGTAGAAGGGATATAATATCTTGAAAATTTTGGTACCATTAAGGAAGAATGTAAAAGGGTAGGTGCTATGACCACAGTCTGAACTCTCGGTAGGAAACCATAATGATAGCCAGGGACTTCTGGAAGCAGGAGAGCCCTTGGAGGAAGCACAGATTAAACCTGGCACAGTGTCTGTGGTGGAAACATGCAGCTTGGTTCACTGCCCTACTGTTCTGCCCACCCTCCCGCACCTCCCTGTCATCCGCATTCTCTAAGATCAGCCTTCCTTCATGCTCTTGGAGTGGGTTCAGAGAATCACAAAGACGATTAAAAATTCAGGAAAAGGACTTCTAACCCTAAATAACTTAAATTTGGGCTGCTTTTCACCTTCCAAGTTCTTGGAGAGACTATGAAAAGGAAAGAGAATTGGAGGAATCATACTATAAATACATTATTGAATTCACGTGTAACTTTAATATTGATAAAGTGATCTGTTTTTCTTCTTCTTCGATTTTGCCTGTGTCAATGTTCTTTTCTTTAGGTTATCTCTTATGGGATAGGGGCTGTTGCTGGATATGTTAACCTGTTCAACAATGTGTCCTTCAAATAGATAACTTAAATGTTTTTGATGATCTGGTCACTACCTGCTTAAAAGATATGGTATCATCTTGTTGCCTGCAAAATTAAGTCAGAACTCCTCTGCATGGCATCAGTCTGGGCCACGCTTACTGTTTTGACCTGATCTCTAAGCACTCACACTTCAGCCCTCCTAGTCTGTACCTTTTGTGTATGTGTACCCCAGACACACTGTACACCTTTACATCTTCATATTTCTGCCTGTGCTTTTTGCCTGACAAACTCCTAGTCATCCATCAAGGTCAAATTAGTCATCTTCTCTTTTCTATAGCTGTCCCTAATGCCCCCCAAATAAACAGAATTAAACTGTTCTTCATTTGCATTTATATGGCACTTAATTCATATCTCTAATATAACATTTATCCTTTAGAGTTACTTCTCAGCCCCTCAGCTATGAAATCCTTGACAGTAATAACTGACTTTCTTATTTTTGTATTCCCAGAGCATACTTCTAGTGATACAAAGTAGGTGCTCAGTAATGTTGGGTAAAAGTTTAAAAGTTACTTTTTGTATGAGGATGAGTAGAGGGGGAATTTGAGGAGGTGGTTGAAGATTGAGAGGGTGGTCATAGGAGAAGCAGCAGCACAGGAAAGGTGAGCAAGGGTAAGAAGGCAGTAGGGTAATGTAGACTTGCAGGCCGGAGGAGTGCTCTGTAGGCAGCCTTCTGGAGAACATGAGAACCTACTGCCGCATTCCCTAAGGTGGGCATGGAGCAGTTTGAATCGTGAGAAAGGAATGGTGATTTGATTCATTTTCCTGCTTGTGCTTCTTTGAGGTTCAAGGCGGGTTTAATACATTTTAAGGTGGGATTGTTAGATCCGTCATACCTCTTTTAGGAGATATACCTAATGCTAAATGATGAGTTAATGGGTGCAGTACACCAACATGGCACATGTATACATATGTAACAAACCTGCACATTGTGCACATGTACCCTAAAACTTAAAGTATAATAATAATAAAAGAAAAAAAAACAGATCTAACAAATTACATACAATGTTGTCTTCTGCTTTTTGTGCGTGTGTGTTTTCTTTCAAAGCTTTGGGACCTCTCCTTTTCACTATTTTTATCTGTTTTTAAATGTTTTTCTTTTTTTTTTTCAGGAAGAAGAAATTACCTGATTCTTTTTCACTTCATGGATCAGTTATGCGCCATTCACTTTTGAAGGGAATTTCTGCCCAGATAGTGTCTGCAGCTGTAAGTATTTTGTTCTTTTCCCTCAACTTTGTAACCTGCAATGGCATAATGAAGTAGGAATGAGCATAGAACAAAATACAGCACTTCTCTTGGCCCGAGGCTTAAGAAAAATAGAATCTGGCTTTCATGGTTTTTGTGTGATGATTTTTGACTTATGAGACATGGCTACACGTCTTGACAGAAATTAGTGCAGCCATGAAAATAAAGTTCTGCTCAGAGTCTAGGCTGTGCCTAAATGAAATATGGCAGCAAGCCTAAAATAAATACTATTTGCCTTTTCTTTAAATTCCTTTTCATTTAGTTGCCGTCTTGTGTATTTGTTGAGATTGTGTGCTTGTTTTTTTTTTCTCTTTTCATATGGAGAAATGATTGATCAGAATCTTTTACAACTGAATGATTTTTTTTTTTTGTAATTCACAAAAGTATTTTCATGTCCCTTATTTCATTTATTCTTACAACTTGGAAACTAGGTAAAGCTGTATTCTATTTTACAAATGAGAAGATAGGCTCAGGAAGGTGATATTAACTTGTCTTAGATCATTCTGTTAGGAGGTAGCAAGGCATTTATTCAAAATTGGGGTTTCTGGCTTCAAGTGTAGTGCCTCTATTGTGAAATGGAGGTGGCATTGGTGAATGTGGTCAATGTGTAAAATGGCTGGAACAGAGTATCTGTGGCCTTTTTTGAAAATTATGTAGAGCACTGGGTTAATGTAAACGATATTTAATGGTCCATAGACAGCAGAACTTTTCGTTTGACACTATCAGACTTTTCTTTTGACCCCAAAGCCCATAGTTTTATGTAGTCTTTCAATTTTGGTTTTCTGAGTACAATGTACAGATTCTGTATATAATGATAATGACAGATTTATACTCCAGGAAGTTTAATGTATTTTCATGTTCTTTTTGGGGCATTTAATTGGCATTTTGCATATCCAAGTTGGACAAGAAATAAAAATTTGGATTTTTCTTTTTTTTTTTTTTTTTTGAGACGGAGTCTCACTCTGTCGCCCAAGCTGGAGTGCAGTGGCACGACCTCAGCTCACTGCAAGCTCCACCTCCCGGATTCATGTCATTCTCCTGCCTCAGCCTCCTGAGTAGCTGGGACTACAGGCGCCTGCCACCATGCCCAGCTAATTTTTTGTAGTTTTAGTAGAGACACGGTTTCAACGTGTTAGCCAGGATGGTCTCGATCTCCTGACCTTGTGATCCGCCCGCCTCAGCCTCCCAAAGTGCTAGGATTACAGGCATGAGCCACCTCGTCCAGCCAAGTTTGGATTTTTCAAGAGGATGAGAGATTGATACAGAATTACAAGATACCACAATTGCACTTCAATGTTCAGGTTTATCAGAAAAAGCCCTTAGTGCAAATAACAACAACAACAACAAAAGTATTTACTATAACAATTGGGGTATCCTGACCTAGCTCATATATCATGAAGTGAATTTAAATAGAGAGATGCTCAAGCAATAGAGGAAACCTGGGCAATTGTTCTTCCTCTTTTAGGTGGAGAGTAACTCATATTTGCTAGAATGGGAACCACCTGTTGAGGATTACATTTCCATGACGTTTTCTGAATTTAATCCTTATGTAGGTGATGAAATTCATTCCTTTCAAAATCAAGATGAACCAGAACAGTCATTTGACCCACCTGTGCAGTTTTAAAAATATTTTGAGTAATGGAGACTGAGCTAAAACTCAGACTCTGAACAATGATTAGATAAATCTGTTATTTAAAAGGAGTTCTCCTTCCCCTTGAAGAGGAGGGGAAATTCTAATAAATCCCAGAGTGTTTGCATTCTGTTTTTATTTGATTGCTATGGCTGAGCTCCTTTGGTATGTTAAAATGAAAACTGCCTTTCCTGTGACAGTCATCATACGGTGCCTTCCTATTTTTGGATTACCAGCTCAATTTAAATTGCATGCTTTCCTGTGATGGTTGGTTTATTAACATGTAAAGCTAGTTATATTTTTGGATATTTCTCCCTGAATAATTGCTCAATAGTGCCTTCAGCCATGTGGTTAGTGATGTTATTAGGGCTGTTTGGGGCCTTGATCACAGTTTTGGGATTCATGCATGGAAAACACTTGGAGAGATGAAATTTTTGCAATTGTGAAGCTCATTTTTTAATTTGGGATCCTTTTCAAAGTAGTATGACATGTGACTATACTTTAAAATAATTCAAAGTAACTTTTTTTTAAGGATCTTTATTATTTTTATGATCAACTTGAAAATACTAGAGATAGCTTAGTGTAGTGTTTTTTTTCAAAATGCGTCCACTGTATAAGAATCTCCTAGGGTACTGATTAAATTGCAGATTCCTGGGGCTCACCCCAAACCTACAGAATCCCGAGCATACAGGCATCCCAGGTGATTCCCATGCATTTTGACTTTTGAGACCCACTACCCTCAGATATTGCAACACCAGTACTAAAATTCTGTAATCTCTACAATGCTTCCTAATATCTGTGTTTTTTTTAGCTTTTGAAGTCAGGTGACTTCTGATTCCATTATTCAGGTTCTATTTTGAATATAGAACAGACCTTCGAATAACATCATTTTGTTCAATGTCATTTTGTTATAATGTTAATGAAGAAAAAACAATTGGTTTAAGTTGTTTTGCTTAAAGTCAGTTTCTAAGAACTTACTGACAACATTAAGTGAGGTCTTACTAGAGTTTTTGACCTTCATCTGCTGTCTCATTTCTCTTTCCCTGTCTAGATGCAAATCAGTCATTTATTAACTATGTATTACATGCTTCTTAATTGTCGAGCATTATGTTAGGCATGTTTGACACACAGACATATACACTCAAAGTTGGATAGATGCTGCTATCCAGAGCATTGTGTGTAGCAGCCTTGCTCATTGCTTTTTTCTCCTGTTTCCATGTACTGGAGTAAGTTTAAGTGAGTGCCCAGGAAGCTCTACAGAGTTTGTTAAATAGAGTCTGTAGAGTCTGCCTTCTGAGAGATGATAATAATTGACCACGCTGACAAGGACAGACATAGAAAAGAAGATGTGTAAGTGATACAAGGAGCCTGTCCTGGGATTTGGAAGCTCTGAGTTTGAGATGTAGTTCTGCCACTTACCAAGTACCCTTTGTCAAGTCAGTTAAACTCTTGGAAATGTCTGTTTTTAAAATCTGGAAAATCAGAATAACATTGCCTGTTCTATACATCTCTCTAGGTCTGAGAATCAAGTAGTGTAATATCTGTATACGCAAGCTCTTTGCTGCTACAGTACTGTATCACTACAAACTCTTAGGGTTATTTAAAGCTATGTGAGCATAGAATTGATACTCTTACATATTTATTTGATTCTTCACATTTAATTTGATCCTCAGGACAGCTCACTGAGGTAAACAGTGCAGTATTTGCTATTTCTTTGAACAGATGAGGAGACTAATGTTCAGAAAAGTTAGGTGACTTTTCAAATGCCATGTAGTTACCGGTAAGGAGCTGGGACTAGTACTTCTTTATGTTTTAATTTCTTATGCTTGAGAACTGATTTAATATACCCTGTTGGGGTTTATTTAGAGGTTATTAGGTAATTGGTAGATAGGAAAGTCCTACTTAGTAGTAGAAACATCTTTAACATGTTTACTTTTCTCAAATCTTTATGTACTCCTACCATTTTGACCCCATAGTACTTATAGTTTATTCAAGTATAGAAAATGGAACATCTTTCCTCTTTTTCCTTTGCATTTCCATTATAATCAGTACCCTCCCTGAGGCATCTTACTTAGCAAAGGCACTTATATACTTAGTAAAATAAAACAATCCCCTTTCATGCCCTTTGTATTTTGTTGAGATATATAGCTTTTGTAATTTCTGTTAGTTGGGGGCAAAAATAAAGGTTCTACCTCTAATCTAAATTGATTTGGAGCAAGTATATGTAAAGCAAGAGCCATATACCATTTTCTGTTTTAAAATGAGAATATTTTTCAAATACTTTCTTTAAAATTTCATTTAGGACAAAGTAGATGCTGGCTTGCCTACAGCAATTGTAAGTATACTTTAACTTTTTAAAGGTAAGTTTTCTATTTGATTGGGTTTTCTTAGATTTATCATTACATTGTTCAAAATACTACATAAGTTGTTATGGTAATAAATTCACAAGTCATTTTACTGCCAGTAATCAGGTTTAACATTTATCCATGTTGAATGCTTTCTTTTTTCCTAATTTTTTGTTACTTTTTAGGCTTTTGTTTGAGAAGCAGATAATGGAGTAATATTAGCCTTCTCCAGGTTTATTTGTTTGTAGTACTACCCTGCCCAAGTAAATTTGCTTCTTCTGTGATTTGGCTCCCCTTCCACAAGGAATGGAAAGCATCATTTGATAGGATCACTTTGTGGAAAATAGTACATTTAACAGCTCTGGATTCCATTGTCAGGCTTGCCAAATAGAACTCTGTTGCAGTATTGTAGAGAACTAGGGGATATTGAAAGCACGCTGGTACTCTCTCTTCTTGTCTTCCTCCAGTGCCTTTTTAGCATTCCTTTTAGTCAGTCTTTGGTAAGGAAGTGGGTGAGTTTTGAACACTTTGGATGGCTTTAGGCCCCTGCGGATAAACTAGAGAAGTGTGTTCTCATCTCTTCCCCATGCCTCGTAGGAAGCTCTAGGTTGGGTAGCATAAGTGCCTCTTACTTTGCCTGGATCCCTGATTTTTTATTTGAAAGTTGCTTTAGAGGAAGCTAAGTGGCATGTTATTGCCTATAATGTTGAACATATGATATTTTGATAGTGTTACTCCTAGAGTAAATTTAGAGGGATTCTCAGAAATAAAATGTCCTGAGTTTCATTTCCCGTTTTGCCTCCTGGATGAAATTCTTCTTATTTACAATAGTTTGTATGTCATCTGGTGCCTAGAGGAAGGCAGGCCAACAAATTCAACTCTGATTATTTCAAGATTCTTAATGTAATGTCTTAAAACGTAATCTTCCCTTTTGTTTTCAGGCAGTATCCAGTCTGATAGCAGTGGGTACATCTCATGGATTGGCTTTAATATTTGGTAAATTTTTAAGTGCTTTCCTGCTTTTAAATATTAAGTGTCCTTTTGGGTTTTATAATGTCCTTTAATCACAGTTTATATAGTGTACTTGATTTTCTTGAACAAAACCAGAAAAACTTGAAAAGTAGCAGTCAGTATTTTTATAGCTAAAAATTATTTGCCTCACAGCTTTGTTTTGCTGCTTATTGCAAGTTTATTTTCTTCTTCATGAATTTATAAGCTATCATATCTATTGATCTCTCTGCAAACCTAGACAAAAAGAATAAAGTTGAAGGGAACCTTGGGTTATCATCTTGTCTGCCTCCGGTTGTTGGTGGTGGGGATTTTTGATTCTGAATCACCTTCCAGTAATGGGTATTCTAAAAGATCTTCAGGAAAACAGGCTTTCTCAGTAATTTTCAGGAGCTCTCACTGACAATAAGCTTTTTTAAAAAATTTCCATTGTAAATCACTCTAAACCGAATTTTTTTTGGCCTGTAATCACATTGCTTTCTTGGTTGAAAGAGAACTAGTTTTATTTGTATAGTAGAAGATAGTTGTATTTTCTCATTTTTTTCTACATGAGACTAAATGACTATAGTTTCATTAAACCTTCTTTGCTTTTGAATTCAATGTATGAGTAGAATATTTTGTTCTTTTTAAATTTAAAAACTGTTAGATTTTTGTGGCCGGGCATGGTGGCTCACGCCTGTAATCCTAGCACTTTGGGAGGCCGAGGCAGGTGGATCACCTGAGTTGAGGAGTTTGAGACCAGCCTGGCCAACATGGTGAAACCCCGTCTCTACTGAAAAAAAAATAAATAAAATAAAATTAACTGGGCGTGGTGGCGGGCGCCTGTAATCCCAGCTACTCGGAAGGCTGAGGCAGGAGAATCGCATGAACCCAGGAGGCGGAGGTTGCAGTGAGCCAAGATTGTGCCACCGCACTCCAGCCTGGGCAACACAGTGAGACTCCACCTCAAAAAAATAATAATAATAATAAACAAAAAACTATTAGTTTTTTTGGGGGGGGTCATTTTTAGTGTTCTCTTCTGGATATTAAGTCATTTCATCTCCCTTAAATGAAAGACTTGAGACACTGTATTTAGTAAGGAATCTACAGACTTCTATATGGATTACCTGAGAATACTTAATAGCAGAACCACGATTTGATTTCTGTGGGGCCTTGCATCCTTATTTACCATGGAAGTGGATAACTAGTTATTTTCTGTTGGTTTTGAATGATTTGGCTTACTATTATAAATTTTGTATTATGACAAAAGCTTTTTAAAATGTAATTGTAAAACCTAGTCTTTTCAAAGGTAATTGATTTAAATAAGAGTTTTATTGTTTGGGGACCAGAAGAGTAGAAACAAAATTATAATTCCCTTGAAGGAATTTAGAATTGATTGAAAAAGACTCTTAAAACCTATATAGTTGATATATAGTCATAGTAGAAAATATAGAAAATATAGATGAGCAAAAAGTTGAAGATATACCAAATCCTGCCATGTATTAATAATCCCTAACATTTTTGTATGTAATCTTTTAGTCTTTTTTTCTGTACCTATATATGTGTATCTATACACCCTCAAATGGGATCATGTTAATTTGTAAACTGCTTTTTATTTTAATGAATATCTTTCCATGCAGTTATATATTTTGTCTGTAACATCATTTTTAATGGCTATATAGTATTCTATTAAATGGATTCTTCCTAATTTACTTAATCATTTCCTACTATAAGACATTTAAGTTGTTTGTAAACATATAGTACTGTGATGAACATCTTCGTTACTACATTTCTGTGTCCATGATTACTTTTTTAGGACAGATGTTCCTAAAGGTGGAATTGCTTGGATTAGGAGATGAACATTAAGGACTTTTGATATGTATCATCTAATGGCCCCCTAGAAAAGTTCTGTCAGCCTGCTCTCCTATCAGGTGTTCAGAATGGTGGTCTTCCTGTGGGGCATAATTAATGTTAGATAAATAGAATTTTGGGAAAGAAACTTACGAGGTCATTTAGTTCAGTCCCCTTATTTTACATCTGAGGCTGCTGAGGATCAGAGAGGTTAAGTGAGATGCACAGAGCCAAGTTCAGCCAAGTTCATTGAGGAATGCTGAATCCTGTATAAGTGTATTTCCACTATTCTAAGCAATTCTGCTATCCTGAGAGAAAAGGAGGCAAATTCTAAGATAGGAAGAAAAGAATAAAAGAACTAAGGTGAATGAGAATAGATGATAATACATATATTTGTCAGCAGATTGCATGTTGATTTTTGGTTCCCATTTACCAGTACTCACTTCTCCTCACCTCTATCTGCTTTAACATCCCTTTCTTGTCAATGTTATAAGAATATGTGGAATGGCGTGAACCCGGGAGGCGGAGCTTGCAGTGAGCCGAGATCGCGCCACTGCACTCCAGCCTGGGTGACAGAGCGAGACTCCGTCTCAAAAAAAAAAAAAAAAAAAAAAAGAATATGTGACTGCTTATCATCAAACTCAAGTATAGCTTACTGCAAACAATTTAAAATGAATACTTTACAAATAAAAACTAGCAGAGGAAAAGAGAACATTGTCTTTTGATACTGTCTTTTTAATTTCCTTGGGCCTGGTTCCTGGTTTTTTTTTTTTTTAGACCCCAGTAGCTTTCTTGTAGATATGAGGAAATAATCTTTCATTACAGTCTCATGGAAAAGAAAGTATGTCTAAGTGAACATTTTGAGAAAGAATCATAATATTCTGGTTGTGCTTTGGGTATTAATAGTGTAGCTAATAAATTTTACTCATTACTGTTTATAGGAATCAGATGTTTGGACAACGTGTTTTATCAAATGGATTAAAATATGCTTGAAAGCCTGGCAACAAATGGCAGAGTAATAATACTATAAAGTGTCTAGAGGCCTGGGTTAGATCTCATCTCTGTTAAACATCTGTGTTGATCATAGGAGAAAGTGTAGCAAGAAGAGCTATACTTGTTTAAGTACTGAATGTTTCTCTTTGAAACAGAGGCCCAGGTCATTAAGAAAGAAACCATTATAAGTTTCTTGAAGACTGATGTTTATTGCCTCTTCTTAAGTAATTATAGGCATATAGTGTTTAAAAAAATATATTGGTACTTACCTTATACAGAGTCTTAAAAGTTCAAATCTTAATAAAGATGTTTCCCCATCCCAGGGTTCTTAGTTTTCCTCTTTTTTTTTTTGGTTATTAGTGTACTTCAGTAGATTATCTTTTTGAAATTGTTTTTGTTTTTATCTAACTTAAACATGGATTTACTTACTTTGCTCTAATGAGAGTATTATGGATTTTTTCCCATAACCCATAGCTGAGCATAATCATAAATACTAGAGGCATCACTTAATCAAATTTAGTATCATTCCCACAGATAACTAAAGCTTGTCACTTATATTCTTGAAATTTTTTACCTGCCTTTTCTTCGAACTTTTGAACTGATTTCTTGCTTTTCTTTATCTTTCTTGATCTTTTCTTCATGGATTCAAAAGGAAAAGGTATAGTAAGTAATTTTAGTTTGCATGAATGGTTTCTTTTGGTCTTTTTAATGTTGGAAGAGAATGCTACCAATTATAGTCAATGTCCTCTTACGAAATGCTTATTGAAAAAAACCCAGCTAATTGAAAAATTAGTTAAGTGGGAAATTGTGAAAAACTGTAAATATATATATACCTTCAATGTTTTAACTGAAAAATATAATTTTTAACTGAAAGTATATACATTTTCATTTTTCCTTTGATCTTTTGATGTAGTCCCAAACCTTTTCTTTGAGTTTGTATTTGCCACTTGGGTTCTGAAGTATCTTTTTTGGCATAAACTTTCATCATTAATGGGTCATGCAAGATTTGCCATTTTAAATTTTAAAAATGAGGTGAAAGCTTAAGCACCTGTGAGTCAATCAATGCATGCAAAATCCTAGATTTTAACAAAACTTTCAGTCTTTTCCTGTTATATTATGAACACCTTATTTTGTGACAGTTTTGTATAGAAACTCATCTTTACCAAGTTTTTCTAAATCATCCCATTTAATGTTCATGGAAACAACAGCTCTTTCTTTTTCACTCTGTTTCATTGGTTTATTTACTGTTTAAGTTTTAAAGTACAGTAACATTACAATGGCATGAACAGGCTTGGGAATGAATACAGCTGACTCATAGTAAGCATAAGCATTCTGGAAAATATCCAACTAGCAATGGGGATTCAGTATGCCCTGGCTTCAGTCAGTAAGCCTTACAGAGGGAAGGAGAACTTGAATTCTGTGAGTTGGTTTGCTGGAGGTCAGGTAAAAGTGCTTCTGTTGTTTTATGATCATCGATGAAAAATGTTTCCTGATTAGATCTTTTCTCCCTCGGTCCTAGAGAATATTTTAGTGTGAATAAAGGATAAGAAAAGGCTGGATGTGGTGGCTCACACTTGTAATCCCAGCACTTTAGGTGGCCGAGGTGGGCAGATCACTTGAGGTCAGTAGTTCGAGACCAGCCTGGCCAACATGGTGAAACCCGTCTCTACTAAAAATACAAAAATTAGCCAGGCATGGTGGCATGTGCCTGTAATCCCAGCTACTTGGGAGGCTGAGGTGGGAGAATTGCTTGAACTCAGGAGGCAGAGGCTGCAGTGAGCCGAGATCGTGCCACTGCACTCCAGCCTGGGTGACAGAGTGAGACTCTGTCAAAAAAAATAAATAAATAAAAAATAAAAAATAAGAAAAGAATAGTATTAAAGAATAGTGAATATTGGCCAATAAAGGTAGAGTTCCACACACACAATTAAACTGGATTCCTACTAGGATGTAGGTATTTCCTTCTTTGAGAAATAGAGGATTGGGCTAATTTTGGTATATGGAAAGAGTTAACAGAAATTCTTGAAGTATGTTCAAATTTAGATTTTAGGGCTGTTACAGACTTTGTACATTATTTGTGACTTTTCTTTGCTATTCAGCATATTATTCTTAAGTCCAGAATATGCTGAGGAGATCTACTCTAAGCAAAGTGTACTTTGAAAGACATGCTAATAAAAGATACAGATATAATTCAGGGCAATGCCAAATAGATGTGTTGTTTGTGATATTTGGCCTTCAAGTTATCTAAATTAATTGGTAAGCTATATTACTGTCATAAACAGTAATTCCTTGCATTTGTGCCATTTGGTGATTTTCTAATTTTTCATAGGCAAAACTCTTTGTCAACTCAGTGAAGTTTATAAGAAAGGTGATAGTCTCATTTCATATTTCTTGCCAGGGTAACCATTATTAAGACCCCTGCAATTTTTTTAAAACACAGATTTGACAGTAGTAACCAAATATACCTTTATGTGACTTTGTAAAGAAATTAGATATGCTGTTAATTTAATAACTTTTTCCAACTGTAGACAAAGGAGACTTCAGAGAGGAGGAGGAGAATAGAATTTTTCCTTTTAAATTCATGAAATCAAGAGTAACCTGGAGTGGCTCTCATTTTCACCTTCTGTCCAGGTCATTTTGTTCTTTACATGTATCCATGGAATTTAAGTGTTTTGAAGAGGTTTTATGTTTATTTTGGTCAAATATTTCCCAGAATTGTCCAGAATTTTCTGGACTACAGAATGTTTAGTTACTCTAGCAGGAGAAACCTCTTCAATAAGACTGCTTTCTTCTTTCCACAGAAATTCTACCTTTTCTGAATTTAGTCTAAATTATATAACAGCAAGTTTGTTAACATGGTACTATAAGGATAGGACATATGAAGAGGAGTGGCCAGGCACAGTGGCTCAAGCCTGTAATCCCAGCACTTTGGGAGGCTGAGGCAGGTGGATCACTTAAGGTCGGGAGTTCGAGACCAGTCTAACATGGAGAAACCCTGTCTCTACTAAAAATACAAAATTAGCTGGGCATGTTGATGCATGCCTGTAATCCCAGCAACTTGGGAGGCTGAGGCAGGAGAATAGCTTGAACCCGGGAAGCAGAGGTTGCGGTGAGCCCAGATCGTGCCATTGCACTCCAGCCTGGGCAACAAGAGCGAAACTCCGTCTCAAAAAAAAAAAAAAAAAAAATGTATGAAGGTACCAATAAGAGCTTGATAAATATCTTTATGGAGTCAAAGTAGATTACATTTGTTACACTGTCCATCATGTCTCTCACCATCACTGCTGTTTTTTTTTAAGTGTATATATGAATGTAATCTATAAATTAGTTTGTGATGAGCACTTAGTAATATTCAAGGGACACTGAATTGGTTCCTTTGTGCATTATCTTACTTTACTCATTTATTCCTCTTAGCAACACAGTGAGATAATGGGCATTTTCTACATTTTACAGATGAAGATAGGGAGGCTAAGTGAATTTAAGAAACATTCCTAAAATTACCAAGACATACTGTAGTTGTAAGGCTTGTAACTATCTGTGGGGTAGGGGTGGAATTAAAATCCAGGTATCTGGTTTCATAGTCATGATACCTTCTAAAGGAACATTATAAAAACAACAAATATATTGTAAAAAATCCAGAAAAAAGTTGAGAATGTTTCCATTAACAGATTTGTGGGCTGTAAATTTAATCCATATTGCAGGAATGGCTAAGATTGATAATTTACTTCCCTGTCTTAGCTAGTTGATGGTATGTGGGAACAACAGTCAGGAAAGCACAGTCATGTTTGGTTTTTAATCTACAAGTTATGTCCTTTTCCTTCCCTCATTTCATCCATTGCCACTCTTCTCTATTTCCTCTTCATGGCACCCTTATTCTCTTTGTTATCATATTCTCAGTTCTCCTGCTTATACTTCCTGTGCCTGAAATAGTCCGATTTAAAGTATGAACGTTGTTAAATTAGAAAGTAGTAGTGAGAGTCTTTAAGTATTGGTGAATCAGAACTCTGTGAAGTTTGGATCTCAAAGCAGGGACTACAAAGGATCTTCGCAGTATGCTGCTTAGACATCGCTCTGTGCCTGGAAGGCAAGCGGTCCAAACTCCAGGGTATGAAATTTCATACCAGCTCTATCTTTGTCCTCTTACTTTCAGTCCATCTGTTACCTATACATGTGACCCAGAGTAGAGGTATATATGGAATACTGTTGCCCAACCATCATATCATGACAGTTTGCAAATTAAGGTATGTGGAGAATCCACTAACTATACAGCGTGGTTCTGATGAAATAAGGATCATGCAAAACATTATTTTAGGTAGGTAGTTTTGGAAGAGCAAAATAAAATGTGATGTTATATTTAGAGTCAGGAAAATTATAGAATAAAGGGAAGTTTTATAATTTGGATTAAATCGAGGAAGGGTGAAAAAATTGTAAGGAGGAGAACAGTCAGAATGTATTGAAAAATATCTGTAGTTGTAAAATTCTAGATGTGAATAAAGACAGTAACTTTTAAAATACATCAGACCTTGTATATTTATGAGTTATTCCTTTTCAGTGTTCACCTTGGAAGGCTAAAATCCAAAATGATTGAAAAAAATAGAGTATTTTCTATGTGCTATGTAGTTATACTCATTGTTTCAGAACTCTTTTTTGGGAAGGAGGGATTACTATTTAAGTCATTTTATGAGCACAGAAAAGGACTCTTACAGTATTCACTCTGAATGGGCAAAAGGACTGACCTAATATTATTCCCTAGACCTGAGAATGAGTGACTGTGTCTGATAACTAGATTTACTTTTATAGAAGGAGAACTGGCAAATGTGAAAGCTATTCAGATGATTGTCAGATGCCTTCTAAGCACAAGGCATTAAGCAAGGTGCTTTGGGAGTGTTAATTCACTCATGATCTTAGCCCTCAGAGAGGTCATAGTGTAATAGGGGAGGTAAGACATACCCCAAAATTCACATGTAGATAATTAAGGGAGACACAAACAGTGCTGGGGAAGTTGCGAAAACTCCAAGTTGTGGAAATATGGTGTTTTTTGCATTTTTCTAAATAGTTAAATTTTGTAGGCATGCATTCTGACATTTAAATTTTTAATTTCATTGTTTTCAAGTGGGTATAATAATGAACTCTAGACAAAATAAGCATTGCCTAGGAGAAACCCTAGAGAAATTTCTTTTAATTATTAGATAACAGAATTTAATAAATATTTGAGTGCCTCCTGGAGAAATCAGAGGTGATTAAGGCAAGATCCTCGCCCTTATCACCCTTAACAAACTTAATCTAATAGATATTTGAATTGCTTGCTTTTAGCATATTTTGTTTGTTTGTTTGTTTGTTTTTGAGATGGAGTCTTTCTCTGTCTCCCAAGCTGGAGTGCAGTGGCATGATCTCAGTTCACTGCAACCTTTGCCTTCTGGGTTCAAGCAATTCTCCTGCCTCAGCCTCCCAAGTAGCTAGGATTACAGGTGCCCACCACCACACCCGGCTATATTTTTTATATTAGTGGAGATGGAGTTTCACTGTGTTGGCCAGGCTGGTCTCGAACTCCTAACCTCAAGTGACCTTCCCTTCCTCAGCCTCCCAAAGTGCTGGGATTACAGGTGTGAGCCACCGTGCCTAGCCACTTTTAGCATATCAAATTTTGATGTTTGAAATAATTTTCTGAAGCTGTTTAAATGTTTACTCTGTAATTTGCACCGTTAATTAGCTTAGTAAATTTTCTTTATGGATAATATAAATGTAAATTTCAGCCAAATTCTAAATTAAGTTTCTTGAGTTTTGAAGTTTTATAGTTATTTTAAAAGACGATGGTATTCCCGATAACTTTGCATCTTAAAAATAGCAAGAAATACAATTCTAGGATGAGACAGGTGACGGTTTGTTTAAGGAGATACAGATTACATGTGGATTTTTTGGCTTATCATTAGCATTTTTTATTATGCTTCCTTGTAGATCTTTTTTTTTTCCTGTATTCTTTTTTTTTTTTTTTTTTTTTTGAGACCATGTCTCACTCTGCTGTGCAGGCTGGAGTGCGGTAGTGTGATCTCAGCTGACTGCAACCTCTGCCTCCCAAGTTTAAGTGATTCTTGTGCCTCAGCCTCTGGAGTAGCTGGGACTACAGGCGTGGGCCACCATGCCCAGCTAATTTTTGTATTTTTAGTAGAGTCGGGGTTTCACCATGTTGGCCAGCCTGGTCTCGAACTCCTGACCTCAGGTGATCCACCCACCTCGGCCTTCCAAAATGCTGGGATTACAGGCATGAGCCACCGCACCCGGCCTTTTTTTTCTGTATTTTTAAGTGTCTAATTCAACGCCCAGCATCTGCTAGTTGCTCAATAAATATATTTAAAAATGAATGTGACTTCATTATCTGCTGCTTTTGATTCTTGTCACCTCCCAAGTCTTTGAAAGCATGCCTGTACTCGATGTATTTACTCTCTTGCATTTCCTTCACTTGACTTTAAAAACTGCTTTCTTTAGATCAGAATCAAGCTTTGCGACTCTGTCTGGGTAGCACTAGTGTTGGAGGTCAGTATGGCGCTATCTCTGCCCTCAGTATCAACAATGATTGCTCAAGACTTCTTTGTGGCTTTGCTAAAGGACAGGTAAGATATGAACCTCCTTTAATTCATAAGACAATGTTAAAACAAGATGAATTTACAAAAACTTACATCTTAGATCAAAGACCAAAATACGTGTTATGAAGTAATATGTTTGTAGAGCTAACCAGAGATTGCTGAATCTGAGTTTTGTCTTGTTCAAAATTTTACATAATTGTTATCGACTGACCCAGAGTCTGTAATTTTTTATATCCTAGTTCATGTGTCTATTTGAGTAAATAATTTTTGTAAACCAACCAGGGATGTTATATAAAATGTACTTCCTTACAGTCGTGTAAATAATGGAGGCTGCTTTTTAGAAAGATTCTGTGTTCCTGGATAACGATTTTTGCATTTCTTTCTTCTTCTGAAACTGGCATTAGATTATGGTTTTTTTATCTTCTGATTCATACATCACTAGCTAGTTTGGCAGTAAGCCTTTCCGATACTTTTTACTAGTGCTAAACAGATTGACTTATTAGAGAAATATCTTTTGTCTCTCAGTATGAGAACAACATTTAAAATCTAAAGGGAGAAGTAGGATGGGCAGGATGAAGGGTAAATGAAGATCGAATAAAGGCTCTATGCTTTAATGGATCTGCAACCTTTAGGTATGTTTTAACTTTATAGTTCTTTGCCTGCAATGTTTATAGTCAAGGAATAGATTATTCCAGCCAGAAGGCAGGATACTTAAGTCCAAAAAAAGAGCAATAAATTTGTTTTTGAAGCACTTAGTTGTCTTATAGATCACCATGTGGGATTTGGCCAGTGGAAAACTTCTAAGATCAATAACAGATGCTCATCCTCCAGGAACAGCAATATTGCATATCAAGGTAAGAGCTTTATTTTCTTTTCCTAATAATTTTTTTATTATGCCTTTGTGTTTATTTTAAAGTAAATTTCTCTATGTTGATGATCAGAGTCCAAAAAATGTATTTAACATGAAGCTGAACATTACCTTATAAATAGAATCCTCAACATTGAGCTGTCTTTTATTTGACTAGCCCAACATGATGTTTTTCCAGGTTAAAACTAGAGATGGGCTAGTATGGAAATACTCAGCTTCAAGTTGTATTGAAGTCTAATTGATACAGCGGCAAAAAGGGCAAATTGGTGTGTTGCTAGACTAGAGTTTGGCCATAAAGATGGGCAGCACCCTGCTGAAACTCATATGGAGCTCTTAAAAGGTCTTTTTACCTTTGTTTAGGTCATCAAAATTTTATTGCTGAGGTGGTGTGCTCTGTCACCCTTTTTTGGGAGTTGCCTGAGGTTCAAGGCACAGATCGTGAAAAAACCAAGGTTTGGATTATGTTTAGAAATGAATCTATTGGTTTATTTTCTTTCAGGCCTCTAAAGGGAAAGCATTAAGATCCTAGTCTTGGCTTTCTCCTTATAGGCCTGAAAAAATAAACTGACTTAGGTAACAGATTTCATTTATAAATACAATGTGAATGTTGATTCTTCCACGCTGTCAAGCCCATGTTCAGAAGCATAAAAGGTAAAGGATTATAACTAGAGAAGTCTAAAATCAGATCTTCTAGATTTTAATCATCTACACATTTTGTTGCTTAGCTCTGCAGAGCTCTGTCATCCGTAAGTATGCTTTTTAAAGTCTGCAAGCATCTGGAGTTTGTATGTCTGTATCTAAGTTAGTTACAAAAAAGTCTTCTGTGACAGAGCAGCGTTGAAGCATTTAGTAACAATAAAAACAACCAAGACAAGTAAAAGTGGAGAGAATTTCTTCTCTTTCAGAGCATTATGGCAAAGTATCTTGACCTCTTTTCATATGGCTTGTGCCAACTTCTAATATGTTATAGTTGTTTGTATATATGTCTTATCTCTCTTAGTGGATGAATGTCTTTGAAATCACAATCTGTTTGTCATTTATTTTTGTGTTTTACCCATAGTAGCTGCTCAATAAATATTTGATTGAAGGAAAAACTAGATGGTGGTGTTTATACAAGAGAAATCCTTTTGCAGAAAAAAAAATACTGGGAGAAAGAATAAGAAACAGAAGAGATAAAAGCAGAGAGAAAAGAGAAGAATGCAGTTGAGATAAATAACATATAGTAGGAGCCATTGTGTTGCTTGACAATGGTGATGAAGGTGGTACATGTAGATAATAACACTGGAGTAAGACACATAGGATTGAATATTTCTGAAGTCTTCTACTGACATCAGCCACTTGCATTTTAATACTCCTACACGTTGTTCTCCAAACTTAAGCCTGTATCTCATCAATAACAATTTGGAATTTCATTCTTTATGGATATTTATGTGTGTGTGTGTGTGTGCGTTTATATGAATACACTACTTTACTAATTTTTATGTACATTATAAAGCACGTACAAAAGAAATAGAAAATTAAACAGAAATACAAGTTCTGTTATTTTTCCTGCACTCCAGCGGACCATGTCATGCACACACCTAGGGTATATGCTTCCCACTCTGGCAACTGCTCATCGAGGCTGTAAGAGCAAAGTTGTGGGGCTTCTTAACTATGCGTGTGTTTGGGTCAAGGAAGAAGAATTTTACAGTGGCCTCCAGTACCTCAGCCATCCCTGACTGGGAACCTGAGGCGTGCTATTTAGGATGGTTCACTAACCTTTGAGTTTAGGGAGGATAGTCACTGTAAATGGTACAAGTTCAGTTTATTCCATTTTGTGTCATGCAGCATTGACCATACTTCAGGTCACCTTAGGACTGTCTGTCATTGTGAACATGACTTATTATTCTGAGTTTTCTAAGTTAGGTAGTGATAACTGAAGTATATGCTGTGGAAGAAGATCAAGGAGGTAGCACGTTTTGGGAAGAGTTACATATGAAAAGTTAAAATGTTTTAGATATAGTGGACTTACTTTTCAGCTATTCAGAAGACATATTCAGATAAGTTTATTTCTCAAAGATACCAAGTATTTTTTAGAGTCTTTATTCTTTAAAACTGGGCAGGTGTAAATGTAACCAAAGGATCTCATTTACTTAGTAATAGCAAGTTACAAAAAGTTATTGTAAGAACCCAAATAGAGAACTTTAGGGTTTTTAATCAATCATAGTTTGTATTTTTCTTTTATCGTGATGAAAGGTGGTTTTGCTTTTTGAAAGCCTCTGTTTTTTTAAAGATATTGGACCATTATTACTCTAAATAAAGGTAAGTTTGTAAGTTTAGAGTGATGAGCACTGAATCTAGTTTAGGTTATTTCAAAAGCTATTAAATGTGTATATTGTAGTTTTTCAAAATTGTATAATTTTTTCCTCCTTAATACTTGACTGTTTAAAAATGTACAAGAAAATAAATTCCTTCTCTGTTTAGTTTACAGATGATCCAACTCTTGCAATTTGCAACGACAGCGGAGGCTCTGTTTTTGAATTGACATTTAAGTAAGAGACTAGTGGACATTTGTTGACAAATGAAAAGACTAGCTCTGTTTTAATGATTTGAAATTGAACATGAAGAGGACTAGAAAGCCCCTGTAATTGAGAGTAGATTATGACTGTGTATTACAATTACCTGGGAAGGCTTATATTAATAGAACAAACAGAGTTCTGGGCCTGGTCCTCCCGAGTTTTATCTCAGTAGGTCTGAGTTGAGATTCTAGACTCCTACTCCCCAGAAGATTCTTATATGCTGTCAAGCTTGGGACCACTCTTCTGGAATAGCTCACTAATTTTGGTTTAGGCTCAAGGCCCAGTTGATTTTAATCATAATGGGCAGGTGTAAACAGGTTTTTAATTATCTTAGAATTGCCATGTTTGCTCTTTAAGAGCAAAGACTGTCTAGATACATCAAAGAACATTTAGGAAGCAGAGTTTTTTGAAAAGTAGAACATAATATTCATTGAATATTATGTCTCCATAAGTTCTTCAAGGTTAACAACTATCTTTGTTTCTTGTGTTTCTCATAGCTTCTAACAATGCTAAGTACAAAGTAATTTCTGAAAAAAACATACTTCTTATTCAGTTAATGTTTATTGAGCATCTCCTATGTGTAGGTATTTATCTAGATCCCAGAGTTATAGCTGTGAACCAAGCAAAGTTTCTGCTCTAAGAGAACTTACATTCTAGCTGCAGTAAGGGTAAGGAAACAGCAAACCAGCACGTAAATGAAATCACCTCAGATGGATGTAAGTGCTGTGAAGAAAACAAGACAGGGGATTGCACTAGGTTGTACTTGAGGATAATTCTGGAATGCCTTTCTCAGAAGGGGCAACATCTGGAAAAATAACTGAATGGTGAGCCAGTCAACAAATGCACAGATCTGAGGAAAATATTCCAGGCAGAGACCATTCAGACACAAAGACTTTGAGGTGGCCACAAACTTGGCATGCTAGAGCAATGGAAGAAAGCAGGTGTGGCTGGAGTGTGACTTTGTCAGGAACACAATAATGGGAGAGGAGTGAAGGGAGAGCCAGATCATATCCTTTTAAGACATGGGAAAGAGTTTGGATTTTATTTTTTATGTACAGTAGCAAGCCAGTGGACTGTTTTTGGCAGAAAAATAAATGAATCTGACTTGTATAATAAAAAGACCATGCTGCTGTCCTGTGGAGCTTGGATTGTTGGGGGTTAAGGAGGTAGGAGGTAGGAGGCTATGAAAGTAGTCCAGGTAGAGATAGTAGTGCCTTGGATCATTGCTAAATTGATTCTGAATTTTCAAATTGCATTTTCAGGAGAGTGATGGGAGTGAGAACCTGTGAATCTAGATGTCTGTTCAGTGGTTCCAAGGGTGAAGTCTGCTGTATTGAGCCTCTGCATTCTAAGCCTGAGTTGAAAGATCATCCCATCACACAGTTTTCATTATTGGCCATGGCATCCTTGACAAAAGTAAGTGTATTTAGAAGTTAAAACTCAGAACTTTTAGAAGCTTTGAATACCAAATATTTGAAAATTCCAAGGTCAATATTGAAAACATATTTTTCTCTTACAGATACTGGTCATTGGATTGAAACCATCCTTGAAAGTATGGATGACTTTTCCCTATGGCCGGGTGAGTACGTCCCTCCATCTTATTTGCCAAAGGAAGGACCATGTCAGGAGGTTGAGAGAGATGGCTTGCAAGGGGTGAATTCTATGAGATTGTCAGAAAACTAGACAGGATGAAAGTCAGTGCTCCAGAGATCGTTGGCTGGACTTGCCTTAAGGTGATCAAAGCATCATAAAGCTGATGACCAGCACAGTGTCCTAGGGATCATGAGTCTTGTACTTTTCCACTTTATCACTTTAAGCTTTTCTCTCATAGACAGCATACAGTTGGCTTTTGTTCTTAACCTTAACTTGACAGTCCCTGTATATTGCTGTCCTGGTACTCTGTGGTCACACCTAACTTCATGCATGGCATTTCCTAGCTTCATTCGTTGCCCTTCTGAGTGCAGTAAAATTCCCTTATCAGATTTAAAGTTGAAGGATAAGTTGATTTATTGAGTCCAAGCCCTGATTTTCAGTGTTTGAAAGATACTTGTTTTTACATGGCTGCTGTGCTGAGACAGGCTTATACTCACTGCCTGCAGCTTTGGCACTGAACTATGGATAGAGTAGACCCCACTGTAATATGCGCCATAGATTGCTATTACATGTGCTTTCCCTGGCTTCTGCCTCTGATAATTTACTTTGGAGGATGATACTTCCTAGCATGTGTTATTTATATCCCAGTTTTCCCTTTTTTTTCTTCTTGATTGTTTTCAGAGTTGTAATCTTCCAATGTATATATGAGGAGAGGTGTTGATAGGATGGGATGGAGAATGGTGGTACAGAACTCTGGCTGGTGCAGAAAGCGTTCCCTATGGTGAAGGAACTCACTTTTGTTTTCTTGTTGGTACCCTGTGTGTCTCTGGGCCCTAGGGGAAGCAGGTCTATCCTTTCAGATGGCAAAACTGGCTTAGATGGCCATTAACATTTGTTAGATTAGCTTCATTGGCGAATTGAGATTTTTTTCATGGTGTTATGTGTTTGCTTCTTTTTGTATGTTTTTATTGTTTTTTTTCAACATTTTATTATAAACATTTTCAAACAAAATTGAATTTTACATTGAATACTTGTATAGCTACCATTTAAATTCTATAATTAACATTTACTGCCCTTTATTACATATCTGTCCATCTACCCATCCCTCTGTCCACTTATCAAATTATATTTTTTATGTATTTCAAAGGAAATTTCAGAAACCAGTATTCTTTCCCCTAAATATTTAGCATGCATATTATTAGCTAGAGTTTAATACTTCTTTAGGTTTTTCCTTTGGTGTAGAATATACATACAAAGAAATGCACAGATCTTGAGTGTACATTTGCTGAACTTTGACAAATGCTTAACACTTTTGTAACTCAAATGCCTATCAAGATGTAGAACATTACCATCAACCCAGAAAGTTCCCTCATGATACCTCCCAGTTAGTTCTTGCTTTACTGAGAAATTGGGGAAAGTTTTTATCAAGGAACACTAGTCAGATGCTGTTTTTAACCATAGTTTTCTCTTTGTCCCCTTGTTTATTAACTGTGATGATTTTTTTTTTCCATCTCCCTACTTAGATGGATCCTTCCAGTGTGCCACTGCTGGCCTGGCACTTTGTAGCAGTACAAAATTACGTGAATCCCATGCTTGCCTTCTGCAGAGGAGATGTTGTTCATTTTCTATTGGTAAGTCCTAATATGACCATTAGAAAGCCTCTTACAATTTTTTTTATTCATCAGCAATTAATAATGTGTCAGAGAAATTTGTGTTACTATCCTAAGTCTTTGGAGAGAGAGTGACCTATTTAATTTTTATCTAAGGCTTTAATGATTAGCATCGGAAAATGGTGATCACTCTCAGCTACATAACTTCTCATGGTTTATTTCTCAGCTTCATTTCTTTGACTGACAAATAATTAATGGTATATGTAAATGTATAAAGATATGAATGTGAATATGTGTTAATGTATGTGCAACTACATATGTGTGTATTAATGACAGCAAGTATCATTGAGCACCTATTATGTCCTCTACACTGTGATGGGCACAAGCAGCAAAGGAAAGAAGGAAGTATACAACATAATTTCATCTTCCACACAGCTTATAATCTTGTTTGAAAAGCAAAATCAGTGTGTTCATTATTACTACAGAAAATGGTTTAAGGATTGAACTATGTGATGAAAATCAAGCTGATGTAAATTCAGAGTACAAAGTGATTAGTATGGACTAGAGAGAGTATTAATGGCTTTATGAAGGATATACTGCAACTACTGCAGGAAGGGTAGGTATGCATACTGGGGGAAGTGAGATGAACTGAAGTCACAGAGGCAAGAATGTGCCTTTGTATTAATAATCTCTTGCGTTTCCTAGCTCAGTGAAGCAAGTTCACCACTGTCCACCTAGTTTCTCCAGCCAGAAACTTACGAGTTACTTTTCAGTTACCTTTCTCTCTTCATATGTGCTCTATCACCAAGTCCTATTGACTCTACCTCCAAAAATCTCTTGAATTTCTCCTTTTTTGTCTCCCCCATTGCTGTTTCCTTAGTCTAAATCATGTACATGTCTAGCCTGGATTCTGCCATAGCTTCCTAGCTAGTCTCTGGCCTCAGTGCCTTTTACATATACTGTTGCCTCTGCCAGGAAAGTTCTGTGCTATCTTCTGTTGTCTCTGAGCTCATGATTAACATGACCTTCCCTGGCCTCTGAACTAAGTTAGTTACATGCATCTTTTGATAACATTCAGCACTTAAAAAAAAACAAAAGAGGGACGAGGTCTTGCGGGTCTCCAACCAAGGCCCAGGCTGACTCTCGAACTCCTGGCCTCAAGCGTTCCTCCCACCTCAGCCTCCCAAATATTGGGATTACAAGTGTGAGCCATTGTGCTTGGCCACATTCAGCACTTTTAAAATTACTTGTCTAATATTTTTCTTCCCCACTAGACAGAAAGCTCCATAACTCTAGAGACCATCTTTACTGTTATATTTCCAGCCACTAGGACAGTGCTTGTATATTGTAAATATTCAGTAAATGTTTATAGAATTAATGACAAAGAGAAACTTGTGGTGGAAAATATAATTGAATAGATGGGGTGGATTGATAGTAGGGGTTGGCACACTATGGCCCATGCGCCAAATCTGGCCAGCCGTCTGTTTTTATAAATAAAGTTTTATTAGAACATCCCCAATACAACATTTGAGAGTCCTATCTTTACTTTCAACTCAACACATTGAAATATTCCTTAATCATTTTCTTCCTAAACAGTATCTCTTCAAATATTTCTTGATTCTAAAATGTAAAGTCAGAAATGGGATGTTTCATTCATGTCCTTCAGTCTCTAGATCCAATATGATGAGAAGGCTTGTTTTTCCTTGAAAGTATCATCCCTTAACTCTCACTGCAACCAACCCTCTTTGTATAAACACCTTACATGTGCTTTATTATGAGAGAAAAACCTTTAATGTTTCTCCTCCCTTCTGTGTGTATTCTTTTTGCTACTTCAAGACTGATCTTCCTAAAATGTCACTTTAATCCCGTCTTTATGACTTTAATTACTTAGGAACCTGTGATGACTCCATTACCAGTCTAGGCCAATCATTATTAATCTAGATCAGGGGTTAGCAAGCTTTTTGTGTAAAGGGCCACAAAGTAAATATTTTAGTATCTGTGGACCATATATTCTCGGGAAACTGAGAAAGAGTAGGTGACTGCCCTTGGTCACACGGGTATAATAGTGGAACTTAGATATATGGCTCTAGATCCCATGTTCATTTTACCAAAAGATCTTTTCTTAAGGGAGAAGTGATTTAGTGAAGTGAAGAGGGGTCCACATGAAGGGCCCACATTAAGTGGTTTCAGATTTTTGTTAAGATATCAGGTGAGGTCACCACTGTAAGTGATGGGATCAGAAGGTAACTTAAAGGGAAAGACATCTATGATACTACTATGGGGAGTGTGCAAGAAAGCCCAGGTTGAATTGAATGCCATGAATTTCAGGTGGTCGGGTGTATCTTGTGCTTTATATTTCTTCAGTGTTCTGTTACCTTGGAGCAGAAGGGGAAGAAGCAAATTATAAGGATGACTGAGGATATAGAGTGTGTACTTATATACATATAAATAAAAGATTGACACTCAAGGTCCTTTTGGGAAATTTTGGGCTGCAAGAGTTACACAAGGGAACTTCAAAAAGTTTGTGGAAAAATGGAATTAAAAAATAAAAATAAATTTTATTTCTCAACATCAGCTTCATCTTGTTCAAGATACTTTTTAAAGTGATGATACCAGCCATATAGTCCATCCTAAAGAACTGAAGGTCTTGGGAATTTAATCATGCCAATGCAGTCTTTTTCACATTATTAACTAAAGAGAAATGGGTGCCCTTTATAGACTTTTTCTAGATTAGAAGACGAAAGTCACAAGGAGCCAAATCAGTACTGTATGGTGGATCGAATTGCTCTCAAAATTGGCCTTGTGTGATGAGAGCAATGAGCAGGAACATGGTTGTGGTGGAGGACTCTCTGGTGAAGCTTTCCTGGGCATTTGTCTGCCAAAGCTTTGGCTAACTTTCTCAAAACACACTCATAATAAGCAGATATTATTGTTCTTTGTTCCTCCAGAAAGTCAACAAGCAAAATGCCTTGAGCATCCCAAAAAACTATTGCCATGACCTTTGCTCTTGCCTGGTCTGCATTTGCTTTGACTAGACCACATCTGCCTCTTCATAGCCTTTGCTTTGCTTGTGCTTTTTCTTCAGGATCACACTGATAAAACCATGTTTTATCTCCTGTTACAGTTTTTCAAAGAAATGTTTCAGGATGTTGATTCCACATGTTTAAAATTCCCATTAAAAGCTTTGCTCTTGTCTGCAGCTGACCTGGACACAACTGTTTTGGCAGCCATCAAGTAGAAACTTTGCTCAACTTTAATTTTTCAGTCAGAATAGTGCAAACTAAACCAGTTGAAATGTCTGTGGTGTTGGCTGTTGTTTCTGCTGTTAATCGTTGATCTCTTTCAATTAGGGCATGAACAAGATGAATATTTTTCCTCACTAATTGATGGGTATGGTCTACAGCTGCAGGCTTCACCTTCAACATCATCTCCTTCCTTCTTAAAACGAGTTACCCATTTGTAAACTGCTGATTTCTCTGGGGACATTGTTCCCATAAACTTTTATTAAGCATCAGTGATTTTACATTCTTCCACCGAAGCTTCACCATAAATTTGATGTTTGTTCTTGCTTAAATTTTAGCAGAATTTATGTTGCTCTTTGGGGCTCTTTTCAAACTGATGTCTTATCCTTTTTAATGCCTCAAACTAGATCCTTTTCAGACATGTTATAACAAGTTAGTATGAGTTTATTTTGGTGCAGACAATTTTTGAGATCCATGCATAGTTTTTTCATAGTATACATTTTCCATGAACTTTTTGAGTCCTCTCATAATAATATCATAGTTCAGAAAAGTCTGGTTTACATCACTGCAGCATCTCTTTTTCTTTAATGGACTTTTGACTTCCTCACACCATGTCACCTTTCCTTTTTGTACTTTAATTATAGTCATTGATGTGATAAAGTTAGGTTGTTCTGAATTATAACAGAGTGAAAACTATGTCACAGCATTTGTCAGTACTGACAACTAGACCACCCCCAGATATGCCCTGCATTTTGGTGTAAATAATGGAACAAATAATTTTTTTTCTATTTTCATAATCATTTGTGTAATTATCAGTATTTTTGGCTTATCTACAGGGAATGGGATAATGGGTAAATGTGATACTCTAGGTGGAGTATAATTAAATATCTAAAAAAGTCCCTCAAACAGTAGCTGGTTTTTAGGTTGTTTTTATTTCATCATCAGGTAAAGAGAGATGAATCTGGAGCAATACATGTTACTAAGCAAAAGCATCTTCACCTATACTATGACCTCATCAACTTTACCGTGAGTATTATTCAAATTAAATATCCCCATTTAGTTCATGTAATTGTTCTGAATCTATGATATATTAAAGCTACCAGGATTTCTGCCAAGAATTATTACCTTTAAGATCATATGAAATATGGACAGTCCGGCACCGAGGCTCGTGCCTGTAGTCCCAGCTACTTGGGAGGCCGAGCTGGGATAGCTTAAGCCCAGGAGTTCGAGGCTGTAGTGCTCAGTGATCGCTCCTGTGACTAGTCACTGCACTCCAGCCTGGGCAACATAGTGAGACCCTGTCTCTTAAAAAAAAAAAAGTATATGTGTGTGTGTATATATATACGTATATATATGTATGTATACGTATATATGTATATATATGTATATATGTGTGTATATATATGTATATGTATGTATACACACACATACACACACACACACACACACACACACACACACAGAAAGAGGGAGTCCTGGTTATATTGAATAAACTCTGAATGTGGTGTGATGCCACAAATTATTGCCTTTCAGTCTATGTCCTGCTGAACACAGGCAGGATTAGAAATTTAATGTCTTGTTTAGCTCAAAGGGGAGTTTGGCTTCAGAAGAATTTAGGTGAATTTTTTGAGAATCATTGCCTTGCTTTCTCTGTAAAACATTTTTTGTATTTTTGAGCTTTGTCTTCATTGATTCAGCAGCTTGTGCAACCTCTTTTTTTCTTGCGGCTAAAAACTTTGCAGAGCTCTCTTTCTACCATGCATCTCAATCCTGAGTGACTTCTTGGTTTTTTTTTTTTTTGAGATGGAGTCTTGCTCTGTAGCCCAGGCTGGAGTGCAGTGGTGCGATCTCGGCTCACTGCAAGCTCCGCCTCCCAGGTTCAAGCAATTCTCCTGCCTCAGCCTCCCGAGTAGCTGGGACTACAGGTGCCCCCCCATCACGCCTGGCTAATTTTTTGTATTTTTAGTACAGACAGGATTTCACCGTGTTAGCCAGGATGGTCTCAATCTCCTGACCTCGTGATCTGCCCGCCTCAGCCTCCCAAAGTGCTGGGATTACAGGCATGAGCCACCGCACCTGGCCAACTTCTTGGTTTAAAAAGAGATTTCTTTTTGTATCAAATTTTATTTTTTCTCTCTCAAATGGTTCGTTAATTTTGAGAACAATGTAATTATAATATTTCTGGGTTCCCATCATTAATACATTTTAGCACATCAGTGTCTGGTGTCCAGTAACATTCTGTAGATGCATGAATATAGGCAACCCTAAATATAAGGCAATGCCTCATTTTTCTAATAAAAAGAATGAAAAAGTGCTTTTTCCTCAACTTGATAACTGTAATTTTTTAGGATATAGATGAAGTAAATCCTTTCTTTACATGATTTATTGATTTAGTTGTACATTACATTTTTAACTCGCAGACAGTTGTTTAGAAATAATTCTTTCTTCCATACACATTTTATGAAATAATTTTGTTCAGACTCTTAGAAGACATCAGTGTTGTCATCACCAGAACTGTCTTGTTGAATCATGTCATACAGTTTTTCAGAATTTATCATCATAATTTCTGTTTAAGATGTTTGAGATACAGTACTTTAAAAATCTGCAGAAGTGTATGTGACCATTAACTGCATTGTTTTGTAAATTACCCTTAAAAGGCTTATTTACAACAATGTCAACACTTGCAACGCTGCGGGTCTAATCTCAGGAATAATTACTAAACTTATTGAGGTTCATTTTTTTCTGCCATTCTCTTGTTTTCACCAGGTGACCTCTGAGAGTACCTAAGAACTAGCACTGATTAAGGTTGTATAAGGCTAAATAATGTGATTTTTCCCAGAAAATACTTTTTCTAAATAAAATAATTAAGAGAGCACCTTATAAGAGCTTTCTGTAAAAGATTTGCATATCAAACTCCCTGTTTTCTGAAAGATATTTTTTAGAGGAGGAGAGGGGAACAAACTCTTCCCTTAGAGTGGCTAATATACAGTAATAGAGTGTATTTTTTAGCATTTTCAACTGGTTATCTTTAATTGGACATTATGCAAATAATATCTGATGACATGGAATAGAACATACAAATACACCAGCATGAATACCAGAGACATAAAGGGCAGGGGACGCACTTCGTTCTGGCGACTTCTGAATTCTGATTGAGCAGATTTTAAGATTTATTTCTTGGGAAACGATTGGGATTGCCAAAAAAAAATTTGAAAATAAGAAATCTGATTTTATACATAACCCAAGAAATTTGTTAAAATGGCATCCTTCAGAAGATTTTTAAAGTTATTATTGTTAATACTTTTAACATTATAATAGTACTTATTAAAGAAAATTTGGGAGATACAGAGAAATAGAACAAAGGACTCTCATAATTTTAAGAGAGATTTTGAAGGAAGTAGATTGTTAAAATAGCTTCTATTTTAAAATATGTATTGTTTCAGTGCTAACAATTGTCCTCTGACCAGCTAGGTTTATCGGCTTTACTTTGTTCTTTTGTTTCAGCAATATCAGAAAAACTAGAAATGCAGAGTTTGTCATGATAATGAAGTCATTTGTGCCAATTGCTTTAAAAAATCTTTTATAAAAAACGATATGCTCTAATCCACCTACAGCTTTTAGTCTTCTTTTACACTATGAAAGTGTCATTTTAACATTTTCAAAAGTCAGTAGTATATTGTACCTACTGTTCTCTGGCCTGTCACTGAGTAGTTCTTGCTTTGATTGTGTTGCCATGTAAATTGTTAAATGGATCAAGTCCTCAATGTAATTTAATCGAGCAGCCAAGCTTTCTTCTTGACCCAAATGATGAAGCGGGTGTGGTCTCACTTTTGTTTTGTTGTGTGCTTGAATTACAGTGGATAAATTCACGCACAGTTGTGCTCTTAGACAGCGTAGAGAAGTTGCATGTGATTGATCGGCAAACACAAGAGGAATTGGAGACAGTGGAGATCTCAGAAGTTCAGCTGGTCTACAATAGCAGCCATTTCAAATCACTAGCCACTGGAGGAAATGTTAGCCAGGCACTGGTAAGGATAATCACTTATCTTGCTATCCTAGAAAATACTTTGATAAACTTGGTATTTTGTTATAGTTGTTTTAGAAATAGGAACTCTGGGGAGTTACCTTTTTCTGTCTTGAGGTGTTTCTTTACAAGCCACTAGGTTGAAGTGGGTGTGGATGTGCTTATAAGTGTTTGGGAATACAAGCTAAAACAATCATTTTTCTTCCCTTCTATTCAGAAATGTGACTTATTTTACTTAATAACAAAGAGTTTTAATTTTTATACTAAAATAATGACGTATAATGGAAAATTTGTGAGAAAAATTGTAAAAATCAAAATATTTTTAGAAAGCTTAATTTGGCAGTAATAAGCCTGATAGATTTAAGGGATAAATAACTACAGACAGGTACTCTATGAGGCTTTGGAAATATTTGGGTGATAATGGTAAAGGCTTGAACAGGTATGGTAGCTGTGGGTATTAAAAAACAAAGATGGCTTTGAGAGAAAGAAGATATTCTAGAAATAGGTGATAGATGAGATGCAGGAGCCTAGAGAGAAGGAGGACGCAACAAAGTTATGGCCTTAGCATTAATTTTATTGTATCATTAAGCAACTACAGTAATGGCCTTAAGCAATTTCCACAGATAGTTTATAGTTCAGTCACCTTGAATTGTGATCTCATGTTCCTAAACCACAAATCTTTAAGTAGGAAATTTAGACCATTGTGCGAACTTCCTTGGATAATTTTTTGAAAAAAATAGTAATGATGGTCATATTTAATGAGTGACTACAGCATGATGTGTAGGCTTTGCTCAAATCTCCTTCATATTATAACTTCAGAGCATAAAATATATATGAAAGGGTCTTCCAGCCTCCCACTTTAAAAACCAAGAAAAGTCAGAATAAGAAATGATAGTGTAATATAATTCACTAAGTGATAATAATAATTACTGTTCCATACTTTATTTTCTTGTGTTTGAATGGTATTAAAAATACTAGTGGACTTTGAACTTGTACTTTTAGCCAAGAGGGAGTTATGGGGAATCAGATTTACTCTCCTGCTTGAAATAACCCAGGAAGAGGAAGGAGAAGGAGAAGGGAGGGGGAGGGGAAGGGGGAAGGAAGAAGAAGAAGAAAAGTAAACAGCAGTTCTTAAGACACTGGACATCTGTAGTGATGGACAGCAATCTCTCACCAAATGGGGAACAAATGCTGTGAACTCTGTGATTGTCCTAGCTTCCAGCCTTGAGAGAGCATCTGGGCTGTGGAGGAACCCAAATGGAGCCTGGAAGACTCCATGATTTGAGAAGACAGAGCCAAGTTGCAGGAAGACAAAATTGGGTTGAGTTTGCAAGAGAGAGTACTGGAGAAAAGAGCACTATGAAAGAGTCCCTCTTGAGTGTTCCTCAGACTCCTAATCAGCAAATGCATAGAAGGAAATTGCCCAAGGACCAGGGAAGAGCCATTTGAAAGGTTTAGAGGGAACCGTATCTAGTGCTCACACAGGGCTGAAAACAGTGCTTGTTACACCAGCTAGAATGGAAAGCTTCATGATTCACAGGGCATTGGGTAGAGTACTTAGAGGCATCTTGCCTCATTAGGACTAGAATAAATGGCGCACTGGTCCCAGCTAACACATCTTAAAAGTAAGACCAGAAAGGATCAAACTGTTTCCAAATCACTTATCTCCTAGAAGAAAACACAAGAATATTAATAGGAATACAGAAAGATCCAGAAACCAACAAGGTAAAATTCACAATGTCTCCCATCCAATTAGAGATTACTAGGTATGCAAAGAAGAAAAACAACCTATAACAAGGAGAAAAATAAAAACTAAATCACACCTGACATAAATGTTAGAATTAGCAGACAAAGACATAGTAGTTATTATGACTATACTCTTTAGTTAAAAAAGTTAAGTAGAGACATGGAAGATATTTGAAAAGATGCACATCAGACTTCTAGAGATGAAAACTATAGTGCTTATAGATGAAAAAATGCGCTAGATGGGATTAATGGCAGATTAGGCAATACAGAAAAAACGATTCATGAATTTGAAGATACAACAATAGAAATTATACAAAATGAAACGCAGGAAAATAATTTTAAGAAATAGTATTAGTGAACTGTGAGACCACATCAGATAGCCTAATGTACGTGCAGTTAAAATCTCTAAAGGAGAGAAGAAATTGGAAAAACTAATGGTCAAAAACTTTTCTAAAACTGTAGACACACACATTTAAGAAGCTCAGTGAACCCAAGCACAACTAAAATAAACTGTATACGAATTGATCAAAATTAATGATAAGTAGAAAAATTTTAAAGCAACCAGTGGGGAAAAAAAGACACATTAAATGCAGAGGAGCAATAATTATGAGAACCCATTTCTCATCAGACAGTCAACAGTGATCTGTAAAGATTTAGAAGTGGACAGTGAGCACTTAAAGAGCTGCTCAACATCATTAGGTATTAGGGAAATGCAAATCAAAATCATAATGAGATACTGCTTCACACCCACTGGGAAGGCTATCATAAAAAAAAGAATAACAAGTGTTGGCAAGGATGTGGCGATATTGGAAGCCTCATACATTGATGGTGGGAAACTAAAATGGCGCAAATGCTGTGGAAGATAGTTTGGCACTTAATTAAAAGGTAAACATTGAGGCCAGGCGTGGTGGCTCTTGCCTGTAATCCCAGCACTTTGGGAGGCCGAGGCGGGAGGATCACCTGAGGTCAGGAGTTCGAGACCAGCCTGGCCAACGTAGTGAAACCCTGTTTCTACTAAAAATACAAAAATTAGCTAGACTTGGTGCTAGGCACCTGTAATCCCAGCTACTCGGGAGGTGGAGGCAGGAGAATCGCTTGAACCCAGGAGGCAGAGGTTGCAGTGAGCCGAGATGGTGCCACTGGACTCCAGCCTGGGGGACAGAGTGAGACTCCATCTTAAAAAAAAAAAAAAAGTTAAACATTGAATTACCAATCTGACTCAGAAGTTCTACTCCTAGGTGTGTTTCCAAAAGAGTTGAAAACACACGCTTATATAAAAACTTGTATATGAACACACATAGCAGTATTATTGTTAATAACCGAAGAGTGAAAACAATCTACATATTCACTAACTGGTAAAGGGATGTACAAAATGTGGCATAGCCATTTAATAGAATACTGTTCCACAGTAAAAAGTATGACAGCTGATACTTGGCTACAACATGGATGAATCTTAAACATACTAAGTAAAAGAAGACATGCAATAAGAGCACATTTTGTTTAATTCTATTCATATAAAATGTCCAGAAAAGGCAAATGTAATTTATAGAGACAGATGTACATTAGTGGTTACCTGGGTTTGGAGGTGGGAATGGGAGTGACTACAGGTGGGTACAAGGATCTTTGCAGAGTGATGATAATGTTCTCAAAATGGATTTTGATAATGGCTGAACAACTGTACATTTACTAAAAAATCATTGAATTCTGTGCCTAATGAGTGAATTTTATGGTGTGTGTTATATCTCAGTACTGTTGTTTAACAAAAGCAATTGACTGTTTAAAACAAAAATAATGTGTTGTGAAGTTTATGATCTATAGAAGCAATATATATAACAAAAATAGTATGTAGCGCTGGGATGTAGGAGATGAAAGTACATCATTGCAAGGTTCTTACAGTATATGCCAAATATTATTTAAATGTAGACTGAGATAAGTTACACATTGTAAACTATAATCACTAAAAAAGACGTGTAACTAATAAGTCATTAATAGTGATGAAATGTTAAAAAATATATTAAATACAAAGGAATTTTTTTACCTTTTTTGTATGTATGTTTTTCTTCCAGGCTTTGGTTGGAGAGAAGGCTTGTTATCAATCCATCAGTAGCTATGGTGGTCAGATCTTTTATTTGGGGACAAAAGTAAGCTCTTTTACTCTGTGAGTTGGTATTTGTATGTATCAGGGTAGTTGAGGCTGAAGGAGATTGCTGGTAAAGAGGGCAGTATATTGCAAAGTGAATATTGGTCAGCAATTATCCTAAACCCTTTGTGGTTAGGTAGGCATGATTTTTAGTTAATTATTTTTTTCCTCTACTTTTAGACATATTCTTTACTTTTGTTTAGGTGCTGGCTAATAGGATGCTTATTTTCTTGATTCAGAGATGTGCTTTTGTAAGCTTCCTTCACGTTTATGTTTTTATGACCAGGCAGCTACCTAATCATGGATATTTGTCATGTACTTAAGATGGCTGTTAGCTTAGATCAGCTTAGGATGCTGATTAAAATGTATTGAGGTATTTGACTTAGAATAGAATTGTTGGAATAGGAACTTTCTGTACCTCAATTTATCTCAGTTTGTTCCTGTGCTTTTTAAAAAACATGGAGAAACATTTCTTCATTATTAAAATTTAACCAAAATATTGCCAAGTCAGTAGAGGGAAATGAGCTTGGGCTTTCCTTGCTTCTTGTCCATGGAATTAACTCCTTCTTGGACTGTAGACCTTTAAATAGACTTACTCTTTAATGTGAGTTCTAGGCCAGATGCGTTGCCTCACACCTGTAATCCCAGCACTTTGGAAGGTCTTGGCGGGCAGATCACATGAGGCTAAGAGTTCAAGACCAGCCTGGCCAACATGGCAAAACCTTGTCTCTAGTAAAAATACAAAAATTAGCCAGTTGTGGTGGCAGGTGCCTGTAATCTCAGCTACTCGAGAAGCTGAGGAATGAGAATCATTTGAACCCCGGAGGTGGAGGTTGCAGTAAGCCAAGATCCCGCTGCTGCACTCCAGCCTGGGCAACAGAGCGAGACTCTGTCTCAAAAAAAAGAAAAGCGTTCTTGAAGACCCATTAGTAAATTCTAAGATATACTTCTAACTGTAGTATGAAATGTTTTACTTAAAGGGATATCAAATGAGATGTGGGACTAGGACAAATGTATCTCCCAAAGAAGTCTGTTAAGGGTGATCATTTTAATTTCCATCTCTTTACTTTCCAGTCTGTTTATGTGATGATGCTGAGGAGCTGGAGAGAGGTGAGTTCCAAGTAATTTCACATGTCAGAGTTACTGAATTGGTAGCTTCTTAACATTTCTGTTTTGACTTTTCAGAAGAAGATTATTTGGTAAGCTTCTTAATTTCAGAAGTGTACAAGAAAACCATTATAGCTGTTAGGTACTTGATTTGCTAGAACTGACAGTATAAGTTAGAATTAGGTTTGTCTACATATATTAGAAAATTCAAAATAATAGTGGCTTAAATAAGATTTCTCTGTCATGTAAAAGCACCTGGAGCTAGGTGGTCCGCAGCTCTTGTAGGAATTCCATAAGCTTAAGCGTGCTGTCCTGTTCCACCATGTTTGTCTTTGAATTCTGGTCTCAGGGCCATTTTATAATTCAGTATGGTTGCTAGAGCTCCAGCTGTTACCACATTTTAGGAAGGAAGAAAGAAAAATAAAGGCTGTCTCCTACCTCTTAAGATGACATCCCAGAAATACCAGACAACACTTCCACTTATCGTTAGCCAGAGCTCAGTCACATTGTTCCCAGTGGCTACAAGGTAGTCTTAGAAATATCCTTCAGCTGGTATATTGCTGTCTCAAATAAGCTTGGGGTTTGTTACTACCAAGGAGGAGGAAATCAATGTTGTGATAAACAACTAGCCATTTCTGCTACAATGGCATTCCAGCTATTTCCCCTTTTCATATTTAGGCCCCGTGGCTCTCTATACTAGCATATATAGTCATTATACTATCTAGTGCTTGAAGATATTATTTTTCTTTGAAACAAGATATTCACATAATTATTAAAATAATTTTAGCCACTAAGCAGCAACTTCTGGAAGGATTTTAGGTGGAATAGGAATTCTGACTGGTGACTGGTCAGACAAAGGGGCCTGGTTTCTCTCATTTTTCCGTTTTAGAGAGTGGATCATCTCCTGAAACAAGATTGTCTTACAGAAGCGTTGGCTCTTGCGTGGTCTTTCCATGAAGGAAAAGCAAAAGCAGTAGTGGGTGAGTAGGCAGAATTCCAGTGTAGTAGACGTGGTTCTCCTGGAGTAGAGGGAATGGTTAGTACTAACCACTCATAGGACACTTTTAGCTGAGTGTCGAAGTGTTTATAAACAGGATGCTAATTAAACCTTATAGACTTTCAGTTAAGAAGGTTAATGTGACAAATAATGTGACAAATAGAGGGTATAGAAATTAAAATGTCGCTTTTAAAATTATTTTGTAAGGAAATTACTATTGGAATGAAAGAGAAGTACATTGATATGCTATCCGGTCCAGTAGATTTGAGGTGTTCCTATTATGGTGTATTATCCAACATTTTGATAGCTAAGAATTGTTACAATTATACCTGTTGTTTCACATCTTATAAATATGAAACCAGACATAGTTTCACTCCTAAAGATGTGGACTAACTTTTGTTTTTTTGTTGGATTTTCCTTCTCTGCAGGATTATCAGGGGATGCCAGTAAGCGAAAGGCTATTGTTGCAGACCGGGTGAGTATTTTAAGAGGGTCTTTACTAGAATACAGTGCAGATTTGCTTTTGTCATTTGCCAGTATCTTTGGGCATGAGTAGATAAATGGCTACAATCTAGAAGAGAGTGTATTAAAAAACACACACACACACAGACACACACTTGGGGTCAGGGGTTCAAGACTAGCATGGGCAACATAGCAAGACCCCGTCTCTAAAAAAAAATAGAAAGATTAGCCAGGTATGGTGGTGTGCACCTGTAGTCCTAGCTACTTGGGAGGCGAGGCCAGAGGATCACTTGAGCCTAGGAGTTTGAGGCTACAGTGAGCTATGATTGCGGCACTGCACTCCAGCCTGGGCAACAGAGTGAGACCTGTATCTAAAAAAACAGTCAGGTTATAATTCCCTGTGTCATCTTGAATACTTTTAAAATTCCTTCTTAATCACCTTTTCTTTTTTCCCTTGCTCACTCTTTTATGAAGATAATAAAGTACATAGCCAAAAGACAGCAGGAAGGAGGAGGAAGAAAACCTGGGAATCTGGATTATTTCTGAACCAAGTAATAGCCCACAGAAAATTGACATTTGTTAGTTTTTATAAACTTACTAGTAATTATGAGAACTAGTGTATGTGCAAATGTTTGTGTTGCCCAGAACTAGCAGAGAGGATTAATGTTTTAATGTTATTATTAATTAGCATCAATATAATTGATGCTAATATTTAATATTGACCTTCTGTTCCTACTCTAGACTGGGCTGAATTAATTGACTATAGGATTCCCTCCCTTTTGTTGTGTAAATGCATTGGTAAAAATTATATTCCAAATTAGTATAAACATTTGTGGAAAACCTGGATAGAAATTGGTTACTCCTTAGACTCCGAATGATTTGCTCATCTGTGCTCTTTAGGGAAACACCTACAGCGAGGATTACTGAAGAACTTGAATGTTTCATTTCCTGAGCAGTATAGATGCCACTGAGGTCTAGAACATGGAGATATTTCTTAAGAAAGATTAGCAAATTAGTACTAGCCCTGAGACTGGAAGAAATGAGGCTAGAGTTTTAAAAAGTTGGTAAATAAAGCCACTAAAATTTTCAGTTAAATTTTAATAACAAATTCTAATTATGTATTATTTAGGAGAGCCACATACATATTGAAAAACTTTAGAGATATATTTTAATGTCTATGCCAGGCTGTTTTCCTTACAGATGGTAGAAATCCTATTCCATTATGCAGATCGAGCTCTGAAAAAGTGCCCAGACCAAGGAAAAATCCAAGTGATGGAGCAGCATTTTCAGGTACACATTGCATGTGCTTCCAGTAGACGATGCTCTGGATAGGTCTAATACTCCTCTTTTATGTTACTTGAGAATGTGACTTTCATTTTTGGTTAAACATTTTTTTAGTATTCAAAACTTTATTTCAGGGCTTGTAGAACATTCTAAATGATTATATTTTTAAGTAATGGGTATAAATGAGTAAAACGTTGTGGAGTGTTACTTAGCGCTTAGCTGCTTAGTGGCGTGTGGAAGGAAAGGATATACGTGTGAAGATCCTTTGCTGTAAACTGATACCTTATAGTGGCTGACATCCTGCTCGTCTAATATTTATGTTAACCAGGTTATTTAGTACTGCCAAGGTTTAAATTTAGTTCTCCTAGGAGCACCTATGACTTAAGAATAATAGATCAATCACAAATATATATATATATATAAAATATGATCTATAAAATATGCTAATGAAAGACCTTTAGTTTATCTTGGAACTTAATGAAAATGAAAGCCAAAGAACAATGTAGACGTGTATGTATTTATTATGCAGGTTTTACTTTCTGCAGTGCTCTCCAGTTATATTTGTTGCAAATTGCTGTTCCCCATTCCTACTACTCCCTTCCCTCTGCCTACCTCCTCTTTTAACAAATATTTGAGTGTCCAATACAGGGATCAGCAGACTTTTTCTAAAAAGACTCAGATAGCAGAGTTTAGGCTTTGCAGGCTACAGTGGTCTCTGTCACATCTTTTTCTTCCTTTCTTTTGTTTTTTGATTTTTTAAGCAACCCCTTAAAATTGTAAAGTCCATTCTTAGCTGTGAACAATACAGAAACAGGCTATGGGCAGGATTTGGCTAAAGTGTGCGTCCCGTGGTCTGATATGTACTTGGCACTGGGCAATAGTAAAATTTACATGATCTTTACTATCTTAAAGTTTGTAGTCTAGTCAAAATAATGGGTTTTTTTGGTTTACATTAATGGACATATTTAGAAGAAATCTAGGGATTTTGAAGTTCTAAAGAGTAGGCACAGGTCCTATCTTTTCATATTCTATTTGATGCTTGTAACATTGGAAGACAAGAATAGATATGGCAGTTAAGAGTTGGCTGGTATCAGAGAAGCATTTGGCTTCCTGAACTGTGCTGTTCAATGCCATGCTAGTGAGCTTCTGGTAGAGTAACTGTTATTACTCTGTTTGGCTGGATGCTTATTAAATTTATCAGTAGAGAAGGAGAAATAAGCCTAGATAAAGTTATAAAAATAAATAACTTAGGAAGAAGACATATGGTAGAAAGAAAGCATTTGGGAACAAAACTGTTTGGAAACAATACTTTATATATAAGTACTTGTGTATACCAATGCAGTATAGATAGAAAACTTAATATTTGTAACAAGAATATACCTATCACCAAGAGGTTGTAGGAACTCTGGCCTTTGGAAGGTATACTTTGTTGAAAAAAATCATCTAGTAGAAAAAGCTAGGAGGGGTGAATGGAATGAGTGTGTATGTGTGTGTGGAGAATATAGAAACCACAGTGTTGGGGGAAAACGTGGTAGAGAGCTTCTTTCTAAAAGATGAAAGGAACAAAGGTGACGTTCTGATGGAGAAATAGTAAAGAATCTCAGATACGGGAACTGTAGATGGTGGTTTCTGATGCATTCCTGTAGATGGTGGTTTCTGATGCTGACTGCAGAACGTACAGAGATGCATTACTACTAACAGATGTTAGTAGTAATGTGCTCTGTAACCATCTAGCTTCCTGTTAGAAGTCTCATTCTGTTGGTAAGAGTATCTGATAAAATTTTTGATTTTTCAGTGATTAGTCTCATAGGAGGTGAAGGAAACAATGGAGGGGACTATTTCTCTGGATTTAATTTTTACTAATGATTGGGGAAGTAGAAGAGATAGACCCTTGAGAGAAAAATTATCACTTTATTTTAACAATCATAATAATGATGAAAAATATACATAGCATGAGTCCTCTATTTCAGAAAGCAAATATCTCAGAAAAAAATATGGGCACAATCACATGGCTACAGGCTCCAAAAAAAGAATGGGTTCACAAGGAACAGGAAATTCTAAAATTTCAACCATTCAAGGAGAAAGTAATGTTGAAAGAAGGTTCTATCTGCAAATCACAGAACATCTATAAATATGGAGAAAGGCATATAACTAAAGATACATACCAGAAGTATCATGAACTTGTAAGACTGTCAGAAAGGAGAATGATATGGTCCAGACTGTGCCTACCACAATGCTGTGGAGTACAAAATAGGGATTTTTAACAAAGATTTACTGAGCACATACGATGTGCCAGATACTATGTAAAGTATGTGACATGTATTTTTATTCTCAAAACAACCTAAGGCAGTAGGTGTCATTTTTAATCCCCATTTTATAGATGAGGAAACAGGCTTAGAGGAGTGAAGTGAAGTTCCAAGGTAATATTGCAGTAAATGGTGGAGATGGGACTCATATCCAGGTCTTTCTGACTTCAAAGCCCAGTTCTTAGCTAATCATTGTATTATACTGTTATTTTAAGAGCAAGCACAGGGAGAAGATGAGTGAGAAGGGGTGATGTTAATAAATCACCAAGAATGAGAATTACAGCAAGCATCTAAACTGTTTAATACTTAACTGTGTGGCAGACACTGTTACAGACCCTTTATGCATATTTATTAACTCATTTAATTCTTATCATAACTCTGTAAGGTGGCTACTGTTACTATTCACATTTGTAAATGATGCCGAGGCACAGAGAGGTTAAATTATTTGTTCCAGGTCACAAAGCTAATAAATGAGAGAGCTAGAATTTGAATTCAAGCAGTGGGCTTCAGGGTTTACATCCAGACTGCCACACTATACCACAGAACAATGCTCCTCATTTTGACTCCATTTTCATGACCACAGAGAATGGTTTTAAAGTGGAAAAGTCCAGATAAGTGTATTAAAAAACTGAAGCCGACCATATGTAATGTGTAATATCATTATGATTGTTCAACTCTCAAGACCCAGTAGAATTATAACCCATGATACTGTTGAAACAATCTGGGCCAACATGAATAATTTGCAAGTAACTTTGCGTCAATTTTCAAATAAGGCATTCTTGATTAAGTGTGGAGTATATACAGGGAGACACAATTTATTCCATTCAGGAGGACAGTTTTCTCTGGAAAACGTGACCTTCAGTGCATTAGGATAGGTGAAGTGCATGCACCGTCAGCCACAAATCCGTTGTTTTGTTTAATCATATTTAATCATAAAATAATTATATAGGTTGACTTTTAAAGTGTTTTTTTTTTTTAAGTAGAGTGGACTTTGGAGACTATCTGCTGACATCCCCAGTGTGAATTGTGAAGGTTTTCCTTGAATTCATCTCAAAACAACCATGTTAAACTCATATAATTACCTTTTTGAAAGGAATATAAAGATAGTATATTCCTGGAATGCCTGTGACGTAACATAATTGATTTCATTAAAGCATTTGCCTAATTTTTCCATTATCTTTGTGGCTGGAATAGATTAGTAAATAGTAAATAGATTTGCAGCTAGATAAATATTTCTACCCAAAAATATTCTTTGGTGGCTTAGTATTAATTACATCCTAGGACTCTTTCATACCCAAGTTTTTATCATTGATTTGGGTGAAGATTTAGTGACTGGCCTGTCAAATCTAGGTAGCGCCAAGAATCAAGGTTCAAAGTGATCTTGACAAGAAAGTGCAATCAAAATCATCATGAGTTGAAATTTAATGAAGATTAACATCAAGACTTAGATTCATTAGATTGAAATAATCAAATTACGTGAGTACTGGATTGGGAAGATCTAGGTGGACAGGGTTTTAGTTGACCATAAACTTAGTATGAGCCAATTGTGTGTTAAGACTCAGATACAGGAAAGTACTGGTACTACTGGGCTGCCTGTTTGAAATAAAACTGCTAAGGCATTTTGTAGGCTGTTGATAAACTCAGCCACATCCCACAACTGAGATGGTGGAAGGTTTTAAAAACAACAGTTAAAAAAAATACTGGGTTGTTTAATCTGAGGAGAAAGTAAGTGGAGACATCCCTGCCTAGAGATGGTAGAAGGCTGTCCTATGGGATTAGCCGTATTGCTCCAGAGGGAAGGCCTAGTATATAGTGGGTGGAAATCAGGAGATGTATTTCAGTTTAAAATGACCTACTTATGATGTAACAGCTCTTGGATTTATGCATCTCTTATTATGGAATGTATTCAGATAAAGGCAGGATGACCAACTGATGGAAGTGTTTTTAAAACTTTTTTTTTTTTTTTTTTTTTGCTCAGTGGGAAGGTCTCAGATTCTGTATCTGTCTCAAGAAGCTATTATTGGAGACATAAGTAACCTCTAATTCGGTTAGTTGAAATTCCTATTAAGACTGATCTCTGTCACAGTCAAAATACTGAGAATTTGTGTTTTACCAGCAGGTGGCACCTCCTGCCTGCTGCCTCAATTTTAATCTTTACCCTTGGTGAGGAACCTCACCTTTTCCTTAGAGTCAGAATATGTAAGGCTATTCACTATTTTTGCTTTTCTCCAAAGATCAATCAATATTTGTCCTGTCTTAGTTATAGAAAATAACTTTTGGATCTTGTCACATTTTGGACAGGTTGTGGCTTTTATTTATCTGAGAAAAGATTTCAACCTATAATTATAATTTATTTGTATCATAATTATTATGGTAGGATAAAAAGGAATTACAGTGTTTTCTGTCTCATACATCTTGAGACTTGCCTTTTCTTCTGGCTTTCCTCATATGCGTTTATATATGTTCAAGTGTTTCCCACCCTAAAACTAAGTCAAGCAGCAAACAAATTCTTTTGTTTGCCTCACGCCGTCTCTAATATCCTATGCTTTCTTGTTCACCCATTCTTTATAGAGCCAGACATCTTACAAGAGCTGTCTCTGGCCAGGGATGATGGCTCACACCTACAATCTCAGCATTTTGGGAGGCTGAGGCGGGTGGATCACTTGAGCTCAGGAGTTTGAGACAGCCTTGGCAACATAGTGAAACCTTGTCTCTACAAAAAAAAAAAAAAAAAATTAGCTGGGAATGGTGGTGCACAGCTATAGTCCCAGCTACTCTGGAGGCTGAGGTGGGAGGTTCACTTGAGCCCGGGAGGTTGAGGTTGCACTGAGCCAAGATCACGGCACTGCACTCCAACCTGGGTGACAGAGCAAGACCCTGTCTCAAAAAAAAAAAAAAGAGTTGTCTCCATTTCCTTACCTCCTTCTCATCCCTTAACCTATTCCATGTCTATAAATTCTGTGGACCCTTTTATTTCTCATCTTACTGGTCCTCAGCAGCATTCAGCACATGAAGACTTCTTGAAATAGTCTGTCCATTTTTGGCTTCCCTGATATCATGCATTCCAGTTTTTTCCCTACCTCTCTGACTGCTTATTGATTCTCTTTGTTTATTCTTCTTCCTTTTCTTTACTTAACCAAGAAATGTTAGGATTCTTCACAATACCCTTCTATTTTTATATCAATGTTTGTCAAGATGTCTGTGTACCATTTACTTCAAAATCATTTGAAGATATTTGTTAAAAATGCTTTTTTTTTTTTAATTTCCCAGGCCTACTGAATCAGACTCTCTGGGATTGGTGACCAGGATTTGTAGTCAGCTTTCAAGATGTCCCTTAAGCACATTAAAGTTTACAAATCACTGCTTTACATTCTTCCCTAGGTGATATAGGCACATGGCTATCTAACCAGTGTTAACAACCTAGATTGCTCTTCTGAATTCTGAGGTCTATAGAGTAAGTTGCCCATTTACATTTCTGCTTGGATGTTTTGTAGGTACCTCAGACTCTGTTTCCTCACAAAGCCTTTTCTGAGGATTCCTGTGTTAGTGAGTGGATCCACCATGCACCTAATGCAAATTGGGTGATTCTTGTCTTTTACTTGTTCCTGGCTATTCTGCCTCCTGACAGTTTCTCTCATCTGTTTCCACCATGCTGTTAATTCTGCCACTATCCTAGTCTAAGTGCCCATCATTTCCCTCTTGGTATATTATAGAATTCTCCAAATCGATCTCTTTGTACACATTCTTACTGTACTTCATTTCATTTTCTACACAGCAGCCAAAGAGAAATGTATATCAAATCTAGATATGATGCTTTCCTAATTTTAAAATATTTTAAGGACTTCCTATTGTTTCTGAGGTAGAGACTAAATTCCCTAACATTTTCTAAGGCTCTGCATGGTCTACGCTTGCCTAACTGCTCCTAATTCTCTGTATTGCTGTTATACTAGAGTTCTTTCCAGTGTCTTAACATCCCTGTTCTCTCTTTACCCAGAGCCTTTGTGCACAGTGTTCTCTCTGCATAAAAAATCCTTTCTCATTTCTTTGTAGCTCAACTAGCTCTGTTTATTTTCAGGTCTCAGTGTAATTGTCCCCCAGATTAACTCAGATCCATTTCTTTCTAAAATACTATGCACTGAAGTCACTCATTCAATGTCAGTTTTCTGCAGCTAGCCTATGTATGTTTAGGGACCTGTGTAAGTTTAGGAACATGTCTGTTTTTTGTCATTGCCGTATGCCCAGCATCTGGTTCAGTGTCCTTGATAAATAGTTGTTGAGAGAATTTTTAAAAATATATGAACTTATGTTGTAGAGCTTGCTTTGAAAGCATGCTTTCAATTTAAGAGGTTTGAGCTAAGAACCAAATGTAGGACTTAGTATTTGCAACACATATGTCATAATGATGGCTCATGTGGTGTGCTGTATGCCTGATGGCTATCTTATTTAGTCCTTATAACGTACTTGAGGAGTGCTTATTATTTACCTCCATTTTCCAGAGGAAATAGACACACAAAGGGGTTGAGTAACTTGCCCAATATCATTGAACCGGTGAATAGAACCACCATAGATACACACCCAGGCTGCCTGGCTCAGGAGCCTCGACCCTGTACTGTACTATGTTTCATCCCACAGTTTATTCTTTGATAATCTCAGACCAATGTGTTGTTATGTAACTCACTTTGAAACAGAGAGGACTAAGTAATTTATGAGTTTTGGGAGGATATTGAAATATATGAAAAAGAAAATACAAATGAATTTTAGCATAACCATGGTAAATATACCTGAACAATTGACTGATTTGAGTTGCTAGCAGTGTTTTCAAACTAAGAAACCACTGCTAATCAGTTAACTGTGGAAACAGTATTTTGGGTTATTTTATTTTGCTATGCTTAATATATGTGTTTTTATTTGTTTTTGAAACAACGTAGAGGTATAAATAATGAGGCATTTTAATGCTGTAATGTGAATCAAGCTTAAAGGATTTGAAAAATAATATAATTTTAAAAGACCCTTTTTTTTTTTGAGATGGAGTCTCACTCTTGTCCTCCAGATTGGAGTGCAGTGGCATGATCTCGGCTCACTGCAACCTCTGCCTCCCGGGTTCAAGCTATTTTCCTGCCTCAGCCTCCTGAGCAGCTGGGATTACAGGTGCCCGCCACCACACCCAGCTAATTTTTGTACTTTTAGTGGAGATGGGGTTTCGCCATGTTGGCCAGGCTGGTCTCAAACTTCTGACCTCATGATCCACCCGCCTCGGCCTCCTAAAGTGCCGGGATTACAGGTGTGAGCCACTGCGCCTAACCTAAAAGATCTTAATGAAGCCTTATGTTAATCGTTACTAAGCTCTCCTTCCAGCTTCATTTCACATTTCTATGAGGGTCAGATAATTCAAGGCTATTTTTGTAGCAGCTGTAGGCATATATTTTTGCATTAAGAGGTAATGTCAAAGAGTGGACAGTGACTACAAGCCAAACACAGAGCGAGGCAGTAGGAGCTTTCCTTGTCTAACCCATACCTCCTCTGAGAAGATTTGAGGAGAGGAAAAGAGTGTTGATGTCTAGCACATTGCCCTATCCCTGAGGCTTGATTAAAGTGCTGGTTCTGAGGAGTCAGGTCTTTCCTAGATTATTTTATCATCATACCTGAAAGAAGAAAAGAAAAATACATACACACATATACATGCAGAGAGATAATCTAATCTATATTGCTGTTTGGGATGTTTGTATACCAATCCTGGGGATACCAGCTGCCTAGCTCTGGTAGCCTGTGGAGATTTATCTGTGTGTGTATATCTGTGTGTAGATAGATATGTTTATCTGTTTTGGTGTATGCGTGTATACATATGTATGTATATATAATTTTGAATCATTTTCACACAGTCAAGTTTTCCTTATCTGATAGTCTTTTAGAATATAAATTAAGAGAATTAGTACCATCGCTCCAAAAAGCAAAGGAATCTGCATCTGTTATTTCTTTTCAAATCATCCCATGAAATAGGGAAAACCAGAGATTATGTCTTCACTTCACAGATGGTAAGATAGTCACAATGCAATAAAATGATTTATTCAGTCACTCAAACCATTGACAGGCTCAAATTTAGGTTATCTGTCAGCTCAGTTTTTTATTTGTATATCCACATTGCCTTCTTTAATACATCTTAAATATACATGAATATCCGACAAGAGAAGCAGTCTTTTTTGGCCCATTATAGCCCATACATTGAAGAAGAGATTAGAGAAATAGTTACTTGTTTTCTTTTTTTTAATTTTGGAGACCCCAAATTCAGTGATTTCTTGCATCCTGCAAGCTTTTGAGACTGAGTAGAATATTCTTAATATTCTTAAAGCAGGTATTGCTCACAGTGTCTATCTCGAAAGCCCTTAATCTGTCAGCATCCTGTAGAGAGGCATATGTAGACCAGGTCTGGCTGTATGAACTGAGGGCTTTGCTGCAAGAGAAGGACTTGTTCTTTCCCATTCTGCTTTCTTTCAGGGCTCTCATGAGAGGAGCCTTCCAAATGAGTTTAGAGGGATATTATCTGAGCTTGGGCACCAGCTACTCCAGGTGGTTGTTTACTAGTCCGGGAAATGCCAGCTGCCCAGCTCTGTGGAGCAAGGCAACTCTGTGAGGATTCTGTAGGAAGTTGAGTCTTTGTGTAGCCCTTGCCAGTTGGGAGATGGAGAGCTACTGATCCCACTTAGCTCATTTTCAGGCATCTAAGAGATTGCCATCAGGGATTATCCACTGGACAATATAGTTTGTCTCTCTGTAATCTGATTCTGGGAAGCAAAGCTTAAAATATGGAAATAGATTTGGCTTTAACTAATACTCTGTTTTACTTATGGTTTTAAATGTTCTAAATTGATAAAGACCTGGCTTCTTTAAGAAGCCAGATTGAAAGTGTTAATTTGGATGGTTTTGCCTTAATTGAGTTAGGAACAGTTAGTGGCAGGCATAAAAAGTATGTGTATTTGGTTTTTTTAAAATTAGTGATTTTGTGATATTTGTAAATTCATACTCAGTTGCAAGAAATAATGCAAAGTGATCCCATACCCTTAAACCAATTTTCCCCAATAAGAGAACATCTCATGAAACTATGGTACAGTCGCATAACCAGGATATTGATATTGATAAGGTAAAGATACAGAACATTTTCATCACCACATGGATCCCTCATTTTACCCTTTTATAGCCACACCCACTTCTCTTCTGCTCCCACCCCCTCCTTAACCTCTGATACCCAGTAGTCTGTTCCTCATCTCTATAAATTATAATTTCAATAATGCTATATAAATGGAATCATAGAGTGTGTAACCTTTTGGGACTGACTCTTTAAACTCAGCATAATAATTCCTTAGTGATTCACCCAGGTTGTTGCACATATCAGTAGTTGGTTGCATTTTATTGCTGGGTAGTATTCCATAGTATGGATGAGCCACAGTTTGATTAACAATTTTACCGGTTGAAGAATATCTGGGTTGTTTCCAGTTTGGGGCTGTTAAAAATAAAGTGGCTCTAAACATTTCTGTATATGTTGCTGTGTGAACATGTCTTCTTTTCTCTAGGAGAAATGTCCAGGTTTACAATTGTTGGATCATATGATAGTTGAATGTTTAATTTTAAAAGAAACTGCCAAATAGTTTTCCAGAATGCCAGTACCATTTCGCATTCCCCTAGCAGTGTGTAAGTGATCCAGTTTCTAGTCTACATCCAGCATTTGATGAAGTCACTGTTTTATTTTAGCTATTCTGGTAGGTGCATAATGGTATCTCATTGTGGCTTTAATTTGCATTTCCCTAATGACTAATGATGTTAAACATCTTTTCATGTGTTTATTTGCCACATGTATATCTTCTTTTGTGAAATGTTTCTGCATGGGTTTTGCCTCTCTTCTAACTGGATTGTTTCTCATCATACTGTTGAATTTTTAGGGTTTTAATATATTCAAGGCACTAGTCCGTTATTGGACTTGGTTCTCCCAGTTTGTAGCTTTCTTTTCATCCTTCTTAACAGGATCTTTTGCAAACCAAAGGTTTTAATTGTGATGAAATCCAATTTATCAGCTTTTCCTTGTATGATTGTGCTTTTGAAATCAAGTCTCAGAACTCTTTGCCTAGCCTAAGATCCTGAAGATTTTCTCCTATGTTTTTTTCTGGAAGTTTTAACAGTTTTGTGTGTAACTTAAATGTGTGATCTATTTTGAGTTAATTTTTACATAAGATATGAGACTGAGGTCGAAGTTCCTTTGTGTGTGTGTATAGATACCTAATTGCAGCATTATTTGTTGAAAAGGCAATACTTTCCTTCTTTCCTCCACTCAGTTGCTTTACCAGCTTTGTCAAAAATCAGCTGGGCTTATATAGTGAATCTAATTCTAGGTTTTCTATTTTGTTCCATTGATCCGTGTGCCTATCCCACTGCCAGTACCACATAATCTTGATAACTGTAGCTGTGTAAGTCTTGAAATTGGGTAGACCGATTCCTCCTCCTTTATGAAAATTGCTTCAACTATTCCAATTTCTTTGACTCTCCATATAAATTTTAGAATAATCTCGTCTATATCTATGAAAAATCTTGTGGGAATTTTGATATAAATTACATTAAACACATCAGTTTGAGGAGAACTGATATTTTTACTATGCTGAGTTTCCTAGTTTTTCCATTTATTTCACTTTTTTTGTAATTTTTAGTATACAGGTGCTATACATGGTTTTTTAGATTTACGCCTAATATTTCTTTTTTTCTTAGCAGTTTTAAATGGTATTGAATTTCTAATTTTGGTATTCATATGTTCAGTAATGGCATATGGAATGTTTATTTTATATTCTGCAATCTTGTAGAACTCATTTATTAATTCTAGAATGCTTTTTGTAGATTCCTTGGGATATTCTATGTGGACACTCATGTCATCTGCCAACAGAGACAGTTTTTTTTTTTCTTTCCCAATCTGTGTGCTATTTTTTTCCTTTTCTTGCCTATTGCATAGGCTAAAACTTCAGCATTGTATTGAAGAGAGGTGAGAGCAGACATCCTTGCCTTGTTCCCAGTCTTAGGGTAAAAACATTTGATTTTTCACTATGAAGTATAATATTAGCTGTAGATTTTTTGTAGTTACTTCTTATCAAGTTGAGGAAGTTCCCCTCTATTACAGTTTTTCTAAGAGGGTTTTCATGAATGGATATTGAATTTTGTCAGTTGCTTTTTCTATGTAATTAATATGATCATGTGATTTTTTTTCTTTAGGCTATTGGCATGGCATATCGTAATGATTGGTTTTTGAATATTGAACCAGTCTTGCATCCTGGAATAAACCTCACTTGGTCATGAGGTATAATTCTTTTTATGTAATTGTGAATTATCATTCCTAATATTTTGTGAAGGACTTTTACATCTTTATGAAGAACATTGGTCTGTAGTTTTTTTTGTAATGGCTTTTCAGGTTTTTGTATCAGGGTAATACTAACTTAACAAAATGAATTGAGAAATGTTTGCTCCTTTTCTGTTTTGTGGAAGGGATTGTATAGGATTTGTTTTCATACTTTTTAAATGTTTGGTACAATTCTCTAGTGAAACCATCTAAACATGGAGATTTATTTTTGGGGGATTTTAAGTTATGAATTCAATTTCCTTAATAACTATAGGGGTATTCAAATGAGCTGTTTCATGTTAAGTGAGTTTTGATAGTTGTGTTTTTTGAGAAATTGGTGCACTTCATGTAAATTGTCAAATTTATGTGTGTAGAATTTTCATAGTATTCCCTTATTATCCTTTTGATGTTGTCAATGTCTATAATGATATCCTCTGCTTCATTCCTGATGTTTTCTCTTATTCTTTGTCAGTCTTGCTAGAAGTTTGTCAGTTCTAATCAGGAAGATAAAACACCTTAACTAAAAACACCAATTATATCCAAATTGCTAAACGCAATAAATATTTTTCAGATCTTGTTCATTCTCAATTCTGTATTAAATAGCAATGATTAGTTCTTCCTTCTTGAAAGCCTATATCCTGTAGATATCTGTGACTGTGTGCCCTTCTGATTTTAAACCCCAGTGACTTTTCCTGAATCAGTTTGTTTCTATCCTCTGACCATTTCATAAATATTGGTCTTCCTCAAAATGTAGTCCCTTTGTGACTGCTTTTCATCTCACTCTATTGTCCTTGGACAATTTTATTTCTATTCATTGTTTCCTCTGATAACTTAGAAATCTGTAATTCTAACCCAGATGTTTCAGATTACTATACTCAATTTCTTGTTATTCAACATCAAAGTGAAGGTGTTCCTCAGATCTGCTGTGGACCAGATTGTACTTAACTTCTTCCTTCTAACACCTCTTCCCACATTTCTTATGTCATCTTGTGACCTCTTCATTCAACCATCACTTAAACCAGAAACCTAGGAATTATAGACTCCTCTCAATGCCTTCCAAACCATGATCAATCTGTCACCAAACCCTATAGTTATAAATAATTTTGTCCACGGTTCTTTATACCTGTTGTCAGTACTCTAGTTTAGTCCACCATTTTTTTTCTTTGATGACTGTAATAGCCTTGGTTTCCAGTCTTGGTTTTTCAGATGCCCCCACCCTACAGTCACCATAGTGATCTGTCTAAATGTATGAATCTGATGATTTCACACTCCATTAAGCCCTACAGTATATCCATAGTACTTAGTACCAGGCCAGGCACTTAATTCCTTATTTTATGCCCTTAATTATTTTAAATATACTTTAAAATATAGTTTCTACCTGATAATTATATTATTTGAAGTCTTGGGGTATACTACTGCCCTTTATAGTTCCTCCAGACATTCTTGTATGGTACATTATTTAATGAAGTGTTTTCAAATTTTTTATTTTGAGCACATATTCAGTAGGACTTTATCAGTAGCTATTTTGCCTGTGTTTAGGGTGATCTCTGGGGAGTTTTTGAACTTGCTTCTTTCAAGTATCTGAGGAGTATCCTTTTTCAGGATCACTTTTTTTTATACTTTAAGTTCTAGGGTACATGTGCACAACGTGCAGGTTTGTTACATATGTATACATGTGCCATGTTGGTGTGCTACACCCATCAGCTCGTCATTTACATTAGGTACATCTCCCAATGCTATCCCTCCCCCAGCCCCCGACCCGCCGACAGACCCTGGTGTGTGGTGTTCCGCGCCCTGTGTCCAAGTGTTCTCATTGTTCAGTTCCCACCTATGAGTGAGAACATGCGGTGTTTGGTTTTCTGTCCTTGTGATAGTTTGCTCAGAATGATGGTTTCCAGCTTCATCCATGTCCCTGCAAAGGACATGAACTCATCCTTTTTTATGGCTGCATAGTATTTTCAGGATCACTTTTTATGTGAACCTCTTGGCTCAGTTGTTCTCATACTAAGGAGATAGTATAAATTCAAATCCCAGCTCTACCTGTAGACAGGGTCTTGATTACAGATTCTTGGTGAGTATAAATTTACCCCCTCTGAGCCCAGGCTAAGACAGACAAACTTCCTTGTCATCTTCCTATGCTAACAGGCAGATTTTTTTTTTCTAATTTCCTTTCATTGAGGATGTGGCTTTTTAAGAATCCCAGTTTTAGGCAGGTCCTCTGCTTCATTTCCCTCTGTTAAAAGGGTTTGAGACCTCAGCTTCTTTCTGGCATTAAAACCCAAGCTCTTCTGTGACCAGCAAACCTACACGATAGGATTGGTAACAGCTTGGAACTTACTGCTTTGGTTTTCAGTTCCCTTTTCACTTTTGGACCTGGGTATTGCCCTTACTATCTTAGGAGCTCAGCTATGTATTTTAAAAGATGTTTATTTTCTCTAGCATTTCTAGGGAAGTCCTCCTGCCACCAACTCCCCATTACCTAGCCCACTGTATTCTCAGTCAGGGTTGAGATTTGCTGTAGCTCTAACACTTTTCAAATCTATCATTTTACCTCCTGTTTTTGAAGAATCAAATCTACATGTAGTCATGAATAATATTCATAAGTAAAGGAAGCAGGATGGATCAGGGATAGCCCTATAATCCTTTTAGGATTGTAGGTCCTTCTTTAGTCACCTCTCTCTCAAATAATAAGAGTTCCTTAGTTTTGACCTTTTTATCAGACAGGTGTTAGTATGTGGAGCTCTTTTTCACGTAGTGCCTTCTCCCTCCTGATGAGATTTCTGCCCAGAACATAACCCTTCCAGGATTTTTAAAGGGAAACCATTTCCCTGTAGTCAGCAGAAAAGGAAAGAATACTGCCGAAGTTTGATGCTTGGTTACTTGACAATTTCCAGTCATAATAAGCTACTGTTTCTCCCTCAGACTCTTTCCATTGAAAAGGGTCAAAATTATGGATTATCATTTACTTGATACGTGTGTGTACATGATGAATTTAAAGCAATAAAAATATTATGAAACTGAGAAGTTAAATCAACGTTACAATAGCAGGTTTGGAGGATTGTGACAAAATATGGGCAACCTAAATCACCTGAGCCACCAGCAGGACCAACTGTATCCCGTTATCAATTTGATTTATTTGCTTATGGTTTTCTTTTTTTTGCGAGTTTTCTTTACAGATCTGTGAGACGAATGCATATTTTCACCTAGTATTTGTTTTAATGATATTGTAAACTCTTGATAAGCTTGTAAGATATATGTAGTGTTTTACTTAAATAACAAAATTTACTTATTTTCCCATGTTGTTGAATGTAATTCATATTTCTTTTTTTTTCTTTCCCATTTTCCCTTCCCCTCCTTCTTCTGCTCCCTCTGTTAGAAAGATGCAGTGAACACCTTAATGCATTAAAATAATTTTTATTCTTAAACATATTTAGGGTACATTTCCAGAAATAGAATTACTAGGTCAAAATGTTCTGTTTTTCAGACTTTGACACATAATGCCAAATTGCTTACCAAAAGCATGATATGAAGTTATATCCTCCTAACAATCTAAAAGCATCTTAAGCAGACCTGTCATTATCAGTGGACCACTGGACAGGGTTGTGGGGCTGATGCTTTCTTTATGGTTCCTCTACAGGATATGGTGCCTGTCATAGTTGATTACTGCCTTCTGCTGCAGCGAAAGTGAGTATGCGTTGCCTGTCACATTCAATTATTTTGAACCCAGGTAGCCTCTTATGTATAAGCCATTGCTAAGAATTCTATGAATTTGACTGAATAGATTTAAAAATATTAATTTATAGAAATTTGATTCTTTAACAGTTTTCAGTTCATTTACCTAATAAAATTAACTTCCCTAAGACAGATGCTATGGATATATCATTTATTTGTCTGTGTGGCAGGATATTGGAGATAAAGAACGTAACTAGCAAAAGAGCAATACTACTTAGGGGTTTTAAAAGTAAAAAGTGTATGATTCATTATATGTATATATATATACACACACACACGCATATATACACACACATATATATATACACACACACATACACATATACACACACACATATGTATACACACACACACACATTCTTCTTTTTTTGGTATATATACTTTTTTTTTTTTGAGACGGAATCTCGCCCTGTCACCCAGGCTGGAGTGCAATGGTGCGATCTCAGCTCACTGCAACCTCCGCCTCCCGGGTTCAAGAGATTCTCCTGCCTCAGCCTCCCTAGTAGCTGGTATTACAGGCATGCACTGCCACACCCGGCTAATTTTTTGTATCTTTAATAGAGACGGGGTTTCACCATGTTGGCCAGGCTGGTCTCAAACTCCTGACTTTGTGATCCACCCGCCTCAGCCTCCTGAAGTGCTGGGAGTACAGGCGTGAGCCACCATGCCTGGCCTGGTATATATGCTTTTATGAACCATCACTAGAACATAGTATTTTATACTATTCAAAAAAGGCTAGATTCATTGTGCTTATGCAGTACTATTTTTTGTTTGTTTGTTTAAAATAAATCAGTATAAATAAACTCTTGATTAGGCTTTGTTAGTTTAAATTGTAACTATATAAACTAGCCAACCTGGCTGGACGTGCTGGCTTACCCCTGTGATCCCAGCACTGTGGGAGGCCGAGGTGGGAGGATTCCTTGAGCCCAGGAGTTTGAGACCAGCCTGGGTAATATAGGGAGACCTTGTCTCTACAAGTAAATTTTTAAAAAATTAGTTGGGCATAGTAGCATGTGCTTGTGGTCTCAGCTACTCAGGAGGCTGAGGTGGGAGGATCGTTTGAGCGCAGGAAGTCAAGGCTGCAGCAAGCCATGATTGCACCACTGTACTCCAGCCTGGGTGACAGAGCAAGATCCTATCTCAAGAATAAATAAAATAAAAAATAAACCAACCAACCTGTGCTAATGCACAGGGTTTTTTTTTTCTTTTTTTTTTCCACACTAATAATGATAACCAGGTATTGTTCTAAACGCTTTACATTAATTTATCTAATTTTTGTAGCAATTTATTTTTATAACAGTGAGGTAGGGATTATTATCATCCACATTTTATATAAGATGTGCCAAAGCCAGAAAGTGATTAAGTTACTTGCCAAAACTCAGTCCCACAGCTTTTGGTGGCAAAGGTGGGATTCAAATGCATGAGTCTAGCTCCTGTGTTCTTGGTTTTAACCACTAGCTTGTACCACTTTGTAAGTGATAGAGAACAAATGTGAAGATTTAATGTAGATGCTCCCAAAACCCTATGCAGCATGACTTGGTTCATGAATTTATGTAAATTCTAGTAGCCTGATTCAGAAAAGGTTGGGTCATACTTTGAAGCATCAGTAAAGATTGTCAAGAGGGCAGTAATTTGCTATGTCAGACCTTTGATGAAGTCATAGATAGCTATATAGTAAGTTCTGCTTACTTGGGGCTCAAATTTATTCCAGTGTTTTAACTCTAGTGTTACGTAATTAGCAAAACACATCGTGTTTACAGTAGGGATCTTGTTGAGAACATTACTTTTTTTTTTTTTTTTGGAGACAGAATCTCGCTCTGTCGCCCAGGCTGGAGTGCAGTGGCGTGATCTCAGCTCACTGCAAGCTCTGCCTCCTGGGTTCACGCCATTCTCCTGCCTCAGCCTCCCAGGTAGCTGGGACTACAGGCGCCCGCCACCATGCCCGGCTAATTTTTTGTATTTTTAGTAGAGACAGGGTTTCACCGTGTTAGCCAGGATGGTCTGGATCTCCTGACCTTCATGATCCACCCGCCTCAGCCTCTCAGAGTGCTGGGATTACAGGCATGAGCCGCCGCACCCGGCCAAGAACATTACTTTATATTACACATGGTCTGCTTTATGAGGGCCTACGGGAGAAATTTCTTTCCGGTGTTAGGGCCACAAATACCTTTGTGTCTCTTGAATAGCTAGTTGACTTTTAGCTGATGGACAGTGATTGTGTAGTTAATCATTGTTTCCTAGAAAGCAAAGCGCCATGATATGTCTGCTAACCTGACCCTATCTTTTTCTAAATTAGTTTTCTCTTTACCTCACTTTCACACTCAATTCCTTGTTATATGTCCTGTATTTTTAAAGCAGCCTTAATAGGTTATGAATCAGTTTTACATATTCTACTTAACCCTCATAAATACAGTGTAAAGAGAGAAAATGTTATCCTCATTTTCAGATGAGGAAGTGGAGGTGTAGAGGTATTTCTAGTACTAATAAGTACTGGAATCAACTCTGATATTCAAATTGAGATAATTTATAAATGAGATGAAGTGAAGTGCCTGAAGGACTAAATTTTATTTAGAGTAAAACGGCTTATTTTTATAAAATGGACTATTTCTACCTAGAATGATACCTGACACAATATAGCTATCCAATACCTGATGGTTGAACTGATGAAGTAATTCTGCCTCCTGGTTTGCAGGGTGACTTGTGATCATTATCTTGAATACTAGAATACTGTCACAGTGACATAAAGTTGAAGTGGGCCTAACAGTTGTAAGATGAAAGATTATATAGGGAAAAAAATTGATTATGTTTTTCCAGAATATTTTGTTATTCCCTAAAATATTCTGGAGATAAGCTTTTCTTTTTTATATGATTTGGAAAGGAAATATTCTCTAACATTTATTTCACCTATTGACTGTCTGAGAATGCAATAATTTCTGTATTGAACCACAGCATATAACATAGAAGATAAAATCTGGTCTAGATTTTCACCAAATTAGGATCCATTTATTATTTCTTTATTTTTGTCAACTTCTTTCCTATAATTTTTCCTGATTCCTTAGCATGCTTTCTCTGTATTGTGTCAGAAACAAATACAATATTTGTTGTTGGAGATCTCAGAAATAACAGGAACAGCAGTCATAGTATATACTCCTCACCTCCAAGAGGAAGAGAATCCTTCCTCAGTTCAGCTCTTCCTGGTGCTTTTCATACCTCTTTTCTTTCTTCCTCCTCCTGCTCTTACATACACACTCTTAGGTCAAGGCCATGGACATTTTCCCTGGACCATAGTACAAAGAGCGTATGGATGGCTTCCCTTTCTCTCAATTCTGTTTTCTAACACCGAAGACTAGATTGTACTAGATCCTGCCTCTGCTTGGGAGAAGTTCCAGCATGTGTGTTCTTATTGTCTTTCTTTCCCTCCTTGTCTCTTTCCCTAATTCTACTCTTTGGGTTCTATTCTAATAGGAGAAAAAGCGGGAGGGCAGCATTCCTAGAGATGTAAGAAAGGTCGGGGCTGTGAAACTAGGCATTGGGTCAAACGCTCCCTCTTTTGTTCTAGGTCTGTGTTGTGCTTGTTTGCTTCTCACCATACTGGCTTTTCTTTTTCATCAGAATGTTAAGATTCTTCTATATATGGGCCTGAACTTAGAAGGAAAGATTGAATAAGCCGTTTGATCAACTTTAATTGTTTGCATCTAGGCCATCTTTCACTTCCCTTCTATTTCAAACATGCAATGACTAAAGATTTATTAGATACAAGAATTCTATGTTTAATTAAATAGTTCAGTCTAACCACTTAAATGGTAGAGTTTTAAAAATTTTTTTCTTAGAGTTGCCATAGATAATAAGGTTAAAAATGGTCAGTTCCCTATGCTAAATTGTAGCGGAGGATTGTCAGATGTAAGTAGCTTCATCCCAGCATAGTATTTTTTCTCCTTAAACTGGATCCTCTCTTTATACTATCCTTTTTGACATTTGGTCCTATTTATGTCTAAGGTCTTCTCTTCTGCATTTCCAAATTAGCAAAATATCTGTGACATTAACATTGCTTTAAGGAATGCTCAGATTTTGCATAATACAAACACAGTCTTACAAAATGTCATCTAGTACTCAGCTAGCCAATTTCAGGTAACTTCTTCCACTTCTAGATTCATTACTCACTCAATCCTGTTCCCCAGATTCCTTTTATATTAATGTCTTCTGATTGAGTATGTTGTTTTTATAGGCAGTCCTTTTATTTTCACATATTATATTGTTTCTTAGGTGGGTGAAATTATAAACATAATACATGCTCTGAAATTAATTTTAACTTAGTGGCACAACCATTATTACACTATAATCACTGTTACCTCATAGTTTCATAACTCAGATAATTCAGTACCCATCAGTAATATTAATTAAGCTAGTGGATATATGTATTCCTATTTATATTTAATAACACTTTTATAATGTAAAATCATTTTTACTATGTCACAGTAATCACATTTGTTTTTCTCTGTAGGGCATACTACTCAGTGTATTATGGACATCTTTCTTGGTTAAAATTTGGCATTAGAGTCTTTTGTAAATTACTTAATATCAGAAATGACAGGAATTCTGTTTTTGAAGACTTATACTTTATTTTCATAATTTGGTCTCTGTTCCACAATTTCATTTCAATTTGGTTTTGTGTATTTTTTTTTCAGTATTAGACAAAAGACACAATGTCTTAAGGCTTTTTGTGAATACTTCTGATTTGTCATTTTACCTATGCAAAATATAGGCTATATGTTAGCATATATATGGGTAGCCCTAATGTCAGTTTTACTTTGAAAATAGATCCAGAGTTTATGTAAACCATAATTATAATTTTGAACGTTGTTTAAAAATAGGGTTATGTGATTATATGTGAATTATATAGCAATAAAGCAGTTATTTTAAAAAAAAGCAAAATGGGTGCTCTATATGGATGATACCGACGACTTTGAGTTTATATCACTGTAAGGAATATCCACAGTTGTTAAGAAGCCATCGTTCCAATGGCTTGTGTTATGTATGCATCTGAACCAAAAATGTTTCTGTTAAATCCAAAGTGAACTTGAAGTAGTCTTTTAATTTGTTCACTCATGTTGTTCAACATCAGGACTATTGTTTGAGAAACAAAAAGATCTTAATTATCAAGACTTGTTGAGGAACTGGATGTTTAAAATTTTATTAGGGTGGTGCAAAAGTAATTGCAAATTTCATCATTAAAAGTAATGGCAAAAACTGCAATTACTTTTGTACCAACCTAATATCAAAGCTGGGGGAAAAAAGGCGTTTTTAATTTTATAATAGCTATATTGAGATATAATTCACATACCATAAAATTCACCCTTTTAAAGTATACAATTCAGTAGTTTTTAGTGTATTCACAGCTGTGTAAGTATCACCACATGCCTTTTTAAAGGAAATCTTTACGAACTGTGGTACTTGTATCAAAAAATAGAGCATTTTGAACATAATTTGTTAAAATTCATTTGAATTTTGCTTTTGCTTTTATAAATAAGGAAACCAGCCCACATCAACTTTGGATATATTAAATACCACTTGTATTTGGTGGGAATTTACTTGTTTGGTTCTGGTTATATATTTAGTATGGATTGGCAAGGGTTAGGATTGATGCCCTTGTTCCCCTTCACATACTTCTAAATTTGTAATTTCTTATAACCAAAGCAGCTCTTCACATTTAAAAAATTATGAAATCGATAATGTACAAAGTAAATTTAACAGTTGTCCTCTTTTTGAAGTTATAAATGATAAACTTCAAAAATACCTTTAATGTGAGTACTGTTATAAAGTGAAGTTTGTAGAAATATCTCTTTGGTCCTCTATTATTCATGATCGATTTTCTGTTACACTGGCCATAGGGAGGCTAAGCTTGAAATGGTAAACATCAATTTTGAAGTCAGCCCTTCTAGGAAACAAAGATAGCACCCTGGAGAATAGTGCCTAAATATAGAAAAAAATATGAGAGCTACAAATTTTTGTATGTACTTGTCTTTTTTTTAATTTTATTTTGAGATAGAGTTTCGCTCAGTTGCCCAGGCTGGAGTCGATCTCGGCTCACTGCAACCTCTGTCTCCTGGGTTCAAGCAATTCTCCTGCCTCAGCCTCCTGAGTAGCCAGGATTACAGGCGCGTGCCACCATACGCAGCTAATTTTTGTATTTTTAGTAGAGACGGGGTTTCCCCAGGTTGGCCAGGCTGGTGTCAAACTCCTGACCTCAAGTGATCTGCCTGCCTTGGCCTCCCGAAGAGCTGGGATTACAGGCATGAGCCACTGCACCCGGCCTAGCCTGTATGTACTTTTCTATCTCCCCTCTTTCCTGATGCACTAATAAGTATTCTCCCAGAATGATGAGAATTTGTCGTTGAATATAAAAAAAATTTTATTTTAAGGTAGAGATGCAAATAGGAGTTGCTGAGCCTTATTTTTCTTGCTTCTTTATATTATAGCTTCTGATTGGTTAAGAAAGAAACGTGTGGTTTTGCATTTATCTTAGCAGCATCACATGCTGTTTGTAAACAGGAGTGCCTTCTTAGTTAACTTTTGTAGCCTTTACTGAATTTTTAGCTCTCTTTAATTCTCTCCCCAAGGCTTTTTGTACTAAACTAAAATATATAATTATCTTTTTTAGCATGTTCCTTTTAACAACACATTACAGAGTACAAGGGCTTCCAAATCTGACATTTTCTTTGAATCATTGGTTATCTTGTTACTTTTTCTTTCTTACAGTAAAACTCCATTAATCTCTGTTTGTTTTGCTTGGCTAGTAATCGGTCATCACAAAAATATGATGAATTATTGATTCAAATGAAACTGACATGAAAATATTTTGATAAATATGAAATGGAGGGGAAAAATGATGTAAAATTACATTTGTGCATTTGAGAAAAAAATAAATGGCTGTGGATTTTCCCTAGAATGTTGCAAATGCTGTTAATTGCAGGGTGGTGTGGAGTTCTGGTGCAGTTGTAGCCAGTCTGTTTTCCATCTGTCCCCTTCCAGGACTTCAGATGAGTCAAAACCCCATCCTAGTCCTTTCAGGAGCTTCCTTGATGTTTTTGTGGAACTTGTCATGAAAGACCATACCTGTGAATAAATAAACCATTTACCACTTTCTACAATTGACATGATATACATATAAAGAAATTACACATTTAGGAAAAAGTAAATAATCTCAACAGGTAAATAAAATTCACACAGTTTTTGTATTTTTTAAAAAACAGAATGAACAAAGAAGTGAATGATACAAGGCAATACAATTTATAAATGAAAACATGGAAAATATTCAATTTTGCTGGTCATAAAAGAATTATTAAATTGTCAGGGGAGAAAAACCAAGTTTGCAATTGTCTGGTGAAACTGGTAGGATTATACATTGTGGGTGGCAGTGTCAATTGATGCTGTGATGCTTTTTGAAGATAATTTCATAGCACATTTCAAGTGCCACAGATTTTTTCATATCTTTTCACTTAAGATAAATTTCTAAAAGTTGACTGATTTAGGAATTAAGCCCTTCAAATGGGAAAGGCTTTATATGTAGATGTTCATTGTAGTATCACTTGAAATACTGGAAATAAGTAATATATCCAACAGTACAGGAATACTTAAGTATATTCTGATTTTTCAGCATATTGAAGTATTGTGTTAGACAAAATGGTAATTTTGAAGAATAAATAGCAACTTAGAATAATGCTTATCATATAATGTATGAAAACAGAATTCCGAATTCTGTCTGTGGTCAATATAACTCAAATTATTTATGGGTTGTTTCCAGAAATATGAAATAAACATTGTCGAGGTTGTTGACATTTAAAGTAATTTAAAACAATTTTTGTTTCTGCAATAAAATTGTTTCTAGGTTTATATTTTAAGGATTAAACATTTTTTTTCTTCTTCTTCCATGAATAATCACTAGCCAAACATTTTGGGATGCAAAGGGTTATAGCTAGACAAAGAAGCATATTGACTGCAGGTCAGCTAGGAATATTTAAATACCAAGAAGGAGGGAAGGATAAATCATGAGTAGTCCTTTTGTTTTTTTCCTACTTCATGATGTCCACCCAATTATCTGTTCCCATGTCAGTGTTGTCTTTAAGAAGCAATATGCCACAATAGACTGAGCACAGGATTTAGGCCGGAAGGCTGGGTTCAAAATCTGACTCTTTTGTTTGTTAGATATGTCACTATTAGCAAACAATTTATCTTACCTTTTCTGATTTGTTAAAGAAGTGTTGGGAGGATTAATTGAGATTTTATATATATGTATATATACACACGTATATATATATATATATATATATACACACACACACAAAGTTTTTGCAGTATAAAACTCTGTGAATATTATTGCCATTTTAAATAAACTCATGAGTAAGTTGAAGTAGGGAAAAGATGAGATATATTTGGGAGACTAAATTTAATGGATATTTGGCATGTTCCTAAAAGTTTTTCTCCCCCCCTTTCTGTTACAGGGATCTTTTATTTAGTCAGATGTATGATAAATTAAGTGAGAATTCAGTGGCCAAAGGAGTATTTTTGGAGTGCCTTGAGCCATATATTTTAAGTGATAAATTGGTGGGAATCACACCCCAAGTAATGAAAGACTTGATTGTTCATTTCCAAGATAAAAAATTAATGGAAAATGTGGAAGCGCTCATTGTACATATGGATATCACCAGCCTAGATATTCAGCAGGTGAGTTTATAGACAGTCTACTAACTTATGAAATAAACTTCATTCCTTTATTGATAACACTTACTTCACTGATCAGGCCTGACCCTGCCTTCTAAGAACCGTAATTATTTATTGAGCACTTTTTGTAAGATGTATTATAAACTTGTATTTGTCAATATATTTCCTAGGACTGTATTTAAGTGAAAGCTAGAATATAATTGCCTTGCAAGTCAGGGATTATGTTGTCTTCTGTTTCTTTCACATCCCCAGTAGCACTTGGTATAGAGTTTACATTTAGAAGTTGCTCTATAAATGCTTGTTAACTGATCCCTCTTTATCAGCTTGTTCGTTCACTAATATAATTTTCATCGAGCAAGTGACTTTCAACTATGGCTGCTTTCTCATGAATTGTAGAATATTTTTACCTTGAAAAATATGATGCCATTTTAAAAAAGAGCTGGTATGTATGTCCAGAGTTTTGAAATACAGAGCATGGTATATAACAGGCAAGTTATAGAACTTTTTAGCATGAATAGCCAGCCATTGTTTGATAAATACTTCCGCTGTATCTGAGGTTCTCACAATAAGTTATCTTAATTGAGTTTCTTGAAATAAGTTTCTTAATTGAGGTGCAGTATTTATTCTGGCCTAAGACATTTCACAATTTATTTTTTCCTCCTCCTGCTCCTCCTCCTCCCCCCCTCCTCCTCCCCCCCTCCTCCTCCCCCCCCCCCCACTCTCTTTTTTTTTTTAAAGACAGAGTTTCGCTCTGTCCCCCAGGCTGGAGTACAGTGGCGTGATCTTGGTTCACTGCAACCTCCTGGGTTGAAGCGATTCTTGTGCCTCAGCCTTCAGAGTAGCTGGGATTAAAGGCATACGCTACTGTGCCCAGCTAATTTTTGTATTTTTAGTAGAGACGGGGCTTCACCATGTTGGGCAGGCTGGTCTCGAACTTTTGACTTCAAGTGATTCGCCTGCCGTGGCCTTCCAAAGTGCTGAGATTATAGGTGTGAGCCACTGAGCCTGGCCCACAATTTGATTTTTTAATTCCACATTAGTCCTAATAATGAGCATGTTACTCCTGCAAAGGTGCCAAGCCCTCTTGAGCTTGAATATGGAAGACTAACAAAAGTCTTAGACCAAAAGTTTTTTGAAAGTGTGCAAAATCACATAGAAATTAAGGGTTTGGAAAAATGATTATTTTATTTCTGGAAGCTCTTTATGAATGGCTGTGAGTTTGCAAAGTAAAGCCAGATCCTGTTTTATACCTGCCTTTGTATTATATGGCTAATTTGGCATAGTCTTCATAGTCTTACAATAGGTCTGATGACTTGAGAGCATGTTGTCCATCTAGTTTTGCCTACCTATCACATACAGGAAAAAAATTTAATTTCTTCTATTTATAATACTTTATAACATTTTCAGTCTTTCCCCACTACCATGTAAATATACTCTAGTCTTTTTAATGTTAAACAACAATTTCAAAATGCTCCCCTCAGTTTCTTATGTCTCCATATCAAGACTTCTCCCCTTTTTCCTCCTAGGTTACTGCCCTATCTCACTCCTCCCAGTCACAGCTAGATTTCTTGAAAGCGTTGTCTAGGTTGCTATTTTCATTTTTTTCCCCCACTTCCTAACTCTTCAATCTTACTTTTACTAGAGTCAACAATGGCCTCTTTGTCCACTACACCAAATGGTATTTTTCAATCCTTATTTTATTTACTCTTTTAACAGCATTTGTTCGTTAATTCAAGAAGTGTTTACTGAATGTCAGGCTCTGAGGATGCTTCAGTATCCCTAGTGAACAAGGCTTGTCCTCTCATAAAGCCTAAATTTTAGCAGAAAAGTTTGACAATGAACAGATTAATGTACAAAAATCCAGAAAGTATTTCAATACAAGTATTATGTTAAAAATCAAACTGGGAAATATAGTAAAGAGATAATGTGAGGCTACCTTAGATTGGCTAATTATAGATAGTCTTTTTGAGGAGGCAGCATTGAGTCTTGGGAGCTGAATGACAAGAAGGAATCAGTAATGCAAAGATCTTGGAAGAGAAGATTGTTATAGGTAAAAGCAACAGCTAGCATTTAAAAAAAAAGGATTTTTGTCTCGGGTGTTCAAAAGGAAGCGGATCTGGAGCTTGGTACAGAGGTAGATCTTGCAGGGCAAGGTATAGATCTTTCCATTTTATTCTAAATGCTATGAAAAATCATTAGAAAGTTTTAAGCAAGAGCACCCTGTGCTTTAGGGGTAACAGAATCAGGGATGAGGGCCAAGTGCAGAGGAAGCAAAGAGGCTAGTTAGGAAGCTGGCCCAGGAGGTGATTCTGGCCAGAGATGGTAACAGTGAGATGAAGAGAGATGGCCTGATTTTGGATGTTTTAGAGATAGAATTGATTTGCTGGTGAATTGGGATATGAGGGTGTGAGAGTGTGGGAATGAGAGAATTTAAGGATGATGACTAGTTTTTGGTTTGAGAAACAGGGTGAATAGTGAGTGATTCCTTTGAGAAGATTGCAAGACTAAGGCAGGTCTAAGTTTGAGAGACAAATCAGGAGTTCTGGTTGGCCATTTTATTTTGAGATCACTACTGGACATTCAGGCGAAGATGTCGAATTAAGTAGTTGGATATATGTATGGGTTAGAGGGGAGGTTAGGGCTGAAGCTGTAAATGTGTTAGTCATCAGTGAAGAGATGCATGATCATGGTACTGGCTGAGAGGGGTAGAGAGGGAGTCGTAGGAGTCCCAGAACAGGCTTTTTCTAGAAAGACTCTCCCAGCACATCTCACTTCCATTTTCCCTCTTACCTCTCACTCCCTCTTGTCATTCTCCTTTGCCGACTTCTGCCCTTCTCCTCTTGCCACTGTTTATAGTATTATATAGCTGTCATAGGGACAGAATATAGAGTACTGTATACTCAAACTCATATCTAGTCCTCTTCCTAAATATTTTCTCTGATTTCTCTCTGTCCTTAAGCACTTCAAGCTCACTTCCACATTAGGTCCTTCATCCTCACTCTTGCTTCTTCCTACAGAATTCCTAGCTGGCACTTCTGCTTGTGGCTCACATATATCCATTCTTTAGGTCCCACCTTAAATGTTGTTCCTTTAGGGGTGACTTTTTGAATACTCCAGACCAGTTAGGTTAATAGCACTTACCACATTTGTAAATAATGAATTATTTGTGTAATTGAGTATCTTCCCCAAGTCTTAACTCACACGCCATTTTGTACCCCTACGTCCTTTTGCTGGGTGTCCAAGATCAATGTAAGTTCTATAAGGGTAGGGACAAAGTCTGGATTTATCTTATCTAACACTTTATTCCCAGTGCCTATGAGAGGGTCTGAATATGTGTTCAATAAATATTTGTAGAACTATTGATCAAAGGTAAAATGAATATAGAAAGGGGAAGGATAGAGAAGAAACAAAATTAGACACTGTGAATGTCTTAAAGTAAGCGTTGTACTATTAAAAGTAGTAATTTCACCTACAGCAGCTCTTACCCTTGCATTGTGTTTGAGTACTTGAATTTCAGTTTTTATCAGAGAAGAAACAAGAAAAATTAGGGAAGAGCATTCAAGACCTTTCCCATTCTTAAAGCATTAAGGAAAATAATTGGTGACTGAATTGTATGGACCAAGTGGCTTTTCCTTTTCACAGGTAGTTCTCATGTGTTGGGAAAATCGTTTATATGATGCTATGATCTATGTCTACAACAGAGGCATGAATGAATTTATTAGTCCAATGGAGGTAAGATACTTCCTAACTTGGATACGTAATTAATTTTGTCTACTAACTTTTTTCTCCTATTCTCCATTTGCTTTTAATAGTTTCTAGTTTTATCCAATTATTTAAAAATTCTTATATATTTATTGACCTTGAACCCATTTTAGCTTGGGGCTTTTAGATAGTCTTCAATTTTATACCTTCTGCCATTGCTTGCTTTCTTATCTAAATAAGTAGGTATTTAAATACCAGGGAACAATAGATAAAATTTAAATTAATGCTTGCTTGTTAGGCTTTACATGTTTTTCTCCTAAGAATTTTTGATACTGCAGTAACTTTTTCTAAAGATACGAAAAATTTATTTTGTATAATTATTTTATATAATCAATGTACTATTGAGTAATGCTATTTGTAGATATATTCTGCTGGGGAAGGCTCCTGAAAATGGTAGGAGGCCATTATTTGTTAATTGATCATTTTTCACTTTTACTGACTCAGAATTTTATAGCATTCATTCTAATTTTTTATTCTGCTTACCAAGAGAATCTAAAAAACATTTGGACTTACTTTTAGAAGAACCAAACCCCATATCTGTTTTCTTATTTGTTTTCAGTTTGATGGCAGAATAGTGGAGAATGAGTTGTAGACACATGTAGTGCCCTCCTAGCCCAATGCTTTATTATAGTGTCCCTCAAAAAAAGCAGGCCTCTGCCAAAGGCATCCAGTCAACCATTTAGCTAATTTATTGCTATCCAAAACTATCTTCAGTATTAAGAAGTCAGCATTCTATGATAGGTAGGCTTCTTTAAGCACATTCAGTTTGGTAGGGCGAGTACCCCTCTAATTCATAACCCTTCAGTTTTGGTTGCACCTCTCTTCTTTCGGTTAGTTTCTAAAGTTAGTCCCCCACCCTTCTACCTCTGGTTTTGGGGGTTTGGCCCTGATTGTCTGTTATCTCAAGGATTTTTTTTTGTCTTGAACACCTCTCGGCTGCTCCTTCATTAAGGTTCAGTAGTTCCCTGAAAAAGACTCATCAGCTGCCTTCTCAGTGAGGTCCAGTGCCTCCCTGCATGCCACAACTAAGCCACAATTCAGAAGAATTAATACAGTTTCTAGTTTTGCTCAAAATAATCCCTCAAAACAGATTCTATTTTGATGCATTCTGCATTGACAAGATGATTACTGTATTTCTGTTAACGTTGCTTTTGAAATGTTTGTTTTGCATGGGTTTTGTATTCCTCATATTAATAAAATCTGGTTTGCATTTATACTGATACATCTCAAATGGAACACTGAGCTATTGAGGTTACCTTGTTTTGTGTTCGAAGTGTTTAAAGTTTAGCTATTTTAGTACTTAAAGAGGTCTGAATTAAGAGAAGGTGTCCTGTCTCTTGAAATTGTCTAGATTTTTTAGAATGAAAGCGTGTCATCACATTTGAGATGACTACTATAGTCTCTGAAATCTTTCCTTTTTTCTAGTTTTGACTAAGGTAAGAATAGTGCCTTGAGTTGGGAGGAAAAACTTTTTCTTTACCAATTTAGGTCCCAATGGTGGGAGGTACAGGGAAAGGATTGAAGGCTTTGAATTCACTGACAATATACAGATTAACAGGAGAAAAGATAAGGATTATTCACATACGTGCAGGAACACTCAGTAATAAGCATCTCTGCTGAGTAGCCAGAGGTAGACGTTTATATACCAGCTTCACAAAAATGGGGGTAGCACGTAGTTAGGTCTTCAGTGGGAAAGCATGGAAAGTTCTTTTGGGCTTTTTGATGCTAATGGCAGCTGAATTTGCATTTCCTGGTGCTAAGGATCAGTTTTTTCCCAAATAGGAATCTCCCTCTGAAGGGGGAGCTAAATATTTGGGAGACTCTGCTTAAGTTTAGATGATATTTCTTTCTGTGGCTGCTGATTGGATGTTTTCAGTTTAAAATCATCTCTATTACCACTTTAGTGGGAAATCCTTTCACTTGCTTACTAGTTTTTAAAAGAATAAAGCGTTTAAGAACCAAAGGATACTTTATATCAAAATTATAATCTCAGATAAGCCCTTTATATAACTGGTATTTATTAAATGATTTTTTTCGGTGAGGAATATGACAACAGTGATTGTTTCTCAGTGAGCCTTCTAAACATTTCATGTACAGATTAAAGGTTTTCATATTTAATCTTAATGGTAAATGACTAATTCCATTAGCGAATGGTGATGAATAGCATAAGATTCTTATTTTTTAAATAATATCATTTGAGATGATGATGATTGTTTTCCTATTAATTTTAATGCAGAAACTTTTCAGAGTCATTGCTCCTCCTCTGAATGCAGGAAAAACACTAACAGGTATTTATTTTCTAAGCCTTAATTTTTTGCTTTCCTGTATTTAAGGTATTATTTAAATGTTACAAAATTGGCCAATTATATGTGTGCAGTGTGAATGTTGGTAATCATGTACAGTCATGTAACACCACCATAATCAAGCTGCAGAAGGAGCCATAGCTTCTCACACTAAAAAGTTTCCTCCTTCCCCTTTGTACTTGATCCTTTCCCCACAGCCCTGCTCTGGGCAGTCACTGATCTACTTTCTGTCACTATACTTCATGTAAATGGAATTATGTGCTATGTAACCTTTGGTGTTTTATTTCTTTCACTTTACGTGGATGAAGCATAATATTTTTGAGAGTCATCCATGTTGTTTTATGTATATTAATATTTTGTTCCCTTTTACCACTGAATGATAGTCCATGGATTGAATATACCATAAGCTGTTTAATCATTCACCACTTCATGGATATTTGAGTTGCTTTCAGTTTGGGACTACTATGAATAATATAATGCTGCTACAACATTTGTGGACAAGTTTTTTAAGGTTTTTTTGGGTTTTTTTTGTTTTTTTTTTTAGTTAAACTTTCTGAGATAATTGCATGCAGTTGTAAGAAATGGGACATAGAGATCCTATATAGTCTTTACATAGTTTCCCCAATGATAACATCTTGCAAAAATAAAGTACAATATCACTACTGGATATTCATATTGAATTCATATTGATAAAGTCAAGATATAGAAAACTTTCATTACCTCAAGTATCTCACCTTGTTCTCTTACCCTCCATTCCTGACCCCTAGCTGTAAGTTTCTTTGTGGACAAATGTGTTCATTTTCTTGGCCAAATACCTAAGGTTGGAATGGCTGGATTGTATGGTAAATATATATTTTACTTTCTAAGCTACTGCTATATGGTTTTTCCTAATGCTGTACCATTTCTCATCAACAATACTTGAGAGTTCCCGCTCCACATCCTTGCAAGCACTTGATACTGTCAGTGTTTTAAAATCTTCTTAAAACTTTGGCCATTCTAATGAGTAATGGTATTTCATTGTGATTTTAATTTTTATTCTGTGATCATTAGTGATGTTAATCATTTTTTCATGTGCTTGTTTAGCCATTCACATATCTTCTTTTGTGAATTGTTTAAATATTTAGCCCCCCCCCCCTTTTTTTTTTTTAATTGGTGGAGATGACCTGGGGTTGTCTTCATATTATTGAATTGTTAAAAGTTCCCAAGCTGGCCAGGCATGGTGGCTCATGCCTGTAATCCCAGCACTTTGGGAGGCCCAGGCAGGCGGATCATGAGGTCAGGAGTTCAAGACCAGCCTGGCCAATATGGTGAAACCCCGTCTCTACCAAAAATATAAAAATTAGCCGGGTGTGGTGGTGGGTGCCTGTAGTCCCAGCTACTCAGGAGGCTGAGGCAGAAGAATTGCTTGAACCCAGGAGGCAGAGGTTGCAGTGAGCCAAGATCGTGCCACTTGCCACTGCTCTCCAGCTTGGGCGACAGAGCAAGACTCCGTCTCATGAAGTTCATCTTATTAATTTTTTTTTGTCATTTAGGCTTTTGCTATTCTGTTTAAGAAATCTTGGAGCCGGGTGCTGTGGCTCACACCTGTAATCCCAGCACTTTGGGAGGCTGAGGTGGGCGGATCACGAGGTCAGGAGTTCGAGACCAGCCTGGCCAACATGGTGAAACCCTATCTCTACTATAAATACAAAAATTAGCCGGGCGTGGTGGCGCGTGCCTGTAGTCCCAGCTACTCAGGAGGCTGAGGCAGGAGAATCGCTTGAACCCGGGAGGCGGAGGTTGCAGTGAGCCGAGATCGCGCCACTGTACTCTAGCTGGGGCAACAGAGTGAGATGCTGTCTCAAAAAAAAAAAAAAAAGAAATCTTGGTTCAATTCAGTGTCATAAATATTTTCTCCTACATTTTCTTATAGAAATTTAATAGCTTTAACTCTTGCATTTAGGTCTATAATTCGTTTCGAGTTAATTTTTATAAATGATGTAAGGTAAAGTTCAAGGATTTTTTTCCATACAGCTATCAGTTATTCCCATAAGTCTTACCATTTATTGGTAAGATTATCTTATTTTCATTGAATTACCTTGACACCTTTATGAAAAGTCAAGTGACCATATAACTGTGGATGTGTTTCTGTGCTCTCTATTCTGTCCTATTGAGCTGTATGTCTATCCTTGTCCAGTAATGCACTGTCTTGCTTATTGTAACTTCATAGTAAGTCTCAAAATCACATATTTTAAGTCCTACAATATTGTTTTTCTTTTTCAAAATTGGTTTATCTAGTACAGATTCTTTGCCTTTCTATATAAACGTTAAAATCAGCTCATCAGTTTTTTTTAAAAAAGCTCATTTGATTTTCTTTGAGATTGCATTGATGCTGTAGATTAATTGGGAGAGAGAATTGCCATCTTAAAACTGTAGAATTTTCTAATGTATGAATGTGGTATGTTTTTCTATTTTTATCTTTTTAAAAATTAATTTTATTTTAGAGACGGAGTCTCACTCTGTCAGTCAGGCTGGAGTACAGTGGTGTGATCACAGTTCATTGCAGCCTCAAACTTATGGGATCAAGTGATCCTCCTTCCTCAGCCTCCCAAGTAGCTGGGACTACAGGCCACCATGCCCTGCTGAATTAAAAAAAAAAATTCTCAAGACAGGGTCTTGCTATGTTTCCCAGGCTGGTCTTAAACTCCTGGCCTCAAGCAATCCTCCCACCTCAGCCTCCCAAGTAGCTGAGATTACAGGTGTGAGCCACTGTACCCAGCTTATTTTGGTCTTAAAGTCACTTTGCTTTCCCCTTTTCTGCAGAAAAGGCAGCTGAGATTTTGATAAGGATTGCTTTGAATCTGTACATCAATTTTATTACTGTCTTAATATTACCAAATCTTTCAGTTCATGAACACAGCACATCTTTTCATTTTATTTAGGTCTTCATTAATTTTTTTCAATGATGTTTTGCAGTTTTTAATGTATAGGTCATATACTCCTTTTCCTCCTCCTAAGTATTTTATTCACCTTGATGCTGTTATAAATGAAATTGTTTCCTTAATTTTATTTTCAGGATTTGCTGGTGTGAAATAGATTGACTTTTGTATATTGATCTTGTATCCTACGTCCTTGCTGTATTCATTTATTAGTGCTAATTTTTAACTTCTTAGAACTTTTTAAGGAAAATATAGATGTCTTCTGCAAATAAAAATAATTATAATTTTTTCTTTCTAATATAGATGCCTTTCTTTTTATTCCCTAATTGGGCTGACTACACCCACTAATACAGTGTTGAACAGAAGTGGCAAGAATGGACGTCTTTTTGTTTTCCTGATATTAGGGGGAAAGCACTCAATATTTCATCATTAAATTTGATGTAGATGGTCTTAGCCATTTGATGAAGTTTTCTTTACCCAGTTTGAGTGTTTCTAACATGAAAGACTGTTGAATTTTATCAGATGCTTTTTCTGCAGCTATTAAGATTATCTTGTGGGTTTTGTCCTTTATTTTATTGATATGATCTGTTTAATTGATCCTGTATGTTAAGCCAACCTTGCATTCTTGGGATAAATCTCACTTGGTATATAATCTTTTAAATATGTTGCTGGATTCAGTTTGCTAGTATTTCTCAAGGATTTGTGTGTGTATGTTCATAAGAGATATTGTTCTACAGTTTTGTTTTCTTTTGATATCTTGTTATCAAAAGAATACCAGTCTTGTTATGAGTGTATCTTGGTATGTTTGCCTCATAGAATGAGTTGGGAAGTATTCTCTCTTTTATTTTTTGGAAGAGTTTGTGTAGGATTAGTGTTAACTTTTTTAATGTTTGACAGAATTCACTATGAAGCCATATGGGCCTGGGCTTTTCTTTATTGGAAGTTTTAAAATTATTAGTTGTTTTGCTCTGTTTTGTGCTGCTGTAACAGAATACCTAAGACTGGGTAATTTATAAAAAACACAAACTTACGTCTTACAATTCTGGTGCCTGAGAAGTCCAAAATCAAGGTGCTGGCACCTAGTGTCTCATGAAGGCCTTCTTGCTGTGTCCTCACATGGCGGAAGTTGGAAGGGCAAGTGGGAACAAACATTGTGTCCTCACTTGGCAGAAGAGTGGAAAAAGAGTGAACCCAGTCCATCAAGCCCTTTTTTACTACAGCATTAATCCATTCATGAGGGTAGAACCCTCATGACTTAAACACCTCCCCAAAGGCCCCCACCTCCCAACATTGTTGCATTGGGGATTAAGTTTTCAACACATGAGTTTTGGGTGCCACATTCAGACCATAGCACTAGTTTAGTTTCTTTGTTTGTTGGAGTTTACTCAGATTATCTGTGTCTTTTTGAGTGTTTCAGTAGTTTTTAAATTTCTAGACATTTGACCATTTAATCTGCATTATCTAATATGTAGGCATATAGTTGTTGATAGTATTCCTTTGTAATTCCTTTTATTTCTGTAAGGTCAGTAGTGATGTCTCTTTCATTACTAATTTTTGTAATTTGACTCTTCTCTCTTTTTTTAGTCTGTCTAAAGGTTTGTCAGTTTTGTTGATCTTTTCATAGAATCAATTTTGATTTCATGCATTCAACTTTAGTCTATTTGCTTTCTTCAGTTCTTTGGGTTAGAAGCTCTTTAGGTAGAAGCTCAGCTCTTTTTTTTTTTTTTTTTTGACAGAACAGGAAAATATTTTTAATTCTTTGGTTCAGGGCTCAATATCAATATATAAAAAGTAATAAAATCTGTGAGAAAGACTAACACCTTAATAGAAGAATAGACAACACTAAGGCAATTCACAAAAGAAACTTAGCCTGTAAACATTGAGAAAGTGTTCAACTTCATTAGTAATGTAAGAAATGCAAATTAAAATGAAGAGGTTTTTTTTTAACCAAACAAATTAATAAATATTTTTAAAAATCATACTTATTTCTTAGGGAATTGAACACTATCATAAACTGCTAGTGGGAGTAAAATTGGTTCAATCTTTCTATAGAGCAGTTTAGCACAATATATGTATCAGAAGCCTTAGAATTTTTCACACCCTTTGGAAGCTCAGCTTTTCAGGTAGAAGCTCATATTGTTGATTTGAGGTCTTTGTTTTTGTGTTTTTTTTAAAATTAAGTGTTTACAGCTACAAATATTCCTCAAAGCAATATGTTTTGATATGTTGTCTTCATTTTCATTCATCCTAAAGTATTCTGTAATTTCTCTTGTGATACTAGTGATTTAGAAGTGTGTTGTCTAATTTCCACCTATGTGTGAATTTCTCACATTTCCTTCTCATATTGATTTCTACTTTTTTTTGTGGTCAGAAAATGTACTTTTTATGATTTATATCTTTTAAGAATTTGTTGAGACTTATTTTATGACCTCATGTAAGGTCTGTTCTCTAGAATGTTCTATGTGCACTTGAGCATAGTAATGTGTTGAATGTCTTCTGTTGTTGGATAGAGTGTTACATAGATATCCGTGTAGGGAAATTTAAGCTTTCCCTCTGAAACTTTGAGTGTAAGTCTGTCGAAATGAATTAATAATAGATTAATGGGTAGAAAAAGGCATATACTTTTGTTAACATGCATAAATATGGGGTAATTGAAGGACTATGATTACTCAAAAACCCAATGAGGTACAGATGCATCCTTTCTTAGGGGTAGAAGGGAGATGGGGAAATAGGCAGTTCTTTTAAGGGGTCGTAAATGATTATTAGGGGAACAAATGGACCTGGGAGACAGAAGTTAACTTGTAAAGGATCCTCTTTGGAATTTGAATGATCCAATAATATTTGGATCATTGTTCAGAGGCAGACATTATCTTGTGAAAAAGCTTGTAGAGGTGCGATTGTATTCCTTAGGTTTCTTTTCCTCAGTAGATAAAGAGATTTCAGGGAAGGGATGGAAGGCAATTAATTGTGTTTTCTTTGGAGGGTCCGGTCTTAAGGTAGATCACATAATATCAGAGTAGAGCCTGTTAACTCAAAATATCTTTAACCTGTTAAAGTTATCTGAGACCTGTTAGGCCAGGTCTCAGTCTGTTTAGAAAGTTTATCTTGCCAAGGTTAAGGATGCACCCGTGACACAGCCTCAGGGTCCTAACGACATGTGTCCAAGATGGGCAGCTTGCTTTTATACATTTTAGGAAGACATGAGACATCGATCAATACGTTTAAGATGTGCATTGGTTCAGTCTGGTAAGGCAGGACAGCTTGAAGTGAGGGCTTCCAGGTTAGAAGTAGGTAAGAGACAAAAGGTTGCATTCTTTTGAGTCCTTGATCAACCTTCCACTGAATACACAATTTAGTCTGGCTCAGTGAATCTGCATTTTTACATAAACAATAGGGCAGAGAAAGAAATTAGATATGCATTTGTCTCCAGTGAGCCTCAGAGGGATGACTTTGAGTTCTGTCTGTCCTTTGTCCACAAGGAATTTCCTTGTGGGTAAATTGTGAGGGAGGTATGTAGCTTCTTATCTTTGTAGCTATCTTATTTAGGGATAGAATGGGATCAGGTTTGCCTGACATTAGTTCCCAGCTTGAGTTTTCCCTTTGGCTTAGTGATTTTGGGGTCCCAAGATTTATTTTCCTTTCACAAGTCTCTCCCAGCATATGCTGACCTTCAGTGACCCTTAATTTAAAATAATCTGCACACCATGGTGCCATATTTTGGGGTGAAATTCTCTGGGCTTCTTTGTCTGTTAGGTCTAGTTTGCTTATAGTTTTGTTCAAGTCTTCTTTTTCCTGTTCATCTTCTACTGATTGTTCTGTTTTTGAAAGTGGGATATTGAAGTCTCCAAATATTGTTGAATTGTCCCTCTCTCACTTTAATCCTATCAGTTCCTGCTTCATTTTATGTTGGAATTTTCAGTTCTTTGGCAGGCAGTTTAGAATTCTGCTGTAGCCTTCCCTTCCTGCTTGCACAGAGCTGCAAAGTCAGCCATGGGTTATAAATTAGGGCCTTTGAGAATTTCCCTGGGTATGTGCAAAGCCCTTTATATGCATACATCCTTTTAGCACTCCAGGAATATGTTAGAACTTTTCAAAAGCCCCGCAGATCTCCCGTTCTCCAGTTTTTCCTTTTAAGGTTTTTGGTGCACCACTTATTAGTCCCAACTACTAACACTGTCTCAGCCTGCTGTAATGTTGAACAATGGCACTGACTGTTTTCACAAATGTCCTGGGGATAGTGCTGTTCCCACAGAGTGAGTTCTGAGTTAGGGCAAAAAAAAATAAGCCCTGAAAATGGAGCTTTTAAGTAAGCTGCCAGATAGGTCAAATAGTGACAATTCGCTGAGGATGGGGCATTTGAGGGGCTACAAGATTGACACAGGAATTTTCTCTCGGTCCTTTGCCGGACTTGCAGCAGGGGCACCCTGTCTTCTTGGCCTGCTGCGCTCAGCCCCTTGTGGGAGGGAGCACATGAGCAAGCCAGTGTGGGATCCGGCTGGCCACTCCAAGTGCTGACACAGGAACAAGCTCCATGTGAGGCCCGCGGTCTTGAGGGGAATGCAGCAGCACCCAGACAAGGGTGCCCACGACCCTGAAGCCCCAGATGGGGTGTTAGTGTGCTAATTAGCTCTTTTAGTTTTACCATCCATAGCCTGATGGACGGCAGCATGTTAGCAGCTCGGTCGGCCTCTGGCCCCATTGTGTGGGGTGGCTGCCCTTTGCCAGCGAAGGCAAAAGGCCAGTGTAACAGCCTTTCTAGGTACCCACACTCGGTGGGTCCCCAGCTCTTGTCCAGCATCCAAGAAGAATGAGGATATGCTGGCAATTGAAGAGTGAGCAAGGTAGGGAGTTTTATTGAATGATGAAATGGCTTTCTGCAGAGAGGGGATACAGGGGTGGTCCCACTACCCGAAGGCGGGCAAGTCCCCTCAATGTGGTGAGTCTGGGGCTACTGTGGGCTCAGAATAGGGGAGGGGCAGGCTGTAGCAGTATTGGAAAAGGCAACATTCGATTGGTTAAAAGGCATTATTCAGAAAGAATCAACTGGGAAAGGATGTGCAGACAGAAACAGAAGTTCTCACTCCAAGTTGCAGGTTTCATCCGGACCAGTAATCTGGTCTTTCAGCCTTCAGGCTGTTTTTTGGCTTGAAGGTGGGGTTTCACAAGGGACCCGCCCCTATCTGCCTAGGCATTTGACTACCCCCTGTCGCTATCAAACCCACTGTGTTCCACTTGTTTTCACAGCTGCCCAAGTTGTAAGGCAATATTGGTTTTCAAAACTACAGTAGAGCTGGAGAAAGGGAGATGGCAATACATAAAGTTAAAACTCTAAAATTCACTGGTCTTCCTGAGATTCAGGCATTTTTCTGAATAAACATTCCTCAGATTATGGCAAATTTTTAGTTAATTTCAAGAGTTCTGAAAAAGCCAATTTGACAGTTTTTACCAGTGTTTGTATTGCTTTTATGGAGGAGATTTTTGCAGGTCCTTACTCCACCATTTCTGAGGTCTGTTTCTCTGGGTTTTGATTGTGTTCTGTTTGGTCTTTTTTCCTCTCTGTTTTTCACCTTGGATGATTTCTATTGCTCTTCCTTCATATTCATTTGCTCTTAACTCCTTCATGTCAATTCAACTGTTAAATCTGCTCAGTGATTTTTTTATTTTCAACAGTTATATTTTTCGGTCTAATTTCCATTTAGTTCTTGTTTTTGTTTTCTCTGCTGCAACTCTTCATTTATCTGTTGAAATTTTCATGCACTGAAACCATTTCTTTTGCTTAAGGATAATTATAATAGCGCTTTAAAATCTTTGCTTGTTCTCACATTTTGTTCATCCCAGGATTGGACTTGATTCACTTTTAAGAAGAATATATTTTATTTTCTTGGTTTTTCATGCTGGATAATTTTGGACTGTATCTGGATATTATGAATGTTACATTGTGTGGAGAGTATGGGTTCTCCAGTGAGTATTTTTCTCCATTGCTCTATCAGGTATTTTTCACCACTGAGTATCGTCTTCCATTGTTTTATCAGATAATTTTCTTGGTGGGCTTGAATTGCAAACCCTCTCTCTTGTGCAGCTCCAGTCTCTCCTCAGGTCATTTCTGGATGGCTGATCTGCTTTGATTCTGATCCACACGCATGGGTCAGGGGTCAGACAGTGATGAGGGTAGACAGAGTTTGGGGATCCTTCCTCTTTCTCTTTTCTTTGCAAGATTCTCCTATTTTTTTTTTTTTTTTTTTTTTGAGACGGAGTCTCATTCTTTCGCCCAGGCCGTTACTGCAGTGGCGCTATCTCGGCTCACTGCAAGCTCCGCCTCCCGGGTTCACGCCATACTTCTGCCTTGGCCTCCCGGCAAGATTCTCCTAATTTTTAAACTGTTTATGTTTCTTAACTTCACGTTTCCCTTGCCAGAAAGATTGTTGCTTTTTCTGTGATGGCCTCCAGCTCTGCTGTGCTTGCCACACAGACAGCACTTAGACCCAGGCCAAAAGCCACAGAGGTGGTAATTTACTTGTACAGCTAACTCCCTATCTCCGCTTCTCCAAGTGAAGGAACTCTCCACCAGAGCCCACGTGTTTCTCTCCTCACTCCAAAACCTTCAGAGAGGGAGCTCCATTCTTGATCCTGGTTTTTTGTCTTTGACTAAGCTGCTTTGAGTCTTTTTCCTGCATGGTGGTTTAGTAAATGGATCCACTTCAGATGTGGGCAGACAATTTGGGGATCTCTTCTTTGATTCTTTACCTTTTGGGATTCCCCAACTCTATTCCATATTCGTGGTTCCCTGACCTCACTTTTCTGATCGCCGCCGTGCCAGGAAGGTTAGGGGCCTTTCCATGCCTCCCTATGTGTGCAGTTCAGAGTACGCTTACCTCAGGGACAGGCCAGAAGGAAGGACAGTGTGGCTGCCTGTCTCTCCTCCCCCAAATGAGGCTGAAGTCCTCACCAGTTCATGCTTCTGCTCAGTCCTCAGCAACTCTTTGGTATCTTCAGGTAGTTACTTTCTGTATGATGTCCAGGTTTTATAATTTTTTACTGTAAGGGTGGGGGTGAATGAGTCATTTTATAGTCTTAACTTCCCGTACCTAATAGTAGCCCTGAACCTAATCTTTTTGAGGCAAAGTTGAAAATTGCCTTTCACATCTCTCTCTACCAGAAATGAAAGTGGAGAATTAAAACGTCTGAATGGAATTGATGATCTTTTATAATGAAAAGTTGTCTAAAAGAAGATATTGGGAAGAGAAAGGTTGTAGAAAATTAAGTACTGTGTCAGTTCATTTCAGCATACAATTTACTAATTACCTACGTATGTGCCAGACACTATTCTCGATGCTAGAAATACAGAAATGTCACATACTCTGCTCATAAGAGGCTCACAGTAGTGGAATAATGGAGATGGGTAAGTTAAACAAATACGTTTAGCTCTCTCTAGGAATATCGTGAGCTAGATATATTCTACCTGAGATTTCCAGCAAGAAAGGTGTGTAAATCAAAAAATGTCTGAGACAAGTCTCAATTTAGAGGTTTATTTTACCAAGGTTGAGGACACACTAGGAGAAACATACACAAGCTACAGTAGGATCTTCGGCCTGTGCTTTTTCCACAGAGGGTTTTGAGAACTTCAGTGTTTAAAGGGTAGAGAGTGGGCAAGAGGGAAAAGAGGAACAGTTAATTATGCATTTGTCTCATGCTCAGTGAATCTGCATTTTACAGAAGGTAATGTAATGCCCAACCTTGTTTTCACTAACCCTGTTTTTAGACTCTCCCTTTTGCTCTCGTAATCACCTAGCCTTGTTTCCACATGAATAGACTCCCTTAGCTGAGAAAGCTGGACGAGCTCCATCTGGCCCCCTTGATTTACAAGACATTAAGGACTCCTTACCCACCCCTCTTTCCTCAAGGAGTTAACCTGTGTAAGCAGATTGTCAACATATCAAAGGAGTCCAGTTAACTGATAAGGTACTGGAACAAACCATGTATGAAGTTCCCAGCATTTTGCTCAAAAGATAACACCATAAAGCCTTCAGTTTGTGTCCGGCGTAGTGCCCATATCTAACTCTTATGAAGGATTTAGAGCCCCGCACCTGGTACCTTGCTTTTTTTGTAACCATTTGTCTTTTAAATTGTTTGTTTCCCTGTAACCATTCGTCCTTTTAATTTTTTTGCATGTTTTTACTTCTGAAGAGTTGTTGCATTTAAGCTCCCCTCCCCTTTCTAAACCAAAGTATAAAAGTTAAGCCCCTTCCTCGGGGCCGAGAGAATTTTGAGCGTTAGCCTTCTCTTTGGCTGCCGGCTGAATAAAAGACTCTTAATTCGTCTCAAAGTGTGGCGTTTTTCTAACTCGCTCAGGTACAACAGTAAAGTAAACATAGAATAGAGGAAGAAGTCAAATATGCATTTGTCTTGGGATGGGCTGAGGAATAATTTATAGTCTTATCTTTGTCCAGTGCCTGTGAAGATCAGCTATTAATTTACATTGTCAGGGTGAGGGAGGCCAGCTGGGGAGACATGGCCTTCTATCTTGCAGCAATCTGTTTAGGAACCAAAGGTAGCCAGGATTTTCGTTTGTTTGTTTTTGTTTTTGTTTTTTACATGACTCAATTCCGAAGCTTAACTTTTCCTTTTGGCATAGTGAGTTTGGGATTCTGAGACTTTATTTTTCTTTCACTCGTGTTTATCTAGTTAGCCAATAAACATTAAGTTGTTATGCCATGCAGGTGGTGATCACCATGTGTCATACGAGTTGATGTGAATCAAATGACATTTGGAATGGAAGCAAAATGTAGTTATTCATACATTTGGAGCAATTCATGTTTACATGCACTAACAACATCACAGATTTTGAGTATTTGTGAAAGATTACTGATAAAGGCATACACTTGCTTGCATTATGTCCAGTATTCATATTACCAAAAATAGAAACTCCAGCTCTTCATTATTGCCAACCACAGATTCCCATCATCTGTGCGCTGTGGGCGTTCCCAGTCACTTCACCCTGTTGATGCTCCTGCTCCATTCTGTATTGCCCTTGACCCCTTGGCTTCAAACTTTGTCATATTATCTTTCTGATTTCTTTAGTCAGAGAACAGGCTCGTATCACAAGATGGCAGAATCTTACATTTTTTATGTAACTTAGAATAGAAAGGGCCCTAAAGATCATTTAGTTTAGTTCTGTTACTTTAAACATTTGGGAACAATGGCCTTTTCAGCCCTAGAGCACGGTAGGTGGTAAAAGTCCATATTACAAATAAGAAGACAGTATGGTTATGCCTTAACACTAATTAATTGGTTCTGATGTACAGTTCATCAGCTCATTGCCTGCCCTACACCTTCCCTTGGCCCCAAGTTAGTTAGGCCAACAGTACATAGATCTCTACCCTCAGATCTATTCCTTCTACATCTATCTTAGGGTAGCTTATATTGCTCTTGTGTCTGTGACAAGAATCTAATGGAAACTCAAAAGCCAATAAAGTGGTCTTAACTTCCTGTTATTTGGGAATATACTTACCTCACCTTAAATGCCAAGTTTTATTTTTTTGTTTCTACATAAAGATTATTTTTCTGAAAAGGTTTTGAGAGAAAATTGCTGAAGATACTTCTCTTTCTATTTTAGATGAACAAGTTGTTATGGGCAATAAGCTCCTTGTATATATTAGGTAAGATTGTTTTATTTATTCATCTGCATGTATGTTCTTTCTATATTTTTCCTATATTTTTAGAGATACTATGATCTCTTATCTATATAGTACTTTTAATTTTGCACAATTCTTTTATGTAGAGCAGTGGTTCTCAACCATGGATAATTTTGTCTCCTACTCCCTGGAGATGTTTGGCAACATCTAGAGACATTTTTGGTTGTTATAACTGGGGCTAGAGAAGGGATGCTACTGGTATCTAGTGGGCAGAGGCCAAGGATGCTGCTAAGCATCATACAATGCACAGAATAGCACAACAAAGAATTATCTGGCCCGAAGTATCAGTAGGGCTGAGGTTGAGAAACCTTGGTGTTGAAACCCGGGTTTTTTATGTTTACTAGTGACACCTATGTGGGATGTGTATTGTTTCTACATATGAGGGCAAGAGACTTGTTCAAATCATGAAAAAGTTAGTAACAGAGGTAAAACTAGAATGTTTATCTCCTGACTCCTGGAGCAGGGTTCATTCTAGTAGACTATGCCAGCTCAGAATTGAGCCCTGATAGAACTTTTCGGTAGATGACTATTTGTCAGGAAGGTGGCAGAACCTAGCAGAACATCATTTGAGCTCATATCTAATGTCAGAGTTAACTTTGAAACCTGTTTCACACTTGTTACATTGATTCTTTAGTGTGAAAGAAATACGCATTTACTTAGTGCTTTATCATCTGTACCTTAAACTCTTCAGGATATGCTGGTGTCCAGTTGTCTCCAGTCTAACATTGAAAATTGTAGTTTAAAAAGCTTTAAAATTTGCTCCCTCCCCGCCAAAAAATAGAAAAAAGGTAGACATGTTCAGATGACATTTGTAGTAATTCAGCTCACAAGGCAAGTCTTTAGCCATGAAGAAGGTTTGATTTGGAGGTAAAACTGTAGGGTGAATTTCTCTTCAGATTCTAATTCTCCCCGGTTTGTCCTGTCGCAGACTTCCCAGACATTTAGCCTCTTTCCCCATCTTTAATACCATTCTTAGAGACCCTGGTTTAACAGTATCTGAGAACGCCAGGCTTTTAACAGATTAATCATAGTATAATGGTGCCATTAGGCACCATCTTTCTAGACGCTGGGTATGAGGCCTTTAGAAGTCTGTCCTCATTCCTTCTTGCCCCTTTAATAGAGCATTGGTTTTTCTTAGGAAACATACGAAGAAACGAAAGCTCCCACTCAGTCACAGGATGCATTACCTCACCTCCATATCTGTTGCCCACATTTTCTAAACTGGGTGTCATCTTGACCTGCTTTGGAACTTGACCTAACTGACAAAAGCTGAGCCTACTTACAAATTGAACTAGTATCTCAAGTTTGAGAAACAATGTGTTACTCGCTTGAAAGTTATCCCCTTTACAAGTCACCATATCCATTCTCATTCTTTTCTTCTAGCTGTTGTCTAGCAGGTCGTGCCTATCCCCTTGGTGACATCCCTGAAGATCTGGTTCCCTTGGTTAAAAACCAGGTTGGTACTATTTTTATAGCCTTTTGACTGTTCTCCGTCTCTGGTTAAGACGCACTGAAGACAAATTGCAGTTGAGGCTTACACGTGGGTCAGGAGCTATCACCTGTTGCAGGAGAGAGCTTACACACTATTACTAAAGTCAATAATTAGAGCTGAGAAAGAATTTAAGAGAGAACTTAAAATACAGTAGCAATTTAAACTGAATTCAGCCTGCCTTTATTTTATCCAAATGAGAATCACTGCTTCAGCAAGATACTTTGTCAGGTGAGAAAATAATCAACATTTTTTTCCCAACTTGCAGGTTTTTGAATTTCTAATTCGCCTGCATTCAGCAGAGGCTTCTCCTGAGGAAGAAATCTATCCTTACATTCGGACTTTGCTACATTTTGACACAAGAGAATTTCTAAATGTATTGGCACTGGTAAGAGACAGTATTATTTTAAGGTGTTTTCAAAGAAGACAGAGCAATAATTTTTTGGCGGGGTGTGGTGGCTCACCCCTGTAATCCCAACACTTTGGCCGAGGCAGGCAGATCATCTGAGGTCAGGAGTTCCAGACCAGCCTGGTCAACATGGCAAAACCCCATCTCTACTAAAAATACAAAACTTAGCCAGGCATGGTGGCAGGTGCCTGTAATCCCAGCTACTTGGGAGGCTGAGGCAGGAGAATTGCTTGAGCCTGGGAGCCGGAGGGTGCAGTGAGCTGAGATTGTGCCTTTGCACTCCAGCGTGGGCTACAGAGAGAGACTCTGTCTCAAAAAAAGAAAAAAGAAAAAGCAATATTTTTTAATAGAAAAATCCCATAATTCTTATGCAGGTACAGTTTTTATGCACTAGCAGTAAGTCAGGGTTTCAAATGTTTAATTTTGTTGTGCTACCCATTTTTTTCTCTAGTTCCTTGCCTTCCTCCCTTTCCCTCTTCCTCCCTCCCTCCTTCTATCCCTCCCTCCTTTCCTCCCTCTCTCCTTCTCTCTCTTCCTTCCTCTCTCTCTAACACACACTCATCAAAAAGTTAAGGAGAACTTAGGGCCTGGCATACAAAACATGGAAGGGAGATGCTGAAGGAGATGCGGTAGTGATGATAGTAAAAATAGCTGGAGTCGAAATGGAACGCGGAAGCTTTTTGCTGAAAAAACACCTTTATACGTGTTCAATTAGAGATGAACATGTACAATTTGGGTGAGCCAGGTTGTCTGTGCAAATGCCCCTGGGGAGTAATTAGATATAATGTATCTTCTGAATTAAATGGTATTGTTGTTTTTTGAAAAGCTTTTGATATTATGGAAAATGCTTATAGTGTTTAGCGAAAGCAGCAGGCACACGAATATGCAAAACACACATATACACAGTATTTGGAGAAAAAAAGACAGGACGGAAATACACCTAAATATTAATAGTGATTAACTCTGTGAGATGAAGCAAATTTCCCTAATAAGCCTATACTACTTTTATAAATTGAATTATATAAATATAATAAACTATTAAATTATTTTAAAAAGGTAAGTACTCATGAGAAGGTTATTATCATTTGAATTGGTTTAATTTGAAAATCTGACATCAGAAGTAGTAACTTTAATTGCATAGAAAGAAGAGAGGGAGAAACTTAGAAGTCAGATCTAGTTGGTTTAGGAAATTTTAAATGTCCAGAGGGGAACATAAGGGTAGTTGGTGACTGGCACATAGGAAAAAAAGAAACAAGAAGTGATGGAGGAGGAGGTTTAGAAAGAGTGTTAGAGAAAACAAAGAACTTAATGTAATTTTTATTTCTTTAAGGGCTGTGGTAGCACCGAAACACATTTGGAATTATGCTGATGTCTGAATTATGACACTGGGATTTATAGTAAGGCTTCAAAACAGTCTCTGATTTGGTTGACAAATATTTGAGTGCATGGTATATCCCATGTATTATCTTCATTAGGGGATGCAGCCTTGGCAACAAGATATAAACTGCTTTTGTGGAGGAAGAGGATCCAGACTTGTAGATAAATAATTATAGCACAGTGTAATATATGCCTTAGGGGAAGTACAGGATGCTATAGGAACACTTAATGAGGGGCACCTACTGGAACGTTAGGGAATGTTTCTGAGATAAAATGGTGTCTACACTGAGTCTCAAAACATTAATAGAAGTTAGTCAGGGGAAGGGTAGGAAAAAACATTGTAGGCAGAGGGCTGAATATATAGAAAGGCCTGGAAATGAGACAGAGCAATGAGTATTCAAGTAATTGAAAAAAATTCAATATAGCTGCATCTTTTAAGTATAAGGAGAAGTACAGAGAGAAACAAATCCAGAGAGGTAGGCAGATACCGAGTCTTGCAACCTGCAATAAAAAATTTGGACTTCCTTCTTTTCTTCCTTCCTTCCTTCCCTCCTTCCCTCCTTCCTTCATTTTTGAGACGGAGCTTTGCTCTTGTCTCCCAGGCTGGAGTGCAATGGCATGATCTCGGCTCACTGCAACCTCCACCTCCTGGGTTCAAGTGATTTTCCTGCCTCAGCCTCCCCAGTAGCCAGGATTATAGCACACATCACCACACTTGGCTAATTTTTGCACCATGTTGGCCAAGCTGGTCTCGAACTCCTGACCTCAGGTGATCTGCCCACCTTGGCCTCCCAAAGTGCTGGGATTAGAGGCGTAAGCCACCACACCTGGCCAAAATTTGGACTTTATACTACAGCAGTTGGTAGCAATTGAAGCCTTTTAGGAAGAAAAATATATTAATTTTATACTTTAAAAAGATTCCCTTTGACTCTTGTGTCTTAGTCTGTTTGAGCTGCTATAACAAAATGCATAGATTGGGTGGCTCATAAACAACAGAAATGTATTTCTCACAGTTCTAGAGTCTGGGAAGTCCAAGATCAAGGTGCTGGCAGATTCTGTTGGTTTAGGCACACGTCCGAGAGGCTTCCCTCCTAATAACCATCACATTGGTGATTAGGTTCTCAACATGAATTTGGGGGCATACAAATGGATTGAAATGAGATAAGATGGAGGCAGGGAGATCTGTTAGTAAATTTTGTAGTAATCTAAATAGAAGATAATGGTAGCTTAAATTAGGGCAGTGGCAGTAGGGATACCAAGAAGTGTAAGATATTTTAAGAGGCAAATCAGCCTCATAAAGAAGAATCGGTGATGGAGGCCACATGTAGCCCCAAAGCCAGAAATATTTACTGTCTGGCTCTTTACAGAGAATGTTGACCCGTGGATTAGGAGGTAGCTTGCTATCATTATTTTACAGAAGCCCCATAGTAATTTTTGAAGTACTACAAAAATATTTTTTTATGTCCAAATTCACAGATGACTTACAACTTGGGTTTTAGGTCTACCTTTGTACTTCAGAAACTGTAATTCTCCATTAGTACATCTTTGCATATTATTCCTCTAGTAAACATCCATAATTAGAAGCATTTTTGTGGGATGATAATGGTCTAACAATGTGCCATTTTGGTGGCAGATGTTAACTACCACCAAAATAGTCATTAAGCATATCATAATATTCACACTGTGGTATATCACCACTTAATTATGTTCACAGAATCAAACTACCAATATCTGTTTCAAAGGAGTGACTACTTGCTGCCAAAAGGAAAATGGTGAAGGAAATTCTTTTTTACTTGCTGTCACTGCCGTAGTTTTTAAATGCATGTGTTAATTCTCCATGGTTTTGTATTTTAGTTGAATAGCATTTATATTAGTGGATGGTACCTTCCCTTTGTACCTGCAGAGTATCATCTCACTTTAGCAGGCAGGGATGGGTGTCTATGTATGTGTGTGTTTGTTGTTCTCATGAATCCGAAGATAGAACTGAGAGAGACTTTGTAGTCCGTCTTCCTATCTTCAGTCAGGGTCATATTCAACCCACATATACATCAGAATAACTTCTATTGAGCCTTCCACAGTAAGAGTTCCTACAGTCTCCTTGGTAACTCGTTTCAGCATTTCCCAGCTACCTGGCAGTAAAGCAGACTAGTTGAAAAAAAAAGTTGAGAATATTTTGTTTTTCTGTGCATCAAACAGGAGAAGGAAGGGAAGGACATACTAATAAGAGAACAGCATGAGCAAAGGTACTTTGGAGAAATTGGGGGAAATTCAGGCCCATTTAAAGAACAGTAACTACTCTTGTTTGAACAGGAGTATGATGTAGTCTTGAAAGTTCATGGCTGTGAAATTCCTTTTTATTTTTAGTCTACTGGGACAATGCGTAGTTCATTTTCTTGTTTCAAGGAAATAGCAATAAATTAGTGCTACGTGGATTTAAACATTTCTCAGAATCAAATGAACTAAGTGAAAACCATAGGAACTATCTTTAAGTCTTTCATCATTCTTATTGTTCAGTAAAAATTTTCATTTCCATTTTTTGATAGTGGACATAATCTCAATTTCTTCATATATACTATATGTACTAGGTTTTTTGTGACACGCTGTTACATATACTGACAAACAGAATCTGGTATTGTAATTTATTTTGATGCATGTTATGTTCAAAGTATTTTGGCTGTGCTTGATCAGTTACATAAAATAAAAGTTGCTATAGTTGGCAGTGTTTTGAGAATAGTAAGTAGGCTTGAGAATTTTAACCTTTTTTTTACCATAATAATTTTTAAAAATGCCTATCTTTGGACATCATTTTTCTTAATTGTCATGGAAATTGTGAAAGTTATTTTTATGACAGTTAATAAAATGTGTCTTAGTTATTTCCAAATAACAGACTGAATGATGGCTGAACATGTAGTATTTTATCCTTCTGTTCTCAAACCTTTGCTCCCAAATTACCTCTTTTCATTAGTGTTATCGCTCTCTTTTTTTTGCTTATGGACTTTGCCTTCCTTCCTTTCTCAAATTCTTATTTGTGATTTTTTTTTAAGTCTCAGAATACTGTGCAATATTAAATGCCATAGCTTTCTACTTGACTCACTAAAAATAATGTCACGCAAGGTGTATAAGACAAAACCTAATGAGGAATAGTTATCTTATTTGAGAAATTACTTGGATTTTATTAACAAGAATTTAATAACTTGTTTTCTTCTACATGTGCAAATAATAATTACTTTAAAAAATTTATTTCTCCCTTTTAGACTTTTGAAGATTTTAAAAATGACAAGCAAGCTGTGGAATATCAACAGCGAATTGTGGATATTTTGTTGAAAGTAAGTATTCAAAGAATACATGTCTTTATATTGATATTTATATTAAGATAGTTGAGCTGTTTTATAGCAGGTTATAAAATAATCTTGTTAAGTGGTTTCTTGGAATCATATCGTAAAATTTTATTACGGTGTCTTTGTTCTCAAGAGCTGAATTAAGTACTAATTATTTATTTTAAAAAATTTTTAGTGTATGTTGGCTTTAGACTGGGGACCGGAATAGAGGGCACTACTGTGAGAAAGGCATATGGTGATAATTGCTATGTTAGTATGATTACGTGTAATAATAGAGACTAACTTCAGAGTGCTTTGAGAAAACAATTAATATGGAGAATCTTCCTGTGTCTCATGCCAACTTCACTTTGTTGCTAAGGCAGTGCCGTATTCTATCATGGCACTGAGATGCTGGATGACACTTAAGAATGATTTGAGGCACACAGAAATGATCATCCCAGTATAAATCTAATTAGATTCAGGAGAAAGCTGTCTTGAGATTGATGCTGTTGCTAATGAAGAATGCAGGGAAAGGTTCTTTGCTTTTCCATCTGCATGACTTCAGGCAGGCCAGTTTCCTCTTGTAGTTGAAAGCTTAGAGTTTTTATTTTTGTTCATTTGGCTGTAAAGTGGAGGTTTCTTTCTTTTAATGTTAAATTATTTTGGACAAGACACCAGAATTAAAGTGTTTTCTAGTTGTGCATAACATCAATATGCTACATTTATAATAGTTCTGTATGTTTATATACGTTATTTCTTTTGAGCTATCAATTAATATTAATTTAACCTTGTAAGACAGGCAGTGATGATTATGAAAATAGGATTGCTGACCTGTCAGATGATGCCAGTTTGATTGAGTTGGCTAGTATGGAGAATTTTCACCTAGATTTATTCCCAGTCTTGTCCTCCTTTAATTTGTGACCTTGCCTCTCTTCTACCTAATACTCTTCCATGGCTTCCTATTGGTCATTTGGAATTGAGTTCTGCTGTGAGAGAAAACTCAAAATAACAATAGTTTAATTGTGATGGGAATTAATTTTTCTCATAGAAGTCTGGAAGTAGGCAACCTGGTTTAGTAGAGTGACTTCATAAACTCAGGGACGCAGATTCCTTCTGTCTTAGTATTACACTTAGTACGTGATTTCCATCTTTCCATCCAAAATGGCTGCTCCGGCTCCTGCTATTACCTCTGCATTCTAGCCAGCCTGAATGTAGAAAGAGATGAAGAAAATGTTCCCTCTCCTTAAGGAAACTTCTTAAAAACTGTGTAATACAATTCTGCTTACACCGTGTAAGGCCCCTTGGTTGGTGGGGGAGATGGAGAAACATAGTCTGTATTCTTGTAACCATGTGCTTAGCTAAACATGAGGAGTTCTGTTTTTCTTCTTCTTCTTTTTTTTTTGAGACTGAGTCTTGCTCTGTTGCCCAGGCTAGAGTGCAGTGGCACGATCTCAGCTCACTACTCCTGGGTTCAAGCAATTCTCCTGCCTCAGCCTCCAGAGTAGCTGCGATTAGAGGCACCTGCCACCACACCCAGCTAATTTTTGTATTTTTAGTAAAGATGGGGTTTTCACCATGTTGGCCAGGCTAGTCTCGAACTTCTGACCTCAGGTAATCCGCCCACCTCAGCCTCCCAAAGTGCCGGGATTACAGGTGTGAGCCACTGTGCCCAGCCCTGAGAAGTTCTGTTTCTAAGTTAGGAGGGAAGACTAGATGTTGGAGCATAAGTAATAGTTTCTGCCATACCCGTCTAAACTGTTGAACATCCAAGATCCCTCTATATATTCTGGTCCTGACTAGGTCTCTATAACTGGTCCCTTCTGTCATCCATCTCGTCATCCTACCCCACACACCTTGTATTAGGACCCTCAACCATATTAAATTATTAGAATTCACTAGACTCTCTGTGGTGTGTTCATAGTTTATGTTCTTTGCAAGGGTTTTCTTTCAGCCTGTCATGCCTTTTCCTTTCACTGACTGGCAAGTTCCTAATCATTTTCCAAGACTTAACTGAAATACCATCTATGAGAAACTGTTTTGAACGCTCTCCCACACATCTAGGTTGATTAGTTGCTCCTTGTCTGTGCTCAGGCAACACTTTATGCTTCAGTTAGCACACTGTAGTGTCATGTTTACATATTTTCTTATCTGTCTTATGTAGACTTGAGCTTCCTGAAGGTAGAGACTGTGAGGATTATTCTAATTATTATTATTATTACTGTTTTGGTCATTGTTTTAGCATGCCTAGAACAGATCCAGCACAATGCCTGTAACCCAGTAGATGTCAGATAAATGTAAGTTGGTTACATTGTAATTTGAGTTTAAAACTATACTAAGTTGGAAGAGTGATCCAAATGAAGAGAAAGCTCCGTAAGTATTTGACTATTTCTGTTGGTGACTTGCCATTCTTGTATGTTGTCTTGATAGTGTTTATCTTGCGTCAATGAAGAATGAGATTTTGAGATTATTTTTTTCATTTCTAGTGCTAGAGATGTGCTAATTGGTTAAAGTGTACTTGTGAGGGATCCGGTGAGAGGAGGAGTATAGGCAGTGACCAGAGAACAGGCCAGTGGATGTTATCATGTGTGCTGAATGGCTGCAGACAGAGGAAACATCTATTAATTTGTGACTTTTTACATTGCCCAGAAAATTTGTAAGCATGGTCTCTGAAATAGGCTAAAGAGAAGAAATGGAAAGGAAATGGCCTTTTGTAGGATAATAACCAATTAGACACTTGCTGAGTTGATGAGGGAATTCTCATATATATATAAGAATATATATATATGAGATAGAGTTTTTATAACTTGAAATACCCACATATTCTAATAATAAGTTTGCACTTGACAATTGATGATTACTGGACTAAAAGCAGAAAGGGCAAAAGAGAGGGATGCAAGAAGTAGGTCAAAAGCTAGGGAATGTTGTATAATGGGAGAAACCTGGTACTTTATCTTTGAATGGAGGGTGGAAGGAGGGAACTTGGAACTTTTTATAGATGTGTGAGGGTGCTATACCCTGATTTGTTGTAGAGTTGCCCCCATGAATTCAGCTCGCCCAAAACAGTACATAGTCTTCCCTCCTACACTTCTGCATTCTCTCTGTTAATGGCATCATTATCCCACCTGCCAATCAGGCTCAAAAAATGTCCTGTTTCATTGTTCCTTTAACCACATGTTTCCACACATAGGAATACTTGTCCTGTCCCCCCTGTCTCTGCCTCTTTCCATTTTCATGATCACTGCCTTACTTAAGAGCCCTTTAGTCTCTCCCTTAGACTCCTGCAGTCACTTGTATCTTGCTCTCCCTGCCTTCTGTTTCTTTCTTCTGTTAATTTTATCCCATGTACTGCTGACAGGATAATTTTCCTAAGCACAATACTGGTCATGATGAACTCCGCTGGTGGAACACGTTTAGTAGCTCCCCAGTTTTCTGTAGAATACATTCTAGATTCCTTAGGATGACATTTGAGACCTCATCTTCTCTTTTAATCTATAGTTTCCCTCTTCCTGCATGCTGCTGCATTCTAATAAATATTGTTGTTCCCCTTAACAAATGTGTTTTTCTGTGTCCATGATTTTGCTCTCACTCTTCTCTTTGCCAGGTTTGCCTTCTCTGTTGACATTTCCCCCTTGTCAGAATTTCTGCACGGGCTTTAAAACTTAGCTTAAAAGCTATTCTTCTCATTTCTTTTCAAATTCCCTCTCTAACCAGTTGAATTAAAATTTTCCACCGTGCTTCTGTAATCATTTGTGCCCTTATAATAGCAGTCATTATATTATGCCTTTTATTTAAGATGTTATGTCTTTTCCTTCTTGTTCCTAATTTTCTTAAAGACACTTATAGCATCTTACACATAGTGAGTACTTAGGAAATGAGAGCTGAGTTAAAGCCAGAGGAATGACTATGATTTGATAACTGTGTGTGTTGTTAAAAGCCTGTTATACAAAACCATGTCTTCAAGGAACTGCTTAATAGAAAGCGGAAGCCGTTCACTTCATTGGTCTGTGTGATAGCTGACTTCTCTGGGCTACCTTGACTCTCAGTTATCTTACTCTCAAACCTCAAAGCAGCTCTCTTCTTCCCTTGTTGATGGACAGATTTTTAGTAGGGCTTATTTAATTGTACAAGACCAGCCTGGCCAACATGGTGAAACTTTGTCTCTATTAAAAATACAAAAATTAACCAGGTGCGGTGGCACACGCCTGTAGTCCCAGCTACTTGGGAGGCTGAGGCAGGAGAATCACTTGAACCCAAGAGGTGGAGGTTGCAGTGAGCCAAGATCATGCCATTGCACTCGAGCTTGGGCAACAGAACGAGACTCCATCTCAAAAAAAAAAAATTAGTTGTAGAAGGATTCTCTAAGAATTACTGAGGGAAACGTGATTAATATTTCTTTGAAATACTACACTTTACATCTCTACCTCTTTATCAATTCAGGTCTCATCCGAATTGTGATAGAAATAGGCCAAAAATCACTAAAATGTTTTCCTCTCAGAGTATGCAAGTGGTTGTGCTTATTCTAAATGGCGTTGAATTCAATTGTTGCACAGTCAATAAAAGAATCTTTTTACGCGTCTTCAGTCATGAGGCTATCCCGTCTTCTAATTGTATTTTTTTTTTTTTGCATCAAACCAAATGGTGTATTGAATAAATGGTCTCCTTTGCTCTTCAGGTTATGGTGGAGAATTCAGACTTTACCCCCTCACAAGTAGGATGTCTCTTTACCTTCCTTGCTCGGCAGCTTGCAAAGCCTGACAACACCTTGTTTGTAAACAGAACACTTTTTGATCAGGTAAGTGTCTAGCAGTGAAAACTAAAAGGTTTTTTCCTGTTTACTGCGCACAGTTCCCTGGATTACACTGTTTCCTGATGTGACAGACTATTGGGTAAATACCTTATCAAGGAGAGGCCTGTTCAGGTTTTGGATCTAAGTTAGGGGGGTATGTGTATATGGGTGTATGGGTATGTTTTGTGGAGATTGGTTTACAGAGATTGTGTTCTCTCAATTATTCTGTTGCTCTGAATTGCCTAGAATTCGTTGCTCAAGAGTTTCCCAATTTAAGAATCTCCCCCATCTCACTGGTAGTAAGACTATTATGACCATCACCTGGAGAAAAGATTACTTTTGTACAATCTCAGTTTACTTACAAATGACTTTCAAGGTTTCTTGTAATCCCGCTTAAATAGCTATTTTTCCACAGGTGGCAAAGAAAATACTTTTTGTCTGGAGAAAGTAACTAAAAATGACTAACATTTTCTGAGTCTTCACAATGGCAGACATTGTTCCAAAGCTTTGTGTGTATGTTACCTTAGTCCTCTCAACAGCTCTAAAATAGGGACAGTTATCCTCCTTTTATAGATGAGGAAACTGAAGCCTGGAGAGATTAAGTAATTCATGTTAGGTCATACTTAGTGTGTTATTATTAGCAGTAAATATTAAGTCTTAATAGAGTTAGTATCCAAATTCAAGTGGCCTGACTCCTAAGCCCATGCTTTGCTAGGTCCATGGTATCGTATCAGGAAACTTAAAGTTAAGGTATATTGACAACACTGCCTTATAGTTATGTTTCTTTTCTCTCTCTATTTTTTTTTTTTTTTTTTTGAGACAGAGTCTGGCTCTGTCGCCTAGGCTGGAGTGCAGCAGCACGATCTTGGCTCACTGCAACCTTGGCCTCCTGGGTTCAAGTGATTGTCCTGCCTCAGCCTCCTAAGTAGCTGGGATTACAGGCACATACCACCACGCCCGGCTAATTTCTTGTATTTTTTGTAGAGATGGGGTTTCACCATGCTGGCCAGGCTGGTCTTGAACTCCTGACCTCAAGTGATCCGCCCTCCTCGGCCTCCCAAAGTGCTGGGATTACAGGTGTGAGCCACTGCGCCTAGCCTCTTAGAGTTATGTTGCCAGGCCGGATGCGATGGCTCACGCCTGTAATCCCAACACTTTGGGAGGCCGAGGCGGGCGGATCACGAGGTCAGGAGATCGAGACCATCCTGGCTAACACAGTGGAACCCCGTCTCTACTAAAAAAATACAAAAAATGAGCCGGGCGTGGTGGCGGGCACCTGTAGTCCCAGCTACTCGGGAGGCTGAGGCAGGAGAATCACTTGAACCCGGGAGGCAGAGCTTGCAGTGAACTGAGATCGCGCCACTGCACTCCAGCCTGGGCGACAGAGTGAGACTCTGTCTCAATAAATAAATAAATAAATAAATAAATAGTTAGCACACCTGCACCTGATGTTACATGTACTGGGTTAATCAGTTGGGAAGGTAGCCTACACCTGTGGTATTTGTTATGTCTGGGTGTGAATGAGTTGGTTATTTGAAAGGGTAGTTATTATTTTTATTATGAGAGTATTAATGTCTAGATGCTGATATCAAATAAAAAATACTTTTTCTTCGGCCAGGTCCTTGAATTCCTTTGTAGTCCTGACGATGACTCCCGACACTCTGAAAGACAGCAGGTATGAACTACTAGAACTCTTTTTGCTAAAAAATAGGAAAGAAGAGTAAGCCAGAAAGAATTCTTCTGTGCTAGACCTCACTACACATGAGGGGCAATTACTTGTGCCAAACCCTAATACGAAGTTAGAGTCAGTGGGAACCAGAAAATAGAGTGGATGATTGTTAGAGGTACATGTGTAAGAAGCTTATATCAAACTAAATTCCTAGGTAGACTGGATCTGTCTTGTATCTACCGTGACATCAAAGAAACTTCCCCTATTATATAGCAACAGCTAGGACTTCTTGTACCCTGCATTCCATTGGCATCATTAATCTGGTAACTACTGCTAGCTGCTGTGGTCCTGAAACAAAAAAGCTGCAGGGTCCTGAGTATTGACATACCTAATTTTTGAGAGTGCCCTAAAACCCCACTGCATTAGGGCTGACCATTCTGGAGACTAGAATCCACCTGTCCCTCCGCTAATTATCATGAGATAGTAACTGTTTGAGTACCACTTCTTTCTGTTCATGCCACTTTCTTGAGGTTGCCTTGAGGAGTAGGATTCTTTAAAAAGCATACCCACCATAATTGTGGGCACTAAGAGAGTCAACCCATTTTGTATTGATAGCCAGATTTTGTCAGGTAAGTAAACTACTAAAATTAAGTACCATGAGAGCTGTGCTGAAGTATGGCTTTATGGCACTGTGGTAATCATACGCAGCTGGGAAGTTGAGACTATCGGATAGCAACAGTGACCCCTTTATCCGCACAGCTATGGCCCAGTGACTGCTGCAGAGTATCCTAGGTAAAAGAACAGCTGGTAAAATTTTGGTTATCTCTTAAATTATATTGAATACAAATAGTATATGGGCCCCCTCATTTCAGCTGCTTAGTGTTGTAAAAATTAATTCTATGAGCTCCAATATTTTTGTTTGCTTTTTATTGTGGTAAAATAGACGTAACACATAATTTACCATTTTAACCATTTTTAAGTGTATACATCAGTGGTATTCACATTGTACAATCCTCATCACCATCCATCCCCAGAACTCTTTTATCTTCCCAAACTGAACTACCATACCAATTAAATCATAACTCCCACTCCCTGTTTTCTCCTCCCCAGCCCTTAGTAACTACCAGTCTCTATGAATTTTACTACCTTAGGTCCCTCACGTAAGTGCAGTCACAATACTCGTTCTTTTGTATTTAGCTTATTTCACTTGGCAGAATGTGTTCAAGGTTCATCCATGCCGCAGCATGCATGTATCAGGTTTTCTTCCTACTGAACAGTATTCCGTTGTATGCATATACTACATTTTGTTTATTCATTCATCCACTGAGGGCCATTTGGATTGTTTCCACCCTTTGGCTATTTTGAATAGTGCTGCTATGAAAAGCCCCAATACTTAATTTTTAAAAAATTAACATGTAAACATGGATACCAGCTGTGGATAGACAGATTGTAAAGAACCGTAAGACATAAAAGTGAGATAAAAATTCACTTCTTGAAAGATATATATGGACATTTTAGCTTAGCAGAGAGTCAGCTCAATGTCTAATAGGGCTTTATTTGTAAACACTGTGGCGTTCTTTCCATGTTTGGAAAGCAGAGCCATTTATCTTTTTATAGGGCTTAAATGCAGTATGATCAAGTTTATAATGTCAGTCTAACCCCTTCCATATGTGACAGCAAGCCAAAATATCATCAACTAAGAATACAAAAGAAAAAAATTAAATGTTATAGTCTGCATGGCTGAATGCACTCTTAAAGAGCTAGTAAATTCTCAAGTGTTTTTACTCATTTATTGTAAATACTCAGGTCCTTTTAGAATTGCTGCAGGCTGGAGGCATAGTTCAATTTGAAGAGAGTCGACTCATCCGGATGGCAGAAAAAGCTGAGTTGTAAGTTGTTTTGAGGCTGTATATTAGTTTGCCATAGAAATATTAAATTATATTTCTTTAACTTAAAGCTCAGTTTATTGATACATTGCTGCTTTTTTAATTAGGAAAGATTATACAAATAACAAAAAGCTAAGGGTGAAAATTTTTCCCTTTTAATTGAATTCTAGAAATTAGTAAAATTTGCAGAAATTGATAGGGCAGATATGAAACTTTTATATAATTGTTTAAACATAAAGTGAAATAGTCTTATGATGTTTTATTATTTTAGATTTTTTCTTTAATATTTCCATGTTTCATAAATTGTTGATGGTTATCTTAGATATATTAGAGACAATGCAGTATTTGACGTAGTAAATAAGATGATATGATCACATTGCTACTTACCTAGTATGCTGTATTTATATGACATGTAATTCTGAACAGAGGAACTTTATGTAAAATTTTTGTAAATTATCAATTAATATCTAACATATTCACTATTTCTTATGTGATACACTATTGTTTTAGTATTTCCTTTGTATTCAGCATTGAAATTTTTTATAAACATAATATTTAGCAGCCTCTTGAACCTATAGTTAAAGGTTAACGGCAAATACTCATCTCCCTTAGTTATTCACTGTAACTTTATTTAACAATAGAAATCACATCTACTATATTAATTTTTCTTTTTTTTCTTTTGAGACAAAGTCTCCCTCTGTTGACCAGGCTGGAGTGCAGTGGTGCGATCATAGCTCACTGTAGCCTTAACCTCCTGGTCTCAAGCAATCCTCCTGCCTCAGCTTCCGTAGTAGCTCAGATGACAGGCACATGCCACCATACCTGGCTTTTAGTTTTTTTGTAGAGACGGGGTCTTGCTATGCTGCCCAGGCTGATCTCAAACTCCTGGTCTCAAGCAGTCCTCTTGCCTCAGCCTCCCAAAGTGCTTGGATTATAAGCATGAGCCAGGACACCTGGCCCACTTTTCCTAATACTAACCTGTGTGCCAGAGCAAATGTCTCAAAAACCTCCCTGTTTGGTACACTGAAGTTTTTCCCTTTACATTCTAGCTATCAAATTTGTGAATTTATGTATGAAAGAGAACACCAATATGATAAAATTATTGATTGCTACTTACGTGACCCTCTGCGAGAGGTGAGTCAAGATACTGCTTTACTCTTTTTTCTTACTCAACTTTCCCTCTTATTGAGTACAAATAACTGTTGAGTAGAAATATTTGCGCATGTGTATGAGCCAAATACACATTGATAATTAAAACAGATACAGTTCTTGCAGTTTTGGAATGTATAATTTAGTGATGGAAACTGACAGTAAACAAAGTCAAATATGATTACAAATTGGGATAAATGCTAGGGAAGAGAAACCGAGTGCTACTTTAGAGGATGATGGGGAACTGACTTACACAGAGTAGCCAGGGAAGGAATTTCAGAGAAAGTGACATATAAACTGAGTTTTGGAATTTGAGAAGCCAGTGAAGGAAAGAGCCAAGAAGAGTGTTCCAGGATGGGTAACTGTATATGCAAGAGACCTGAGGTGGGGAAAATTGACATGTTCAAGGAGCTGAGTAGAGATCATATAGATGAAGTGAAAATCAGTATAGGTGGAGCATAATAGACAAGGGCAGGAGTGGTTTCTGCTGAAATTGGGAATGTGGACAATGGGATCCCCAAAAGCCAAAGTGTGATACTCCTTCATTAGGTCACTGAAGATTAATAAATTCAAACCAAAATTAATTAGAACTGATTTTTTGCTTCTAAGAGTCTACCCTAAATTTTAAACAATTACTCTTTATTTTTAGGGACAGAGTTTTCCATCAGTTAACTATCTCCAGATAATTTTTCATCTTCAGATAATAGATGTTTACCAAGACTGGTTCAGTTGGTAGGGACTAAATCTTGAGTGAGTGAATGAATAAATTATATTGTCTTGTGCTCTTCAGGAAGAAGTCTTTAATTACATTCACAATATCTTATCCATTCCCGGACACAGTGCAGAGGAGAAGCAGTCTGTATGGCAGAAAGCAATGGATCATATTGAGGTACTGATGCGCAAAACTTCACACTTCACCATCTGAACGATCATCTAACCCAAGTTAACTTTATGCCAACGAAGCAATGGCATGTATCATATTAAGTTGATTTAATTTAGGGTTGAAATCTTTTTCGTGTAATTATTCTACCTCATATTTGTATTCATAAAGTCTGTGTCACATGCAATCTATTACATCATGACTTCTGAAACTAGCCCATGTTCAATCAGCCAGTGACAAACTATTATTAATGCATTTTTACAAAGTTCATAGAATGATTCTGAGAGTACTGCTTGTCCTTTTTTCCTAATATGTGATGAGTGCCATTCCCTCCAATCATCTAATGGACTTTTAGAAAAATTACTGCAATGAGTTTTCTCTCTGATGTGTTTCTCTTCCTTATATAACAGGATGATGATTCTGACCTAGCTGTGGTCAGCTAATTCACTGATTTTGTTGATGCCTGCTATTTTACAGAGGATGCAAGTATTCACTTCTATTGAAACAAAAAGTTCCTATTAAGAAACAATGCTTCTAGATATACAAATAGACTACTTGCGTGATGAGGGCTGTGATCACAATGTGTTCTGAAATGGGACCCAAAAATCACTTCTTACTTTAGTTTCCTTATGTTCATAACATACTCCTTACCCCAGAATCCAACAGAACTAGCAGTTTTGTTGAAATCTCTTATTTTTATGTTTTATGTTATTTTATCTATTCTGTTTATTTCTGATGATTGAAAAAAAGTAGTAAGAAAAGAGGTAATCCTCTTTTGGAAATAACATTTAAACTGAGGTAATCCTACTTTTGGAAATAACATTTATATCTACAGAGTTGCTCTCATTCTTCTTATAGCAAGAGTCAGGTGGTGGATTTGGAGATGTAGTAAAGATACGATTATTCAACATGTTTGAACATTTTTTATAGATATGAAAAACTATAAGAAAGGATATGATGTGGATACTTTGTTTTAGTTCCCGAAGGTTGTAAAGTTTAGAAAGATCAGAGGTGTGAACAACATCTTCTTGTGAAATAACTGGCACGAAAGGTAGTATAGCCAGTCATGAGATATGTGGTCTGAAGTAATTTCCACACTGCTGTATATAGGATTGAGAACATGGAATATGTTATTTAGTGTTGTTATATTTCTGCTAACAACAAGATGAATATATCTTGGTAAAATAACCCAACAAGTCATTCTCTGATTTTGTGTTTTATATTTTTTCCCTTTAATCATTTAGTATTCTTTTTCATCCTCCTCTTTAAGTCTCCATGGTTATATTATGATTCAGTTCTCATTTCACCTCATCTGCATTATACAGTGGTTTGAGCACATGGATTCCAGACATCAAAAATGAAGCCACATCTCTGCATTATGTGAAATGTGATAAATTAATCAATGAGCAAACATTGCTCAGCAAAAAACTCAAGCTAGGGGAGCAAGAAGTATTTTTGCTACACAATAATTACTTTTGCTGACTAGTTTTTCCCACATCTGCATATTTTTTCACCTTGAACTTTTTAATCTCTTAAGGCCACAATGACAGGTGTATAAGCTTTTGTTGAAGGACTTCTGTGTCTTCAGTAATGTAAATATAATCAACATTAAATACATAGGACAAAAAGGCATCATAATGAAGTTTTCTGACAAGATACACTTAGTTTATAGCTTAGTGGTTCTTAACACTTTTTTTGAGACTCTAATGAAAGATTGATGCCTCGTAATATTGCACATGTACATAGATACATGATTCTGTTTAAAGTTTCAGGGATATACAGATCCCTGAAAGTCTTTCTTAGATGACCAATCTCTGGTTCAGATGGTTTTTTGAATATGAAAGATTTCATTAGATTGTGTTGACATGTTATATTTTGAAATTTATAAAGCATTCAAAAAAGTACATAAAACAAATGTATAGCTTAATTAAAAATGGAAAAGCAAACATCCTAGGTCCTCAACAAGAAATATGATATTTCCATACCTCCGACTTTTCCCACATATTCTTTTCTGATCACAGTTCTTTCTTCCCCCTTCCCCCACACAGCCATTATCCTGGTTTTTGTGACAGTTTCTTACCTTTTTGTATACTGTTACTGCATGTGCATGCATCCCTAAATATATGTTTTTGTTTTGCCTATTCTTGAACTTTGTGAAAATGAAATCATACTTTATTTTCTTATTTTTGCCCAGTATTTTGTTTGAGAAGATTTTACCTTTTGTTTTACATAGCTGCAGTTGATTTTTATTGTATAGTATTACATTTTATAAGTATATCACAGTTTATCCATTCTACTGCTGCTAGGCATTTCAGTTGTTTCTAGTTTTAACTATTAAGAACAGTCTGTTCACAATCATCCGTATATGTGCATCTTGAGCATAGCCACATACATTTCTCTAAGGCAGTGATTCTCAGTTTCATCCCCAAACCAACATCACAGCATCAGCTGAGAATTTGATAGAAATGCAAAGTTTGGACCTCCACCTCAGACCTCCTGAATCAGAAACTCTGGGGGTGAGGCCCAGCAATCCCCTACATTATTCTGATGTATGCTAACTCATAATCTCTGCTCTAGTGTATATAATTCCTAGTTAGTTGAGATTAATATTTTAAATTTCACTGGATGCCAGCACTGTATGAGAGTTCCTATGGACTCTATATCCTTGGCAGACTTTAAATCTTTCCCAATCTAGTGGATGTGTAATGATACCTAATTATGTTTTACATTTACCTTTCCTTAATTACTAATAAGACTGACAGCCTTTTCATATGTTTATTGGGCATTTAAATTTTCTCTTTTGTGAAGTGCCTGCTGAAGTTTTTTGCCCACTTTTCTGTTTGAAATGTCTCATACTTACTGTTTTGGAAGATTTCTTTATGTATTGTGGATGTTAGTCTTTTATCAGCAATATATATTGCAAATATCTTCTCCCATCTCCCATTCTGTGGCTTTTCCTTTCGATCTTTGTGTGTGTGTGTGTGTGTGTTTTTAAGTGGTCAAAATAATCATTTCCCCCCCTCTTTATGTCCTGCTTGCTTTCTTATTTCTTTTTAATCTTTGGCTCTGAGTTCCACCTGAAAGTAATTTTTGTGCATAGTATGAGATGGAAGTCGAGTTAAGTTTTTAGAATACAGATGCCCAATTTTCCCAGCAGCAATTATTTTTAAAGGTTGCTTTTTCCTGTTGCTCAGCAATGCTACCTTTGTGATGAGTATATCAAGGATCTATATGTGTAGTCTGTTTCTCTGGGCCTTCTGTTCCATTGGTCTGTTTGTCCATCTCTGCATCAGTACCACACTATATTTAATATTGTTGCTGTATAATGAGTCTTGATATCTTTAACAGAATCTTGGCTATTATTGACTTTTGATACTTCCAAATACATTTTAGAATCAACTTATCAAGTTCCACCAAAATTTTTTTAACTTCGTGATTATGACAGGCATTGCACTGAATCTATCAATAATTTTGAAGATAATTTGCAATCTTTACAATATTGAGTCTTCATATCTATGACTGTATGGTATAATCCTTTATTTAATATCTTCCTATAAAGTTTTATAGTGCTCTCTGTGGGGAATTTCCATCCTTTGTTTTTGTTTTGTTTTGTTTTGTTTTTTTTGAGACAGAGTCTCACTCACTGTGTCGCCCAGGCTGGAGTATAGTGGCACCATCTAGGTTCACTGCAACCTCAGCCTCCTGGGTTCAAATGATTCTCCCTCCTCATCCTCCCTAAGTAGCTGGGATTACAGATATGGCCACCACGCACAGCTTATTTTTATATTTTTAGTAGAGACAGGGTTTTGCCATGTTGGCCAGGCTAGTCTCAAACTCCTGACCTCAAATGATTCACCTACCTTGGCCTCCCAAAGTGCTAGGATTACAAGCATGAGCCACCACGCCCAGCCCCATCCTTTGTTATACTTACTGTCACAACTTCATATTTTTAATGCTGTTGTTAATGGCATTTTTAAAAATTTCATTTCCAACATAAGTATGTTTACTGTAAGGATTTTTATGGAAGTTTTCTTCTATTTCTACTATGCCAAGAGTTTCCTCATGAATGGATTTTGAATTTTATCATGTTTTCTTCCTTATTCTGTTTTTGTGTTAAATTTTATTGGTATTAAACCAACCTTGATTTTTGCAGATAAGTGCAGCTTGATCCTGATATATTATTTTTATACATTGCTGAATTTCATTTTTATTTAGGATGTTTATATCAATATTTGTGATTCAGATTGATCTGTAATTTTGTCCTATTGGGTTTAAGGTGTCAAAATGTTACTAGCCTCTTACAATGAGCTGAAGAATTTTTCTTTTTTCTATTCTCTGTTGTAAGAGGTTTAGTTAAGGCTGGAATTATTTCTTCCTTAAATGGTTGCTAGAACTTACCAGTGAGGCTATTTGACCCTACAGTTTTTCATATGGAAAGTTTTTAAACTACTCACTCAGTTATTTTAATGGTTAAAAATCAAATCAGGGTCAGACACGGTGGCTCATGCCTGTAATTCCAGCACTTTGGGAGGCCGAGGCAGGATGATCTCTTGATCCCAGGACTTCCAGACCAGCCTGGGCAACATAGCAAGACCCCGTCTCTACCAAAAAAAAAAATCAATTCAGGCTATTTCTTCTCAAGTCAGTTTATTAAATTATACTTTTTAGGAATTTATTTTGTCTGAATTTCCAAATTCTTGGCATAAATTCATTCATCGTAGCTTGTTTTTGAATGGCTACAGATCAGTAGTAGTGTCTCCTTTGTAATATTTAGTTATACCTTCTCACTCATCAGGAGTATTGCATTAAAGTTATGTAAACTACAGTTATTTGTGGCAGCTAATTATTATGAATCTACAAGTACTACCTAACACAATAATTAAGAGATACATTGTGAATGTTGCAGTCATAGTGGTTTGTCTGAGTTTTATTTAATAATACCTATTTTGGTCTACATTTGGTCTTTGTGTTTTAGCCGTGTATTGTGGTTGTGTTTGATCATAGTGTCCCCACAGAGAAGGTACAATTGGAAAGGTAGAATATTAGGTGACAGAAACCAAGTAAGAAGAGAGTTTTAAAAAGAAAAGGATAGTCAGTAGTGTCCAGGAAAGTCCAAGGGGAGGTCAAATTAAAAGTCTTATATTTGACAAATACATTTTATTAACAATGTTTAATTAAAAGTGGTCAACATTTTACTCTCATATAAAATTTAAGACCTGAAGTTTATTTCTTAAAATGCTTGCAGTTTCTAAATCCACTAGGCACCAGAAGTAAAGTTTTAAAATTCTCGGCCAGATAAATTACAACTATTCTTTCTCGTTTCTTCAAGTTATTACTTTAAGCTCCAGGGTGAAATGCATTGACAGGAAATTTGGGAAGCTTTTGCTCCTTCTGTTTCTCCTGCAGGTATCATGGCTGAAATCCAGAATTCTATAGTGCTTTCATTTTCTAAGAATTCTGAATTACCTTTCTTTAAATGAAATTTTGATTTTTTTTTTTACATGGCACATTTCTAATTTTGCTCATTTGCAAAGTGCGCTTTAAATTGAGGCCCTATATCAAGGTCTGCTGAAATGCAGCATGGAAGCTTGCGACTGTATTGAGGTAGGTAATCGTGCCTCACATCTGTGGATATGCTGTTTAAATGAGCCATTAGAGATGGCTTTGTCTTTTCCTTTAACTCCAGGAACTCGTGTCCCTGAAGCCTTGTAAAGCTGCGGAGCTGGTTGCCACCCACTTTTCTGGACATATTGAAACGGTCATTAAAAAACTTCAGGTACATATTGCAAATATATATTGGGGAAAAATATCTAGTGGAAAGACAATTATTAAATCGTCACCTAAGAAGTTTTGATTGTAGTGATTTCTTCAGTTGACATTTATTAGCAGTTTCTATTAGGTTGGTGCAAAAGTGATTGTGGTTTTTGCCATTTCTTTAATGGCACCAACCTAATACTGTGTGTGTGTGTGTGTGTGTGTGTGTGTGTGTGTGTGTGTGTGTGGTTGGGAGCAGTTGTATGATGATCTCTTAGTTTGGAAATGAGGGAGTTCATCTTTGTGCATACAAATATGAGCTTCAAAGAAGCATTTCTGGAACTATAATGTACTTATCCTAGAAATCCTAATCCACAGATCCTCCCTTCTCCCATTTTCTTTTGCTGTAGGATCCACAACCCCGTTTTCTTTTTTTTTTTTTGAGATGGAGTCTCGCTCTGTCACCCAGGCTGGAGTGCAGTGGTGTGATCTCCACTCATTGCGAGCTCCGCCTCCCGGGTTCAAGCCATTCTCCTGCCTCAGCCTCCTGAGTAGCTGGGACTACAGATGCCTGCCACCATGCCTGGCTAATTTTTTTGTGTTTTTAGTAGAGACAGGGTTTCACCATGTTACCAGGTTGGTCTTGATCTCCTGACCTCATGATCCGCCTGCCTCGGCCTCCCAAGGTGCTGGGATTACAGGCGTGAGCCACCACATCTGGGCCACAACCCTGTTTTCTTTGAGATTCATATTTATTCAAAACTTTGTCATCCTGAAATTGTGCTGTTTAGAATGTTTCTTGGAAAATCTTAACTGGAATACAGCTATATGCATGGTAAATATTGAGAAGCTCAGTTAGAAGTACTATTGAATGGACTGTTTAAGGTATTCCACTTACCACTTACCATGGCCGTGCTGATGTTGAGTTTGCTCCCTGTCATTGTAGCCACAAGTGATAGAGGCAGGGAATAGGACAATGACAGGGACATGAAGCACCACCCAGAGTCCTCAAGTGACATTAATAGTGGTTGGGAATAGCTGTGCAAGAAGGAAATCAGAGCAGTGAGTAGGAGGTAGCTGGCATGAGAGACAAAAATATGGAATTCATTCATTCGAACACTTAGTGCTGCTCTACTCTCTACCAGTGTGCTAGGCCCTAGGGACAGAAATAAGAATACAACCTTTTCTTAAATTTTTCCTCTAGAACAGAGAAGCACTTGCATAATTATAGTCCAGTGTTGAAAGAGCTACACTAGAGATATGTGAAAAGTACTGTAGGAACAAGAGAAGAGGGTGATGGATTGCGAGAAAGACAAGAATGCCCAGAGATCCCTAATCTGGTCTTGAATGCCTAATGTCAGATTTCCAAGCAGAGACTTGGGCAGGGCTTTCTTAATAAAAAGGTTCTGGGTATAAAAGCCTTGAAGGCATAAAGCAGCATGCATGTTCAGAGAACAGTCAGGTCTGTGTGAAGCATGACGTCAGCAGGGGGTGATGGTGGAAGTGGCATTAGGTTAAGCTACTAGTGATAGGCTGGAGGGGAGGAGCTAAACTAGAGGGGTTGCAAAATACAGCTTGGAGACAAATACGAAACGGTTTCACATGTGATGCTATGAAATTTAAACTGTCTTCTGTGTACTGAGAATTATTGAAGTTCTTTAAAGCTAAAGAGCAGTATCATTAGATCCATTTTACAGAAAATGAACTTCGGATAGCAGTGGGGAGAATGGACTGGAAAGGAGAGCAAATGGAGGAGAGAGAAGAAGGTCTAGGCAAAAGATGGAGAGGACTAGCACTAAGTCAGTGGCAGTTGGAGAGGACAGATTTAGGACATTTTTGTGAAGTAAAATGTATAGGATCTGGAAATCAGTTGAATGTGATGGGAGGAGTTAAAAACAACTCCCAGATATCAGGCTTGGTTGTCCAGCATGATAATGATGAGGTCCATTAACTCAAGAAAAAGACTCACCGATTAATTCAATAAATACCTGCTCTGGGCCAAAAACATTAAGTGCTGAGGATACAAAAACATGTAAGTGTGATCCTGCTCTCTAGGAAGAAGACAAATAAGCCAAAAGACAATTACAGACTAGCTTGATTGGAATGCTAATGGAGCCCAGGATACTGAAGTAGTACACGGAAGGACATGAAATCCAGTCTAGTGAGGGAGGGTAGGAGGAGGTTTCTACCAAAACTACTCTCAACCTCCAGAGCTTCTCTCCCCTTTAAAAGTCAGCACTTCTGGTAAATTTTGCCTGTGGTGGTGGCTGTGTTGTCATTGTCCTTTAAGATTTAAAATGATCACTTGTAGGATTTTCTTTTCTTTTCTTTTTTTCTTTTTTTTTTTTTGTAGTCTCTACGGATATTAAGAGACAGGCCCAGTAGGTGAATATAATGTCATTCATCAGACAAATATATAAAAGTAAAGTATGGGCGGGGCACAGTGGCTCACACCTATAATCCTAGCATTTTGCAAGGCCCAGGCGGGCAGATCGCTTGAGCTCAGGAGCTCAAGACCAGCCTGGGCAACATGGTGAAACCCCATCTCTACAAAAAAATCCAGAAAATTAGCTGGACATGGTGGTGGGTGCCTTTTGTCCCAGCTGTACGGGAGGCTGAGGTGGGATGATCACCTGAACCCAGGAGGTTGAGGCCGCAGTGAGCTGTGATCATGTCAGTGCACTCCAGCCTGGGTGACAGAGTGAGACCCTGTCTCAAAAAAAAAAAAAAAAAAAGGTCTGTTTGTGGAGTCTTAGACATTTCTTTTAAAGAAATGAAGTATTTACTTTATTGCATAGCTTTATAAATTGTGCAAGAATCCCACATAGATCTTACAAAGTACCTTTACTTTTGATGGCAAGAAATATGCCTCTGACCAATTGTTTTCAGAATTCTTAAAATGAAAAATTGCCAGAATGTTATGTTATAACTGAGAAGAAAGTCATGTAAAATAACACAAAGTGATAGTGAAAAAATAGAAAATCAGACTGATAAAAATAAATATATTTTTAAATCATATTTTATATTAATCTTTTTCATCTTTAAGAGTCCCCCATTTTTTACAGATAAAGTGTGAATTTGTCAAAAAATAAAAAAACAAAGAAAAACTAAACAATAACAATTTTTGCATAGGTTTCCCAAGAATTTAGAAATATTCATATTTTTGTAGTATTTGAAGGTTTATCTCATTTAACCCTCACTACTACCCAATGTGGAAGGCAGAGAAGATATTGCTGTCCTCTTTTTTTTTTTTTTTTTCCACATAAGGAAATTGAATTGCTCAGAGGATAAGTAACTTACAGAAAGTCACGTAAGTGAGTAAATGGCAAAAACAGAACCCAGATTTTATGGCATGTTGATTGCTAACATGTTGCAGTTTGATTGGCATCTCTTCTGTAGTTGTTGATATTCATGAACTTTTTTGGTGGTGGTTGTTAACTTGGACCTCAAACTCCCACCCTCCCTGGATGAACTATCTCACAGCAACCCATTGCCACAGGAGGACCAGGTTAAGGCAAGGTGAAACTGATCAGTGCATCCAGAGCTCAGCATCCACAGAGCAGTTCCAAGCACCTGCCACTCCGAGGGTCCTTGTGCTGGGAACAGCTCGAGGATTTGTCTCAGTAGAGGTCTGTTTTGGGCGATAATAGGGTGTTTGTGTTCCGTTTACACTGAGAAGTGAATGTGCGACAGTGATTAGAATTATTGAGAAGACATAACCTCCAGATGATTCTTTAGAATTTCTTAGATCTGTACAGAGGGCTTTGTGGAAATACTCAGATATCTGTGCATAAAGGGATAGGTTAAAGTAGTTCTTTACCATGGAATATTTGAAAAATTTGTTTTAATATTTAATTGTAATTTTTATTGTTTTTCTGTTCAGAACCAGGTTTTGCTTTTCAAATTTTTGAGGAGTCTTCTTGACCCAAGGTATGTTGACAAACTTTAGTCTTTCATTATATATATATATATATATGAGAAATAAAAGGAAATAAATAAAGTTACCAGCCCATGGTATCTAAATAATACAATTAGCTCTTAATTTTTTATATTAGTAGGAGCAACTGTTACACAGATAATGTGAAAATAGAAGATCTGAACGATAGATTATATCTTGAGATAATACTTTTCTTTCCATTTGAACATGAGCATATATGGTGAGTTCTCATGGGTGTAAATAAAATAATGAAGCCATGCCACAAGGACATGTTTCAGAAGAGTTAGCTTCCCCCTCCTGCCCTTGTTTCACTCTTGCCTACTCCTAACTTCATGTGGGTGATTGATGGTGGCTCTACTTTCCAAAGTTAACACTTGGTTCCCAGCCCACCTCTAAATGTATTACCTTTTAAACTCTGACTTAATATGTTTAGTTTTAAACAACTTCCTGATGGTGTGGGAAGGAAAGTTTAAATGTGTTTTTTCAACAGCTACTCTGATGTTTATATCAAATAAAAGCAAACTCAAGGAGATGATGAAATTAATAATGGATTTGTAGGCAAAGCAGTGCTGCATATGAGGTTTTAAAGTTTTGCTGTAACTACATAGAGTACATTGGGAGTTGAGGGCAGTAATATTTAATATCCTCTAAGATAGCTACTCTTGACTAGTAGTGTGCATCAGAATCACCTACGAAGCTTTTAAAAATTCAGATGGCTTGTCCCAACCCACAGAATCACTGGGAGTTGGAATATTTTGATGCACACCTAGAGTTAAGCATGGTTTACGTGTAATTTTCCAAGATGACATAGCTTTCATATCAGACATACAAACTTTAGGTTTCATTATAATATATGCTGGCCATTGAAAACAACTATTTACTTACGTTAGCAATTGTAATATCAGCTTTGGTTATTTCCGTGTTCTGTGAGATTTTAAAATACCAAAATACCAGTAATTTTGTTGGTTGTAAAATTTTTTTGAAAGCTCAACCATTTAAATCTTGAATAGGCTGTGGTACATTTAAATTTAGTCAAACGAATATGTATGTGTAGATGTTTACTAAAAGCAGACTGATTACAAAGCCCCCTCCACTTGTGTTCAAGACCTTTTCAAAGTATCTGTATTTTAATTCTCTGTCCTCAGATTATTACTGAGGGTAGACATCCTTTTTTTTTTTTTTTTTTTAAATTCCTATTAATCATGTGTATTTCCCTCAGAGTCAGTTCGGGCCCTTTTCTACTCCCAGAATTAACTGATGGAAAGATTTTAGAATTGGAGTTGGGAGTGGGAGGGAAGAAAGGAATGTGGGTAGAGGTAGGGAGAGCTGGGAGGGGGAGACATGAAAGTAGGGCAGAGGATGGAGCTCAGGGGAGGAGGAAGGAAACGCCAGCCCCACTTCTCAGCCCTTTCTCCAGAGCCTGCCCACCTCTTTTTCTGTGGCACAGTTCCCTCTTTTCCTCTCCCATACTTTTCCCAGTGTTAGATCCATTCACTGCTCTGCCCTTAGGATAATTTATTTTAATCAAGTCCTTTTCCTCTGCTATCCTACCTGGAGAGACTCAAGCAAGAACAACAGGGGAAGGTCAGCTTTGAACTTGGCATTTTCTCAAATGAAGTGTGGAAAGTGATGGTGACCAAGTATATTTTTTTATTTAAAAAAAAAAACAGTATTAGGTAATGTAAATATCTGTCAAAGACCTAGTGTTCTGCTTTGAGAATCCTAGTTCTTGGATTCATCATATTTTATCCTCTTACTTTATGTCTTATATAGGAGGTAGGCATTGATGTAGATTATGCTCTAAACTTTTTGAATTTGATGTTTGGCATTTCAATCATTTTTTAATAAAAAGCAAATACAAATAATATACCTGCTTTGGTATTGCGGTCACTATTTAAAATAAATATTACAAAAAAAAAGGCATATCACAAGTATCAAAGGTCTTCAATGGACAGTCTTGCTCCCTTCTTACCTATATCTAGATTTGAAAGATGTTAGTTAGGTAAGACCCTTTATGAGTGCTGTGAAAGTTGTTTTGTTCACCAGTAAACCACAGATCATTTTACTTGAGAAACAGGTATATTTTATTTCCCTAAGCTAACCCTAACCAGGATAATTACCTCTCACACATTATTCCTTTCCTGTCATATCAATTCAGGCGCAAGGTCCTTTCTTACCGACCTTGAAAAGAGTCAGCGTGCTCACAGGCCTTCCTCTCCCCTTCCCCAAAAAGTGACATGACCAGGAATGACCTCACTCTCACAGCCAAATTTCTAGCTTTACGTTTGTCTACCAGAAATTAAGAGCCTTGAAGTCACCAGCTTACCTTAGCTCTGCCTTTAAAAAGAGCTCATGTTTGTATTGATCTGCCTCCAAAGTATCAAAGACCGCGTGTTCTGCTTTGAGAGTCCTGATTCTTGGATTCATCATATTTTATCCTCTTACTTTATGTCTTCCATAGGAGGCAGGCATTGATTTAGATTATGCTCTAAACTTATTTTTGAATTTAATGTTTGGCATTTCAATCATTTTTATGTAAAGAACATTTTAAATGATAGTATCTCAAGCTAATCCATAAAAGCTTCTTTAACCCACAGTGTAAATAAATATATAATACTAGTAACATATTGAGTTCCGGATTGAGGGAGAGAAAGTAGGTTAAGAAGGTTGAGTGCCGAGGGAGTAAAGAAAAAAGAGGAAGTTCTCCCTTTCTTGCTTTGAGAGTGGTTGTTAGAAAAAGTTTTGATTTGTTTAAGGTCTGTTTTTGGTATCCTTTGAACCCTACCTCCACCCCATTCCGTTCCCTTCTTTCCAGGGATGCAGGGTACACACACTTCTTCAAGCTCTTTGCATTATAGGCACACTCAGATATAGAGTGTTCTTTATAGATGTAAAAAATCCAAATTACCTTCCTCCATTTCCCCATCAAAACTGTTTTCTAGTTGCTTTGTCAGTTTCTGTATTGTATGGCCCCTTTTACAATGAGAAATATATAAATGACATATGAAAACAATGAAGCATATAAAAGATGGGGAAAAAACTCAACACCTTTTCCTAATACAGTTGACCTCAAGGGTAAGAAGAAAGCGCAGAGCACATGGATTGGTTTATATTAGTCTCTGATTGACTAACTTCTCATTACATTTTAGCTGTTTTTTAGTGACCATGCTTGTTAACTAACCTAAAGTAAAGGATTAGAGTCTTTTCAGGTACTGGGAAAACTGAGGGAGTACAGAATACGGATATAGGGTCAAAACAACATCAAGAATAGGTAGACTGGCCCCGGCTAGCAGTTTACTTGACAGCCAACTGTGAAATATTTTTGCCTTTGTTTCTTCTCTTTTTGTTCTTTTTAAGCAATAGATATTTTTAACCTCCAGGTTTTTTCCGCCATGAAACTCCTAAAGCAGCATTATGAAAGAAAACAGTTATTTTGAGATGAGGACTGCTGGTGTGTATGTATCATCTCAGTGTTGCTTTTTTTGCTCTTGCCGCCAACACCTGAGTTAATAGGATTCTCATTCTTGTATGTATAGTTTATGCATATTTAATTTAACATTTACATGTATGGCCAGGCACGGTGGCTCACGCCTGTAATCCCAGTACTTTGGGAGGCCAAGGCGGGCGGACCACCTGAGGTCAGGAGTTCGAGACCAACCTGGCCAGCATGGTGAAACCCCGTCTTTACTAAAAATACAAAAATTAGCCGGGCGTGGTCACGCACACCTGTAATCTCAACTACTCAGGAGGCTGAGGCAGGAGAATTGCTTGAACCTGGGAGGCAGAGGTTGCACACACACACACACACACACAAACAAACATTTACAAGTATCAAGTTGTTTTTGAGGGGGTAGTTTTTATTTTGTCAACAGCATTTTTAAAAGGATAGGTCATCCAGTTGAATTTGTGTGGATATTTCTCTATGTCTTTACCCAGTGTCTTTATGTCATCCTTGTTATGTAAATAGTTTCCTCAGTCAAATTAATTGACCTGCAAAGATATTGGTGGCATCTGTACATAGAAAGATTAGGTAGTTTTAGGGGGAGAGGGGATTAATCCTCCAGAAGGAAATTACTTGCCTGAATTAAGGACAACAGCTTGGGAGAGAGGATTTGCATCCTCTTCCAATTATTTCCTTTGGGACAGCTGCTACGTAAAGCCCGACTCTACCCCCATCCCCTGGGTGCATTGCTGCTGGCCATGAATTCTCACAGGAGTTCTCCTGATGTGCTTACACCCAGCTGCAGGTTCCTTATGCAGTGGGGATGCTTAAAGGATAATACAAAAGGACACGTGTTTTTTGTGAGGCCATGAGCTGCATAAGGAGTAAAGAGAATGTGCAAGTATATTTATATTCTGAATATTTTCCTCAGTATGATTTTCCTGGTAATGTTGATTTAGCCTTTGTTAACAATATTCTGAAGGCCTCTGAAACATATAGTATGATTTTCCTGTAGGAAAAAAACACATACGTCACATTGTATCTGAAAGTCTTTAATCAAAGTAAAGTAAAAATTGAACATTGTTAAGAAAATGAGTAACTTTGTCAAGGAGCAAGATATAGATTATGGAAATGGTTATGCATTGGATTTTAGTTGAATCTGTCAGTGTTGCTGTGGATATTTTTGAAGGGACATTTTAAGATATTGACACTCAGTATTGAAATAATATATTTCAAAGTTAAAATACAAAATTAGGAGATTATATATGTTCATGAACTTTGACATATTAAAAAAAATACCTACTTCAATGAGTGCCTACAGTGGCCAAGGTGATTGTTAATTTGGCCTGGCTTACCCCTAGATCTTATATCTTTGGTTAGTATTTTGCTAGCAACTCAAAATCAACCTTTTAAATTGTAACACATCATCACCTCCTAATCACCAGTCAGCTCCTCTCTCTCTTTCTCTCTCTCTCTCTCTCTATATATATATGTTTATTACATATATATTTCTTTATTCCTTTAATCAGTACTTACCTATAATGAAATTTTTATTTATACTCACTTTTTCCAGCCTAAACCTCTTCTCTCTTAACAATTAATATCATAAACTCATTTATTTTATGTAGCAATTTACTGAGTAACTACAGCATACCAAGCACTTGACAGGCATGGGAGATAAAATGATGAATAAGACAGGGCCCTGCCTTCAGAGAATTTACATTCTAATGGAGGAAGATAGGCAGAAGCAGGTAATTATGTATAAGTATCTTAAATAAAATCCTGAGAGTGATGATCAAGTTTTCACTTTCCTTTATCCATTCCCACTCTACCTTGTCACCACACCGCGCAGAAACAGTTACCAAAATCTATAAACTCTACCTCTTCTCTGTCTCTTATATGTGATTTTTCTTCTTGTCTTTACCCCTACTGCCCTGGTTTAGGCACTCAACATCCCTCCTCTGGTTTCTTTTGCTGGTTTCCCAACTGTAATCTCCCAACAGGTTCTTCCTGCTACACGGAAAAACCAATTCACTGAGACCACAATATTACAGTAGAGAAAGAGATTAATTAACACAGAGCTAGCCACATGGGAGGTCTGGTGTAATAACTTGAGTCAGTTTCCTGGAGAACTCAGAGGCTGGGGCTTTTATGGATAATTAGGTGGGCAAGGAGCTAGGGAATGGGCACTGCTGACTGGTTGGAGATGAAATCATAGTAGTGTGGAAAATGGTCCTTACGTATTGAGTCTGCCTCAGTGGGGGCCACAGGACCACTTTAGTCATGAGTCCCAGGTCTGGTTAGAGTCAGAAGATGGCCAGAATGCAAAAGTCTGAAAACATCTCCAAAGACCAATCTTAGGTTCTACAATAGTGGTGTTATCTATAGGAGCAGTTGGGGAAGTCACAGATCTTACGATGTCTGGCCATATGACTCCTTGTGCAGCAAGGGATTATAGAAAGGCAAGCTAGGTTACAGTGGCTGGCTGCCATTTAGCTACACCTATATTTTAGCAGAATTCAGGCTCTTCCCATAATCCCAATCTTGTAGTCTTTCATTAGTCTTACAAAGGTGATTTTGGTCCCTGAGCAAGGAAGGGGTTAGTTTTAGGGGGACTGTTATCATCCTTGCTTCAAAGTTAAACTGTAAATTAAATTCCACTCATGGTTAGCTTGGCCTGCGCCCAGGAATGAGCGAGGACAGCCAGCCTATGAGGCTTGTCACAAGACGGAGTAAACCATGCTAGATTTCTCTCACCGTCATCATCTTTGCAGTGGCAGCTTCATAACCAGCCTGGCTTCCTTTTCCGTTTTTGAACAGGCAGATAATGATAATGTTCTCTGCCACTTTCTTAAAGCTCTTTCAGTTCCCATTACCTAAGGTGAAATCCAGTTTTCCTGGTATACAAGGCCCTTCTTGGTACAAAAGGATTCAGGCCCACCTGGCCAGCAGCATTTTCTTCTATCTTCCCATATCTCTTCTCTCCTTTATTCCTGAGCAGTGCTGACCTACGTGTTCATCAGGTACACTACACATTGCCATTCTTCCCTTCACATACCTGTTCCTCCCTCCTCATCCACACTGTTTTCTTGAGAGCAGTTTACTTATGTGTAATAATAGCTGTAAAGTCATTTTAGGGAAAAAAACTTTTTTTTCCTTTTCAGTTCTTAGTTTAGACACTCTACTGAAAGCAAAACTCAGATTAACAAAAGAAAAACAAGCAGAAGCTTATTAATGTGTGATGTACCCATCATGTGAGACAGGCCTCAGTTCAAAAGTGTCTCTCTCAAGGCAGTGGCTTAGAGGCTTTGCTTAAACAGTATTTTAACAAAAAGCCTTAAATCTTACATAGTGACAAGACAGGAAAGAGCAGTTCCAGCCTAGTAAAAGGTGGAGACGTGTGGAGAGATAGTAAAATCTGTTCCCAGATTCCGCTGGTACCTGCTGGTGCTTTCTCTGGGCCAATAAGCAAGTGATGTCTCCAGTAAAGAATGTTATGTCCTGCCATCAGGCAGATAGAGGCGGGAGCAGAGAGTTCCCCCACATTTTCATTGTTTTTAACAATCCTCAATATTTTGGGGAGATGTATTTTGATTGTTCTGTGCCCCCTTTGAAACTTTCCTTTCAGAAAGTTTCACATATTAAAAGCTAGGTGGGTAGCTCTGGAGAGATTTTGGGTTAGAGATTTTGACATAAGAGTTTGGCAGAGGGGAGAAAATCATAGATTAAAACAAGTGGAAAGGAACAAATTTGGGTACATTGTCCCATACCTTATTGAAACAGTCTTTTAGTCCTGAGAATTACTCTGTTCAGTTGATCAGTTATATCTTATTTCAGGAGGTGATGTTGTGGGCAGGTTTTTTTTTTTTTAAATCAAAATCAACTCTATGATATAGACAAATATATTTAGCAAGAGGCATGTCTGTGGGAGCAAAAGAAAAACAAAGGTTAATGTTTGGGGCAGTCTGTTAGCTTGTTTAATTCTGGAGCAGTCAGCTGAGAAGATTTTTATATTTGTTTTCAAAATATCTACAGTTGGAGTAAAAGTAAACTGGTGATTCTGACAGATTTTTCTGGATTGCTGTTTGCGTCAAAATTTCAGTGAACTTTTTTCCATAAATAATTTGTATGATTTCTTTGAAGTTTATATCAAGTTGTGTAACTTTAGCTTGCAGGGCTTCAGGGAAAGCACACTTTAAACTTTTAATGATTTCAAGTCAGAAAGGTAGGAGAAAAATTAGAAACATTAGTCTGGGAGTCATAGCCAGATATTGGAGGAAACTAAAAATTCAGGATTTAGTCCAGGTAATAAAAAAACTCAAAAACAGTAGACAGGTCTAGAATTTAATAACAGATGTGCTATAGTTTTCTTCTGAAACATAAGTTCTCTTTATAATTACCCCCATTCTTACTAAAGATATTTACAGTAATTACACTAATTTAATTATAAAAACCAGTTTTAGCCTTATTATACTTGGCCTGATCATTTGCATAAAGTGCAACAAGAATAGTGATTGGCCATATAGGCTCTTTTTTTTTTTTTAAATCTGCTTTGTTGGAATTTATTATAAGAAACCTCAGATTATACCTTTAAAAGACTCTACAGGCCAAGAATTCAAGACCAGCCTGGGCAACATAGTAAGACCCCATCTCTAAAACAAATAAAAATGAAAAATTAGCCAGGCATGGTAGTCACACCTATAATCCCAGCTATTCAGGAGGCTGAGGCAGAAGGATTGCTTGAGCTAAGGAGTTTGAAGTTAACAGTGAGCTGTGATTGTGCCACAGCCGTTGCACTACAGCCTGGATGACAGAGGGAGACCTGTCTCCAAAAAACAAAAAAGGGTCTTCAGGGCAGGAAGTCAAGCCACGGACTTTACCAGTAGTAAATCAGTGGCCAGCATAGTAATCAGATTTTACCAGTAGTACTTGGGTGAATTCATTTTTGCTTGGAGTCCCCAGAATATTCTGAGGTTCCTGGGCCTGTCAGAAAGTGACATTCTTTACTTACTGCAAGGCTGGGAACCATGTAGACATGGCACCAGGCTAGTTATTCTAAGGGCTTCAATGGCCCCTTAAAGTTAACCTTAGTTTCTTAAAGTAGTCTGAAAATACGACATCCCAGCCTGTATAGAATTAGAATGATTCAAATAACATTTATACCTGATGTGGTTATAGAGCTAAATTATTCCTCCTGTCCCTGAAATCATTAGGCTCTTATTTCTATTAGGTTATAAAGCTCATTTTTCCTTCCTACGTAGGAGAACAATATATACTTTCTTTTCATGACTATCAGAGAAATAACAAATTTTATTAAAATTTGAAAGATTAGTCTGGGTGAGGTGGCTCACACCTGTAACCTCACCACTTTAGGAGGCTGAGATGGGTAGATTGCTTGAGCCGAGGAGTTCAAGACCAGTTTGGGCAACACAGTGAAACTCTATCTCTATAAAAATTAGCAGGGCGTGGTGGTGCACACCTAGAGTCCCAGCTACTTGGGAGGCTGATGTGAGAGAATTGCTTGAGCTGGGGAGGTCGCGGCTGCAGTGAGCCATGATCATGCCACTGCACTCCAGCCTGGCCAACAGCATGAGATTCTGTCTTTAAAAAAAAAAAGATTTGAAAAGTTAGATTTTGGCATTTGATTATTAGTCAAACCAGGGAAGTGGAAAGTGACCAAATCCCCTACAGCCAGCTGTCTTAGATCTGCTGTTACATTAACGTGATGTGTCAGAGTCTTTGCTGTCAGGCAGTGATGAGCTTGCCTGCTTTGTTCTGTGCCTCTTAAAAGTTTATGAGGGATTGTGGCTGTTCCTATATGCGGAAATACTGTTAGCTATGTGGATCGTGGCGGTCTTGGTGGGGAGCAAAGAGACCAAGGATGCACTGGATTCCTTCTTGCCAGAGGAAAGTTTCTGTCTCAGTCAATGCTTGTCAAGTTTGTAGAGACCATTGTGTTTGTATGTTACAGTTTCATACAGATTTTATAGATACTGTCTTTACTACCTGTAATAATCACATTTAATGTATTTTTCAGGCAGATTGGAACATTCATTTATGTTTTGCTTAGTTGGCAAAACTAAGGATTACATTTGGCATTTTTAACTCACAATGTGTATGGAAAGCTGAAAGTTCAGCTTAAAGGCCTTGTGATTTGAATGACAACTATAGGGAAAATAGGGGTTTTTGTTGTTGTTGTTGTTGTTTGTTGCTGCTGTTGTTGTTTTTTAATTGAGACAGAGTCTCTCACTGTGTTGCCCAGGCTGGAGTGCAGTGGCGTGATTTCGGCTCACTGCAACCCCCACCTCTTGGGTTCAAGTGATTCTCCTGCCTTTGTCTCCCGAGTAACTGGGATTACAGGTACGCACCACCACGCCCTAATTTTTTATGTTTTTAGTAGAGATGAGGTTTCACCATGTTGCCCAGGCTGGTTTCAAACTTCTGGCCTCAAAGAATCCACCCACCTCAGCCTCCCAAAGTGCTGGGATTACAGACGTGAGCAACCACGCCCAGCAGTTTTCTGCTTTTTTTTTTTTTTTTTTTTTTTTTTTTACTCTAGCTTGTTGTGGATGATGTATTTGCATTCTCAGTCTAAAAGGTACTGGGTAGTCAAAAGGGGGCCACCACATCTAAGGACTGGATATATGGGATAGAGCAGAGAATTTAAGCAGACAGGATTTAGGCTAAGCCGAAGTGGACCTAAATTGTAAAAGCAATATATGAAGGAGATTGTGAAATCCTCTTCCTTAGAGAAATGGAAGATTAATCTAGACTGGCCTATTTAGATACAGTTTTTAGAGTGAGGGGGTGGGACTAGACTAGCCTTTAAAAAAATTCCAACGCAATGTTTATTTTCTTTGTCAAATGTTAGGAAGTCAAAATTTGAATGTTATTTATTTTTTAATTTTTATTTTACTTTAAGTTCTGGGTTACGTGTGCAGAATGTGCAGGTTTGTTACATAGGTATACATGTGCCATGGTGGTTTGCTGAACCTATTGACCCATCCTCTAAGTTCCCTCCCCTCGCCTCCCACCCTCCAACAGGCCCTGGTATGTGTTCTTCCCCTCCCTGTGTCCATGTGTTCTCATCGTTCAGCTCCCTCTTATGAGTGAGAACATCTGATGTTTGGTTTTCTGTTCCTGTGTTAGTTTGTTAAGCATGATGGCTTCCAGCTTCATCCATGTCCCTGCAAAGGACATGATCTCATTCCTTTTTATGGCTGCATAGTATTGCATGGTGTATATGTACCACATTTTCTTTATCCAGTCTATCATTGATGGGCATTTGGCTTGGTTCCATGACTTTGCTATTGTAAATAGTGCTGCAATAAACAATGTGTGCCTATGTCTTTATAGTAGAATGATTCATATTCCTTCGGGTATATACCCAGTAATGGAATTGCTGGGTCAAATGGTATTTCTGGTTCTAGCTCCTTGAGGAATTGCCATACTGTCTTCCACAATGGCTGAACTAATTTACAGAATTTGAATTTTAGAATAATTTTAATGTGGGCTAGACATGGTGACTCACACCTGTAATCCCAGCACTTTAGGAGGCTGAGGCAGGTGGATTGCTTGAGCCCAAGAGTTCAAGACCAGCCTAGGCAACATGGTGAGACCCCATCTCTACAAAAATATCAAAAATTAGCCAGCGTAGTGCCCCACACCTATAGTCTCAGTTACTCAGGAGGCTGAAGTGGGAGGATCACTGGAGCCCAGGAGGCGGAGATTGCAGTGAGTTGAAATTACAGCACTTCACTCCAGCCAGGACGACAGAGTGAGACTGTCTAAAAAAAAAAAAAAAGAATTTGATGTATGTTTTTCAAAACTGATATATATTTTTAGTCTTCCCTAGAAATGGTTCAGTTTACAGAGTTATAATTTGAAATGATTTTCACAATCTGAGTAAGAGTGGATATGTGCTCCAACCTGAATTCTGTAGTAGGCAGGGTTTGTGTGTGTGTTTCACAAGGCACACACATGCTTTCTTCTAAAACTGACAAAAGAAAGCAGTGGGTGTATTGCAAAGCAGATAGTTAATAGAAGACTAACAGATAGCTTTGGGAAATGGATATAACAAATTTATGTGCAAGACTGATAAGCAACAGTCAGAAATGGATGTAAATTCATTAATGCTCCAGCTAATTTATTAAAGTTTTGATTATATTGATGTGGCCTGATTATTTCCCATCAGACACGTTACTTCTCTCACAAATGAATCCATCAAAATCTATTCATCTGGGTGATTTGCTTGGTTTGATGCATATTCACAACTTTGTTTCTCGTAAATGGTTGTGTCAATAAATTTTCTGGAAAGAATTAAGTACTGTTATTCATACTTATGTCTGGTCTTAATTTGCTCCATAGTCTTGCATTTATAAGACATATTAACAGAAGTCTGATGTAAATGAAATACCAACAATGTGGCATAAAACACAAGCTACAATTTGGCATAAACCTCTGGAAAACACACTGGCTCATCTGAATGTGGGGAAACATTGGTTAACATTCCCATTTTCTTTTACCTAATAGTGTTCTCTTGAGACACAACCTTGATTCCTCTGATAATAAGATAAACCAGTCTGCATTGGTGACGTGTGTGGGGATTTTTCCCCACACACCAATCAAGCAGTTCTCTAGTGGGCACCAACTGGGTAGCCTACAATTTCACTCATTTCTGACACTATGTATCTGGAGTTACTGTCAGATCCTTGCCAACTGAAGAATCACAAGGTTCATAAATTTTGAAAGGAGAGCTTTATTTCAGATAAAGAGTTGCAACCTGCAAGGTGGCCATTCTACGGGCTGGGAAGTGTAGCCTCTGGCAGAAGCTGAAAATAAGCAGTTCAAGGGAGGGGTAAAGGGAATAGTAATTTACGCTGAGTAGAGTAGCTAAGTATATATATTCAGTAACCTATAGGAAGAGTCATGAATATTTATGAAAGGAGAAATAAGCACATGCACAATCAAGCTTCACGCCTTTTTGTGGGACCCGTGTTCAAAATATGGCAGCATTAGCACAATCCAAATGGGCTGTTTTCAGCCCTCTGATGTCAAAAGGTGAAGCAGATGACACGAAAACCCTCACTGCATGTCCTCTGCCATTCGGCAAAACAGTTGTGGAGGTGGTGTTTAGTGTTTAGGAAAGGATGTGTTGTGAAACTGGTGAGCTGTCACATTGAAACAGCAGAGGAGGAGCAAGAGTCTGGTCACAACCTCAGACAGTTGGCTAAAGGCAATGAAAGAATGAGCCATATGTTTTTTGTTTTCCAGAGCTGTTTTCTGTTTACTCCTTAGGAAAGAATTCTGGTTAAAGGTTAATAAGGGAGGGGCCTACTGAGGCATGTCAGACCTGCCATCCTGTCATGGCTGGGAACTCAATTTTTAAGATGGGGTCTGTTACCAAACTGAACCTGGGTCCACTTACCTGGTGCAGTAAAGCCAAACACCCACATTGAGGTTTGCAGTGAGAGAACGGAGGGCATTTATTTGCAGGGCACCAAGCAAGGAGAATTGGCAGTTCATGCTTAAGACCAGACATCCCTGATGGCTTACAGGAAGAGTTTTTAAAGGCAGGGGAACATTTCAGGAAAGCAGAAATTACAGGCCAAATTGCAAATCACTACATGGAGGTTTTATACATTGATTTGGCTTAAAAAGGTGGGATATCTTGAAGTGGGGGTCCTATATGGCATAGGTGGATTCAGAGATTCTTTGATTTGCAGTTGGTTAAGGAAGCAAGGCTTTGCCTGAGAACTTGGGGTCAGCAGAAGGAATATTAAGGTTTGGCTTGTGGGCGTGACTCTCTTCAGACCCTTTAGGAAGCAATCTAGAGCAAACAACAGCAGACAGAGCTCAGTCCTCAGGGGCCCCCTTATCTGAGTTCTGCATGACAGTGGTTGGCATTTTCCATCTGGTTGTGGTGCAGGTTTCAGAAAAACAACTCAGGGACATATGTTAAGATGTTATCTTTAATTTCTACAGGGAATCAAACATCTTGTGGCTCTAACCTACTTGGGTGGCTATTGTTGTAAGCTGTTTCTTTGTTATCAGGTTGCTCATTTACTTCTAAAGACTAGCTAGATGCCTGGAATTTCCCTCGAAGAGATTCAAGATTTTTCCTTATTTTCATGCTTGAAGGAGGGAAAGGTGTGTGGCAGGCTGCTAAGAGAGGCCCCTGCTCCATCTCAGTTTCATTAAGTTGGTTGGGGAGCTTAGGATTTTCCTTTTATTTCTCTTCCCACAGGCTTAGTCCCACAAAACTAGCCCCTACTTCAGGTGCCGAGCATAAGCCCCAGGCTGTAACCTGTGCTTCTGACCAACTAGGACTTTAAATCAGGATACCCTTGACCCTCCTCCGCAGGTTCCATTAATTTGCTAGAGCAGCTCACACAATTCAGGGAACACCTTACTTACATTTACTGGTTTATAATAAAGGATATTACAAAGGATATAGGGGAACAGCCACATAGAAGAAATGAATAGGGAGAGGTTTGTGGGAAGGGCCAGGGAGCTTCCATGCTCTCTCAGTGCACACTGCCCTCCAGGACCCTCCACATGTTCAGTGATCCAGAAACTCCCTGAACTTAGTCCTTGGGGTTTTTATGGAGGCTTTATTATGTAGACGTGATTGATTACATCGTTGGCCATTGGTGATCAAGTCAATCTTCAGCCACTCTTCCCTCTCCAGAGGTGTCAGGGCTGGGGTGGGACTGAAAGTTCCAGCTCTCTAATCACATGGTTGGCCCTCCTGACAACCAACCAGCCCTTATCCTGAGGCTGGCCAGGAGCCTCCAGCCCTCAGTCATCTCACTAGTATGTAAGAAGATAACACTTTGGAAAGCTTAAGGATTTTAGGAGCTGTGTGCTTATTATATCACAATATTATATTCCCACATAGAGAACTGCCGTGTCCCTAGATTTATCATGGGCTGCTTCTAATTTCTCCATGTAGGACTTTCCGATAGGATTTATTCCTAATTATCTCTGACTTTATAGCCCTAGTCCCTGTAGTTTTCAGCCCTCTATTCTTCGTTTTTGTGGGCGAAAGATTACCTAGGTGCCGAGGCAAGAGACTGAAGGCACAAACTGTTTCAGTATAATAAAGAAAATAGTTAAAATAAGAATAGTTATAATACAAATTAGATATAGAGATGATCATGGACAATTATCAATCATTATTATAAACATTAATCATTAGCTTTTAATATTACTCTTTGTTGCTTTACTAATATAACCTAGGAATAACCGGTGGGTATAGGGTCAGGTGTTGACGGGATATTGTGAGAAGTGACCTAGAAGGCAAGAGGTGAGCCTTCTGTCACGCCCACATAAGGGCCGCTTGAGGGCTCTTTGGTCAAGTGGTAACGCCAGTGTCTGTGAAGGCACCTGTTACTTAGCAGACCGCGAAAGGGAGTCTCCTTTCCTTGGAGGAGTCAGGGAACACTCTGCTCCACCAGCTTCTTGTGGAAGGCTGGATATTATCTAGGCCTGCCCGCAGTCATCTGGAGGCCTAAACCCCTCCCTGTGGTGCTGTGCTTCAGTGGTCACTCTCCTTGTCCACTTTCATGTTCCTCCCGTACTCCTGGTTCCTCTTTGAAGTTCGTAGTAGATAGCAGTAGAAGAAATAGTGAAAGTCTTAAAGTATTTGATCTTTCTTATAAGTGCATAGAAGAAAACGCTGACATATGCTGCCTTCTCTATCTCTGCGGTGGCTACCTAAAAGGGAAGGGCCCCCTGTCCCATGATCATGTGACTTGCTTCACCTTATCACTTAGAAGATTCATCCTCCTTACCCTGCGCCCCCTCGTCTTGTATGCAATAAATATCAGCACGCCCAGTCGTTTGAGGCCACTGCTGGTCTCCGCGTCTTGGTGGTAGTG